>NC_000003.12:152455574-153705574 GCF_000001405.40 Homo sapiens | reverse complement strand
CTGTCAACACAATCAGATATCTTCCCCACTCCTATTCTCATAATTGCTCAGTCATCTTGTGGGACAGACAAACCCACCTAACTGGTGGAGTGGACGAACAAGTTAGAATAGAACAACTTCCCTGGCAGTCCTCTAAAAACAAGGACCAGGCTCCATTATTCAAACTGAAGTTGGAATCCTAACATCTACCGGCTGGGTGAGAGGCCATGTAGAAGATACTGTCAACTTTCATCCCTAACATAATAGGTCCCACTTAGGTTGCCCCAATAATTGTACACAAAAGTTTATTAGCCAGACATGGTGACTCATGCCTGTAATCCCATCACTTTGGGAGGCTGAGGCAGGAGGATCGCTTGACACAGTGAGATCTCATCTCTGCAAAAAATAAAACACTAGCCTGGCATGGTGACATGTGCCTGTAGTCCCAGCTACTCAGGAGGCTGAGGCCAGAGGATTGCTGGAGCCTGGGAGATCGAGCCTGCAGTGAGCTGTAATCATGCTACTGCACTACAGCCTGGGCAACAGAGCAAGACTCTCCTTAAACAAACAAACAAAAACCAAAAAAAAAAAAAACAACAAAAAACCTTGATCTCCAGAGACATGATCTGCATTCCCAGACCCATACTTCTTATACAGGAGTCAGGCATTAATTTGTCTCATTCTCCAAAGTATTTGTACTTCAGGAATGGTCATAAGAAACCTTCAAATATTGAGGAAACATTACCAGTAGATCATGTAGCCCTCATGGGACTGTGGAGATCTCTCTAAAATGAGGCTAGCCTTAGCTAATTGGTGGACCTTTTTGGAAGGGTATGTGAGTCATTCTTCATGTGTACCCTGTGGACAGTTATCTCTATGATGAAAATCATGCAATTAAAATACGTTTACGAAATTTGTCCCTGGCTTTATCCGAAATAATTAATGATGCCATCTCAGTCCTGGAAAGCATTCAAGTCAGCTTCAACTCACTAACCAGGGTTTTTATGAATGACAGAATTGCCCTAGTCATCCTCTGTGCAAACCAAGGAAGAGTCTATGTAATAGTATTCTTTTGTACCTGGATTAATGTCTTTAGTCAAGTGAAAAGTCAAGTTCAGGTACCTGAGAAGAAAGTCACCTAACCTTCTAAGGTAGACCATGGTGGTTTATGATAGGGTCCTCAAGCCCTGGGCCACAGATACACAGCAGGGTGTGAGCAATAGTTGAGTAAGCAAAGCATCATCTATATTTACAGCCACTCCCCATTGCTCATATTACCATTGAGTGCCACCTCCTGTCAGATCAGTGGCAGTATTAGATTCACATAGAAGCACAAATCCTATTGTGAACTGCACATTCAAGGGATCTAGGCTGCACGCTCCTTATCAGAATCTAATGCTTGGTGATCTGTCACTGTCTCCTATCACCCCCAGATGGGACCATCTAGTTGCAGGAAAACAAGTTCAGGGCTTCTACTGGTTTTACATTATGTCGAGTTGTATAATTATTTCATTACATATTAGAATGTAATAATATAAATAAAGTGTGCAATAAATGTAATGCACTTGAATCATCCTGAAACCATCCCCCCACGCTTCAGCCGAAGGAAAAATTGTCTTCCATGAAACTAGTCCCTGGTGCCAAAAAGGCTGGGGACCACTGGTTTATGAGATTTATTTACCTGGTTGGATCTGGGAATCTGGGGAGCGAGGTGAATACTTCATTTTGGCCTCCTTCTGGTACTTGAAGTCATATTGGAAGTGTCCTTAATTAAAGGGTAAATAAAACAGAGCAGATTGCGTCCCAGCCTCCATCAGATTAAGCAGAGTGGTGTACTCAGGCAAAATAACACCAAAAGCCAAGGAGTTGTAGAAACAAGAACCAAATAGTCTTAGGAGATAATTCTCCATGGGTTTCTTGAATTTCCACACATCTCATACATGAAGTACTAATTGGCTTTTCATCTGGACTCTCTTTTCAAGGATGTTTGTATAGCAAACAGCCTTAGAAGACAGAGATCATGTTTCTCTCCAGAGAAAACCACAATATAATTTCTGCCCATTGTAAAAGATTTGGGTTCACTAAACTTAGGGTTTCTCTTTTGTAATGCAATGTATTTCATATGCAGGTGGTACCTGCATATGAAACAGATTGGAGCTACCTGTGGTAATTGGATCTCAGGGCACAAATGTGAATGCTGACACTCTGCCTATTACTGTTTCTGTGAATAAAAACTGTTCATTAACTCTGACTCAGATGTTTCCTGTTGTTTACCATCATCCATGAAACTGTGGCAGGTTAACATGTTAGTTTAGTAAGTACAGTAAGGTAAAAATCTCTGACCCTTCACAGTTCTTGTCAATTAGCAAATCAAATCCAGCAATATATCAAAGAGATAATACATCGTAACCAAGGTGGGTAGGTATATTATAGCAATGTAAGGATGGTTTACTGTTTGAAATTCAATCTATGTACTTCATCACATTAAAGAAAAAAAGTAGAAAAATTGATTATCTTACCAGATATATAAAAGCATTTGATGAAATTCAACACATTCGTAACATAAAAAAACACACACACACAGAAAACCTTCTAGTAAACTATAAACAGAAAAAAAAACTTCCTTAATTTGAGAAACAGTATCTGTGAAAACCTTAAAGGAAAAATTATATTATTGGTGAAATACTGAAAGGATTTTTCCTTAAGATTGTAAATGAGAAAAGGTCCTGTCCGCTGTAATCAATTCTATTTAGCATTATGTTAAAAATCCTGGCAGATGCAATAAGACCAAAACAGACAGGGAGAGAGAGAGAGAGAGAGAGACAGAAATGAAGAAGGAGAAGAAGAAGAAGGAGAAGGAGAAAAAGGGGAAGAGGAGGAGAAGGAAGAAGAAGAAGGGAGAAGAAAAGGCAAGAGAATTGGAAATAATAAATAAAGCTGTCATTGCAGAAGACATGGCAGTTTTGGTGGGAAAAAAATCAACAGAAGTTACAAGCTATTAGAATTAATAAATGAATTTAGCAAGTTTGTTGGATGCAAAGACAATGTACAAAAATACATTGTATTTCTATGTACCAGCAAGAAGCAAACAGAAAATACAAATTTAAAAATGGTGCTACTGACAATAGTATAGAAAAAAAATCAAATACTTGAGAGCCTCCTTGAGGAAAATAAAAACTAAATGTACTACCAAGAACTCTCCAAAATGGCTAAAATTGATAAGACAGCATACCAAATATTGGAAAGGGTGTGGAACAACCAGACCTCCCAAACACTGCCAGATGGAGTGTAAATTTGTACATTTCTTTGGAATGCTGTTTGACAGTGTCTTCCTAAAGTGCAACAGTTCCACTCCTAAGTATAATATCTGCAATAGAAATGCACACATATGTTCACAAAGGAAATGCATGAGAATGTTCATAGCAGGATTATTTGTAATGTCCCCAAATGTAATTTGTAATGTCCCCAAAAACTACCCTGATGCTTCTCAATAGTCAAATAGATAAATATAAGTTGTTATGCATTCGCATAGTGGAGGGGTTGGCAAACATTTTCTATAAAGGCCCAGATAGTAAATATTTTAGGCAGCACAATCTCTGTCATGAGTCCTTAACTCTACCATTATAGCATAAAACAGCCATAGACAATACAAAATGAACGAGTATGGATATATTCCAATAGAAACTTTATTTATGGACAATGAAATTTGAATTTCATACAATTCCCACATGTCTGGAAATAGTACGCTTTTTTATTTAGTTTTTAAAAAATGTAGAACCCGTTTTTTCTTGTAAACCATGCAAACACAGGTGGTGAGCCAGATTTGGCCCCATAGGTCAGAGTTTGCCAACTGTTGATATGGAAGAATACTATATAGAAATGAGAATGAAGAAAACTACAACTTCTGTACATGCAACAGTATAAAATAACCTCCAGACATAATATCGACTGAATGAAGTTGGACACAAAAGAGTGCAAAAGTGTTTATGATTACCCAAAAACATGTATGATTCCATTTATATATAAAGTTCAAAAATAGGCAAAACTAGTCTGTGATGTTAGAAATTAGGTTAATGGTTACAATGGCAGAGGAGATTGATTCAAATGTCGCATGAAGGGGGCTTTGTGGAGTCTAGTAATGTATTGATAAGTGTGTTGGTTAAAAAGAAGGGGGGCTTTGTGACAATGTATTGAACGATGTCTTATTGTTTGTGTACAGCTGTGTTTGTTATACTTTAATAAAAGTTCAGAGATGTGTATAGTTTTAATTTCTCACTGTCACTTTATATTTTTTTTCTACAGAAAATGTTTTTCCCTTTCACTGGATAAAACTCATATAGCCCTGTGACTGTCTAGTCTCTCTAGGGTACTAGATGGTCCTATGCATATTACAGTTTTGATTCAAGAATTATAATATGTGAATAACACATCCATCTTCACTAAAATGTAAGCTTCTTTCATCTTGGCCACCAAGTGTAGTCTGAAGAGAATCGACACCTGATTTCATGCACTAGAGTATTTAGGTTGTTTCTTTTATTACTTCCCTTCTCCCAACTTGCTAGAAATTCTTAAGGATCATTTGGATTGATGTGCAGAAGGAAGAGAGAATGGGGACGGAAAGCTCTGATTTGATTGGTTTTGGAATATGGCTTTTGGCTTTGTGGAAATGCCAGATAAATTAAGCTTTATTTCACACGTGGCTTTCATTGAGTTTTGAAAACTCTGCTGCTAGGTTGCTCCCACTGCAGCTCCATTATCTTGATATATTCTATTTCTTTGCCCTTGGCCTCACCTTTATCCTCTGGTTCTCCAGTTGTCTATTCTGCATGGGCTTGCTCTGTTGGACCCTCAGCATACCTAGGTGGTCTTCTTGGGAAGAAGTCAAAAAAGCTCCAGGTTCGCCTTCTCACTGACCTGGTTCACATATAACCCACAATCAACAATCATGCATATTTTGTCCAAATCTATCCTGGAAGCATAGACAAACACAAAATAGGACCTCACCTGTGCTCTGAACTCTGCTCGGCAGTCCATCTCTTTCACTTTCCTATCTAGCAGAAGTCAGATGCCACTCCACTGTCCTTCCCAAGTTCTAGAAGAGTTGCCGTATTTGAGTAGTGGTCCCATTACCACCCAGATCTCCAGGCTTCAGGGCAAGAGAGCTCTACCCATCCCCCCTCCCTGAGTGGGTGTCATGTTATGTATGTGGGCTGAGTGGGGAACTCATATGGCATCAATTCTCTCCGAAGAAATCTTTTGGCAAAACTTTACAACTATTCAACTCTTGCCTTTTTAAAAATATCCTCTTGATGGTAAGGACTTTTTGGAGGCATGCAAACAGTTTCTAGATATTCCTTTGAAAATCTACATTTTGGGCTATCTCACAATTCACTGTGCCACATTCGAAACTAACAATTTAACTTCCAATTACCCTAAACTTTCTGTTATGATAGTAAAGCAGAACTCAGAGAAAGAAGTCATCCCTAATTTTACAAAGTTCTTAGAATAATTCAATTCTCAAATTGGTTTTTAGAAATATTGTGCCAAATTTAATTCTCAATATTTGGGAATTCCTAACTCACTTCAACAAAATTATTATTTTGAACATGTACTAGTTTGGTAAACAAAAATCACTATCTTATTTTTGCATAATATTACATTTATTTGTTGTTAGTGAAGATAAACAGTTTTCATGTTTTTTAAGACCTCTTGGTTGAAAAAAAAAAATAGCTGGATCCTTCTGGTTCTGATTATCTGGCTGGCTAGGTATCTACTGACCTTCACAATAAAGTCAGATATAAATACTAGCTATAGTTTTGTTAAATCTATGTTTTCAGACTTATTAAATTTTAAGAATATAACTGAAATTCTCCTGGTGAATAAGTGTATTCAAATGCACTTTCAGACTTCATCAACTATCTCAGAGCCCTAAGATTTTATTTAGAAAGAAACGTTCAGATCTAGTGTTCTGGGCTAATAACTACCTACAAATACCAAAACAATTTCAGAAAGTAAATAAATTACTGAAACTGTGTGCTTGAGTCTCCCTTTACTTCATCAGAAAAGCTACTTACGCCTCAGGTTTGCAGGGAGCCTAAAGATTGAGGCCAGGGTACCAGATTACCCAATGATTGATTCTCTAGATTAAGACTGACACAGATCTTAGTATGAGATCAATCATTTCAGGATTTAATATTTTTTCTATATAAAAAGCAAACAATTATATAAAAGTTCAAAAACCTAACAGTTCTTGTTTCTATCAGGCAGTGTGTGGTATGTATTACAGGATTTCCCTTTTTTAAAAAAATTATACTTTTTAAGAAAATTAATGCATGCTCATTGAAAACACTCAAGCAACAATTTTTGGACTTTCAGATTTTGTGAAAATAGAGAATTAGCCCAGGTTGCTAGTTTGCTTACTTAAAATCAGTTCTGGATAAACTGTGGAAGTGAGAGGAAAACATGGATTTGAGGAACTGGAAGAAAAGAGTTGGAACTTCTTAGAGAGATTGAAGAGTCCCCGATATTGCTGTAAAGTTAATGATTATCAGAAGTGTTTACCATAGCTTATCTTTTCTGAAATTCTTTATTTTGATTAACTTTTGTTTGGCTGAATTTTATCTTCAAGTAGCTATTATTATTGTTGTTATTGTTATTTTTGTATAACAAATGGGCTCATCAGTACTATAATCCTTTAGTCTGAAACCTTTGAAACTATTAGAACTCTACTATTAGAACTATTACTCTCTATTAGAACGTTGCATACGTTTTCTGTACTGTTAATAATCTTCCCAACTTCATACTCATTGAATACTTTTAAGCTTTCGTATTGTTACTCATTCACCATTTCTATTAACTTTTTCGAATGAAATTTTATCACTGTTCTATATTTCTGCCATGACTGTGGCTGTCTTAATTCCTTTCCTCCATGCTTCCAATTAGGTTTCAGCCATGGCTGTGTTGTTCTTTTGCCTCTTTTAATTTATATATGAGTTTTTTAGCAAAGTAGTGTTTTGTCCCTAATTGATTTATTTAGGTCTGCATTATTCATCATATATTCCTTTGGTGTAATGTCTCATTTTGTTTCAGTGATTTTATTTTCTTTTAATTTTTCCTGTAAATATGTGTTATGAAATATTTTCTTCTTTTTCTCCATATTAAACTGCTTATTTGTCCTATAGAACTGAGTTTCTTGTCTCCACTTTTTCACCTGAATTTTTACATAGCTATCATCATGCCATTTCCTTTTATCTTGTCATATTTGACAAGGTCAACTCTATTCCAAACCTCCTATTTGCTCAGGTACAGAATGGGGAACTTGTCCTAAACTCCCTTTTTAAAATCTGAGATCAATTGGCATTTTCTTCAGAGCACTTAATGTTGTGTGTTTTTCCATCTTGTCTGTTACTTGAGGGCATGGAGAAACAGGATATAACTGGGGATGTGGGCAGCTGCTATTGGTGGACCAGGCCTCTGATATTTTTGATAATTGTGTTAAAAGTCTTACACTGGCATTTATTCCACAATTTAGGTGTTTCTTACCATTCTGAAGAACACTATATCACTCAGAGTTTAACAAGAAACAATAACCACTAGGAGATGTATACACGTATATATATTTGGCCTTATGCAGCTGGACAGACAGTCTCTGCAAAGCTATTTTCTTTACATCTGATGCTGGAGCTTAGAGTGTTTAGAGCATTCATTTGGGAAGGGAAGATGAATGTGTATTGGTGGAGACCAAGAGCAAACTGGAATCCAAAAGTATGAGCTGGAATTCCACAAGAAAAACTGACAGCTATGTCAGTTCTTGTTGCCACTGCTGAGTGTCTTATAGAAGCCTGGGCTAGACTCTCTGTATTAAACACACACAAATGGCCCAGGAGAATTCAGGGGGAAGGTAGAGTAGTTGCAGGCCTAACTTCTGTTTCACACCAAGATGAGTCAGTAAAACAGCAACGCGGGCCCAGCGTGGTGGCTCACACCTGTAATCCCAGCAGTTTGGGAGGCTGAGGCAGACGGATCACCTGAGGTCGGGAGTTTGAGACCAGCCTGACCAACATTGAGAAACCCCATCTCTACAAAAAATACAAAATTAGCAGGGTGTGGTGGCGCATGACTGTAATCCTAGCTGCTCGGGAGGCTGAGGCAGGAGAATTGCTTGAACCTGGGAGGCAGAGGTTGTGGTGAGCTGAGATTGTGCCATTGCACTCCAGCCTAGGAAACAAGAGCGAAACTCTGTCTCTAAAAACAAATAAATAAATAAATAAAATAAAACGGCAACATGTTTGAGCTACAGAATGGCTGCTGCTTTCCTTCTGCCCCCTAAATCGCCAGTCTCCCCCAGGACCATCCTAAGTAAAAACACATAAGAAAGGGAATAGCCAAGTGGACAAAGGTACTAATATACCCTTGAATTTTGGATTACTACCCTCAAATAAAGTAAAGCTTTGCCTTGAGGCTTTTACTCTTCCTTAGACCCCAAGTTTTATTTCCTATTTCATTAACTTCTTCCGCAACCCAGATTAAGAAAGTGTCAAAATCTAAGCAATCATGTTGCAAATTAAATTCATGTTTGCATTTGCAATGAGAAAATAAAGAGAGTAAAGGAATTGTATATTATTTTGTCTATTCTTTCCCTCTGGTGAAGATGAATTGTTACTGTTATAACCTTTTACACTGTCATCTTAAAGCAGTACAACTGAGCCAGTCTGTATTTGTTCCAGTGACTGTGAAAATCAGATTCTTCATTCACATAACCGAATGATGGCTAAACAATTCTTGTGAAAGGCAATTGGCATAAACTGTTAAAGTATAATCTCCAAAAGTTTTAAAATCATGACTGTTTATAAAAATAGAAAATTAGCATATGTTAAAATTTTTACTTAAATGAGCAATTTTGTTTAGCTTATCAATTAATAAGAGAACCAATAAACATTAAAATTGATTCAACTGGTTCTCCAGGAAACAAACAAACAAAAACCTAATTAGTAGTGTCTGTTGATTTTTGTAGTATAGGTACTCCCACCATGACCATGGCTAATTTTAAGCTACCAACATGAAGTCAACCAGTTTTCAAAGTTCCTGAAAATAAAACAATTGATTCTTATGAGCTAGTCTGAATTGACTCTAGCACACTACCATTAATAAATATATGTGCAATTTAATACAGGAATGTCAACATAAGGTATATAGTTTATGAAACTGGTTAATGTTTCCAGGAGAAATGAACCTTTAGAGTTATTTTTCCACCAGATAGGAATTACTTGCATCTTCGCTGGACAACATCTATTCATTAACCTCTGCCCTAAGAGAGTTGTAACATAGCCCCAATCAATAGAATCAAGCCCAGCACTTCACTGAAAGAATACTTAATAATTTCTTATGCTTTTTCCAAGTTATGAATAATATGTTCTCATGGAACAGATTGTTAAATCTATAATGAATTAATGCTCCTCTGACTCAATTTTAAAAAAAAAAGTTCTATTAGCTTGCAAGGTATTTGAAAATAGGCATTATTTTTTAGTCCTTGTTTCCTTAGCCTTTAGCAAGTATCTGGAACCATGTAGGTGCTTAATAATTTTTTGGTATATTGACAAGTATAATTTTGTATGAGAAAAGTAGAAGTTAATTTCTCAAATGGACAATATCTTCCTCATTTTTCTCTCCCTTTTTAGGTTCCTGCCAAGAAATATGACTGAGCCCAATTAAGGGCAACACATGTTCCCTGGCCTCAAGGGAAACTCTAGAAGCAATGAAAATAGAAACTTTAAAGGCAGTGAAAAATATGGGATAAATGGTGAGAAATGGTGCAGATCATAAAATGATATAAAATTTAAATTTATTATTGAAGCAGTTATTAAATGTTGACCTCAATTCACTATGAGAGTATGATGTAGAGAGAGATTAAAATATAAACTATAATTTCTAATTGGACGAGACAGTTGAGAACTAAATTAACAAGATCAGACTATTTCTTGGCCCATTGTTGACATGTAACATGTTGACATGGCCACTAGGCTTATTACAACTGAAAACTAAAGAAACAAGGAACAAATCAGAGGAGAACCAAGGTAAATGGTGACTGAGATGCTAAGTGGAGTGTTTCAAGGAAGAAAGTGTGATCAACCAACTCTATATAATGTAGTTAAAGGACTGAAACTTCAGAAATTATATTTAATATGGAGGTTCACAAGTAATTGACAAGAGCAGTTTTAGTGGAGTAGTGATGAAAGCTTTATTGGAACGAGTTCAAGAGAGAATGGAAGTAGAGACAGCAAGTTTAGACAATTCTTTTTGGAATTTTACTTTGAAACGAAACAGAAAATAAAGGTATCTTATACTTTCCAGGATGCTATAACAAAATAATTAGACCGACACTTTATAAATAACAAAACTTAAAGTCCTAGAGGCTAGATAGTCTAAGAGTATAGTGCCAGAAAATTCAGTGTCTAGTGAGGACCCATTCCTTGTAGATGATGCTTTCTATGTGTCCTCACATGGCAGAAGGGAGAAGGCAGCTTCCTTTAACCTCTTTTATAAGCAGATTTAATCCCATTCGTGAGGGCTTCCCCCAAAGTCCCCACCTTTTAATACTATCCCATTGGGTATTAGGTTGTAAGAAATGAATTTTGGAGGTTGTAAGAAATGAGGTTGGAGAAATGAATTTCAGGCCATAGCAAAAGGTTAATCTGAGAGTGGTGGCAGAACAAAGGATCAGGGAGTTCTGTATTGTTTTGTTTTAAATAAAAGGGGAAATACTACATGTCTAGATTGCTGGGGAAATGAACCATTGTAGAGAGAAAAATGATGATACAGGAGAGACGGAAACAAAGCTCCTGAAGCAGGAGGGAAAGGATGAAATATAGCACACCAGTGGTTACTCAAGACCTCAGTCTTCAATGCTATAGAAACCTTTATAACTATAAAGTTATCAATGTTTAATATAATACATCTATAGTCTTTGACAATAGTCACCCATGTATTATTTGTGAATACTGAAGTTTAAGCTATTTTAATATTATGAAATAATAGAAAAATGTACAAAATAAAAATGTAGAGTCAAATGATTTACTATCACACAGGTCAAGAAATTGGACATTGGTAGCAATCAAAATCCCCACTGTATCCCTTCTCCAAAAGTAACCACTTTCTTGACTTCTATTGATCTATTTATCAATTCTTTCACAGACACCATAATCTCTTATAAGTATCAAAATCTTGATACTCCATTTAGGAATAATTTTAATCAAATGTTTTCATTTTAAAGAATGTTTAATTATACTTTACGGTATATTTATTTAAATGTTTGTTTATTTAAATATGTTGACTATGTTTTATTGCCAAAGAAAGTCTTGAAGTTGTTGCCATCCTTGGCAGCTCACAAATAAATCAAAAAATCTAGGCAAATGTATCCGTGGCTAGCTTTTAGTTATCAACAAAAGGATTGGTTCTACTCCAATAATATAAAAAATGCAGGGTTTTAAAATCATATATGTATATACACACACACACATATATGATTTTACATATATATCATATAAATATGATTTTAAACCCCTGCATTTATATATATTTTTATAGTATAAATATTACATATATTTTATATTTTACATATATTTTATATATTTTTATATTTTACATACATTTTATGTATATTTAATATTTTACATATATTTATATTACATATATTTTATATTACCTTTTTTTATATATATATACACATACATATAAAACAGATCTTTTAATGTACAGGACACGTTGGACACTGTTAGTAAGAACTAGAAATGTTTTAAAATCTCAGCTTACTGGTTTTGTCTTATGATCTCATACTGTTTCTTTTCTTGTGTCACTTCTCTATCACTTCCCTGTCCATAGAAAAAACAGTCTTCTTAAAAAACAACAGCAGCAGAAAAAAAAAAAAAGGTCTGATTGCTGGCTTAGCTGGGGACAGTACCTAGTACTGATAATATTTGTGTAGAAGTAAAGAAACGGCAAGATGAGTGCTATGTATAAATACACCTCTTTTAGTTTATGTCAGAGTGTTGGGTGCTTCTTGTCTTGATTTAGAAAATTGTGTTGAGGGCATAAAAAGCTTTTTTGTAAACTTAACTACGCATTGTGGATCCCTTCAAAGTTTTGTTTTCTGTCACACAGACACATGTAAGTACTGTGAATTTGGTGGTTTGACTTCAATGCCACGCTCATGATTTCTATTGCAGCCTCTCATGCTGATTTACTGCACTCAACCCACTGCATTCTGTTAGCCTCAAAATTTACCCCTAATGTCTGATCCAGTTCAATTCACCTCCAGCCCTTTCCTTACCACTGCACTGTTACCAAAGTGTGCTTGCCATGGTAAGAACATCCTGGCAATACTTGTGCTCTTGTATCAGATAGAAGTCTCAACCTTTGGCCTTTCATTCTTACTCTGACTAAAATTACATGTGTATCAACTAAAAGGAATATAAAAGTAGGTATCACCTACCTGCCTCTATAAAGTCTCTCTTTACTTTCAAAATTCTTTACCTCTATTGCATTGAGTTGGTAAATCGCATTATTGACTATAGTAAATTTTTATCTAAAATATGAACAAATAGACGCTGAGTATGTCCCAGATGGGATCTTCCTTAAGCAAATGAGTACATTTTGTGTTATCTGGCTTAGGTGATCTTCAACCTTTCTGCTTTTACTGGATGTTTGAGGTTACCAGGTAGTTGGTATCTGGATAAGTGAGGTATTAGCATGTTGGACATTGAACATCCATCTTGTAGGGTTCTGGAAACAATCTGAACTGCAAGCCAAGTAAACAATACAGAATTAGCAGAAATTCCTAGTCACTAAAGTGAGTTCCAAGGAGAAATAATTTATACTAAAGTATATGTTTACAAAATCAATTATTTAGCAATTTTTTGTATCAGTGGTTTGAAAAGATTTGCATACCATAATAAAGTCTGCTCCTAACAATCCTTCAAAACACATTTTGTCCTTAAAAATACATTTAGTATTTTTTTAAAAGCAAATAGAGCATAATAGTTTTAGGCATAAATCTATCAAAATTAAAACAAATATTTTCTTTTATTAGAGGAAAAGTCCTGAGTTTATCTGAATTTAACACACCTCAAACAACATTCATATTTGGCATGCCCCTGGATTTTTATTTCTCAAATTTTAGCTAGATATCCAAAAGATGAACTTAAAGCAGAATGACATTTCCTTTCTATCTCTACATGACGGAATTCGAAAATGATTAGACCTCAGAGTTTTCAAATGTAGGTTTTCAGGAAGTAAGAACCCTACACAGACACACACACACACATATACAAAACGTGCTGGCTTATTTAAATGAAGTCTTTCAATTTCTACTAATGACTTAGTTTGATGTAAGGACCATCTATTTCACATCATCTTCTGACTAAAGCTCAGTTTCTTATATGTGATGTTATTTGTTTAAAGAATCATCAAGAGATTGGTATTTTCCTTGTATTGAATAGAAGTTTGAATAGAAGTCAGCTATTCTGATGTTATTGTTGAGAACTGGCAGTTGTTTTAATTTGGGCAGAAACTGGAGTTTGGAAAAGATGTCTATGCTTATCGCCTTCAAAGCTGCATAGATCTAAGTCTGTTGTGATATGAAGGAAGACCATTTCAGTTAAAAGAAAGTGTCTCATTTCAGAGAAGCCCATTTAAAAATCGCAATTTCACCACTTACTAGCTTTGTTACTTTAGGACATTTACTTTTTCTCTAAAAGTTTCCGTTTTCTACATTATAATGTAGGTTGTTATGACCAATATCATAGAAAAAGCACGCAGGTTATGTCACTTTAAAGTGCTTTAAGTGGAGAAGAAGCAAGGCTGTGTCATTCATAGGTGAATTTAGTAAACATGTTTGAGAATGGTTTGTGCATCGAGGGAAGAGACTAAAGGACACATGTTGTTTTACTGGGCCCTTAAAAGCTGCCTCGTTAGATACAGTAGAAACTAAATTGTTCCTTTTTGTGGTAGCAGCAATAAGTCTCACAAAGCGTGCCATTTGCTTCCTTTTATTTAAATGGCATCTTGCAGTTAGGTAGAGATGTGACTATTTCCAGCCAATGTGGTGTAAATGGTGGTGACCTATGTGACTTCAGAACTGGAGCAGTGTAAGTCTGTAAAAGATTCTCCAGTTCCTTAGTTCCTCTTTGCCCTGCCATAGTAAACAAAGTTACATAGTTTCAGATGGTGAGGCTACAGGATGGTGGAAACTCCATCAGCCTGGGTCCTTGTCTGACAATGTGAGGTAGAGTGTCCCATCAAACTTCCGTGAACACGTAGTGGGAACAAAAAATGAACCTTTGTTTTGTTAACCCACTGGGGTTTAAGCCTTAATCTATTACCATGGCATAAAGTAGCCTATCACGAGCAATACCTTGGTTTAGAGTGGCCACATTTTCATATATATTTTCCCTTATGAGTAGTCAAATTTATTGGATTTTGTTAAGAATTAGAAGTAAATGCACTCGGATTTCTAGATTAACAACATTGTGAAATTGTTATTAACGATCATCCTAGAAAGAGCTTTAATATAACATGAACATGCTCAAGGACAGCGAAAATGAGGGATAAGATCAGTAAAGCCAAGTATAGCATTGAAACACATACAGTAACACTGACAGAATAGGATGATTGCCAAAATTGACAATAATGATATTTTGAGCTTGCATAGAATTTTGCAAAGTACCCAATTCACTACCCATCTTCATATGAAGTTCAGGATCCACGTGATGCTGAACTCAGTGGGAGATACATCTAAGAACAACATATTTAACTATAAGTAGACCTGACCTTCAAATGTAAGCAGTTAAAATCCTCTCCATGGAAGCAGAAAGGACACTCAAAATACCCAAACTATTACATAGGATAAGATTTTTATTACAATCTAAAGAAGGCTTCAAAATTATCTACAGACATTAACTGAGCACACCTATAATGGCCAAGAAAATGTAGAGGATAGTAACTAGTTCACCTGAAGATAGCGAAGAAGTGAGTGAACAGACTTTATATTTCTAGAAATGAGACCCACTGGGTCTTACACCTGTGACTACAAATTTTCATAGCACATAGAGGATGGCAGTACAGTTGGCCCTCTACATCTGCAAGTTCCATACCCACAGATTCAACCAACCATGAATTGAAAATATTAAAATAAATGAAAACAAAAATACAAAAAATTAATACAAATAAAAACAATGCAGTATAACAACTATTTACATGGCATTTACATCATATTAGGTATTATAAGTAATCTACAGATGATTTAAAGTATGCAGGAGGGTGTGTGTGAGTTATATGTAAATACTATGCCTTTTTATATAAGGACTTGCATATCTGCAGATTTTGGTATACATGGTGGGTGGGGGGTCCTATAACCAATCCCCCTTGAATGCCGAGCGATAACTGTACTGACGTTTGCATCAGAGAAGCCTGATCTCAAATTCCAGCCCTAACTCCTTACTTTTGATGTGGTCTTGGACAAGTTTACTTGTTTGTAAATGGGAATAATCATTTCTCAAAACGTAATTTAAGAATTCAATGGCAATGTAGGCAAACCATTTAACACATTGATTGACCTATTATAGGCAAATAATAAATGTAATATTTCATTTTTTTTTACCATTTATTTCATTATGAGAGGTAATGAGTCCACTTCTGAGGTTGTAAAAAATAAAAACTGATGTTTTCATTATAGCTATCAGGTAATCCTTAATTGATACTGCTCTGAATGTACCTGTGGACTATGCATTTAACAAATAGTATTATTTGGGGGTCTACCAAGTTTTACCACTGTTCTTTTATATCTTTATATCAAAACCAGAGCTTTGGAACCAAAAGGAATCCCTTTCCATTTGCTGAGGATTAAGACAGACTCCTGATTTGATAGGATCAGTGTATCAGCCATGATGTTTTAAAAACTGTCACTACAAATGTCTTTGTACAACTGTCCTTTTATTTAAAAAGTATTTGGGCTAACCCACACACACAAAAAGAGAGTCCTCAAAATCTAATTCTTTTTGTGCTATATTGCTGTTATAGTGATACAAACTAAATTTCTCCTGTTAGACAAAGTTTATAGAAGGCCATTGTTTAAGACTAGCCTCCTGAACTGGGCCTGGGCAGGCAAGAACAAACCAAAAATAGAGTCATTTATGCTAGGTAAAGCAGTTAAATTCCCAAATAGACCAGCTTTCCCAGAAAGCAGGAGATTCACAGCAACCAGTAAGAAAGAGCTCGGTCTATCTGAGTTCTTTCTACCTTAGTCAGTAGTAAGAAAGTCCCTTCTGCTTTAACCCTTACAAGAAAAGTGGCCTGTAGTAAGCTGAAGTTAACCAATCCACTTAAGAAGAATTTGTTCTGTTTCTTTGTTCCCACCTTACAAAAACCAACCATTCTGTCATGCTCAACAGAACACTCATTCTATATCATAGAACGAGGTGTTACTCAATATTAGGATTGCAAACTAAAGCCAAATAGATCGTTAAACTAAATTTGTTGTAATTTCATCATCTGACACTCTCATTCCTAAAGTTATGTTTTCAAGGCTGGTAAGGATGCTGGGATGGAAGAAAAAAGCATTGTTTTTTTAACAGAAACCATCTACTTTAAGTAACAATATATTAGGTAAGATAACAATGGTATTTTGTTTCAAGTGCTGGGAATGTTTGAAGGCTATGTATACTGTAATTACATTCTATTTTTTATTTGAAGGGAAATTCCTGATTTCTTGTTTGTCTGGAGCAAAAGTCTAGTGCCCCATGCCTATTCTCATGAAAATTAGCTTTTCTTTTGTTTTCTATAATCTCCATGACAAAGATCAGATTTAAAAGCTTTTTAATATAAAAACTTCACACTATTGAGAAGGGTTACAAAGTTATGTTAATTTATAAAGAAGAATTGTAATTCGTGTCTCTTATCCGTGGCCTCCTGTCTAATCATACAGCCTCTTTGGACAACTTCAAACTCTTGTTCTTCCTTCCAATACATTATAATTCTCTACTATAGTTCTTTACTCTCTCTATAAATAGAAAGCAAAGCTCTTGTTAAGCAAAACTGCCCCCAGAGGTCATCTGTTCACTTATTTTGCACATACTGAAATCAAGACATAGACCATAACCATATCCAAAGACCAGCAGCCAAAGAGGCACAAATCTGGGATTTGAACTGTTTTTACTTTTAGAGAAAGAAACAAAAAGCTTTTCCCCTGTTATTGTATTTTTATTAATAGGACTGAATATCTTTTGAAAGATTTAATTTGTTGGGACTGAGCATTAAGCACTGAAATGTGTTGAATAGGCAGTAAATGAGATACTATGAATCTCCCTCACACTTGGTGTCCTCTGCCCTCCATGCAGACCCTAGGAATATACAAGAATGAATCTAGTAAATGTTGTATGCTCTTCAGCAACCTCATATAATCTTCAGGTAGATCCTTATTTTGTATACTCTAAGCTGAACTTGGTAAGAAATGTAGTACTGGGCTAACTCAACAGTAATGGCTTATTATAATGCAGTACGGGTCCAACTGATAACAGAAGATTCCTAATTTGCTTCATGTAAAATGTTGTGTGCAATTAGCTGAGTACAGAAAAAGTGTCTGTTCAACCAACTGAGCCCATATCCTTCTTACTTCTCAAGAAAAACCATTTGAATATTCAAAGGTTGTTTCTCAAGATAATGCTTTTGCAGAGACTCTATGTCTAACATTTGGCAAATTTTATGAGACACTAATCTGGAGAAATGTCCCTAATTTAGTCCTCA
This sequence comes from Homo sapiens, assembly GCF_000001405.40. Classification (NCBI taxonomy): domain Eukaryota; kingdom Metazoa; phylum Chordata; class Mammalia; order Primates; family Hominidae; genus Homo; species Homo sapiens. The sequence continues at coordinate 153,687,802 of NC_000003.12, read as the reverse complement.
AATATCAATGCTGCTTGAAATCCTATTCTGATTCTCAATGCTAAACCGTCAAAGTAGAATTCTGAACATTTGGGAAATGTTTGTGATAGAAGACAATTTTCTGACTTGAAGGTGGGTCTGAATCTATATTTATAGCATGGGATGTATCACTTTTATAAGAAGTTGTAAAAAATAAACAACCATTAGCTTATATTTTAAATATTTGAAAATCCTCTTTTTCAAGTAAAATATTTCCCAATATTAAGCAAAAAAATAGATATTCATTAGTGATAAAGCAAGCTACATAAATGAATTCGCTGTTGGCAATGGAAAGTTTCATTTAAATCTGATAATGCACTGTGACTATTTCATACAGAAATAGTACATACAGTAAAATAAAAGATTCTTTGTCCTGCCCTGAGGATCCTTTTGTAATAGATTATTTTTCTTCTTCAGTGTCTTCTCACTTCCATTTACCACTCTAACCAATATAATCTGTAAAAACAGTATACAGCTTAAAATGTCAGGCAAACGATAAATGTAAAGTCAATTATGTTTATTAGATTATGTATCTTGGGTTTTATCACTGATAAATTATGCTTTTGAGTTCTAGTAAACATTATCACATTTCTGCTTTATTCGATCTGGTTCTATCATGCAGCTGGGACACTGTAGTTGAGCCTTTACACTTAGCTCCAGGAAAAGTGACTTTTTCTTGCTTCCTCTTTGCCCCAAGATCCTTATTTTGGTCACTGTGGGGCTGGAGTCTTAATCACTTGCAATAATAACATATTTTTTGCTCTGAGCCTCACTTCCAAAATCTGGGTCCTTTACTGTTTTCAACATTCAGGGAGTGTCTTGCCTGCCTCCCTGACAGCCTTAAGAGCCTTACTTGTTAAACCGAATTCCAGAATCTCCTGCCTGGGACTGCAATTGTGTTGTGTTGCCTGCGGGCAACACCTCGATATTTCTCTATTTCTCAACCCTTCTACATAATGGTGTGTTAAATTGCACAAAGATTTTAGAGGGTGACATTTCAGATGTCTGAGCTGCTGATTTTCAGCAATGAAATCTGTGGTAGCACAAAGAAATGATAAGTATCTGAAGTGATGAATATGCTAATTAGCCTGATTTGCTCATTCCACAATGTATACATGCATGGAAATATTGCATTATACCCTCTATACAATTATTACTTGTCAATTAAAAATAAAATAAAATTTTTAAAAGGAGAAATACGTGGTGGAAAGCAAGTGATACATTATTCACTTTTTGGTATTTCCATGGAGGATTTTTTAAAAGAAAGATTTACAGACTTTTTAGAAAATGAGCCTCCTCACCCTACGTCACCATCTGCAGCAGGTGCCCAGATGCAGACGAGAGGTCTAGGAATGGAGAAGCCTGTAGAGGGTCCCCTCATCCCTTCCTAGAAGTGTGCTTTAGTCCTAGTCCGTTGATATGTCTCTCACACACGTGTCCGTAGACTCCCCATCCCTTCCTCTTCCCTTCAGCGCTTTGCTACTGACTTCATCACAGAATGTCAAACAAATATCTAAAGATTACTCGCCCGGGCGCGGTGGCTTACGCCTGTAATCCCAGCACTTTGGGAGGCCGAGGCAGGCAGATCACAAGGTCAGGAGATCGAGACCATCCTGGCTAATACGGTGAAACCCTGTCTCTACCAAAAATACAAAAATTAGCCGGGCGTTGTGGCCCACCCTCTCCCAGCTACTCGGGAGGCTGAGGCAGGAGAATGGCATGAACCCGGGAGGCGGAGCTTGCAGTGAGCCGAGATGGCGCCACTGCACTCCAGCCTGGGCGACAGAGACTCCACTCCGTCTCAAAAAAAAAAAAAAAAAAAAAAAGATGACTCAAACTGTTCCTGCACTATCTGAAGAAAGTTTTCTTCCCTTATTATGGAAGATTTCACACAGATAGGATGGCATGTATGAGAGTTGTAATAAATTATTGTGAAATGACCACTTGTCTATGCACCACACAGTTTGAAATAATATTTTCATTATCTGGCAATAAAATTCATAACAAACTTACCTACACATAATTTTTAAAAATCAGTGAAATTAACTGGAATAAAAAAGGATATGTGAAAAGAATGCAAAATATAATAAAATAAAATGTACTTCAATATGTAAATGTCTGGGCACATGTATTCTGGAAATCTCATGAAGCAGTTAAATTTCTTTTTAAATACTGACGATTTGTTTTGATATAGAAGACATATAGATCAAAGGCCATTTTATATGGAAATAGAGACGCACACTCAAATTAAATACATAAATAAGTAAATAAAAGCCTGGAGATAGATAAATAATCACAAACAAAATTTACTAGTGTAAGGCAAAGGAAATGACAAAAGAGCAGGAGGAGATAACACGTCATGGCAAATTACAGATTGCTGAAATGGAGAAAAGGAGGAGGAATCATAGTCTCTCAAATGATGCTCTAAGCTATATTTAAAGTTATAGTGTCAAAATTATTCCCTTTGTATAGCACAGGATGCTATCATTAGTGTACTGTAATCTGAAACACTTTCAATTACATATATAGTTAGAAATGCTAGAATATGTTGACTAGAAAGTGTAAGATGTGCAGAGTAAAACTAAATAGTTTAAAGATATTGTCTTTATTCCATTGACGCTTCCCTCTCAATAAGTTCTCCTATATTACTGAAATTTTAGAGTAATTTCTTATACAAATTCAATATTATTATGGATTAAATGCTCGGTATTATCATATACTAAAATACCATCAATTCATATTAGTAAGGGTTTAGTTCAGCAAGATATTTTGAAGTCCAATAATGCCAGTGGTGCACTTCTAATCATGAATTTCTAAAATGACCCAGAAAAGGATTATATTAGAGTTCTCCAGAGACAAAGAACCAAGAGAGAGGGAGAGAGAGACAGAGAGATATCTATTGTAAGATATTGGCTCACGTAATTGTGAAGATTGAGAAATCCCACAACTTACCATCTGCAAGCTGGAGACTCAGGTAATCTGGTGGTGCAGTTAGAAGGCCAGAGAGCCAGTGGTGTAGATTCCAGTCCAGGTCTAAAGGCTTGAGAACCAGGAGCTCCTTGTTCATAAGAAGATGTATGTTCCAGTTTAAGCAGTCAGGCCAAGAGCAAATTAAAACTTCTTCTACCTTTTTGTTCTATTCAGGCTGTCAATAGATTGAGTAATGCCTATTCCCATTGGGGAGGACTATTTGCTTTACTCAGTCCACCAGTTTGAATGCTAATCTCTTCCAATAGTCTCTCCACACTCCCAAGAATAATGTTTAACCAGCTATCTGGCCATCCCATGGCCCAGTAAAGCTAACACATAAAACAGCCATTGAAAGGGTGTTACCACCTATATTAAGAACTCTCAAGTCCCCAGTGTTCCCTTCCCAATCATAGATGCCTGCTTCTCTCCCAACTGCTACCCTGGATTTTGTGTTTGTAACCCATTTGGTTTTCATTTACTTTTAATAAGTATGCATGTACTTCTAAGAGTATAGTTCTGAATATTTATGAAGTTTATATCTATGTAACATCACTGCATTTGTGAGGATCATCTATGTTGATGAGCATTGCTCTAGCTAATTCATTTCAAATGACAGTTTTCCGTTGAATAAATATAATGCTCATATATCTATTCTCCAATCAATGATGTTTTGTTTATTCCCAGGTTTTGGGTTTTTTTCCTAATACCATAAAATTTTATTATTATTAACATTTCTTTACATGTCTCCTCTTGCTCATGCATAAGAGCTTTTCTAGGGTATATATATATATATATATATATATATGTCCTAGGACATATATATATATAAACACATATATATATGTACTAGAATATATATATTTGACTCATATATATGTGTATAGATATATATATGAGTTGAATCCATGGGATATGGAGTATACTTATGATTAATTTTAGTAGGTAATGTCAATTGTTTTTTCGAAGTGATTGTACTAGTTTACAGTCGCACCATTTGTTCATATGTCTCAATTGCTGCACATCTTATCTTCCCCAACACTTGGTATTATGAAACTTTTAAAAAAAAATTAGAGACAGGGTTTCACCATGTTGCACAGGCTGGAGTGCAGTGGCTATTCACAGTGTGATTATAGCTGACCACAGCCTCAAACTCCTGAGCTCAAGTGCTCCTCCTGCCTCAGCCTCCCAAGTAGCTGAGATGACAGGAATGTGCCACTGTACATGGCTCCTTGTATTGCAAAACTTTTATATTTGATAATATGTGAGTGTGAAATTTATTTTTTCATATTCATTTTCATTCATATAGCTGACCACAGCCTCAAACTCCTGAGCTCAAGTGCTCCTCCTGCCTCAGCCTCCCAAGTAGCTGAGATGACAGGAATGTGCCACTGTACATGGCTCCTTGTATTGCAAAACTTTTATATTTGATAATATGTGAGTGTGAAATTTATTTTTTCATATTCATTTTCTGAGTCCTAATGATATTGAGTGCCTTTAATATGAGTATGAGCTGCTTGAGTTTTGCCCTTTTGTGAAATGTTTGTTTATAGATTTTGCTCATTTTTATGTTGGACTATTTGTCTTTTTCTTGCTTCTTTTCAGTTACATGCATGTTTTGACTATGTATCCTTTTGTTTACATGCATCACAAACATATTCTACCAGTTTTTGGCTTTTATCATTTACCTTGTGGTGTCTTTTGGTAGACAGAAAATTCTAATTTTATTTAGTAAAATTGATCAAACTTGTAAAAAACGATTGCCCTGTTTGTGTCTTGAATAAGAAATAATTTTTTTCTGCAAGGTGATAAATCTGTCCTTCAATGTTTACTAAAGTCTTAAAATTTTGGCTTTCCTATTTAAATCATGAATCCATCAAGAATTGATTTTTGTGCATGTTATAAAGTAATCAATTATCCCCTCAGCAATTACTGAATAGGATTCTTACCCCTTCTGATAAGCAATTCATCACTGTCATATTAAGATGTCACACATGAATGGATTTGTATGTCTGTTTTCTGTTCAATTGCCTAGGTCTGTCTACCTCTGTAACAATGCCACACATTTTAAATACTAGAGCTTTTTAATACATATTGATATTTTCTAATTTCTCAAATATTCTACCTGAAGAGTATCATAGTGAATTTTGGGGCTTTGCTCTTCTCTATGTATTTTAGAATCTGCGTGTCAAGCTCCATGCTAATATTTTTAAAATTTACATAAGTTCTATGTGACAATTTTTAAGATTTATCCAGTTATATTTGATAGTATCTTGTTCCTAATCCATACTTAGAATTATTTCTTTTAATGTATTAAATATTATATACAATATGTTTAATACAATACAATAGTATTATAATATTATAATGTAATAGTGAAATGGGTCAGGGTCAATGGTCTTGATTTCTGAGGTGTTATCCAAGCTCATTGTCTCACAACCAAGAGAATTATGGAGTGTGGACACAAAGGTTGAGGTTGGAGCAAAAGTTTAATAAGTGAAAGAAAGCTCTCTGCAGCAGAGAGGGAGCCTGAGTGGGTTGCCGCTTTTACAGTTGAATTTAAAAGCTTTTATAAGAAACTCCTCTAATCTCTGTAGCTGTTTGAGTAACTTCTCTTAACTGTAAAGCTGTCTGCATAACTCCCTCTTATCTATGTAGTTGTGGGTATGTCTCTAGGTAAGCACAGAGTGCAGCTTCTCTTGTTTATAATTGTGGGTTTGTTTTATGTAAGCCCCCCTTCCCCTCCCCATGAAGCTCCCATGGAGCCCACCATGTACATGTCTGAAAAGTGGGGGAAACTTTTCCTGTGAGTCAGCTAGTCACACAAAGAACAAAATGCTTCTATGCTACACCCTATCTGTGCATCTGTAGTCTGAGTTTTCCCCTGCTTGCTTTATTTTTGCCTATAGCTGTGATTATTCAGGCAGGCTGCTTCTCTGAGGACTAGCCCTAGCTGTCTACCTAGCTGATTTTTCCTTTTCTTATCCCTCAATAGCATTATATTAAACACATTGAATATATTTTTGGTTGATTTTGGTATCTGAAGTATCTTTGGGTCTGATTCTTTGTTTCCATAGACCCATGTTCAACTTCCTTTTTTCTCTTACCATTCTTTGAACAGATCCAGAATGGGATACAGCCTTGTCCCAGCACAAAGTAGGAGAAACAAGAAATTGCACTGTAACTTCTCAGCTCCTGCACCAGCATTTCATGGTGTTTTCCAAATTTTACGGTGGATAATTGGACATTCTTCGTCACATTTATTTGTGTCATTATAATTTAAAAATTACACAGCATTAGATATTTTTTCTTTCTCTTCTTTACAGTGAGATAGTACAGAGTAGTGGTTAAGACCATATACTCTGTCATACTATCTGATATGGTTGGCTGTGTCCCCACCCAAATCTCATCTTTAATTGTAGCTACCATAATCTCCATGTGTCATTGGAGGGAACTGATAGGAGGCAATTGAATCATGGGGGTGGGTTTTTCCCATGCTGCTTTCATGATAGTGAATAAGTCTCACGAGATCTGATGGTTTTATAAAGGGCAATTCCCCTGCACACACTCTCTTGCCTGCAGCCTTGTAAGATGTACCTTTGCTCCTCTTTCACCTTTCACTATGATTGTGAAGCCTCCCCAGCCATGTGGAACCATGAGTTCATTAAACTTCTTTTTCTTTATAAATTAGCCAGTCTCAAATATTTCTTCATAGCAGTATGAAAATGGGCTAATATACTGTCTACATTCAAACCTAGACTTTACCTATTTCTAGCTCTTTGAGGTAAACTTTCCCTATCTGAGCCTCTGTTTCTCAGCATTATGTTATTACAAAACTGGTTCAATTGTATATTGGATGGCTGGCAGTATTAAATGAATGAATGCATGTAAAGCTCCCACCTTAGAGTCTAGTACGTAGTAACAGCTCAATAAATATTCCTTATCATTGACTCTGGTGTTCTTCCTGAAAGCTTCAGCACTGAGTCTTTCACAGACTTGGTATCAACAGGATGTGGATTGATTGATGGTGCAGTATGTCTGACTGTGGACTACTGATACAAGTAACCTACTCCAGAAGGTAAAGAGAAGGTATGGTGGGTAAAAGGCTCATTACACACAGTACAGGCAAAGGAGAGCTACACTTAGCCAGCAAGATACACAGTAGAGTGTGAAGGCTGCCTCTGAGTGGGCAGTTCTGCCCACATGCTTGTAGCTTTGCTTCTACATTGTCAGGTCTGATGGATCAGGGCAGTGGAGAATTCAGCAGGGAGAAAGAGAATCATTTGGTCCTCTGGAAAGTGTTTATACTTGTTATGGTGATTTCCACTGTGCTTTACCCTTAGGTTCAGTCTCCAAAGAACAGATAAATGATCATAATTATTTTTTTCCTCCCTTTACTTTGAGAGAAATAAATTTACTCAAAGCATTTTCAGTAATAGAGCCAGATAAAAATCTTTGGAAAATGTGAACACAAAGATGAACAATCCCAAGGCTTAAGTCATTTTGTTGGGAGACTGTATATGATTTAAATGTGATGAAGAAATGCCCATTTTGCTCACCCAACATGTAAACATTTTAGATAAAATTGTTACCAAAATGCCAGGGAGCTGGTCTCGGTCCTGTTGCTTGCTGCACAGAAAGCCAGTCGCTGAGACAACAAGTATTGCCAAGGAAGAACTCTTTATTTGGGTACTGCAGCTGAGGAGAACAGATCAGTCTCAAATCCATATCCTCAACCAATTAAAAATTAGGGATTTATATAGCAGGGAAGTAATGTACTACATGCAGGAAAACAGGAATTAGGGAGGAATAAGGAAGATGAGTTGGACAACAGGAAGCAGTGGTCACTTAGGCAATTATGACAGGTGAGGGGTCTGACATCTCATTGTCCAGATGTGGTGATCTGGTTCAAGTTTCACTTCCTTGATACTCTTTGAGAGTCCTGATGGTTGTTTTTCAGAAAAAGGAACTCAGACAAGACAGATGTAATTTCTTAAGTTTTAAGACTGGGAGGGTCAATTTCTATGTTTATTAAAAAAAAAAACCATAAACATCATTTCTATGAAACAATTGAGTCAGTTTCAAAATTAAACTTGAAAATCTAATTTAAAAAATTTTTGAAGGATATCTTTCTCGTGATATCCTCTGTCTTTTTCTTCTCTAGAAGCTACTCTCCTTGTCACTACCCATTTTCTATGGTATTTTAAAATTATAAGTCACACAAAAGCAACAAGAATGTCATAATACTCACTTTTGTTCAGGACTCAACTTAAATGGTAATTTTATTAGGGATTATCATATACTACTACTGTTAAAATATTCACTAAGACATTGAATTAGACTTCTCAATATAAAATTATTCTGAGTATACTAATTAGTTAAGGTAATACATTTAGCACATTAAAATTACTTTTACTTAGTTTATTACTGTTAATGACTCAGATTATTATACCTGAACAATTTTTAAATCCATTTTAAAAAAATTATTTGCAGTTCCTTAAGCATCTATTTAAATTTCCAGTCTTAAGCTTCCTGCTCTGGTTCTTACTTAATATATATATATGCTGCATACGTTGCAAAGAGACTTGCAAAATATGAATCTTTTTTTTTTTTTTTGAGACAGAATCTTGCTCTGTCACCAGGCTGGAGTGCAATAGTGTGATCTTGCCTCACTGCAACCTCCGCCTCCTGGGTTCAAGCGATTCTTTTGCCTCAGCAACCTGAGTAGCTGGGACTACAGGTGCACGCCAACATGCCTGGCTAACTTTTTGTATTTTAGTAGAGACAGGGTTTCACCATGTTGGCCAGGATGGTCTTGATCTCCTGACCTTGTGATCCACCCGCCTCAGTCTTCCAAGGTGCTGCGATTACAGGCATGAGCCACTACGCCCAGCCAAGAATTTTTTTAAAGAAGTTTTGTTTGTGAAACAGCAATAGAGAAGGCTAATTTTGGAGTAGTAAATTGCCCAATTGTGTGTCAGGGTCAGCATCTTACTTTCTCTCCCACTAATTTGACTGTTTGGATTGTGATGATGTATTTGTATCCTCCCAAATTAGAGGGAAAGGCCTTTTTTTATTCTTCTTCCAGGACAAAAACTTGATTTGCACCTTGTGCCAGAATCTGGGTTTCTATTCCAAGGGGTCTGGGACCTAGTGATGAAGAGACAGCATCTTTTAACTCACTTCTCTCTTAAAAGTCATTCTTGTATTTGAAGAATGACTTTTAAATAACTAATCTATTTTGATTAAATTCTTAAAACTACATTTATTAGCAACAACAGGAGAACTTACTATTCAATGAAATATATCATTGTTATTAAATGACTAAATATATTGCTCTTTATTTATATAAATATTTGCATTGTGTGTTAATCTTGAGGTTGAGAAAAGAGTTGCTAGAGAAAACAGACTGGCAATAGGACACAGAAAGTTATAGGGACAATTTCATGTTGTGTATAGCTCACAAGTGTATTCCAACGATGTCTCTGGGGTGTTGTCTGCAGTTTTCATTTCATACCTAGATAGGAATTTTAACAAGATGGATCCTGTTTATTCAGTGTCAATTCATGATACTCATTCCTCATGCAGTCTACTCAGAGTTTACCTGTACAAAGAAAATACCATTGAAATATTTTCCCAAGAAACCCCAATGTGTTAAAGTAATCATATGTTTAAAATTTATTTTAAACATATGATTTTACAGTGCACACACATACATGCAAACTTACCTACTGCCTCTGAAACGAAATGCCAGGGAACAATGTACACTTTTACTATTTTAAACATTTCTAGATATTTCTATTTTATTTTATTAAAAAATGCTGGTTGGCATAAACATTCATGTGTTGGCTTTTGTATAGACATGAGCTTTCAACTCCTTTGGGTGAATACCAAAAAGCACAATTGTTGGGTTATAGGTAAAGGTATATTAATATATCTTGTAAGAAACTACCAAACTGTCTTCAAAAGTGGCTATGTCATTTTGCATTTCTACTGTCAGTAAATGAGAGTACCTGTTGCTCCACATCCTTGTCACCATTTGATATTATCAATGTTCTAGATTTTGGTCATTTTAATAGGTGTGTAGGATATCTCACTGTTGTTTTAATTTGCATTTCCCTGGTGATATATAAGTTGGAACATATTTTCATGTAATTACTTGGCTACCTGTGTATCTTCTTTGGTGAAGAGTCTTTTAAGATCTTTGGGCCTTTTAAAAATTAGGTTGTTAAGTTTCTTATTTTTGAGTTTTGAGAATTCTTTGTATGTTTTGGATAAGAGTCCTTTATCAAATATTTTATCCCAGTCTCTGGCTTGTCTTTACATTCTCTTGCCAATGTATTTCATGAGGCAGACATTTTTAATTTTAATGAAGTCCAATGTATCAATTTTTTCTCTTAAGAGTTGTGCCCTTGGTGTTATATCTAAAATTGATCATCAAACCCAAGGATTTGGATTAGATTTTCTCCAGTGTTATCTTCTAGGAGTTTCACAGTTTTGTTTTTTGTCTTTTATTTTGTTTTATTTTGAGACAGAGTCTCACTCTATCGCCAAGCTGGAGTGCAGTAGTACGATCTCGGCTCACTGCAACCTCCACCTCCCAGGTTCGAGTGATTTTCCTGCCTCAGCCTCCCGAGTAGCTGAGACTACAGACACGCACCACCACACCCAGTTAAGTTTTGTATTTTTAGTAGAGATGGAGTTTTGCCATGTTGGCCAGGATGGTCTCGATCTCTTGACATCGTGATCTGCCTGCCTTGGCCTCCCAAAGTGCTGGGATTACAGGTGTGAGCCACCGTGCCCAGCCCAAGTTTTATAGTTTTTTATTTGACATTTAGGTCTGTGATCCATTTTGAGCTAATTTTTGTGAAGAGTATAAGGTCTGTGTCTGGATGTTTTTGTTTTGTTTTGCCCATGGCTGTCCAGTTTTTCCAGCACCATTTGTTAAAAAGACTAACCTTTTTTTCCATTGCATTACCTTTGCTCTTTTGTCAAAGATCAATTGATTATATTTATGTGACTCTATTTCTTGGTTCTCTATTATGTTCTGTTTATCTGCCTATACTATTGCCAATACCACCTTATCTTGATTACTATAGTTTTTTGGTAGCTTTATTTATAGCAGCTTTCTTCACAATTGCCAAAATTTGAAAGCAACCAAGATGTCCTTCCATAGGCAAATGGATAAATAAACTGTAGCACACCCAGACAATGGAAAAGTCGATCTATCAAATATCAATGGATAGTCAATCTCACCATACTAAGATGATAAAACTCAACCCAAAACAAAGAAAGCTCTCATTTTCATTTTGGTTATGCACCGTGAAATAATAAAATCACCCTACTGACCCAATACTTTCTCTCTCCAGACCCCAGATTTAAACTAACTTCCTATAGATTGTGGGTGAAGTATCTGATGGACCGTCTCATACTTGGAAAAAAATTTATTTACCCAACATTTATAGGTTACTTACAGCTTTGTAAAATTCGAGTGAAAACTTTCTGACATTTTGGTTACAAGGCACATAAGATGAAAAAGAAAGCTGCATAGGAAAAGCCAGAAAGAAAAAGATAAGCTCTTTAGATTTATACTATATCCATTTTCTTAGTTATATTGAAGAAGAAAACAGAAATTCATCTCCTGTGTCTTTTTGAAAGACAAATTACTGATGCTTTGACAGTACCAGAGGGGCAGGTAGACTCAGACTATTTCCTATAAGTTTTGCTAATAGAGAAGATGAAACTGGCACTGCGGATGAAAGTGCTTCTCACGGTTAGGTCACAGGTTGGAAATAACAGTGAGAGGCTACCCTACAACTTCCCATCTCATAGCTCACTCAGCGATGAGAGCAGGGGGGTTGCTCTCATCGTTCTTTTTAACTTTTTCAGCTAAAAAGAAAAAAGAAATAATGATTTTAAATGCCTAAGAGATGAAAAGCTTAAAACCGAGGTTATATTAAGTAGGCTTCATCCCAGCCAGGCGCGGTAGCTCACGCCTGTGATCCCAGCACTTTGGGAGGCCGAGGCGGGCAGATCACCTGAGGTCGGGAGTTCGAGACCAGCCTGAGCAACATGGAGAAACCCCGTCTCTACTAAAAAAAATACAAAATTAGCCGGGTGTGGTGGTGCATGCCTGTAATCCCAGCTGCTTGGGAAGGCTGAGGCAGGAGAATCGCTTGAACCTGGGAGGCGGAAGTTGCAGTGAGCCAAGATCGCGCCATTGTACTCCAGCCTGGGCAACAAGAGCGAAACTCCGTCTTAACAAAAACAAACAACCAACCAACAACAACGACAAAAAGCAGGCTTCATCCCAAATGGACCTGGTACCACTTTTGATAAAAATTAAAGGAAAAGATTTAAAAAATTTACCCTTGACCAGCAATGAGAAGGGGCAGAAGTTATGCCACACTGAGTCTTTAACTGTTCAAGTCACCAGTACTAACAGACATCAGCTCTTCAGTAATTATATCTCAGATCAATTTATCTAAGGAAATTAAATTTTGAGAGTGTAGAAATAAAATAATAACAAAGTGTAAACTTTATCGAAATAGTTTGCCCATTATGGACATTATTCAGTCAGCAACTAGAATATCCAGAATTTTTCTAGGATATTGGTTTTTTTATTTTTTTGTTACTTTCTTGCAAAAGTACCATTTAAAGGTTGACATAAATGATACTGACTTTCTCATTCTATTCAGCATGAGTCTAAGAAATATAAGTATTATGCAATATATGAAGTATAGACACATTGCCTTCCACTATAATGTAATTTTCTTGAGTTTCAGAATCTAAATTCATGCATTTTCAAGGAAATAGAAATGCTTTCAATTTCAATTGTGTGAAGCTTGTCATAGAATGGAACACCCTTTTTTATAAATGAAAAAGACAATGCAAACATGAAAAAAATAACTACTTCTCAGGCATTGCAAATTTACTTTATTTTACTGATTAAATAAACAATATAAAGCCCAGTCATTTTGTCTGGAAGCTTCCATTACAGACTTCTGTTGCTGAATCTCTTCCACTGTTCTGTGATTGGGCTCAACATTGACATAGGATATATTTTCCTTTTTCTTGCCCTAGCAAAATCCTGCCCTGTCTGGTGAATACAAATGCCCCCAGAGCACTCCAAGCAGAAATATTCATTCTTTCAATACACTATTTGTGGGAGGCTGAATGATGTCCACCCCCAAAGATGTTCTCATCCCATTCCTGATAACCTGTGAATATGTTACCTTACATGATAAGAGAGACTACACATGTATGAAGCTATGGGTCTTGAGCTGGGGGAGATTATCTTGGGTGATCTGGATGGGTCCATTGTAATCACAGGGGTCCTTAGAAGAGGGAAGTAGAAAGATAAGAGTTCGAGGGAAAGAAATTATAAGGAAAGAAGCAGAGATCAGAGAGGAGAAAGGATACTACTTTTAAAATGGTAGAAAGGCCCTTGGGCCAAGAAATGCAGGTGGCCTCTACAAAGTGGAAAAGGCAAGGAAACAGATTTTCCCCTAGAGCCTCAAGAAGGAGTGCAGTTCTGATAAGACCTTCACTTTAGCCTAGTGAAATTGACTTTGAACTTCTGACTACAGATAATAAGTTTGTGTTGTTTCAAGCCTCTAAGTATCTGTGATTTGTAACAGCATCAATAGAAAAGTAATGCACCATTACTCATCAATCTTTGTGGCTAAACGCTTCCCCTAGGAGGTTTATGATGTCTGTTTATACAACCTTGAACTCCCTGTTTCTTGTCAAAGTTATAGAAGGTGCTGGCACCTGACTCATCTATACCTCTTGCTCTCTTATCATCCTAAAAATCCCTTACCTTTGGTTCAACTCTGGGTTTTGTCTCCAAGAACTACTAGTTTACTTCTGTCTTACGTTACATCACCACTCATCCTGAAACCCATGATAGATCACCCAAATCTCTCTTAATACCCTTGGATTCATGTCTTTCTGCTACAACTATCTGGCCAGTACTAAGCCTAGAATTAATCTCACTGTCTGTCTTTTCCACTCTTATACATGATTTGTTGAAAATTGCTGGAATAAAATTCCTCAGATATATAGACTGCTCAGTACAGATTCATGGTCTTCACACTTAACCAGGTTCTTAAAACTGGCCATTATTCATTTTATGTGTCCAAAACAGAACTGTGTCCCATTCTCATTAGTGGTTGTTTTAAATCTTCACCAACTCTTTTCACACCTCTTCAAAAACATCACCCTTTTCACTTGTAGCTGATGACCTTAAATCTCACCTTATAGATAAAATTAAGATGAGAAAATGTGAATTATCTTCATTCAGGGGCTGCCTATAGGGCATGTAGGACTCAGGGGAAATAAATTTATTGCAGGGTCCCTATTTGTAGAAACAATTTGATTATTAAAGAAAGTGTTACTAAATTAATGGACCCATGTGAATTACGGCAATTTTTTTTTTTTTTTTTGAGACAGAGACTCGCTCTGTCGTCTGGGCTGGACTGCAGTGGTGTGATCTTGGCTCGCTGCAACCTCTGCCTCCCGGGTTCAAGAGATTCTCCTGCCTCAGCCTCCCTGGTAGCTGGGACTACAGGCGCCCACCACCACGCCCAGCTAATTTTTGTACTTTTAGTAGAGACGGGGTTTCAGCATATTGGCCAGGCTGGTCTTGAACCCTTGACTTCGTGATCCACCTGCCTCGGCCTCCTAAAGTGCTGGGATTACAGGCATTAGCTACAGCGCCCAGCCAAATTATGGCAATTATTTATGATGACTTAGCGTAGTAGGTAGAGAAGAGACATTTGTGTATTTATTTATTTATTTATTGTCTATTCAGTGCATGTGAAGATTCTTCATAGTGTCCAACACCATCTCTAGAAAGATGGTTCAGGAATTGTGGCTTCATATTCTTTATTATCAGATGAGCCATTTCTGGTTAATTCTGTATCTCCTACCGTTAGTAAAAGGTAGCAGTACCGTTATTAATCACAATATCCAATGTCTGTATTAAAACAATAGGAGGGCTGCGCATGGTGGCTCATGCCTAGAATTCTAGCACTTTGGGAGACCAAGGCAGGTGGATCACCTAAGGTCAGGAGCTCGAGAGTAGCCTGGCCAAAATGGCAAACCCCCATGTCTACTAAAAATAGAAAAATTAGCCCGTTGTGGCAGCGCATGCTTGTAATCCCAGCTACTCAGGAGGCTGAGGCAGAAGAATCGCTTGAACCCAGAAGGTGGAGGTTGCAGTGAGCCGAGATCTCACCACTGCACTCCAGCCTGGGTGACAGAGTGAGACTCTGTCTCAAAAAAAAAAAAAAAAAAAAAAAGGAGATCCCTGATATCACTTATTTAATGCTCATTACATCATTACTCATGATGCTACATCATCCATTGTGCCACCCATGAATATTAGCTTCCAATGACCCTCTTGACAGTTCTGACTCTGCTTTGTTGATGATGACCACAAATCCAAGTCTTGCCATAATTCATTTTCTGGTCATGTTAAATTTATTGTTCAGAATCTTTTAAAATAAATATAGAAAAAGACATCTTCCAATCATGTCCTTTTTTGAATGTTTTAGGCCATAATGAATGCATTTCAAGAATGTGATCTCTTTCAGCATGTCCACACCCTGCCTTCCACATGTCACTACAGGAGAGGAGGGTAAGTGAATGACTCTTGGTTGAAGCAAGCAGATCAGTCCATTTCATGCAGGCAATATTCGTTTCTCTTCCAGTACAGCTGAAGACCAACTGAGGGGAGCACAATGTCACCATATCAATGAGAGGCAAGAGAAGGGTTGACTGGAAGCAACTTTTGGTATTAAGGAGCAATGGTCATAAAAGCCTTTAGAGAAGATAGGTGTAGCCATTTCCCAGTGACTGCTTGAACAAGGCACCTGTAGAGAAGTTAAGGTGACTTCCCTGAGTGCCATAAGTGAAAGGCGTATAGGATAAAAGATCTCTGCTGCCACCCCCACAGCCCTTGGTTGCTGATTGCTGACTGTATCCTCACAAGCAAGTGTCACCAAAAATCACCATTCCAGTGCCATTCTGGCAGCCCATTCTCACACAGTCCCATACAAGAAAGTTACTACACCAGCCAGCAAGAACAAGGTGCTTACTAAGTCACTCTCCTAAAATCTGGGACTAACTTCAGGCCAATGACAATCCCATAGGTATGATTTCCAAACATCTTAGGGGCATTTGGTAGAGCCCATGCAAGTAACAAAGCAGCAGAGGGTGTCCTGAAGGGGAAAGATAGGGCCCAAGGTCCATCCACATCCTCTCAGATGGCACTGCCATCTCCAGTCCCAGGTATCTAAGACAATTTTGAGGAAGATACTTCTGTTGACAAGGGATAGTGTGGAACTATCCCAGGGTCCTGATCCAGGGTACCCTACTGATGAAAGCACTGCTGTTTCTGATCAATTCCAAGTCTTAGTGGAGGACTTGAAAATTTTGAGAAATGCATGCCAAAGCTTGGGATCTGTAGACGCCCAAGTTAGTACTTCCCAATTGTCCGGGTCTAAGAGTGATACTTCCTCCAATGCCCATTTCCTCCTTTCAAAATTAGTTATATCTGTTTCCCTCCTTATCTTCTGCACTGTAAATATCAGAAGGGAAGGTACCTTTTTCCCCTTCAAGATCATCTGCTCCATCTGCACTCACTATATCATCTTCCCTCATTTACCTGGAAACGTCACTTCAGTTATTCTCCTCTCTACTCTGATTTCTCCCATTCCTCTTCTGCTTTGAGTATATAAACAGACTCATCTCTCTTCCAGTTTGCTCATTATCCCGTTTCCTACTTCTGTCTTTTCTCAATCACTTTTCAGGAAAGATAAGTCTATACTCATAGGTTTCCCCTTCACTTTCCATTTTTCCCCCACATATCTGCAGTTTGAGATTCCTCTGCCCTAAGTGCTCTGACAGTTATTAGTGACCAATGTATCATCGAATCCAAAGATTTTACTTCCTTACACATTATACTTGTTGCTGTCTCTGTTGCAATTCAAACTCTTGGAAACAGTCTCCTTGAAACTCCCTTCTCCCCTGTGTCACAATAGTTCTCTGACTGCTCTCTCAGTTTCTTCCTGAGGTTCTTCCACACTAATCCTTTGAGGCTTGCATTTGCCACATGTACTACTTGTATCGGTTTTCTACTCCTGCCTGACAAATGACCACAAACTTGTTAAAACAACTCCTGTTTATTATTTCAGTTTTATCGGCTGGAAGTCCAGGCATGGAGTAGCTGGGTCCTCTCTCAGGTTCTCACAGGCTGAAATCAAGGAGTTGGCAGGGCTATGTTCTTTTAATGGAGGACCTAGGGTGGAATATGCACCCAAGTTCATTCAGTTTGTGGCAGAATTCAGTCCCTAGGGTTGATGGACGGAGGTCCCTCTTTCCTTGCTGGCCAGTAGCTGGGACCACTCAGCTCCCAGAGGCTATCTGCATTCCTTGACATGTGACCTCTTGTATCTCAAAGCCAGCAACAGAGAATCTCCTTCCCTTAAAATCCCCCTCAAATTCTAAATCTCTTTCACCAGGAAAAGCCCAGATGATTTTAAGAGATCACCTGATTTGGTTATGCTCTACTTAGATAATTTGTCATTAAACAACAGCATTAGTTGCTGGCATAAACATTTGCTACAAACTTGAAAACCCCAAATGTTCATCAATAATAGATTAAATAAGTTGCATATTTTAATGCAGTGAAATAATAAATGTCAATGAAAGTGGCATAATTATATAGCTACCAGGAAGCAAAACAGATGAATGTCAAACACAGCTTACTGAAAGGAGACTTATAAAAAGAGTACATACTATATGATTGCTTTCACAAAATGTTCAAAAACAGGCAGAGGTGTAAGGACTGGGAGACAGTGGAAGAGAGGCTTCTGGGGTGGCTGGTAGTGTTACATTCTTTAATCTGGTGGTGTTCACATTGTTCGCATTGTGATAATTCGCTGACCTGTTCCTGCAGGATTTATGTAGTTGTCTGTAGCTATTTCTTTCTCCAAACAAGATTTTTAAAAATTACTGGTTATATCAGCCATTATTCTTCCTCTTTATCACCTTGGCCTTCAAGACTTCCCCACAAGGGGAGCCCTACTTCTTTAAAATTAAAAAAATTTTGTGGGTACATAGTAGATGCATGTATTTAACGGGCACATAAGGTGTTTTAATATAGGAATACAATGCATAATAATAACATCAGGCAAGGGGGGTATCAATTACCTTAAGCATTTATTTTTTCTTTGTGTTACAAACAATCCAATTTATATTCTTTTAGTTATTTTTAAATGTACAATATTGTTGACTGTAGTCACTCTGTTGTGCTATCAAATACTAGATCTCATTCATTCTTTTTAGTACTTCTCTCTTTGTTCCCTGTGTTCCAGCCACACTGGACAACCTCTTTTCCTCGTAACCACACAAAATTTTTCCACTTCTCTGTTTTTTCTCAATTTTTTCCTCCTTCAAATATCCTCCAAACTCCCTCCAACCGTTTTTCAAATTCCATTCCCAATGCTACTTTCCATTCAAAATTCTCCCAATTTATCCATTTCAGCCTAATCTGTTCTTTCTCCAAACTCCCATGAATTTTTCTAGTTTTGATCATTATATTTCATTTTTAATTATAGTAATTTGAATATTTTCTCTGTCCGATGTGGTCCACTGAAATCTCAGCTAAGGAAGAAAGTGTGGAAATCTACTGTATAAATTTTTTTTCAAAAATTTTTCAAAAATTTTTTTCAAAAATTTATAGACTTGGGATTTAGAATAATTTTTCATGTACATTTATTATGGAAAATTTCCAGCATACAACAAAGTAGAGAGAATAACTTGCTTTTAACATTTCATATTTTTTCCTTATATATCAGAACTCAGATGGCTTAGCCAAGTTCCATAATGAGATAAACAAATGATTTTGGTCTCTATTTTAGGATAGTGTAATTTTCATCCTTCCTCTCCCTTCCTGTCCCTTTCCTCACACCTTCACTTCTTCCTTCCCTCTGACATGTTTTCTGAATATAAATTTTTCGATCACTCACTCTGAGTGATAGAACTCTGAGAAATAGAACATCCTGTAAATTTCTGGAAAGTTAAAGGTAATGGGACAATAAAATGAGTTTCCCACACCTGTCCCTTCAAATTATTTGTGTGTGTGTGTGTGTGCGTGCATGTGTATTGATATAGTTAACAGCAAGTACAAAATATATATTACAAAAGTGGAAGAGAGAAATGGGTTACTATGTACTAGGAAACTAATTTTTTTTTTTTTTTTTTTTTTTGAGATGGAGTCTCGCTCTGTCGCCCAGGCTGGAGTGCAGTGGTGCAATCTCGGCTCACTGCAAGCTCCGCCTCCTGGGTTCACTCCATTCTCCTGCCTCAGCCTCCCAAGTAGCTGGGACTACAGGCGCCTGCCACCGCGCCCGCCACCATGCCCGGTTAATTTTTTTTGTATTTTTAGTAGAGACGGGGTTTCACCATGTTAGCCAGGATGGTCTCGATCTCCTGACTTTGTGATCCACCCGCCTCGGCCTCCCAAAGTGCTGGGATTACAGGTGTGAGCCACCGCGCCCGGCCAGAAACTAATTTTTAAATGTCTATTAAAAGGTGATTTTGCTTCCTTACCATTTTGAAGACTACTTACAGTGAAGATAAGCAAAATTAAAATCCACATTTCTTTAGCACTAAGGAGTTCAGATCATATCAGAATGGACAGAGAACATTGTGTCTTTGAGGGGTCCATTAAAAGAGTTTTTAATATGTTTTTAAGCATATACATTTAAGAAGTACAAATGCAGTATGAGAAACATAAATCAGACTTTTGATAAATTAAAGATATAAGGTCTTAGTTTTTCTATTTAGGAAATAAAAAAGAATTTTTTTTGTCCAGAAACCAAAACAGAAAAAGAAAAAGACATACACATCAAATAGACTTCAGTCTTCCTTTATTATATCTAGTACTGAAGAAACGCACAAAGAGGTATTGTTTTTACTTTTCTTACAGTAAGAACTTTTCTACTAAGATAACAAGCATACCTTCACACAAACACTAACTATGTAAGCAAGGTCAACAGCAAGTTATATAATAAACTCCTTGGGGGTGATAAATAGGTTTAATTGTAAGTGACCAGTTGCTTTTAGAATATTAGAGTGAATCTTTTGGAATTTTGGCGGGGGGAGGGTGCACGGGACAGAGTGATGAGTAAGTAGCTACTACTGTTATTTTCCACCGATCAGTGCAATGCCCAACAGAGCTGTGATCTTCAAGTGTTAAATTACATTGCATGCAAGTTGGTTTAGATGCTAGGTCAGCACAGAAATATACATGGGTAACTATGTTCCTTGTTAGCATTCTTGAGATGCTTCATTTGTTAATACTCAGTTCACACAGTGAAGCCCGTCTTTTCAAAGGCTTTTCATGCAACATATATATTTTTCCTTCAAATTATTTTCATTTTCTGCTGAACTTTGCTGAGGAAGTTGACATTTCATGTTAGTCAGCCAGTAACTCATTCAAACATTTTGTTTTGTCCACACTGGTTCAGTGACTCTTGCCATCGCTAACACAATTATTATTCTGGCTTGCGCTTACATCAAACCATAAATGCCTGCCCCTTCCATCTGTAGTAAAGCAAAAGCATTTGCCAAATAATTTTAACAACCAAATTGCAGATCATAAAGATAGAAAACAAATAGTAAGGCAATATTTGTTCCAGAGCAGCAAAGAATTTAATGTTACATTGTTGCTAGGCAAAGGCAAGATAGTGAGGTGAGAAGTAGATAAGACGTGGTAAAGCCTTTTTAAAGAGCATCTCTGAAAACATTAGATAAAATCATTTTGCATTTAGCACATCTTAGTTTCAGCTTACTATTTTATAATGTCCTGTTCCAATGTTTATTACTGAGGCTGCAAGTTAATTAAATGAAAATATACTTCTTTGCAGTCTTTAGTGAAAAATAAAACTATCACTTTAAATGACATTTTAAAACCCTATGTTAGCTTTGCCTATAGATTTATATTTAATATATAGTTCCTCCTCACTCTTTTTACTATGAACACAGGTTTTAATTCATTGTTTGTCCCTGACTCTTTAACAGTACAATTGTTATTTAGATGAACTTTGAACTTTTTGAATCAGGAATTCAGGGTTTTTTTTTTAATTCCTAGCCTCCCATAAAGCAAGGACACTGCCTTCACTCTCAGTCTCACCCTTATCAGAACTCCTCTTTCCCAGCACTAAAAAGTATTAAAAATACATTATTTTAGTGGTAGCTTACCATGTAAAATACCTACCATAACTAGTATAGTCCATGCCTGCTTTATTTTAAGGCTTTACTGAATGCAACAAGCAGAGTCAATCTGTAGCATGATCATTTTGTGATAAGAATACCTATTAATTAGTAAGTATGTGCTACATCTCCCCTTAGGTATTGATAGCATTTTAGCCAAACATTACCATTAGCAAGTCCATAAATAAGTAATGGTGGCAATACGTTTTGTAAAATTATAAAGATCTTTTTTTTCAGGGCTTATTTCTTTATAAATAGCAAAATGCTGTCATTTCCAAAATGAGAAAATCATCTACCATATCTTTCCTGAAAAGAAATATTTATACACAAAATTTAGGACTTCAAACGTTTCTTGAATTGCATGAGTTGAACAATAGTTATCCATCTGGGGAAAACCACCACAGCTGTGTGTGTTCCTATTTGATATATATAGGACCTTGCATTAAACTCATCATTAAGGGGAGTGATTATTTTTTTTAAAGACGTTTTTTATTTAACCCCAGCTCTGGGTACAGAGAAGCGCAATACAATTAATCAAACAAATAAACATAAACCTTATTATCTTCATATTAGTTAAGTAAATGAGGCAATAGATAACTTATCATCACTTTTAATCATTTTGACAGAAGATATAGCTCACCATTCAGGGCCGGTGCAGAATACAATATTTTATCAGTCTTCCATCCCCCTATATTTTAGCAACTTGATTTATCTCCAGGTAAAGTAAGTTAACATGACATTATATTATATATTAACATAATATTGAACTTAACTAGTATTAACTACTATTCATCAGTACAATTATTACTTGATATGACTGTTATTAAGAGGATATATTTACTTAACATTTTTATCACTCCCTATCTTTTCTAAACAAAGGGAAATAAATCTTTCAGCTGAAAGAAGTTCCAATAGTCTCACAATTCAAGGTTGAAGAAATACAGCTTTCATTCAAATTAAGCACAGACAACCTATGCAAAAGGTAAAACAAGAAGGTTCAATAACATGTGAAACGGCCTCAGATTATTCATAACACAATGGTATAAGAATAAAAGTTAGGCCATTTAAAGTCTGATAAAATTAAACCAGAAGTATTCCAGCCTGTCTGTAAAGAGCAAATAATAAGAGAGGGGAAAAATGGATATAAAATTTCCCAGTGAAAAAGAAATATGCAATTGGGACTTAAATTGTGCTTCTAAACAGATTAATGTTGCTCTAGGTCTGCCTTCTCCAGTTAATCACATTATTATTTCTTTATTCTGAACAATCAGTTTGTATCACTTTCAGTATGTTGGTTTATACCCTAATCGAAATAAAAAGTGCTGTTCATTATTGAAACTATCTCAAGAGTTTATTATCCAATTAACAAGCTATCCACATATTTCAGATATGCTTTGAAAGTTCTGTTCTTTGTTTCATACAAATTTTTTGTCAAAGTGAAAGATGAATTATAAATTCAACTTCAGATAGGAAGCTACTCTAATGCTTTGTACCACATTCATGGAGTTTCCTTATTGTAGAGTTATTGCGGAGGTTTTGTTTATTTGTTTGTTTGTTGTTTGGTTTTTGAGACAGGGTCTTGCTTTGTTGTCCAGCCTAGAGTGCAGTGGCACAGTCGCAGCTCGCTGCAGCCTCAACCTCTTGGGCTTAAATGATCTTCCCACTTCAGCCTTCCAAGTAGCTGAGACTACAGGTGCACACCATCACACCCAGCTAATTTTTGTATTTTTCTTGTTGTTGTCGTTGTCGTTGTTGTGGTTGAGACAGGGTTTTACCATGTTGCCCAGGCTGGTCTAAAGCTCCTGAACTCAAGCAATCCGCCTGCCTCAGGCTCCTAAAGTACTGGGATTAAAGACATGAGCCGCCACACCTTATAATTCACTGGGCAAGAACTATGGTTTCAGCTATTAATGGAATATTTTTGCTAGTGGGGCTGGTTTGCAGGACTGATCGGTTAGGAGAAGGGCAAAGGAATGGAAACTACCATCTTCAGAAGATCATGAAGGTTGATGAAAATGGTATGGTTGGGCAATAAGCACTCTGCGTTTTCAAAGCAGTATTTCCAAATGTTGCATATTACATTCCCTCTTAAATATACCTAATGTGCATTAAAATATTAAAGGTTCTGATATTACAGTTTGTTTACTTTAGAACTTGCCAAATTTATCTGACCACTTACATTTAGGGACAGGGTGTACATTATTATTTCTGGGAAGCAAAAACAAAGAAGAGGATGGCCAGAATAGCAGTAGAGAAAAGCAGCTGCCTGGCTGATAAGCTACTGCCACTTGCCAGGGCGTGAAGCAGAACCTCTGGGTCTGTGAGTAAGAATGATGGAACACAAAGCCCCCATCCATGCAGAATAAGCAATAGCTTGCTGGGGTTTTTTTGTTTGTTTGTTTGTTTTTGTTTTGTTTTTGAGACGGAGTCTCGCTCTGTCGCCCAGGCTGGAGTGCAGTTGAGCGATCTCCGCTCGCTGCAAGCTCCGCCTCCTGGGTTCACGCCATTCTCCTGCTTCAGCCTCCCGACTAGCTGGACTACAGGCGCGCGCCGCCATGCCCGGCTAAATTTTTTTTGTATTTTGTATAGTAGAGACAGGGGTTTCACCGTGTTAGCCAGGATGGTCTCGATCTTCTGACCTTGTGATCCGCCCGCCTCGGCCTCCCAAAGTGCTGGGAATAGAGGCGTGAGCCACGGCACCTAGCCAATAGCTTGCTGTTGAAGCTACATGTTTTGACTCTTGCTTCTGCCCTGGATGGAGAAATGCAATGCCTGCAGAGGAGAAGTGTGGGAACAAAAGAATGAAATTCTGCTGCAGAAATTTGTCTCTAAGCCAGTAGCAGTTCTACTGAAACTATTCCAAAAAAAAAAAAACAAAAAAAAAACTGAGGAGGAGCAACTCCTCCCTAACTCATTCTATGAAGCCAGCATCACTCTGATACCAAACGCTGGCAAAGACACAATGAAAAAGGAAAACTACAGGCCACTATCCCTGATGAACGCAGATGCAAAAATCCTCAACAAAATCCTAGCTAACCAAACCCATCAGCACATCAAAAAGTTAATTCACCATGATCAAGTAGGTTTCATTGCTTGGATGCAAGTTTGGTTCAACATACACTAATCAATAAACGTGACTCATCATATAAGCAGAACTAAAAACAACAACAAAAAAATGATCATCTCAAAAGACATTGAAAAACCTTTTAATAAAATCCAACTTCCCTTCATAATAAAAAAGCTTCAAGAACCAAGGCATCAAAGAAACATGCCTCAAAATCATAAGAGCCATCTATGACAAACCCACAGCCAACATCATACTGAGCAGGCAAAACTGAAAGCATTCCCCTTGAGAATTGGAACAAGACAAGGATGCCTATTCTCATCACTCCTATTCAACATAGGACTGGCAGTCCTAGGCAGAGCAATCAGGCAAGAGAAAGAAAAGGCATTCGTATAGAAAATGAAGTTAAACTATCTCTGCTAATGATATGCTTCTATACCTAGAAAACCCTAAAGACTCTGCCAAAAGGCTCCTGGAACTGCAAATCAAAATTGCAATGAGATATCACTTCACCTCAGTTGAAATGGTTTTCTTTTTCTTTTTTCTTTTTTTTTTTTTTGAGATGGAGTTTCACTCTTGTTGCCCAGGCTGGAGTGCAATAGCGTGATCTTGGCTCATTGTAACCTCCGCCTCCCGGGTTCAAGTGATTCTCCTGCCCCGGCCTCCTGAGTAGCTGGGATTACAGGCATGTGCCACCATGCCTGGCTAATTTTGTATTTTTAGTAGAGACAGGGTTTCTCCATGTTGGTCAGGCTGGTCTCAAACTCCCAACCTCAGGTGATCCACCTGGCCTCCCAAAGTGCTGGGATTGTAGGAGTGAGCCACTGCGCTGGGCCTCAAATGGTTTTCATGCAAAAGACAGGTAATAACACATGCTGTAGAGGATGTGGTGAAAAGGGAACCCTCGTACATTCGTACATTGTTGGCGGGAATGTAAATTAGTACAACCACTATGGAGAACAGTTTGGAGGTTCCTCAAAAAACTAAAAATAGAGTTACCATATGATCCAGCAATCCCACTGCTAGGTATATAAGCAAAAGAAAGGAAATCAGTGTACTGAAGAGATACCTGCACTCCTATTTGTTGCAGCACTGTTCATGATAGCCAAGATTTGGAAGCTACCTAAATGTCCATCAATGGATGTTGGATAAAGAAAATGTGATACATATACACAAAGGAGTACTATTCAGCCATAAAAAAAAGAATGAGATCCTGTCATTTGCAACAACATGGATGCAACTGGAGGTCATTATGTTAAGTGAAATAAATCAGACATAGACAGACTTCACATATTCTCACTTATGTGTGAGTACTAAAAAACAAAACAATTGAACTCATGGAGCTACAGAGTGGGAATGGTTAATGATTACCAAAAATATATATAGTTAGAAAGAATGAATAAGACCTAGTATTTGATAGCACAACAGGATGACTATAGTAAATAATAATGTAATTGTACATTTTAAGATAACTAAATGAGTGTAATCGGATTGTTTGTAACACAAAGGATAAATGCTTAAGGGAATGGATACCCCGTCTTCTATGATGTGATTATTGTTTACTGCATGCATGTATCAAAGCATGTCATGTACCCCATAGATATATATACCTACTGTGTGTCCACAAGCATTTTTAAAAATAATAAAAATTTAAAAAAGAACAAACCTGGAGGCATCACATTACCTGACCTCAAACTATACTATAAATCTACAGTAACCAAAGCAGCATGGTACTGGCATAAAAACAGACACATAGACCAATGGAACAGAATAGAAAACCCAGAAATAAAGCTTTACATCTGCAGCCATCTGATTGTTGACAAAGTTAACAAAAATAAGCACTGAGGAAAGGACTTCTTACTTAATAAACGTTGCTGGAAAAACTGTCTAGCTATATGCAGAAGAATGAAACTGGACACCTACTTCTCACCATATATAAAAATTAGCTAAAGATGGATTAAATATTTAAATGTAAGGCCTCAAACTATGAGAATCCTAGAAAAAGACCTAGGAAACATCATTTCTGGGTATTGGTCTTGGGAAAGAATATATGATTAAATCCTCAATAGCAATGACAACAGAAACAAAAATTGATAAGTGGGGCCTAACTATAATAAAGGGCTTCTGCACAGCCAAAGAAACCATCAACAGAATAAACAAACAACCTGCAGAATAGAAGAAAATATTCACAAATGATGCATCAAACAAAAGTCTAATATCTGGAATCTATAAGGAACTTAAACAATTGAACAAACAAAAAACAACCCCATTAAAAAATGGGCAAAAGACACGAACAGTCACTTCTGAAAAGAAGACATACAAGCAGCCAAAAACATATGAAAAAATGCTCAACATTACTATCATAAATGCAAATCAAAACCACAATGAGATACTATTCATACCAATCAGAATGGCAATTACTAAAAGTTCAAAAAACAACAGAAGCTGGTGATGTTGTGAAGAAAAGGAAACACTTAAATAGTGTTGGTGGGAATGTAAATTAGTTCAGTCACTGTGGAAAGCAGTTTGGAGATTTCTCAAATAACTTAGAACTACCATTTGACCCAGCAATCTCATTATTGGGTAAATGTCCAAAAGAAAATAAATCATTCTACCAAAAAGACACATGTACTCATATGTTCATTGCAGCACTATTCATAATAGCAAACATGGAATCAACCTAGGTGCCCATAAGTGGTGGATTGGATAAAGAAAATATGGTATATTTATACTATGGAATACTATGCAGCCATGAAAAGAATGAAATTATGTCCTTTGCAGCAACATGGGTGTAGCTGGATGCCATTATCCTAAGCAAATTAATTCAGGAAGAGAAAATCAAATACTGCATGTTCTCACTTATAAGTAGGAGCTAAACATAGGGTACTCATGAACATAAAGATGGCAACAATACACACTGGGGACTACTAGAGCAGGGAGGGAAGGGGGAGGATGGGATAAGGATTGAAAAACTATTGGGTACTATACCCAGTACCTGGGTGATGGGAACAATCATAATAAATCTCAACATCATTCAATATACTCATGTACCAAACCTGCACATGTACCCCTGAATCTAAAATAAAAGTGGAAATTATATAACAAAAGACATTTTCCTTTAATCAGGGTTTAGAAGGGATTCTTTATTGCTTGTGTCCCTGTCCTAAATCTGATCCTTCTTTATATAAAAAAACAACAACTTAGCATTATATTTGTCATCCAAACCACCCCCAAGATAGGTAAGCATCCTGGATAATCCATTTGCACTATTATGTCTTCCCCCATTGGGAGACAGGACATTTTCCCACACACGTATGGGAAAAACAGAAGCTTCAGGGTCAGGCTGATTCACGTTCAAATTCTAAATTACAATTTGCTAACTATCTGATCTTGGGTGAGATATTTCATTTCTTTAACATATTTTTCCTTCAAGTGCGGATGATGCTGTATACCTCACCTATGTTATCTTTTGCCCATGTTTTCTTCATGGCCACTAGCCAAAAATAATAAAATGTTCCATGAAGGCATTATGCTGAATGTTTTGCACATATTATCTTATTTAAATCTTGTAATAACCCAATGAAGTGGGTACTATCATTATCTACATTTTATAGAGGAGAAAACTAGTACACAGAGAAATGTTCCAAGGTCACATAGATATTAAGTGGTGGAGTTGGGAATTAGACTGATACTGAGTGTACTCTTGAGCACTATGCTAGTCTGCCTATACATGCAATTGCAGGAGAGGGAGGGTGAAATGTAAATTACCTGTATGTCCCTAGCCATGTAATATTAATCTATTGATAGTTAAGCTGGATCCTGATAGCTCTAAGTCTCTGACTGCTTTACTCTGAAACTCCAGTCCCTACCAAAGACCTGAGAACTCTTAACCTTTTCCAGCTAACTATTCTGATTACCAACCCTTTTTTGTTTTGTTTTTGAGACGGAGTCTCACTCTGTCACCCAGGCTCTGGAGTGCAGTGGCGCGATCTCAGCTCACCGTAACCTCCACCTTCAGGGTTCAAGCAATTCTTCTGCCTCAGCCTCCCTAGTAGCTAGGATTACAGGTGTGTGCCATCACACCCAGCTAATTTTTGTATTTTTAGTAGAGACGGGGTTTCACCATGTTGGCCAGGCTGGTCTCAAACTCCTGACCTCAAGTGATCTGCCCACCTAGGCCTCCCAAAGTGCTGGGAATACAGGCATGAGCCACCGTACCTGGCCTGATTATCAGCTCTTTTGATGGTCTTTTGCTCTCAAAAGTAAAGAGAATGGATCCTCCTCTGGCTTTTCATAGTGGAGCCTGTAGCATATTTGACACTGAATTTAGTGATGCAGACCATTTAGCTCATTGATACAATTTTTTTTCTTCCCCTTGCACAAATGAGCTGGATCTAAATAACTTTCCATATCTGTGTTCATTCTGAACTCTACTAACAATAGCGTGACATCTCTGACATAGGAAGTTCAATTCCTCTGACAAGGAATTGAACCCCCAAAAACTGGTTTCAAGCCAATCCCATAACCTCTATGACTTTTTTGATAAGATATTAGTAAAATTATTTCATAACTTTGTCAAAGTTACAGATTAAACCTGGTATATCTTAATGGCCCATCCAGCTCAATTAGGCCTTCAAGATGCCACATCTCCTATTATAGAAGAACTGCCTACCTTCCTTCTTAGGGTTTACTGCTGAATCCAGCTCATCATAGAAGTTCTTTCTTTTGATGGTTTCTCTCTTAAAGTCACTAAAATCTTATCTATTTTACCCTCTTCCCTCTGAATTATTGAACCCCAATTGTGGATAAAACATAGTTAAAGTATAGCCTCCGCTGGGAAATGTTCTTCATGTCAATTGTGAATCAAAAATTTCAAATTGATATTCATAGGGAGATATGTCAAGTAATAAGATAGATGCAACTAAATGTCAATTCTTGCCAAGCAAGGACTCTGATACACAAACATGTTAGTAATTTCACAGTGGAATGCTGGACCTGGCTTATACTGGCTCAGGAAATTGTGAAATTTTCAAAAAATTTTGCAAGCCAGTTGTTAAGCTGTCAATATAGCTTAAAATTGACTACAGTGGGAGTAGGAGTGTATGTGCCATGGAAATCAGCAAACACTGCAAATCCCCTAAGTGCCCCATCTCACCCCAAGAGAACTAGTTAAACATTTCCCAGCACAACCCTCTTTCTTCATCTTATTTTGTTGAGTGCTAACAGAAGTGGGTGGTGGCAAGTCACTCAAGGCTTTTAGTAAAGTGAGATGTTGAAATAGGACAAATCAGTAAAGACTCATACTTTCTCAAATCCAGCTGAGGAAATTCTGAGGAGCTGGGATTCGCTTTTAGCGAGTCTAGTCCGTCTTCTGATTCTCATCATTACAGAGTAAGAATGTAGGTGAATGTTTTCTGGTTCATTTAACATGTCAGTTGGCAAAAAATTCTGAAACTAAGGATACCACTTAATTTTTGCGGCAATGACTTCAGTTGCTAAACCTTTAAATGCCTATTTTCTATATAAAAATTAACAGTTGATGTTAAAGAAATTAAGAGCCAAGATGTCTTATTTCAGTTTGAATATATATTAAGTTTAGAACAGGGCTTCTTAGACCTGATTGCAATATGAAAATCACCTGGGGAGCTTTGAGAGCATTCTATTATTAGGGGCCCCTCCCCAGATCAATTAATTTAGATTCTAGAGAGGAGTCATGGCTACTATTGAATAAAAGGTTCTCCAGGTGATTCCAATGCACACCAGGATTAGAAGCCGCTGTGAAGGTTTTGAGACTTTGGATTCCTCCCACCTGACTGAAGTCAGTATGTAATTACAAAGGCTGAGCTTCTGAAGGGTTGACATTTCCCTGAAGAAAGGAGATAAATACAGAACTGTAAGTGGTTGGGATTTGATTTTGTTGCTTTTGTGTAATTTTAATAATGTTTTCTTTATGGCCAGCATATTTCGAAGTTGTAGTAACGGCACTCATATAAAAACACTGGGAGCAACTAGAAATTTTAGGGAATCACTTGTGAACCAAATTTACTTGTTGACTGCAGAAATACATTCCAAGTGAGGAAGGGGCAGATTTCTCTGATGGTATGTCCTGGACATTTCTCCATTTCTGTGATATTCTTTCATTTAGAGAGATTATTACACAGAGATGAAACAGTCATGTCTAGATTTGTGTTTTCCTTGTTGCAAAGTTTTTATTTGTCACTTCTCTGTGTTGCAAAGACACCTACACACTTGTTATCAGGAAGTGTATTAAGGCAGCCTGTGCTTAAGTGTGGTAAGGGCTATTTTAAACCCCAAATATGTTTAAATATTTTTTTAACCATAAACTTTAAGATAAGTGTGGGATTGCAAAAATTTTCTCCCATTCTGTAGGTTGCCTGTTCACATTGATGGTAGTTTCTTTTGCTGTGCAGAAGCTCTTTAGTTTAATTAGATCCCATTTGTCAATTTTGGCTTTTGTTGCCATTGCTTTTGGTGTTTTAGACATGAAGTCCTTGTCCATGCCTATGTCCTGAATGGTATAGCCTAGGTTTTCTTCCAGGGTTTTTTATGGTTTTAGGTCTAACATTTAAGTCTCTAATCCATCTTGAATTAATTTTTGTATAAGGTATAAGGAAGGGATCCAGTTTTAGCTTTCTACACATGGCTAGCCAGTTTTCCCAGCACCATTTATTAAATAGGGAATCCTTTCCCCATTGCTTATTTTTGTCAGGTTTGTCAAAGATCAGATAGTTGTAGATATGTGGCATTATTTCTGAGGGCTCTGTTCTGTTCCATTGGTCTATATCTCTGTTTTGGTACCAGTACCATGCTGTTTTGGTTACTGTAGCCTTGTAGTATAGTTTGAACTCAGGTTGCGTGATGCCTACAGCTTTGTTCTTTTGGCTTAGGATTGACTTGGCAGCGCGGGCTCTTTTTTGGTTCCATATGAACTTTAAAGTAGTTTTTTCCAATTCTGTGAAAAAAGTCATTGGTAGCTTGATGGGGATGGCATTGAATCTATAAATTACATTGGGCAGTATGGCCATTTTGATATTGATTCTTCCTACCCATGAGCATGGAATGTTCTTCCATTTGTGTGTATCCTCTTTTATTTTGTTGAGCAGTGGTTTGTAGTTCTCCTTGAAGAGGTCCTTCACATCCCTTGTAAGTTGGATTCCTAGGTATTTTATTCTCTTTGAAGCAGTTGTGAATGGGAGTTCACTCATGATTTGGCTCTCTGTTTGTCTGCTATTGGTGTATAAGAATGCTTGTGATTTTTGCACATTGATTTTGTATCCTGAGACTTTGCTGAAGTAGCCTATCAGCTTAAAGAGATTTTGGGCTGAGACGATGGGGTTTTCTAGATATATAATCATGTCATCTGCAAACAGGGACAATTTAACTTCCTCTTTTCCTAATTGAATACCCTTTATTTCCTTCTCCTGCCTGATTGCCCTGGCCAGAACTTCCAACACTATGTTGAATAGGAGTGGTGAGAGAGGACATCCCTGTCTTGTGCCATTTTTCAACGGGAATGCTTCCAGTTTTTGCCCATTCAGTATGATATTGGCTGTGGGTTTGTCATAGATAGCTCTTATTATTTTGAGATACATCCCATCAATACCTAATTTATTGAGAGTTTTTAGCATGAAGTGTTGTTGAATTTTGTCAAAGGCCTTTTCTGCATCTATTGAGATAATCATGTGGTTTTTGTCTTTGGTTCTGTTTATGCTGGATTACGTTTATTGATTTGCATATGTTGAACCAACCTTGCATCCAGGGATGAAGCCCACTTGATCATGGTGGATAAACTTTTTGATGTGCTGCTGGATTCTGTTTGCCAGTATTTTATTGAGGATTTTTGCATCGATGTTCATCAAGTATATTGGTCTAAAATTCTCTTTTTTGTGTGTGTGTCTCCGCCAGGCTTTGGTATCAGGATGATGCTGGCCTCATAAAATGAGTTAGGGAGGATTCCCTCTTTTTCTATTGATTGGAATAGTTTCAGAAGGAATGGTACCAGCTCCTCCTTGTACCTCTGGTAGAATTCAGCTGTGAATCCATCTGGTCCTGGACTTTTTTGGTTGGTAAGCTATTAATTGTTGCCTCAACTTCAGAGCCTGTTATTGGTCTATTCAGAGATTCAACTTCTTCCTGGTTTAGTCTTGGGAGGGTGTATGTGTGGAGGAATTTATCCATTTCTTCTAGATTTGTTTATTTGCATAGAGGTGTTTATAGTATTCTCTGATGGTAGTTTGTATTTCTGTGGGATCGGTGGTGATATCCCCTTTATCATTTTTTATCGTGTCTATTTGATTCTTCTCTCTTTTCTTCTTCATTAGTCTTGCTAGTGGTCTATCAATTTAGTTGATCTTTTCAAAAAACCAGCTCCTGGATTCATTGATTTTTTGAAGGTTTTTTTTGTGTCTCTATTTCCTTCAGTTCTGCTCTGATCTTAGTTATTTCTTGCCTTCTGCTAGCGTTTGAATGTGTTTGCTCTTGCTTCTCTAGTTCTTTTAGTTGTGAACTCATATGACAAAGGGCTAATATCTAGAATCTACAATGAACTCAAACAAATTTACAAGAACAAAACAAACCCCATCAAAAAGTGGGCGAAGGATATGAACAGACACTTCTCAAAAGAAGACATTTTTGCAGCCAAAAGACACATGAAAATATGCTCATCATCACTGGCCATCAGAGAAACGCAAATCAAAACCACAATGAGATACCATTCACACCAGTTAGACTGGTGATCATTAAAAAGTCAGGAAACAACAGGTGCTGGAGAGGAAGTGGAGAAATAGGAACACTTTTACACTGTTGGTGGGACTGTAAACTAGTTCAACCATTGTGGAAGTCAGTGTGGCGATTCCTCAGGGATCTAGAACTAGAAATGCCATTTGACCCAGCAAGTCCATTACTGGGTTTATAGCCAGAGGATTATAAATCATGCTGCTATAAAGACACAGGCACATGTAGGTTTATTGCGGCACTATTCACAATAGCAAAGACTTGGAATCAACCCAAATGTCAAACAATGATAGACTGAATTAAGAAAATGTGGCACATGTGCACCATGGAATACTATGCAGTCATAAAAAAGGATGAGTTCATGTCCTTTGTAGGGACATGGATGAAGCTGGAAACCATCATTCTCAGCAAACTATCACAAGGACAAAAAACCCAATGCCGTATGTTCTCACTCATAGGTGGGAATTGAACAATGAGAACACTTGGACACAGGAAGGGGAACATCACACAATGGGGCCTGTTGTGGGATGGGGGCAGGGGGGAGGGATAGCATTAGGTGATATACCTAATGCTAAATGACGAGTTAATGGGTGCAGCACACCAACATGGCACATGTATATGTATGTAACAAACCTGCACGTTGTGCACATGTACCCTAAAACTTGAAGTATAATAAAAAAAAGATAAGTTTGGGAATATCCAAAAAAGTTTTGATGTTTTTCCATGATATATTAGCCCCCTTTTAATAACAAATATAAAACCCTTTCAATAATATTTTTGGTTCACCAAATTTACTGGGCTATTAAGCTATTGAGTAACTCAGCGTGTATTAGTTGATGTTGGCTCACTATAAAGGAATGCCTGAGATTGGGTAGTTTATAAAGAAAAGAGTTAATTTGGCTCACAGTTGTGCAGGCTGTATAAGCACGGCACCAGCATTGCTTCTGGTGAGACCTCAGGAAGCTTCTACTCATGGTGGATGGCAAA
Organism: Homo sapiens; assembly: GCF_000001405.40. NCBI lineage: Eukaryota > Metazoa > Chordata > Mammalia > Primates > Hominidae > Homo > Homo sapiens. The sequence continues at coordinate 153,653,727 of NC_000003.12, read as the reverse complement.
GGGGGAGCAGGCATGTTGCATGGTAAGAGAGGGAGCAAGGGTTGGGGAGATGCCAGGCTCTTTAAACATCTAGCCCTCCCACGAACTTATTACCATGGGGAGGGCACCAAGCCATTCATGAGGGATCCACCCCCATGACTGAAACACCTCCTACTAGGCCCCACCTCCAACACTAGGGATCACATTTTCATATGACATTTGGAGGGAACAAACATCCAAACAGTATCACAGCACTAGATTAAAAACGATGTTTCTGATTTTTGCTGACTTCTTTCCTCAGAGATTTACTAACCATGAATTTCCAACTTTCAATATGATGACACAGTGACTGAGATTACAGTCTGAGGATGATAAATTACCACCTAAAAAAGATAGATTTTGAAAAGAAAAGACTGAAAAGTCAGAATAATATTAGAAATCTGGTCCAGACGATAAATGCTGAAACAAGAGATAGTTTTGCCATTTAATCATAATTATTTGAAAAGCCATAGAAAGGTTTAATTTCCTTATAAAAGCATTCTTTTTTTAAAATCCTAATTACATAACATTTATTTATATAGGATCTTAGCAATACAAGTTTCAAGAGTATGTTGAACTTTTATTTGATGAGCTTTCTCTGGAATTGACCTTTGTTTCCATTTTATCCTTGAATATGGGAGAAAAACACTTAACTGGCAAAAAAGAAGATTTTCACAATAATACTTAATTATAAAAGCAAATGTATCTTAGTGCAATTATCACATTCATTTCATGCATACTAAAGGGGTTAAAGCCAATTTAACTTTATGGTTTCTAAGATTAAGTGAGTTTCTATTAAGAAATTGGAATGTCACATTAAAATTCAGTTTCACTGAAAAGGGTCAAGAGCAGTTTTCAGAAACACAAAAGTATTCCTATGCCTTACAGATTATGATTTCAAACTTTCTCATAAAGAATATCAATACACATTAGTGATATGTATTGAAAATGATGTGGGCAACAGCTTTAATATTTGCAGGTTTCTTTTGGTCTCTATTCCTGAAATCACCTTGAATATGAATAATTATGACCCTTCTTTTATAAAGTTATTTAGTAAGGCTGAAAATTATGGGCCAATTATGTGTCTAAGGGGACAAACCCATCTCAGCCTGAGTAACGACTAAGAAGACTTCAAAGTGTTGTTAGAAGTTGTGGCTCTGTTTACAAGACAGCAAGCGAGCACATTTGAATGTCTGAACTGAGTGTATGTCTCAGCATTTTTTCCACTAAAATAACATAATTTTAATACTCCAACATATTGGAAAGACCATTTATCCTGCCTCTCATTGCTTCAGAGAAGGAGAAAATTAAAAAGTCATTTACTACCACCAGCTAGGTCCTTTGTGCTCCATGTGTAGTAGAACAATTTCAATTAAGATGCTCAAAAAAGTTTTAATGCAACACAGCAATAGGAATGCATCTTTCAGCACCATTCTAATGTCATTTGTTAGGCAACAGTTTGGAGTCTTTCCCTTGGAAAAATTAGAGTTCTTGGAAAGGAAACTCTATTGTACTCTTGCTCAATTTTATTTAATGACAGCATGATTTGGAGAGGCAAGAGGGTCTCTTTTTAAGAAAAGAAAACCCCAGTTTAAAAACTTAGTTTTTTTTTTTTTTTTTTTTTTTTTTTTTTTTTTTTTTTTTGGGACAGAGTCTTGCTCTGTCACCAGGCTGGAGTGCAGTGGCGTGATTTCAGCTCCTTGCAACCTGCGCCTCCTGGGTTCAAGCAATTCTCCTGCCTCAGCCTCCTGAGTAGCTGGCGCTACAGGCACACGCCACCACACCCAGCTAATTTTTGTATTTTTAGTGGAGACAGGGTTTCACCACATTGGCCAGGATGGTCTCGATCTTTTGACCTCATGATCCACCAGCCTTGGCCTCCCAAAGTGCTAAGATTACAGGTGTGAGCCACCGTGCCCAGACTGTTTTTTTGTTTTGTTTTGTTTTGTTTCCATAGGATTTTGGGAAACAGGTGTTATTTGGTTACATGAGTGAGTTATGTAGTGGTGATTTGTGAGATTTTGGTGCACCCATCACCTAAGCAGTATATGCTGAACCCAATTTGTTGTCTTTTATCCCTCACTGCCCTCCCACCCTTTCCACTGAGTCCCCAAAGTCCATTGTATCACTCTTCTGCCTTTGCAGCGCCATAGCTTAGCTCCCTCTTATGAATGAGAACATACAATGTTTGGTTTTCCATTCCTGAGTTACTTCACTTAGAATAACAGTCTCCAGTTCTATCAAGGTTGCTGTGAATACCATTAATTCGTTCCTTTTTATGGCTGAGTAGCATTCCGTCTTATGTATACATACACCACAATTTCTGTATTTACTCGTTGACTGATGAGCAATTGGACTGGTTCCATATTTTTGCAATTGTGAATTGTGCTGCTATAAACATGCATGTGCAAGTATCTTTTTCATATAATGGCTTCTTTTCCTCTGGGTAGATAACCAATAAGTGGGATTGCTGGATCAAACGGTAGTTTTACTTTTAGTTCTTTAAGGAATCTCCACACTGTTTTTCACAGTGGTTTGTACTAGTTTGCATTCTCACCAACAGTGTAGAAGTGTTGACTTTTCACCCCATCCACACCAAACTCTATTATTTTTTGATTTTTTGATTATGGCCATTCTTGCAGGAGTAAGGTGGCATTGCATTGTGGTTTTGATTTGCATTTTCCTGATCATTAGTAATGTTGAGCATTTTTTATATGCTTGTTGGTCATTTGTATAGCTGCTTTTGGGAATTGTCTATTCATGTCCTTAGCCCACTTTTTGATGGGATTTTTTGTTTTTTTTTTCTTGCTAATTTCTTTGAGTTCATTGTAGATTCTGGATATTAGTCCTTTGTTGGATGTATAGATTGTGAAGATTTTCTCCCACTCTGTGGGTTGTCTGTTTACTCTGCTGACTGTTCCCTTTACTGTGCAGAAGCTCTTTAGTTTAATTAAGTCCTACCCATGTATCTTCATTTTTGTTGCATTTGCTTTTGGGTTGTTTGTCATGAAGTCTTTGCCTAAGCCAATGTCTAGAAAGGTTTGTCCAATGTTATCTTCTAGAAGTTTTATAGTTGAGGTCTTAGATTTAAGTCCTTGATCCGTCTTGAGTTGATTTTTTAGTAAGGTGAGAGATGAGGATCCAGTTTCATTCTGTTCATCCTAGCATGTTTGGCAGCATCCATGTCCTCTAACCACCAGATGCCAGTAATCGTCCTTTCTCCTCAGCTGTGACAACGAAAAATATCTCCAGAGTTTGCCAAATGTCCTTTGGGAACAAAATTCCTTCCTCTCCCATCATTGAGAACCACTACTGTGGATTCTACTGCATTGTGACATAATCATACATTTTCCAAAATGGGTATTTAGGAAGTATAGATAATCAGCCCCATACTATTGATAATCCTTATGTGCAGTACCAAAGGAAGTACTTAAAAGAAAAAGTTGAGTTCTTTGCTCATTAAACTGTATTTATTGCTTATTAAAGGCAAGCTGTACTTGTAAGCATAGTCTCTCTGAGAAAAGAAGAGCATTGAACTTACACAGGGTTTAGGAAAGCGAGGAGTCCCAGAATCGGCAAATTTTGGTGTGAGTTGTGTTGATATAATAGATTAGGTCCAGTTTGTAACTGGTTCAGGTAGTTACTTATTGCTACAGCCAAAGAACAATCAGTCATTTCCAAGTAGCATAGGAATCTTTTGCTTTTGAAAGTATTATGCCCTAAAGTTTACCAAAATACTTTAAATGACAGAACAGATATTCCACTTCAATCTTCAGAGTCTGAAGACAGCACATACGCTGAGTGATTACATAGTACCTCCCAAAGTTTCTCATACTTTTTTATTTTAAATGAATGTAATAGTTTTTACTCTGATGGCATTATTGAACTGTTAATTGGGTTACCTATTATATAAAGATATTATCAAATTACTGTTCATAAAATAAACAAGGTTTGACCACTTTCATGGTCTAAATCGTATGTGAAATTCAGTCTTAATTCTAATTCAGGTCAGGGTTATATGAGGCAAGGCAACGAAATGAAATGAATTTCCTTTTTTTTTCTTTCTTCTTTGATGTTTACTATTTTATCTTATGACATACTTAGTGTATTAAAATAATCAAATGGAAAGAATGTTTCATGTTTCTCACTCCCCAGCTTATCTTTGTTGGGAAATATCACATTTTAATGATAAGAAATATTTTTCATATTTTTAGGGAGAGGTTTTCTAATGGTGTGGATGGAAGACAGTGGTCTGTCAAACTCTCTCTTGAGTAAAAAGAGGCAGTTAGACATAACTCTTAGCACTGATTTTTCTCAGGCAAAAATGATCAAGGGCTCTTTTCTTAGACCAGCATTTATCACAATGTGATCCTTGAACCAGCAGCATCAACATCATCTGGGAACATGTTAGAAATGTAAATTCTCAGTCTGCCTTCCCCTATCCACCCCGACCCCAAAAACTTCATATCCAGATGATTCTGACGCATGCTAAAATTTGCAGGCTACTTTCTGAAACTATAGAGAAGTTTATGACATCTGTCATTGCTTTATCTCTTCATTTCTCACTAGTTTCATAAGCATTCAGATACTAGAAAATAAAATGAAATAATAGAAAGCACTTTCTTTCCTATAAACTAATTCTGTCTACACTGGATACTTTGCTGCATACAGCTAATTCTCAATTATTTGGATGGTAATTTATTTGGGTGGTGAATTACCAATCTGCCAGCAACCAGTTCTTGCTAGCAATTATGCTAGTGGAATATCACAATTAGTGAAAATTAGATCTGCTCCTTTATTGTTGCTACCTTTCATTTGCTTGCCACTATAAACTGGAGACACAGTCTAACCCAAGTTCCACATAATTTGGCCCCCTTGGTTTTATTTCCCATTATTCCCTAGCCTAGTTCATGTAGTTGTACTGGTGAGGGGTGGAAATTTGGTTTAGATTAGTTCATAACAATACCATACGTAGTTTCAACTGCATGTCTTCATTCCTGTCCATAATTCCAGAAAGCCCCTTATCTCCCTTTGCCCCACTTCATCAAATTTCTCTCCATCTCCTGTGGGAGATCAGCATGTAGGTTCCCATTTCAATGAGAAAACCAAGTCCAAGAAGGGTAATTAGAGCAAAGGCCCAACCATGAGGACTGGCCAACTCAGTAAGAGAATATGGCCAGACAGCAACCTGGTAGTAGGCATCAAGGAATAGGGCCTCCCTCTGGCAGTTAACTAGCTATAAAGCAACAAATATCTTATAGGACCTGCTAGCTGGTCAGGATAGGCACGGTCAGAATGGACATGGGACAGGCAGGGACCTGACCCTACAGGCTGAAGACATTCGTGAGTTCAGATGAGAGGGGACTGGGAAAGCCCTGTAAAGATGAGATTCAGGCCCAAATTCTCCAAAGCCTGTTCCTAGATCAGTCCCATTTTCATTATTTTTCTCATTTGTTCAAAGCATGTTGCACCTCACAATTTAGGACTTAGTAACCTGCTCTATTTTTGTTGAGCGTCATTTTATTAGTCAGCTTTAGGCACTAAAAACTTGATATCTGCATTTGTCAGCTCAGGCTGTCATAACAAAATACCAGACTGGGTGGTTTAAACAACAAAAATTTATTTCTCACAGATTTGGAGGCTGGGAAGTCCCAGATCAAGGTGCTGGCCAATTTGGTTCCCCAGCAAGGACTCTTCCTTGTTTACAGCCAGTTGCCTTCTTGCTGTGTCCTCACATAGTAGAGAGAGAGTGTGTGGAAGCATGCTTTCTTTTGTTTCTTCTTATAAGGGTACTAATCTCTTTGTGAGAGCTCCACCTTCACAACCTCATGTTAACCCAATTAATTCTCAAATGCTGACCTCCAAATACCATCGCACGGAAGGTAGGACTTCAACATGTGAACAATTCAGTTCATAGTAGTCATTTTGAGGAAATATATAGTTTTTTTTTTTCCTTACTGAACTTTTGTAATACTAAGTGCAAAGTAGGCAGTCAGTTAAATTTGCTGGTTATTTGATATTTGCATCCTATGTGCAATTGATTGCCACCGTTTTTTTAAAAAAAAATTGAATAAAATGCCTTTCTATAAGTTTGGACATCTTGCTTCTTAAGGTTTCTTCTGTATAGATTAGGCATTTACTTGTCTTGTAATTCATGGTATTCAAGTTAGCCTTTGGAGGGGAAAAAAGGAGGTAGAAACAGTAGCACCTGTGAAAGCAGCTTTGTTAAAAAAGCTGGAGATTGAAGTACAGCTACCTTTAAGATCTGCCTGCAAATCTGAAATTAAAAGTAGATATATTGAGGGTTGTTGACTTTTAATCTAAAATAATGCCTTATTCCTGTGGCTTATTTACTCAGGATCTATAATGCCCAATTTGTTGTAAAGCATTCCACAGCTAAAACACGTCAATTAAAAACAACATTTACTGAGCTAACCCTAGGTACCAGATTAACCCCAATATACTGATAACTAGCTGAAACTACCTCTTCTGGAAAACTCTGTTGCTTAGGGGACAGGTGAGTAGAACAATTGTATTTGCTTTTGTTTTTGTTTTAATTTTATTTGTTTTATTTTCTTTGCTTTTTTTCCTACTTTCTTTATTGTTTTCCATAAGTTATGGGGGTACAGGTGTTATTTGGTTACATGAGTAAGTTCTTTAGTGGTGATGTGTGAGATTTTGGTGCACCCATCATCCAAGCAGTACACACTGCACCATATTTTGTAGTCTTCTATCCCTCGTTCTCTTCCCACTCTTTCCCCTAAGTCCCCAAAGTCCATTGTATCATTCTTATGCCTTTGTGTCCTCATAGCTTAGCTCCCACATATCAGTGAGAACATAAGATGTTTGGCTTTACATTGCTGAGTTACTTCACTTAGAATAATAGTGTCCAATCTCATCCAGGTCACTGCAAATGCTGTTAATTTGTTCCTCTTTATGGCTGCGTAGTATTTCATTTTATATATATATTATATATATTCATTATATAATATATATATTATATATATTCATTATATAATATATATATTATATATATTCATTATATAATATATATATTATATATATTCATTATATAATATATATATTATATATATTCATTATATAATATATATATAATTATATAATGTTTATTATATATAATGTATATATAATTATATATATTATATATATATAATATATATATACACACACACACACTCACACATATATATCACAGTTTTTTATCTACTCACTGATTGATGGGCATTTGGGTTGGTTCCACAATTTTGCAATTGTGAATTGTGCTGCTATGAACATGAGTGTGTAATTATCTTTTTCAAATAATGAATTCTTTTTCTCTGGGTAGATACCCACTAGTGGCATTTGGGTTGGTTGCACAATTTTGCAATTGTGAATTGTGCTGCTGTGAACATGCGTGTGTAATTATCTTTTTCAAATAATGAATTCTTTTTCTCTGGGTAGATACCCAGTAGTGGGATTGCTGGATCAAATGGTAGTTCTACTTGTAGTTCTTTGAGGAATCTCCACTGTTTCCCACGTGGCTGTACTAGTTTACATTCCCACCAGCAGTGTAGAAGTGTTCCCTGATCACTGCATCCATGCCAACATCTACTGTTTTTTTATTTGTTGATTATGGCCATTCTTGCAGGAGTAAGGTGGTATTGCATTGTGGTTTTGATTTGCATTTCCCTGATCATTAGTGATGTTGAGCATTTTTTCATGTTTACTGGACATTTGTATACCTTTTTTTGAGAATTGTCTATTCATGTCCTTAGCCCACTTTTGAGGGAATTGTTTTTTTCTTACTGATTTGAGTTTCTGGATATTAGTCCTTTGTCAGATGTATAGCTTGTGAAAACTTTCTCCCACTCTGTGGGTTGTCTGTTTACTCTGCTGACTGTTCCCTTTGCTGTGCAAAAGTGCTTTAGTTTCATTAGGTCCCAGCTATTTACCTGTTTTTATTGCATTTGCTTTTGGGTTCTTGGTCATGAAATCCTTGCCCAAGCCAAAGTCTAGAAGTATAGTCATTGCAATCAGACTATACTTCTAGAATTTTTGTAGTTTCAGGTGTTAGGTTTAAGCCCTTAATCCATCTTGAGTTGATTTTTGAATAAGATGAGAGATGAGGATCCAGTTTTATCCTCCTATATGTGGCTAGCCAATTATTCCAGCACCATTTGTTGAAAAGGGTGTCCCTTCCCACTTTATGTTTTTGTTTGCTTTGTCAAAAATCAGTTGGCTGTAAGCATTTGGGTTTATTTCTGGGTCTCTATTCCGTTCCATTGGTCTATGTGCCTATTTTTATACCCATACCATGCTGTTTTAGTGACTATGGCCTTATAGTATAGTTTAAAATCAGGTAGTGTGATGCCTCTAGATTTTGCTTAGTCTTGCTTTGGCTATGCAGGCTCTTTTTTGGTTCCATATGAATTTTATAATTGTTTTTTCTAATCTGTGAAGAATGATGGTCATATTTTGATAGTGATTTCATTTAATTTGTAGATTGCTTTTGGCACTATGGTCATTTCACAATATTGATTATACCCATCCATGAGCATGGGGTGTGTTTCCATTTGTTTGTGTCATCTATGATTTCTTTCAGAAGTGATTTGTAGTTTTCCTAGTAGAGGTCTTTCAACTACTTGGTTAAGTATATTCTTAAGTATTTTAATTTTTTTGCAGCTATTGTAAAAGGGGTTGAGTTCTTGATTTGATTCTCTGCTTGGTCACTTGGTATATAGAAGAGCTACTGATTTGTGTATATTAATCTTGTATCTGGAAACTTTGCTGATTTCTTTTATCAATTCTAGGAGCTTTCTGGAGGAGTCCTTAGCGTTTTCAAGATAAACCATCATATCGCTCGCAGTGACAGTTCAACTTCTGATTTGGATGTCCTTTATTTCTTTCTCTTGTCTGATTGCACTGACTAGAACTTCCAGCACTATGTTGAAGAGGAGTGGTGAGAGTGAGCATTCTTGTCTTGTTCCAGTTCTCAGAGGGAATGCTTTCAACTTTTTCCTGTTCAGTATTATGTTGGCAGTGGTTTTGTCATAGATGGCTTTTAGGTATGGCATTAAGGTATGTCCCTTGTATGCCGATTTTGCTGAGAGTTTTAATCATAAAGCGATGCTGGATTTTGTCGAATGCTTTTTCTGCATCTATTGACATGATCATATGGGGTTTTTTTCAATTCTGTTTATGTGGTATATCACATTTATTGACTTGCATGTCTTAAACCATTCCTGCATCCCTGGTATGAAACCCACTTGATTGTAGGTAGTGGATTATCTTTTTGATATATTGTTGGATTTGGTAAGCTAGTATTTTCTTAAGGATTTTAGCATCTATATTCATCAAGGATATTGGTCTGTACTTTTCTTTTTTGGTTATGTCCTTTCCTGGTTTTGGTTTAGCGTGATGCTGGCTTCACAGAATGAATTATGGAAGGTTCCTTCCTTCTCTGTCTTGTGGAATAGTGTCAAAAGGATTGGTACCAATTCTTCTTTGAATGTCTGATAGAATTCTGCTGTGAATCTTTCTGGTCCTGGACATTTTTTGGTTGGTAATTTTTAAATTACCCTTTCAATCTCACTGCTTGTTATTGCTGTATTTGGGGTGTCTAATTCTTCCTGATTTAAGCTAGGAGGGTTGTATTTTTCCAGGAATTTATCCGTCTCGTCTAGGTTTTCTAGTTTATGTGCATAAAGGTGTTCATTGTAGCCTTGAATGGTCTTTTGTATTTCAGTGGTATCAGTTGTAATATCTTCTATTTCATTTGTTAGTGAGGTTATTTGGATTATCTCTCTTCTTTTCTTGGTTAATCTTACTAATGGTCTATCAATTTTATTTATCTTTTCAGAACCAGCTTTTTGTTTCATTTATCTTTTGTAGTTTTTGTTTGTTTCTTTGTTTCAATTTCAGTTAGTTCTGCTCTGATCTTGGTTATTTCCTTTCTTCTGCTGGGTTTGGGTTTGGTTTGTTCTTGTTTCTCTAGTTCCTTGAGGTGTGACCTTAGATTGTCTAGTTGTGCTCTTTCAGACTTTTTGATGTGGGTGTTTGGGGCTATGAACTTTCCTATTAGCACCGCCTTTGCTGTATCACAGAGATTTTGATAGGTTTTGTCATTATTTTCATTCGGTTCAAAGAACTTTTTAATTTTCATCTTGATTTCATTTTTGACCCAAGGCTCATTTAGGAGCAGGTTATTTAATTTCCATATATTTGCATGGTTTTGAAGGTTCCTTTTGGAGTTGATTTGCAGTTTTATTCCACTGTGGTCTCAGAGAGTGCATGATATAATTTCAATTTTCTTAAATTTATTGAGGCTTGTTTTATGGCCTATCATATGATCTATCCTGGAGAAATTTCCGTGAGCTGTTGAATAGGATGTGTATTCTGCAGTTGTTGGATGAAATGTTCTGTATATATCTGTTAAGTCCATTTGTTCCAAGGTATAGTTTAAATCCATTGTTTCTTTGTTGACTTTCTGTCTTTATGACCTGCCTAGTGCTGTCAGTGGAGTATTGAAGTCCCCCACTATTATTGTGTTGCTGTCTATCTCATTTTCTAGGTCTATTAGTAATAGTTTTATAAATTTGGGAGCTCCAGTGTTCGGTGCATATATGTTTAGGATTGTGATATTTTCCTGTTGGACAAGGCCTTTTTACCATAATATAATGTCTTTGTCTCTTTTAACCACTGTTGCTTTTAAGTTTGTTTTGTTGGATATAAGAATAGCTACTCCTGCTTGCTTTTGGTGTCCATTTGCATGAAATGCCTTTTTCTGCCCCTTTACTTTAAGTTTATGTGAGTCCTCATGTGTTAGGTGGCCTTCTGAAGGCAGCATATAGTTGGCTGGTGAATTCTTACTCATTCTGCAGTTCTGTATTATCTTTTAAATGGAGCATTTAGGTCATTTACATTCAGCATTAGTATTGTAAATGTGAGGTACTGTTGCATTCATCATGCTCTTTGTTGCCTGTATACTTTGCTTTTGTGTGTGTTTCTTGCTTTTGCTTTTTAACTTCTATTTTTGTGTTATAGGTCCTGTGTGATTTGTGCTTAAAGAGGTTCTTTTTTGATGTGTTTCCAGGATTTGTTTCAAGATTTAGAGCTCCTTTTAGCAGTTCTTGTAGTGGTGGCTTGGTAATGGCGAATTCTCTCAGCATTTGTTTGTCTGCAAATGACTGTATCTTTCCTTTATATTCATGATGCTTAGTTTTGCGGAATACAAAATTCTTGGCTGATAATTGTTTTGTTTGAGGAGGCTGAAGATAGGGCCCTAATCCCTTCTAGCTTGTAGGGTTTCTGTTGAGTAATCTGCTATTAATCTGATAGGCTTTCCTTTGTAGGTTACCTGGTGTTCCTGTCTCATAGCTCTTAAGATTCTTTCCTTTGTCTTTGGATAACCTGATGAAAATATGCCGAGGTGAAGATCTTTTTAGGATGAATTTCCCACGTGATGTTTGTGCTTCTTGCATTTGGATATCTAGGTCTTTAGCAAGGCCAGGGAAGTTTTCCTCAATTATTTCCCCAAATATGTTTTCCTAGCTTTTAGAATTATCTTCTTCCTCAGGAACACTGATTATTCTTAGGTTTGGTTGCTTAACATAATCCCAGACTTCTTGGAGACTTTGTTCATATGTTCTTATTCTTTTTTCTTTGTCTTTGTTGGATTGGGTTAATTCAAAGACCTTGTCTTTGAGCTCTGAATTTCTTTCTTCTACTTGTTCAATTCTATTGCTGAGACTTTCCAGAGCATTTTGCATTTCTAAAAGTGTGTCCAAAGTTTCCTATATTTTTGATTGTTTTATCTTTAAGCTATCTATTTCCTTGAATATTTCTTCCTTCACTTCTTGTATCATTTTTTGGATTTCCTTGCATTGGGCTTCACCTTTCTCCGGTTGCTCCCTGATTAGCTTAATAACAGCCTCCTGAATTCTTTTTTCAGGTAAATCAGGGATTTCTTCTTGGTTTGGATCCATTGCTGTTGAACTAGTGTGATTTTTTTTGGGAGTGGGAAGAGCCTTGTTTTATCATATTACCAGGGTTGTTTTTCTAGTTCTTTCTCATTTGGGTAGGCTCTGTTAGAGGGAAGGTCTAGGGCTGAAGGCTGTTGTTCAGATTCTTCTGTCCCACAGGGTGTCAGTGTGTTGTTCAGATTCTTTTGTCCCTTGCCCTTTTCTTATGGATGTGGCTTCCTGTGAGCCAAACTGCAGTGGTTGTTGTCTCTCTTCTGGGTCTAGCCATGCAGCGAGACTACCCAGCTCCAGGCTGGTACTGGTGATTGTATGCGTAGAGTCCTATGATGTGAACCATCTGTGGGTCTCTCAGCCATGGATACTAGTGTCTGTTCCAGGGGAGGGGGCAGAGGATGCAATGAACTCCATGAGAGTTCTTAGCTTTGGTGGTTTAATGCTCTATTTTTGTGCTTGTTGGCCTCCTGCCAGGGGTGGCACTTTCCAGAAAGCATCAGCTGTAGTAGTGTGAAGAGGGATGGGTGGTGGGCGGGGCCCTAGAACTCCCAAGATTATATGCCCTTTGTCTTCTGCTACCAGGGTGGGTAGGGAAGGACCATCAGGTTGGGGCGGGGCTAGGCATGTCTGAGCTCAGACTTTCCCTGGGTGGGTCTTGCTTCGGCTGCTGTGGGGGTTGGGGATGAAAGTCCCAGGTCACTGGAGTTGTGTACCTAGTAGGATTATGGCTATCTCTGCTGAGTCACTCAAGCTGTCAGGGAAGTAGAGGAAAGCTGGCAGTCACAGGCTTTACCCAGCTCCTGTGCAAACCGAAGGGCCTGTCTCACTCCCACTGTGCCCCCAGCAACAGTCTGTTTCCAGGTGGAGGGCTAGACAGGCTTGAAAACTTGCCTGAGGCTATCCGCTTCCCAGCTGCAGAAGAAAAGGGCTTTAGTTCTTCCCCCACCTGTGAAGTCTGCACACAAGATTTGCTCCCTCCCCCGAGTTCTGGCCAGGAGACTTCTCACCTGTTCAAATTGTTACAAAGTTCAGCTAGGGAATTCCTTCTCTCTGTGGAGTTTTACCCCCTGCTCCTCTGGCCACCCTCCCGATGGATTGATCCCTGGGGTGCCAGGCAGGAATGGGCTGCTTGGGGACCCACTGAGCTCCCAGGGCCTTTCTGGGGCTTCCTCTACCCCTGTATTTCACTCGGCTCTCTAACTTGATTCAGCTCCAAGTCAAGTCGGAAACTTCTCCCGCAAACAGACCTTCAGTTTCTCCAGTGGATGTGTGTATTAGGGAGAGGAGGGTCTCCCTTTCCCACTTCCACAGTTGGGGGACTCACAGTATTTGGGTATTTCCCGGGTTCTGCAGGAGCAGTCCACATCCTTCAGAAGGTCTGTGGTTTCTCTCGGGATTGCTGGTTTGTTCCTGCAGTCAATCTGGAGCTAAAATTCACAGTGTGAGCCTCCACATGCTGCTCTGTCTGGAGCTGCAATCTAATCCTGCCTCCCGTCCGCCATGATCCCTGGAACAGTTATATTTGGACATATGGATCAAACCATACAATTTGGAAAGAAAAAACAAACAAAAAAAAGGTCTGCAAAGGGTCCTTCCTTTATACTCAAAGGAACATAAATTTCTCTTGCTACCTGTTTCTGCATTTCAGGAGAAAAACACGAATTCTCTCTTTGTGCTCCGGGGTGTACACTTAGCTCATCATATAATGGAGCTCTACTTTCCCTTTAAATATGAACTATGGATTTTTGGACAAAAGTCATAAAAATTCTACCAGATTAATACAGAATTGCAGATTTTTCCCAAAGGGCCTTTTCCTGATTTATTTTTATCAGCATGAATAACTCCTGAGAATATGGTGAGCTGTTTCCTCACGGAGATACAGAGCCTGAAGTCTGGCAGCATTTCCACCATCTACCACCCACTGAGCTTGATTTTAAGTTGTTTTTCTCAATACAACAAGACCAGTGATTTCTAACAGCAGTCACATCCAAGTTTGTTCTGGAATTGTCAGCTACATATCTAAGTGTTATATGTTATTTCCCTCCTGTTTTTCTTCTTTATTTTTTAAGCATTTTATTTTGAAATAAATTTAGATTTGCAGAAGAGTTGCAAAGATAGTATAGGTGTATAGCTTTACCCAGCTTCCTGTGATTTAAAAAATGTATCTTCCCAAGGTACACTTATTAAAATTAAAAAATTATCACTGGTACTATACTATAAACTAAACTCTAGATTTTGTTATACTTTTTGTTTTGTTTTGGTTTGGTTTTTGAGATGGAGTCTTGCTCTCATCACCCAGGCTGGAGTGCAATGGCACGATCTCAGCTCACTGCAACCTCCACCTCCCAGGTTCAAGGGATTCTCCTGCCTCAGCCTCCCAAGTAGCTAAGATTACAGGCGTCCACCACCACACCCGGCTAATTTTTGTATTTTTAGTAGAGACGGGGTTTCGTCATGTTGGCCAGGCTGGTCTCAAACTCCTGACCTCTTGATCTGCCCACCTCAGCCTCCCTAAGTGCTGGGATTATAGGCGTGAGCCACTGCACCTGGCCTATATTATTAACTAAACTCTAGATTTCCGGTTTTTCCACGGATGTCTTTTAGCTTGTTCCAGGACCATACGATGCCATGCAGCACCATGTCTCTTAGTCCATGACAGTTTCACAATCTTTCCTTGACATATCTTTCTTGTTTTTAAATCTCTTTCCAAATGTACCCTTGTTACACATGCAAGCTATAACCATTGACTAAAATACCCTATTTTTATTTAAACATAATTTCTACTGTTTTTTAATATTGAAAATAATCTTTTTTTTTTTGAGACGGAGTCTCGCTCTGTCGCCCAGGCTGGAGTGCAGTGGTGTGATCTCGGCTCACTGTAAGCTCCGCCTCCCGGGTTCACGCCATTCTGCCTCAGCCTCCCGAGTAGCTGGGACTACAGGCACCTGCCACCATGCCCGGCTAATTTTTTTGTATTTTTAGTAGAGACGGGGTTTCACCATGTTAGTCGGGATGGTCTCTATCTCCTGACCTTGTGATCCGCCCGCCTGGGCCTCCCAAAGTGCTGGGATTACAGGCGTGAGCCACCACGCCTGGCCTAAAATAATCTTAAAAAACGTAAGCAAAATAAAAACTATTTACTAAATGTAAAAATGAAAACTACTAAGCTGGACCTAACCCTTGGTATGTTTGCCTTTTAAGTAGCTTTCCTGCTTCTGGTATCACCATAGTCAAATCCAGTGGATTTATCTGAAACATTTTAAACATTCAGAATAATGTTTCTAATGTATTAATTATCATGTAATAATAATTTTGAAGGTTCAATGGTCATTTGCATAAATTCCAGATTCTTTAGCATGGTATACAAGTGTGGCCTTCATGATCTAGCACCCACCTTTCTCTCCGGAAGCATCTTCAGCTGTTCCTGAGCTGATGTAAAGCCCTCTGTGGCGGGCAGCCTCTGCCAACACCACACGAATAAGCCTGGAAGCGGACCTCCTCCAGTCAAGCCTGGAAATGACCGCAGACCTGGCCCACGATCTGCAACTTTGTGAGAGACCCTGAGCCTCAGGACCAAACTGAGCCATGTCTAAATTTCTAACTCATAGAATTGGCGAGTTAAGTGTTTGTTGTTTTGGAAGGAAAATTTTTAATTAATAACAAATATATGTTGAATCCAGCTGGACTCCCTACCTAGAATATCCCACATTGGCCATATTTTCTCATACCTTGGTGTCCAGGTAGTTAGTCAGACAGTTATTTTGTGATTTAATTGATATTCCTAAGCCCCTACCAAATACCAGGCTATGTGCTAGGTGTTGGAATCAAGGACTCTAAAATATGGTTAAAGGAACCCACAGTTAAGTAGAAAACACAATGATGTTAGTTACTGGTAATAATGTAAAAAGTGCTGCAGTTGATGAATAAATATATTTTATAAATTTAGAGAGAAAAATGATTACATTTGATCTGGAAAGCGAAAGATACCAAGAAATTTTTGAGCTAGATTGTGAAGTTTAGTGGGTTTCATTACATAAGAAAGTCAGCAGAGGGAAGAATGTGAACAAAAGATTAAGTGTGAGCGTCCATGTTGTGTTTGGGGAGGGCAAATGTGCCAGTGGGTTTGGGGATGGAAGTATATTGGATGAGCACTGTTGTGGAAGAGCGACCTGTCTTCCATTCTCCTCCCTCCCTGTTATAATCTTGTACATCCCTCAAGACTGAGCTCAAATTCCATTGTTTTCTTGATATCATTTCTGATTGTTCCTAACCACGAGGATCTCTCCCATTCAATCACATACTGTCTCACATTGTTCTCTAAGTGCTGTATTAGCAAACGCTTTGAGATGGCAAATTATCTTTTCTTCTGTATGCACATCTAGAACATTGCTGGGCACATAATGTTAGATAAATGCTTATTGATTAATTGAAGATGGCATTTTTCTTCTGTGTTACTTAAAGTCTAAGTTAAAGTGATTAAGCTGAAAATGCATACACAACTAGTAACTCCAAAGCAACACTGAGGTACATGCCTGATAATGATGCTTAGAAATGAAAATACAGGGAATGATTAGTAAAATTTCTGATATTTAGAAGCATCAACTTGATGTCAGTAGGCAAATGAACACTTGGAAGTGAGAAAAGCACAAGAAAATGAACAGATGTGACTGGACACTGGGTAGAAGGGAGGCAACCTTGTTCCAGAGAGCAGCAGTAGGAGAGCAGTGATTGGGAGGGAAAGGTGAGTCCAAATGAGAAGATGTAAGCTCTGATTCATGAAGGACATTCCAGTTTGGTAATGGCCTAGGTGGTCTGTCCCATGGATCTCAGAGAAGGAATTTATGTAGTATGGTGGTAAGAGTCTTTTTTCCCTAATAAAAGTACATATTGTGGGGGATTCATGTCAATGTAACCTGCCTAGGAATTCTCTTATTAATATAGGATTATTAGACCCTGAATGTCCCACGAATAGTTTACTGAAGTGCAAAGGATATTCTATCTGAACTCACAAATGAATCTAATCAGTTACCATGTGGCATCCATATTTGGATCTCTCTATTTCTCTTTCCAGTGTCTTACACTCTTCCCCTAGAATAGGACCATCACTCATTCCTGCTGTCCCTGCCATGCCTGCTGTTTATCACCCCTGCCATCAAGCATCGAGGAGGAGGTTTGTGCTGAGCAGGCTGTCCCCACTGCCTCTGAGGGATGGAGCTCAAGCTACTGAAGCTTCATAGTTGTCTACTGGGAATCCAGGGAATCTCTGGTCATCTTTGTTACTACAATCATTATAGTCATGTGTCCTAGATCACAGATATGTGCACCCCTGATTATAGATTAAAGTAAAACAAGTTGTTTCAGTTTTTACTTATAGCTCCACACCCTATTCACATACCTCCCAGGGCTCAGTCATGAGTCCAGTCACGGGTAACAGGGGAGGGAGCTGGACATGAAGGTGAAAATTAGTAGTAAACATCATGCTATGTTCATACTTTTCTTCTCCTCACCTCTAAAGCTACATTACCCTATTAAGTGTGCTGTGCTGCAACCTCCGCCTCCCAAGTAGCTGGGACTACAGACGCGCACCACCATGCCTGGCTAATTTTTGTATTTTTAGTAGAGATGGGGTTTCATCATATTGGCCATTCGAGACTGGTCTCGAACTCCTGACCTCGTGATCTGCCTGCCTCGGCCTGCCAAAGTGCTAGGATTACAGGTGTGAGCCACCATGCCTGGCAATCCTTTCTTTACTTAGACACTCCTCATATATGTAAACTTCTGGTGTGTTGACAGCATATTCTCAGGTATCTCTAGACTCCTCCTGGTTGAGGATAAACCAGGATCTCAGCTACAGTATGATTGTGTCTGAACAAGGGATGCCAGACTAAGAAAAAGTAGTGTAGCCCAGATAGGAATAGGGCCGCAGAAGGCAAGAGGGAAACTCATTGCATTCTGGATGGATTCTAAGTCATAGGCTAATTGCTTTTTCCAGACATCATTTTACCCACCTTTGACATGTGCTTGTATGGATGGAACCATTTGAAAGTGAAAGGGTAAGCAAGGGACTGAAATTGTTAAAATATAGATTTTTTTTTTTAAGCAGTAATCTGACAGAGGCATCCAATGTGTTTATACTAGTGGAAGCAGGAAGATCAGCAAGGAAATTATTAAAATAATGCAGGCATGGAGTGATGGGCATGTTTCCTGATCTTCTTGCCTGTCAGAAAACTCAGAGTTAAGTTTTGTACTGACTTGTAGTAGCTGTCATTTATCCAGTTTTAGAATATTATTACCTTTCATTTTCATTTCTCCAACCATATACTTGCTTCCTTTGTCTTATTGGTCTTTGGGTTTTATTTTACTTTGTTTCCCTTATAGCCACATCTTACTTTTTAGAAGTAGATTATAAGTATAAAAGTGCATGAATAAAATAGGCCTCTTGGTGGTAAGGGGAAGACTGAAGATAAATGGTGTTTATTTGATGGGACCTGATATAAATAGCTGAGGATTCTACAAAGCACTGGGTTAAGAGGTATCTCCTAATCAATGAATGGTAATGGTTGTGTGACTGGGAGATATAGAACAAAGTTATGATGACATAGTAACTTTTAACTTCAAAATGACAAGAAGCTGGGGGCTAGGGTTTAGCAATTGCTGTTGAACTCTAAGAATGTGCTGTGTTTCCATACCTACTTTAAAGATCAGTGATCAAAATTAAATAATAACTTGAGTAATACAAAACTGAGTAAGACTCTGCTCCCTTACGAGGCAGGACAGATGGAGGAGTGAGAAGCATGGTGTAATCAGAGTGCCCAGGCAATTCACAGTAAGCGGATGTGCTTGTCCTGGCTCCAGAACAGTAACTCCATGGGGAACATAGTCATGTGCAAAGCGTTGAACTTATTCATTAGTGAGAATTCTTGCTCTGTTGAAGCTTAAAAAGAAAACAGAGCATAATGAAAAATTTACAGACAGAGAAAGGAATGATTATGAAATCCTGGAGTACGTAGCACAAGGAGTTCCAAACCCAAATGCCTATAGAGTCCAGGCAGAACATGTAAATAAGTGAAGTGGGCAAGGTGAAACCCAAAAAGGAGTGGTGGGGATCATTCCAAACTGAAGAGCACTTGATCCTCAAAGAGCGCAGCTTCTGATCAACTCCAGTTCATCATTGCATATGGAAACATGAGTCCCATACCCCCAGGTATACTGATAGTTCAAGAGAAGCCAGGAAATCAGACCTCAACTAAAATAGGATTTTCTAAATGTTGGGTTAATTTTGTAATACAATGTATAGGCCAAAACAAAACACTTCTGTGACTGCATTAAACCTCTGGAGACTGGTTTGTGGTTTCTGGAAGAGAATTGTTTAAGTCTTATCTCTTTAGGGATAAAGAACACATACTGTTACTTACACAAAAGAGGCTGGCTGGGAAAATTGAAGGGGAAAGATAGCATTTTCCTTAGGGAAAGGGATAAGGCATAGCCAGATATGGGAGTGAGATCCCTTCTCTGATGAGTGGGTTCAGGAGGTAGTGTAGGGGCTCTCTTCTGAATTAGACCCTGTTATCCTATGTGAGTCCAGCACCTCTAACAAAAATATTTTAGCAGAGTCCACTCAGTCAGTCTAGGCAGAGATGACGATATGATTGGGATGAGAGCAGAGAGTTTGAATTTACTAAAAAGACAAGAATAAGCCTTTTGGTACAAGGTCCTCCCCAAAAATGTGGCTGCCACAGCCTTATTATGTGATAACTGATCTCAAGGTTGGGGGAAAAATGTTCATTCAAATGCAAGTCATTTAATATCTACTAAGTGTGAGAAAAAAGACAACTGATAAAATCTTCCAAACTTCCAAAGGTTTAAATTATGGGATCCAAAGTCGGGTTTGGGGCTGAAATTAATTTTTTATGGTTGTTATAACAACAAAAATAATATTTCTTATGTGGTCACTGTGTACTAGAAAGTATAGTGAATTTTCAACATGCATTATCTTGATAGTTCTTCATAGGACCCCCGAAGCAGGTATTTTTATTATTTCCATGTGATACTGCAGGGTACTCAGCCTCTCACAGGTGAAGTGACTTGCCCAAGATCACACATACAGAGACCAGGGTGTGTGCCCCACCCCTATGCAAACTTTCTCCATCAATTTAATCATGGCATGATTCAAACTTTCTCAAAGTGAGAGTTGTGAAAACCAAATGTGATGATACACATAACCATATTTTATAAGCTGTAAGACAGTTTCTGCTTCCAAGCACAAGAGAAGCTGTTAGGTAATTTCACTTTTGATGGCTATAACTATTATTTTTTGCAATTACTCCTCATATGAATTTCTACTTATTAATTAGTTCCCACTGCCTCCATTCAAAAGAAAAGATTCCTTGCCCTATGCATTTGTTCAAGTCACTGTTTACATCTTTATGTCCCCAGTTTAACCTAATTATATGGTCTCCCTCTGGGACCAGCTGGGGATGAAGATGGAAAGAGACGCAGCCCACCTGAGGCGTCTGTTCATTGAATGACGATTTCACCACTGCTCATGAGCCTAGTGATGGTGAACTTTCCTTACAAACTGAACATTTTTTCTACTGGCTTTTAAAGTAAGAAAAATCATGACCCACTGCTGAGAGTATATCCAGAAACACTCAGTTAGTTAAAACCACAGGAAGAACTATCACAGAATATGAAAACTTTGTCCTAACACAATTTCATCAGAAATTTTATATACTTTGACTCTCTAAGAGAGAAAAAGAAAAGAAATAAAAACAAATGAGAGAATAGGAATGGATATGAGAAGGAATCCAGCCAAGTGGAAGGTTGCCACACGGAAACACAGAGCAGTTTCTACCAGTCAAACAAAAGCCTGTCACAGGAAGGGACACCATAGGGCTAGACCTGAAGACAGGCACCACACATCGTGAAAAGCTTAATCAAGGTGAGAGGGAGAGAAGTAGGACATATATTTTCTTCCCTTCCTAAATGGCTTCATAACTACATTAGGCCGGCAAAAAAAATTGCTTCTTAGTATTGGTCAGTTTAGTAATAGCAGGTCACTGAAAGAAACAACCCCTTCCTCTTCGTTTTCTTTCATGTGGTTTTAGGAAGGAAAATAGGTAACAGGGAAAGAAAAAAAAAAAAAAAGCCTGTTGCAGCAAAGAGCTATTTCTTTTGAGTCAGATTTCGTGCTAGACTATTAAGTACTCTAGAAATTACTTTAAAGATTTTTACCTAGTTAATGAAAATAGTTAAGTATATCAGACCTAGGCATGACTCGTTCTTGGGTAGATCTCATAATTAATAAGTTCATTCAGAGAAATGGCAAACTATTGAAATAAGGTGGGTATTATTTTGATATTGCATTGCTTTGTATCAATTAGCCACATCTTTATGATAAAGGACACTGTGAATGTAAAATGTTCAGAATATTTATGGTATTCATTTTTCCAGTGCTGATTATACATTAGGTACAGAGGTAGGTGCTGTAATTCAGATCATGTCAGTTTTTTACAATCCCTCAGTGTCTCCCCATTGAACTCAAAATGAACTTCAAACTCTCACAACAATACCCGGGGCCTGCATGACCCAGTGGCCTCTGCTTCTCCCCATCTTTACCTCTACCACAATCCCTCTTACTTGCTGCTTTCCACCCACCCCAGCTCTCTTCCAGTGGCTCAAACATTCCAAGATTTCTGCCACTGGTCCTCTCTACCTGCTGATTCTTCTGCCCAGAATACTAGCTTCCTGTCTTTTTATGAGTGGTTCCATTACATTCCTCAATCTCAGCTTAATGTCACATCCTCAGAAAGACCTTCCCTGAGTCTTCTTTTTAAAATAGCCACCTGTCATCTACCCTGACGTCACCTACCCTGATGCCACAGCATCTTTTTATGTCCTTCATAGAATGTGTTATAGTGTGTTTTTCATTTCGTTTTTGTTTTGTTTTCTTGTTTTATTTCTCTGGCTATAGTATAGACTCCATGAGGGTGGGAACTTGTTATTCTTAATTTCTGTTCTATCAAATCCTGGAGTGGTATCTGCACACTAGACATATACTACTTATTTGCTAAATGATGGATAGATGAATAAATGTGGAGATACTAACACTTAGAGAATCCCATTTTTACGTCAAGTATTGTACTAAGTATTATTATCTATGTTAGTTTACGTAGTTACTACTGTGAGTTAAGTGTTGTTTTCATCTTGCTGATGAGAAAAATGGGAACTTCAGTCTTATAATGCTGTATAAGCCCTTAAGGAGCTCCCAGTCTGATTATATCATTAGACAATAAGCTCATTATATAATAAATCCAGATTTTGTGTTTTTTCCACAACAGCATGTAGAAATCTCACATAGCAAGCTTAAATTAAGTGGTTAGATTTAGCTCTGCTCTTCACGCCTCCAGTGAATTATGCATGCCTTTGTGGATTTGAATACGTCTTTATGAAATAAACATATTTTGGAGAGCAGACACTGTCTCTCTCATTTCCATAAAAGTGAGATGCCCATTATATCAACATTTGTGATCCCTTGATTATAATTCTTTACATTCATGTAGCTCTTTTGCAAAGAATTTTCAGGCATATGAGTTCCTTCCATTTCCTTTCACATCTCTGTGAAGGAAGGGCAGGCAGGGCAGGTGTTATTTGTCCTTGTCTTCCTGCCACAGATGATGCTGCTAGAGTTCTGTGACATTAAGTGGCTTTCCCAAGGTCACACAGCTGGTAAGTGGTAAAGCCTCTTGGCCCTGGCCTTCTGTCCTCAGAACATAATTCTGTTGTCCCCAAAGCCCTGAAGTGTCCCTCTCCCTGCTGCTTCTACCCCTCCTCCCCACCCCAATCATCCTTCTCTATTCTTTTCTATTTCCTGAAAGTCTGCACTATGACATACTGAGAGCTTTAAATGGAGGTGAGAATGAAGGGGTTCTTGGTAGTGAAAACAGATGAGCAGACAGATTTCTCTGCCTGCCTCCCATCTTTCCTCAGTTCCTCCTATTCCCCAAAGAAATATAGAGGGTGTCTCCAAGGGGCTCTTACTACGGAGAGCTACTCCATGACTATATTTTAATAAGTGAAAGTGAGGAGGTAAATATTCTTTTTCTGATCATTTGACCAGGTATGCTAATAAAGCATGTCCCAAAATGTCTCTCAGATTGTTCCCTTCCCTTCCATTCTCACCAGTATCTCTCTAGTTTTAGTCATCATCTCTATTGTTCTCCAATACTCTTCTAACGTGTCTCCTTTCCTCTGGCCTAGCCACCATCCATTCTACTCTCTATGCTGCAAATAGAGCTTCCATTCTAGGGCATAGATCTCATCGCATTGCTCTTTTCCTCTTAGTCATCAGTGTTTCTCCGTTGCTGCTAGCCTAATTTTAAACTCTTTGATATGTCATGCAAAGCCATTGACACCTGAGTTCCTTGCTGCTCCAGCCTCCCTTCCTGCTATATACTGTACTGTCATCTTAGAGGACTTCTGGCTAGTGACTGCCTGCTGTGCAATCTCATACCCTGTGCCTTTGCATGGTGTTCCTGTCTCTTGGAGCACCTTCTCCCTGCTTCTCTGTAAAGTTCAGCTCAAAAATTACTTTTATCTTAAAGCTTTCCTGGATTCTTCTCTATTATACTTCTCCCTGAAGAAGATGGGATTCTTCCAGCCTTTCTCCTATGGCAATTTGTTTAGACATCTATTAGGGCTACACTGATGACGTTTTCTGGTTTTAATATCGTGAAAACAGGGTTTGGCAACAGAATAAAGTAGTTTAATAATGATAGCTACCTTTTTTGCATCCTCTTCAGTATCTTTTATCTTTACTTCATAGAATATGGTCTCATTGAAAGGAGGGACACTACCTTATTCTTTGCGACATTAGAACCCAGTCAGTACAACACCTGGCATGTAAGAGTAAGTTATCAATGCTTGTTGGACTCCAGGCATTCTTGTGTATACTTTAAATATACTCTGATTTTTACTGCAATCTTCTGAGGTAGCTGTGATGCTGCCATTTTGCAAATAAGGAAACTGATATTAAAAGGATTTTTATTTCATAGAGGTAGCATTTGAACTGATGTGTGAGTTTGACTCCTAAAGTGTGTTCTTTTCTATTATATGAGAGATTACCTACATAAATTGTTCAAGTATTATTATTCCCTCTTTCCTATGAAAGCTATTAAAGGTAGGTGGAAATTAATTTAGTACTTAAATAATATGATTGAGCATGAAAGCCAAGAAAAGCAGATTAAAGGAGATTTTTTTGGAGGGAATGAAATTAGTAGACAGAGACTGCATGGAACATATTAGCAGACAGCCATGTGGGGAAATAAGCTAAGTCCGTGATTTACTGAGATTGCTTTCTATCACCTCAGTGAACATTTACCTCAAGCAAGACACACTGCTTGACAAAGACATAAAATACTTTACATGTGGTTTAACACGTAGCCCTTCAGAGTCCTAATCTTGGGGACAAGACTGGCAGAGATGGCTGAATTCTCAGGTCTCCTTATCTGCTGCTTATGGTTTTATTCATTCTCTACACCTTCCAAAGCATGCAGTGTTCAGCAGCAAATTCAACAAACAAATTAAATGCAAAATTGCGGCATTTCCCACTGATCCTCTGGAGCCATCTTATTTGGCAATAGAAAGTGCAAAGAAAAATCAGGTGAGACCTTAAATGAAAGGTCACACAAACCTCTAATAAATTATCTTACATGATGATATTATTGTGAGATACTTCTAGATTGGCTTGAGGGTTTTCAATTTTTTTCAATATTTTAAAAAGAACAATGCATTTCCTTTTGGCAAGAAGGACATTTCTGACCAAGGAAGCTGCAGTGACACACTTTTCCGGAGATGAGAGAAAGGCACACACACACATTCACCAGTCACTTAGAAAAGTGAATGAGATGCTGGGGCAAATACTGTGTTCTAAACTTGAGAATGGTCATAAAGGGAATGGGAAAGTCCCTGTGTTTTTAAAGGAAGCAAATTAGTTGCAGGCAGCCTCGGACAAGTTGAAGAAACATCTGGGTAGACCGATAATAGACTGACTTCCTGACATGCCATTTTAACTATGATGACTTCAGACAGGAAGCTTAAGTTTCTCATTGTAACACTGGAAAAATACATAAAATTACGAGGCATTAACCACATACAAAATTGTAACTTTCTAATAAAAATATATTTTATAAAATTATAGAGGTTTAACATTATTATTTTCAAGATCTAAAAGCTATCAAACATTTTAGTCTATGCCTCTCCTTCCTGAGGAATATTTCAAGAAAAATATATGTACTTGTGTCTGTTAAGTCCAAATGCTATATACTTTCTTCAATTACTCTATTCTAGAGGCAATTTTAATAGAAATGACATTTCATTTCTCCAAACCAGAATTTTGATATGAAAAATTTTTTCACTATGATAAAATCACTAACAAGGAGAAAAATTAGTAACTAGCAAATAAATTAACCATGTTTTCCCAATGATATGGTTGTTGGCCTTTCTAAGACCTTAAGGCAGGGCTATAAGAATACTCCTGAAAGTTATCAAATATCTTTGGAATGTTTTCAGATTTTACATATACATGCATATGTCTATATATGAAAATAAATTATTCAGGGCAGACTCTCAGGAGATAAGGAAAATTCCTTAGCACCATATTTTGTTCATCTTGTTTCCCTTATGCCAATGAATTGCAGGGCCCTGTTAAGTTAAATGGCACCCCACTTATTTTGGAAATATCTTTCTTCTATGTTTAAAGAAACATACATTTTTAAAGAGCCTACACTTGAATATTCCTTGGGGCTTTATGTTGCCCATTTCTATGTACATGACATTGTAAAGCAGCATAATTTTCATGGTGAAAGAATAAGAGTTACCCTTTATGTCCTCATGTCATGCAGAGACTCATAGGTCCCGGTCTTTTACCCCAAGTTGCATGTATAATTAGGAAAACCACAATTCTTTACTCAATCGCTGTTGGTGAGGAAGGAGGCTTTTCCATGAATGCAAAAAGAGTGCAGTGCAAGATCCATTTAATTATGACTGTGGATACAGGCTTTTGAGTCTAAGACAAAGTTCATTATTTTACCAGGCACATGTTTTTTAAATATTTTAAAAGAAAAAACCTAAATCTTCCCTTTTCAACCAATGCAGCTGTTCTGCACTTGTTCTACATCTCCCCTCCCACTAGCACTCCATGTCTAGCTAAGCAGATTTCCCTATATTCCCCTTTAGTGGCTCTGCTTTCTGGTATATGTGCCTTCTCCTACATGGGTACCTTTCTGATTTATCCATTTCTCAATGTCCTTTCCATCTTTTTTAGGACTGACCTCAAATGCAATCTCCCACATGAAGATGTACCTATCACTTCTGCAATAATTAAGTGTGCTCTCCTTTGGGTAGCCCTATATTATTTCATTATTTAGAACATTTAATTCAGAAAATACTTGGTGAGAGGCTGTCCTTTGAGAGGCACTGTCCTTTGTTCTGTGGGGGTTGGGAAAGTAAGAAAACAACTTATCCTTCAAAATTAGAAGAGGAAATAAGGCACGAACAACATAGCTATGATGTAATGCAGACTCCTATTTAATATCTGTATTCTACTAATTGGAATCGAATGGTTTGAAGTTTACACACACACACACACACACACACACAAACACATGCGTAGCACTTATAGTGTCTACCTAACAGTAGGCCTAGAACGATGAGATAGGAATTTAATGGCATTGCATAGGTTTCAGGCCATCCATAACTTTTTTCCCAGTTGAGAAGTAATTTACAAACAAAAATTATTTGTCTTCTGGACAAATCCACCTTGTATTTTCCATAATTCTATCATATGTAAAAAGCTATCTTTTCTCAAAGAGAAAGAGACAGCAAGTCTGCATACAGCCTCTGCCTTTTCCATCCCCCTTCTACAAATGTGCTTGATCCCATGCACATATGTATGCACACACACACACACGTACACAGACACCCCCACCCACACCCCATTGCTGTCTGAATCTCACAGTCCCAATGCTGTAATCATAGGAAGTATCCCATTTGCTTCCCACTTGGGTTATTTTTCTGCTCTAACTCTAGAGATTAAGAGCCAAGAGAGATTAGCTTGGTTTCCCTCTGAATTCTGTATGTGCAGAAACACACTATGTACAACTTCCTTCTCCTTTAAAGGGGGCAAAGGTGCAGACAGGTAGAGGGGGCTTCTGTTGGAATTCAGAATCTCTGCAAAGGTAATCCTTGCTCTACAGAGTAGTTAATAGCCTTAAACTGTAATGAATCTATGACTCAGTGGTTTCAAGGTTGTACTTTCAAGCCCATTTTGAGTATTTGTAGACTAGCCAGAGGACTTTGCAACTACTGAAAACATTATGTCTGTGGAAAATGTGTTTCAAGTTCCAAGCAAGTAACCTTTACAGGAAGCACTGGAAATACCCTGTGTCTGGAGGAGCCTACGACCAGCTGCAGCATGCTATATGTATAATACATTTATAAGCTAAGTGCAGTAGAAATTAGACACCCAACCTCATTTTACAAAGATTTTCATAGTCGAGGACTGCAAGTCAACACTAAATTTCATATTAAAATTGCCCAAAAAGTATTTGTAGAGGAAGTTCTTGAATTCTGACTGATTTTTAGATGGAACAGAGAAAACAGCATTGCAGTCCAACGGGCACATGTATACATATGTAACTAACCTGCACAATGTGCACATGTACCCTAAAACTTAAAGTATAATAAAAAATTTAAAAAAAAAAGAGAATACCAAATTACTGGGCTGGTAAAGTAAAAAAAAATGTAATAACACTTCTTAAGCATTTAACTTTATTTTTCAGTTTGTCTACTTTGAAGTAGGGATAGTAATAATACTTACCTCATAGGGTTGTCAGGTGAATTAAGTGAGTTATATACATGAACCACTTACAGTGCCAGGCACGTAGTAAATATGTTCGTGTTCATGACTGTGAGCACTGATTGATGGTTCAGAGACCCTTATGGACAAACACACTGTACAGGGGACTGCTTTGGGCACCAGATGGCAATCTCAAGCTACTCCCTCAAAAGTACATTCAGCTCCTGTGTCTAAACAGCTAAGTAATTCTTAATCCTTTCAATGATTTTTTTTTTTTTTTAAGGAAAGAGAGGACACTGCTAAAATTTACCCCTCTTGACTGCCAATAAGTAAGGGTTTCTTTTCGCTGGGGATGGAGTGAGGGGTGAGGTTGGGGAGTGTGAAGAAAATGTTCTAAAACTAGATTGTGATGATGTTTGTACAACTCTGATAATATACTAAAACCGTGAAACTGATACTTTAAGTAGGTGAGTTGTATAGTATATGAATTATATCTCAAGAAAGCTCAATAAGAAAGTGTCTGGCATTCTTAAAAGTTCTTTCTAGGCATTAAGGGAATTTTCTCTGTCTATTTACAAAAGTGAATCAGGACAACATTGCCAGGAGCTTTTCACAATAATTTTTAATTATTTGTGAAAAGATGAATGCAAACTATAATGCCTATGCATACTAACAAGAACATCCTGTACCAGTTTTCTGAATGAGTTAAACAATTTTGTGTCAACATACTTTGGAATTAGAGACTTTGAAAGTAATGATTTTCCTGAACTCTTACCTCTGTGTTTATAATGCTAACAATGTTAGATTCTTTTATCTAAGTGCTAACTTCTATAGAAACTCTAATCAGCAGTCACATCATTCATATTCTGAAGGCACAAAACAATAGAATTGTACTCTCACCAAAGTGATATTCTTCACCAAGAACTTGCTCCATACTGTTTTTTTGTTTTTAAGTAGAAACTCATGCTATATTTTGTAAGGGCTCATCCAGAGTGGCACCTCAACACATAGTCATGGAGATAAACAATGAGACAGGATGTTTCAGATCTACTGTAACTCTCTGTCTGAAGGTAAAATTCCTCCATTGTGGCTGTCGCAAAAGTACGATTTTATTTTTATCACCTACATATTTAGCTGGTAACAATTGGTGATGACATAAGCCCAACTGAAAAACACAGGGCACCATGCCATCCTTTTCACACTGTCTTATGAACAGCTATTATCTCAGCGGAGGCTATAACCGCCCTGTGAGGAGAGACACCATGCGGGTTCTGTTTTCCACTCTGTGAGATGGATCACCAGAAATGCCATTCATGGTCTTCTGATGATAAAACTTGTGGAAAAGTATACTTCAGATAATTTGACTATTTCCTGTTTTTAACCTTCACTTATGTTTTTAGTAGTTCTTTACTTTCCAAGTCTTATAGAAACCCAACATCATTTCCTGTAAAAACATCTATTTGTACATTAAAGTCAAGAACAGTGGGGCCTTAAAAAAATTGTAAGTGAGCCCATTAGTAGCTCCTTAGATTTAGTGAACAACGTCAGAGTATCTCAAGTGAAGTAGGTAACCAGAATTAGGTTCAGCTTGTGGCTATAAATAAAAATAACCAGCCATATAAATAACATTAGTCAGCCTTTCCAAATCAGCTCAGTTGTCTGACTTCTCCCACACCACACATACCCCTAAATGAATTGAATCGAACAGTTTTGGATTTGGGCTTTATCAGTTTCTCTGCTCAGATCCTACCCTTGAATTACCATCATCCTTAAGAGAAATTGAGAGACTATGCCAGCTGAGGGATCTGCATCTCCTGTGTCCCTTCATAGGAACAGAGGTCACTTGGGCTCACCTGGAGATTATGGGTTGTCTCATTTGGCTATTCATTTCCTTCAATCATGGCTGCTGGAACTATGACTCTGACTATTACCAAACAAACCTATTTACTTCTGAAATGCAGTCACTGTGGTAGGGAAATCTTTCTAGCCTCATCCTACTGAGGATAACTTTTATCAGTAATTTTTTAAAATTAATATTTAGTTTACATTAGGTCTTTATAAATATTACCTACAGTTGAACCATGTATCTACGATTGCTATGTTAATTCTTCTTGTGCATGTCTGATTTCTTTTTCCTGAAGTTAATAATTGCCTCTGATTTTGGTTGGTTGGTTGTTCAGCTTCCTGTCTACCTGACACTCAATTCTTAATTTTCTGTTAGTATAGAAAAATGACTTTGGAAGGTTTAAACATCAAGTAATCACTTACTCTTTCTCTCTGCTAATATTTATCCTAGAGTTGCCTGTTCCTGTGCTCCAATGTGGATCTTTGCTCTCTAGATCTGCTGTGACACTGTCAACTAGAGTGCATGCTGTCTCTGTCTGTCTCCTCTTTGGATCTTCTGTATCCTGAATCTTGTGTCTTTCATTTTAATTCCACATTTTGATGATGATATCGTTTAGCAGATTTCTGAAAGAGGATGATGATTTTCTTTGAGATCTGGCATGTCTGGGAGTACCTCAATTTTACTCTTAATTTGATCTAGAATTCTATATTGGAACTAACTTTCCCTCAGAATTGTGATGGCATTGCTCTGTTTTAACTTCTACATTTACTGTTAAGAAATCTAATACCATATTTATACTAAATATATTATCTGTGACTTTTTTTTAACCCTTCGATGGAAGCTCCTAAGCTCTTTATATTATTTCTGATAATCAAAAATTTTATAGTAAAGTGACTCTTAAAATTGTTTCTCTCTCTTGAAAGTAGAAATTCATATACACTACATTTTTTGCAATATTTTTATTATATTATTTTGTATAAAATCTGGAATATGTTTTCTCATAGTTTTTATTGGATAAATCTTCCCTTTTTTCCACATTCTCTCTTTTCTTTCTCTGAACAATTATTTGTATGTCAAGTCTCTTGGACTGATTATTTTTGCCCTTTTGGCTACTTTCTGGGAGATTTTCTTTTTACTCTCTTTTTCTCTTGATTTTTTTTTCACTTGTGCTATCATTTTAAATTTCTAGAGCCTTTTAAAATCATTACTTGCTTGTTTTTTATAGCTTATTTTATATTTTTCCTGTTTCTTGACTAAAAGCATTTTCTTCTCTCTTCATGAGCACATTAGTTATAGTTTGAAGATTTCTCTTGTTTTCTTCCTTGTCTTCTTCCTCTTTTTTCTTTTTCCTTTCTGTTTATTTTAAAGGTTTCTTCAGATGCTTTGTGATTTTTCTCTATAGGCCTCTATTTTAAAAAGAGGCACTGAAATCCTGATTGGATGCTCTGTGTACATAGGCAGGGAAGTTGATGGTGGGTTTTCCAGATGGGTGATCAAGTGAAACCTGGCCATTTCATACTTGGAAAATCTCAAATACCAGACCCTTTTGGTATCCTTTCTTCTGGATGCAAACCTGGGTGATAGACTTCTGGGAGTGGAGAAAGGGAAGGAAACATATTCACAGTGTAAGCTTTTCTTTGATAGGCTATTTTCTGTGCAGTGTTTCAACTTCATCCTCATCCATACCCGCAGAGAATAAATATACACTCTTGTTTGAAAGGAGAATAATAGGAGAGGGGTACCTATTAATCCTTTGATTTTTCAGCCCCAGCTCGTACCATTACATTCAGAAGTGCTGGTGACTGCAGTCTCTGAGCCTCTGGTGAGTTCTCTGATATGAATCAGCTTGTTTCTTTTAGGTTTCATTTCCTGTTCATCTCAGCAACACAAAGCTACTACTCTTGCATCTGCATTTCCTCTTCCAAAACTTTGTTCCTATTTCTCACCTGCTGTGATCTTGTCTTCCATTCTGTTTGACCTTGTAGATTTATGTCTTTTTAAAATTCCTCAACTGTCATTATAGTGGAGTTTGGGAGAGAGCAGAAATAAATGCAGGTGTTCAAACTTCCATGTTTAACTGTAGGTTCAGAATTTATATTTAGTTCTATTAAATGTACTCTTGGTGGTCCTAGCCATCCGTTGAGCTCGTCAAGATCTTCCAGACCCCAGTACTTTCATTCATCGAATTATTTGTATCACCAAGCTTTGTGCAAATCTATCCATTTCGAGAGTCTAGGATGAACACAGCTATTTAGTAAGATTTCGAAGTTTTCCATTTAGCACATGCTCAGCTCTGCTCCCTCATACAAATTGGGTCACCCTTTGTGAAAACCCCACCCAATTAGTATATAGTATCTTTTGTTCTTGACTTGTGACCAAAGCTTCTTTAGAAGTTTATAAAGATATTTGAAACAAATGCTCCCTCCCATATCTCTCTGTCTTTTCTCTCTTTCTGTCTCTCCCCCCACCTCTCTCTCTCTCTTCTTTACCTCCCTTTCTCTTCCACACACACAGTAGTTATCTATGTATAGTCAAAGGCATCTATAACTTCTGAATTCTGAACAGCATCATGTGGCTTTAATCTTTTTAAAAAAACTTTAGGTTCAGGGGTACATGTGTAGGTTTGTTATCCTGGTAAACTCGCATCACAGGAGTTTGTTGTACAGATTATTTTGTCACCCAGGTACTAAGCCTAGTACCCAATAGTTATTTTCTCTGCTCCTCTCCCTCCTCCCACCCTCTACCCTCAAGTAGGCTGCAGTGCCTGTTGTTCCCTTCTTTGTGTTCATGAGTTCTCATCATTTAGCTCCCACCTGTAAGTGAGAACATGCAGTATTAGATTTTCTGTTCCTACGTTAGTTTGCTAAAGATAATGACATCCAACTCCATCCATGTTCCTGAAAAAGACCTGATCTTATTCTTTTTTATGACTGCGTAGTATTCCATGGAGTATATGTACCACATTCTCTTTATGCAATCTGTCATTGATGGGCATTTAGGTTGATTCCATGTCTTTGCTACTGTGAATAGTGCTGCAATGCATATTTGTGTGAATGTATCTTTATGGTAGAATGATTTATATTTATCTAGCTATATACCCTATAATGGGATTACTGAGTCGAATGGTAGTTCCATTTTTGGCTCTTTGAGGAATTGCCATACTGCTTTCCACAATGGTTGAACTAATTTACACTCCTGCCAACAGTATATAAATGTTCCATTTTCTCTGCAACCTTGTCAGCACCTGTTGTTATTTTTTGATTTCTTAGCAATAGCCATTCTGATTTGTATGAGACAGTATCTCACTGTGGTTTTGAATTGCATTTCTCAAATGATTGGTGATATTGAGCATTTCTCAATGCTTGTTGGCTGCATTTATGTTTTCTTTAGAAAAGTGTCTGTTCATGTTATTTGCCCACATTTTAGTGGGGTTGTTTTTTTTTTCTTGTAAATTTGTTTAAGTTTATTACTGAAAATTGATATGGTTAATCAGAATACTAGCAACTAACTTTTTTTGAGACAGGGTCTTGCTCTGTTGTTCAGGCTGCTGATAACTTTCAATACCATATCATTGCCTTAGATTTTTTAGATTCTTCTACTATGTGCCTGCTGATTTGCATCTACTTAGGTGTCTCTATAAAGCAAACATAGAATTTCTATATGTACCTTATTTTTTACAGGGAAGAGGACTTAAAGCAATTTGCTGAAAGATGCCAGAATATTCTAGAGAACTGAGACTTCCTCACAAATGCAAGAAAGGCCAAACTAGAACAAAAATAGTAAAGCTCTGAATGTGATATCAAATTTCATTGCATTCAATATCTAAAGTAAAATTCTATGAAATCTGAAAGCTGTGACTTAACATCTCTAGGAATTACTATTATGTTTGCAACTTTGGAGGCAAAAATATTCCTGAGTTCGTTTACTTGCAAACAACTAGTTTTCTTACCATGGTTTAATTTTGACTTATCCCAACCCTTATCTGTTTCAATGTTGATATTTATGAGTCCTTTAGATTGTTCTTAAAATCATGATCATATATATTACATCCATTCTTCTACCCTCTTAGGTTAAACTAGTTGTTTATTTACAGGAAGGCACAACATATGATAACTGAATATCACAAATGGTTACGTGTTTTGATTTTCACTTTCAAGTGGCAATGACAGATATCCAGTTAAATTATGTACTGAAACACTTAACATTTCTCCTTTTTAAATTATCTACCCCTAACTGGGGGGAAAAACCAAGGTAGTTTTGTTTTTAAATAGAAATTATGTGTCTTTGCCTTTACTCAAGAATTTAGATTTTAAAAATTATAACTAGGCTGTTATGTATGGGTAAAATAAACATTGGGGAAATATTCAGAAAGATCCATAACAGTCATGTAGTAGTAATAGCGGTATTTGGAGGGGAAATGAAATGAAATTAACATCAACTCAAGCCTTAAATAGCTGTGAATGCAATTATAACAATTCATGCCCCTTTAGACTTGATTTCTGATGAAGCAAAGTCCCAGAAGACCCAGGTGATAGGCATGCCTACCAGCCAACTGCCATGCTATCAGTCCCCAGGAGAGCAGCTTCTCCTGCTGACAATTAGTAGTTTTTCTACATAGGCACTCTGCCTTGTAACATTAGCTCATCTATTCTCTTGGACTTAAACAGGAGGACCTGCCTCTGTGCGACATCAGTTCAGAAGCAGATGCTAGTGTTTCTGATGTATTTGCAAGGAAAATGAGTGAGATTCATCAGAATGTCAGATGATGCACTAAAGATTGTTATATAGCTGTCACTGCTATTATTGTAAAGGTGTGCCTTCCCATTTCTTAATAATGGTAGTTTATGAAAGGAATAAAGAAATACTGCACTTTTTATCTACCCCCCTGAAAGACATTAGGTACTTAGACACATGGAGGAATTATTAAAATAAAATGGTTCTAATTATATAGCAACCTGTAATTACATATTGCAATTATGCAGGGGCAGTTCAGGTGTGACTCATTATTTCACTAATGCTTCTTTGTTATTTTTTCTATTATGGTGGGAACTCTTCCAATAGTGGCAAGAAAAGTGGGGGAGAGAAGAAATCTCTGACAACTTTTTTTTTAATGAAACAATTTAAATATACAAAATGTTTTTACTGCAAAAGCTTAAAATGAGTTTTAGCAATAGTAGATTAGGCTAATCAGAACAGAAGTATTTATGCAGCATATTCAATTAAAATATTAGCAGCATCATAACTAATAACAGCAGACATTTCTATCAGCACTCAGAGAATATGGTAAATAGGTATTTTATGTTGAAAGATATTATAAATAACAAACATAATAAAGAATTCTTCCCTCCAAAATTGTGTGGTATAATAACTGGGTTATGTTGGAAGAGCACAACGTCATGTTTTTAGATAGAAATAGTCTAAAAAATTGGCTTTATATTTTTAAATGCCTGGAAGCAGTGAACAGAGGGACGGGTTCAGTTTATGAAAACTTGAGATATAATTCTGTCTTGGGAGAGCAAAGAAGGGGCAGAATCATAGCCTTGGAAGGGAAATTGATGGATGGAGAACCCTATGGATACTCACATCTGTTGAATTCCTGCTCTTTTCCCTTTGGGTGCAATGTATTCAATAGTGCATTCGAGTCACATCCACACCAACTGCGAAAATCTTATTGTGGTGTTATCTCTGTGATTGCTCTTTCACTTGTTGAAATTTCCTATGCAAAATTTGCCTGCAGGAACATCAGCTTATGCAGTGGGTTAAATGGCATTTCATGTAGTTGTAAAACCACTTTGGAGTGTCTGATTTTTTTCTTTTATGTCATATCATCATTGCCTATGTTTCTCAAATGTTCTTAGCATAAACGGCAGTAAAGGAAAATTTCTGTCCCATGAAGGTTTAATTTGCAATTTTTAAAGATAGTCCATTTTCCTTGTTTAGGAGTGTCTCTTTCTTCTTGACCTTTTCCATGCAGATGTGAAAACTGGAATCTGAATGTTTTATAAAGGCAGGATAAATTTTGCTTTAACTCTTCTTTAGCATCTACTATAAAATCAGCACCAGAGTCATTGAATTACATATGTATTTCTTCAGGAATACATGATCATTTGAAAAGCTATATTCAATCAGAAAATTGTTAGCTTTGATGTTGGGGCATAAGGTAAAAGGTAAAAGTGATCATGCATATAGTAAAGCATGCAGAGTGTGAGTTTCTGACACTGGCAGGAGACAACCTCTGCTATAAGTAATGGTGCTAGAGAAGCTAAGTTGTATGAAGGGGCCAAGATGTAACCAGCCTGGACAGGGTGCCAGAACCCAGGGTCAGTCACCCCTTCATGACCAGATGATTGGAATTTGAGCTGAGCTTCAGGGGAAGGGTGCTGCCTCATATTTTGCCAGATGTCTCCAGCAGACTCTTGGAGTGCTTGTCCACTATCCAGTCAATGATGCTTTTACTATAGGTAGAAACTTCATTAAAAATACATATAACTGAATAATTCACTATTCAGGTTTTAGTATTATTGCTTACTACGTTCTTATCAAGCTATGATAGAAACATTTTTCAGGAAATAGGAATATCTGTTTGTATTCCTCATCAAAAGTCAGCTATTGCTATTTGCTTTTGTGATCTATGGGCTCTTGTGATGTTTGTTTAGTGGAATGCACTCATTTCTAGAGCCATTTATACTGGGAAAGAAGGGAAGGAGAAGAGGAAGGAGGCAGGAAGTATAAAAGCAGGGATTGAACAAATTTGATAGGAAATGTTTAAAATTTTAATAAAATGCTGGCTTCCCTTTATTATGGGAAATGCCACAGGGCCTTTCCATTCACTCCTTGCCTAATTCCAGAGCCCCTCCTTAGAACAGGAGTGCTGCCTTGTATTCTTCTTTGTCCAACAAAGTATTATATTTTGGAGACCCTCCTGCTAGTGGCATGCAGTATATTTTCTTCATCTGAATCAGTCGTGATTTTGGATATTTGCTTCCAGGGTCATTAGTACTCTAGACTCTACTTGCAACTTCAGTGATTTCGGTTTCTGGGGACTTCAGTGGGCTTTGGAACACAGCACGATCTGAAGCGTCTTCTGATTGTCATTTCAGGCTGTAACAACTTTTGTCTGGCTTCTCCTCCTTGTCTGTTCACAAAGAAACTGAAGTCTTCATATCATTTTCTCTCCAGAAATATTAGTTTCAGCTTTTGTTTTTCTCTTTTACAATCATAACAGAAAATCTTGAAGGGGAAAAATATGGCGCTATTGCAAATCTACAAAATATATACAACTTTGTAGATTTCTGCTTTCCTGGAAAACTTATTCATATAAAACTTATTGATATAAAACCTCTTATTTTTTTCATCGTGTCACTCTGATCAGCCAAGTTTATAGACCCACATATCATTTCAAAAAGGTCCAGACTATTTTCTTTTTGTTTCCCCGATTTGACTGGAGATTCTTATGAGGAGGGCTTCCTGTTCCTCTTTGTATCCTTAGGCCCTAGCATAGAACCTAGCACCCAATAGCTGCTCCACAGATGCTTTTAAAATTGAATTGTGAATGCCTTTAAACAAACTTTATACAAAAAGACGTAAATTATTCTCTTTTTCTACCTATTAAAGCAGTTTCGGACTATTTTCCTCACAGTGTCTTAGGGGAGGACTGGTCTCTCTACCTGTGACTGCAATCTCATCATAACATGAATGAATTTGCTAGTATCAGAATGGAATTACTGTCACTATTCAAATACCCTATGCCTCCACTACAAAGTAGTTCTTTCAGTCCTCCAACATGAAGGAAGCATACACCTAGAGCCTGGATGACTTGCTTCTTAGGAGGCCTCACTCTTAGCTTAAGTGAGGCAAGTATTCTGTGTTGGTTTTTCTTTAAAGGAAATACAATTTGTGTTAGCCTTGAGGTAATTTGACTGTGATGCATTGGAACAGATGGCACCCAACTGGTGATAATTACGTTAGTGAACCCTTTGGTGGTGCTACTTGGAGATTACAGATAAGCTTTCCCTTTATGTAAAACCTAATGAGATAGAATGTTGTCACCTTAAGTGCTTCAGTTAGTAGTGCTCAGTTTAAATAGAACTTATCAGACAATGTTGGCAGTAAAGATAGTATAGTATAGTCAGGAAGAAAAATGAATATTGCCTTTACTTGTTATTCCTTCCAGCAGTCTCAACACATTTAGACAAAATATTTGTATTTGAGACACAATCTGCCGAGAGTAGACAAGAAAGGCCTTTATAGTTAGAACTGGACTTGAATTTCAATCTTGTAACTTTCAACTAATGGAAACTTGGGAATTTGA
The DNA here is from genome assembly GCF_000001405.40 of Homo sapiens. Lineage (NCBI taxonomy): Eukaryota > Metazoa > Chordata > Mammalia > Primates > Hominidae > Homo > Homo sapiens. Next base: position 153,615,721 of record NC_000003.12, on the reverse strand, counting down.
TTTATTTCTCTCAGCCAGTTTTCTCATCTGTAAATTGGAGAAAAAACATAATTATATATTCTATTTATTTATGGATGAATAAAAGGTGAAGTTTTTAGCACAATGCCTGTCAAGGTAGGCTCATTTTAAATATTTGTTAGATTCCCTCTCCTTCAGTACATCTGGTATTGATCTGAAACTTTACAGTTAAAAATTAATGTAGGTGAAGAAAATGTAAAGAACCTCACTTAATGATTTCTTTTATTTTTGATAAATTTGTCCAAATGCTATGCATAAGTAATCTGTCTTCGAGAAATCTAAAATAAAATGAGAAGTTTGTTTATGGAAAGTCATGATAAAATAATGGGGGAAAGTATTTTGCTGGGAGTCAGAAGACCTATTCTCTTTTTCTACCTCTGCCTCAAACACAATATATCAAACAAAATATGTTAATTGTGTTGTTTTTTATTCATAATGGTTTTATATTCCCACTGCTATATTCAAAGCTAACCCTTTTCATCTCGTTTACAGACAACTGCAGTAGTCATGTAATTCAACTTTCTATTATACATTTTTACTCAAATTAAGAAAAAAGCATTGCTTCAAGTAATATTTTGTCTAGATTACTGAAAAGTTGAATATCTTATAACTAAGTTCACATTTTTCTCAAATAACTGACTAGGGAAACCACAGTATACCTCAAGCACGTGGTACAGACAGCAATATTACTGTGACAGCTTATGAAATTATGCAGTGTATAGCCTGTTTGGCCTCGCATTAAGCTTTTGTCTATAATATGTTCAAATCAATCATTTAAGCAATTCTTGGGTCTTAAAACCCTTCCCTGATTTTTCTTTTCATTGTCCATGCCATAAAGTCCAGAGAATCAGAGAAAAACTGTGATTCACCATCCTTATATTTAGGTCTGACATGCCCTGACATGCCTTCCCAGATCTATTTCTCCATTGTGTCCTAATAAGAAGCTGCTATGCCATCCAGACTGGTCTTGCATAACTCTTACTCAGACCAATCTAGAGGCTGACTATGGAGCAAGGTATAGAAAGGAGAAACAAAAGAAGTGTCAAAAATGGGTAGGGCTAGATGAAATAGTTTGAAGATAAAGCAAACCAAGAAGAAAAGTTACAGATGTTACTAGAAGGGGATCAGGAGACAAAATCCAGAAATTTGTCTCGGTTACCACACCATAACTCCATTGGTTGAGAGAGACCAAATGAGTAGAGAGACTGAATCCTTTAGCTATTTGATGAGACCTCTATTAGACATGAGAGAGAGATGGCATTTGACTGTCTGTTAAATATTTTAGAAAGAAAATCAAAATCCTAAACTCATGATTAAAGCCCTGTAAATGACCACTAAGAAAAGAATGTATAAGGAACACTGAGTAAAATTAGAAGCACATTTTCATGAGAATGAGAAAAAGTAATTCATTGTCTTCGTTGCTGTACTTAATAAAGCCTATTTGTAGTTGCAGAAAAAGAAAATTCTTATTGCAATTAAAACAATCTGGGGTTACCAAAATAGCATCAGAGACTCTTTGTTAACCTTACTTCTGTCATGTCATTTCTTTCATTGCCTTATGCCCAACCTCAGATTCTTGTTAAAATGAAGGCAAAAAAAATTGCAGATCTCAGACGGTGTGCTGGGAGATTAATGAAACACATTCTGGAACAGAGGGAGGATTGAAAAAATAACACCAAGTTTTCTGTGTCTGTTATATGAGCTGCTTCATATCATCATCCTGTAGCCAAACTCTCTCTCCTCCCTCCTAGAGCCCCTCTCCCCCAACTTCAGCATGTCTATCACATCCTGCTGCTCATTGGCAAATAAGCTTCTCAACCTCCATGTTATGGGAATAGTAATATTGCTATTAACAATGCTATCACATACCCCAGAGGCCTAAGGTGTATTCACGTTAAAGAAAGGTGAGCTCATTACTATGTGTACACTATTCATTGATAATTTTATACATATTATATGTATCCTACTAAAATTCAGTTAGGGATTTATTATATACTTAATGTGGTGCTACCTATTACTTTAACTCAGATATTGTGAAGAGTAAACAGATAAATAACAAAACGACAAAAGAAAAAAATCAAAAGCTTTAAGAAATAGCATTTTAGTGATAGCTGCTGTACCCAGGGTGGATCCTTACTAGAAAGACACAGGAAGTGTTCAGAGCAAAGCGTAGGGCAGCCATTCAGTTAACACTTATTCTGGAAGTTGGTCTCTTCCTAAGAATAAGGAGAGGTGTTTATAAAATTCACATCATTACTGAAGCACAAAGATCAAAGAATTATCCTCAAATAGTAGTCAGCTGAAGCTCATGCTTTATGAAATTAGATGATAATTGCAGTTCAGTATTTGAATAGATTGGTGCTGTGGTAAACAGGAACAGAAATATCTAGAACTAAGTAATAAGTGAAGAAATATCTGTAATTTAGAGTTTAAATTACAACATACAAGACACAAAGTCTCACTCTTTTTTTCATTGTATATCAGCTGTTAGCAAGGGGGTGATTAGTTCAGCCTGAGCTGATAATGAATTTCTGACAAACTTGAGGAAGAAATCAAGTAGCCTCTTGAAGCCATTGAGGGTTTTTTTTGTTGTTCTCTATTTGGCTAATGAAGTTACAAATACCATAATGAAGTGGGTTGGGAAGTACCAGTAATCTCATATTGAAGTGCTTGGTGGAATTTTGTTTATATTATTTATGATTAAAGTTTTCATGAACTGAATATTGTTTATTTCCCAGTTTGAATAAGTTATTGACTTATGCCAATGTCATCTTCATAAAGGGCCTGTGACAAAACAATTCTTTAATTATTATAGATGTATATTCAGACTCTGACCCCATCAAATTATGGCTTTGAGGATTTCATATAAAAATAGGCAGACCATATATGGAACACCACTTACAAAATATAGCTTAGTGTTCGTTCCTTTGTAGATATTCTTACTAACACATTGGCAGTCCGGGGCTTTTCTTTAATGGTAGCTTTTAATAAATATTTGGGGCAATCAGGGAAAAAATATCTAACCCTTATCTATATAGATATATAGCCATAGACATTTATATCTAAGTATATAACATATACATAAATATGCATTCACTACAAATTTTTACACCATGTTAAAACACTCTTACGTATTTTATCTTGTCTTTTTGGAGCACTTCTTTATTTTTAGAAAATAATCCTTGAATAAGACGGGCATGGTGGCTCACGCCTGTAATCCTAGCACTTTGGGAGGCCAAGGCGGGCAGATCACGAGGTCAAGAGATTGAAACCATCCTGGCCAAAATGGTGAAACCCTGTCTCTGCTAAAAATACAAAAATCAGTTGGGCGTGGGGGCGGGCGCCTGTAGTCTCAGCTACTTGGGAGGCTGAGGCAGGAGAATCGCTTGAATTCGGGAGGCAGAGGTTGCAGTGAGCCGAGATTGCACCATTGCACTCCAGCCTGGGTGACAGAGCCAGACTCCATCTCAAATAATAATAATAATAATCCTTGAATAGAGTATGTTGCCCTATATATCTCCCATATCTATGCAGGAGTCAAAAAGTATAACAAATATCACTGTAGATCACTACACGAGAAGTTAAAAGACAAAAAAAATCTGATTAAAAGCAAAACTGATTGTATGGATATCATTAAGTATTTGTAGCATTTCACTCATTCATTCATTCAGCAAATATTTATTAAGTGCCTACTACTTACAGGCGGTCTTCTAGGGCTAGAGATTTGGTAGGAGAGACAAATGATGAATAAGTAACACATACCTTGGCAGAGGATAAGTTCAGTGCAGAAAAGGCAGGGAAGATGGCTAGGAAGTACTTGCTATTTTATGGATGATCAGGGATGACCTCTCGAGTTTCCCATGGGTGAGGGCTGGAGCCAGGAAGGAAGAGCGTCCAGGCAAAGGAAGCAGCACGTAGGAAGGCCTTGAGGCAGGCAACACTCAAGGAACAGCAAGGTAGGGAGCACACGTCATGTATGAATTTGAAGGTCACTGAATGCCATTGGGCTTCTTCTGACAAAGAGAAGGAACCTACCTAAGTGTTTTCAACAGAACAGTGACATTATTTGACACTTTGAACAGTGACAGCTCAAAGGAGATATGATGATGATAACATTGTAGCAATTGAAGTGGTGCAAAGTGGTCAGATTGTTGGATGTAATATAATATTTCAGAGAATACACAACAGATTCAATAAATGCTAACATCGACTCTATTGGTTAGATTTTTAACATTTATGAAAAATTACAGATTGGTTCAAACCATCCCTTGAACATCTCCCTTATTCCATTGCCTACACCTGCAAGCCTAGAGAAAATCACGTTGTAATTTTGCATATACCTTTGTTAATCCTTACACTTTACTCCATAATATATGTTCATAAGTAATATATAGTATTTATATGTATATTTAAATTTTACATAAATGCTATTTACTATAATTTTTCTCACTCAACCTTATTCCTTAGAGTTCTGCCAAATTGATGTATAGATTTATATTATTTCCTTTACTTGCTCTTCTGTATTCAACTGCGTGATTATACCATAAATCCATTCTTATATTAGTGGATATTTAGATTGTTTCTCTTTTTTTGTCTTTTTTTTTTTTTTAATTGAGACAGAGTCTCACTCTGTTGCCCAGACTGGAGTGCAGTGGCGCAATCTTGGCTCACTGCAATCTCCGTCTCCTGGGTTCAAGAGACTCTCCTGCCTTAGCCTCCCAAGCAGCTGGGACTACTGGTGCGTGCCACCATGCCTGGCTAATTTTTTTGTATTTTTAGTAATGACGGGGTTTCACCATGTTAGCCAGGATGCTCTCCATCTCCTAACCTCATGATCCGCCTGCCTCGGCCTCCCAAAGTGCTGGGATTACAGACGTGAGCCACTACGCCCGGCTGGGTAATTAGATTGTTTCTAGTATTTTCCCTGTAATTAAAAGAAAAAAAAAAACAGTGATCAATATCCTTGTGCATGACTACCTGTAGACCTGTATAAAACTTTCTCTGGGGGGCAAATAACTATAAGCTGAAATCTATTTAATAGATCTCTTCTAATTTATTAATAATAACAAATTTCCTTTTAGAGTGGTAGTAAGAATTTACATTTCTTCCAGTAAAATTTGAAAGTTCTCATTTTATACATTTATTCATACTTAGTATTGTCAGGCTCTTCATTTATTACCAATTTTATAAGTTGTGAAATGGTTCTCTAATAACATTCTTAGAATTCCCCCCAACATGACAAATCTTTCAAATGTTAGTCATTTGGGTTTTCTTGTCAATGAATGATCTGTTAATTTTTTTATAATTGGAGTTATTCTCTTTTATTTGTTCTGTAGTAACTCTACTTATGTTCTTGATATCAATACTTTGTTATATATATTGCAGCTATCTTTTCCTAATTGGTGGCTTGTCTTTTAACTTTGTATATTTTTTATTAGATTTAAGAAATATTTTACTATTCATTCATGTATTAATCATTCCCTTTATATTTTATGCTTTCTGTGTCTTTTTAAGTAAATCTTTTATTTCTTTTGTGTTTTTGATTTATTCATTTGAGAGAAGTATGTAAAATTATTTCTCTATAATCACAAAATACCAGCTTCTTTAAGAAAGTCTCTCAGTTTCGCTTTATGCCTTGTGAAGATATACTATTCAGTACTAGACATGTATTCAGGATTTTTAAATAATCACAGTGATTTTTATTTTATACAAAACAGACCCACTTTAAACTATTAATGGGTTTGCCAAAACATATTTTTACGGTATTAATAATGAGACCTAAGCCTTCTTTCAGTTAGAATTTGTATAGTATACTTTTTGCCATGTGTTAAACTTTATTTTGGTATGGCTCGATATTTTACAAATTTTTCAATAAATATTCAAATGAATACAATTATATCTATACTGAAAGTATAAAATAAAAAATTGCTGAGCGTTTAAGTGCCCCTGTGTCTCTTTCACTGACTGCAGCTCTCCTCTCATCTTTGTGTTAATTTATCCTCAATTTGGTATTCAAATTTTCCTTGCACTTACATTACATAGTTATATTTATATAGACATATGAAAATCTATTTCTCTAGATACGTTTTATATAGTACTGTTTTGCCTTTTGAAAACTATTTACTTCTATAATTTTGCATTCTAAACTATGTTTGTTTTTCTTTTAATATTTATAATGTTGGGTGTGTATGGTGAGTTCAATTCATTCTAATCTGGATGGTCTTTTATAGTATGAATTTATAATTTATTTTCTGATGTGCACTTTGTTTACATTTTTTAAAAATTCTAAACAGTGCTGTTACCAACATCTTTTATCTCTGTTTCCTTGTATACATGTGAGACCATTTCTCAAGGATATATATATCTAGGAAGGGAATTGCTGGGTCATATAATTGTACCAATTTACATTCCCTCCAGTAGATTATAAATTCCAGTTATCCCATATCTTTGTCAACACTTGATATTGTCAGACTTTAAATATTTTTGCCTCGCTGATAAGTGTGAAATAATATCTTATTTACTTTTTACAGTGAAGTTAAATGTTTTTACATGTGTTTGTAGGCCATTTGGGATTCCTTCTTTCTGAATTGCCTATTTGTATTTGTTTTCTATTTATCTACTGGTTTGTTTTTCTTTTTGTTACTATCTTGTAGACTTCATGCATTCTATGTGCAAACTCTTCATTAAGATATAGTCTAATTTTATTACCTTTGTATTTTTTGGGTCTCACTTAACATTTTCCTTTCTCAAGGTCATAAAGATTATCTCAATTGCTTTCTGAGCATTAAGTTTTGTTTTCACATTTACGTTTGTAATACACTTAGAGTTGACTGTGAGGGTATGAGATAGGCATCCAGCTTTTCTGCATTTGGACAGCCCTTAGGACAGCACTATTTACTGAATAGCCAATATCTCAACTGACCTGCAAGATCACTCTGTCACCTCTCAGGCTTTCATTCTGAGTGGGTTTGTTTCTGGGTTCTCTGTTCTGTGCCATTTGTCTGTATATCGCTCCATTCTACAAATATCACACTGAATCAATTACGTATCTGGTAGGGCAAGTCTTTACACCTCAATTTTTTTTGTAGATGATGACATTAGACTATTTATTAGGGACTGTGTACAGATATGGTACTTGTATGTATAAATGTGTGTGCTTACACATTCTCTATGAAAGGACATTTTAAGCTGCCATTTGTAGACTGTAAGTACATAGAAATGTGATTGATTTTTCTATATTTATCTTATAATCAACATTAAATGTTCTAATAATGTATCTATAGATTTTATTGAGTATTCTCTGTGAACAAACTTATCATCTGAACTTCTAATTTTTGTGGGTACATATTAGGTACATATTTATGGAGTATATGGGATATTTTGATACAGGCATACAATATTTAATAATCACATCAAGGTAAATGGGATATCCATCACCTCCAATGTTTATCCTTTGTGTTACAAACAATCCAGTTATACTTTTTTAGTTATTTCAAAATGTACAATTAAATTATTGTTGACCATAGTCACCCTGCTGTGCTATCAAATACTAGATATTATTCCTTCTAACTATTTTTTGTATCCGTTAACCATCCCTACTTCCCTGCCATGCCCCCACAATACTCTCCCCATCCTCTGGTAATCATCATTCTGGTCTCTGTCTATCTCTATGAGTTCCCTGATAAATTTTAATAGAAGCTAACAGGAATTCTTGACAACTTCCTGACTTTGGAAGAGACAATTTTATTTCAACATTAATAATACTGTTTGCTATAGCATTTTGGCAGGCATCTTTAATTGAGTTAAGAAAATTCTTTTCTCTTGTAAGGTTTGTTAAAGTTTTCTTGTATTAAAAAAAGAGGCAGAAGCATTCATTAAAATTCAACATTCATTAAAATAATCATGTATCCTAGTCTCCTTTGAGTTTTTAATGAGGTGGATTAAATTAGTAGATTTTCTAATATGAAAGCATACTTCTAATTCTTAAGTAATAAAAACTTTATCTTCTTGTTTTTAAATATTACATTAGTTTGCTTGCAATTTGGTTGGAATTTTCCATCTAGGTTTATAAGTAAGAATGGCTCAGATCTTTCTTTTTCATATTGTCACGTTGATTGGTGTTGGTACCAGGGTTATTACTCTTGAGCAGTAGTCTCATTTTTTTTCTATTCTCTGGAATAGTTTGCATAAAAGTTTTAAATATCTATTTATTTTTTATTTATTTTTTAAACTTAGTCAAATAAAGCAGTGGGAGTGGAGAAGAAACAAAGAGATCCACAACTGTTTGTAATCACTTAGTTGCAAACACCATTGCACTTGGACCAGCCTAAATACTATTTCTTATATATTTGTTGGTGCTCACCTATAAAATCATCTGTATTTTTCTGGTTAGTAGTTTTCTTTCACTTTAAAAAAATACTGATAGTGATAGAACAATTTGTTTTCTTGCATTTATCAGTTTATTTGGGAAAGTTATATTTTTCAAAGATTTGTTCTATTTAACAAATTATTTTGCAAATGTTTTGACAAACTATTTTTATCTTTCAAATTTATGAATTTTTAAGTTCATACAGGAATTTTGAAAAGAACCATCCTTGTCATGATCCTTTTTTCCCTAATAAGTTATATTCAGTGGTCCTGGTTTTCACTTAATTTTCCAAGTTCACGTTTCAGGCTTATGTTTTGACTTCTCATGCCTTTACCCTCTCCCAGGGCCCTAAAGAAAGGCCCATGGGAAAAGTTTTTTAGCTCCTTCTTACCACCCAGGGGCTTCCTGTTCCAGCTCCTCCACTGTCCATGGTCTAAGACAAACCCTGATGTTCCTGGGTGGGCACTGGGAACCCAGTCACTGGCCCCTTAGCATGAATTGTGAACAAAAATCCCTGTGGCCATCATGTTCTCAGCTACCAATTGACATTTCAGCTTTAATTTCTTTATTTCTGGTACCCAAGTGTTTTCCTTTATTTTGAGCTTGGCTATCTGGAGAAGAATATAGTGAGATTTTCTCCGTAATTTTTCTTTTAGACATGGAGTAAGGGTTTGTCCCACCATCCTAGTCTGTCATATTGACGGAAGTCTTTCAGCTTATTTCTCAAAGTGGCCCACCTATATCCTCTAAAAAGTAAATAAATTTTAACATATTCATGCAGTTCAAGGAAAAACATGGTTCAGTGTTTCCCTCAAAACTATAAAATGTTTCTTTATTATATAAGTAATAATGTATACAAGTATTTCTATGTTTCTTCAATAAAATGTAAACTTCCTTGTAAATTGTTCTCTATAATATGTAAAGGATTATTTTAGTAGAGAATATCTTCAGTTGAAAGTGGTATGAATCCAAAGGTTCTATGGTCCTCATATGCCTTCCTCTAATTTGGGGACATAAAGGAACATTGGACCTTCTATTTGAGAATATAACCTAATTTCCCCCTCTATTAGCACACATTTAAGTTTTCTTTTACCTAACAGGGCAGAATGGTGCTTTTTCTATTGTCATTCACATCAGGAAATACATCATTTTATTCCATTTTTATTTATACGAACTTGTTATAGTAGGTTACATTTATTTTCATAAACAGATTTTCTCAGGGCTTTCCTCCTGTGAAAATTATCTTTGGGGGGTGTGTGTGTGTGAGAGTGTGTGTGTGTATGTATGTGTGTTTGTGATGGTTTGACTACCTCAGACTGGTATAATACTCCTGGGAGGATAATTCAGTTCACCTAATTATTGTGAGAAAAACAAGTTCATAGTCTCTAGCAGCAGATGCTGGTGAGGCTCTGTCAGCTGAATATTAACAGAGCTGTAGACAATCTCACTAAGAAGTTCCTGCCTCACCAGTTCACAATGTGAACCTGGGCCTTGCCAGCACCAGGTGAAAAGATTTTGTTATAGATGTTTGTTTGGGGGCTGATGATACCATTTTATGTCGTGTACATACTAGTGCATGTGCTGGGCAGGAGGAAAATGTACAACACATTTTTAAAATTTTAGCATGAATATTCAACACACTTGTCTCAGGAAACTTTTCTTCTTATCAATGGAAAAACACATGTCTGTCAGATACTTGTCATTGTGCCTGCCAAACCCTGCTAAGAAACAACAGTAGCCAACAATCTTTGAAAGATTTCGACTATCAAAGAGAATTCCAGCAATAGGGGGTGAGATTATGTCCTCAAACTCATGAAATGCTGAAAACTGCCACAAAGGGACTTGGATCTGGGAACAAGCAGGTACTTTTAGAGTTGAAAGGATGCTACGACTATTAAAAGTAATTTGCTCACATCCACCTAACAAAATATCACTCCAAAAGGTACCCAAATTAACAGGCTATTTTTATTTCTTCATTTGAAGAAAAGTGAAAATACGTGGAGAGAAATAAATTCAAAATCTTAACTACCTGGAAATAATTCTAAAAAGGATCCTTCCTCTGAATTGAAAAACAAATCATAGATTAGCTTCTGTTCTTTCATTTCCAGCATTAATTGAGGATGCTGGAAATGATGCTTTGAGATGATGCGGGGGCATGGGGTAAAAAGAAATGGTAAACGGGGCTGGGCGCGGTGGCTCACACCTGTAATCCCAGCACTTTGGGAGGCTGAGGCGGGTGGATCACGAGGTCAGGAGATCGGGACCATCCTGGCTAACACAGTGAAACCCCATCTCTACTAAAAATACAAAAAATTAGCTAGGCATGGTGGCGGGTGCCTGTAGTCCCAGCTACTCGGGAGGCTGAGGCAGGAGAATGGCTTGAACCCGGGAGGCAGAGCTTGCAGTGAGCCGAGATTGCGCCACTGCACTCCAGCCTGGGCGACAGAGCGAGACTCCGTCTAAAAAAAAAAAAGAAAGAAAAAAGAAATGGTAAACGGGAGAGAAATAATGTGCACTATTTTTATATATGAAACTTTAATTCTCACAATTATGCAGTAAAGAAGCTATTATCATTATCTCTATTTTACAGATGAGGAAACTGAGGCATGGAGCAGTCCACGTGAATGAGTCTCGTAGTAAGTGATGGAACTAGGATGCAACTCTCTGGTGTGAGTGCCCCACTCTGAGAGGTAAGGAAAGGAGTACACGGTTAGTACAACAGGAGCCATGCAGGGTCTTAAGTGGCTGCAGTAAATTCTAGTTAATATTTTCATAAATATAAAGATGCCAATGCACAGGATGCATTTCCATCCTTCCAGTGTTGTGCTCTGTTCCTTTTCTTTATTAGATTGATTTGAGGAATTGTTGGGATGGCATGTAAGCAGTGCTTACTATATCATTATCAGCACACCGGGTCAGCCGTATCATAGAAGAAAAGATACTCTGGTTTCAGAAGTAGGGTCATTTAAAATTGTAAACTATTCCTTTGTACCTTGTGGACCATGTTGCAAAATAGAACACAGTTATTAAGTCACTTATCTCTCTTAACCTCTGCATCATCAAATTTATTAGACAGTCAAAGCTTTTATTGCTTTTTGGGAAAAAATGCAATCCAAGATTTCACTGCTTTTAAAAATAATGTGCAAATATTATGTCTTACCCTAAGGAGAACTAACAATGATCCTCTGAATTCACTACTAAATATCTTTCAATCTAAGAAATTTCAGCTTTGCATTGCATTACCTCTGTGACAAAAGCAAAAGCAATTGCAGGGTTGTCTGCTTTTTTCTTCAGCTTCCACACTAAGTAATAGCTTAATCTAGCCCTTGATTCTAGTTGAGAGGCATTCCCTGGATCACAATAAACCTCATTTACTTTTTATTAACTACACTGTGTAATTGTGGTATTTTTTTCCTTTTATTGCATTGAAATTTGTCTGCCAATCATTTCCATTCCATGAAGTTAGTTTTGCCTCCAGTATCATCATCAGATCCAGTGGAACCCTTCTCTGCAGCCCAGGTAGATAATCTAAATAAGCTGTCGGGTAGCCTCCCACTAATTGTTTTCTTGTTTTCAAGAGAAATTTCCACAGTTTTGTCAATCATTCCTCAGGATATGATTTTCTTATGCTTCTTGCTACTCATTACCCCTTCTCAATCCATCCTTTTTTGCCAAAAGCCCACTCAGGATACTGCCCAGATGTAACACAATTCTGCAGATTTGGTCCTACCAGCCAGAGTGCACAAAGACAAAACTTGTTCTGGTTGCTTTTTTTCTATCAATGCATTTGATTAAGAAGATCCCTAGGCTGGGTGTGGTGGCTTATGCCTGTAATCCCAGCACTTTGGGAGGCCAAGGCGGGTGGATCATGAGGTCAAGAGATCGAGACCATCCTGGTCAACATGGTGGAATCCTGTCTCTACTAAAAACACAAAAATTAGCTGGGTGTGGTGGTGCACACTTGTAGTCCCAGCTACTTGGGAGGCTGAGGCAGGAGAACCGCTTGAATTCAGGAGGCGGAGGTTGCAGTGAGCCAAGATCATGCTACTGCACTCCAGTCTGGTGACAGAGCGAGACTCCATCTCAAAAAAAAAAAAAAAAATCCCTAATCAGACCATTTCTGTCAATTCCATAAGAAAAATATGCCAAAGAGGGGACCAAATAGGCAGAATAGTAGAACTGACTTGTATATACAACCATATTTTTTAAGCAGAGGGGGACCAACAAGGAAATGTATCTTCTAGGGACTAGATACCAAGTACTCACATTTCTATGGTTTTCTCGGCATGCAATGCTCTCTGTGTCTCCCATCTGCTTGGCAAACATCTGTTTGTCTTTCCAGCTACTCCTGAATAAAGAATTCTTGCCTGCCCTCAACCTCTGCTGAGTCAATCTGCCCTGAACACAGCACTGATGTGGGGGATACTTATGTTCTGTCTATAGTCACAGCTGATTGGGCAAAGAGGTGGGACCCCTAACTTAATGATGCTCATGGTGTGATCCAGCTCATAGATAGAGTGGAGTGGGGCCTACTGGCTTCTCTTTGGGGATGTAGAAACAGAGAGACCAGGTGCAGGAGCAGCCAGGTCATGGGTTATGTGGGGCTGCAGTGGCTCTCTTGTGCCATGCAAGCTGATGTCCTGGGGACAACAGCCCATAGAGAGAGGAGAATGGAGTGGACGCACAGGCAGAAACAGATTCTGTGTGTGAGGGACCATGTGGCCCTGAGTGGCTGCCCAGCTTCCTTGTGGCTTGCTGGTTGCTTCCATTTCTAGTCAATGACTGTATTTTTAATAAACCCTACTTTGCTTGAGGTGAAGGGAAGAACTACTCTTCTTTGAAACAAGAAGAGCCCTTGCCAAAGCCTCGTTCACATGGAATAACCACCTTGAATCTGTGGTCTCCCACTGTAGCAGATCCATGGTTCCCCAATGAGATACGCTACCCTTCTTGCTCCCTGCTAGACTGTAAAACTTCTTGAGAACCTGCATGTTGTTAGTACTTATTTCTCAATATAATAAGCCTTTGTTCCATGAATTTGTTATTACATAAAAGAATATTTATAGGATTGTGGATTTGCTGCTTGTAACATTTATTGGGTGTTGAGTATTTTTGTATTTCTATAAAAATTATTGAGCTTTGTTCTGGGATGTGGTTAAGGTACTTGGAAATAGTTTTATCCTCTAGAGTCTTATATTTAAGATTCATTAAGTAGAACCAGAGCAGTGCATATTTTGGGCTAATTATTCCCCATTACTGAAGCAAAACCATCCTGAATTTACCTAACTGTTGCCTGTAAGTGACAAGGTTTTTTTCCAGCCCGACTGTGGTAACAAGCATTATTTCTAGCCCTATGTGGATATCAGTCACTATTGCATTCCTCTAATCTTTTCAGATGCTTTCTTTTTCTGGCTTCAAGTCATTTTCTTATATACATGTGCTGCTAGTTCTCTGCTAGAGTTTCTAGAAGGACTCTCTGCCGATCTCAGGAGTTCTGTCTGTGCCACACTCTCCTCTCCTTCTCTGTGTCCTGTCCCATAAGATGTAGCTGCCTGATCCCCCTTAGACTGTCAACTCTGTCTTCTCAGCAGGGAGCGCACCAGGCTCTGCTTGAGTTTCCTCCCTGATCAGTGGCCTGGACACTGGCTCATGGCAGTGCTGGGAGCAGTCATTGAAATGGCTTCATTTGCCTCACTCTGGACTTACTGTCCTTCATTTCCTCTTGTCTCATGTCTTGAAAACTTTTATAAATATAAATTTTACCTCTTGGATATTTTTGTTGTTTGAGATAAAAGGGTAAACCCAGTGCTCATTGTTTTATCTTGGCAGGAAGTGGAAATTGTGTAACACTTGTTGACTTATTTCCTTAGGAAAGTTTGATAAATATTATAGTCAGTATACTTGCCTACATTTTGTCCAGTTGGATGATTTTTTTTAAATTTCTGCTTAGGACTTTAAGCAAAGAGACGTATAACACACATAATTTAAAGCAGGCCCTTTGAGCTACAAGTACCTGACATGAGTATAAGCATGTTTAATCTTTGATTTTATTGCTGCTCAAAATCAGGGCCAAAGTTAAAGGCAATGAGTTAATAATGGATTAAGATGCTATCACATTTTCTTTAGAAGAAATTCATTCCAGTGAACCATTTGAGTAAAAATAGTTTCCCAAGAGGAACTTAATTCTGGAAAGATAATTATCTGTTTTAGATGCCTGTAATTTTCAATTATGTTTGGTTAGCTTCCGAATTGTGAGTGTAGGAAGTGTTGCAAGACTTAAAAAGTTAGCTGATATGTACTTCATGCAATTGCTTTCCAAAGCACATGAGTGTCAAACATATTTAGGAAGAGACCATGGGCCTGCGTTCAAGAAACCCCTTCAAACATAAACATGCATGACTCTGTGAGCATGAAGCTACACCAAAAAATACTGCTAATTTTGTTATCAGTAATAGTATTATTTTTACATTTTCTTTAAAAACAAAGGAAATGACAAAATGATTTTTACCTCTACCTAGAAAAGCATCTACTTATCTGTAAGGTCCTGAAGGAAATAAATTCTTTCTCTTTCCATTTGCTTGTGCCTAAAGAATGGACCCCAAAGTCTCAAAGTTCCTAAACAAGTATAATAGAGAGAGGCCCATCACAGTAAGCCCTTCCACTTAGAAGCAGGGTCCCGCGTCTCTTCTATGGAGAAGCTCCCAGTATTTACCAGGCTGAGTAGAAGTTTCCCCCACTCTTTGCCCCTGGGCTGAAGGAATGCTGGTACTTTGTGCAGCCAGGCATGAAGCCCTTGGTTTCTCCAAGATTCTTTCCAGAGTTCTGATCTCAGGCCATTAAGCGAGAAAAGAGCCCAGTGATTAGCAAATGATAAAAATTATTTCTGGAAACAAGCAGAGCTTTTCATCACAACCGAATGCCTCCTTGAGGATACGTTTTCATGGTGATTCTTCAAATTGTCAACCTCCGCCAAATCTCACTCTCTTATAACCCATAACAAATCTTGGCTCTACATATCACATGTACCGTAGTTTTCCTTCTAAGGATCAGGTTTTAAAAACCAAAAAACCCAAACAATTGGATATATGATTTACCTCTTTTATTAACTCTAAAGATAAAAACCAACTATTGCCTCTAAAATTAGCCAAGTTAAATGTCCTTGATAATTAAGTCTCAGAAATAAAAATCTAGGTGATTTAATACAAAAAGGCACAAGGTGGAGGGAGATTAGAGGCTCCAACATAGCCTACAGGGACTAATGTATGTGCTTAGGTTCTGGCAGGCAGTCCAGCCACACATGAGCCTAAGGAAGCACTCTTCCCCATAGACTCGGAGGGCTGAGGAGTGGCAGAAGCCAAGGAATGATTCACTCACGGAGAACAGAAACCACAGGGGTGACCATGAATCTTTGTTGATGGCCAGCCAGCTTTGCTGACCACAGTTTACTCTTTGGACTCAAATAAGTCTGGCCACAGTCAGGGAAGTAAGGTATAAGGGTCACAAATCAGGGCAAGATAATAGATCCATTGTGCTTTCTGTGTCTTATTAGTGACTTTGCAAGGCTGGCAGTGGCAGTGTGTGCTATGAACCATATTTATGTTTTCCTGAAGGCAGTGTTGATCACCCAGTCTGGCTGGGAGCTCTGTGTGATAAAGGATTCGTGCCCACAGTGGACTAGGGGTAAGGTCCTTATTGTCTGTCTTTCCCCTGAAGTGCTGGATATGGGTTTTGAACACAATAGGCACTGATCGTTGGTGGTAATGGCCATCAATTAGTAGACTCTGGTGATTTTAGCCAACACCTTGTTTCTAAGACTTTGTTCCACTGCTCAGTCCAGGCAGATTCCTGAATCTGCCTATCCAGATCACCTTTCTGAACTTGAAGTCTATTATCTATGATAACCTGTGAAATTTGCTTTATCCTGCTAGTGTTTCTCAATGACAGCACTATGGTTAATTTGGGTCATACAGTTCTTGGGTGGGTGGGACTGTCTCAGTGCTTGCCTTGTAACATCCCTAGTCTCATGCCACTAAATGCCAGTATCAACTGTCATTGTGAGAAGCAAACCTATCCTCAGACATTTATAGACGTCCTACCTCAATCAAGTGCAGTATCCTGTTGTATATAAACCTGAACCCCTCATCCGCTTCCACACTGTCTGCTCAGACTTCTG
The DNA here is from genome assembly GCF_000001405.40 of Homo sapiens. Taxonomy (NCBI): domain Eukaryota; kingdom Metazoa; phylum Chordata; class Mammalia; order Primates; family Hominidae; genus Homo; species Homo sapiens. Next base: position 153,599,162 of record NC_000003.12, on the reverse strand, counting down.
CACTTCTGGGTGCCCCACCAGATCACTTGTCTTTCATTCCTAATCTCAGGACTTTTCTTCAGGTGGCACAATTCTCTTTCCCTAAACTTGTTCTGCCACAGCTATGCTTTCTAAATCCACCATCATTTATCATATATGAATTCAGAATAATGTTTTTTATTTTCATGAAAATTCAAAAGTGGCTAATGCACACTGTAGCATGAGGTTTATTTATTTTTCTTATTTGAAATCAAAACCAATAACCTTAATGGTTTTGAAGAGATTCTCTGAACTTAGTCATCTCTATTATTCTGAAAATAATTTGTGAAAAAAAGTTGTACGTGGGAGTGTGTGTGCGTATACATATTTATGTATACATACATAGAGATACACTTGTATAATAATAAATTTTTTCATAATGTAAAGAAAGAGCCTAATATATAGAGGGCTCATTCTGAAGAGGAAGAAAAGAAGCTGGGACTTCAATTTTATAACGTGTAATGTCCAAAGAAAGAGAGAACCCTTTCCTTGTTCCAATTAAGGAGCATGACAGAGGGAAAAAAAAGCTTAAATCATAGCAATTGTGCATTAGCTTAAATAAAAGGTGTTTTCCTCATCAGAGATAATAACAAACTTTGGAATAGACTATGATGGAACTGAGACTTCATCTCTTGACATGCATAATACACTTCATTTGTCCTGGTCTGTATTTTAGATGAGTGAGTTCAAGTAGGAGCACAGAGATTGTATCAGTAGGGAGGATCACTGTTGGTTTCAAGATTTGTCTAAATAGTCCAGGCATCCTCTTTTTGAATTCATTAACCTGATTCCACCAACGCCATTGAGAGCCTATCATGTGCAAGGCACTATGCTACAGCAGTCTCATTACCTTACTTTTCACATACATTAATATTTTACTCATAATAAAGCTGTTTTGGATCTCATTAAAAAAATTTAAAAATCCTGGTAATGAGTAATAAATAAAGCTGGGGTCGGAATTCAGGCCTCAGACTATAATAATCTACCTAAATACCCACATTGCAGTTGAAATTAAAGGCCCAGAGAGACTGAATGGTTTACTCATTGCCACACAGTGATGAAATAATTTGTCTTCACAAAATGAAAAAAAAATTATAGTAGCTAATGAAGGGAGGAACAGACAAGCACTGTGAGCCTACCAAAACATTTTGAACTACCACACTAGGTAACTTTTAAGGTATCTTCCATTATAGGAGATTTACTGTGCCAAGACACCAGCTGAAGTGCCTTGTTTTCCAAACTGAGATGCCAAGACACTGCTGTGTTAAGAAGTTGAATCATGAATTTGAATGTATTTTTAACATAACGTTAAATTTCAAGGAAATGGCAGGCATGCAGTGTCTGAATCAGGCTAAAGCTTATATTCCATGGGATATGCTTATATTGTCACCATCCATTGGGTTACTTTAGTGAGAAAGTTTGCAAAGCATTGGGCTAGAAGAATATGAAGTATTTTTTTCCTGGTCAGCAATAAGTGCAGCTACATAAATCCACCTGGATAAGATGAGAGCTCTTATTTCATCTAATCAAATCTGTTTCATCTTACAAAGAGAAAAAGAGCAATAAAACAAACAAAAAAAACCAGTAAAAATAATCGTGACATTTTATCTGTAAACAAATATGCTCAAACAGCAATGCTTTCAGTTATATCTGTTATAAAATCTCCTGATCATCTCACTGTGATGGAATTCTTCTGCATCTAATACATATCTTGTTATCTTGACTCTTTTCCCATCTTATGAATAGATAACTTTGAACAAATACATATTCCTGTCTCGATTTTTAAAATTTATAACCTTTAAAATAATGACATTTATGCCTACCTATCTTATAAACTGAATAATAAAGTTATCCCAGGTTGAGCTTTGACCTATAATGGCAGCAGAATAATTTGCTTAGAGCATGTAGCAATTAATATGATTTGAGTTGTAAAGTATACACATTTTATTCATTTTATTACTTATTATCTTCCATAGGGAAGAAGAGCTATTAAAAATTTTATTTGGGCTACTAAATTTTCAATTCCTATTTATAAGGATGATCTTGTTTTTAAATAAAAAACAGAAAGATTACAAAATAAATATTTTATCATTTGAGAATATGTGACTGAAATTAAATAAATGTTAAACTACAATGTTCTTTTTTATGTAATTAGACTATACCAGTAGGAATTTTTATTTTTATTTGAGCAATTTTTAGATATATTCTAAAATGTTATAAGTGTCAAAGATTTTCATTACGTTTGAGTGCATCAAAGTGCTTTTGATATTTTATCTGCAAAATGTCCTGTGGGACACCAAAATTTCTCTGCTAATGAGTTTATGCGGTTGTTATTTTTATTGTGCAAAATGATGGCCTTTATTTCTTTAGCATTCAGAACTTTTTATAGGATCCTTTTGACAAAGAAATAATTTTCCACCTTATAGTGACTTAAGGAAAATTAAATACACGAGATTGCTTTCGAAAACACCAAAGTTTCTATCAGAAGTTTTGCTATGGGTGTCCTTGCATCCTGTGTCTGTGAAACTGAACACCAGATTTTATTCAAATGACTCTGCTGATTGACATTCATTTCAATACAGTCATTTCTGAACTGGTCTATAGAAAAATATCTCAGCAAACTCTGCCACAAAAAAACATATCGATTGACTAATTTAAACAATTAGTTTGACCCAGCAATCCCATTACTGGGTATATACCCAAAGGATTATTCTACTATAAAACACTTGCACACGTATGTTTATTGCAGCACTGTTCACAATAGCAAAGACTTGGAACCAACTTGAATGCCCATCAATGATAGACTGGATGAAGAAAACGTGACACATATACACCATGGAATACTATGCGGCCATAAAAAAGGACGAGTTCATGTCCTTTGCGGGGACATGGATGAAGCTGGAAACCATCATTCTCGGCAAACTAACACAAGAACAGAAAACCAAATACCACATGTTCTCACTCATAAGTGGGAGTTGAACAATGAGAACACATGGACACAGGGAGGGGAACATCACACACCAGGACCTGTCAGGGGGTGGGGAGCTAGGGGAGGGATAGCATTAGGAGAAATACCTAATGTAGATGACAGGTTGATAGGTGCAGCAAACAACCATGGCACATGTATACCTATGTAACAAACCTGCATGTTCTGCACATGTATCCCAGAACTTAAAGTATAATAAAACAATTTTAAATAAAGAGTATTCCTCTTTGACTTCAGATGCACAAATATTTGATTTCACTTTGAAGGCCTAATACAAAGTCACACATGCAGTATACCTACGTAAATGACATGGGAAATAACCCAGTTGAGACTAGCTTCTTTAAATCATAAGGTTGCATAGATACCCCATACCAAAAACCTCTGGAAGCCCATACAAAGGCTGTGAATACCAGTTAGGTTGTTGATCTATTATGTGACAGTTACAAGACAATAAGGGAAGACTGAAACAATAAAATATCTTTCATAGGCAACTAATATATGACTATGTAGGTAATTGTAACATAAGAGCAACTGTACTTAGTTTTCTATGATCCAATGTAAGCAGCATTTCTATTGATTCTTCCTATTAGTTTTGTTAATCCTATCCAACTAAATATCTCAACACTAAGGAGTACTCTGCAGTATAGGACTTTTCAATGTCAGTACTACTGACATCTTGGGCCAGATAATTCTTTGTTGTCAGGGGCTGTCCAGTGCATTGTAGGATGTTTAACAACATCCCTGGTTTCTCTCCACTAGGTGACAGTAGCACCTTTCTACTAATCTCTCTACCCCAGTGGTAATAATATCTCCAAACACTGCCAAATTTCCCCTGGGAAGCAAAATCATCCTGATTGAGAACTACTGCTACAGAGCCAAGAAGGGGAAAATTTCTTTTTCCCAGTCTCATTTTCTTTCTGTCATCTTGAAAGAGACTCCCTCATGATTACATGGCATCCTACATAGTTACTGAGAGGGGTCACACTTCGAGCTTCTATTTAAAATACAGCAATATTTTATTGAGGACTCAGGAACCAAAATTTCCATCTTGGGATAATGTCTAATATTTTTTGTATTGAAAACTTGTCCCAATTGGTTTTATGCAGAAACTAAATTTCTCAAAGGAATGTAGCACCTCACTTCCTTATCTGCACAGAGAAAAAAGGAATTTCTGCTCATGAGCAGCTATTAAGCAGCTTTTAAGCTTTTCATGTATGAATCATGTGGGAATGTGTTAGTTGCAGGTGGCAGAGATTTTAACTTCTTGTCTAAAGTCAAGAGCAGGGCCTGCTTTTGTGCCGCTCAGTGCAGGGGTTAGTATAGCTGCCAGAACCTTATGTCTTGGCTTACCTGTGCTATCTTGCTTGAACAGTAATAGATGGGAGGGAATTAGTAGTTCTTAGTTTGCTGGAAGAAAGTTAAGTGATTTCCAAGTACAAAAGTAACATATGATCATTTGTAGGTGTTTCTATTATGTGTCACCAAAAAATTTATAAGGTCATTGAGAGAAGGGATGGCATCTTACACTTCATTTTATTCCTGTGGAAACTTCATCATGTTTTGTGCCCAGCAGACACACAATATAGAATTTGTAGGTTGAAAGGGGCTTGTAAATCATACATCTTTTCTCACAAAAAGATCAAAGCAGTTTTTATGTTTAAAAACAATGTACAATTCTCAAGGATTTTTTTCAGGGAATAAGATTACCAGAGGAGAAGGATGCTATCCTATTTTAAAGAATATTAAATTAAGTAGTAATTTACACAATATCATTCTGAGAGAAGGCAGATCAAAGAGTAGTTTCTAAGAAAGGGAAGAGGAGAATGCAAATATATTATTATTGCTAAGAATTTATTTCAGTAACAAATCTGAATTCTCCTATATAAATGTCTTTTTATATAGGAGAACTCTATGTATATGCATATGTATGTATATGTATATATATGTATACACACTCATGTGTATATATAAGTTTGTGTGTGTGTGTGTGTAGCACAGGTAAGCCAAGAGATAAGGTTCTGGCAGCTGGAATAACCCCTGCACTGAGTTGGACAAAAGCAGGCACTGCTCTTGACTTTAGACAATAGGTTAAGATCTCTGCCACATGCAACCAACACATTCCTACCTAATTCATACATGAAAAGCTTTAGAAGCTGCATAATAGCTGTTCATGAGCAGCCCACTCTTTATATGTGTGTGTGTGTATATATATATATACACTTATGTGTGTGTATGTATATATACACACACATATACCAGTGTGTGTGTATATATATATATATATATATATATATATATATCTTTTGGATATAAAACCAGAAGAGAGGACTTAATGAATCTCTGGATTCTCAGAAACAGAACAAAAAGATCTAAGTGTCCGTAATCAGATTAAATAAAAAATAATAATAAAGCTAATTTATATCATGTTTGCTTTAGGGTTTATTTGGAAGAGAAAATTAAGCTTAGGAAATGAGCAGTCTAACTTCATATCCAATTAAATATATTGGGAAACTACATGGTGTTTGATACTACCTGGAAAATGAAACCAGACAATGCATTATCAATGAGAGTTCTGGTTTTCATCAGTATCACGCTTCATTCACCACAAAGAATAATAGCATGGTGCCCCCCTTGTGCGTTCTAATGACACATCTCTGTATGTGAGAAATGTAATTGTCATCTCACAAAACAGAACACATTATGTTAGATGAGGTCTTATATTTCCACATATTTTAGCAGAAGCAAGAGCATTCTCATTTGCACAACAAATGTGTTCAGTTCCAAAAACACAATTATTTCTTCTAGTGCAATGAGGATGTGATTTAAAATAATTAATATGAAGGCTGTATGTTTTTTATTTGTGGAAAAAAGCATAATTCTAAATTACTTATGTAAATATGTTCAGATGCACTCTACACAAATATCCAATGTGTTTCACTGAAAACAATACACTTAATATTTTGCCAACCGAAATAACAATAAATTAGATCTTGTGATGTTTCAAAATAATTTCTTTCAAGTTGGAGATGATTGCTTGTTTAAAACTTAGAAAAACAGATACTAATTTACATAAACAAACAATTTAAATAAGAAAAAATCCTATCAGAAATGTCAGTAGAAAGAATTGTAGAAGCACCTCTTTTATATTTAAAGTAGATTCGATTTTTGTTGAATAAAGTGTCCCCCAACCTACCATTTTGCAACAGGTATTGTTAATGATCTGAGAAACCCTTGTTTGCAGAGATGATCCCACTGCTAAGTTTGGGTTTGTACAGTTTGGGTGATGTTGGCAACCAATAAAAGAAGTCACAAATTCATTGAGGAAGTAGCATTCACCTTCAAAACAGAGTTGGTGAGGTTGGGGTGTTCACTGCATGGGAAAATGTTCTTCTGGCAATTAGGCATGTTTATACATTTTTAAAATTCATTTTTTTTCTAACAAAACCAGATAAAGGGAAGGTTGGTTACTGTTTCAGGTTTCTGCTACTTACAAATCACAATTTATCTGGCTTCTCTGATCCTTGATTTCCTTGTCTGTAAAATAAAGATAATGTTAGCTATTTATAGAACTGCTTGGGAGATTATACAAGAAAAGGAATGTGAAAGAATTGAGCACAGGGACTGGGACACTGAAGCCTCAGTCAATGTTTGTTCCTCTTCTTATTCCCTCACTCCTGTCACTCCATACTCTTAGGTGACTTCCAGCTTCTGGTTATCTTGTTCCATCCGGCCAGAACCTGCAAAGACCTCTTCTTGGAGGTTTCTCTGGTTCTACCTTGGACCAAAGATTTCAATGAAAGGGGTTAAATTCTCAGAGTAGAATCACAGGGATCAGACTGTAGGTAGAAAGAGATTTTGGGCTCTCCCTGACCTTCCTACCAGGTAAAAAAGAAAATACAGAATTGATGCTAGCAAAATTTTCTTCAGATTTAACCTACCCACTGAGTATTAGTATTGCAGTAACTGCACTTAGATCTCTAGGAGTACTATAGCTAGTGAGAACAATGGCAGGGCTACAGTCTAGGATTACCTTAAAGAAATGGCCAGTTGCCTAATGAGAATTGCCACACTAGGTTCTAGGGAAATTTTCTGGTGGTCATAAATCAAATTTAATCTCCGGCTTTCAAAACCCTAAGCTGTGGTGAAGCCACAGGGAAGCTTTGGTTGTGTCATCTTTCCATCTTCCTCTTCCTTTGGACACTAGAACATGCAGGGTGATCTGTGCAATAAATGAGGCAAAAAAAACTTCTTGTCCTCCTTCCACAGGTTTCCATTCAAATTCTTCACTGAAAAGCAAGACCCACATTGTTCCTGCAGTTACTTTCTCCTGGCATGGACTTGAAGTTAGTCAGGAACTTGACCTCCATTAATGTTGAGGATTCTCACTTCCATATTTACCTCTGCTATCAGAAAAGTCATCTAAAACCTGCATTCTTTTATTCTTTATCAAATCTTCCCTCAAAATTCCTTTGGGGTGGAGTAATTTAGGAAAGCAACCACATCCATGTTCTATGGTGAAAATAGTATGGACTTTGGAATTAAGTAGACCCAGGTTGATTTCTTATGTAGCTAACTGGCTCTGTGAGTTTGCAGACCATTGCTTTAGGCAAACCATTTAATCACTCTGAGTGTTTGTCTGCTCATTGCTGAAGTTAGGAAAGTTATACTACCATGCAAAGTTGCTGCAATGGTTGAATACATACTAGAATATACATATACATATACATATACATATACATATACATATACATATACATACACACATACACATACATATACATATAGAATACCTGGAATTTAGTAGAATATCAATGGATGATAATTGGCCTATACAGTAATTTCTGATATAGTAAAAGCTGCATCATTAGATTCTCTCCTTATAAAAATTCCACATCTCATTTTTACCTTCTTCATAGTGTTTACTAACCTCTATATCTAACAGATACCTTCTTTGTTTTCTTTCTTTCTTTTTTCTTTTTAACATGTGGTACTAAGGGAAAGAAAATAAGTGTGAAGTGATTTGTAGAGAAATTTTGTTTCTGTCTTTCTTCTTTCTGTCATCTCCTCTGGCATGCTTTATTTTCAGTTCCAGTCTTAGTGACATCAGACACACAGGACTACTATGAAACTCTTGTCCCTAAAGGAGAAAAAGATAAATCTTCAATGCCATTGCACTTTGATTTCTGTTCATTAATTTTCCCTTAGTTGGTACTGCTCTGATTACTGAATGCAATTTTAAAAAATCACCAGAAGCAAGGGTTTCAGAAATATAAATTAGGCAATGTCTTCTCAGTTTTCAGTTTTATCTTTTATTTTTTTGAGTGAAATTTTGTGTAGTACTCATTAACTTTGCTTCTTGAATTATATTAGATTCCATATTAGAATAATTTATATTAGTTGATCCTAGTTCATGAAGACTTTCAGTCTTCTCTTTCTTCCCAGCCAATAAATGAGATCCATTCTTCCAACCCTACTCCCCCATGCTGCAGTACTTCTCTCTCTCATTTTTTTTTCTCATTTCATCTTGAATATGGTGATTAGACACTTTTTTTCTTCTTTCTGAAGAGGTTGTAAACCCTTTGGCACCACATTTTATTTAGCGTTCTTAATTTCTCACGAGTTCTAGCTAACACTTAACATAGAGTAGAGGCTGACTGCATGTGAAATGAGGAAATCCAAATTACATAGAACATTAAATTACTATGAATTTAAAAGGCTTATAATGATCTTCTTAAAGCATAGCATACCAGCTATACTCGTTTTTAAAAGAATTTCAGAAAACGGTTTATAATTTATGGCAATTAGAATGAATTTTCTTATAGCAAGAATGTTAAAAATGGTGGTTATATTCCCAAACCAGCTTTTAAAAATGCCTGTTATTACACAATAAACTTAGAGCAGGAGAGCAAACACTGGACATGCCTTTCTAAAAACTTCCCTCAACATTCCTCACTTTCCTGTCTTCTCTACTGGCTAAGCAGCAAAGGAAGTCTTTAATGTGAGTTTAATGGAAGTCATAAAAATGGATTTTTTAGCAAGAATGATATGTCAATTTAGGATATTTTCTTCCAGAAACTAACTCTAGTTGAATCAGTTCCCCCAAATAAGGATGGTATGGAGTAGAGATCAAAAGTTATGTGTAGGGTACATAGCTTTGGCAATGATTGTGGAATTCCTACACATTTTAACATTCTATAAATGTTTTATTTCACTGGTTTATAAGAATATCCACAACTTTTCCTCATAAAATCACAGCAATGGTTGGAAAGCTGGTTAGTTAAAAGTTGTTCATTAATGGAAGAAGAAAAAAAATCCTACTACTATTTATTATTTGAAAATCATCTTCAGCATGCAAATACAAATAGAATAGTTATAGCTAACCAGATGGTTTTAATAGATAGGTAATCATGGAATTTAGCAAGAAGTTCTCAAAAACTAAATGAATCATTGAATTTTCAGTTGTCACAGAAATTTAGAAAAAGTAGTATATATTGATCACTTAATGACCAATGATTTAATATAATAAAGTACTATGATTATTTTCAAGATTTTCTAAATGTAAAATATAAATAAAATGGACATATGAGAAAGTATTATTTGAACTCAACCAGAAAGTATTTCTTAGATATAAAAGGCTTATTGTTTTTAGTGAATTTAGTAAAAAATTTGAGTTTTCTAATTACTAAATGCAATTTTTTCCCAATGCCGTTAACAATTTTGTATATACTTTATCGACTGACCATTACAAAAGCAAAACAGAAATCTTACAACTTGACAGAAGAAAACTCTCCATAGCATTTCCATGAAAGGTAGAGCTAACAAGAATCTTGAAAAGATCTTCCTCCACACTTCCCTCATGTCTAAGGCTACATGAGGCATCAACAGAAAAAGATTCATATTACACAAGATCACTGTGAGCCCAGAGGCACAAGCAAAAGGTTTTTTTCTGGGTATTTTTGTGTTTCTAACCTTCCATGGAGACAGAAAGAGAACTCGACTTTCAATAAGTTAAAAGCAAGCACAAGAAACATTCTCAAAACCCAGACTATTTCTAGTACATATAACTCTTTGACAAAATGGACTACCAAATTAAAAAAAAATACATATATCTATATGTGTATATATGGCAACCAAAGGAAATAAAAGATATAAAGTAGAACACGGGAAAATCTATCAATGAAATAAGTCACCAGAGAGAATAATATTAAAACAATATGTTTTCAGATAGTAAAAAGGCCGCAACACTGCATTTTGGGACTTTATAAAATAGAATTCAGACCTACTGTTTGTTTGTTTTTTTATTATGATTATACATTACGTTTTAGGGTACATGTGCACAACGTGCAGGTTTGTTACATGTGCCATATTGGTGTGCTGCACCCATTAACTCGTCATTTAGCATTAGGTATATCTCCTAATGCTATCCCTCCCCCCTCCCCCCACCCCACAACAGGCCCCGGTGTATGATGTACCCCTTCCTGTGTCCATGTGTTCTCATTGTTCAATTCCCACCTATGAGTGAGAACATGCAGTGTTTGGTTTCTTGTCCTTGCATAGTTTGCTGAGAATGATGGTTTCCAGCTTCATCCATGTCCCTACAAAGGACATGAACTCATCATTTTTTATGGCTGCATAGTATTCCATGGTGTATATGTGCCACATTTTCTTAATCCAGTCTATCATTGTTGGACATTTGGGTTGGTTCCAAGTCTTTGCTATTGTGAATAGGGCCGCAATAAACATACGTGTGCCTGTGTCTTTATAGCAACATGATTTATAATTCTTTGGGTATATACCCAGTAATGGGATGGCTGGGTCAAATGGTATTTGTAGTTCTAGATCCCTGAGGAATCGCCACACTGACTTCCACAATGGTCGAACTAGTTTACAGTCCCACCAAAAGTGTAAAAGTGTTCCTATTTCTCCACATCCTCTCCAGCACCTGTTGTTTCCTGACTTTTTAATGATCACCATTCTAACTGGTGTGAGATGGTATCTCATTGTGGTTTTGATTTGCATTTCTCTGATGGCCAGTAATGATGAGCATTTTTTCATGTGTCTTTTGGCTGCATAAATGTCTTCTTTTGAGAAGTGTCTGTTCATATCCTTCGCCCACTTGTTGATGGGGTTGTTTGTTTTTTTCTTGTAAATTTGTTTGAGTTCTTTGTAGATTCTGGATATTAGCCCTTTGTCAGATGAGTAGATTGCAAAATTTTTCTCCCATTCTGTAGGTTGCCTGTTCATTCTGATGGTAGTTTCTTTTGCTGTCCAGAAGCTCTTTAGTTTAATTAGATCCCATATGTCAATTTTGGCTTTTGTTGCCATTGCTTTTGGTGTTCTAGACATGAAGTCCTTGCCCATGCCTATGTCCGGAATGGTATTGCCTAGGTTTTCTTCTAGGGTTTTTATGGTTTTAGGTCTAACATTTAACTCTTTAATCCATCTTGAATTTTGGCATCGATGTTCATCAGGGATATTGGTCTAAAATTCTCTTTTTTTGTTGTGTCTCTGCGAGGCTTTGGTATCAGGATGATGCTGGCCTCATAAAATGAGTTAGGGAGGATTCCCTCTTTTTCTACTGATTGGAATAGTTTCAGAAGGAATGGTACCAGCTCCTCCTTGTACCTCTGCTAGAATTTGGCTGTGAATCCGTCTGGTCCTGGACTTTTTTTGGTTGATAAGCTATTAATTATTGCCTCAATTTCAGAGCCTGTTATTGGTCTATTCAGAGATTCAACTTCTTCCTGGTTTAGTCTTGGGAGGGTGTATGTGTCGAGGAATTTATCCATTTCTTCTAGATTTTCTAGTTTATTTGTATAGAGTTGTTTATAGTATTCTCTGATGGTAGTTTGTATTTCTGTGGGATTGGTGGCGATATCCCCTTTATCATTTTTTATTGCGTCTGTTTGATTCTTCTCTCTTTTCTTCTTTATTAGTCTTGCTAGCAGTCTATCAATTTAGTTGATCTCAAAAAACCAGCTCCTGGATTCATTGATTTTTTGAAGGGTTTTTTGTGTCTTTATCTCCTTCAGTTCTGCTCTGATCTTAGTTATTTCTTGCCTTCTGCTAGCTTTTGAATGTGTTTGTTCTTGCTTCTCTAGTTCTTTTAATTTTGATGTTAGGGTGTCAATTTTAGATCTTTCCTGTTTTCTCTTGTGGGCATTTAGTGCTATAAATTCCCTCTACACACTGCTTTAAATGTGTCCCAGAGATTCTGTTATGTTGTCTTTGTTCTCATTGGTTTCAAAGAACATCTTTATTTCTGCCTTCATTTTATTATGTACCCAGTAGTCATTCAGGAGCAGGTTGTTCAGTTTCCATGTAGTTGGTCGGTTTTGAGTGAGTTTCTTAATCCTGAGTTCTAGTTTGATTGCACTGTGGTCTGAGAGACAGTTTGTTATAATTTCTGTTCTTTTACATTTGCTGAGGAGAGCTTTACTTCCAACTATGTGGTCAATTTTGGAATAAGTGTGGTGTGGTGCTGAGAAGAATGTATATTCTGTTGATTTGGGGTGGAGAGTTCTGTAGATGCCTATTAGGTCTACTTGGTGCAGAGCTGAGTTCAATTTCTGGATATCCTTGTTAACTTTCTGTCTTGTTGATCTGTCTAATGTTGACAGTGGGGTGTTAAAGTCTCCCATTATTATTGTGTGGGAGTCTAAGTCTCTTTGTAGGTCTCTAAGGACTTGCTTTATGAATCTGGGTGCTCCTGTATTGGGTGCATATGTATTTAGGATAGTTAGCTCTTCTTGTTGAATTGATCCCTTTACCATTATGTAATGGCCTTCTTTGTCTCTTTTGATCTTTGTTGGTTTAAAATCTGTTTTATCAGAGACTAGGATTGCAACCCCTGCCTTTTTTTGTTTTCCATTCACTTGGTAGATCTTCCTCCATCCCTTTATTTTGAGCCTATGTGTATCTCTGCACATGAGATGAGTTTCCTGAATACAGCACACTGATGGGTCTTGACTCTTTATCCAATTTGCCAGTCTGTGTGTTTTAATTGGAGCATTTATCCCATTTACATTTAAGGTTAATATTATTATGTGTGAATTTGATCCTGTCATTATGATGTTAGCTGGTTATTTTGCTCGTTAGTTGATGCAGTTTCTTCCTAGCCTGGATGGTCTTTACAATTTGGCATGTTTTTGCAGTGGCTGGTACTGGTTGTTCCTTTCCATGTTTAGTGCTTCCTTCAGGAGCTCTTTTAGGTCAGGCCTGGTGGAGACAAAATCTCTCAGCATTTGCTTGTCTGTAAAGTATTTTATTTCTCCTTCACTGATGAAGCTTAGTTTGGCTGGATATGAAATTCTGGGTTGAAAATTCTTTTCTTTAAGAATGTTGAATATTGGCCCCCACACTCTTCTAGCTTGTACAGTTTCTGCCGAGAGATCAGCTGTTAGTCTGATGGGCTTCCCTTTGTGGGTAACCCAACCTTTCTCTCTGGCTGCCTTTACCATTTTTTCCTTCATTTCACTGTGGTGAATCTGACAATTATGTGTCTTGGAGTTGCTCTTCTCGAGGAGTATCTTTGTGGCATTCTCTGTATTTCCTGAATTTGAATGTTGGCCTGCCTTGCTAGATTGGGGAAGTTCTCCTGGATAATATCCTGCAGAGTGTTTTCCAACTTGGTTCCATTCTCCCCATCACTTTCAAGTACATCAATCAGACGTAGATTTGGTCTTTTCACATAGTCCCATATTTCTTGGAGGCTTTGTTTGTTTCTTTTTATTCTTTTTTCTCTAAACTTCTCTTCTCACTTCGTTTCATTCATTTGATCTTCCATCACTGATACTCTTTCTTCCAGTTGGTCTAATGAGCTACAGAAGCGTGTGCATTTGTCACGTAGTTCTCGTTCCATGGTTTTCAGCTCCATCAGGTCCTTTAAGGACTTCTCTGCATTGGTTATTCTAGTTAGCCATTCTTCTAATCTTTTTTCAAGGTTTTTAACTTCTTTGCGATGGGTTCGAACTTCCTCCTTTAGCTTGGAGAAGTTTGATCATCTGAAGCCTTCTTCTCTCAACTCATCAAAGTCATTCTCCGTCCAGCTTTGTTCCGTTGCTGGTGAGGAGCTGCGTTCCTTTGGAGGAGGAGAGGCGCTCTGATTTTTAGAATTTTCAGTTTTTCTGCTCTGTTTTTTCCCCATCTTTGTGGTTTTATCTACCTTTGGTCTTTGATCATGGTGACGTACAGATGGGGTTTTGGTGTGGATGTCCTTTCTGTTTGTTAGTTTTCCTTCTAACAGTCAGGACCCTCAGCTGCAGGTCTGTTGGAGTTTGCTGGAGGTCCACTCCAGACCCTGTTTGCCTGGGTATCAGCAGCAGAGGCTGCAGAACAGTGAATATTGCTGAACAGCCAATGTTGCTGCCTGATCGTTCCTCTGGAAGCTTCATCTCAGAGGGGTAACCTGTCGTGTGGGGTGTCAGTCTGCCCCTACTTGGGGGTGCCTCCCAGTTAGGCTACTTGGGGGTCAGGGACCCACTTGAGGAGGCAGTCTGTCCATTCTCAGATCTCAATCTGCATGCTGGGAGAACCACTACTGTCTTCCAAGCTGTCAGACAGGGACATTTAAGTCTGCAGAGGTTTCTGCTGCCTTTTGTTTGTCTATGCCCTGCCCCCAGAGGTGGATTCTACAGAGGCAGGCAGGCTTCCTTGAGCTGAGGTGGGCTCCACCCAGTTCAAGCTTCCCCGCCGCTTTGTTTACCTGCTCAAGCCTCAGCAATGGTGGGCGCCCCTCCCCCAGCCTCACTGCTGCCTTGCAGTTTGATCTCAGACTGCTGTGCTAGCAATGAGCGAGGCTCCATGGGCATAGCACCCTCTGAGCCAGGCGCGGGATATAATCTCCTGGTGTGCTGTTTGCTAAGACCATCGGAAAAGCGCAGTATTAGGGTGGGAGTGACCCGATTTTCCAGGTGCCATCTGTCACCCCTTTCCTTGGCTAGGAAAGGGAATTCCCTGACCCCTTGCACTTCCCTGGTGAGGCGATGCCTCGCCCTGCTTCAGCTCACGCTTGGTACGCTGCACCCACTGTCCTGCACCCACTGTCTGACAATCCCCAGTGAGATGAACCTGGTACCTCAGTTGGAAATGCAGAAATCATCTGTCTTCTGCATCACTCACACTGAGAGCTGTAGACTGGAGCTGTTCCTATTTGGCCATCTTGGACGTCAGGGACTGTTTGTTTACAATGAAGGTAAAAACAGAAGAGAAGTTGCAAATAAAAGTTCCAGGATTGTCTGATAGAAAAGTATTATATTCTCTCAAAAGAATAGAAAAACAAACTAGGCCAGGTGAGGTGGCTCAAGCCTATAATCCCAGCACTTTGGGAGGCTGAGGCAGTTTGAGATCAGGATGAGGCCAGGAGTTCGAGACCAGGCTGGCCAACATGGCAAAACCCTGCCTCTACTAAAAATACAAAAATTAACCAATTGTGGTGTCCTGTGCCTGTAATCCCAGCTACTCGGGAAGTTGAAGCAGGAGAATCACTTGAACCCAGGAGGCAGATGTTGCAGTGAGCCGAGATCATGCCACTGCCACTGCATACAAGCCTGGGAGACAGAGCAAGACTTTGTCTCAGAAAAAAAAAAAAAAAAAAAGAAAGAAAAGAAAACTAGAGATGAAAATATACAAGAAAACTGCCAATTTTCCAAGAGATCATTTCTACCCTCATAGGAAAATAGATGTGCATGACAGATGTAAAGTTGAGTATATTCACGTTCTAGAAAAGTAATTATGTGAGGAGTAATAACTACATCCTTCCCTCCCTAGTCTTTCCATTGCTAACAGAATGCACAGGCTTGCTGCAGTGTGGTGAATGAATTGGAGGTGGGGCAAGGTTGAAGGCAAGCATAAAGAATAAGAAACTATTGTGATAGTCCAGGTAAGAGATAATAGTCACCTCAGTTATAGCTGTATTGATTACTTAAAGGAAGATGAGAGGATGGATTAGATGGCTGCTTGGAAATTCATATCACCTGGATTTGGTAAATAAATGGGGAAAGGGTTAAAAAAAATAGAAGGAGTCTAGCATGATACCCAGGTTTCTGGTTGGAACAGAAACAGATTCTGGCCCATGTGAACCGACTTACAAATGGCAGCATGCAGCGTGCATTTTATGCATAATGTTGATCTCCTACCTTTGTGCAATGAGTATAAGGGATACCAGATAACGTCTCCTTGCTTAATGTATTTGACATGTGTGATGCACATGCAGTGTTTAGGACATTTCCTGGGACCTCATTAATGTCCAAATTGTTTCCACCAAAAGACAACAATTGTGGGGAAAGGGAAGGATGAATAGGTGAAGCACAGAGGACTTCTAGGGTAGTGAGACAACTCTGCTTGATGCTGTCATGATGGATGCAGGTTATTATACATTTGTCTAAACCATCGGAATGTATATCAAGAGTGAATCCTAATGTGAACTATAGACTTTGGATGATGATGTGGTGCCAATATAGGTTTGTCAATTTTAACAAATCTACCAATCTGTGGGTGATGTTGATAATCTGGGAGGTTTATGCATGTGTGAAGTAGGGGTTATATGAGAAATCTCTGTACCTTCAACTCAATTTTGCCATGAATTTAAAAGTGCTCTAAAAGGTAAAGTCTAATAAAAAAGTGACAGTTATTCAAGCTGATGCAAAGTACATACCCACAAAACTAATGTCTTAAACCTAAGTAAATGGGTGAGACAGAAGGGGAATGGTGTGAAGTGGGAAATAGGTTATGACACATGTTAGGAAATTATCATGGTTGAGGCACATTCAGAGACACAAAATTCTGTTTAGGGATTAGAAAAAAATAGAATAGAAGTGTTTTAGATAAAGAATCCCAGAGAGAAACTGAATGACATCAAGTTCTTTTTTATCTCAGTATAAATACAGGATCTACAACTGTTCCATAGAGGCAACTCTCATTTCTATCTTCCAGGAAAACTCTAGAGCACATATGCACCAAGTGTTCCATTCCAGGATTTTTAGGGTTTTTTCTGTTTAAGGTTCTGTCTTAGTCCCTAGAATGTATTACATATAAGCTGGAGCACACATGTGAGGAACAGATTTTCTACTTTGAATGTCCATGGAATAATCTCTAGGAACTGAAAAATAATTCATTCAACATATTTTTAATTGAGCACCTATTATGTTCCAGGCACTGTTCTTGGTAGTGGGGATATACTAGCAAGCAAAATAAATAAAATATCTGTCTTTTGAAGTTTACACTCAGGTTAAGAAAGAGAGAAAATAAATATATTGTTAATCCAGAAAATAATATATAGCTAAGTACATAAGTGCTAGGAAGAATAATGCAGCAGGGGATGGAAGTAGAGAGTGGCCATGAGAGGGAGGAGAGAGGCGGTTGCTATTTTTGACAGAATGATAAAGGAGACTTTAGTGAATGCAGTAGCCGTGTCTATTGGGAGAAAGGGGGCTGCAGGCAGAGTGAAGGGTAGGGCCTGCCTTGTAGGTTGAGGAATAGCAAGGAGGCCAGAGTGGTTGAAATAGGTGGAGGAGGTAAGGTAAGGAGGTACCCCTGCTCAGATCATCCAGTGCCTTATAGGCCATATTAGTTAACTACTGCTATGTAATTAATCACACCAAACATGCTTAAACAGTAACGATTTATTATTTCTTACTGGGCAATTTTGCTGGTCTCGCCTGCCCTCTTCCATGCACTGCAGTCAATGGGTAGATCTGCTGGAGCTTACAGTCTAGGCTGCTGGCTGCATGCGACCCAGGACAGCTTTGAATGCAGCCCAACATAACTTCATAAACTTTCTTAAAACATTATGAGATCTTTAAATATATTTTTTGGATCATCAGTTATCATCAGTGCTAGTATATTCTATGTGTGGCCCAAGACAGTTCTTCTTCCAGTGTGGCCCAGAGAAGCCAAAATATTGGATACCCCTGGTCTAGCATGTCCTCACTTGGTTCTCCAGGGCCTCAGCTGAGAAGGTTTTCTATCTTGGGTTTCTTCACACAGTGGCAGATGTGTTCCAGAGAGTGAGAGTCCAGCTTCAGGTTTCTTTTTTTCTTTTCTTTCTTTTTTTTTTTTTTTTGAGACAGAGTCTCACTCTGTCACCCAGGCTGGAGTGCAGTGGTGTGATCTCAACTCACCGCAACCTCCACCTCCTGGTTTCAAGTGATTCTCCTACCTCAGCCACCCAAGTAGCTGGGATTATGGGCACGTGCCACCAGGCCCAGCTAATTTTTGTATTTTTAGTAGAGATGGGGTCTCACTATGTTGGCCAGGCTGGTCTCAAACCCCTGTCCTCAAATGATCCACCTGCCTCAGTTTCCTAAAGTGCTGGGATTACAGGTGTGAGCCACCATGTCCCTCCAGCTTCAGGTTTCTTGATACCCAGTTCAGAACCTGCTCAAGATCCTTTCTGACACATCTCTAATAATCAAAGGAAGTCATAATGTCAGCCCAGATTCAGAGGGTGGGAAAAGAGGCTGTACCTCTTGATGGGATGAGCACCGAAGCATTTGAAACCACTTTAAAACTACTTCACAGACTATAGGAAAGGCTTAGAATTACGTTACAAGATCTGTGAGAAGTGATAGGAGGATTTTGATTAGGGGCGTCATAAGAGTAAATTTGTGTTTCAAAGATGACACTGGCTGCTGCATGAAGAATAAACAAGAGATGAGTTAGGAGGCTAATACAATAGCATTTTCTCTATCATTCATTTAACTTACAGAAAGAGGCTGACAGCTTTTAATAGACAGAGTTGTTATGGTCATAATGCATGTTTTCCCTCAGGTTCAACTTTATGCAAAATGGTATAAGTCAGTTATAACA
This sequence comes from Homo sapiens, assembly GCF_000001405.40. Classification (NCBI taxonomy): domain Eukaryota; kingdom Metazoa; phylum Chordata; class Mammalia; order Primates; family Hominidae; genus Homo; species Homo sapiens. The sequence goes on along the minus strand of NC_000003.12, from coordinate 153,580,351 downwards.
AAAAATTAAAGCTTTCTTTTCCAGGAAAAGACAATGGCCTTCATGTATCACATTCTCACTATATAGAAATTGTATTAAATTATCCATCCCACACTTAAGAATATCATGATTTTCTCAAGCAAGGCATTTTGTCTTTCTCCAAAGAACTTTAGGCAGTATAAAAATACTCTGAGGTGGAAACAGCCATTTAAATTATTAACTGGAAATCCTTGCAGTCATGTGTACATTCCGTGAATGCATGTATTTTACCTGACATAACTATTTATAGATTTCTAAGTTAAAAAATTGCTGTCATCTTCTTCATTCTTCTTCATTGTTGTTGTTGTTGCTGTTCTCATTACAGCAATTTTCCACATTCTAAGTGCAAGTAAGGAGACAGTATTTGAGTGAATTTTTGAAGACTGAACAGAAGACTGCACAGAAGGAGTGTTGCTTAGGAGAAAGGAAAAGACAGAGTTTGAGAACCCCTAGAGTCTCCACTCCACTGCCCAGGAGGAAATCTTAGAACTAAAAGACCTTAGTGATCTTCTACTTCTGTCTCTCCTTTAATTGCTAAGAAAATGAAGCCTGAAAATACTATCAGTCCTATCCTAGGGGCCTATGGGCAGAATGCAGCTGCAGATATGTTTTGTTTTGCCTTTAATGCATTTTAGTTTTAGTTAAATTTAGTCTTCAACATTCAAAAATTGGGCACTTTTGCATAAATCTATATTTTTGGCTTTCCTTGAAAAATCAAGTTATCTTAGAATACTGAATTTTTCACAGTCTTCCCCACCAGGCCTGCCTCACTCATTTTAATCCCAACTTGATCTTTGGTGACATTTTATGGCAACCTCTGGGCCACACAAGACTAAATGTCAGAGATGAAGCCATAAGCTCCAATCCCATGTTCCTTCCAGTTCTTTCTTCTTTGCTTTCTTTATGATTCTAGTTTTATTATTTTTCAGGCAATAAATATCCATTAAAATCCTGCTTTCTTCTTCAAATTGGACAGAGAAGTCTGTGGATAGCACATCTTAATGAAGCCACTTTTCACCGTTTTAATTAACAAAAAAATCTATAATTCACTGAACAAAAGGCAAACAGGAGATTGCAGCTTCAGGACTATCAACTGACAATGAAGGGGCAGAGTGAGTCTCTTCCCACTGAGGTACACACTGAGAATAACTCCAGCTGAAAAGAAGCCATTAAGAAACTCATAATAATCATATCTGTGTCTTCTTACTTCAGAATCTACTCATTAGAAAGCTTTGCATCCCTTAGCCTTTTATTATGCTATATAAAAAACCATCCACCTTCTCTGCAGAGGTGAGTTAGGCATACTGTGGAATAAGGTTCCCGCTGCCAAGCCACAAAATTAAAACAAATAAAAACTGTCTGCAATAGAGTCTTAGCTGGCTTCTAGAATATGCGTTAGATTTGGTCAATTCAGCTAAAGTGTTGTACTCATAAAAGGGTTCATTGTAAACTTTAAAATGTATGCCTTTTGAAAAACACACAAAACTTCATGATATGGTTTCACATATTATCTTTAGGTATATTTACATTAAAAATTTGCCACCTTAAATTTTTTTTTAATTTTGAATTAGTGTCTACATATCCTCACCACAGCCACTCTGCATGTCACAGGATGGTTTTTAATGAACAATCATTTGTCTTTATTGAGGCCTGTGTTAAATAAAGCAAGAATTCAGCACTGCCACGTGCATCATGGAGAGGGAGTGTGCACAATAGCACGTCCCATGCACTGTAACTGAGGCAATTAGTTGCCTATTTCTTACATTAGCACATATGGGTGACATGTTCAGAACACCTACACACACTCAGCAGAATGATTGTCTCCATATTTCTCCAGAAAAATCACTAACTAGCACCAGATCTATTAAAGCTATATTATTTACCAAAAAAAAAAAAATGGTAAGTGCTGTAAGAGATGTAGTCAATATGTATTCTGGCAAAAATGTTTCATTTTATTGAAATACTTATCCCTGTAAATGATGTTAGAATTAAAGTATTGTCAATGTTTACTTGTCTTCCTATAATTGAAGGGACTCAGAATTTGTAAACATCTGTCTCAGGATGTCTAAGATGCCTTTGGACAATTACTTTTTAATGAACTTCTACTTGACATATAATCAAACTAAGTTGCCCTGGAGACCTTACCCTGGAGTTTTTCTTGCCTATACTTATTGCCCTGTTAAATATAAAGCTTATAGTCATCTTCTGTGCTCTGACTTTCCCTCTAAGTTATTGGTTATTAAATCAATTCATATGTAATTAGCAAGATCATGTCTTTACTACAAATCCTCCAGTAACTCCTAGATTATCTCTGAGAAGACGGAATGTGTTAATGAGTATAAAAAGATAAATGAGATCAAATTCCTTTAAGGAAGATGCTTGTATTTCTGTGTGGCACTAAAGCCCTCCTAAAGTAGGCTCCCTCTACCTTTCAAAGGTATTCTCTACTTAACTTTCTGCTTTAGACAAACTGGTCTACCCACCATGGTTAGAGCAAGGCTTCAGCTTACTTGATTTCTTAGACTTCACCAGAGTTCCCAACCCTATCGTCAAAGTCAAATAAAATACAGAGACAAAGCTCTGAAATTAAAATGTTTTATTTGTGAAGAAAGAATTGCAGTTTGGGGCATACAACACACACTGCCTGGTCTTTGATACGTACAAAGAACAAAGGCTAGAGGTTTTATAAAAAGGAGAAATGTTACACATTGCTCTTTGAAAAAGCTCGTGAGTACTAGTAAGGTTTGGGGAGCTGGCAAGCTCTAATTGGTGAGTGACAACATTAGGTAAAACTGGCCTTAAAGTTGCAGCAAGTGGTTTCAGTAGCAATTAGATAAAACTGGTTTCAGTTTATAGCAGACAGTTTTAGCTGCCAGGCTTTCAGATAATTACATTTTTGGAGCAATGTTTTGGACCCTGAGGGTTTTTTTCCTCTGACTTTTTGATTCTGTTTTAGGTGGGTATGGCAAGAATGACCCAATTTGTATAATCAACTTTCACACTATCATCTTTACTCAACGTTTACTCATCTTTTAAGCTGTGGCTTATGTCCCTCACACCTTGTTTATGACATCTACCTCTGGGCAATTGAGCTAATCTCTGAAGAGTCAGTTCTATGCCCCAAACTAAACACTGGGGCTTCTAAGATGGTGAGGCCTTGTTCCTGTTCTCAGAGGTTTACAGTCCAGTGGGAGAGACCTTGGTCACAGTGTGCATTTGGCTCTTTGACAGAAGAATGCCTGTGCACTCAAAGAGGGGACATGAACCCCAGTGACAAGAAAAGCAGAGGTGAAGCTGGGATGATCAGAGGCCACAAGAGGAAGAGGCGCATGACAATTATCACTGTAGAGAGTGAAGAGGGAGTGAATGGCTCATAGAGAAATGAGAATTGGATGCTCCTGGGCAAGTGCATATCCTAAAGTGGGAGGGGGAAAGTTGTAAGAAATTCAACCAGAGAGGTGAGCAAGAGGAAGATCTTAAGAAGCCCAGTGTGCTTTGTAGATGGGCTTGAATTTCATCTTTGGCCATAAAGGAGCACTGCAGTGACAAAGGAGATCCTCTTTAAAGTTTCTTCCAGCTTGGAAATTCTGTGATTCTCTGATCCCCAAATCCACAGTGCTACTGCTCTCTGCTACTTAATACACTTACCAAAAACTAACTTGATTGGCATGTTGTTCTTATTTGTGTCTATACTGTATCCTCTATAATGAACTTTGTGCATAGTAGATCCTCAAAAAAATCCTTATTAGCTTTCTCTATTATCTTAAAGTATGTTTTTGGAGGATGGATACCACATCTTATTTGCTATTTCATCCCCACAGTGCCCAGTATAACAAGTATATATGGAATAGATGAATGAAAGCTATGGATGGGGCGTCCCAATTTGAATCTATGACATCTTCTTTTCCGTAATCTCAAGGCTTCAGTTAAGGACCTGTGTGAAAACATGTTTTTCTTCATTTTTTTGCTTTACAAATATTGGCTGAAAGCCTATGAGATGCCACTATCTGAATATGCAATACTGAATACTGCCCTCATGGATTTTATATTACACTTCCTTTCTTGCCTCTCTGCCCTTATCCTTATGATTTAAAAGGCTCAAGAAAATTAGAAGATTCTTCTCCACATAAGCCATGGGGAATAATTTGAAAGGATCTGGAACACTGCTCAAAATTTAATTGCCTTTATATTATTTCTGGTTGTTTCTGTTTGTTTTTTGTTTGAAATGGAGTCTCGCTCTGTCACCCAGGCTGGAGTGCAGTGGCATGATCATGGCACACTAGAACCTCTGCTTCCTGGGCTCAAGCAATAATCCCGCCTCAGCCTCCTGAGTAGCCGGGACTACAGGCATGTGCCACAAGGCCAGCTAATTTTTGTATTTTTCTGTAGAGATGAAGTTTCACCATGTTGCACAGGCTGGTGTCAAACTTCTGGGCTCAAGTGATCTGCCCACCTTAACTTCCCAAAGGGCTGGGATTACAGACATGAGCCACTGAGCCTGGCCTATTTCTGTTTTTGTTGTCATTGCTGCAAAGATATTTGGTATAGTAAAAAGGTCACAGAATGCTGTTATGGACTGAATGTTTGTGTCCCTCCAACATTCGTATGTTGAAATCCTAACCCTCAAAGTGATGACATTTGGAGGTGTGGCCTTTGGAAGCTAATTAGGGCATGAGAGTAGAGCCTTCATAAACGGAATTATAAACGAGAGACAAGAGAGCCTGCTTCCTCTCCCTCTCCCTCAGCCATGTGAAAATACAATGAGATCTCCACCTGCAAACCAGGAAGAGGACCCTCAGCAGACACAGGATCCCATGGCACCTTGATCTTGGACTTCCCAGCCTCTAGAGGTGTGAGAAATAAGTGTTTGTTGTTCCAGCCACCTAGTCTATAGTATTCTATTATAGTACCCTAAACTGACTAAGATAAATACGGTGTCAAACATACTGAGTTTGGATCTTCATTCTGCCAATATCACACACCCATATTCTTTCACACCCTACCTTTCTTCTCTAATTCTTTGTTTATCTGTCAGTAACATTGAGCTCACTAGGGTAGTACATGGCATCTGTTTGGTGTTCAGTAGATGCCAGTTTTCCATCCTTCTGTTTATTTTCTACAATGACTTCAATTTCTTCATGGAAGTAGATTGATGTGAAGAACTTACAGTTAAGCCATTTGAGGCCCTCCCAGTTTCAGATGTCAAGACAGTACATAATTTTGGGCCTCATGCCACACTGTAAAATAATAGGAAAATGACAACATTAACTTTCAAAACAAATGGTTAGTAATAACAGAAGTTTTATCCCTTGTATTAAATGTCTTAGGATAAGCCTGAAAGGCAGGTATTACCCATATGCATTTTATAGATGAAAAAATTGAGGCTCAGAGAAGATAATTTGTCCAAAGTCATATAGTGAATTAGTGATCAGGCTAGGATTTGACACAAAGTTATGTTCAACATCAAAGGCCCATGCAGTCTCTAAGAAGTACAATATGAAAAAAGTAAAATTCTACTGATCGTAAAGAGTTAAAAGACAGAGGCCTGATTTAAAGAGCCTAAGAAAGAATAGGAGAAAGAAATTGTACCACAATAGTCATGCTTAGGAGCACAAATTATCACATTGTTTGTGTAGATTAAATTCTGGCCAAGAAAATATCTTGAACATTTGGCCTGAAAAGCCTTGAGCATAGCAATGACTCAGTCAAAACATTAACTTGGACACTTGATATACCGCTCCAGAAACAACTATTTAGTTGGTTTGTCTTGTGCTACTGTATGTTCCAAATATTTTTTATTCTTATGTTTTTAAATATAACACATAAAAGGTAATATATGTAGGTTGAAATTACTAATTTTCATAACTGACTCTTCTGATCTCACCTGCTGATGATATAAGGCCTAGGTGAGCCCCATTCTTTGCAAAATTAGAAATGAAAGGAGAATTTAAAGTACTCATAATTCTTTGCCAGAAATCCTGCTTGCTTCCTGGTGATGCCTCCACTTCCCTTGCCCAGACCACCCCCCCATACCCTGGGTTTTTATTTTGCCACATTTCTCTGTATCAATTCATGACATCAAAGCCTCAGTCAAGTGTCCCTTCTGCCCACAGTGGCCCACACTTCAGAATTACTGTGCGTTCTAGTCTGGTCTGGGATTAATCTGGCCTGCTCAGAAAGAAGAAAGCAATTTATCTTTGAATTAACATAATTCACTTTATCACGTTAATAGCAAGCAGAGGCCAGTGTGTTTCTTCCAAGCATATTTGCAACCAAAGAAGAAAAATCACAGAAAATTGAGAAATGGCGCATCAGGTATCCCATGAGAGTATGGTGTGGTTAGAAAAAGAAGCATGTGTGGACAAGTGCTGGGATGGTCCACGAGGAAATTCTATATTAGAAAGAGGAAGAGATGAGGTATACACTACTGACGTAGTTTTACTAACTTTGTATGTGAGGGAGGAGGGGTAAGGAAAATAGATTTAGCAATCTGCAAAGTGTGGATCAGTGATCTCATTATTCTCAAATCCAGAGGAAAAAACATGCACATCTTAAACAGCTACTTGGTAGAAACATACATTATGTAATAAATATATTTTGGGGTTTTTGTTTTTTAACTGCAATAGATAAAAGCATTTCTCTTGTGTCCAAGGAAGGCTCAGAGAGATTGGAAAGGAATCCTGCAGCAGATAGACTTGAACTGATCCTCAGCCTGCTGCCCGGTTCTCCTCATCACAGTCCCTTCTGCCAGATGAGATCTTACATGTGATGAACCCTGCTTACCATCCAGCTACCAAAGTCAGCTTTCTAAATATCTGCCCTCGCTCTACATCACACAGTTAGTTGGGGCCCCATCATGGGCAAAGTTTTCTCAGTTACTGCAAAGTGTTTAGAATGTTCCTGAGCCTAAGAATCTCCTTTAAGCCTAATTTTAAAGTCAGTAAGAATCAGAACTCCAGGGCAGTTTTACAGTGGTGGCAGTGACTTTAAATGATGCTGGAGAATGCTTCCTTAGAGCCATGCTAGAAGCCAGTAAAATAACTAATTGAGCCGTTATTCTGTTAACTTAGGAAAGGCATCAATTTTCATTTGCTTACCCCACATCTGCCCTCATTTTGACGCCTCCTGTTAGTTCAAATACTTAATAGTGTAAAGGGCAAAAAATACAAAACAAAAAACAAATCACGTCACTAGTCTTGTAGATTCTTCTAAAGTGCACAGCCTACGATGCACACTGTCTCCAGTAGGAAATTACATTCATGGATGTCTTCTCTTCTCAGCACCACAAAAACTGTGTTCAGAAGCCTAGGCTCTCTGCAAGCTTTGACAGGCAGCCGTTCACAGTGCCTCCCATGATGACTCTGGCTTCTGGATGGAGAAAAGAGTTTTCTGTCAGCAGGATTCATTTACATTCTAACTGACAAGGTTTCAGTGTCAGAGTCTTTGTTTTATGCTACAGTGTCTGTTCAAATTAACAGTGAGCTCTGTTGTGCTCTTCTGACCAAGGGTCACATTCTCATCTGATGACCTGCTCTGGGCAGGTACAAGCTGCATTGCCATAAAAGCCATGGCTGTTAATGTCCTGTCTTTTACAAGAGAATACTAGAATCTCCTTTATGCATAAAAATATTTCGTTGATTTGAGTTTACAAACATTAACTTTATTCAATTTTCAGTATGATCTACTTTCTTCTTTTTTATTCTCATTGCTAGATTGAAAATTCTATACAAGAATGTGAGACTATTAGGAACTGAATATCTTACGTGGTTTCTTTAAAAGACAACTCTGCAAGTTATGTGGTGATCTGTTTTACCCTACCCAATATAATTTAGGATTTATTATGGCTTCAATTCAGATTTTGATTCTGCCTTGTGAGCTAATGACTCTGTGAGATTCCCTACTAGTATCATAATTCCTGCCAGCATGTTAGGGGTGAGTCTGGGCGTAGGAGGTAGGCATGTGTCAGGACAGAGAATTAGGCAATTCCTGGGATCATTGAGGTGAAGGGATGAGATTTGAAGGGCGTAGTGAAGAGTCAATGGACGATGAGTAAATGAATGGACTCTGTGGTTACTAATGTTTGTGAGATTTTTAAGTCCTTTCAATGTCAAAAACTACTCTGAGCCTCAAATATATAACTTGGCACTTTTGAAAGGGACAAAAACATTTGCAAATTAGCAGAGAAAAATTCTCATGTTTAAATGATTTTATTTGCAATTAAAAAAACTAAGGTTAGAAATTTTTCAGAATTTTAGAATTTTAAAAAATTTTATTTTTATAAAATTTCTTATTTGCTAAATGGTATTCAGTTGTGTTAATCATACTTTCACTAATTTGCCTTTGAGAACTTTATCATTTTTTAATTCAATAATCCTATACTGAGACATGTCATAGTGGCCAAATTTGCAAATGTGATTTTTCATTTGAAAGGGATCAGTTACATTCCATGTATGGGCTGATCTATCTGTCAAAAGATAGATATATATATAACTACACAGATTATGTCTAGAGCAAAGCTCATGATTCTGTATTGCTCGTGATTATTAGTAAATGAGCCTCTCAGAGATTATTTTTCTTTTCTGCCTGGAAAGACTGATAGGCCACATACTTCAACCCCTTTTGAGTAGGTGTGGCCATGGAACTCAATGAATGATGAACGAAATGGTATGTTCCACTTGTGTGCTAAGAATAAGTAATTATGCTTTTTCCTCCCTTTCCTCCTTTAGCAGGTGGCTGTATTAGGTTGAAAAATTAACCATTAAAAGTAATGGCAAATCTGCAATTACTTTTGCACCAACCTAATGCATGACAATGATAAGGCCCTGGGGGTCGCAGAGCTTCAAAATGGAAGGAATTCAGTTCCCTGAGTAATTGAGTTGGGGAGAATTATCTTTGCTAACCAGCTACACCATCTCAGATTGTTAGATAAATGAGAAATAATTTTCTGTTGTTTTTGAACGATTATATATTTTGGAGCTTGTCTCATATGCCAGGCAGGCATTTTATATAAATTTTCTCATTTAATCTTCAAATAGATTAGCTATAGCATAGATTTTTATTATTATTATACTTTAAGTTCTAGAATGCATGTGGAGAACGTGCAGGTTTGTTACATATGTATACACGTGCCATGGTGGTTTGCTGCACCCATCACTCTGTCATCTACATTAGGTATTTGTAGGAGTAGTGTGTGATGTTCCCCAGTGTGTGATGTTCCCCTCCCTGTGTCCATGTGTTCTCATTGTTCAACTCCCACTTATGAGTGAGAACATATGGTGTTTGGTTTTCTGTTCCTGTGTTAGTTTGCTGAGAATTATGGTTTCCAGCTTCATCCATGTCCCTGCAAAGGACATGAACTCATCCTTTTTTATGGCTGCATAGTATTCTATGGTGTATATGTGCCACATTTTCTTTACCCAGTCTATCATTGATGGGCATTTGGGTTGGTTCCAAGTCTTTGCTATTGTGAACAGTGCTGCAATAAGCATACATGTGCATGTGTCTTTATAGAATGATTTATAATCCTTTGGGTATATGCCCAGTAATGGGATTGCTAGGTCAAATGGTATTTCTGGTTCCAAATCCTTGAGGAATCGCCACACTGTCTTCCACAATGGTGGAACTAATTTACACTCCCACCAACCATGTAAAAGCATTCCTATTTCTCCACATCCTCTCCAGCACCTGTTGTCTCCTGACTTTTTAATGACAGCCATTCTAACTGGCATGAGATGATATCTCATTGTGGTTTTGATTTGCATTTCTCTAATGACCAGTGATGATAAGCTTTTTTTTTTCATATATTTGTTGGCCACATAAATGTCTTCTTTTGAGAAGTATCTGTTCATATCCCTCACCCACTTTTTGATGGAGTTGTTTGTTTTATTCTTGTAAATTTGTTTAACTTCCTTATAAATTCTGGATATTAAACCTTTGTCAGATGGGTATATTGCAAAAATTTTCTCCTATTCTGTAGGATGCCTGTTCCCTCTGATAATAGTTTCTTTTGCTGTGCAGAAGCTCTTTAATTTAATTGGATCCCATTTGTCAATTTTGGCTTTTGTTGCAATTCCCTTTGGTGTTTAGGAACATGCCTATGTCCTAAATGGTACTGCCTACGTTTGCTTCTAAGATATTTATGGCTTTGGGTTTTACATTTCAGTCTTTAATCTATCTTGAGTTAATTTTTGTATAAGATATAAGGAGGGGGTTCAGTTTTAATTTTCTGCATATGGATAGCCAGTTTTCCCAGCACCATTTAATTAACAGGGAACCCTTTCCCTGTTGCTTGTTTTTGTCAGGTTTGTCAAAGATCAGATGGTTGTAGATGTGTGGTGTTATTTCTAAGGTCTCTGTTCTGTTCCATTGGTCTATATATCTGTTTTGGTACCAGTACCATGCTGTTTTGGTTACTGTAGCCTTGTAGTATAGTTTGAAGTCAGGTGGTGTGATGCCTCCAACTTTGTTCTTTTTGCTTAGGATTGTCTTGGCTATATAGGCTCTTTTTTAGTTTCATATGAAATTTAAAGCAGCTTTTTCTAATTCCATGAAGAAAGTCAATGGTAGCTTGATGGGAATAGCATTGAATCTATAAATTACTTTGGGCAGTATGGCCATTTTCACAATATTTATTCTTCCTATCAATGAGCATGGAATTATTTTCCATTTGTTTGTGTCCTCTTATTTTCATGAGCAGTGGTTTGTAGTTCTCCTTGAAGAGGTCCTTCATGTCCCTTGTAAGTTGTATTCCTAGGTATTTTATTCTTTTTGTACCAATTGTGAATGGGAGTTCACTCATGATTTGGCTCTCTGCTGATCTATTATTGGTGTATAGAAGTTCTCGTGATTTTTGCACATTGATTTTGTATCTTAAAACTTTGCTGAGGTTGCTTATCAGCTTAAGGAGTTTTGGGGGCAGGGGGCGCTGAGATGATGGGATTTTCTAAATATGCAATCATGTCATCTGCAAACAAGAGACAATTCAGGTCAATATCTCTGATGCACATCAACGTGAAAATCCTCAATAAAACACTGGCAAACTGAATCCAGCAGCACATCAAAAAGCTTATCTCCCACAGTCAAGTCGGCTTCATCTCTGGGATGCAAGACTGGTTCAACATATGCAAATCAATAAACATAATCCATCACATAAATAGAACCAATGACAAAAACCATATGATTATCTCAATATATGCAGAAAAGACCTTCGATAAAATTCAACATCGCTTCATGTTAAAAGCTCTCAATAAACTAGGTATTAATGGAACATATCTCAAAATAATAAGAGCTATTTATGACAAACCCATAGGCAATATTATACTGAATGGGCAAAAGCTGGAAGCATTCGCTTTGAAAACTGTCACAAGACAAGCATGCCCTCTCTCACCACTTCAATTCAACACAGTATTGGAAGTTCTGGCCGGGGTGATCAGGCAAGAGAAAGAAATAAAGCCTATTTAAATAGAAAGAGAGGCTTGTTTTTAAAGGCTTTGTTTGATGCATATACCACATTACTTTACTTCAGATGTTATGTGGACTGCTGCAATTTTTACCTACCTAATGACCATTTTATCTTCTTCTGGTAACAACATACTTTTGCTTTGGGGAAAATTACCATTCTCATCTCTCAGTCCATGTTTTTGTGGGGGATGATCTTCCCTGGTATACCAGCCTTCACAGGCCACATGAGCCTAAGGTTGTGCTAGAAGATCATGACCTAAGTCTAGCCAATCAGTGTGTTCCATCTCACTGACCATGGTGACTGAATCATAAAGAGCCAGGGGTCCTGGTAGATCCTGCAGCACACAATCTGAGATTTTGTTAGCACTACTGGGATGGAGTTATTCTCTTTCTGCAAGTCTATAAGCCTGTAGGTGCTAGGGGCTACCATGTGAAAAGTGCTTGCCTGCAAATCAGTCGATATAGATGAGGTAAGGACGGAAAGATAAAGCAGTCAAAGAAAAAGATAAAGAAGTCAAAGCTATCCTTGGACTAGCCATTGTGCTTTAGCCATTTTTGAAACGGGCTCTTGAAACTTGCAAATGAAAGAATATTGTTTAATAAACATACATAAAGCATGAAAGAAATAAGCATATGCTATGTAAGTCATCCTATTCATATACCATAATCATATTTCAATGAGTTATCAGAAATATAGTAACTACTGCAAAATAACTTCTCCAAAGAGATAGAAGGATTTAGAAAAAGCTAGACATAGTCCAACGTAGGATTTCTTTAGATAAATTGCTTTTATAGAAATTCTTGATTCTGTCCATTACTATTTATTGGAGAGTAACGTTTCTTCTCTAGAACTTTTTTTCCCAGTATATCTCTGATTTTACCTTTAATTTAAAAAAAATCTACAATACGTCACCACATATCTATGACCTCAGTCTTATAGCCATGGATTTGGCTAGTGGCAATACTCAACCCCCTCTTTACAAAAGCAGAGATTATAAACAATTTTTGTTAAAAATAAGTTCACAATAAGTTCATGAAGAAATGTCTACTAAAATTAAAACTGCATTTTTGAATATACCTGGATAGACTCCAACAACCAGCACACAACAGAAAAAAAATCCCTTCTGGGTGTTCCAAAAAGCTTAATTGTTTTAAGCCAGCTTCATTTTATCCAAACAAAAAAGAACTGCAGTCATAAATTTGATAGATTTTATTTGCCATTTTAGAGACTCATCAAAAGAACAAAAAATACAGAAATCAGCATTGCAACATACATATTTCTCACTTTGTTTTATGAGTAAACAGAGAGTTATATATGGAGATAATATTTTTAAGTTTATTTGCAGTGAGAATGTTTAATGTTTTAAAGATGACATTAAATTTAAAAACTAACTTCTAAAATTCTATTTAGATAAATGCTAACTGAATATATCAGAAAATGTTATTTAGAGAACTTTTCTAAGATTAAAGATGAAAAGTAGAAAGAAAAGTTTGCATTTTAAAATGCAAAATATAGAACGAAATGTTAAAATAATTGTTTGGAAGGAAAATCCAATTTCCTAAAACTGTGGTGTAATGTCTTTAGAAATATCCAGTTAGATATTTGCTATCCTAAGCTATTTAAAGGGGCCTTAACCTTGTTATCTCCATACATGATCTTCCAAGTTAAATCAAATGTCAATGTATAATAGTCCACTGGTAACTCCCAAGGCAGAAGACTTTGGAATCACACAAATACATATTCTAAATATGTGAAAAATCAAGTATGTATCTGATTGATTTAATCAAGCCCTATGTGATTACATGGAGCTGAAATTCACTTAAAGTAACTTCAGTGAAACAGTTATGGCATATTTGACTCAAGTGAAGATAAAATTATTGAGCTGGAAAATAGATCTGAATAAAGTTTCTATAATACAACACAGAGTGAAGAGATAGAAACAATGTTATGAAACATGGAGGATTGAGTAAGAAAATCTAATGTACATCTAAACAGAGCTTAAGAAGGAGAGGAAGCAGTGAGGCAGAGGAAATATTTGAAAATGTAATACCTGAGGGTATTCCAGAACTGATAAAAAAAACTAATTAGAAGATTCAAAATGACCAATAAGTCTCAGGCAATATCTTTGAAATCTGTACCAAGACAGTATAGTGAAAATACAAAACAACAAAGGGAAGAGCGTAAAGGTGGCCTGTGGAAGGGGTATTCGGTTAGATTACCCCTAATATATCCAAATCATCTGACTGTAAGCCAATACACTCATACTTTGTAATTTCTGAACCTGACTATTTTCATATGATTTTTTTCACAATCTGTAGGACATCATAAATGAAGTCTATGCTTTGCTTCATGGGATAATTTGTCAGATACTTAAAGACAATAATCACATTCTCACCATAATTCTTCCTATTCCAATCATCACATCTTTCACAAACTGTGCAGTTTTCAAGGTTTTCATCAATCTGTTATTGTCTTTTAGCTAAATATCGTGTCCTTTTGGCCCTCAGAAGAGAACATCAGCTTCTCAGTGAGGCTTGATTATGGTTGAGCACAGAGGGGTGATTATCTTCTTTGTTACTACCATTCTACCTCTATTAAAGCCACCTAAAAAGTTTAGCTGTTTTGTGGTAACCACATTATACTTTGTCACTCACATTTAGGTCACAGTCCTTTAAAGATTATACACACTTTACACAGATGCTACTAAATCATGCCTTCTTGCCTTTGCAGTTCTCTTTGAGGATACAAGTAAAAACTTTAGGTTAATTTCTGTTAAGTGTCATTTTGCCACATTCAGTCTTATTTAATGCAAATCACTTTGATTTCAGTTTCTTGAAATAAATTGAATAATAATATTTTCACTTAGAATAAGACACAGCTCAATTACTGACTCATGAAAAATACTTAGTCTATAGACACTGTTATTACTGATTAAATTTATGTTCCAGGCACTATGCTAATTGACTTTTCTAATGCCTTTCACTGCCATTACCTACTTGCGATAGGTAAGATCACCTTAAATTTACAGATGAAGAAGGCGGAGCTCAGGATAGCTAAGGAAATATACCCTGTAAGTGGTAAATCGGGGATTGGAGTGTATTAGTCCATTCTTGTACTGCTATAAAGAAATACCTGGGCTGGGTGTGGTAGCTCACACCTGTAATTCCAGCACTTTGGGAGGCCAAGGTGGGTGGATCATGAGGTCAGGACATTGAGACCATCCTGGCTAACATGGTGAAACCCCGTCTCTACTAAAAATACAAAAAAAAAAAAGTACCTGGGCATGGTGGTGGATGCCTGTAGTCCCAGCTACTCGAGAGGCTGAGGCAGGAGAATGGCTTGAACCCAGGAGGCAGAGCTTACAGTGAGCGGAGATTGCGTCACTGTACTCCAGCCTGGGCAACAGAGCAAGACTCCGTCTCAAAAACAAAACAAACAAACAAAAAAAAAACAAAAAGAAATACCTGAAACTGGCCAATTTATAAGAAAAGAGGTTTAATTGGCTCATTGCTTCACAGGCAACTGCACAGGAAGCATGGCTAGGGAGGCCTCAGGAAGCTTTCAATCAAGGTGGAAGGTAAAGGGAAATGGGAAGCAGGCACATCTTACATGGCCAGAGAAGGGGGCGGTGCTACACACTTTTAAACAACCAGATCTCGTGAGAACTCACTCACTGTCACAAGAACAGCAAGGGGGAAACCTGCTCCCATGATCCAATCACCTCTCACCAGGCCTCTCCTCCAACAGTGGAGATTATAATTTGACATGAGATTTGGGTGGGGACACAATTCCATATATCATTCTGTCCCTGGCCCCTGACAAATCTCATTTTCTTTTCACCTTGCAAAATACAATCATCCCTTCTCAACTTAAGTCCCCCTAGTCTTAGCTCATTTCAGCATTAACTCAAAAGTCTACAGTCCAAAGTCTCATCTGAGACAAGGCAAGTCCATTCTGCCTGTAAGCATATAAAATCTAAAACAAGTTAGTTACTTCTAAGATACAATGAGAATACAGGCATTGGGTAAATACACCCATTCCAAAATGGAGAAATCAGCCAAAACAAAGGGGCTACAGTCCCCATGCAAGTCTGAAACCCATCAGAGAAGTAATTAAATCTCAAAGCTCCAAAATAATCTCCCTTGACCCCATGTCTCACATTGAGGCCACACCAATGCAAGGGGTGGCCTCCCAAGACCTTGAACAGCTTCACTCCTCTGGCTCTGCAGGGTACAGCTCCCTAGGCTGCTTTCATGGGCTGATATTGAGTGCCTATGGCTTTTCTAGGTGCACAGTGCAAGCTGTTGGTGGATCTACCATTCTGGGATCTGGAGGATGATGGCCCTCTTCTCATAGCTCCACTAGGCAATGCCCAGTGAGGACTCTGTGTGGGGGCTCCAACCACACATTTCCTCTCCATACTGCCCTAGTATTGGTTCTCCAAGAGGGCTTCGCTCCTGTAAAAGACTTCTGCCTAGACATCCAGGTGTTTCCATATATCCTCTAAAATCTAGGCAGAGGCTCCCAAACCTCAACTCTTACCCTCTGTGCACCCACAGGCTTAACACCACGTGGAAGCCACCAAGGATTATGGCTTGCACCCTCTGGAGCAGTGGCCTGAGGTATATCTGGGGCCCTTTTAGTCATAGGTGTGGCTGGAGCAGCTGGGACACAGGGAGCAGTGTTCCAAGGTTGTGCAGGGCAGTGGGCCCTGGGCCCAGCCCACAAAACTGTTCTTTTCTCTTAGGTTTCCAGGCCTGTGATGGAAGGGGCTGCCACAAAGCAGCCCTCAAGGCATTTTTTCCCAATGTCTTGGCTATTAACATTCAGCTCCTCTTTATTTATGCAAATTTCTGCAGCTGGCTTGAATTCTTCCCCAGAAAATTGGTTTTTCTTTTCTGCCACATGGTCGGGCTACAAATTTTCTAAACTTTTGTGCTCTGGTTCCCTTTTAAATATAAGTTCCAGTTTCAAATCATCTCTTTGCTCATGCATATGACCATATGCTTTTAGAAGCAGCCAGGCCACATCTTGAACTCTTTGCTGCTTAGAAATTTCTTCCACCTGATACCCTAAATCATCACACTGAACTCAAAGTTCCACAGATCCCTAGAGCAGGGGCTCAATGCCACCAGTCTCTTTGTTAAAGCATAGCAAGATTGACCTTTACTCCAGTTCCCAATAAGTTCCTCATCTCCATCTGAGATCACCTCAACCTGGACTTCCTTGTCCATATCATTATCAGCCTTTTGGTCACAATAACTTAATAAGTCTCTAGAAAGTTTCAAACTTTCCCTCATTTTGCTGTCTTCTTCTGAGCCCTCTAAACTATTCCAACCTCTGCCCATTACCCAGTTCCAAAGTTGCTTCCACATTTTCAGATATATTTTATAGCAATGCCCTACTCCTACATACCAATTTTCTGTATTAATCTGCTCTCACACTGCTATAGAGAAATGCCTGAAACTGGGTAACTTATTTATATAAAGAAAAGAATTTTAATTGTCTCATGGTTTCACAGGCTATATAGGTAGCATGGCTGAGGAGGCCTCAAGAAACTTTCAACAGTGGTGGAAGGTGAAGGAAAAGTAGGCATTTCTTACATGGCCAGAGGAGGAGGGAAAAAGAGAAGGGGGAGGTGCTACACACTTTTAAACAACAAGATCTTGTGAAAACTCACTCACTATCACAAGAACAGCAAGAGGGAAATCCACCCCCATGATTCAGTCACCTCCCACCAGGTTCCTCCCCCAACATGGGGGATTACAATTTAACATGAGATTTGGGCAGGGACATAAATCTAAACCATATCAGGAAGTCACCACATCCATTCTGCCATATCTTCTGTCATACAACCTATTGGCTATCCCTTTCAGCTTTATAGTAAATTTATTTGACAAAAAAGATTTCAAAGTCTTTGTACAAGTTATTAGAAAAAAAAATCTTTGCAATTACCAACATCACTACTGGCAAGATCCATGTTATTTAGACCCTATACCAACCTCCTCCATTCCTCTACTATACATTGCATTGAATCCTTCTGGACCTAAGCACATCATCACCCTGTTTTATGAGGGGATGGCTACACTTAAAGCATAGCTGAACTGTGGTGAGGTAATGCTAACAGTATTTCACGATGTTCTTATTGACAACCTATAAACACTTGGCATTTTCCCTTGAATCAAGTTCATTGGTTGACAGTTAATGCAAGTTTATTATTCTCCAAGATCCTTTGCAAATTGCTGCTCAACATTCTAAACTGAGGGTTCCCTCTCAATATAATGGAATATAAAAGGAAATTTAAGCTTATATGGTTCATCATTCTAAAATTTTAGCTTCTATTTCTTTTGTGATTTTTAGCACTGTATATTTGAGAGGTTTTTTTCAGAATGAGTTAAGGAAAATTTCAAAAATGAAACAAAATATTAAAGAGTATAATTAAGCAAACATTCCCCCATAATTATTTTAGTAGGCTTATTGCCTGCTGTGGCAGACAAAGTCTGGGTGGGTCCCCTGATCCCTATTTTCTGGTATTAAGGCCCTTGTATGATTTCCTTCCTTTGAGCATGGGTGGAATCCATGACCGGATTTTAAACAGTAGAATGCAGCAAGTGTGATGGACTGTAACTTCCGTGGTTACATTACAGAGGATTGTAACCTCAGTCTAACAAGAAGAGTCTCTCCCTTGCTGGTTTAGGATAAACAAGCTGCCATGGTATGAGCTTTATGATGGAGAATACCACATGGTAAGAAACTGAGGGTGGCCTCTGACCAACAGCTTGCAAGAAACTGAAAGCTGCCAACAACCATGTACACTTGAGAGCTGGTCCCTCCCCAGCTGAACTTCAAGTGTGACTGCAGCCCTAGACAACACCTTGGTTGCAGCTTTGTGAGACCATGAAGCAGAAGCCTTGGGCAAGGGAGGCTTGGACTCTGACCATATGAACTGTAAGATAATAAATATGTGTTGTTTAAGCTACTAAATTTTTGATGATATTGCTACGTAGCAATAGATGGCTATTATACTTGCTCTCTTAAGAAGCAGCACATATAACAAAAGCAATGACATTCCCCAGTAGGGTGATGACAATGGATAGAGCAATGTTTTCTGAGTAGTATATCAGATGTTTCTTCCTGAAGGCATCTATGTTCTCCAGTTGTTTGAAACTGAACATTGGAAAAAACAAAAGTGAAAAATTCTGAGTGATAGGAACCTCCTCTATGGCATATCCCAATTATTTCCTCCTAAGAGTGGGTGAATCCAAGTTGGAATCGGATATGTGAGAATCTTAACAAGCTATGCCAGTTTTTCAGATGTGATTTAGAAACAGAATGTCTTTAATGCCTATTTCAAAGCACAGGCCACATTCTACAAATTAGTTAGGATCAAAGTTTGAGGCAATATCATGGTGAAAGATGACGTGTCCCTTTACTCAGTAGGTTACCATCATTCCAAAGGCACACATTTCTCAAAATAACTAATTATGACTGTATATGTATATTAAATTAAGAAATTGAATTTTCAAACTTAGTGTTTTTAGTAAGGTCAAAAACTTGATCCTATGAAAAAAGATTAGCTGAATTTTTACTTAGCTTTAAGACTAAAATGGTGTGATAGTTAATAAGCAAAAGATCACAAATCACAACCTATTAAAAATAAGGTTCTAAACTGGACATCTATTAATTCCCCAAAATTGTACATTTAAAGTTTTTAACTGACATTTACTATGTGGTAGGAAATGTTCTTTTCTAATGTTCATTTTAAAAATGCAGCTAGCAAAAATATAGGCAATACCATTCAGAACATAGGCATGGGCATGAAATCTTTGCCCGTGCCTACGTCCTGAATGGTATTGCCTACATTTTTTTTCTAGGGGTTTTATAATTTTGGGTTTTACATTTAAGTCTTTAATCTATCTTGAGTTAATTTTGATATAAGGTGTAAGGAAGGGGTCCAGTTTTAATTTTCTTCATATGGCTAGCCAGTTCTCCCAGCACCATTTACTAAACAGGTAATAATTTTCCCATTATTTGTTTTTGTCAGGTTTGTTGAAGATCAGATGGTTTTAGGTGTGTGGTCTTATTTCTGAGATCTCTATTCTGTTCCATTGGTCTATGTGTCTGCTTTGGTACCAGTACCATGCTGCTTAGGTTACTGTAGCCTTATAGTATAGTTTGAAGTCAGGTAGTGTGATGCCTCCAGCTTTGTTATTTTTGCTTAGGAATGTCTTGGCTATGTGAGGTCTTTTTTGGCTTCATATGAATTTTAGAATAGTTTCTTCTAATTCTTTGAAGGAACTTAATAGTAGTTTAATGGGCCGGGCACAGTGGCTCACGCCTGTAATCCCAGCACTTTGGGAGGCCGAGGTAGGCGGATCACAAGGTCAGGAGATCAAGACCATCCTTGCTAACACGGTGAAACCCTGTCTCTACTAAAAATACAAAAAATTAGCCGGGCATGGTGGTGGGCGCCTGTAGTCCCAGCTACTCGGGAGGCTGAGGCAGGAGAATGGCGTGAACCTGGGAGGCGGAGCTTGCAGTGAGCCGAGATCATGCCACTGCACTCCAGCCTGGGCGATAGAGCGAGATTCCATCTCAAAAAAAAAAAAAAAAGTTTAATGGAAACAGCATTGAATCTGTAAATTTGGGCAGTATGGCCATTTTCAAGATATTGATTATTCTTATACATAAGTATGAAATGTTTTTCCATTTGTTTGTGTCATCTCTTATTTCCTTGAGCAGTAGTTTGTAGTTATCCTTAAAGAGTCCTTCACTTCCCTTGTTAGCTGTATCCCTAGGTATTTTATTCTCTTTGTAGCAACTGTGCATGGGAGTTCATTCATGATTTGGCTCTCGGCTTGTCTGTAGTTGGTGTATGGGAATGCTTGTGACTTTTGCACATTGATTTTGTCATCTGCAAACAAAAACAATTTGACTTCCTCTCTTCCTATTTGAAAATGCTTCTTTCTTTTGCCTGATTCCCCTGGCCAGAACTTCCAATACTATGTTGAATAGGAGTGGTGAGAGAGGGCATTCTTGTCTTGTGCCAATTTTCAAGAGGAGTACCTCCAGCTTTTGCCCATTCAGTATGATGTTGACTGTAGGTTTGTCATATATGGCTCTTATTATTTTGAGGTATGTTCCTTCAATACCTAGTTTATAGAGAGTTTTTAACATGAAGGGATGTTGAATTTTATTGAAGGCCTTTTCTGCATCTATTGAGATAATCATGTGGTTTTTGTCTTTAGTTCTGTTTATGTGACAAACTACAGTGATTGATTTGCATATGTTGAACCAGCCTTGCATTCCAGAGATGAAGCCAACTTGATCGTGGTGGACAAGCTTTCTGATGTGCTGCTGTATTTGGTTGGCCAGTATTTCATTAAAAATTTTTGCATCAATATTCATCAGGAATATTGGCCTGAAGTTTCTGTTGTTGTTGTTGTTGTTGTTGTCATTGTATCTCTGCCAGGTTTGATATCAGGATGATGCTAGCCTCATAAGATGAGTTAGGGAGGAGTTCCTCCTTTTCAATTGTTTGGAATAGTTTCAGAAGAAGGGGTATTAGTTTTCCTTTTTACCTCTGGTTGAATTCAGTGGTAAATCTGTCTGGTACTGGGCTATTTTTTTTTTCGGTAGGCTATTTAGCACTGCCTTAATTTCAGAACTTCTTATTGGTCTATTCAGGGATTCAACTTCTTCTGGTTCAGTCTTGTGAAAGTGTATGTGTCCAGGAATGTATCCATTTCTTCTAGATTTTCTAGTTTATTTGCAAAAAGGTGTTTATAGTATTCTTTCATGGTTGTATTTCTGGGGGGGTCAGTGGTGATATTCCCATTACCATTTTTTTATTGTGTCTATTTTATTCTTCTCTCTTTTCTTCTTTGTTAGTCTAGCTGGCAGTCTATCTATTTCATTAATTTTTTCATAAAACCACCTCCTGGATCTATTGATTTTTTGGAAGTTTTTTTGTGTCTATTTCCTTCATTTCTGCTCTGGTTATTTCTTTTCTTCTGCTAGTGTTGGGGTTTGTTTGCTCTTGATTCTCTAGTTCCTTTAGTTGTGATATCAGGATGTCAATGTGAGATCTTTCTAGCTTTTTGATGTGGGTATTTAGTGCTATAAATTTTCTTCTTAACACTGCTTTAGCTGCATCTCAGAGATTCTGGTACGTTGTCTCTTTGTTCTCATTAGTTTCAAAAAACTTCTTGATTTCTGCCTTAATTTCATTATTTACCCAGGAGTCATTCAGAAGTAGGCTGTTCAATTTCCATATAGTTGTGTGGTTTTGAGTGAGTTTCTTAATCTTAAGTTCTAATTTGATTGCACTGTGATCTGAAAGACTGTTTGTTATGATTTCAGTTCTTTTGCATTTGCTGAGGAATGATTTACTTTCAACTATGTGATCAATTTTAGAATAAGTTGTGGCACCAAGGATAATGTATATTCTGTTGTTTCAGGGTGGAGAGTTCTCTATATGTCTATCAGGTCCATGTGATCCAGAGCTGAGTTCAGGTCCTGAATGTCTTTGTTAATTTTCTGTCTCGATGATTGGTCTAATATTGAGAGTGGGGTGTTAAAGTCTCACACTATTATTGTGTGGGAGTCTAAGTCACTTTGTAGGTCTCTAAGAATTTGTTTCATGAATTTGGGTGCTCCTGTATTGGGTGCATATATATTTAGGATAGTTAAGCAATTGCAACAAGAGCAAAAATTGACAAACAGGATCTAACTAAATTAAAGACCTTCTGCACAGTGAAAGAAACTATCATCAGAGCGAACAAGCAACCTACAGAGTCGGAGAAAATGTTTATAATCTATCCATCTGACAAAGGTCTGATATCCAGAATCTACAATGAACTTAAACAAATTTATAAGAAAGAAACAAAAAAACCTTATGAAAAAGTGGATAAAGGGCTGGGTGCAGTGGCTCACACCTGTAATAGCAGCGCTTTGGGAGGCTGAGGCAGGAGGATCATGAGGTCAGATCGAGACCATCCTGGCTAACATGGTGAAACCCCGTCTCTACTAAAAACCCGAAAAGAAAAAAATTAGCTGGGTGTGGCCGTGGGCACCTGTAGTCCCAGCTACTTGGGACACTGAGGCAGGAGAATGGTGTGAACCTGGGAGGCGGAGCTTGCAGTGAGCTGAGATTGTGCCACTGCACTCCAGCCTGGGTAACAGAGCGAGACTCTGTCTCAAAAAAAAAAAAAAAAAAAGTGGGCAAAGGACATGAACAGACATTCTCAAAAAAAGACATTCATACAGCCAACAAACATATGAAAAAAAGCTCAACATCACTGATCATTAGAGAAATGCAAATCAAATCAAAACCACAATGAGATACTATCTCACATCAGTCAGAATGGCAATTATTAAAAAATCAAGAAAAAACAGATGCTGGTGAGGTTGTGGAGAAATAGGAATGCTTTCACACTGTTGGTGGGAATGTAAATTAGTTCAACCATTGTGGAAGACATTGTGGTGATTCTTCAAAGACCTAGAATCGGAAATACCATTTGACCCAGCAATTCCATTACTGAGTGTATACCCAAAGGAATATAAATCATTCTATTACAAAGATACATGCATGTGTATGTTCATTGCAGCACTATGCACAATAGCAAAGACATGGAATCAACCCAAATGCCCATCAATGATAAACTGGATAAAGAAAATGTGGTACATACGTACCATGGAATACTATGCAGCCATAAAAAGGAATGAGATCATGTTCCTTGCAGGGACATGGATGGAGCTGGAAGCCATTATCCTCAGCAGACTAACATAGGGACACAAAGCCAAACACCATATGTTCTCATTTATAAGTGGGAGCTAAACAATGAGAACACATGGACACAGGGAGGGGAACATCACATACTGAGGCCTGTCAGGTGGTGAGTTGGGGGAGGGGGAGCATTAGGAAAAAGTAGCTAATGCATGCTGGTGTTAATACCCAGGTGATGGGTTGATAGATGCAGCAAACCACCATAGCACACATTACCTATGTAACAAACCTGCACATCCTGCACATGTACCCCAGAATTTAAAATAAAAATAAAAAGATGCAGTGATAGAGGTCTTCCCAGAAGACTAAAGCCCAAGTTTCATCTCTCACAAAAGACTAAGTCAAAGATTAGGTGTTTCTGCATAAGATATTTTATCAACAGAGAATAGTCAATAAATATTTATAGATGTATGTGATATTGGAGCAAAGCACTGACTGAAATGTGTTATTCTTTTTTTCTTCTTTATACTTCTAAGCTTAAAATAAAAATTGCTTTGGGGGAAAAATAAAAATGCAACTAGCACATAAAATGAGTGTGTTCAATCTTGGTATAAATTTCTAATTCCTACTACTAATTAGCCTAAAAGAGAGTTGTCTATATACTGAGAATTCCAATATGTGTAGGTTACCTCCTGGCACAGATATAAATGCTACTCAAGCAACTGTTTTGCAGGGAATTTAAGAAAATAAAAGGGAGGAAGAAGCTCTATTTTGGAGAGGTACTTATTATTTTTAAATTAATTAGCAAGAGGTGATTCTTTGTAAAATGACTTGGTGTTATTAAGTATTTCTGGGAAAAGGTAAGTGAGGGAATGCACAATGGAGTACAGGGAAAGAAAGAGATGTTTCTGAGTTAGGATACATTATATATCTCATTACCAAGCAAAATGAAACTTAGTAAATAGTCATTATGACTACCCCCTTTAGTTTCCATTGGGTCCAAATAAATGCATATAAGACATTCATAGTGAAAGAGAAAACCATAAGAATATTCTTCTATGAAAGAAGCATCAAGGTGACACTACATCAAAAACGTCTTTTTATATTAGGGTGTCTGGTCATCCTATTTCTCTTGTTTCTGCCTCAGGAAGAATCTCTAGATATAGACTATATTTCATAAAAGGTTTAGCTTTGTGTCATTTATGATTGCCTTTTATAATAACGAGTCATTTATGAAATATAAATCATATGGAAACCTATTGCAGTAAATCACATCCATGATAGTAAGTTTAGGCCTTGGCAGTGCTACTATCTTTCTGGGGATCCAAAGTCTTTACATTTTCCCTTGAGTCATGATGTAATAGTACCCTTCCATTATCATTTAAAAAGTCTGACTGTCTCAAGTTTTCTCTCAGTTGTCCTCCTCTGTTTTATAAGAATCTCCTAATACACATTTGCAAAACCCCTAGGTCAATTCTGACATTTTAATGTATGATCCAACCTTGAAAACGTTAGTCTCCCACCTCAACTTGGCAGCAGGAAAGTCTGGGGTGAGAAATGCATGGAAAGGGCACAGAAAAATACCACCTATATCATGAGTTCCTAATGATTACCTAAAAAACAATCCCTGAAAGTTCAAAAATTCCCATTACTATTTCGTTTTCAGAGATTTCCTAAAAAGTTTAGAGTGTGATATTGACACCCTTTTCTGCCAGATTTAGAAAACACTGCTGTAAACTTACAATGGTGACTCTTGTTCTAAAGCAGTTTTCCTTCAATTATAATTATTTATTTATGGAAAAATAGAAAATTATTACCCTTTATTAAAGTGATGCCACTACTAGAAAGTTTGAAAGGCGTTTTTGCCAAATGAAAGGAATAGAGAAACTGTCACTTGGAAAAAGCAGTTTGGCTGCCTAAATATTAAATATTGTTGATACAAATAGCAACCTTCTTACACCTCGTGGCTAGATTAACAAAATTAAAATTAGTGTAGGTCATTTCCTTGCATCCTGAGGAAAGTGGCCTTTGAATCTGCAGCTATACTTTAAAAGATTTGCTTAATAAAACTATATTTCAAATTAAGAACGTATTCTGTTTTATAATAAATACACAAAGAATCACCTTTCTTGATGAGAATATACTGCTAAATTCTTAAAGAAAATATCCTGGACAGATGCACAGTTCTTTGTTTTTCTGCATAGATCATAGATGTATTTATTTTTAGTTTCCTTCACTCTATAGAATTATTTGGAAAAATGTAGTCTTTAAACCCCCTAACCGTCATCTCTTACTTTTCCAGTAGACAAGAAATGCATCTTACTGTTTCATCTCGTATCTATGTAATTATGTCTGCACTGTTGTAAAGTGGGGAAGAGGGACGCTTCCCATCAAACTTCACTGATGTCCTGTCCAAAATCCAAAATCATCTGCCATTGGCAGGAATAAGATACTATAAGAATAATCTGCAACAACATTTAGGCATATACCCCTGAAATTAAAAAAAAATCATTAAAATTGTTATGATAAATAACTGAGATTTATAACTTGATTTTAGATAAGTTTCAGGTTTTTTTTTCAGTAATTGTGACGGTCTCAAAAATAAATTTGGTTACTTTGCCCTTGATATTGTAACAAGTCATTAATTAAACTGTCATGCTATGTTTCCTTCTATTTCATTGGCTAAATGGTGAAACTGGGTCAAGATTTGGAGTTTTCAGAATGATCTCCAATCTATTTTCACTTTCTCACATCTGCTACTGTATGAATCTGATAACTGTGACAGGTTCTTGGTATAAGATATTAGTTATTAAAAGCTGATATCTGAGTTATTATTTATGAAGCCTTTTTATTCATACATAGAATTAATAATAAATGATGCTCAAAAAGTAAAATATGCAAAATTGAACTATCTAGAATAGAAATGCAGGCAAATTAAGAATTAACACTTCTAAATAATTTGTCAAATAAATTAATCACAAGTTTAGTAGTTTAGACAAATTTAATCAAATAAGTATGTACCAGATGATGTTAACATTAAATTTCTTATGTGCCTTCTGATAGAAAATAAATGGAAATTATTAAGTGGCTGTTCTACTGATAAATTTATGTAACACATGAAAAATGCCGAAATGAAGGTGATGACATCATGTTTGACCACTACTGGGAGTCAGAGGACCTGGATTTTAGTTATTTTTTAGGCACTTACTGCCCCTGTAACCTTTATTAAGTGTGTAAACAGTTACCACCCAAAAAAGTCTGTTGATATTTGTGAATCCTTGTCATTTCCAGTGGCCTAAACTCTCATGCCAAGCACCATTGCTCCACATAGCTGTCCAGCATTCTTGCTTCTGAGCTACACAGTCTGTTCCAGTCAACCACGTGATGTTGGCATGAGTTAGAGTGTAAACGCAGGCCACTTCAAGGCTTCAGTCACCTAGTGTGGTTCAAAGGTTCAAAGACTAAAATCAGACCTAGGACAGTACAATAGGTCCTCAAATAAACATTGTTTTGTTCAACATAATTTCATTATAATGTTAATGAAAAAAAAATAAAAGATTCCTGGCCGGAGCCACTGTCTGCGTGAAGTTCGCACATTCTCCCCGTGTCTGCATAGGTTTCCTCTGGGCACTCCAGTTTCCTCCCACATCCAAAGATGTGCAAGTTACGTAAATTGGTGTGTCTGCACCCACTCTGATTGAGTGTGGGTGTGTATGTGAATGTTCCCTGTGATGGGATGGCATCCTGTTCAAAGTTTATTCTTGCCTGAGCTGCCGGGATAGCCTCTGGGCACCTGCGAACCTGAACTGGAATAACTGGGTAAATAATTATCTTACTTGTTTTTATTAATCTTTCTTAAATGTATGTATAGCTCACATGTATTTTAATGTTTAATATTAGGGGTGTTTTTGTCTTTATTTCGAAATTTGGTGATTTTTTTTTTTAACCAGAAATATGCTTTAGGAATTAACTCATTTGTATCAATTAGCCTATGGTAAAATCGGTTTCATTATACATTGTTTTGCTTGACGTCATAGTTTCCAAGAACCTACTGACAACATTAAGTGAGGACTTCCTGTGGAACAAAATGTCTAAGATCTTGGGCTTTGGAAATAAACAGGTCATGATTGAAATTCCAGGGTGACTTATTTCAACCTAAGTGAATTTGAGGTGTCGGAGCTTCAGTTTCTTCCTCTTTAAGAAGAAGTGTAAGGGTGGTAAAGAAATAAAAATAAAAATAAAAATAAAAAAAACAGACATGATTAACAGATAATTGTGGCTACTATGTGCCAAGTACTCTGCTAAATTATTTCTTCATAAAGCAGTTACCTCAGAGGTATCTTGCTGGGAAGATAAAATGAGAAAATGAACAAAGATCACAGACGAAGCACTTGATAAATAGTTCTTACTTTTTCTACTATTACTATTTTAGCTGGTGCTGCTACTGCTGCTTCTACTACTGCACTGCACAATGGCTCTAACCTGAAATAGCCTCCTTAATAGGACTGCAAGATAAAACACAGGGTATCTAGTAAATATATAGCTCAGATAAACAACAATTTTTTGTACAAGTATTATATGGGATATACTTATATTTCATGGTTTCATGGGACGTATTTATACGAAAATATATCTGAAGTTCAAATTTAACTGAGTATCTTATATTTTCATTTGCTAATTCTAGTAACTTTACTTCTCAAATATACATGTAATTTATCTAACATGTAGAAGAGTACAGATCGTTCATTAAATTAGTCATTAGCGCTGTCAACAGCATTTCAAAGCAATCCCGAAGTTCGGGAGGGGCAGTGGCATCTTCTGCAACTCCAGTAGAGGGTTCAAGCAGCACATCTCATCTTCATGCTATTCATGCACCATGTATTCTCTAGGCTAGTAGAAATCTTTTCAAGAATTTGGACTCTATTGCTCTTTTAATGAAGTAGTTTTATATAGATGATTATGCATAAATAAGTAACAGTAAAAAAAAACCCAACACATTAAAATTACACATAATAAGAATTTCAACAGCTGTGTTTTGAATTCATCAAGCATTTCAAAGGAATTTCCAACTGTTTATATGGCAACTCCCAAAATATTTTGCTAAATACAATATTCTTTTGATTACAAAATGTTATCTCTAGTATAAGAAAACTTAAGCCCTCTGTCTGTTTCTATCCAATTTATCTTTAAAACAGAAGAATAATATTTATTAAAAAGTTGCTTTATGCTCTTAAAAACCCTTTGTGTCTTTTTGCCTATACCCAATGTCTTATTTTAAAAATCGTATTATATATCACATAAAAAGGATTTTATTCTCACAGTATGGCAGAGCACTACGTACCAGGAAAGGATTCTGACTTTCACACTTGAGAGACATTTCTGCCCCTCCTTTCATATCACACATTAATCTAAAGATAAGACATGCCTCACACAACATTTGGAAGCTGTGCTCCAAAATGTCAGAGTTGAGCATTAACATTCTGTACTTTTATGTACAAAATCACCCCCTGTGAGCATAAATATCAGTCTAGTTGTGTACTTTTCATCATTATTTATTACGGAAACGATGCTTTAATATTTACATTAATTTTCCAAAAAATTAGTCATAAATCAAATTAAAACACTTTCTCTTCCAAGTAACTAGTATTACTTAGAAGACATACTTAAAAGTTTTTTGTTTCTATTGTGTTTTGTTGTTGTTGTTGTTGTTTTTTCTTTTTTTACAATGTGACATTTACTATTATCACCCCCACGTTTCTCTTTTGGAAAATAAGTAACAATTATAGAATTTGCAAATCAATTCTATCTTTATTCATTTGCACGAGTGAGGGCAAAATCACAAAATGAGTAAAGCTGGTATCTAGTGCCACCCTCCCACACACTCACAACCTTGTTCCTCCTTGACATCTTCTCAAACACTTGCAGGAAAAATAAAGAAACGAATATTTAAGCAATCAGATGGTCATGATAGAGTTTCACAGTGACTGACAATACACAATATTTATTCCTTTAGTAAGACAACTGTCTAGGACGGAACAAAGGGAAAGGCCCAAATAGTCATCATGGCGACATCTTTTGTCGCCTTCTAAAAACTGGTAGGATAAAACAAACACCATAGGCTCTATTTAGATTATTTTAAAAACTTTATTGCTATGTGAAGAAACCTCATGGCAGTGATGATGATTATCCTACCATTTGTTTGGTATTTTATGGTTCATATGACCTTTTATAAATTATTTGGGAGTATTATTAGTTAAAATCAAGAAAAACTGCCCTCTCCCTGTGAGACCTTGAATTAATTAACTTTTTATTTGCTTTGATTTTATATCTATTTTAAATGAGATAGGAAATAAATGACTCAGAATTCCAAGGGGCACATAACAGCTTGAAGAGTATTTTGTTTGTTTTTTTAACAAAGATACTTATTATTTTCTCCCAAGATAATATTGATTAACAATAAGGCTTTACCCTCAGCCCGCTGCTGGGGTGTTACTGTTTTTGTTAAAAAAAAAAATGTGAACTATAAAAATTGCTCCTCTCTCTCTCCTGTATTGGGAAAGGAGTGAAAAGGATGAGACAAGAGGATTCCAGCCATAAATACAGGCTTTTTTGATGACACCTAGTTACCATTTCCAAGAGATAAGGTGTCAAAACTTCACCTATTGTGTCCTAGACAACTGATAAGGATTATATTCAACTACAGTTTTCTTCATTTGAGAGACACTTTAAGAAGGCTTTCCTTATTCTCCAACACAAAAATTATAAAGGAGTGGTGTGCTTAATATCTCAAGATTGCAAATAGGAAGATAAAAATGTTTACAGAATATCTCAAATGTCCATTATTTTTCTTTTTTATAAGGTACAAAATATCCTGGGTAATGGAATGGCCCAGTCTGTGCAGAATTCTGTATTGGTACACTAATGTTTATCAAGCCCTGCTTGTCAAGATACAGGAAAACTTGTCACATAGAAATGGTGAAGAAGCAGCCAGGTTTGGTGGCTCATGCCTGTAATCCTAGCACTTTGGGAGGCCTAGGTTGGCAGATAGCCGGAGCCCAGGAATTCAACATAAGCCTTGGCAACACCACAAAACCATATCTCTACAAAAAATACAAAGATTATCTGGATGTGATGGTGTGTGCCTGTGGTCCCAGCTACTCAGGAGGCTGAGGTGGGAGGATCCCATGAGCCTGGGAGGCCAAGGCTGCAGTGAGCTATGTTTGCACCACAGCACTCCACTATAGGCAACAGAATGAGACTCTGTCTCAAAAAAAGAAAGAAAGCAAAAGAAATAGTTAAGAAGCATCCAGCACCTGTTGTTTCCTGACTTTTTAATGATTGCCATTCTAACTGGTATGAGATGGTATCTCATTGTGGTTTTGATTTGCATTTCTCTGATGGCCAGTGATGATGAGCATTTTTTCATGTGTTTTTTGGCTGCATAAATGTCTTCTTTTGAGAAGTGTCTGTTCATATCCTTCGCCCACTTTTTGATGGGGTTGTTTGTTTTTTTCTTGTAAATTTGTTTGAGTTCATTGTAGATTCTGGATATTAGCCCTTTGTCAGATGAGTAGGTTGCGAAAATTTTCTCCCATTTTGTAGGTTGCCTGTTCACTCTGATGGTAGTTTCTTTTGCTGTGCAGAAGCTCTTTAGTTTAATTAGATCCCATTTGTCAATTTTGGCTTTTGTTGCCATTGCTTTTGGTGTTTTAGACATGATATCCTTGCCCATGCCTATGTCCTGAATGGTAATGCCTAGGTTTTCTTCTAGGGTTTTTATGGTTTTAGGTCTAACGTTTAAGTCTTCAATCCATCTTGAATTTTTTTTTTGTATAAGGTGTAAGGAAGGGATCCAGTTTCAGCTTTCTACATATGGCAAGCCAGTTTTCCCAGCACCATTTATCACAAGAACAAAAAACCAAACACCGCATATTCTCACTCATAGGTGGGAATTGAACAATGAGATCACATGGACACAGGAAGGGGAATATCACACTCTGGGGACTGTGGTGGGGTGGGGGGAGGGGGGAGGGATAGCATTGGGAGATATACCTAATGCTAGATGACGAGTTAGTGGGTGCAGTGCACCAGCATGGCACATGTATACATATGTAACTAACCTGCACAATGTGCACATGTACCCTAAAACTTAAAGTATAATTAAAAAAAAAAAAGAAGCATCCAAACCAAAAGTGCAAAATTTTTCAGGAGTTTCCTAGTACACTCAAAGTGTGGTTCCTGGACCAACAGCATTAGCATCACCTGGGAACTTCTTAGACATACAGAATTTTCTTGATAGAAATGTTCCACTCCACACCTACTGAATGAATTACAAACTGCATTTTAACAGTACCTCAAATGATTCATATGCACATTACATTTTAAAAAGTATTACTTAAGCATAATCACAGTATTTTATTAAAGCCTTGCAACAAACCCATTAAAGAGATTATTGCTATAGTCTTCAGTATGGAATTCTCAGTTTTCTCAACAGTAAAGTAGGGGTTTTGAAAGAGCCTACATCAGAGTATGGAGGAAATTAAATGAATAAATTTAAATAAAATGCTTAGAATAGTGCCTATCATATAGTAAGAACTCTATATTTGTTAGACATCATAGTAGTAACTGACTTTTTTTTTCCCCCAGCACCTACGACATCTGATCAAATCCTCCAAATAACCCTATTAAATAGGTCTGACTGTCACCTCTACCTTGTGGAGGGTCTAAGGAAATGCAGTTTTGTCCAAAGTCACACAGCTGGTGAATATAATGCTGGCATTAAAACCACCAGACTCAAGCTCTGCATTAAAATGTGCCTCTCTTTAAGTCAAGTGCTTTAAGTTCAGGTCTTTTCAGTGCAACTGCTCTATTTTCCCACAAAGCTGCACTTCTCTCCAACCATCAATGAGAAGAGCATTTTCAGATGACAGATGACTCATTAATGCTATTTGATTCAGAAAACAATTACTGAGACTTTAGATCTGCCTTTCTGTTTTGCTCCAGGTCTTGTTCTTTTCCTCTCTGCTCTGGCCCTAGAGATCGCTCTGTCATTCTTTGCTTGCCTCCAAGCCAGAAGACAAGGTTTCAAATCAGCATCAAAATACTCTTAGAAGATAATGAAATCCTGAGCTGAGAGTTTCAGCTTCCCCTGGATTCTGCCTAATAAATAGCCTCTTAGTGTGTCTGTTTCATAGCGCTCTGAGGGCAATTTGCATTTTGATGGAGAACTTCTGAAGATGAAAAGCCTTAACCTACAGAAAAACTATCTAATGATAGTATATCAGGTATAAAAGGGCAGTGCACTCTAGGGTAAAACAGAATTAAAGGGGAAAAAAAGTTGTTCCAGAGAGCCTCTGATGGTAGCCTGTAGGCAAATGATGTCCCAGATAATAGCACCTCAGCCTAAGAGTCTCTACCAAGCAGCAAAGGGGAACATAACCTACATGTTTTAAGAAATGGAGATTAGGATCCTCAATCTAACCTCACAAGTGGTTTTTATAACTAAAATTTTAAAAATTATCTGTGATGGCCTATTAAGATGAAAAAAAAAAATGTCTCTCCACACCAGTGTGGGCTTGATGCATGGCCTTGAGCATGATGTTTGTGGGTGGAGGACATAATAGATACTTTCACTCTTTTCTATCCCAAAGGCAAGATTTTTGTCCTGGTAGTCTGAATAGGGAAGGCTGTCTTAGGGAATGGATGTCCAACTTTAAGAAATCTGGACTCATTTGCTTAGTAGAAAAATACACACAGATAAGATACTTTTTCTAATGTTTCATAAGTAGGACTCGGAGGTTTGGGAAATAGTACATTTGGTTGGTTTTACAAGACCAACCAAAGACTCGCTCAAGAATTTATGGGGTAGAATTGAAGCACAAGCCTTTTTTATGGTAAACCATTGAGGTCTCTGAAAAGACTACAATTCTAAATCTTTAAACAAGATGGAAAAATATTAGTTAAATCTTGAAAAAGACAGGAAACATCTACTGTCTGGATCTTTCGTTGTTTGAAATGATGAGAAATGAAGTAAGCTAGAGGCTTAAGTTTTTAAACTGTCCTTCTTCAAACTATGAGGTTCCTTTCCTTTTCTTAGATAAGGGCAAAAGAGATATTTCAGGCTGGTTAATAAAAGAAAGACATATTAGCCTAAGATCGAAATAATAAGACAGTGTGTATGCTTAAGGGTCAGTGTTCCAAAATGCATACAATCAAAAAGGTCTAAAATACTTCTAAAACTGCATAAAAACAAAGAAAACAATCTTATTAAAAAGAAAATAGAACAATGAGTTCAGAATAATATGCAGTTGATCTTTTGGCTTCACAGGCTAGCTCGAAGTTTGGAACAATTGAATATCATTGTTTTTCTGTTGTTCTTTGTCTTTAACTAAACATATTTTGTCAATATTTGTTTTGCAGAAGTGAGTGAGTTGTGACAAGAATGTTGCTATAGCCACCTATTTTTAATGAGTTTGGAGACTGTTATCCAACCAAACAAATAGCTCCTTCTCACTCAAAAATACTAGAAGGTAATCGAGAGGAAATTTGTAACTGAAAAATGACTCATCACAACACAAAAACAAATGTTTTTAATGGTTAAGGAAGAAAATCATAATTTACTGAGCAAGTGT
Organism: Homo sapiens; assembly: GCF_000001405.40. Lineage (NCBI taxonomy): Eukaryota > Metazoa > Chordata > Mammalia > Primates > Hominidae > Homo > Homo sapiens. The sequence continues at coordinate 153,546,513 of NC_000003.12, read as the reverse complement.
TTGTTCTTTGTCTCTAGGGCATTTAAATAACCCATATTTGAGTAAAATCTACTTAATCCCTTAAAATGGATTTTTTTGTTGTAACTTTAAAATGCTTAGCATATCTATTAATAATCAGTAAATCTTGATTGCAAAATATTCAATTACAATTTAAGAAAATCAAGTGACTGTCACTTTAAAAAATAATTTTATAATATTTAGCTCTAAAAAATTTTGAACTACTTTTCACAATTAAAAAAATGACCTGTCCGGGTGCAGTGGCTCATGCCTGTAATCCCAGCATTTTGGGAGGCCGAAGTTGGTGGATCACATGAGGCCAGGAGTTCCTGACCAGCCTGGCTAACATGGTGAAACCCCTTCCCTACTAAAAATACAAAAATTAGCCAGGCTTGGTGGCGCATGCCTGTAATTGCAGCTACTCAGGAGGCCAAGGCACAAGAATCATTTGAACTTCAGACAGGGAGGTTGCAGTGAGCAGAGATTGCACCACTGCACTGCAGACTGGGTGACAGAGCAAGACTCCATCATAAATAAACAAATAAATAAATAAGACCTAACTGTACTACATTCATGAAAGAAGATTATAGACTTTTTAATGCAGAAGAAAATGCAGGATGTTTAGAGAAAGTGTCAAAATCTCATTATTTAGGAGACCAAAATAAAAGGGGATGCAATTCAAGCTAATAAGGGTGTTTTAAAATATCTTTCATGCTAGTGACAAAGACATTCAGTATGTTGGAGACCTACAAAAAATTACCAAGGAAGGAAAAAAAGAGGAGAATGTAGCCAAGACATGCTCGAAATATTCTTGGATATAGATATTAGCTCCTTAAGCTCCATTCCCAGTACAACTCAGCAAAATTCCATTTGATTATCCCTCCTTGAAAGTGAGCCCAACTGTGAACAGCCAGTATCATCTTAATGGCTTATGTTAAGAACGTTTTCATATCTTTATTCATGTACCTTAGAAATATTTACATAAATATTTTATTGCCTAAAATAGTTCTGAAACTATGGAAATGCGTAAAATGACATTTAGTCTCTTTTCAGTAAGGAACATTCTAAAACAAATTTAAATATATAAGCCTACCTTAGAATTAAAAAATTATAGAAAAAAAAGCATTTCTTTTAGCAATTAAGTACTTGGAGGCCAAACAAAAATAATAATAATATTATAATATATAATCTAAAGACCTCCTCCTACACCTTGATATGAAAGGAGAGTAGACAAAAAAGTATGGCCTTTTTCAAGCCCATTTACAATAGCTATAAAAAGAAATAGGGAATACTTAGCAATATGTTAAACTAAGGAGGTGAAAGATCTCTAAATGGAAAACAACAAAACACTCATAAGAGAAAGCATAGACAACAGAAACAAATAGAAAAACATTTCATGCTCACAAATTGGAAAAATTAATGTAATTAAGATGACCATACTGTCCAAAGAAAACCTAATACAATTAAAATGACCATACTAGCCCAAGAAAACTACAGATTCAGTGCAATCCCTATCAAAATACCAATGCCATTTTTTTCACAGAATTAGAAAAAACAGGTGCTGGAGAGGATGTGGAGAAATAGGAACACTTTTACACTGTTGGTGGGACTGTAAACTAGTTCAACCCTTGTGGAAGTCAGTGTGGCGATTCCTCAGGGATCTAGAACTACAAATACCATGTGACCCAGCAATCCCATTACTGGGTATATACCCAAAGGATTATAAATCATGCTGCTATAAAGACACATGCACACGTATGTTTATTGTGGCACTATTCACAATAGCAAAGACTCGGAACCAACCCAAATGTCCAACAATGATAGACTGGATTAATAAAATGTGGCACATATACACCATGGAATACTACGCAGCCATAAAAAATGATGAGTTCATGTCCTTTGTAGGGACATGGATGAAGCTGGAAACCATCATTCTCAGCAAACTATCGCAAGGACAAAAAACCAAACACCGCATGTTCTCACTCATAGGTGGGAATTGAACAATGAGAACACATGGACACAGGAAGGGGAATATCACACACCAGGGCCTGTTGTGGGGTGGGGGCAGGGGGGAGGGATAGCATTTGGAGATATACCTAATGTTAAATGATGAGTTACTGGGTGCAGCACACCAACATGGCACATGTATACATATGTAACTAACCTGCACATTGTGCACATGTACCCTAAAACTTAAAGTATAATAAAAATAAAAAAACACAAATATCATAAAAAAAATCATGCAGCTATAAAAAAAAGAAAAAACAATCCTAAAATTTATATAAAACTGAAACCAAGCCCAAATAGCTAAACAAATGCTAAGCAAAAAGAACAAAGCTGGAAGCATAACATTATTTAACTTCAAATTATAATACAGGGCTATAGTAACCCAAAGAGTACAGTACTGGTATAAAAATGGACACATGAATCAATGAAATAGAGAACTCAAAAATAAAGCTACATATTTATAGCCAACTGATCTTTGACAATGTCAACAAGAACATATACTGGGGAAAGGGCACCCTTTTCAGTAAACCGTGCTGGGAAAATTGGTTTGCCATATGCAGAAGAATGAAATAGGACCCTTATCACTCACCGTATAAAAAAATCAACTCAATGTAGATTAAAGACTTAAATGTAAGACCCAAAACTATAAAAATACTAGAATAAAACCTAGGGAGAAACTTTTCTGGACGTTGGCTTAGGCAAAGAATTCGTGACTAAGACATCAAAAGCACAGGCAACAAAAGCAAAAATAGACAAATGGAACTTAATTATTTAACTAAAAACTTCTGCACAGCAAAAGAAATAATCAACAGAGTGAACAGACAACCTCCAAGAGGGAAGAAAATATTTGCAAACTATGCATTGAGAGGGGCTAATATCTAGAATTGATAAGTAACTCAAACAACTCAACAACAAAAATTAATCATATTAAAAATGGGTAAAGGACATGAATAGACATTTTTTGAAAGAAGATATACAAATGGTGAACAAGCATACACAAAATACTCAACATCAATCATCAGAGAACTGCCAACCAAATCACAATGAGATATCATCTTATACCAGTCAGAAAGGCTACTATTAACAAAAAATAACATGTTGATGAGGGTACAGAGGAAAGGGAAACCATATACTGTTGGTGGGAATGTAAATTTAGTACAACCTCTATGGAAAACAGTATCGATATTTCTCAAAGAACTAAAAATAGAACTACCAATCCAGCTATCTATCCAAAGGAAAAATAATCATTATATCAAAAAGATACCTAGACCTGTATGTTTATGGCAGAAGTATTCACAATAGCAAATAAATGGAATCAACCTAAGTGTCCATCAGTGGATGAATGGATAAACAAAATGTGGTATACATGAACAGCCGAATACTATTTAGCCATGAAAAAGAATGAAATCATGTATTTTGCAGCAACATGGATGTAAATGGAGGCCATTATCTTGAGTAAAATAATTCAGACATGAAAAGACAAACACCAGGTGTTTACACTTATGAGTAGGAGCTAAATAATGTGTACACATAAACGTAGGGTGTGGAATCATAGACAATGGCAACTGGTAAGGGTGAAGGGAGAGGAGGGGATAGACAATAAGTAATTACTTATTGGGTACAAGGTACATTATTAAGGTGATATTGAGCAGTGAATTATTTGTTGGCAAGGTCAGCTATTTAGACTTTTTTTTCTTCAAGAAAAAAATGTATTAGTTTGTGGAGCCCATAAGACAGTTTGCAAAGCCAGCTTAACCCGTATTCATCTGAAGTATAGTACTTCATGTGACTACCATAGAATAATTGACAAAATTGTTTCTAAAGTGGCAAAAATTTTACTAATTCCAGCTAGGAATACCAGTACTCATGGCCCTGTGTTGGAACTGTTTTGGCAAAGGAGTTGTATGTACATGTATGTGTTAGGCTTGATTAGATAAGCAATATGTGAATAGATGGTTGTGCCTGGATTAATAAGAGAAAGTGGGTTTTACTTCTCTTTGGTATCTATAAGAAAGCAAATCTTTACACTACCCTTTTGCAAATGCTTGGTCAAATCTAAGATGTCAACAATGAGTAGAGCAATGGGATAGGATCTGCTGGAAGAATTGCATTATATTTCCTCCTCCTGATACTCAAATATTCAAAAACATGAGTCATTCTTAAATTTATCGAGTATGAGTTACCTACACTGGCCTGATAAGGAATTACTTTAAAACCATTTTTAATTTAGCAACTATCTACTCAATTTCCTTGGCAAATACATGAATACCAATAATCAAAATGTCAAGGATTATATAAAGCTGATCAAGCTAAATGGACAAATGTTTGAAACAGGAAATTTATAGTCTCTTATTAACCACACATGGCAGTAATTAAAGTTCATTAAAAAATCTCTAGTCCCAGGGCAATAGTCTAAATCAGTGGTTGTCAAGTTTAGCGTACATCAGTATTATCTGGAGAGCGTATTAAAACACGGGCTGCTGGGACCCATATCCAGAGTTACTAATTCATAGGTCTGGGGTGGAGCCTGAAGATTTGCATTTCTAAATTTCCCAAGTGCTGCTGCTGTTGGTTATAAGCATCACATTTTGAGAACCACTGGGGTAATTTTTTCTCAATTATCCAAAAACATATCAGTAAAAACAATTTTCCTTTAGATTTACCAATTTTTTGTAATTTCATATAAAAGAATTATAGACAGAAAAAATTATGTAAACAAACATTCATTCTAAACTAAGCATTATTTCCCCAAATCACTTTTGTGTGATTAATCTTTCAAAATAACATATATGTAGTTTTTATTCTCAATTATCATTTTGTTTTATTCCTTAAATACTTCCTTTTATTTCTAAGGTAATAAGGATGCCAGATTAATTCTTTCTGCTTTACATAGAGCAAAATTAATCTTAAATATCTCAACTTGAGGCAATATATGATTATATCATCATATGAAGGAATTAAATTTCCTAAAGAAAAAGAAAATGTCTATGCATTTCAGTGCCATTTTCTCAGTTGATAACGGAGAGTAATGTCACTTTTTCCTTCAACACTGCATCACCACTTCATTGTATGAAACTGAAACGTTTGTGTTAGCTTAGTAGTTCTGTAGTAAAATCATTTGAGTCTCTAAAATACATGAACAAAATAAATCTGTAATCTTTAAAAAGTAAATTCATGAGAGTAACATTGTCACGTGTTTTTAAATGCATTTCTGGCCGGGCACCGTGGCTCACGCCTGTAATTCCCGCACTTTGGGAGGCCAAGGCGGGCAGATCACGAGGTCAGGAGATCGAGAACATCCTGGCTAACACAGTGAAACACGTCTGTACTAAAAATACAGAAAAATTAGCCGGGCGTGGCGGCGGGCGCCTGTAGCCCCAGCTACTCGGGAGGCTGAGGCAGGAGAATGGCGTGAACCTGGGAGGCGGAGCTTGCAGTGAGCCGAGATCGTGCCACTGCACTCCAGCCTGGGTGACAGAGCGAGACTTCGTCTCAGAAAAAATAAAAATAAAAATAAATAAAATAAATGCGTTTCCATGGAATGAAACTTTATTTTAGAAAATTCCATCAGAAAGCAATTTTGCATTCGTATATTTTAGCCTATTAACAAAAATCATTTTGACAATCATTCCATCTATACTTAGTTCCAATGTTCATTATTTAGTATGAATCTTTTATGCCTAACAGCTGTTGCTATATCTAAGCTGTTATTAGCTAGCATCTAGTTTAAACCCAAATTCCTTAGTGATTTCAGGTTTTCTACAATCTAAACATAATCCATTTGCTCATTATTATCTCTTCAACTAAATTTTGGTAAAAAATTTAGTTTATAGACCTTAAATTTTAGTTAGTTAGACCTTAAAATTTAGTTATAGACCTTCAAATTTTCCTGGTGTTTTCTTGCCTCTGAGCTTCAAGCCGAAATTCCTTGCTTCGTCCTTTCTTGCTGTGTAAATCCTACCCACCTACCTTCATAACGTCTTTTCTTATTAAATCAGCTGTCATTGGACACGTTATTTTCTACCACGTATTATTAGCTAACTTTTCCTGTATTAACAATAAATAACTACGATTGCATTATTATTACTTACCAGGACCTAAAAAACAAGTCACTTACCATAATCGTCAAAAGGATTTAGGTGCTATCACCATGTTAATTAATCAAGTTAATATTAAAGCTGAAGATCAGAGTTTTTACCAGTCACACGGCCATTAAGCAGCAGAGCTGAGATTTAATTCTACATCTCCATGTCTTGTAAAATCATGTACACATAATCAACCACTATATTACATTGTAAGGCAGCCTTCAAATTATAAATAGGTTATGATATTTTTAACATCTGGGAGTACTTAGCATAAAGAAGTGCTTACAATAACTTACACTTTGATTAAAATTCACCTTATTTAGTTGTATATTGGGAAGAGGTACCTATTTTCTCTTACACCTTAAAGCTCAAATCACGAAACCTCTTATTTTGCTTATGAGTCTAGTAATTTTTGTTTAAATTTTAAAAATTACTTTCACTTTGATAAATGCCTAATTAATTACTAAATTTGGCAGATTCATTTCCCCTAGATATTTAACAGCATTCATAAACAAGATTAATTTAATTTCTTTAGCTATTTCAAACTACAATTCAGATTTATCTGATTTTCTCAAGACTTTTTAACAACTAACCGGGCAGATCTGTCAATTTATATACCCACATCTTTTTCAGCATGGAAGCAATCCTTGTAAAGCTAATAAAGCAAAATGAAATTCAATAAGTTATAGTCCCCTAAGTGAATCTAACATGTTTAAGAGATTTATTGAGCAAAATCAATTCTTTTTTTTTTTTTTTTTTTTTTAGAAATAAGAAACTTCAAATTCTCCCTGTCTAGTTTTTGCTCTCGGGTGTATCATTCACTACCCTTATCTATTATTTTAACCATAATATCTTTCATAGATTTTGTTATATAATTTGAGCTGAGGAGACTCTGTATCACCAAACCACACTGCAATACATTTCATCAATCTTTTGTGAGATTTTGCCTTAAAGGAATTTGCAGCCTAAGCATTTCTTTCATATATTTAACAACTCATTTCTGTCTTTTCCTTAGCATATCTGCTAGTATTTGTCATGTTTACACAAAATTAATGCTCAAATGATCACAACTTGGCCATTGAAAGTCCCTTAAAGCTGACCCATTTGTTGCTTTATGGTAGCAAAATTTCATGGAACTATCTTGATTTTATTGTATAGAACCATTGAATCAGCTTTTCTCCAGAAGCTCTGATTGTTTTTAGTGAAGAATAGCAGAAGCAAACATTTGAGCACTGCAGGCAACTACCAAGTGGGGACTAATATTAGACTAGGTGGCACCAAGGATACTTCATGTTAACAACAGAGCTAGAGAAAGTAAATGTTTTACAATTTATGAGTTCACATCAACTTTTCCAACCTATTTTCAAATCATGTTCTATGTTTAAAACATACGTATTTTTTTTCTCTTTGGGGCTAGAATCTTCTCTATACATTCTTTTTACCAATTTAATATACCATGCTACTAAATGTCACATAAAACTACGTGTTTGACTTTAAAAATTGTCTAGCCTGTCTTATACTTTGACTTGTACTGACTGACATCAAGGACATCTCAACACGGTTGCAGTTACCTTTTTCTCTTTTTTATAACTCTTATGTTTCTCAAGCATCATTCTACAGGCACTTTATTGATAAGATAATTCAAACAAAGAGTTTGTAAATCAGTTGTTTTTAGCTTATAACCTATTTTTTCAAAAGAACTGTTTTACAAATGATAGTTAGATTCCCAGACACTCCATGAAAGTCTGCTCAACTGTAGCACTAAAACCATGAGCTTGAGTCCCAAGACACTAGGTTAGAGGAGAGAAGAGATGGAAGAGACCCTTTTTCTCCTTCTTCCAGGTGTAACAATGGTCTTGAACACAATTTTGGTAAAACAATAATGCTTAAGGCATTATTACGTTTCCAATCGTTTATTCATTTAGCCCATATTTGTTGAGTAATTCTTTTGATTAAACACTACAAACTCCTGGGGGCATAAAATTGAGAAGTCATATTCTTCATGCTCCAAAATCCTGAACTGTTAACACAGAGGTAAATTTCTGGCTGGCTAATACCCTTAAGTAGGTTGGGTGGATGAACCCAGTGCACTTGCATAGCATTGGCTTTGCACAGAAGCACTGATGCCTCCCCTAAAATAACAGGCAGGAAAAAAATGTATAAGATAGTTATGGGTACAGATCCCCTAATGTGGATAGATGTAGCAGATGGTAGAAGTTCTTTGTAATTGCTTCAATTACCAGTACAGTTGAAGATACACTGTGCTTTTAGTTTTTTTCAAAATAACATCATACAATATATACCAGACAGATTTTTAAACTTAACATATCAGGGATATTTTTTCATCATGATAATTACATAGCTCCAACATAATTATAAATGGTTGTATAATGTTCTGTGATTGGAAAATGTTACCTTTTGCCTAGCCAGTAAGGTTCTATATGGGTCATTTCCACTTTTTTATTTCGTTAACATTGAGACAATAAATATCTTTTTATAACTTTTTGTATATCTATATAATTACTCCCTTATGATAAACTAATTGATATTGAGAGGTTACCTATTTTACATATAGAGGTCGTTTACTTTAATGGATAAGCTCCTGCACTTACTAGCTATGTGAACTTGGACAAGATTTTAATCTCCTGTACCTTATTTCCCTTATTTCCAAAATAATTCTTACCTCATGGAAAAGTTTCTGTGATTACATTAGACCAAGGATAAGGTGTTGAGAATGAGAGTGATTATATCTTAGAGAGCTATTCTGATGATTAAATTAGCTTATATAAGTTTCTAAGGACAGTGCTTTTTGGATTATATTTTAGAATTTAGTATTTTATACATGCAAAATTGCATATGCTAATGTGTATTAGTATACATGTATGTATACACACACATATAAAATATATCACTCAGCTTAAAATATAGAACATTGTCAATATTGCATCCTCCTTTATATGCTCTCTTGACTGTATCTTCCTCTTTATCCCCCAGAATAAACCATTATCCTGAATTTTGAATTCAATATTTTAATTTTATTGGTTTTGTTTGTTTGTTTGTTTTCAGACAGAGTTTCGCTCTTGTTGCCCAGGCTGGAGTGCAATTGTGCGATCTCAGTCACTGCAACATCTGTCTCCCAGGTTCAAGCAATTCTCCTGCCTCAGCCTCCTGAGTAGCTGGTATTTCAGGAGCCCACCACCACGCCAGACTAATGTTTTGTATTTTTAGTAGAGGTGGAGTTCCACCATGTTGGCCAGGCTGGTCTCCTCCTGACTTCAGGTGATCCACTCGCCTCAGCCTCCCAAAGTGCTGGGCCTGAATTCAAAATTTTATTGCTTTCAACCATACATGTATTATACAAATACATGAATCCCCAAACCAATATTTTCATATTTTTAATTTTATATAAATGGAATGAAGCTCTTTGTATTCTACTGCTTTTATTACTTACTATTATATTTGTGAAATTCATCCATGTTGATACATGTAACTCTGCTTTATTTATTTTTCCTGCTCCATAGTATTCCCTTACAGGAATATACCACAGTTTACCCACATTTCTGTAGATAAATATTTTCATCCAATTTTGTTTTGTTTTTGCTATTAAAACAATGCTTGAATACACATTATCGTAAAGCCTCCTAAGGAATTTGCACAAGAGTATCTTTAGGACTCATACCTAGGAGTGTAATTGCTGGGAAGAGTGAATGCCTATCTCCAGCTTTTTTACATAATAGCCAATAGTTTTTCAGAGTGATAATAGCAATTTATGCTTCTATTGGCACTGTGTTAATTTGTATTACTCCCCCAAATTGCTAACAGTTAATATGGTTGAAATTTTAATTTCTGCAGACTTGAGGATAGAAATGATTCTTCATTTTGGACTTAATGTTTATTTCCATGAATAATGATAAAATTGAGATTCTTTTTGTTTTTTCTGTTTTCTGTGAAAGATCATTCATGTCTTTTTAAAAAATTGTGAGTACATAGTAGGTGTATATATTTATGCGGTATATGGGATATTTTATATAGGCCCAACTGTAACAAGCATATCAGAGTAAATGGGGTATCCATAACCTCAAGGATTTATCCTTTGTATTATAAACAATATTATGTTCTTTTAGTTATTTTTACATGTACGATTAAATTGTTATTGGCTATAGTTATCCTATTGTGCTATCAAATACTAGGTCTTATTTATTCATTGTAACTATTTTTTTAACCCATTACCATTTCTTACATCCCCTGTAACCTGTTCATTACCCTCCCCAGCAACTGGTAACGATCATTCTACTCTCTATGAGTTCAATTGTTTTAATTTTTAGCTCTCACAAATGAGTGAGAACATGTGAAGTTTGCCTTTCTGTGCCTGGCTTATTTCACTTAACAAAATTACTTCGAGTTCTATTCCTGTTGTTGCAGATGATAGGATCTCATTTTTTTAATGGCAACACACTACTCCATTGTGTATATGTACCACATTTTTATTATCTGCTCATCTGTTGATGGACACTTATGTTGCGTCCAAATCTTGGCTATTGTAAATAGTTCTGCAATAAACATGGCAGTGCAGATGTCTCTTTGATATACTGATTTCCTTTCTTTAAGGTATATACGTGGCAGTGGGATTGTTAGATACTATGGTAGCTCTATTTATAGATTTTTGAGGAATCCTCAAACTGTTCTCCATAGTGGTTGTATTAATTTACATTTCCACCAAGAGTGTATGAGGATTCCCTTTTCTCCATATCTTCACCAGCATTTGTTATTGCCCGTCTTCTAGATGAAAACCATTTTAACGGAGTGAGATGATATTTAGTTGTAGTTGATTTGCATTTCTCTGATGATCAGTGATACTGAGCATTTTTATATACCTGTTTGCCATTTTTATGTCTTCTGAGAAATGTCTATTCAGATCTTTTGCCCATTTTTAAATCACATTATTAGATATTTTTGTATAGAGTTGTTTGAGCTCCTTATATAGTCTTATTATTAATTCCTTGTGAGATGAGTAGTTTGTAAATACTTTTTCCCATTCTGTGGGTTGTCTCTTCACTTTGTTTCCTTTGTTGTGCAGATGATTTTTAACTTGATGTGATCCTGTTTGTCCAGTTTTGCTTTGGTTGCCTGTGCCTGTTGGGTATTGATCAAGAAATTTTTGCCCCCTCCAATGTCCTGGGGAGTTTTCCCAATGTTTTCTACTAGTAGTTTAATAATAGGAACTCTTAAATTTAAGTATTTAATACATTTTGATTTGCTTTTTGTATGTAGCGAAGGATACTCTAGTTTCATTCTCCTGCATATGGATATCCAGTGTACCCAGCACAGTATATTGAAGAGACTTTCCTTTCCCCAGTGTATGTTTTTGGGAGCTTTGTTGAAAATGGTTTCACTGTAGGTGTGTGGATTTTTCTTTGGGTTCACTCTTCTGTTTCTTGCTCTATGTGTCTGTTTTTATGCCAGTACCATGCTGTGTTGGTTACTATAGCTCTGTAGTATAGTTTGAAGTCAGGTAATGTGATTCCTCCAGTTTTGTTGTTTTTTTTTTCTCAGGATAGCTTTGGCTAATCTGGTTCTTTTGTAGCTCCATATAAATTTTAGGATTTTTTTTTCTTTTTCTGTGAAGAATATCTTTGGTATTTTGATAAGGATTGCATTGAAACTGTAGATCACTCTGTGTAGTATGGACATTTTAACAATATTCATTCTTCCAATCCACAAGCATGGATTATCTTTCCTTTTTTTTTTTTTTTTTCCTTAGATGGAATCTCGCTCTGTCACCAGGCTGGAGTGCAGTGGCATGATCTCGGCTCACTGCAACCTCTGCTTCCAGGGTTCAAGCGATTCTGCTGCCTCAGCCTCCCAAGCAGCTGGGACTACAGGTATGCGCAATCATGCCCAGCTAATTTTTGTATTTTTAGTAGAGACACGGTTTCACCACGTTGGCCAGGTTGGTTTCGGTCTCTTGACCTCATGATCTGCCTGTCTTGGCCTCCCAAAGTGCTGGGATTTCAGGCGTGAGCCACCATGCCTGGCCATATCTTTTCGGTTTTTTTTTTTTTTTTTTTGTGCCCTCTTCAATTTCTGTCAACAATATTTTATAGTTTTCATTGTAAAGCTCTTTCACTTTTTTGGTTAATTCCTAGATATTTAATTTTATTCATAGCTACTATGTATAGAATTATTTTCTTGATTTCTTTTTCAGATTGTTTCCTATTGGCATATAAAAATCCTGATAATTTTTGTATGCCAATTTTGTATCCTACAACTTTACTAAATTTGTTTATTGGCTCTAATGGTTCTTTGGTGGAGTCTAGTTTTTTCCAAATGTAAGATCACCTCATCTACAAACAAAGGTAATTTGACTTCTTCCTTTCCAATTTGGATGCCCTTTATTTCTTTCTCTTGTCTGATTGTTCTAGGTAGGACTTCCAGTACTATGTTGAATAACAGTGTGGTAAAAGTAGGCATTCTTGTTACGTTCCAGATTTTAAAAGAAAGGCTTTCAGTTTTTTGCCATTCAATATGTTATTAGCTATGAGTCTGTCATGTATGGCTTTTATTATGTTGAGGTATGTTTTTTTCTATACCCAGTTTTTTAAGGGTTTTTATCATGAAGAAATGTTGAATTTTTATCAAATGCCTCTACATCATCAGTTGAAATGATCATATGGTTTTTGTTCTTCATTCTGTTGATATAATATATCACATTGATTGACTTGCATACATTGAACCATATTTGCATCCCTGGGATAAATGCCACTTGGTCATGATGAATGATCTTTATGATGTGTTGTTGAATTTAATTTGCTAGTGTTTTGTACAGGATTATTGCATAAATGTTTATTAGGGATATTGTCCTGTGGTTTTCTTTTCATTTTTCTTTCTTTTTATGTTTTGATTTGTCTTTGTCTGGTTTTGGTAATTCTTCACCTTGTAGAATTAGTTTGGAAGTAAGTATTCCTTCCTCTTCTATTATTTGGAAGTTTGAGTAAAATTGGTATTAGTTCTTTAAATGTTTGGTAAAATTTAGCAATGCAGCCAACAAGTCTTGGGCTTTTCCTTGCTGACAGACTTTTTATCGTGGCTTTGATTTTGTTGCTTGTTAATGGTCTGCTCAGGTTTTGGATTTCTTCTTGGTTCTGTCTTTGTAGATTGTATGTGTCAAGAAATTTATCCATTTCTTCAGGTTTTCTAATTTATTAGCTTATAGTTGCTCATAGTAGCTTCTAATGATCTTTTGAATTTATGTGGTATCAGTTGTAATGTCTCCTTTTTCATGTCTGATTTTGTTTATTTGGGTCTTCACCCTATTTCTTAGTCTAGCTAAATGTTATTCAATTTTGTTTATCTCTTCAAAAAGCCAACTTTTATTTCATTAATGTTTTATATTTTTTCTTCATTTCAATTTTATGTATTTCTGCTCTGATCTTTATTATTTATTTTCTTCTACTAAGTTTGGTTTTGGTTTGCTCTTGCATTTCTAGTTCTGTAAGATGTATCATTAGGTTGTGTATTTGAAGTTTTTCTCCTTTTTAGATGTAGACACTTATAGCTATAGACTTCCCTCTTAGTACCGCTTTCACTGTATCCCATAGGTTTTGATATGTTGTGTTTTCATTATCATTTGTTTCAAGAAATTTTTCAATTTCTTTCTTAGTCTGTTTATCAACCCACTGCCAGCATAAAACCAATGTACATTTAAGGCCCAAGAGCTCTTCTGTCATGTTATGGTGAATGCTGAAAGGCATGGGACTCACGCTTCAGGACACTGGGCTCCCCTCTAGCCTAGGGTAGGTCCAGAAATGCCATCTAAAAGCCAAAGTCTGGAATCACAGACTCCAAGAGCCTACTTGGTGACCAAGCTGATACCTAAGCTGCAAGACAAGGTCCCGTTTCTTCTTCCCTCCCCTCTTCTCAAACAGAATGATTCTCTCCTGATAGACACCATAGCTCTGATTATTCTGGGTCACACCTGAAGTCAGTACAGCTCTAAGTCTCACCCAAGGTGAATACTACCTAGCTACCACTGCTGATAATTCAGGGCAAAGAGCTCTTTAGTCAGGAGGTAATGAATCTTGCCAGTACTGAGTCCTTCCTTCCTTCTCTTCAGGGCACAAGGTTCCCATTTGGCTCAGGATGTGACTAGAAATTCTGTGTGGGAGATAAGGCCTGGAACTGGCCCTGACAACTCTGTCTAGTGCCCTGTCCTACTGTGGTTGAGCTGATATCCAAGTGGCAAGACAAAGTCCCCTTTACTGTCTCTTCTCCTCTCCTCAAACAGAAATAAAGGGTCTCTTTTGGAGCTGCAAACTGTACTGCCTAGGGCTGCAGAGGGATGAGGCAAGTATTCCCTTAGCTGCCCCAGTTGGTGTCTCACTATGTCACCTGCCCACCAAGTCCACTGGCTCTGAGCCCAGCAAAATACTGGCCTTTCCTAGGAGTTGCAGTCATTGTGTCCTGGACTGCCTTTCAAGTTTATTTAGAACCCCAGAGCATTTTAATCCTCAGCTGTGAGGCTTGCTGAAACTCAAGTTTGACTGCTGAGATGGGCAATTCCCCTCTGGCTAGGGCTAGTCTAAATGGTACCTCCATGGGCATCAGCTGAGTTCTGTCTAATGTTGGCAGCATCGAGTTCCAATACAAGGTCCCACAAACACTGTGCTCTGCCTCCCCTAAGTGCACATATTCTCTCTCTGTGCCACTTGGCCACTGCCAGGGAGTTGGGGAGGATTGGCATCAGCAATTCAAGACTGTCTTTTCTACCCTCTTCAGTACGTCTTTAAGTAATATGAAGTTAAAACCAGGTATCATGATTACTTACCTGATACTTGGCTCTTATGAAAGGACTTTTTCGGCCAGGCGTGGTGGCTCACACCTGTAATCCCAGCACTTTTGGAGGCTGAGATGGGTAGATCACGAGGTCAGGAGATGGAGACAAGCTTGGCCAAGATGGTGAAACCCCGTATCTACTAAAAATATAAAAATTAGCTGGGTGCAGTGGCATGTGCCTTGTAGTCCCAGCTACTTGGGAGGCTGGGGCAGGAGAATAGCTTGAACCTGGGAGGCGGAGGTTGCAGTGAGCTGAGATCATGTCACTGCCCTCCAGCCTGGGTGACAGAGCGAAAGTCCATCTCAAAAAAAAAAGAAAGTGTTTTTTGTGTAGATAGTTGTCAAATTTGGTGTTCCTGCAGGAGACTTCTAGAAGTTCCTCAGTGGAGGCCTCTATTTGGCCATGTTGTTTTGCTTCCTCCAGTCATTCATGACTTAAGCTCATTTTTCTGTTTATTTTCTCTTTTTGATTTGTATGATTTCTTTATATAATAGGTATACTAATCTTTTAAACACAATTATGTGTGTTTAAAATATATTCTCAGTTTTTAAGTCATATTTTCACTTTTTCCATCAGGTTTTTTGATTGACAAGCATTCATTTAATGACATCAAATTTAGCAATATTTTATTTTATGGTTATTGGTTAGTGTTTTTTGTAAGTACTCCTCTCCTATGTAGAGGTCATTAAAGTATACTCTTTAAGTTATAAAGCTTTGCCTTTTACATTAGTTCTTTAATCCACCTGGAATTATTTTTTTGCATATGTTTATAAGATAGAAATTTATTTTTTAAATTATTCTACTTTAATAGGTAGGTGGTATAATGTAATTTATTGAAAGGTCTTGTATTTTCCTACTGATCTTCTCTCATATCTTAAGTTTTTTATATGCATGAAACTATGAAACTATTTCTCTTTTTTGAAAAAGAGACCAATGGAATAGAAGAGTCCTTGTGCCAATATCATATTGTCTGAAGTTGTACAGTTAATAGGTTTAACTATCTGGTAATACAAATTCTTTACCTCCTTCTTTTATAGGAATATTTTGAATATTTATGACCTTCATTCTTCCATATAAGTTTTTAAATTAGCTTGTCAGATTATCATGAAACAATGTCAGAATTTTTACTGAAATAGTCTCTATAGATTTATTAATGAAAAATTGGTTTCTCAATAATATGAACTCTACCTATTTCACTGATGCTCAAAACAGTTAATAAGCATCGGGGCATACACATCAACCTGTCCATTGATATCAGAACAATAAGGGTTAATTTTGCATATGAGGAACCAGCATGGCCATCAAAAGGCATACTGGATGAATATCATCCCTGTTCCTATCTATAGTTAAGGTAAACTTTTGGAGCCCTTGAAAATAGCTTTTGTGCTTGAATAAGATTACTCATACCTTTGTATTGATTTTCAATTTATTTAAAAACTCAGTTAATCCCTAATTTTGTAGCTATATCTTACACATATGGCTCTTTTTATGTATCTAGTAATGTTAATCTAAAGCTTTTGATTAATGTGTGACTCCTCCTATAAACTTAATCAAATTCATAGCAGCATTCTAAGTACATATATAAATTTTATATAGTGTATTTATTTTTAAGTAATCTTAATGTAAAACTTAACAATAAAAAATGCTGAGTATTTAAACCAAATTAAAATATCTAAACTGATTACTCAATAATATAATTGCATTAGACTTATAATGTTGACCTGCTACTCTGATAAAACAAATTTTTTAAATATCACAAATATATAAAACACAAATATATGAGAAGTTCTTAATCTATAATATTAATATGATAGTTTTGAGTCACTGAAAAATTTATTTGTTGTGTGTAATTCAGAGGTTATACAATAACCCACAATATAGATTACTGTACTCTTTTCTCATATTGCCCATGTGTCATTCTTGTATCGAGAATATGCTCACCTTGTAAAAGAATGTAGGAGGTTAGTGTCTTTCTACTCCTTAGAAGGCTTTATATAATATTATTATTATTTGCTCTTTGAATATTTGATAGAAATTACTGGTAAAACTGTCTAGTTCAGAGATTTTTCTTTCTAGGAAGATTTTAAATTACTGATAAATGACTCAGTAATTTAATGATCTTTGTAAAAAGCACTCAGTTTGGATCTTCTACATCTATAAATATATTTCTCTTTGTATTCCTTTGTATTCCACAGTGGTATCAGCAACTGTGTCTCCTCTTCCTTAATCAGTATTTCCAGCTGATAACAATTATAAATTGTTTTATTTTCCAACTTCCAACTTTTCAGTTTGTTGCTCTTTTTTAAGTTGTGGTTTTCTGCTCTGATGTTTCTCTCTTCTATATTTTCTTTGTTACTATTTTGTTCTCTTTCTTGACTTTGAAAGTTGGAACCTTAGCTTATTAATTTTAGTCTTTCTTCTTTTCTAATATCACCCTTTAAGGTTATATATTTCAGTCTAAATGTAACTTTTTAACTGTATTTCATATATTCTGACACTATTTACCACATTAAAAAATATAATTTCTTCTTTGATGCATGGGTTATGTGGAAGTATTTCTTTGAAAATATTGAAATATCTGTATTTGCTTTTCTTGTCATAGATTCTTACTGAATTCCAGTGAGGTTGGAGAATATGGTCTGTAATTTTCTGTAATTCTTTATGATGTTTGGTAATTGTTTTATGGCCTAGTACATGTTCACTTTTCATAGTTAATTAAAAATAAGCATTTATTCTTCAATTATTGGAAACAGTATTTTCTATATCTATTAGAAGAGAGCTGTAAAAGAAGATGACTTCCTTTGGGTAGAGGAAGATTAATATCTTTTTATATCTATGTATTTTATTCATACTGTAAGCAAAAGTTTTCTGGATAAGACCCAGACTGATTATTTACTTATATCTTGTAAAAGATAAACACAGCCAAGTACTTGTTAAAGCAATAAACACTGATTCAGTAACTACTCACAGTAGATGAAAGAGCTGAGCTCCATTTGGATTTGTGAAAAGATTATTGGGGGTTTTTTAAGGGAGAATTAGGAAGGGGAGAGCTAGGTAGAGTCAAAGAGGTAAAAAATTTACAAAGGGTTGATCAGTATAAATATGATTAGGCAAGCTGTGTTTGCTAACATTCTAATGAAAGTTAGAATTCTGTCTTCCCACAGAGACAGAAAGACAGAGGCCCTAT
Organism: Homo sapiens; assembly: GCF_000001405.40. Classification (NCBI taxonomy): domain Eukaryota; kingdom Metazoa; phylum Chordata; class Mammalia; order Primates; family Hominidae; genus Homo; species Homo sapiens. Next base: position 153,528,404 of record NC_000003.12, on the reverse strand, counting down.
CTTTCCTGGTGATAACTGAAAAATTGATTCACTGAAAAATTTATGAATTGTGCATAATTCATAGGTTATACAATAACCCTCCATATAGATTACTGTACTCTTTTCTCATGTTGCCCATGCCCATTTTAAAGGAATGGCTCTGAGAATCTTCTGAATTGTAAGTAATACATATTCACAATTGTAAACATTTTTTAAAAAGGAATGTCTAGGGCCTATTGTCAGCAGTTGACTAGAACAAACAGTAAATTCTCCTGGCGGTATTTAGCTTTCTCAGCTAGGCATTATAACGAGCTGTGGTTATCCTGGGAACACACCTCTGTGCTACTAGAAGCCATGCTAGAATTTGATCATCTCTTAGTGCAGAGGTTTGGATGGAGTCATTATGTGGTGAGAATTCTGCAGTTCTCAATAGCAATCTTAGTGCTGGTTTCCAGTGCTCTATTTCCCCTTTGGGGCAATAGAGGGCCTATATCACCCTATACGTAAAGAGGGAGGGGCTCTTTAGGAGAAGACCTGAAAATTATGATTCTTGGAGTTTGTGCAGAATCTGCTGCAGAGATGCCTCTCTTCTCCCACTGAGAAGAGACAGAAACTTTTGCTCTCCAATGTAATCAAATCCTCTCTGGAAAGGGAAGGGGAAGGTCGCCAAGTTGTTAAAACCCTTTTCAATGTGAACAAATGGGTTTAAGAGAGACAAATCATTAGAAATCTCTCCTGGGTATTTCAATATCTTTAATGTCCAAAGCTTATTTTCTGTTCACTCATCCTTTAACTCAGGTTGCCAGTAAGTAATGTTTCATCAGAAAGTCCTGACTATACAGAAATATGAAAATATTTGTTGTTTTCCAACAGAGAAACCCCATCCTCCCTTAATGCCTACCTTGGCAGACTGAAGTCAGATGGAGAAGTAGCCCTAATTCTAAGTTGCTGGTTATGTCCCATCTTCCTGTTGTTGGTTATTACTGGATGGTGATACTGCCTTGGGATTTCAGCCACAAGCAATTTGGAGGTTTAGAATTCATCTCTTACCTCTAACTACTCCACAACGTAACTACTCTTTCATACTCCATACCTACTCTTTCAGCCTCTACTCTGTCATGATGGTAACAGAGGTAGAAGTAGGGCTGTCTCCCCTACATTTTAGAAGTGTCAGTCCTTTCACCACTCTACTTCCATTTACACCATTTTCTGCCACAATATCTCAAAAATTTAGGTAGTAACTGGAAACTTGAAAAATAAAAACAGAGTTCAATGATTCAACTGACTCTAACTATGTAAAGCTGAAATTAAATGAGTTGCATACACATTTAAGCCTGATTTCACATTAGCATTTCTTTTTATGACTTGTTTTTAATTTTTTTCTCTGTGCACAATAACATAATGAATGCAGACTCAGTAGAAATTGAACTCAAAGGCATAAACTTAAACAATAAGCACAGGAACATTCACAGCAATTAATAAGCAAGATAATAAAGGTACAACTCAGAGAATAAAATGAGGTGCTCTATGAATATAATAATAAGCAACCAAGCATAGTTTTATTACATTAAGTAAAAGTAGCATTTCCTAATCTGTATTTATAATAGTCACAATAAAGACACAAAAATACCCAAATTCATAGCATTCCAAGGAACAAAGGCATAACTCTAAGGGATCTGTACAATTGGAAGTCTTTTAAAATTACATTTGTATACTAGAAAAGGTTTAAAAAATACTTTGGATGATTTTTAACATTTTGATTTTCCTATTATATATTCATGGAATAAATATTTGAAATAAATAATCTAATAGGCTTATGATTTTTCATGTTTTTTCTTAAGTAAAGAAAAATATTCAATTATACTTTAAAAAATACAAAAGCTGGACATCCAGGTCCCAAATGGCAGCATAGAAGCAAGCTGGCATCACTTCCCAACAGAAAACCAAAAACAAATATACTGCGCTGAGATTACAGAGAAATCAAATTTCTGTATGTGTGGTACTCCTCCCCTGAATCTGCCTGGCACCAAGCATGTGGAAAATTTCCCCCTAACTTAGTTTCTATACTAGAAAATGTGAGATCAGGGTTGACAACCAGCTCCCTATCATCTTTGGTTCTCTGGCTAGAGACCTGTCCCTGCCTCGAATTTGGGAGCGGCTAAAGCAAGAAAGATTTCTGAGAACAACCAAACAACCAGAGACAAATGGTAATGTTGGGGGAGGAGGACACTACCATCTTCTCTAGCCCTGGAAACTTTGCTCTGTAACTTGGCAAAAGGAGATAACAACTCCGAGTGGCTGTTCAACAAAAAGCTACTATCCAAGAATACTGTAAGATATTTGTTCCACAGACCCCCTAATTATAAACTCCTAGCCAGCTTTCCCACACTATTGGGATATCCCCTTTGTGATCTCCTCCATTCTGGCTAAGCAGCTCTGATTGTTTATGAGAACTGAGGCAAACCTGGGTTAAGGCAACATCTAGTGCCAGAAAGGAGGCACCAATCTAGCAGGTAAAAAGAAAAAATAAAACCAACAGGTAAATTACAAAGAATGTCTGAGCTAACATAGTCAGTGAAGAACAAAACAAGCCAGATAGAAGATACTGAAATAAATAACTAATCTTTCAATCTTTCTTGGACATACTTCCATGAGAAATAACAGCAAATGGAAAACCATGACCTACTCAAATGGACAAAGCAAGAAACCAATGACTGACCCTAATAAGACTGAAATGTGTGAATTCTTTGACCAAAAATTCAAAATGGCAGTTTTAAGAAAACTCCAAGATAACACAAAAAAATCAATTCAGAAAAGTTTCAGAGAAATTTAACAAAGAGATTTAAATTTTAAAAAATCAAATAGCTTGAAATTGAGAAATACATTTGCTGAACTGAAAACTTCCTTAGACACTCTCAACAGCGTCTTCCAACAAATGGAAGAAAGAATTAGTGAGCTCAAAAACAAGCCATTTGAAAATACACAGAGGTGAAAAAAGAAAAAGAATGAAAAGAAACAAAGATCATCTACAAGATATAGAAAATTACCTTGTAAAACAAAAATCTAAGAATTATTGGCATTCAAAAGAGAGTAGAGAAAGAGCAAAAGTTAGAAATTTTATTTGAAGAAATAATAACATAAAACTTTCAAAGAGTTAAATATCCCGGTACAGGAAGGTCAGAGAACACCAAACAGATTTGACCAACCCAAATAAGACTACCCTAAGACATATAATAATCAAATTCTCAAAGAACAAAGACAGTATTCTAAAAGCAGCAAGAGAAAAGAAGCAAATAACATATAAAAGAATTCCAATTCATTTGGCAACAGACTTTTAAATGAAAACTGTACAGTTCAGGAGGGAATAGGATGACATTTTCAAAGTACTGAGAGAAGATGAAGAAGAAACAAAAAACTACTATCCAAAAAATATTGTATCCAGTAACCTATTCTTCCAATATAAAGGAGAGATAAAGTTTCTCCCAAACAAAGCTGAGAGAATTCACCACTGCTTCACCCATCTTACAAGAAATACTATAAGGAGTTTTTCAATATGGAAGTAAAAAAACACTAATGTGCAAAAAGAAAACATTTGTATGTATAAAACCCATTTATAAAATTAAGTACACAATCATATATACTCTAAGACTGTAATTATTGTGTGCAATCTACTCATAACTCTAGTATGAAACCTAAAGGTAAATCTATCAAAAATTATAGTAACTACAGCAATCCATCAAGAGACGGGTAGTATAAAATATGTAAATTGAGACAACCTAAAGCCAAATGTGGGAGGATGGGGTTAAAAGGTGTAGATTACTTTTCTATTTTTTATGTTTCTATTAATTGCTTTCTGATCTAAGATAAGTTGTCATCTCTTTAAAATAACTTGTTATATCTGTAAGATTTTTGTAAGCTTCATAGTAACCACGCATGTACCCTAAAACTTAAAGTATAATAATAAAAAAATTAAAAAAAAATTATAAATAATTAACTAAAAATAGAAACAATGAATAAAAACATACTAGCAGAGAAAATTACTTAACTATAAAGAAAACCAGGAAGAAAGAAAGAGAGGAATTATAAAACGAACAACAAAATGGGCACACTAAGCCCTTACTTATTAAAAATAACACTGAATGTAAATAGATTTGATTCTCCAATTAAAAGGCATAGAGTTGATGAATGGATAAAGAAACAAGACCCAACTATACGCTGCTTATAGGAAACCCAAATATAAAGACACACACAGACTAAAAGTGAGGGGGTAAAAAAATATATTTCATGCAAATGGAAACAATAAATGGGTAGGAGTAGCTATGTTTTTATCAGACAATATAAACTACAAATCAAAGACTGAAGAGAGACAAAGAATGTCACTGTATTATAATAAAGGGGTCCATTCAGCAAGAAGCTATAACAAGTATAAATATTTATGTATTGAATACCAGGGTTCCCAAGTATATAATGGAAACATTTGTAAATCTAAAGGAAGAAATACACTACTATTCAAGAATAGTAGGGGACTTCAACATCACACTCTCAGTAGTGAAGACATCATCCGGACAGAAAACCCACAACTAACATTATACTAAACGGGGAAAAATTGAAAGCCTTTCCCTCAAGATACAGAAAAAAATAAGGATGCTCACTTTCACCACTTTTGTTCACTATAATACTGGAAGTCCTAGACAGAGAAATTTGGCAAGAGGAAGAAACACATAGCGTACAAGTTGAAACAGAAGAAGTCAAATTACCCTTGTGATATGGTTTGGCTCTGTGTCCCCACCCAAATCTCATCTTGAATTGTACTCCCATAATTCCCACGTGTTGCGGGAGGGACTGGTGAGAGATAATTGAATCATGGTGGCAGTTTCCCCTATACTGTTCTTGTGGTAGTGAATAAGTCTCACGATATCTGATGGTTTGATAAGAGGAAACCTGTTTCACTTGGCTCTCATTCTCTCTCTTGCTGCCACCATGTAAGAAGTGCCTTTCACCTTCCACAATGATTGTGAGGCCTCCCTAGCTATGTGGAACTGTAAGTCCATTAAACCTCTTATTTATTTATTTATTTATTTATTTATTTATTTTTGTAAATCTGTGAAAATAGATTGATACAGTAAATTGGTATCAGGAGAGTGGAGTGCTGCTGAAAAGATACCTGAAAATGTGGAACCTAGTTTGGAACTGGGTAACAGGCAGAGGTTGGAACAGTTTTGAGGGCTCAGGAAAATGTGGGAATGTTTGGAACTTCCTAGAGACTTGTTGAATGGCTTTGACCAAAATGCTGATAATGATATGGACAATGAAATCCAGGCTGAGGTGCTCTCAGATGGAGACAAGGAACTTGTTGGGAACTGAAGCAAAGGTGACTCTTGTTATGTTTTTGCAAAGAGATGGGTGGCATTTTGCCCCTGCCATAGAGATTTGTGGAACTTTGAACTTGAGAGAGATGATTTAGGGTATCTGTCAGAAGAAATTTCTTTTTTTAAAAATTTTATTATTATTATACTTTAAGTTTTAGGGTACATGTGCACAATGCGCAGGTTAGTTACATATGTATACATGTGCCGTGCTGGTGAGCTGCACCCATTAACTCATCATTTAGCATTAGGTATATCTCCTAAAGCTATCCCTCCCCCCTCCCCCCACCCCACCACAGTCCCCAGAGTGTGATGTTCCCCTTCTTGTGTCCATGTGTTCTCATTGTTCAATTCCCATCTATGAGTGAGAACATGCGGTGGTTGGTTTTTTGTTCTTGCGATAGTTTACTGAGAATTATGATTTCCAATTTCATCCATGTCCCTACAAAGGACATGAACTCATCATTTTTTATGGCTGCATAGTATTCCATGGTGTATATGTGCCACATTTTCTTAATCCAGTCTATCATTGTTGGACATTTGGGTTGGTTCCAAGTCTTTGCTATTGTGAATAATGCCGCAATAAACATATGTGTGCATGTGTCTTTATAGAAGCATGATTTATAGTTCTTTGGGTATATACCCAGTAATGGGATGGTTGGGTCAAATGGTATTTCTAGTTCTAGATCCCTGAGGAATCACCACACTGACTTCCACAAGGGTTGAACTAGTTTACAGTCCCACCAACAGTGTAAAAGTGTTCCTATTTCTCCACATCCTCTCCAGCACCTGTTATTTCCTGACTTTTTAATGATTGCCATTCTAACTGGTGTGAGATGGTATCTTATTGTGGTTTTGATTTGCATTTCTCTGATGGCCAGTGATGATGAGTATTTTTCATGTGTCCGTTGGCTGCATACATGTCTTCTTTTGAGAAGTGTCTGTTCATGTCCTTCGCCCACTTTTTGATGGGGTTGTTTGTTTTTTTCTTGTAAATTTGTTTGAGTTCATTGTAGATTCTGGATATTAGCCCTTTGTCAGATGAGTAGATTGCAAAAATTTTTTCCCATTTTGTAGGTTGCCTGTTCACTCTGATGGTAGTTTCTCTTGCTGTGCAGAAGCTCTTTAGTTTAATTAGATCCCATTTGTCAATTTTGGCTTTTGTTGCCATTGCTTTTGGTGTTTTAGACATGAAGTCCTTGCCCATGCCTATGTCCGGAATGGTAACGCCTAGGTTTTCTTCTAGAGTTTTTATGGTTTTAGGTCTAACATTTAAGTCTTTAATCCATCTTGAATTAATTTTTGTTTAAGGTGTAAGGAAGGGATCCAGTTTCAGCTTTCTACATATGGCTAGCCAGTTTTCCCAGCACCATTTATTAAATAGGGAATCCTTTCCCCATTGCTTGTTTTTCTCAGGTTTGTCAAAGATCAGATAGTTGTAGATATGCAGCGTTATTTCTGAGGGCTCTGTTCTGTTCCATTGATCTATATCTCTGTTTTGGTACCAGTACCATGCTGTTTTGGTTACTATAGCCTTGTAGTATAGTTTGAAGTCAGGTAGCGTGATACCTCCAGCTTTGTTCTTTTGGCTTAGGATTGACTTGGTGATGTGGGCTCTTTTTTGGTTCCATATGAACTTTAAAGTAGTTTTTTCCAATTCTGTGAAGAAAGTCATTGGTAGCTTGATGGGGATGGCATTGAGTCTATAAATTCCCTTGGGCAGTATGGCCATTTTCACAATATTGATTCTTCCTACGAATGAGCATGGAATGTTCTTCCATTTGTTTGTATCCTCTTTTATTTCCTTGAGCAGTGGTTTGTAGTTCTCCTTGAAGAGGTCCTTCACATCCCTTGTAAGTTGGATTCCTAGGTATTTTATTCTCTTTGAAGCAATTGTGAATGGACGTTCACTCATGATTTGGCTCTCTGTTTGTCTGTTACTGGTGTACAAGAATGCTTGTGATTTTTGTACATTGATTTTGTATCCTGAGACTTTGCTGAAGTTGCTTATCAGCTTAAGGAGATTTTGGGCTGAGACAATGGGGTTTTCTAGATATACAGTCGTGTCATCTGCAAACAGGGACAATTTGACTTCCTCTTTTCCCAACTGAATACCCTTTATTTCCTTCTCCTGCCTCATTGCCCTGGCCAGAACTTCCAACACTATGTTGAATAGGAGTGGTGAGAGAGGTCATCCCTGTCTTGTGCCATTTTTCAAAGGGAATGCTTCCAGTTTTTGCCCATTCAGTATGATATTGGCTGTGGGTTTGTCATAGATAGCTCTTATTATTCTGAGATACGTCCCATCAATACCTAATTTATTGAGAGTTTTTAGCATGAAGCGTTGTTGAATTTTGTCAAAGGCCTTTTCTGCATCTATTGAGGTAATCATAATGGTAAAGGGATCAATTCAACAAGAAGAGATAACTATCCTAAATATATATGCACCCAATACAGGAGCACTCAGATTCATAAAGCAAGTCCTGAGTGACCTACAAAGAGACTTAGACTGCCACACAATAATAATGGGAGACTTTAACACCACACTGTCAACATTAGACAGATCAACGAGACAGAAAGTTAACAAGGATACCCAGGAATTGAACTCAGCTCTGCACCAAGCAGACCTAGTAGACATCTATAGAACTCTCCACCCCAAATCAACAGAATATACGTTTTTTTCATCACCACACCACACCTATTCCAAAATTGACCACATAGTTGGAAGTAAAGCTCTCCTCAGCAAATGTAAAAGATCAGAAATTATAACAAACTGTCTCTCAGACCACAGTGCAATCAAACTAGAACTCAGGATTAAGAAACTCACTCAAACCCACTCAACTGCATGGAAACTGAACAAGCTGCTCCTGAATGACTACTGGATACATAACGAAATGAAGGCAGAAATAAAGATGTTCTTTGAAACCAACAAGAAGAAAGACACAACATACCAGAATCTCTGGGACACATTCAAAGCAGTGTGTAGAGGGAAATTTATAGCACTAAATGCCCACAAGAGAAAGCAGGAAAGATCCAAAATTGACACCCTAACCTCACAATTAAAAGAACTAGAAAAGCAAGAGCAAACACATTCAAAAGCTAGCAGAAGCCAAGAAATAACTAAAATCAGAGCAGAACTGAAGGAAATAGAGACACAAAAAACCCTTCAAAAAATTAATGAATCCAGGAGCTGGTTTTTTGAAAGGATCAATAAAATTGATAGACTGCTAGCAAGACTAATAAAGAAGAAAAGAGAGAAGAACCAAATAGACGCAATAAAAAATGATAAAGGGGATATCACCACCAATCCCACAGAAATACAAACTACCATCAGAGAATACTACAAACACCTCTATGCAAATAAACCAGAAAATCTAGAAGAAATGGATAAATTCCTCAACACATACACCCTCCCAAGACTAAACCAGGAAGAAGTTGACTCTCTGAATAGACCAATAACAGGCTCTGAAATTGTGGCAATAATCAATAGCTTACCAACCAAAAAGAGTCCAGGACCAGATGGATTCACAGCCGAATTCTACCAGAGTTACAAGGAGGAACTGGTACCATTCCTTCTGAAACTATTCCAATCAATAGAAAAAGAGGGAATCCTCCCTAACTCATTTTATGAGGCCAGCATCATCCTGATACCAAAGCCGGGCAGAGACACAACCAAAAAAGAGAATTTTAGACCAATATCCTTGATGAACATTGATGCAAAAATCCTCAATAAAATATTGGCAAACCGAATCAAGCAGCACATCAAAAAGCTTATCCACCATGATCAAGTGGGCTTCATCCCTGGGATGCAAGGCTGGTTCAATATACGCAAATCAATAAATGTAATCCAGCATATAAACAGAGCCAAAGACAAAAACCACAGAAGAAATTTCTAAGCAGCAAAGCATTTAGGAGGTGACTTGGGTTAAAGGCATTCTATTTTAAAAGGGAAGCAGAGCATAAAAGTTTGGAAAATTTGCAGCCTGACAATGTGATATAAAAGAAAATCCCATTTTCTGAAGAGAAATGTAAGCCAGCTGAAGAAATTTCTATAAATAATGAGGAGTTGAATGTTAATCCCCAAGACAATGGGGAAAATGTCTCCAGGGTATGTTAAAAGTTTTCATGGCAGCCCCTCTGATTGCAGGCCCAGAGGCCTAGAAAGAAAAAATTGTTTGTGGGCAAGGCCTAGGGTCCCTGTGCTGTGTGCAGTCTAGGGACTTGGTACCCTGCATCCCAGCCACTCTAGTGGCTTTGGCCGTGGCTTCCTAGGGTGGAAGCCCCAAGCCTTGGCAGCTTCCACGTGGTATTGAGCCTGAGGATGCACAGAAGTCAAGAACTGAGGTTTGGGAACCACCACTTAGATTTCAGAGGATGTATGGAAATGCCTGGATGTCCAAGCAGAAGTTTTCTGCAGGGGTGGAGCTCTCATGGAGAACCTCTGCTAGGGCAGTGCAGAAGGGAAATATGGGGTCAGATCATCCACTGAGAGTCCCTACTGAGGTACTACCTAGTGGAGCTGTGAGAAGAGGGCCACCATCCTCCAGACCCCAGAATGGTAGATTCACTAACAGCTTGCACCATGTGCCTGGAAAAGCTGCAGACACTCAACACCAGCCCATGAAAGCAGTCAGGAGGGAGGCTGTACCCTGCAGAGCTACAGGGGTGGAGCTGCCGAAGGCAATGGGAACCCACCTCTTGCATCAGCATGACTAGGATGTGAGACATGGAGTAAAGGAGGTCATTTTGGAGCTTTAAGATTTGACAGCCCTGCTGAATTTTGGAATTGCATGGGTCCTCTGGCCCCTTTGTTTTTGCCAATTTCTCTCATTTGTAATGGTTGTATTTACCCAATGCCTGTACCTCCATTATATGTAGGAAGTAACTAACTTGTTTTTGATTTTACAGACCTATGGGCAGAAGGGACTTGCCTTGTCTCAGATGAGATGTTGGACTATGGACTTTTGAGTTAATGCTGAAATGAGTTAAGACTTTAGGGGACTGTTGGGAAGGCATGATTGGTTTTGAAATATGAGGACATGAGTTTGGGGAAGGGTCAGGGACAGAATGATATTGTTTAGCTGTGTCCCCACCCAAATCTCATCTTGAATTATACTCCCATAATTCCCACTGTTGTGGGAGGGACCCAGTGGGAGATAATTGAATCATGGGGGCAGTTTCCCCCATACCATTCCTTTGGTAGTGAATAAGTCTCATGAGACCTAATGGCTTGATAAGGGGAAACCCATATTGCTTAGCTCTCATTCTCTTGCCACCGCCATGTAAGAAGTGCCTTTCACTTTCCACCATGATTGTGAGGCCTCTCTAGCCACATGGAACTGTAAGTCCATTAAAACACTTTTTTTTTTAATTGCCCAGTCTTGAGTATGTCTTTATCAGCAGCATGAAAACAGGCTAATTCACCTTCTTTGCAAAAGACATGATCTTATACTTAGAAAAACCTAAAGACTCTACCAAAAAACTGTTAGAACCAATAAACAAATTCAGCAAAGCTGTAGGATACAATATCAACCTATAAAAATCAGTAGAACTTATATGTACCAACAGTGAACAATCTGAAAAAGGAATCAAGAAAGCAATCCCATTAACAATAGCTAAAAAATATGTATAATACCTAGGAATCAATGTAACCTAATATGTTAAAGATATATGCAATCAAACACTAATAACATAAATTGAAGAGGACACAAAAAATGGAAAGATATTTTATGATCATGGGTTGAAAGAATTAATATTGTTAAAATGACAATACTACCCAAAGAAATTTGTAAATTCAGTACAATCCCTATTAAAACACCAATGACATTCTTTACAGAAATAGAAAAAACAATTCTAAAAATTATAGAGAATCACAAAAGACCTTGAATGGTAAAGCAAACCTGAGGAAAAAAAGCAAAGCTGAAGTCATCACACTATGTGACTTCAAAATACACTACGAAGCTATAGTAACCAAATCCGAATGGTACTGGCATAAAACCAGACATAAAGACAAGTGGAATAGAATAGAGAAACCAGATATAAATCTACACATTTACAGCCAACTCATTTTTACTAAAGGTGTAAAGGTGCTCATTTTCAACAAAGGTGCCAACAATGGGGAAAGAACAGTTTCTTCAATAAATGATTCTGGGAAAACTAAATATCCATATGCAGAAGAATGAAACTAAACCCTTATCTCTCACTATATGTCAAACATAAAATAAAAATGGATTAAAAATTAAATCTAAGACCTGAAACTATGGAACTACTAGAAGAAAACATAGGTAAATGCTCCAGGGCATTGGCCTAGGCAAAAAATTTTGTGTAAGGCCTCAAAACAATAGGAAACAAAACCAAAAATAGACAAATGGGATTACATTAAGCTTAGAAGATTCTGCATTGTAAAGGAAACAGTCAATAAAGTGGAAAGTCAACCTGCAGAATAGGAAAAATTATTTGCAAAGTATCCATGTCAAGAGGTTAATAACCAGAATATATAAGTAACTCAAGCAACTCAATAGCAAAAAAAGGAAATAATCCACTTAAAATGGGCAAAAGATCTGAATAGACGTTTCTCAAAAGAAGGCTGAAAAAGGAATCAAGCAACAAGTATACGAAATAATGCTCAATATCATGAATCATGAGAGAAATGCAAAAACCATGGTGAGATATCATCCCACCCCAAGTAAAGTGGCTTTTGTCAAAAAGACCGTAAATAACAAATGCTGGCAAGGGTATGGAGAAAGGGGAACCTTTCTACACTGTTGGTGGGAATGTAAATCAGTATAGCCATTATGGAAAATTGTGTGGCGCTTCCTCAAAAACTACAAATAGAACTACCATATGATCCAGCAATTCCAGTACTTATATATAGCCCAAAGAAAAGAAATCAATATGTGAAAGAGATATCTGCAACACTTCTTGTAGGCGCCTGCACCAATTCTTGTAGGTACCAAGTTAGGTCCCGTGTTAATTGCAAAACTATTCACAATATCCAAAATATGTAGTAAACCTAAATGCCCATCAATGGATGAATGAATCAAGAAAATGTGGTATATATACACAGTGGAATGCTATTCAACCATAGAAAAGAATGAAATCCTGTCATTTGCAGCAATATGGACAGAACTGGAGATCATAAAATAAGGCAGGCACAGAGAGACAAATATTGTATCTTCTGACTCGTATGTGGAAACCTAAAAAGTGGATCTCATGAAGATAGGGAGCAGATTGGTGGTTACTAGAGGCCAGGAAGAGTGGGAGGGAGAGGGGACTGAAGAGAGGTGATTAATGGTACAAATACACAGTTTGATAAAAGAAATAAGACCTAGTGCTTGATAGATCATTAAGGTGACTATAACATACAATAATCTCTTGTATATTTCAAAATAGCTAGAAGAGAAAAATTTATTTCTGGCATAAAGAAAAGACAAATATTTAAAGTGATAAATATCCTAATAATACTGATTTTTTCTTTTCAAATTATATGAATGTATTATCATGTGTACCCTAAAATATAGACATTTATTATCTATCAATAACAATAGAGCAGTGTAATTATATTTCAGCTTTTCTCTCTACATCTTGGGAATTATGAAATTGAACATATTTTGTTTTTGTTTTTGAAAGATTTGATTGTTAGCAATATGTAAATAATCCACTCACTTTAGTTATAAATCAAGTATATTTGATGTTTTCTGGCTTATATCTTCATACCCAATACTAGATTTTGACGTAAGTCATAACTATTTTTTCAATTGTTGTTTCTGAAAGATAACACTTTTTCTTTTTTTTTTTTTTTTTTGAGACAGAGTCTTGCTCTGTCGCCTGGGCTGGAGTGCAGTGGCACAATCTCAGCTCACTGCAAGCTCCGCTTGCAGTTCACGCCATTCTCCTGCCTCAGCCTCCCAAATAGCTGGGACTACAGGTGCCCGCCACCACACCCAGCTAATTTTTTTGTATTTTTAGTAGAGACGGGGTTTCATCGTGTTAGCCAAGATGGTCTAGATCTCCTGACCTCGTGATCCACCCGCCTCCGCCTCCCAAAGTGCTGAGATTACCGGCGTGAGCCGCCGTGCCCGGCCAACACTTTTCTTTAAACTTGCTAATAATATTTGTTATTGCTATTTTATATATATACTAAATTAAATTTTAACTTAGGCTCAACAGGTCTCTAAGCAGATAGATGTAGTGAGATTGAGGCATTAGGCAATACTTCTTCCATTCTACATGTATTAGGTTATGACATCATAGGGAACTTTGTGATACCTTAGGTTAATACTTTATAAAAATTAATTCTGTAAAAATTGGTATAGATTTTGTCAGCCAGTGCAGAATCCTCTTAGACTTCTCTTTTTATTTCTGCTATGAAGTTTGCCTATGTAATAATGTTCATATTATATAGTATGCAATCATATCCTTTGTATGCATTCATAATATATATAAATATTTAAGCTATTAAGTCTTTCAGAGACTTAGTCCAGAGTAATGCAATAGTTCTCAAATTTTAGCCTGAAAGGGAATTATCTGGAGGACTTATATAGATCTCTACAGAATGTCGTTTTGGCTAAATTGTGTGTATGCAAAAGGGATGGTACTAATTGGCAAATATACCTGTGTAAAAGAATAGAATCATCTATATAAAATTATGTAAATTAGATATTAATCAAAATCTAAAATTATATATGCCAGGGATGCAGTATTTACAAAAAGTAGTACCATTTACACAAACCTAGTAGCTAGCTTGTTTTTCCATTGGCATGTGTGTTTTTATTTGAGAAGCATGAACCTGTCATTGTTGCTAAACTTTGATGAAGGTGTTTTCCCTCCATTCCATTTTGATTGACTTGTTACCTACAAGAACATGTGAGAATGATGAATGTTGATTTTGAATTGACAAACTCTGATTGCCATGTCAGTGAACTACTTCCTAACTGACTTCATTCTTTCAAATCCTTTTAAATATATTTGTCTGTAGGTGTGATGTATTTTTTAGATGTGTATGGAAGTAATGTGATAATATTCCTTTTGCCCTCTTGTTTTTCTGAGGGTAAAGTATGACAAAATAAATATATTGGTGAGTTTCCAAAATATTTACTAAGACAACTTTTAAATAATATCAATATCAACTGTCATTTAAAAAAATTTTATAATTAGCTTTATGAAAACGTGTTGTTTATTGCTTGTTCCAGGTCAATACAACATCGTAGAAAGAGCAGAACAAGAATAATGAGGAAACACTGCAAATAACGAAGTTATAAAATAAATAATTATTGAATTGATGTGTAAATTCAATCTGTGTTCTTTTCATACTTTAGCTTAAAGTTACTGTAATTACTTGATAATTAGAAACACTTCTGGAAGAAACAATTGAAAAAGGCTGTCAATTAGCAGGGACTTTAGCCAGAGAATAGTGATCTAGGTGGAAGAATTGTGCCTGCCTTTACTTCAGATAGTGATGGCCTCAGAAACAAGATAGATATAAGATGTAAGAAAAGATAGATAAGAGAAAATGTTCTTGAAAAAAGATTTATTTAACCTTGCAATGGTGAGGCTGTGAAAAATGTACCTCTGAGATTATCTTAGTTTGCCAAAGATCTGTCAAGGACAGTTTAGTGCTCGTTCCCCCTAGTGGCAAAGTTTCAGAGCTTCCTAACTTGGGTGCCTTGGCAAGCTGCAATCCCTCAGATGGTTACTGATGTACCAAGATGCTAATCCCTTCATCTTAGAAGGGCCTGGCTAGGCCTGGAACATGTAGACTAAGAAGCCATCTCCTATATTCTTGAGCAGACTCTGCCATTTATCTCAAGGTACCTAGAATATTACCAGTTTCTGTCTGAGCTGAAAAAAGGTGGACGAGAAAACTCCTTCAAGTCCCTTTTCTTGCAGTCAAGCCAATCTATTTATTGTCTTCTACCAAGCCAATTTCCGTTTGTCTGGATTCTATGTCTGGAATGCCGTCTTCTTTTCCAGCTTCTATGCAGAGTATTTCTTAAATAAGAAACAAAAAGTATGATCCATAATGGAAAAAACTGTTATAACAGTTATCATAGCTTATAACTTCTGTTTGATGAAAGACAGTATGAAAAGAGTGAAAATACATATCCTAGGCTGGGAAAAACGTATGAGATTTTTAAAGAAAACTGTTCTGTAAGCATAAAAATAGATTAACAAAGCTCTATAGCCTTTAAAATGAATAAAGTATATTCAAGTGTGTCACATAAATAACAAAACAATAAACTTTTTTTAAAAAGCAACAGGAAGTTCTATCTTGTGCTATTGATGCAAATATTTGAAATTTCCGAAGTGTATTCTTTAGGAATGTACAACATACATGGCAAAGCTGCACAGCCATACATAGCAATACCCGTCAGTGTTGTGATTGTGTTCCTTCTGGGAAGGGAAAGAGTGGAAGGAATGGGTATTAACTGGAACATTTCACGTCATTTGCTTTTTAAATCTAACAAAAAAAAGGTCCAAATGTAAATATATATTTAACCTTCATAATGAGGTTCTCATTGATACATTATATTCTACAATAGTTGATATATTTAAAATGTTTCATAATTTAAATGAAACATTTTAAATGGATGAGAGAAGTCTAAACTCATTCTTAGTAAATATAATCTCAGTTGATTTTATATATGTTTACCACTTTTTTTTTAATTATACTTTAAGTTTTAGGGTACATGTGCACATTGTGCAGGTTAGTTACATATGTATACATGTGACCCACTAACTCGTCATCTAGCATTAGGTATATCTCCCAGTACCATCCCTCCCCCCTCCCCCCACCCCACCACAGTCCCCAGAGTGTTATATTCTCCTTCCTGTGTCCATGTGATCTCATTGTTCAATTCCCACCTATGAGTGAGAATATGCGGTGTTTGGTTTTCTGTTCTTGCGATAGTTTACTGAGAATGATGATTTCCAATTTCATCCATGTCCCTACAAAGGACATGAACTCATCATTTTTTATGGCTGCATCATATTCCATGGTGTATATGTGCCACATTTTCTTAATCTAGTCTATCATTGTTGGACATTTGGGTTGGTTCCAAGTCTTTGCTATTGTGAATAATGCCGCAATAAACATATGTGTGCATGTGTCTTTATAGCAGCATGATTTATAGTCCTTTGGGTATATACCCAGTAATGGGACGGCTGGGTCAAATGGTATTTGTAGTTCTAGATCCCTGAGGAATCGCCACACTGACTTCCACAATGGTTGAACTAGTTTACAGTCCCACCAGCAGTGTAAAAGTGTTCCTATTTCTCCACATCCTCTCCAGCACCTGTTGTTTCCTGACTTTTTAATGATCACCATTCTAACTGGTGTGAGATGGTATCTCATTGTGGTTTTGATTTGCATTTCTCTGATGGCCAGTGATGATGAGCATTTTTTCATGTGTCTTTTGGCTGCATAAATGTCTTCTTTTGAGAAGTGTCTGTTCATGTCCTTCACCCACTTTTTGATGGGGTTGTTTGTTTTTTTCTTGTACATTTGTTTGAGTTCATTGTAGATTCTGGATATTAGCCCTTTGTCAGATGAGTAGATTGCAAAAATTTTCTCCCATTGTGTAGGTTGCCTGTTCACTCTGATGGTAGTTTCTTTTGCTGTGGAGAAGCTCTTTAGTTTAATTAGATCCCATTTGTCAATTTTGTCTTTTGTTGCCATTGCTTTTGGTGTTTTGGACATGAAGTCCTTGCCCATGCCTATGTCCTGAATGGTAATGCCTAGGTTTTCTTCTAGGGTTTTTATGGTTTTAGGTCTAACGTTTAAGTCTTTAATCCATCTTGAATTAATTTTGTATAAGGTGTAAGGAAGGGATCCAGTTTCAGCTTTCTACATATAGCTAGCCAGTTTTCCCAGCACCATTTATTAAATAGGGAATCCTTTCCCCATTGCTTGTTTTTCTCAGGTTTGTCAAAGATCAGATAGTTGTAGATATGCAGCGTTATTTCTGAGGGCTCTGTTCTGTTCCATTGATCTATATCTCTGTTTTGGTACCAGTACCATGCTGTTTTGGTTACTGTAGCCTTGTAGTATAGTTTGAAGTCAGGTAGTGTGATGCCTCCAGCTTTGTTCTTTTGGCTCAGGATTGACTTGGTGATGCGGGCTCTTTTTTGGTTCCATATGAACTTTAAAGTAGTTTTTTCCAATTCTGTGAAGAAAGTCATTGGTAGCTTGATGGGGATGGCATTGAATCTGTAAATTACCTTGGGCAGTATGGCCATTTTCACGATATTGATTCTTCCTACCCATGAGCACGGAATGTTCTTCCATTTGTTTGTATCCTCTTTTATTTCCTTGAGCAGTGGTTTGTAGTTCTCCTTGAAGAGGTCCTTCACATCCCTTGTAAGTTGGATTCCTAGGTATTTTATTCTCTTTGAAGCAATTGTGAATGGGAGTTCACTCATGATTTGGCTCTCTGTCTGTTATTGGTGTATAAGAATGCTTGTGATTTTTGTACATTGATTTTGTATCCTGAGAATTTGCTGAAGTTGCTTATCAGCTTAAGGAGATTTTGGGCTGAGACAATGGGGTTTTCTAGATATACAATCATATCGTCTGCAAACAGGGACAATTTGACTTCCTCTTTTCCTAATTGAATACCCTTTATTTCCTTCTCCTGCCTAATTGCCCTGGCCAGAACTTCCAACACTATGTTGAATAGGAGTGGTGAGAGAGGGCATCCTGTCTTGTGCCATTTTTCAAAGGGAATGCTTCCAGTTTTTGCCCATTCAGTATGATACTGGCTGTGGGTTTGTCATGGATAGCTCTTATTATTTTGAAATACGTCCCATCAATACCTAATTTATTGAGAGTTTTTAGCATGAAGGGTTGTTGAATTTTGTCAAAGGCTTTTTCTGCATCTATTGAGATAATCATGTGGTTTTTGTCTTTGGCTCTGCTTATATGCTGGATTACATTTATTGATTTGCATATATTGAACCAGCCTTGCATCCCAGGGATGAAGCCCACTTGATCATGGTGGATAAGCTTTTTGATGTCCTGCTGGATTCGTTTTGCCAGTATTTTATTGAGGATTTTTGCATCAATGTTCATCAAGGATATTGGTCTAAAATTCTCTTGTTTGGTTGTGTCTCTGCCCGGCTTTGGTATCAGAATGATGCTGGCCTCATAAAATGAGTTAGGGAGGATTCCCTCTTTTTCTATTGATTGGAATAGTTTCAGAAGGAATGGTACCAGTTCCTCCTTGTACCTCTGGTAGAATTCGGCTGTGAATCCATCTAGTCCTGGACTCTTTTTGGTTGGTAAACTATTGATTATTGCCACATTTCAGATCCTGTTATTGGTCTATTCAGAGATTCAACTTCTTCCTGGTTTAGTCTTGGGAGAGTGTATGTGTCGAGGAATTTATCCATTTCTTCTAGATTTTCTAGTTTATTTGCATAGAGGTGTTTGTAGTATTTTCTGATGGTAGTTTGTATTTCTGTGGGATTGGTGGTGATATCCCCTTTATATTTTTTATTGTGTCTATTTGATTCTTCTCTCTTTTTTTCTTTATTAGTCTTGCTAGTGGTCTATCAATTTTATTGATCCTTTCAAAAAACCAGCTCCTGGATTCATTAATTTTTTGAAGGGTTTTTTGTGTCTCTATTTCCTTCAGTTCTGCTCTGATTTTAGTTATTTCTTGGCTTCTGCTAGCTTTTGAATGTGTTTGCTCTTGCTTTTCTAGTTCTTTTAATTGTGAGGTTAGGGTGTCAATTTTGGATCTTTCCTGCTTTCTCTTGTGGGCATTTAGTGCTATAAATTTCCCTCTACACACGCTTTGAATGCGTCTCAGAGATTCTGGTATGTTGTGTCTTTGTTCTCGTTGGTTTCAAAGAACATCTTTTTTCTGCCTTCATTTCGTTATGTATCCAGTAGTCATTCATGAGCAGGTTGTTCAGTTTCCATGTAGTTGAGCGGCTTTGAGTGAGATTCTTAATCCTGAGTTCTAGTTTGATTGTACTGTGGTCTGAGAGATAGTTTGTTATAATCTCTGTTCTTTTACATTTGCTGAGGAGAGCTTTACTTCCAA
Source organism: Homo sapiens (assembly GCF_000001405.40). Classification (NCBI taxonomy): domain Eukaryota; kingdom Metazoa; phylum Chordata; class Mammalia; order Primates; family Hominidae; genus Homo; species Homo sapiens. The sequence goes on along the minus strand of NC_000003.12, from coordinate 153,509,011 downwards.
GTATGTGGTCAATTTTGGAATAAGTGTGGTGTGGTGCTGAAAAAAATGTATATTCTGTTGATTTGGAGTGGAGAGTTCTGTAGATGTCTATTAGGTCTGCTTGGTGCAGAGCTGAGTTCAATTCCTGGGTATCCTTGTTGACTTTCTGTCTCGTTGATCTGTCTAATGTTGACAGTGGGGTGTTAAAGTCTCCCATTATTAATGTGTGGAAGTCTAAGTCTCTTTGTAGGTCACTCAGGACTTGCTTTATGAATCTGGGTGCTCCTGTATTGGGTGCATATATATTTAGGATAGTTAGCTCTTCTTGTTGAATTGATCCCTTTACCATTATGTAATGGCCTTCTTTGTCTCTTTTGATGTTTGTTGGTTTAAAGTCTGTGTTATCAGAGACTAGGATTGCAACCCCTGCCTTTTTTTGTTTTCCATTTGCTTGGTAGATCTTCCTCCATCCTTTTATTTTGAGCATATGTGTGTCTCTACACGTGAGATGGGTTTTCTGAATACAGCACACTGATGGGTCTTGACTCTTTATCCAATTTGCCAGTCTGTGTCTTTTAATTGGAGCATTTAGTCCATTTACCTTTAAAGTTGATATTGTTATGTGTGAATTTGATCCTGTCATTATGATGTTAGCTGGTGATTTTGCTCATTAGTTGATGCAGTTTCTTCCTAGTCTCGAAGGTCTTTACATTTTGGCATGATTTTGCAGCGGCTGGTACCGGTTGTTCCTTTCCATGTTTAGCGCTTCCATCAGGAGCTCTTTTAGGGCAGGCCTGGTGGTGACAAAATCTCTCAGCATTTGCTTGTCTGTAAAGTATTTTATTTCTCCTTCACTTATGAAGCTTAGTTTGGCTGGATATGAAATTCTGGGTTGAAAATTCTTTTCTTTAAGAATGCTGAATATTGGCCCTCACTCTCTTCTGGCTTGTAGGGTTTCTGCCGAGAGATCCGCTGTTAGTCTGATGGGCTTCCCTTTTAGGGTAACCCGACCTTTCTCTTTGGCTGCCCTTAACATTTTTTCCTTCATTTCAACTTTGGTGAATCTGACAATTATGTGTCTTGGAGTTGCTCTTCTCGAGGAGTATCTTTGTGGCGTTCTCTGTATTTCCTGAATCTGAATGTTGGCCTGCCTTGCTAGATTGGGGAAGTTCTCCTGGATGATATCCTGCAGAGTGTTTTCCAGCTTGGTTCCATTCTCCCCATCACTTTCAGGTACACCAATCAGACGTAGATTTGGTCTTTTCACATAGTCCCATATTTCTTGGAGGCTTTGCTCATTTCTTTTTATTCTTTTTTCTCTAAACTTCCCTTCTCACTTCATTTCATTCATTTCATCTTCCATCACTGATACCCTTTCTTCCAGTTGATTGCATCAACTCCTGAGGCTTCTGCATTCTTCACGTAGTTCTCGAGCCTTGGTTTTCAGCTCCATCAGCTCCTTTAAGCACTTCTCTGTATTGGTTATTCTAGTTATACATTCTTCTAAATTTTTTTCAAAGTTTTCAACTTCTTTGCCTTTGGTTTGAGTGTCCTCCCGTAGCTCATAGTAATTTCATCACCTGAAGCCTTCTTCTCTCAGCTTGTCAAAGTCATTCTCCATCCAGCTTTGTTCCGTTGCTGGTGAGGAACTGCATTCCTTTGGAGGAGGAGAGGCGCTCTGCGTTTTAGAGTTTCCAGTTTTTCTGTTCTGTTTTTTCCCCATCTTTGTGGTTTTATCTACTTTTGGTCTTTGATGATGGTGATGTACAGATGGGTTTTTGGTGTGGATGTCCTTTCTGTTTGTTAGTTTTCCTTCTAACAGACAGGACCCTCAGCTGCAGGTCTGTTGGAATACCCTGCCGAGTGAGGTGTCAGTGTGCCCCTGCTGGGGGGTGCCTCCCAGTTAGGCTGCTTGGGGGTCAGGGGTCAGGGACCCACTTGAGGAGGCAGTCTGCCGGTTCTCACATCTCCAGCTGCGTGCTGGGAGAACCACTGCTCTCTTCAAAGCTGTCAGACAGGGACATTTAAGTCTGCAGAGGTTACAGCTGTCTTTTTGTTTGTCTGTGCCCTGCCCCCATAGGTGGAGTCTACAGAGGCAGGCAGGCCACCTTGAGCTGTGGTGGACTCCACCCAGTTCGAGCTTCCGGGCTGCTTTGTTTACCTAAGCAAGCCTGGGCAATGGCGGGCGCTCCTTCCCCAGCCTCGCTGCCGCCTTGCAGTTTGATCTCAGACTGCTGTGCTAGCAATCAGTGAGACTCCGTGGACGTAGGACCCTCCGAGCCAGGTGTGGGATATAATCTCGTGGTGCACCGTTTTTTAAGCCGGTCTGAAAAGCGCAATATTCTGGTGGGAGTGACCCGATTTTCCAGGTGCGTCCGTCACCCCTTTCTTTGACTCGGAAAGGGAACTCCCTGACCCCTTGCGCTTCCCAAGTGAGGCAATGCCTCGCCCTGCTTCGGCTCGCGCACGGTGCATGCACCCACTGACCTGTGCCCACTGTCTGGCACTCCCTGGTGAGATGAACCCGGTACCTCAGATGGAAATGCAGAAATCACCCGTCTTCTGCGTCGCTCACGCTGGGAGCTGTAGACCGGGCCTGTTCCTATTCGGCCATCTTGGCTCCTCCCTCATATGTTTACCACTTAATAATTTCCTCTTTTTGATTAGTATTTGTTAGTATTAGTATTAGCTTAATTTTCGCTTCAAATTATACATATTTTAAGGGGTGAGAGTGTGATTTTTATTTCCCTTCTGTCCTCTTCAATGACTAGAATGCACTAAGCATCTAGTATATATGTAATAATAATTGTTAATTGATTATATGAAACATGTACACTAAACTGGAAATCTTCATATGTTAAACAGATTAGTGACAGCATTTGCAAATTGCCAGTTCCCAAAGAAGCAAATGTGTTTCTATATAACAAAGTATCTTTTGAATCTTCCCTCTTTATCCTCTTTCTCTCCATCCCTCAACTACCTTCTCCTTTTGTTCTCAATAACCTTCTTCCAAATACACAAAAATCAAGCAAAGCAGATTTTCCTTACAAATAATGATGAGCTCTAAAATCCTCTCTGTTCCACCCCCCAGCCTGATCAGCCGAAACCCTTGGGATGAGAATAGAAAAAAAAAAACAGAAATGTTGCTGTGAGCCCAGGGGTATGTCAGAACCCAGACTAGTGTTCTTTCACAGAGGAAATAAGTTGTTAGAAAACACCCCATCTTATTGTCTGAGTATAGAAGTTAAATAATTCCGGGGACTATCTAGGATAAATAACTTTTGAGAAAAATAATTACAGAGGATCAGAGATGTCTGGATAGAAGTAGTATCTTGATAGATTTTCAAATCTTCCCATTTATAATCCATCAATGTTCTGGTGGATTCTGTTTTAAATAGTTTTATTTATTTTTATTTTATGTTATTTTTTATTTTAAATAGTTAATACATTGTTTTGGGAGCAATAGCATTAGGAGAAATACCTAATGTAAATGACAAGTTGATGAGTGCAGCAAACCAACATGGCACATGTATACCTATGTAACAAACCTGCACGTTGTGCACATGTACCCTAGAACTTAAAGTATAATAAAAAGAAAAAAACAGGCTAAAACTTTTGGGAGATTAGGAATCAGTTAAGAATCCTTCAGTGTCTCTAGATGCTAGAAACTTACACGGACACAGATATACAAATGTTCATATAATTTCAGGGAGGCTGTAAGCCTAGTGAAGCTCATCCATGGCTCCTTTATGATTCCATAGACTCCAGGTTAACATACTTGCCTTAAACATTTCCAGTGCAGGGGTATCTGTGTAGAAACAACCTAAAATTATGATTTATTACTAGATAAGAACTTATTTTATAAGATTTAAATAGTTGATGCTTAACTGAAAATAATGAAATCGCACTCATCCTTTTCAAATTGGCCTGCAGTTTTAAACACACATATATAAACATATGTGAGTGTATATCCATATATATTAATATATTCATGTGAGTGTTCATATATATATGAATGTATATATACATGTTCCTAGACACAAAATTCTACAAAATTTTAATGGAGAAAAAGAAAAATAGATTCTTTTGACTATTTTTCTAATCTTTAAAATTTTATTTCTGTTTACTATTAAGGCAATTTTGCCAAAATAGAAACACAGGGCATTGAATTCTTTTAGGCTTATTGCCTGATTTTACTAAGACTTGGAATGTATGATAATTAACAATATTGATTTTGAATGAATCCAGCATATAGGAAAATAACTGGTTTTTAATCATAATGCCATTGTTTCCTTTGTTGACATCCCAAGTTGATGTAACTACATTACTTATTCCTATTCTAGAAACAAACAGCTCTTCTGGGTAGGACTTCAACATCATCAGTGCTGTCTTCTTGCGTGTCATCTTCTGTAGAACCTTTCACTTACCCTCTGGCTCCCTTCAGCCCCCATGTCTAGGAGGGAGTCCACCTGAGCTCTTCTGTTTTCTCCATGCCATTCTGGTTTCTCATTCACTTGAATGCACACCTTTGGCTCCCTGGTATCTTATTCAAGTTAATCTAAAGATACATTCTCATGATTTACTTCTTTTAATCAGTTCACAGGTCCTTTACTATTGAGTGGCTAGGGCATATGTGTAGCTTTGGAATTATATATGTAGCACAAACTGCTTAAAACCCTAGATCTTTTTATGATATTACAATAAACACAGCAACTTTAAAGTAAAAGAGAGATCAAGAATTTAACATAGGGAGAAATGCAAACCGTGTGGCTGGTATTTGTGAGTAACTGAGGTCTATATAAAAGAAAACATGAAGCGACAGAAGGAAACCTGCTACTGTAGTGATGGGTATAAAAACTCTGTCTACCACTTTCTTTTATCAACTCTGAAGATCATTAGTACGAGTATTACCATCCATCTTTCCTTAGAAATTGTTACTCATTCATGATGACGCTGATGATGCTCATAACGATGACTAACATTTACTGAGTACTTATACGCCAAGTACTTTGTGAGCAGGTTCTCTTTTAATCTTCACAATAATTTATATAAAACTATAAAACTTCCATTTTTATCTATGCTCTGAAGTCAGATAATCCTTGCTGAAACCGCAGTTTGAACTCAGACATTCTGACCACAGAGTTCACATTGTAAATCACTAGGCCCTATTATATCCCTTATTGAAAATTGAATCCAATAGTTCTGCTCTCACTCTGTTTCCCTGTCTATTCTCCATGTACTATGTCTTCTTAGTCATAATCATTCATAGTCATGCAGTCTTACGGATGGGAGTTCCATCTCTTTTTTGACAATCCTAAGATCTTTTTTTTTTTCAACCTGGATCCTGCCACTTGAGCTCCAGACTTCTGTATTGACAATTCCAGCTGGATTTCTAATAGATATCTTGACTTAATCATATATAAAACCAAATTCCTGGTTTCTTCCTTTAAACTCTCTTCATCAGTATCTGATAAAATGGCAACTCCACTCATCTAGTTAACTAAAAATGTTAGAATCTTCCTTGGCCAAGCCTTTCTTGTACACCCCAAAATTATACTTCTGAATGCATCTAGATATTTGACCACTTCCTCACCTCCACTGCTACTCGTGGGGACTAGTCCCAGCCACCATTGTCTCTTGCCTGATTAACTGTAATGGCTTCCTAGTACATCTCTCTTCTATCAATTTTGCCCCAAAATGGCATAGAGAAGTCAGGAGTCTTTTAAAACAAGTTATATCATTCTTACTTAAAAACCCCTTTAAAACAGAAAGCATGGACTTCTCATCTCACTCAGACCTAGACCCTGACATCAACTCTGATCTCTTTCTCTCCTTCTCTCACTCTACTTAGCTATAGCATCCTCTGTGTACTCGAGGCCTACTCCTTCTATCTTGAGTGATCCTTCTACAAATATCTGCATGGTTAGTTCCTCTGATTTCTTCACACCTCTGCTCAAATGCCAAGTTTTCCCTAACACACTAAAATAAGAAAATTTGTTCCCCAAACTCCCCTTCTCCCTTAACCTGCTTCATTTTTCTCCATAGTATAAAATACCAACTGATTTACACTTGCATCTCCCCAGTTAAAGTGTAGGCTCCATGACTGCAGAGATTTTGTTTGGCTTGCCTCCATATCCCCAATGCCCAGAGCTATGCCTAGCACATAATGTTTGTTGAATAAATTAATAAATTTACACTTCCACTAGTAGTGTATGCGAGGGCCTGTGTCATCAACTCATCCCCAAGAGCATGAATTTTTATGTTACTTTTTCTTAACATGAAAAGTAATTCACTGTAGAAAGCAATTCTCTATAGGAAAGCAGTAAAGTCAGATATATATTTGAAATGAATTTTGTTTTTATTTGTGACCAAACAACTAATAATACACAGCACTCTCATAATTAGTATAATTACTTAAAATATGGAGAAATTAAAGCATGCAAAAGTTTTTCAAAATTCAGCAGTGTTCTTATTAGTAACTGATGTCATTTACACTTCTCTCTGGGTTGCCCAGGCCTCTCATTATGTTATTCCAATGGTAGGGCAGATGTTACAAGTGACTGGCATCTGTTTGATACTGGTTTGCAAAGGAGCCTCTCTGTATTTCAGTTCCTCCTTGAATCTTCTTTCCTGTTTAATAAAAGAGGGACTTTCAATAGAATATCAAAGGGAGCAGAGAAAGCCAAGCACAGATTATGCATACTCAATCCTCAGAAATAGCTTTTCTTCATCACCAACCCTTTGGCATGGGAAAGATCACAGAAATTTTTCTTGTTGCTGATTTTTCTCCCTAAAGTTCCTAGCCTTCACATTTACAAAGAGGGAGTTAAGATTGTAAGTCAAGAGTAGAAAGAATTTAACATCTGCAAAGTCAGGCCCTATCTGGAAAAAAAAAAAAATAAGTGTAATAATGATTAGATCATTCTGTTAATATTCATCATAGAAATTTAGGCAATTCCTTCAAAAAATATTTAACTCCTTTTTATGTATAAACCCCTATTCTGGACACTGGAGCTAGATATGTTTCCTGCCTCATAGAGCCAACAATCTAGCAGGGGAAACAAAGCAAATCACAAATGTATGCCAATAATTGATACAAATTAAAATTAATCACATTAAGACATACAGGGTAAATATTGGCTTCACCAATAAATTAAGTTGTAAAAGTTCTATAATATGAAAGTCTGAACTAAAAGGGCTTGGATTATGAAATATATTTGTGACTTAAAGTTAAGAAATTGAGAAACATATATTGAAATAGAATCCATATGAAAAGTATTATTAAATCACTCTCTAAACAATCCGTAACCCAAACCTTAGCATCACACAGTATACCATATAACAACCCTGCATCCGTCCCCCTGAATCCAAACAAAAAATCCTTGGCATGTTAAAATAAATCATTCTCCAGATCAGTAATATCAATGGGAGGAAAAAGATGAAAACTATAGACATTGTGCTATTAGAAAAGATCATCATGATTATAAACGTTTCTTCCTCAGATAGGCCCTTTCTAGTCATGTTTCTTCCATTATTCTCTATCACAGCAGCACCCTACTTGTTTCCCTGTGGACACTAATCGTAATCATTTGAGATATATATACATATATATAGTTTATATATCATATACTAATTTGTTTGCATTGCTTATTTGTTGATTATCTGTCCCTGTAGTAGAATACCCCCTTCTAGAAGGCAGGAACATTGCCTACATTGTTCTTTTTTCTATCTCCAGCATAAAGAACAGAGCTGGCATGTAGTTGATGCTTAATAAATATTTATTCAATAAATAAATTCTGATAAAAACATAAAGTGAGCCCATTATATCAGATTCTTACTCTGCATAGATTTTATTGAATGTGTGTCAAATATGATATCCTCAGTGCCTTTAAGATATTTTTTCTTATAAAACATACTATACAAAAAGAATTCGTAAGCATCTACCCAAGAAAATGCCTCTCTCCTGCACTTAACCAGTCCTACAAATCAATTAGTACCTTTGTAGGCTCTGTTGGTGAAAGTAATTCCTTGCATTTTAAGTAATACGTAAGAAAAATGAAATCTACCTTTTTTAAATGATCATTCACAATTTTTAAAAACAGATTGTATGTTTATCAAATTGTTATGTTTTCACTGTAAATCAAACTGAAGCAGTAGTTTTGATCAGCATACCACATATAAATGAGAACACAAAAATAAGAGAGGGGAAATGAATTATAATTCTATTTTGCTGCTTCTTATAGAGTATGTACATATTTGATATTAAATATATAGATACAGATCACACATATATCTTTATTTTATACATGTAAAATACTTATATTATAAGAAATTGGCGGCTGGGTGCGATGGCTCACGCCTGTAATCTCAGCATTTTGGGAGGCCAAAGGGAGTGGGTCACCTGAGGTCAGGAGTACCAGACCAGCCTGGCCAACATGGTGAAACCCCATCTCTACTAAAAATACAAAATTTAGCTGGGGCATGGTGGTGGGCACCTGTAGTCCCAGCTACTCGGGACACTGAGGCCGGAGAATTGCTTGAACCCAGGAGGTGGAGGTTGCAGTGAGCCGAGATCACGCCGCTACACTCCAGCCTGGGCGACAAAGTGAGACTCCGTCTTTAAAAAAAAAAAAGAAAAAAAAAAGGCTCATGTGATTTAGGAAGCTAGAAAGTTAGAAGATCTGCAGTAGGCAAATTGGAGGCCAAGGAGAGCCAAATGGTATGGGTTCTAGGTTGAGTCCAAAGGTATGAAAACTAGGAGAGCCAACAGTACTAGTTCCAATCTAAGAAGTGGTAGGGTTGAGACCCAAAAAGAGGCAGTTATTCAGTCAATGAGTTTAAAGATAGGAGAAGATTGATGTTTCAGCTCACCCCGTCAGGCAAGAGAAGTTCTCTTGTACTTAGCCTTTTTGTTCTATTCACTTCTTCAGTTGATCGGATGAGGCACGTTCACATTAAGGAGGGCAATCTTCTATACTCAGTCTACCAATTCAAAAGTTAATCTCATCCAGGATAACCTTCACAGACTCTCCAAGAATAATGTTTGATCAAATGTCTGGGCATCCCATGGCCCAGTCAAGTTGACACAAAATTGACCATCATAGCTTCTCAGTTCAGATACCTCGTTAGTGAAACTTCCCTGTCCCTGTAGTCTAATTTAGTACATTACCCTCTCTTGAATTGCTTGGGAGCACAATATCCTTTTTTGAATTCTTCAGAATTCTCACTTTCCAAAAGCATTCTATTTTAAAATAGATGTTATTGACAGAGGAAAATGTTAATGACAAAACATTAAGTACGAGAAGCAATTATGTTTCATTTGTGTCTCAAAAAAGGCCTTCTTATATATTTAAGGTGAATTAAGGTGCTGCTCTAGGTGTCTTTGATTTCTCTTCTCTGCCCACTCACCACCCACTCAGCACAGCGGAGGCCAATCCAGCAGCCACTGCAGCGGCAAGGCCACCTTAGCCTCAAAAGTCAGGGAATAAGGGGCAGGCTTGGAGACTCATACACTGAAACCTGTTGCCTCTCCTGTATTTATTATTATCCAAGAGCCAGAAACCGCATGTCTAGTTTAAATACATACTTATGTATGTATTCATATAGGACAGTATTTAGCAAGCTCACAATAAGAGGTTATATAGCTGAAAAAAAAAATGAAAATAGAGGGGGAAAAAAAGACCTTGTTCAGATAACTTTTCTTTTTCAAAATAAGAGGTTTTAAAGTCACAATCAGGCCAGGTGCAGTAGCTCACACCTGTAAGCCCAGTGCTTTGGGAGGCCAAGGTAGGAAGATAACTTGAGGTCAGGAGTTCAAGACCAGCCTGACCAACATGGTAGAACCCTGTCTCTACTAAAAATATAAAAATTATCCAGGGGTGATGGCATTGGCCTGTATTTCCAGCTACTCTGGAGGCTGAGGCATGAGAATCACTTGAACCTGGAAGGCGGAGGTTGCAGTGATCTGAGATTGTAACACTGCACTGCAGCCTGAGTGACAGAGCAAGACCCTGCCTCAAAAAAAAAAATCATAATCATAATACTGTATGTAATGTGCTATAAGCAATTTTGAGTATATTATAGGGAATAGAAATTATTACTATATAACTCATTAAAACATTCACAAAGATATATCTTATTTAATAGTTCTTTTGCTCTATTTGGTATTAAACATATGTCTCACCAAAGCATAGCTGTACAAAATTTTATAAGCAAAGAATTACATTTGTATTTGCAAATACTAATCAACTGGCATTATATATATATATATATATATATATATATTTTTTTTTTTTTTTTTTTTTTGAGACAGAGTTTTGCTCTTGTTGCCTAGGCTGGAGTGCAATGGCACGATCTTGGCTCACTGCAACCTCCACCTCCTGGATTCAAGCGATGCTCCTGCCTCAGCCTCCCAAGCAGCTGGGATTACAGGCACACACCACCACGCCTGGCTAGTTTTTGTGTTTTTAGTAGAGATGGGGTTTTACCATGTTGGCCAGGCTGATCTCAAACTCCTGACTTCAGGTGATCCACCTGCCTCGGCCTCCCAAAGTGCTGGGATTACAGGCATGAGCCACTGAGCCTTGCCCAATCATATTTTACAATAGTTGAGTGAATAAAAATAAATTTAGAAAAGTTAATATAAAAACCAACAAATAGAATTATCAAAATAAGGAAGAGTCAAGTCCCCGCAAATTAGAGATTTTAAAATAATGATTCCTAAATTGGTTGAAAGTTTAAAACATTGCATACCTAAATGACACATGATGTATTTTATGCCGTAAGAATAATTGTTTGATTTGTAAAACAATTATTTATGAATACAAGTAAGTATTTAAAGCAAGATGATTACTTTTAGATATTGCTTCTCAAAATGTCCTATTGACATTTCTAGTTCAAATTTAAGTTAAACTGATTTCCAGGTGTTTTAGACCTGTGCTTTCTGGCTCTTAGCTAATAATAAGCGTAGAAGAGACAACAGGTATTAGTGTATGAGTCTCAAACCCTTCCCCTCATTCCCTGACCTTTGAGGCTTAGGAGGCCTTGCTGACGTGGTGGCTGCTGGCCTGGCTTCCACTGTGCTGAGCGGGTAGTGGGCAGGGAAGAGTAATCTAAGACATCCAAAGCAGCACCTCACTTCATCTTTGAGGAAGCCAAGAGTGTTTCAAGTCAAAATAGGTAGAAGGAGAGACCCTCAACGGACAGGAGGAGAGGAAGAGAGAGAGATGAGTTGATGCTGATTGAACTCAGCGAGAGCTGAGGGGAGAGGGAGGAGGGAGAATGTGGTGTGGCTACTGAGCCACATAAGAATCAGAAGGAAAAGGAGGTGGTGAAAGGGGATGTTAAGATAACTGGTCATGTTACTTTCCAAGAGAACTCAAGAAAACTTTGAATTTCTTACGGTGCATTTATTAGAATGTTACATTTCTTTGCATGTGGTACCATGTAGAAGATGGGTCAGGCAGACTGCATTTATATGGGAGGATGAGAGCTATGCCCTCTATTAAACAAAAACTTATTTAAGATTTTTATAACTTTAAGTGCTAAACTAATCATCTAGTGTCCAAATATCATCATCAAATACCATCATCTCTACTTCTAAACATAGCTCAAACCTGACCATTTCCCATCCCTTCCTCTTCTAACTGCTGCATAATCTTGACTCGTCTCCTCTTTGATGTTCATCTTCATATTGCTACAGAAGCCAAAGCAATTCTTTTTAAGTGTAAATCATATTATCAATCTTCTGACATTTTCCCTCCAATGGATTCTCATCAAACGCAGGATAAAATCCTCACCAAGACTTCTAAGGCTCTCCATGAGCTATGTCCTTTTGAACTCTACATTCTTCCCTTTCTTGTTCACTTTCATACACCACCTCTGTCTAAAACAAGTTCCTGCTCATCATTTTCTCAATTCATACTCTTTCTATATTTCTTCTTATAACACCCATCAGTACCTAAAATTATATCTTATATTTCTCTAATTTTTTTCTACATCCCCTTCTATAATATGCACTCTATAAGGACAAGGACTTTGCTCTGTGCACAGCTACTGGTCCACTGCTAAATTAATGCCTTTCATTCTGAGGTTGAATTAGAAAAGCCAGAAATTAAATGTTATTAAATAATCAGTTACATGTGTAAGAATAAGGCCAGGCACTGTGGCTCATGCCTGTAATTCCAGCACTTTGGGAGGCCAAGGCAGGTGAATCACTTGAGGTCAGGATTTCAAGACCAGCCTGACCAACATGGTGAAACACCATCTCTACTAAAATACAGAAATTAGCCAGGCATGGTGCCTGGTGCCTGTCCCAGCTACTCAGGAGTCTGAGGCAGGAGAATCACTTGAACCCAGGAGGCAGAAGTTGCAGTGAGCCGAGATTGCACGACTACACTCCATCCTGGATGACAGAGCCAGACACCATCTCAGAAAAAAAAAAAAAAAAAAAGAGGTGCTAATAAGAATCCAAGACAAGTAAACAATTTAAATTGAACCTAAATTAAGTTACTTCTTTAAATTTCAATAATACCATTAAACAGAGCCTTGATACCATTAAACAAAGAATTGATGATTCTACAACATTTGACTTTTTTTCTCTTTAGTGTACTTTTTTTCTCTTTAGTGTACTTTTTTGGAAAGAAAAGCAGTAAATATTAAGTGATATCAGGGAGAGAAGGGGTTAGAATCATACAGAGTGAAGAGAAAATGAGACAGAAGATGTAAAAACAAGGAGGCAGAGAATGAGGGAGAACTGTATTATTGCATGTGTGTGGTGGTCTTCAATTAATCATTCTCCACATTCTTCATGGAAATACAGTTCAAGGACCTTAGTTTATGAAGTCCCCCACTGTTAGCTCCCCAAATGACTGTGGTCTTAAATGTACTAACTAATTACCTCAAAATAGTGACTTAATATCATATCACATTTGATCATATATAAAATGATGGAAGATTTAACATAATTGTGGTGAAGAAAAATGGTTCTCAGGTAATGTTTAAATGTCAAAAATTTTATATACAAATATTTAAATACATTTACGTTCATTGTTTCAATTCTGAACATTCCTCCTTCTCCTCAGCCTTTGTTCTGATTTGTTGGGAAATGAAAAAGATTAACCTCATCAGACATATTTTTCCCCGAGTTTGCCTACAGCTAAACCAGATGGTTTATAAAAATATAATCATTTCTCAGAATTCTTAACTGAAACTTTAATAAGAAAGATAAATGTGCACTTAAGAATAATCATACAGTATAATTATATAATATGCATTAATGCCTTTTTAAAAAGTACCATATCTATTTTAATTTTGATACCTAATCCTAAGTGGATTTTAACAGCTAGATATTTTCTTGTCAGTGTCTGGGTCTTGCTCTTGATCTGTTTCTGCTTCTATAGAAGGAAGAGCTCAGCTGGAAACCTGTCATTTACTCAGTGTCTTACTGTCTTATTGCTAGAGCTTTGCTGCCCTTCCTACAATATCCTCTAAGTGTACTTTCCCTTTATTCTTTCTCTTTCTCTTGCCTGTGAATCTTCACTTTTTGGAAGTTGCTTCATGTTTTGCACACCTTGGCTGTTCTCTGGCAGGTCAAAGGTCTCCTGCCTGTGTTCACAATCCTCTGCATTCCCCATCCTATTAGAGTCTCGGCACCTGTCCTAACTCTCCTTGTTCTCCCTGAATGAGCTTCCCTTCCCATTAAAGCGATGTGCTCTGTGAACCCTGGCACCTAACCCTCTACAGACATCACAGTCCAGGAGGTCTTACTTTCTGTACAGGATCAGGAACAGTTTTGTCCTTTTTCTGATACAGTTTCCTCCCAGATGCCATCAGGAACATATTTATTATGCATTTATTGAGAATTTATCATGTGCCAGGCTCTGGGTTTCTCAACTAATTCTTACAATAATCCTCTGAAGTGAGTACAATTCTCAGCATTTACAAATTATTTGTTTTTCCATAATCTTTGCTAGAAGTGACAGGAATAAAAGTACACCAAATATCTTTGGTAGCTGGTTTCAGAAACCAGCTGAAAGGATCTAGCACTTCTTTTTTTTTTTTTTTTTTTAATTATACTTTAAGTTCTGGGATACATGTGCAGAACATGCACGTTTGTTATATAGGTATACGTGTGCCATGGTGATTTGCTGCACCCATCAACCTGTCATCTAGGTTTTAAGTCCCACATGCATTAGGTATTTGTCCTAATACTCTCCCTCCCCTTGCCCCCACCCCCAACTGGCCCCAGTGTGTGATGTTCCCCTCCCTGTGTCCCTCCCAGTGAGTGAGAATTCACACTTAGGAGGGAGAACATGTGATGTTTGGTTTTCTGTTCCTGATCTAGCACTTCTTAAACTCTTTTTGCTTAAGGTTTTTTTTTTCTATTTCAACTTTTTAATTTCTAGATATAGTTTTTGAGAATGCTATGACCCATAAATAAAATAAATATCTGTGGCTTCTCCTTATTTGACATTTTATTCTACAGCATAGTGAAATAAATTCTCATTAGTTTAAAAGGCACACATTAAAAGAATGACACTGCTAGATTTAACTTGTTAAAGCAAATGAGTAATAAAGTGTAATTTAAATATATGCATAATGTTAGGCGCCTACATAGCCTGGTTCATTCGTATCCTAATTACAAATGATTTTTACTTACTATATAAAAAAATACATATATAACATAAACCAATTGAAACACATATTGGAAGCCTATTCCAGGTACAGTGTAATTCTGACACTGGGGTTGTAAAAAGGCTAAATATTTTAAAATTTGTTCTTGTAATTTTTTGCTAATACTAAAAATATTAACTTTAATTAACCAGAATTGAGTTTTTACTATAGCAATGACTAAGTAAGATTAAAACTATGATAAAACAACCAAAATAAAATTGCATGTAGTGCAAAAACCTTTTGATATAGTAACTACTTTTTTTCTCTATATTTTTAACTACATTTCCTCCTTTAAGCAGTAATAAACAGTAAGAATATTCAGTACTTATTCTCCTCTGGGAAGGGATGACACAACGGAAACAATGGCAGGTAAGGCAAATTCTTGACATTTTTTAAAATTTGTATTTTTAATTGACAAATAATAATTGCACATACTCAAGGAGTTCGTAGTGATGTTTCAATACATAGAATGGACAGTGATGTGATGGGTAATACTGAGTGTCAACTTCATTGGATTGAAGGATGCAAGTATTGTTCCTGGGTGTGTCTGTGAGGATGTTGCCAAAGGAGATTAACATTTGAGTCAGTGGGCTGGGGAAGGCAGACCCACCCTTAATCTGGTGGGCACAATCTAATCAGCTGCCACCAAATATAAAGCAGGCAGAAAAACATGAAAATGCAAGACTGGCCCAGCCTCCCAGCCTACATCTTTCTCCCTTGCTGGATGCTTTCTGCCCTCGAACATCAGACTCCGAATTCTTCAATTTTAAGACTTGGACTGGCACTCCTGCTCCTCAAGCTTGCAGACAGCCTATTGTGGGACTTTGTGATCATATAAGTTCATATTTTATAATAAACTCCTTTATATATCTACTCTATTAGAGATAGGGTACATATTAGAGATAGGGTATATCCTTCATATACCTACCCTATTCTATCCCTCTAGAGAACCCTAATACAATATGATTAGGATAATTAGCATATTCATCATCTCAAGTATTCATTATTCTTTGGATTAGAATGTTCAATATCCTCCTTATAGCTATTGGAAACTATATATTAGTTTTGAATATAGACATCTTACAGTGGTATAGAAGTAGAATTTATTCCCTTTATCTAGCTATAATTTTCTATCCTTTAACAAATTTCCCCCTATTCTTCCCTTCCTTCTACCCTTCACAGCCTCTGGTACTCTCTGTTCTAGTTTTTACTTTTATGAGACCAACTTTTTTTAACTTCCACATATGAACAAGAACATGCAATGTTTAACTTTCTTTTTCTGGCTTATTTCATTTAACATAATGTTCTCCAGCCCATCCATGTTGCCACAAATGACAGGTTTTCATTGTGTTTTATGTCTGAATAGTACTTCATCAGATATGTATGGTGTATTTTCTTTATTCATTTATCTGTTGACGGAGACCTAGGTTGATTCCACATCTTGGCTATTGTGAATAGTGCTGCAATAAATGTGGGGGTGCAGATGTCTCTCCAAAACAATGATTTCCTTTTCTCTGGATAGATTCCCAATAGTGGGATTCCTGGGTCATAGGCAGTCCTATTGTAGTTTTTTCAGGAAACTTCAAACTGTTCTTCATAGTGGCTGTACTAGTTTGCATTCCCAACAACAGTATGTAAGAGTTTCTTTTTCTCCACATTCTTGTTAGCATTTGTTATTTTTGTCTTTTTGCTAATAGGCCATCCTAACTGGCATAAGAAGATACCTCATTGGGGTTTTGATTTACATTTCTCTGATGAGCATTGTTTCATATATTTGTTGGCCATTTGTATGTCTTTTGAGAAATGTCTGTTCAAATTATTTACCCATTTTTTAAACTGATTGTTATTTTTGCTGTTGAGATGTTTGAATTCCTTGAATATTCTGGATATCAATACCCCATGAATGAGTAGTTTGCAAATATTTTATCCCATTCTGTAGACTGTCTTTTCACTCTGTTAATTGTTTCCTTTGCTGCTGTGCAGAGCCTTTTTAGCTTGATATAATCTCGTGTGTTTATTTTTGTTGTTGTTACCTGTGGGTTTTTGTTTTTTCTTTTTTTTTTTTCCTTTTTTTCTTTTTTTTTTTTTTTTGAGACAGAGTCTCGCTCTGCTGCCCAGGAGTGAAGTGCAGTGGCACAATCTCCACTCACTGCAAGCTCCACCTCCCAGGTTCAAGTGATTCTCCTGCCTCAGCCTCTTGAGTAGCTGGGACTACAGGCGTGTGCCACCATGCCCAGCTAATTTTTGTGTTTGTAGTAGAGATGGGGTTTCACCATGTTGGCCAGGCTAGTCTCAAACTCCTGACCTCAGGTGATCTACCCTCCTCAGCCTCCCCAAGTGCTAGGATTACAGACGTAAGCCACCACGCCCAGCCTAGTTTTTGAGGCCTTAACATAAAATATCTTCCCAGACCAATGTCCTGAAGAAGTTTCTCTGTTTTCCTCAAGCAGTTTTATAGCTTCAAGTTTTACACTTGGACCTTTTATCTATTTTGAGTTGATTTTTGTACAGAGTGAGGGCTGGGAGTTTACTTTCATTCTTTGGCACATGAATTTCAATTTTGCCAACACCATTTATCGAATAGATTATTCTTTCTCCAATGAGTGTTCTTGCCTTTGTCAAAAATCATTTAGCTATAGATGTGTGAATTAATTTCTCTATTCTGTTCCATTGGTCTATGTGTTCTGTGGTCTTTATTCTGTTCCATTGGTCTATGTGTGTGTTTTTATGCCGATACTATGCTATTTTGGTTACTACAGCTTTGTAGTATATTCTGAGGTCTGGTAGTGATACTTCCAGCTTTGTTCTTTTTGCTCAGGATTACTTTGGCTAGTCCTGGTCTTTTGCAGCTCCATACAAATTTTAGAAAAAGGCCATTGGTATTTTGACAGGGATTGCGTTGAATCTGTAGATTGCTTTGGATGGTATTATCATTTTTACAATATTAATTTGTCTGATCCGTGAGCATGGGATGTCTTCCCATTTGTTTGTATCCTCTTCAATTTCTTTCATCAGTGTTTTTCAGTTTTTCTTATAGAAGTCTTTCACATCCTTGATTAAATTTATTCCTAGGTATTTTTGTAGCTATTGTAAATGTGATTGACTTCTTGATTTCTTTTTCAGCTAGTTTGTTGATTATGTATAAAAATGCTACTGATTTCTATATTACTTTTGTATCCTGCAACTTTACTGAATTTATTAGTTCTAAGAGTTTTGGGTGGGGTCTTTAGGTTTTTCTGTATATAAGATAATGTAATCTGCAAACAGAGACAATTTGACTTCCTCCTTTTCAATTTGGATACCTTTTATTTCTTAAATTACTGACTTTTGAAAATAAAAAGCCAGGGACCAGGCATAAGGGAAGATGATCTAGAATATATGACTAGCTCAAGCCTGTTTTTGCTGTCCCTGAGACTAAATAAAGCATGCTAAATAAAGGGTTAAAAGAAAAGAGAGGGAAAAACACAAGAGTTAGATATTGGTCAGAAAGGAATCTATTCCTTGTCCCCCATCTACAGGCAGACTGCAGGACTAGTGATGTAGAGGTGATGGACGTCTCAGAATAACTTTGTCTCACTTTCCAAGTGCACCCCAGGGTTAGGGCTGGCCTCACAGCATTCCCTTAAGCCCAGGCAAACAGGAGTAATTGCTGTGGAGTGTCCAATCAGACAGCCTGAGATAGTCTAGAAGTCACTTGCAACTCAATATGGTGGGAAGGGTAGCAAAATGTTTTTTCATGTGGTTATGAGTAACTCAGATATGATACTGGCAGTGAGAAAGGACAAGGAGATGCAAATGGGACCTGGATGAACCCGTTCTAAATTATTATAGAGGAAGAAGGGTGATACTTATGTTCTTTGTCTAGTAGAACCAGGCCTACCCATTAGTAAAAGCTCTGGTGCTGTATATTTTCCTGGGATTTTTTAAGAAAGAAGCCAGACCAGTCTCTATTCTGTTTCTTATTAATTGCCGACACAGCAATGCCATCCTCCTCCAATGCCACATTACCTCTAATTCTCATGAAATTTAACCAAAAGGATCTAAACATTATAGAACACCCCAAGGACCCCAAGCATAGTCAGCTTACTCATCTTAGTTTCTGCTATAAGGAATATTACAAACCAACACAATGAAAAAGTAAAATTACATTTAATTAAAAATTAGGTTTTACATGACAAATCACAACATACTGGCACACTCCAATCAAATAGGTTATTTATCTCTAGTGAGGAGTAAGTAGATAACAAATGCAATTGTGAATATGTGCATCGGAACACATGAGCAAAATGCTCAATATGCCGATGATATCTACATGTAGGAAATTGTGAAGAAATTGACTTCATTTTGTTTAATCTGTCCTTTCTGAAGAAATGAAAGTCTAACCCCACAAGAACTGGGGTTAATATAAAAATGTTATGCCAATAGCCTTAAAAATATCAGTTTATAGTAGAAGTAAGAATTAATAAGTCATAGAAGGTTGATCTGCTCAATTGCAAAGTGAAGCCTTAGGCCAATTATAAGCCCTGTGGCACCATTTCATGCTCTGTAATGTACCTAGAAATGACCTGAAATACTTTTAAAGTAGAAAAATGCAAAGCAAATAATTTGAGAAATTGAAATGAACACTTTAATGTAAGTGACAAGCACCTCAATTACATAAGGAAATTGATTATAAATCACAATTTACACACATTTAACATAGCACTATTATACATATATTAATGTGACTACAAAATGTAATAGGCTAATACTCCCTGCATGGAACTTGAGACTAGTAGGAATGGGAAAAACCAGTGAAGAGTTGCAAAATAATATAAGTTATATACAAATTATCCAGCAGGAAAGAGGGAGTATAACATGATCAGATTTACATGTTCAAAAATTCACGCAGTGACTGATGGATTATTGAACTGAGGCAGACCAATGGTCGATATAGGCAGAAAAATAGAAGCCTATTATAGTTGTCCAGGTGAGAAATTCTGGTTGTAGAGGTGGAGGGAAGAAGGTAGGTATGAAAGAGATAAGGAAATAGATATGACTGAACCTAGTAACTGAATGAACTTGAAATTAAGGAGGAGTCCAGGAAAAACGTAAAATTCTGGCATGGGCTACTGAGCAGTGTGGAGAAAGAGAATTAAGGTTTTTTTTTGGAGATGTTGAGTGGAAAAAATCTGAAGTACATACGGGTGAAGCTGTCCAAGAGGAAGTCATATACATGGGTCTAGAATTTAGCTTTACCTTTAGGTCAATGGATAGAAATTTGGGGCATTTTGCAATCCAGAACTGGAATATGAATTTGACTTTATTTATATTCTGTGGGCTAAATATATAACTAGTGTAGTGCAGGTAAAGAGCCTGGGCATCAAACACAGAGCACCTGGATCCTAAACCCAGCTCTAAGACTTACTAGCTGTGTGACCTAAGGGAAATTTCTGACCCCTTTGTGGCTCATTTTATCATCTCTCAAATGGGAAGGGTTACTATAATTACTGCCACACTGCATAGCTGTGAGGAATAAGTGATTGAATACATATAAAACCCTTACTGCTTAATAAATATTAGCCATTAATGTTGGGTTAAACAAAATGAAATTGTCATTTTGAAAGTCAGAAACTCAAATATTGAAATTTCATATGATTCAATTTCAGATCTGTCAGTGCATAAATCTTGTGGCATTTTCCTGTTTCCCAAATTCAGCCTCACCTGTAGTAACTCCATCTGCTCTACCTTGGTTGATATAAACAGGTGCCACAAGTCATCTGAGAGTATGGATTGACTAAAAATTACTATATGGTAATTCTTGAAATAAAATTTCAAACTTCTGTTTGACTTTCCTCATAACCTCTGACATCCTTTCAATTGTGGAAGTGGAATGATCTTATTTATTTTCATTGCAAAATGACAAAAATACCCTGGTAATTTTTCCAGAAATATGCGCTTTGTTTAAACAGAGTTGTATAGTGAAGATTATCATTAGTATTAGCAACCTTGGAGAGGATTCATATATACTATCTCTGGGAGAAAAAAAAAAAAGCCTACTCTACCAACCAATCTCTGGGACTTAGCTAAATAATTATGGAACTAGAATTCAGGTCTTTATTCACTCACTTACCATCTGCTTCCTTTAGGCTATATTCTAAGTAGTTGAATCAAGAGATGAGAAACATGAACACAACATAAAAGATCCAGCTGACTTGAAACAGTATGCATTCCCATATTACTATATTTAAGAGCAAAAATAAACTTGTATACTGGTACTATTTCTATAAACCTGAATATTTTGATGGAGTCATTACTGCAAATCCTTTGTGGTTTGAGGTTCTATTCAGCACATAGATCATACAATTGTCAAAATCTAAATTGGGTAGCTAATCCAAATCTTGTCTATGTCTTCAAATCAATGCAGCAGTTAGAGTTCCAGCACATATGGCCAACAACTTCAGATGTGTGTTTAAAATGCTATAGAAAAGACCTGGGTGGGCAGGCGCTTTGTTGGATTTTAAGAGAAGGAGATTGTGAAGTATTTGCACATGCATTAAAAGTAAATGTTAGAGTATGTATATAACATTTAACAGGTGTTTGGCTTCTAAAAAGAAATAAAAGATAGATGTTACTTTGCAGTATATATAACAAGCAAATATTTTGGAAAGATCAAAATATAAATCTTTCCTATTGATCCATCTTTTGAAGTTTTGATATTCTGTTCCTCCTTATTCTTTATTTCTTCTGAAAAGTCTTTAATAAATGTTTCCCTTTCTTTAAAATAAAGGCAGCACCTTCTTTATAGGTACCATGTGATTGGAAATTTTTGTTATTTATTTGTGTTCAGTTATTCAGCCTACTTTTTTAAAAGCAAAGTTCAGAAATCTATCATTAAAAATTGAATGCCGAACCAAAAAGAATCTTTCGTTCATCAGATAAAGTTTGTTTCTTCTGTCTGTAGTAATGCCAGGCAAACAAAAAACAAACAAACAAACAAACAAACAAAGTCAATTGCAAAGTAATACTAGGAATTCTCTGACATGGGAATTTTTTTCTTTTTTTTTTTTTTTTGAGACAGAGTCTCGCTCTGTCGCCCAGGCTGCAGTGCAGTGGCACGATCTCGGCTCACTGCAAGCTCTGCCTCCCAGGTTCACGCCATTCTCCTACCTCAGCCTCCTGAGTAGCTGGGACTACAGGCGCCCGCCACCATAATTTTTTTTGTATTTTTAGTAGAGACGGGGTTTCACCGGGTTAGGCAGGATGGTCTGGATCTCCTGACCTCATGATCTGCCCCCCCTCGGCCTCCCAAAGTGCTGGGATTACAGGCTTGAACCACCGCGCCCAACCTGACATGGGAATTTTAATTGTGGCTATTTCACTAGTATGCTATATTATTTTGTTATAATCTTATTATTATAAGATTTATTTTGCTACATGTACATATAGACTATATCTGGATTATAAATGTCCCTGTTGTACATTAAAAATAAAGAGAAATATTTTAAAAGAGCAACAGCCTTTAAAAGCTTATATATGGTTAGATCTAATGTATGCAACTATCTACTAGTAGTTAATGGCTACTTCTCTGATTTTAACTAAGATAAAAGTATAACGATGACAGATAGATAAGATGTACTTTTTATTTTCTTCTCCCTTAATAATAAAACATATCTACAAAAACTCTAATATCAAAAACTCAAATACCACACTTAATGAAGAAGATTTTGATTCATTTCTATTCTAGGTAAGAATAATAGAAGGAGGGCTGCAATGAACACCATTATTCAGTATTTTCCTGGAGGTCAAAGATAACACAATAGCTCAAGGAAAAGATAAGAGATACAAGAAATGGAAAGTGTATACATTAGGATTTCAGCTGTATATACAGAAAAATCTTAAATGATAATAACTTAAATAAGATAGAACTTTCACAAAAAAAAGAAAGAGAGAGAGAGAAAGAAAGAAAAAGAAGAAAGAAAGAAAAGGAAAAAAAAAAGAAAAGAAAAGAGAGAGAAAGAGAATGAGAATCCAGAGGCTGGATTGATGTGGCAGCTTCACAGTGTTCAGGGACCCATACTTCTATCTTGTTGCTCTACGAGTTTTGCATATGGCCTTATGTTCAAGGTAAACTCCCAGACATTGCATTTTCATTCTAGGCAATTTTAGGAAGGAAGTAGTGAGGAAGAAAAGCTCACCTTTTCCCATTTAAGGAGGCTTTCCTAAAGTCCCACAAAACACTTTGCTTAAATCTCGTTGACCAGAATGAAGTTACCTGGTTGCAAAATTGCCTGCAAAATGTAGTCTTTTAGAAGAGTGGCAGGGTGCCCATATAAAATTGGCATTTGGGTTAGACAACCGGAAGTCTGTCAAAGAAATGAAAAAAAAATGTCATTACTTCTAGATATTATGATTGTCCACAGAGAGAAATGCAAAGGCACTCTGATATGTATTTTTAAAACTAAAAAGAATCTTCATCAACATTTAGATATATATACAGGGAGAAAGAACAAGATAAATATGTGTGAGCACATAGACGTGTGAAATATTTATTGCAGAATTTTTGGTAATATAAAAATGGAAACATTAATGTCTATTATAGGAAGAATGGATAAATAAATGATTGCATATTTGTTTCATTTATAAAATCAAATACTTGGCAATAGTTAAAATTAGTGAAATCGATTTACAAGTAATGACGATTAAGTTTCAAAAACATTGTTCACTTGATATATATCATTTATTTATTTAAAAAAAAATCTGTCACGCCTGTAATCCCAGCACTTTGGGAGGCTGAGGCTGGCAGATCACAAGGTCAGGAGATCCAGACCATCCTGCCTAACGCGGTGAAACCCCGTCTCTACTAAAAATACAAAAAATTAGCAGAGCGTGGTGGCACACGCCTGTAGTCCCAGCTACTCAGGAGGCTGAGGCAGGAGAACGGCGTGATCCCGGGAGGCAGAGCTAGCAGTGAGCCGAGATCATGCCACCGCACTCCAGCCTGGGTGACAGAGTGAGACTCTGTCTCAAAAAAAAAAAAAAAAAAAAATCCGAAAAACAATTAGTAAAATATTAACACATTAAATCTAGGTGTTGGGTATTCCCAGGACTGTGTCTGTTTTTGTACCTTATTATATCTTTGGTATCTTGCACATTATAGCCAAACACCATCTCATGTATTAGACATATTAGACCCGTTTTAAGATTGAGGAGACTTGGACTTTGAGAGATGAATTAATTCGTTCAAGGTCATGTAGTTACTAAGAACTGAGAATCAAATCCATGCCTACCTGATTCTAGAGACTCTAAAATAAGCAACTTCAGGAAGTATGATTTAGCCCTATTTTCAGCCACAAGTCTTCCGTCTATAACAAAGCCACAAACTGAAGCATCAGTTTAAAACTGTCCCTGATACTTGCTAAACTAAATACATCAAAAGGTAGGACCAGTTCAATATAATTTCAAAAGGGTTAAAAACTTTATAAGTCTATAAGAAATAGCAGGTATTTTGAAAACAGTTTGGCTAGAAAAGTAAAAAGCTAGAGATTGTTCAGAATAAGAGTGTTTAATAGGAAAGTTCTTTTTTTAAAGAGTAGAGTTGAAAGAGACAGGATGAAAGTGTAGATATGAAGTTGCCTATGGGGCTCAATAAGCAGAGAATGTCTAGGCTGAAGGCTAAATCAATGTTTTACCTTGTAAAGCAAACACTGATTTCTCTTGGATGAAAGCTCAGGAGTAGGCAGAAGATGGCAACTGAACATCCATGGAAATGTAGTAAATGCAAGTTGGATCCTGACCAGCTTCTGCAGATCACATACATGCATCTGTACTCCCCAGTAACTTTTCTGCTCCTACTGAGAGGCTCTGAGATGTTCCACAGTCCTTTCTAAACCCGAGGCAAAATCAGACTCACAAGACTGTGAGCCCCTCTGGGGTAGGAACCACACCATTCATATTTGTTTCTCTAAATCCTAATTCAGTGCCAGGCTTCTAGGAAGTGTTAACAAAGATTGGATAAGTAAATAAATGCAACTCATTATTCCATCCTATATTTGCTGAGTCCTCTGAAGTCTTTCCCCTCCTATTGATTCCCACTAACCAAAACTTAAGCAGACAATTTTTTCCCAAACTGTAATTGCAATATGATCCTATATGATTTTTTAACGTCTATTCTTTTCATACTCATTGATCCCACACACTTACAGGAGGAATTTTGTAGTAAAACTTTCCAATGACATCCAGTGGCTATTGGATAAGTTTCTTCTTTCTAGCTTGGTCACACTGCAGGCACATTTGCCTTCCCTTAGCACAGCGTACTCTTCCATGAAGCTTTGCATTTGTACATGCTGCTACTGCTGTTCCATCCAGCAAACTCCATCTAGTCTTTAAAACCCAAATGAAGCTCTTCTGTCAAGCTTTCTCCTAATCCTCCAGACACAGCCCTCTCTGTCCCAACTACTTTGTATATACTGCTATCTTACTGGTGATTGCACTGTAAACTGACTAATTTTTAATAGTTAACCACTGTGGGAGAGATGGACAAGGAAAATTAAAGATGATCAGGTGTGGTCTGTTTCTCCTTTAATCAAATATGGGCTGAATGTTAATTATGATTTGACCAGTAAGTTATGGCAGAAGGGACTCTGTGCCTGTTTGGGCCAACATTTAAGAGAACGGCAACTTCTGCTTTGGCCTCTCAGAATCCTAAACCACCCCCATAAGGCATTTGACTACCCTGAGAGCTCCATGCTGTAATGGAGTCCAAACTAATATGCTGAGAGACTGGGTATAGAAGAACTAAGGCCCTAGATTTGTGACCCAGCCATCTTACTTATTTGGGCCACCTCAGCTGAGGTTCCACACATAACAAACCATGCCTACATCTTCCTGCCTGAATTGCTGAGCCACAGAATCATAAACACATAAAATAGGCATTGTTTTATGCTACTAAATTTTTGGATCATTTGTTATGCATCAATAGATAATTAGAACAACCTTCAACATCCACGAGTATTTTCCTAGTTCTCTTCCTACCACATTAGCTGTTATGACCTCACATTCCTTTCTCATTGAACATTGAGATCTCAAACTTCTAAACCTTGTTTAACTGCACTGATTTCCTGGGGAAATTTCCTTCTGTATTAAGGCTTTAAATACCATGCTTATGCTTACGATTTCCTAATGTATATCTGTAGCTATCTCAGAAAATCCAGATATATCGTTACTTCCTTGACATACATCTCTATTTTAATGTCTAATAGGCAAATCAAATTAAGTACATTGCAAATGAACTCCTGATCTTCTTAACCAAAGCCGCAACTCTTGAAGTGCTCTCCATCTCAGTATATGTATTCAGAATCAACAAGTTGCTCAGAAAAACATCATAGGCATTACCCTTGATTCCTCTTTTTTTTTTTTTTTTTTTTTGAGACGGAGTCTCGCTCTGTCACCCAGGCTGGAGTGCAGTGGTGCAATCTCGGCTCACTGCAAGCTCCGCCTCCCGGGTTCACGCCATTCTCCTGCCTCAGCCTCCCGAGTAGCTGGGACTACAGGTGCCCGCCACAAAACCTGGCTCATTTTTTTTTTTTTTTTTTGTATTTTTAGTACAGACAGGGTTTCACCGTGTTAGCCAGGATGGTCTCGATCTCCTGACCTCGTGATCCCCCTGCCTTGGCCTCCCAAAGTGCTGGGATTACAGGCGTGAGCTACCGCGACCAGCCCTGATTCCTCTTTTCTTGCAGACCTCACTTCAATTTATCAACAAGCACTGTTGACTCTACCGTAAAAATATATTCCAACCTGAGTGATTTCATAAAACATAAGACAGAGTCAGTCCCTACAGTCAAACTGCCAACAGCTTTTCATCACGTTTAGAGCAAAATCTAAAATTTTTACCATTATGCTATATAATCTGGCTCCCAGTGACTTCTCCAACCTCACAGACTTTCTATTCATTTTCTGCCTCATTCTGTTCCAGTCACATTGGCCTTCTTGCTGGGCCTAGGCATGCCAAACAGATTCCTGCCTCAGGGTTGCAACGCTTTTTTCTCGTGTATTTTCCCTTGTCTTACACATGAAATTCACTGGGGTCTTAGTGAAAATGACATCCTCAGCGAGGTCCTTTCTGCAAGTCACATCTACAATAGAGACCCCTCTGTCGCTGGCACTCTCCAATGGAGTTGCTGTATTTTTCATCGTTGTACTTTTCACCACCTGAAATTCATGTTACCAATACATATTTATTTATTTGATTGCTTGTTTCTCGCCAACTCCAACTATTTGAGGCCAGGTACTTTATCTTATGTACTACTATATCCTCAGTCCTGGAAAAGTGCCTAGGCAAAATACATATTGCTTAACTGAATAAACTCAAAGAAGGAAGGAATCTTTAAATTCCTCAACTCACAGCCTTGAATATTTCTTGGTACAAATAATATAGTCAAGGAATATTTGTGAATGTGTTCAAATTAAGTCTGGAAGTCATTCCTAACAACTTATGTAGCTGTCTTCTTTCGAATAAAGTATTTAATCAGGCAGTATGTGAAAGCAAATTTTCATGATTTCTGGGTAGCAGATTTCTGATTTTCATCTTAAGTGTCAAGCAAATCTTAATATTTGATGTTCCTGTGGCTGATGTACTTTTTAAGTAAAGTTCACTTTGTTTTAATAAGTATACCCCAAAAAAGTGATGTTTGACTACCATGATTTCTTTTTTTGCTGAATTATTTGGGACAATAGATGAACCATGCATGGAAGTATTTTGAGGGAATTGTTTCTTACATTTTAAACATAAATCTGTTATAATAGAACAAGGGGAAAAATGTGTTCTCTTGAGACACATTTTCAGGATGTCATCTAATTGGTAATGCAAGGCACATTTATATTTCTGACTATACAGGGTGCTTGTGAAAAGATGTATATTTTAAAAATCAGAAAATTGAAATTCTCACACATTAATAGGTTCTCTGCATGTGTCTTTTAAGACATGTGTATATTTTTAACTTGATTTCTAGACAAAGGAGCTTTTTTACTAGGAATTTCTTAATATTCTATAGACCTGGGGAAGTTCATGACAGCTCTGTGCCATCGAAAACACATCAGCATGTTTGGATCATTACTCTCCACTGATAAAATTCTCTCTCTTAATAACCGACTGTACATCCTTTTTTTGTGTTTCAATTTTACTACAATATTAAACACTCCAGAAATGACAGTGCTAATTTTTCACATACCTCTTTCATGTACTCTATTTTGCTAAATAAATTATTCACTAAATTTTGCATATGGTTCATTAATCCTCAATTGTGTGGCTTTATTTTTTTCCTTTTAGAGGTTTAAAAGTAAGGTCTGCTGCATTTCTAAATAAAGCCCTTTTCTGGCTGTTCGTTGTGCCCTGAGGTGTATAATTGGATTCTTTAGTCATATATCTTAAAAATGCACCACTAACAGAGTTGGAAAAATGTAGCATTACTAAGTTTAAATGCAAGAATTCTATGCATTCAAATAAAATTTACACGAGAAGATGTATTATCTTAGTTTGCCAGAAAGCCATTTTAGTGTTTCAGGCAACAAATTGCTCATGGTACATTTTCTACTCCAACATATTCCAGACTGAATAAAAATAAAAGGTACAATTTCAAATGCTATCACCAACAATTTGCTTCTTTTTATGGCACATTTTAGGTTTTCTTAGTGTGGGTGATATAATTTCACAAAGAAAGTACATTTTATCTTAGTGTCTCTGTGTACCTTACCTATCATGTTTCTGCAGTTATGAAAATGAACAGATACCAAGCATAAAATCTCATATTTTTGAATCCATGAATTATATAGTGAATTATGACTTACAGTTCTTTAAAGCAGTGCTGCATGGTGTTAAGAACAGATATCCTGCAATCAGATGACCTAAAGTCTCGGCTCTGCCACTGGCTAGGTTAGGTAAGTTTGTAACCATTCTGTGCTTCAGCTACCTCATCAGTAAAGTGGAGATAATAATAGTACTAACTGCACAGGGTTGTGCTGAGGTTTACATCAGAAATTTGTATAAAATAGTAAGATCATATACTTGACAAGTAATAGCTAGTTTTTTTCTTTTTCTTTTTTTTTTTCTTTTTTTTTTTCTGGAGTCTTGCTCTGTCTCCCAGGCTAGAGTGCAGTGGCGCAATCTCAGCTCACTGCAAGCTCCACCTCCCAGGTTCACGCCATTCTCCTGCCTCAGCCTCCTGAGTAGCTGGGACTACAGGCACCCGCCACCGCGCCCAGCTAATTTTTTTTGTATTTTTTAGTAGAGACAGGGTTTCACTGTGTTAGCCAGGATGGTCTCGATCTCCTGACCTCGTAATCCTCCCGCCTTGGCCTCCCAAAATGCTGGGATTATAGGCATGAGCCACCGTGCCAGGCCGATAGCTAGTTTTTTTCTAAAACCTTATTTTATATCCAAAATATAATATTATTAAGTTCTTACTATTTATCTGCTCTTGTACCAGGAACTCAGGGAAACAACTGTGGTCAAAAGAGACATGGTCTGCATACTTTCTAGAAAGTCTGATTGCAGCGAAAAAACTGTATAAAAGGCATAAACTTATATACCTGACCACTTCTCACCACCATCACTGCTACCACCCTGTTTCATCATGTCTTGCCTCCACGCTGGTCTCCCTGTTTCTCTCTTTGCCCCTATTTTCTATTCTCATTGAAGCAGCCAGAGAAATCCTTCTAAAAGACTAGACTGATAATGTCACATCACTGCTCAAAGCACAGCAATGGCTTCCGTTTCACTAAGAATGAAAGCTTGACTCCTTATACTGGCTTCCAAGGCCAGGATGATCAGCCCTTTCTTCTCTGACTTTTTTTTTCCTGGTTCTCTATACCTCACTTACACTTTTCTAACTACACTGGTCTCCTTACTCTGTCTCAACAGCACCAGTGTACTTACAACTCAGGGTCTTTGTACAAGTTATTTTGTCTTCCTGAGACCATCTTCCTCTAGGTATCCTCTTGACTAATTTTCTTCCTTCTTTGAATTTTGCAAAAATAATACCTTCTTAATGAAGTCTGTCCTAATCACTTTATATAAAATTGTAATCTGCCTCCACTTCCCATATGAAATGGCTCTGTCTTTTCTGTTTTTCCTACAGCACTTATCATTTTCCAACATTATACATAATTTAGATATTTGTTATATTTATTTGTGAATATATATAATGTTTGTAAGCATGTATATGTAAACATCACAGGTTAGAGATCTGTTTTGTTTACTGTTGTTTCCCAAGAACTCAGAGAAATGCCTGACAATTAGTAGGCATTCAATAAATTTTTTTTTAGATAAATCAAAATTTTCAACAAATATGCTAGTTCAGAGTGTTTAAACTCAATGATTGATATGTTATTTTCAAACTAAACAGCAGGAGAGAGGAAAGAGGTGAAAAGGAACTTAAAAGTAATGGCAGAAACTGTAATTACTTTTGCATCAACTTAATACATATATAGTCATAAATCACAACCATGTATCAGTCAGTGACAAGCTGCATATATGATGTTGACCCCATAAGATTATAATAGAGCTGAAAAATTCCTATCACCTAGTGACACTGTAGCCACCTTAACATCATAGTATAACACATTACTCATGTGTTTGCAGTGAAGCCGGCGTAAAGAAACCTGCATGCCAGTCATATAAAAGCCTATCACATGTAATTATTACATAATACTTGATGACAGTATAATGACTATGTAGCTTGTTTATGTATTTACTGTACATTTTATTCATTTAAGAGTATACTAATTCATATATATGTATATTACATACACACATATGTATATTACATACACACATATGTATATTACATACACATATATGTGTGTAAAACAGCCTCAGATAGGTTTTTCAGGGCGTATTCCAGAAGAAGGCATTGTTATCATAGGAGATGACAGCTCCATGCGTGTTATTGCCCCTGAAAACCTTCCAGTGGGACAAGATGTGGAGGTGGAAGACAGTGATATCAATGATCCTGACCCTGTGAAGGCCTGGGATAATGTATATGCTTGTGTCTTAGTTTTTAACAAAAAAGTTTAAAAAGGAAGAAAGAGAAGACCGCAAAACAACTCAAAAACAAGACAATGGCAGAACTCCTTATCGATCAGTAGTAACATTAAATGTAAACAGACTAACCTCTGAAATCAAAAGTCAAAGTGGCTGAATGGATGAAACACCAAGACTCAATGATCTGTTGCCTACAAGAAACACACTTTACCTATAAAGATGCACATAGACTAAAAATAAAGGGATGGAAAAGGATATTACATGCAAATGGCAACCAAAAAAGAATAGGAGTAGCTATACGTATATCAGACAAGATAGATTTCGAGACAGAAACTATAAGAAGAGACAAAGAAGATTATTATATAATAATAAAAGGGTAAATTCAGCAAAAGGATGTAACAGTTGTAAATATATATGCACCAACACTGGAGCACTCAGATATATAAAGCAAATATTATTAGAAATAAATAGAGAGATTGACCCCAATCAACAAAGAAACATCAGACTTAATGTGTACTACAGAACAAATTGACCCAGCAA
The DNA here is from genome assembly GCF_000001405.40 of Homo sapiens. NCBI lineage: Eukaryota > Metazoa > Chordata > Mammalia > Primates > Hominidae > Homo > Homo sapiens. Next base: position 153,477,798 of record NC_000003.12, on the reverse strand, counting down.
ATATTTACAAATAGTTTCATCCAGTGGCTGAAGAATACACATTCTTCTCAATGCATGAATTACTCTCAAGGACAGATCATATGTTAGGTAAAAAATAAATTTTAAAACATTCAAAGAAATAAAATAATACCAATTATCTCCTCTAGCCACAGTGGAATAAATGAAATCAATAATAAAAACAATTTTAGAATTCTATGAACATATGGAAACTAAATAATATGTTCCTGAATGACCAGTGTATCAATGAAGAAATCAAGATGAAAATTGAAAAATTTATCTAAATAAATGATAATGAAGACAAAATATACCAAAATCTATCAGATACAGTGAAATGAATGCTCAGAGGTAAGTTTATAGCTATAAGTGCCTACATCAAAAAAGTAGAAAAATGTCAAATTAACAACCTAACAATGCATCTTCAAGAACTAGAAAAGCAAGAGCAAGCAAAACCAAAATTAGTAGAAGAAAGGAAATAAGAAGATCAGAGCAGAAATGAATATAATTGAAATAAAGGAATGCAAAGGTTCAATGAAACAAACAACTGCTTTTTGAAAAGATCAACAGAATTGACAACTCTTTAGCCAGAATAAGAAGAAAAGACAGAAGACCCAAATAAATAAAATCAGAGATAAAAAAGGAGACATTACAACTGATATCACAGGAATTCAAAGGATGGTTAGGGGCTACTATGAGCAATTATATGACAATAAATTGGGAAACCCAGAAGAAATGGATAAATTTCTAAATATATATGACTTACCAATATTGAACCATGAAGAAATAAAAAGCCTGAACAAACCAACAGCAGGTAACATGATTGAAGCCTAATAAAAAGTCTCCCATCAAAGAAAGGCCTAGAAACTAATGGCTTCACTGCTGAATTTTACCAAATGATTAAAGAAAAACAAATAACAGTCCTGATGAAATTATTCTAAAAAATACAACAGAAGGGACTACTTCCAAACTTATTCTATGAAGTCAGCACTAACTAGCTTGATACTGAAGCCAGACAAAGACACATCAAACTATATATATATTTATATATATATAAATATATATATACAAATAGTTTTCTTATATGTGTGTGTATATATATAAATATATATATATATTCTACGAAGTCAGCACTAACTAGCCTGATACTGAAGCCAGACAAAGACACATCAAACTATATATATAAAAATATATATATACAAATAGTTTTCTATGTGTATATATATATGTGTGTATATATGTGTATATATATGTATATATGTGTGTATATATGTGTATATATGTGTGTATATATATGTATATATATGTGTATATATATGTGTGTATATATGTGTATGTGTATATATATACATATACATGCCCTCTGGGAGGGCAGGTGCAGCGGCTCACACCTGTAATCCCAGCACTTTGGGAGGCCAAGGTGGGCGGATCACGAGGTCAGGAGATCAAGACCATCCTGGCCAACATGGTGAAACCCCATCTCTACTAAAATACAAAAAATTAGCCAGGTGTGGTGGTGTGCACCTGTAGTCCCAGCTACTCAGAAAGTGGAGGCTGGAGAATCACTTGAACCTGGGAGGTGGAGGTAGCAGTGAGCCGAGATCACACCACTGCACTCCAGCCTGTCAACAGAGCAAGACTTCGTCTAAAAAAAAAAAAAAAAACTTTGGGATACAGCAAAAGCAGTGCTAAGAGGAAAGTTCATAGCCTTAAAGGCCCACATCAAAAAGTCTGAAAGAGCACAACTAGATGATCTCGGTTCACACCTTAAGGAACTACAGAAACAAAAACAAACCAAACCCAGCAGAAGAAAAGAAATAACAAAGATCAGTGCAGCAGAACTAAATGAATTTGAAACAAAAAAACACAAAAGACAAATGAAACAAAAGGCTGGTTCTTTGAAAAGATAAATAAAATTGATAAACCATTAGCAAGATTAGCCAAGAAGAAAGAATATCCAAATAAGCTCAATTAGAAACAAGATGGGAGATATTACAACCAATAACACAGAAATGCAAAAGATAATTCAAGGCTACTATGAATACCTTTATGAAGACAAAGTAGAAAACCTAGAGGAGATGGATAACCTTCTAGAGATATAAAACCCTCCTAGATTAAACAAGGAAAAAATAGAAACTCTGAGCAGACCAATAACAAGCAGCAAGATTGAAATGGTAACTTTTTTAAAATGCCAACAAAAAAATTCCAAGACCAGACAAATTCACAGCTGAATTCTATCAGACATTCAAAGAAGAATTGGTACCAATCCGATTGACACTATTCCACAGGATAGAGAAAAAGTAAATCCTCTCTAAATCATTCTATGAAGCCCGTATCACCCTAATACCAAAACCAGGAAAGGACGTAACAAAATAAAAAAAAAAAGAAAGAAAGAAAGAAAGAAAACTACAGACTAATATCCTGATGAACATAGATGCAAAAATTCTCAACAAAACACTAGCTCACCAAATCTCACAGCATATCAAAAAGATAATCCACCATGATCAGGTGGGTTTCATACCAGGGATGCAGGGACGGTTTAACATACACAAGTCAATAAATGTGATATAGCACATGAATAGAATTAAAAACAAAAATCACATGATCATCTCAATAGACACAGAAAAAGCATTTGACATAATCCAGTATCCTTTATGATTAAAAACCTCAGCAAAATCGGCACAGAAGGGACATACCTTAAGGTAATAAAAGCCATCCATGACAAACCCACAGTCAACATTATACTGAATGGGGAAAAGTTGAAAACATTCCCCCTGAGGACTGAAATAAGACAAAAATACCTGCTTTTACCACTTCTATTCAAAATAGCACTGGAAGTCCTGGCCAGAGCTGTCATACAAGAGAAAGAAATAAAGAACATCCAAATAGGAAACAGAATGTCAAACTGTGATGTTTGCCAATGATATGAACACATAGCCAGAAAACCCTAAAGACTCATCCAAAAAGCTCCTGGAACTGATAAATGAGTTCATTAAAGCTTCTGGGTACAAAATTAATGTACACAAATCAGTAGCACTGCTATCCACCAACAATGAACAAGCTGAGAATCAAATCAAGAACTCAACCCCTTTTACACAGCTGCACCAAAAAAAAAAATTATTAGGAATATACCTACCCAAGGAGGTGAAAGAGCTCTACAAGGAAAACTACACAGCTGAAAGAAATTATAGATGACATGAACATATGGAAACACATCCCATGATCATCGATGGGTGGAAACAATATATTGAAAATGACCATACTATTAAAAGCAATCTACAAATTCAATGCAATTCCTATCAAAATACCATCATCATTCTTCACAGAACTAAAAAAACCAAATCCTAAAATTTATATGGAACTAAAAAGCCCACATAGCCAAAGCAAGACTAAGCAAAAAGAACAAATCTGGAGGCATCACATTACCCGACTTCAGACTATACTACAAGGTTATAGTCACCAACACAGCATGTTACTGGTATAAAAATAGGCACATAGACCAATGGAACGGAATAGAGGACCAAGAAATAAAGCCAAATACTTACACTCAATTGATCTTTGACAAACCAAACAGAAACAAAAAGTGGGGAAAGGATACCCTATACAACAAATGGGGCTGGGATAATTGGCAAGCCACATGTAGGAGAATGAAATGGATCCTTGTGTTAGGATTTTCTAGAGGGACAGACCTAATAGGATATATATATATATATAAACTCCCCTTTATAGATATATATATATAAAGGGGAGTTTAATAAGGAATATTAATTCATATGATTCCAAGGTCCCACAATAGGTCATCTGCCAGCTGAGAGCAAGGAAGCCAGTCCAAGTTCCAAAGCCAAAGAACTTGGAGTCCCATGTTTGAGGGCAGGAAACATCCAGCATGAGAAAGATGTAGGCTGGGATGCTAAGCCAGTCTAGTCTCCTCAGGTTCTTCTGCATGCTTTTTATTCTGGCCACACTGGCAGCTGATTAGATGGTGCCCACCCAGATTATGGGTGGGTATGCCTTTCCTAGACCACTAACTCAAATGTTAATCCCTTTTGGCAGCACCCTCACAGACACACACAGAATCAATACTTTGCATCCTTTAGTCAAGTTGACATTCAGTATCAAACATCACAAGTCCACACCTTGTCAACTTGAACCCATACACAACTCCTGAGATCAGAATCTTCCAATAAAGACAATAATAAGGTAATAATTATGCCTAACATGTAACAACTATCCTTTGTACAACCAGAAATACACAAATCCCCAATCCAAATGCTACTCCATAAAATTAACAATACTTAAATGCTGATATGAAGTTAATAAATCTCATGTCACATAATATAGGAAAAAAATAAAATGAAGATATTTTCTTAGTACAAGTGTATATATGCACAAACATGTTTTTAACAAAAGAAGGAGGAAATACTCAAGACAATTACAGTCCTCATTTAGGTCACTTAGCTGGTATTGATGACTACCTTCTTCTACTACCCATTCTGCATTCCCTTTGCCTTCAGCAAGCACCTCAGCAGGTCGTGTTTTTTTTCCTAGTGGGGTGACCCAAACCTTCATTCCTGAAGGGTCTGGGTCATTTGTAGTCCTGCCTGGATTGAGTTGTTGTAGTTTCCCATTGACCTTAATCACAGGGCATGGTAATACTAAGAGACACCAAGGGATCTGCTGTATTCCATGCATACTCTTCCTTACCTCCCTTGTGTAGTAGTAGACTGATTTTATCTTGATAGTCTGGGTCAGTCATTCCAGCCAACACTGTAACTCCCCTCTTAGCCTGTTGACTTAAAGGTAGGAGGATCCCAAAGTGTCCAGGTGGCAATCTTAACTTCCAGTTTAATGGAATCATTGTTGTGTCTCTTGGTGGCAGTGTACTTCCCTCTGCAACTAAGACCTCTAGGCTAGCAGAATGTCGTGGGAATAGCCATAATCAAAAAATTAAAAAAAGTAGATGCTGGCATAGATGTGGTAAACAGGGAGCATTTCTACACTGCTGGTGGGAATGTAAACTAGTACAGCCACTATGGGAAACTGTGTGGAGATTCCTTAAAGAACTAAAAGTAGAACTACCATTTGACTCAGCAATCCCACTACTGGGTATCTACCCAGAGGAAAAGAAGTCATTATTTGAAAAAGATACTTGCACACAATTCACAATAGCAAAATCGTGGAACCAACCCAAATGCCCATCAATCAACGAGTGGATAAAGAAACTGTGGTGGTAGATAGATAGATGATTGATAGATAGATAGATAGATAGATAGATAGATAGATAGATAGATAGACAGATAGATATAGATAGATAGATAGATATACCAGGCTCACACCTGTAGTCCCAGCACTTTGGGAGGCCAAGGTAGGTAGATCACTTGAGGCCAGGAGTTCGAGACCAGCCTTGCAACATAGTGAAGTATTCCATATATATAACGGAATACTACTCAGCCATAAAAAAGAATGAATTAACAGCATTTGCAGTGACCTGGATGAGATTGGAGACTGTTCTTCTAAGTGAAGTAACTCAGGAATGGAAAAGCAAACATCGTATGTTCTCACTGATATGTGGGAGCTAAGCTATGAGGACGCAAAGGCATAAGAATGATACAATGGACTTTGGGGAGTTGTAGAGAAGAGAGGGAAGGGCGAGAGATAAAAGGCTACAAATAGGATGCAGTGTATATGTACACCTGCTAGGGTGATGGGTGCACCGAAATCTCACAAATCATCACTAAAGAATTTATTCATGTAACCAGATACCACCGCTATTCCAATAACTTATGGAAAAATAAATAAATAAATAAAATGGTAATAACTTATGGAAAAATAAATTTTAAAAACCATAATAATGCATGATAAAAATAAAATAAGATGAAAAACTTAATTGATAAATGTGTGTGTTGCAACTGCTCCACTGACTGGCTGTTCCCACATCTCTTTCCCTCTCCATGGGCCTCCCTATTCCCTAAGACACAATAATTTTGAAATTAGGTCAATTAAAACCCTACAATTGCCTCTAATTGTTCAAGGGAAAGGAAGAGTCACACATCTCTCACTCTAAATAAAAATCTAGAAATGATGAAGATTAGTGAGGAAGGCATATCGAGAGCCAAGACAGGCCGAAAGCTCAGCCTCTTTGCCATACAGTTAGCCAAGTTGTGAATGCAAGGAAAAGCTGTTGAAAGAAATTAAAAGTGCTACTTCAGTGAACAAAAGAATAATAGGAAAGTGTGCTCACTTCAGCAGCACATATCCTAAAATGTGGAATGATACAGATGATTAGCATGGTCCCTGGGTAACAATGACACGCAAATTCGTGAAGCATTCCATACTTTTGTAAAATAAATAAAAAAAGAATAATAAGAAAGTAAAACAGCCCTATTGTTGATATGGATAGAAGATCAAACCAGCTACAATATTTCATTAAGCCAAACCCTAATCCAGAGCAAGGCTCTAACTCTCTTCAATTCTATAAAGGATGAGAGAGGTGAAGAAGCTTCAGAAAAAAAGTTAGAAGCTAACAGAGTTTGGTTCATAAGGGTTAAGAAAAGAAGCCATCTGTATAAAATAAAAGTGCAAGGGGAAGCATCAAGTGCTGATGTAGAAGCTGCAGCATGTTATCCAGAAGATCTAGCTAAGGTAAGTGATGAAAGTGTCTACACTAAACACCTAGTTTAAAAGCTTCAAATGACAGACTGTCTTGTCAGTGGCTAGTGGCTAATGTAGCTGGTGACTTTAAGTGGAAACCAATGCTCAGTTATCATTCTGAAAATTTTAGGGCCCTTAGGAATTATGTTAAATCTATCCTGCTTGTGCTCTGTAAATTGATTATCAAAGCCTGGATGACAGCACATCTGTTTATAGCATGGTTTACTGAACATTTTAAGCCCACTGTTGAGATTTCTTTAAAAATATTACTGCTCATTAACAATACACCTGGTCTCCCAAGAGGTCTTATGGAGATATACAAGGATATAAGTGCTGTTTTGATGTCTGCTAGCATAGCAACCATTCTGCAGCCTATGAATCAATGAGTAATTTTGACTTTTAAGTCTTATGGTTTAAGAAATACATTTAGTGGCCAGATGGGGTGGCTCACACATGTAATCCCAGCACTTTCAGAGGCCAAGGCAGAAAAATCACTTGAGGCCAGGAGTTCGAGAATAGTGTTGTGACATGGTGAAACTCCATCTCTACTAAAAATACAAGAATTAGTTGGGCATGATGGCACATGCCTGTAATCCCAGCTACTCGGGAGGCTGAGGCATGAGAATAGCCTGAACCTGGGAAGCGGAGATTGCAGTGAGCCAAGATCATGCCACTGCACTCCAACCTGGGCAACAGAGCAAGACTCGAAGGGAAGGGAAGGGGAAGGGGAAGGGGAGGGAAAGGGGAAGGGGAGAGGAAGGAAGGAAGGAAGGAAGGAAAGAAGGAAGGAAAGAAAAGAAAAAACATGTAGTAAGGCTACAGTTGCCATAGATGGTGATTCTTCTGATGGATCTTGGCAAAAATAAGTTGAAAGCCTTCTGCAAAGGATTCACCATTCTATATGCCATTAAGAATACTTGTGATTTATGGAAGGGGGTAAAAATATAAAATTAACAGGAATTTAGAAAAATTTGATTTCAATTCTCATGGATAGCTTTCAGGGATTTAAGACTTCAGTGCAGAAAGTAACTGCAGATGTGGAAACAGCAAGACAACTAGAATTAAATGTGGATCTTAAAGATGTGATTGGATCTCTGCAATCTCATGATAAAACTTGAATGGATGAGGAGTTGCTTCTTACGGATGAGCCAAGAAAGTTATTTCTTGAGATGGAAATTAGTCCTGGTGAAGATGTTGTAAAAGTTGTTGAAACGACCCCCAAGAATTTAGACTACTATGTAAATTTAGTTGACAAAGTAGTGGCAGGATTTGAGAGGATTGACTCTAATTTTGAAAGAAGTTCTACTGTGGGTAAAATGCTGTCAAACAACATCTCATGCTCAGAGAAATCTTTCACCACCTTAATCAGTCAACAGCCATCTCAGTCGAGGCAAGAGCCACCACGAGCCAAAAGATTATGACTTACTGAGGGTTCCGATATTCCTTAGCAATATTTTTGCAAAGAAGTATTTTTAAATTAATGCATATTTATTGTTTTAGACATAGTGCTGTTGCATACCTAATAAACTATCGTATAGGGTAAACATAACTTATATGCATTGGGAAACCAAAAAATTTGTGTGACTTGCTTTATTCACTTTACTGTGGTGGTCTGGACTGAACCAACAGTGTCTCCAAGATATGCCTCACTTATTACTGTGTTACAATTGCCTACAGCATTCAGTACAGTAACATGCTATACAGGCCTGTAACCTAGGAGCAACAGGCAATACCATATAGCTTTGGTGTGTAGTGCACTATACCACATAGGTTGTGTAAGTACAGTGTATGATGTTTGCACAATGATGAAACTGCCTAATGACACATTTCTCAGAGCAAGTTCTTATTAAGTGACCATGACTGTATTCCAAAGTGTGTCATTACTTAAAATAATATTAGGATCCATACATCTAGACATATTTCAAGCCTACCTGTATTATTTTTAATAGATTTAAGATCAAAGAGTATCGATCCTTTTGGGGATGATTTTATTCTTTGGAAAGAGCCAGAAGCTAATATAGTAAATAAACAAATTGGTTAAAACAACATTTTCTTTAAAAATAAAATAAGAGATATGACTCAAATAATCAAACCAGTTGACTAGTGTCACTATTTGAGTTGGCAATCTCAAAATACTCTGGCCAATGGAAAGAGTACTCAAGAGAGCCTCCCAAAAAGATCACTTTAAAAACTAACATTCATTTTGATACTTAAGGCTCAGTTAATTTTTAAAATCACGATAAATTGTAGTTACTTTTCTACATACATGAAAACTAATAATATTATTTCTTCATGCAGACTTACCAAGTCAATATTCTCCTATGAACTTAAAACAAGACTTTTTTTTTTTTTTTTTTTTTGAGACAGAGTTTCACTTTTGTTGCCCAGGCTGGAGTGCATTGGCACTATCTCGGCTCACTGCAACCTCTGCCTCCCAGGTTCAAGCGATTCTCCTGCCTCAGCTTCCCAAGTAGCTGGGATTACAGGCATGCGCCACCAAGCCCGGTGAATTTTATATTTTTAGTAGAGACGGGGTTTCTCCATGTTGGTCAGGCTGGTCTCGAACTCTCAACCTTAGGTGATCAGCCCGCCTCAGCCTCCCAAAGTGCTGGGATTACAGGCGTGAGCCACCGCAGCCGGCCAAAACAACCATTTTAAGGCTTACGCATTTGGATTGGGTCCCAAGAAAATCAAGTGCCTAAAAGCCATGTAGACCTTAGGATGATTATAATTCCAACCTTAACCACCTTGTATTTTGTGACGTTGAATAAGAACCTTCAGTTCTCTGATTCTATTTTTTTCTCCTGTGCAAAAAAAAAAAAAAAAAATTCCAAAATATTACTCAAAATATCATTTGTAGAATGAAAAGAAATAAAGTACATATAGCAACAAGTATCAAGACCAGCTCAGAAAACTTACAAGCCATTAATGCGTACCAAGTAGAGGACTTTACTTGTATTATCACATTCAGTCCTTCTAACAAGCCATGAGGTAGGTAGCAGTATTTTTATCTTGCAGAAAAGTCAAGTGAAGCTTAAGGAGGTTAAGAAAAACAAGGGTTTGTTCACTTCTCCTTTTCCAAAATTGTTGTAACATTCATTAGATTTTAATAACTTGAGTAGTACTATAAGAATAGCCTAGCAGTACACCAATGTTTTGCTCCAACAAAAATTAAAGAAAGTTGTTTATGAGCTTAATGGAAATCCAATCCACAAAATATTCTACCTTGTTTTAATTTAGGTCAGTGTACCTTTTATGTTTATAATGTTTGTTACTTTGGTTTTTCAATTTATGCCTTTCACTTACCTTGGTAGGTTACTTTGCATATTGTACTTATCTCTCTACCTTTGCAAATTTGAAAATTACTCTACTCATGGCATCTTATGGAATGGAAACAATTGAAAAACTCACCAAATTATTTCAGAAATAGGTGTGATAGTGTTTTGTCAATCCTGGAAAAGATTCAGATGTCAAGGAAAACATAACATGAAGAAAATAATGGAATGATTGAAAATTTCTTTGTGTAAAGAAAGAAACAAAAGATTTGTTTAGATTCAATTCTTATTGTTAATTTAAAAAGGAATATTCTTCTCTCTCTGCCTATTGTTTGTGATACCAGTAGGTGTGATATGAAGTGAGAACGAATTTTCTAATTTTTAGCTTCTAGAATAATGTTCCATGTTTGTGCCTAAAGGTACCTTTGAAATGATCTGGTCCAAATTCCTCATTTTACAAATGAGGACACTGGGTCTCAGAGAATTGAAGTATTATTCCCCAAACCACCCAATCAGCAAGTGATAGAACAGAGATAAAGCTGGGGCTCTGGCCAGTCAGCCCCTCTTGTCTGCTTTCCTACATTATGCAATTTTCCCTGCAACAGTTCTCAATACAACTGACACCTACAATTCTTGGGCTTGAGGCAAGCTTGTAATTGGCCACACAACAGAAGAAAAAGTGTAATGAGCAATGTCAAACCTCAGAATACCAAATAAGGCTATTCTTCAACTTAGGCAGAAGAAAAAAGACAGAAAAATTTGGGCTAAGGACTTCTAAATACCATGAAAAGCACCTCTTGACTCTAATAAGCACACATAAGATATTCAAAGCTTGAATGTCACACAAAACTCAGGGCTTGGTATTTCAGAATTTCTCTGGAAATGAAAGGCCTCTAGATCCTGGCCATGAAAAAGAGTGAGATAACTCAGAACAAAAGGTTAGCTTTCTGCTATCTCAAGAGTGTCCAAATGAAATCAAATGCTTTATTTCACCCCTTCAATCTGTGACTCTGAGAAAAGGGACCATAGGCTTTCTTATTTTCTAACACTCAAAGCCTATCATAATCTTTTCTTCCCCCAGCATCTAATAATTAATTATGGAGTAAAGAAATGTTCAATCAGTTACCTCTGACAGATAGATAGACTGTGACGAAGTGGTCCCAATAAATGGTAATATCACAGCTGCTTACTAGGAGGCTGGTTTATACTTTCAGCCATCATGTCATTTGTCCTTTCAGCCTTTTCCACAGGAAAAGTTATACCCATAGCATTGGGTATGGTTATAATTCAGCACTGGGCTGCTTCTAGGCTGTTCTCATTTTGCTGCCAATCAATTGGTCTCTGTGAGGAGTCAAAGAACTTCTACGTTGCAGCCAATTTCATCAGTCTGTAATTATTCTATTTCAAGAAACTCCGGCCAGGCACGGTGGCTCACACCTGTAATCCCAGCACTTGAGAGGCTGAGGTGGGTGGATTACGAGGTCAAGAGATCGAGACCATCCTGGCCAACATGGTGAAACCCCGTCTTTACTAAAAATACAAAAATTAGCTGTGCGTGGTGGCAGTGCGCCTGTAGTCCCAGCTACTCGGAAGGCTGAGGCAGGAGAATCGCTTGAACCCGGGAGGTGGAGGTTGCGGTGAGCCGAGATTGCACCACTGCACTCCAGCCTGGCGACAGAGTGAGACTCTGTCAAAAAAAAAAAAAAAATCCAACATATCCAATTCCAAACTTTAAAATAACGGATAAATTGTGGGGGGGGGGTGTGAAAAATAACTATTTTCCAACTATATTTTCCAGATGACTCAATTAAAAATAAATTTGTTTAATGTGATGGTGTGTGAATAAGAATACCTTGGCCAGGCACGGTGGCTCATGCCTGTAATCCCAGCACTTTGGGAGGCTGAGGTGGGTGGATCATTTGAGGTCAGGAGTTAGAGACCAGCCTGGCCAACATGGTGAAATCCCACCTCTACTAAAAATACAAAAATTAGCCAGGCGTGATGGTGCATGCCTGTAGTCATTATCTGAGACTGTTGCTGATACTGTCCTGATATTGCTGATACTGCTCATAGTTTCTGATTTTGTTCTGAAAACTGCTCTTTACAGTTGTCTTAAGCATTTAAGATAATTTAGAGACCTTTTATAACTCTAGATTATAATGAAATTTGCCATAACTAATAGCTTGTATTTCGTGAATACAAAATATCACCCTGAAGGAAAATGCTAACAGGTGAAAAAATACATTAGAGTTTTGAATTCTTCAGAGAAAGACAGACATAGGAATTAATTTCAAGCTTTGCTGTTATTAAGCAGCATTTATAGCATACACAAAAATTCCATGAAAAATAGGGCAGGGTAGTTGACATGAATCCTGAGCAAAATTCTACAGTAGATGTTCTGAGCACTTTTTTAATCATTCTGTAAAGAAAATGTACTTGGTAGGAGGCAGCAATGAACTCACAGACATGACTGGCATCTTTTGTTTTTGTTTTGTTTCTAAGATTACAAAAGTTGTAATAAGAGAACGATAATTGTAGCATATCTTGGTTTCAACTTGAAAACATTTATCACTCATTTATCTGAACATGACAGGGGATTGTGGCTGGTAATAGGAGAATTAGTTGGATTCATAACTGATTGAACAACGAAAGTTTTAAAATGTTAACTAATTAGTAATCTCAGTTTGGAAGAAAGTCTTTAGATATGGTCTGCCAGACTCTGGCTTTGGCTTATTCCAGAATGATGTAATTATCTAATTGGAAAATCACAGAAGATCCAATTCAACTTAAGATAGAATTTCTAAATGATTTGATGTGTCTGAATAGGGCAACCTAAGATGGTCAAGCAAAGATCAAACTCAAAATGGTAGAGAAGATGGCACTGAAGGTATATGAGGTTATAGGTACCTCTGGAAGTGGTAGAGAATAGAAGATGCTGATTGGATAAATGTCTGGGGCTCTCAGTCCACTTCTACTTCTTTGGATTTTGTTCCCTGTTAGATGTTTTTTTCCTAAGCTAAAATGTCCAGGAAAATAAGGAAAAAAAAGAGAAAAGTACTGGATCAGATGATAATTTAAGTCTCTTCCAGATTTAGGATTCTACATCATTGCAACAACTGAGATTTGTTTGAAATGTGTTAAAGATATCTGCAAAAGATACCTCCTCTTAAGAGAGTTTCAGGAAATCACATTCCTCAGTTTGTGTGTGTATCTGTGCACCCAACTCGCAAATACACACATGCCTATGCATTTTAAGACTCCTCATCACTCAGTGCTAGGCTAGTGATTTCTTTTGCTGAATTGTCTCATATATCCAACACTCATAATTTTGATCCTCCTGCCAGTTTAAAAAATTGTAAATTTTCTCTTGTAGTTCAAAGATTTAAATTCACTTTACACACAATTAAACTAAATATGTCAAGTGCCCAATTATCCTTTCAGAGCAGTTGAGGGCTTCAGAGTTACAATCATCAGTTTAGTTCCAGGTCTCCAGGAGGAACTCAGGTGAGCCCAAAGCTCAGAATGATTTTTTTTGATCCAGTGTGTGGGTATGCATTTCTGCCTTTCAAAACTAAATACCATGTATAATTATATATTATATTAGTCCATTTTCTGTTGCTTATCACAGAATGTCTGAAACTGGGTAATTTAAAAGGAATTTTTTTTTTTGCAGCTATGGAGGCTGACAAGTGTAAGTCGAGGGACTGCATCTGATAAGAGCCTTCTTGCTGGTGGGGACTCTACAGAGTCCCAAGATAGTACAGGGCATCATATGACAAGGGGACTGAGTGTGTTGCATGCTTGCTCAAGTTTCTCTTCCTCTTCTTATAAAGCCACTAGTTCCACTCCCATGATAACCCATTGATCCATTACTTCATGAATGGATTAATTCATTCATAAAGGCAGAACCTTCGTGATTCAATCTTCTCTTAACGGATCCACTTTTCTTGACATATATAATTATATCTAATCATCACAATATGTTAACATGTCTATTTCAGTGCCTTAAATATTGTAGGCACCTAAAAAATATAGTTGGATCTAATATATATAAATATAATGTATATATTATATATAAATTATATATATTTTATATCTATTATATGTATATGATGTATTATATATATTATATATAATTTATATATATTATATATATAAATTTATTTTACTTTAAGTTCTAGGATACATGTGCTGAATGTGCAGGTTTATTACATAGGTATACATGTGCCATGGTGGTTTGCTGCACCTGTCAACCAGTCATCTAGGTTTTAAGCCCCACATGCATTAGGTATTTGTCCTAATGCTCTCCCTCCCCTTACCCCCGACACCCCAACAGGCCCCGGTGTCTGCTGTGCCCCTCCCTGTATCCATGTACTCTCATTGTTCAACTCTCACTTATGAGTGAGAACATGTGGTGTTTGGTTTTCTCTTCCTGTGTTAGTTTGCTGAGGATGATGGTTTCCAGCTTCATCCATGTCCCTGCAAAGGACATGAACTCATTCTTTTTTAGGGCTGTATAGTATTCCATGGTGTATAAGTAAAGGTCCCACTTTTTAATACTGCGACATTGGGAATTAACTTTCCAACACATGAAACTTGGGGGATACATTCAAACCAGAATATATATTGTGTCTATCTTTCAATAACAAATCAATCATTATACAGTAAGATTATTATTAAAAGTATAACCACAAAAATGAAGAGTATCTAAATGCAGCACCTAAATGCACATTCAACAAATACTTTTTGGCACCTCCCTGTGTCAGATATTGTTCTAGGCACAAGGGTTGCAACAGCAAACCATGACCTTAGAGACATTATACTCCAGTGGAGAAATTTAGACAATATACAAACGAATATGTATCAGGTAGTAATAACTGCTATTCAAAGAGATAAAGCAGGATTATGAGTACAAAGTAAGTGGGCTGCTATTTTGTACAAATGTGGGAAAATATAAGCTCCCTGTTCAAGAGCAAAGACTGCCTCAATCAAGATGCTTGCATAGAAAAAAAATAAGTGGCCCATTTTTATAATGCTCACTCTTTCTAAGGTTTTGTGCAGAGCAATTTCACCTGCCTGCTTTAGCTCCTCTCTTGCTTTGCTATGTATCTTTTATTTTGTGGTTTGTCTGGTTTCCTTTCGACTTCCTTAAGGTGTTAAGAGTTCTTCAGGATTGTGTTACTTGCAACTTTTTCTCCCATTGGCTGATTTTCTGCTGAAAATAAAGAGCTCTAAAACAGTTTCACTTCTATGCTTTTTAGCCCACAAACATGTTTTTTCTTCAAAATTTTTTTCAGTTTATATACACTTTTTCCATTTAAGAACATTTACTCCCATAGCTTTATTTTTTATAAACACATTAACTGTGTCATTCACATGAGAACTTATTTATCTTTTGTCAGCACAATAACATGGTAGTTAACAGATAAAGACTCATCTGTTCCCTAAATAAAGGGCTAGAAGTCAAATTTTGGGTCTTTTTATGTGTATCACCTAAATTATTATTATTATTATTTATTAATTTATTTATTTATTTTGACACGGAGTCTCGCTCTGTTCCCCAGGCTGGAGTGCAGTGGCGCAATCTCGGCTCACTGCAAGCTCCGCCTCCTGGGTTCACGCCATTCTCCTGTCTCAGCCTTGCGAGTAGCTGGGACTACAGGCGCCCACCACCATGCCCCGCTAATTTTTTTGTATTTTTAGTAGAGACGGGGTTTCACCGTCTTAGCCAGGATGGTCTGGATCTCCTGATGGTCTGGATCTCCCGACCTCGTGATCCGCCCGCCTCGGCCTCCCAAAGTGCTGGGATTACAGGCGTGAGCCACCGCATCCGGCCAACTAAATTATTTTTAAATAATAAATCTAAGAAATGCTCTATTTGCCGTGGACAAAGAAACACGTTTTGAATTTTCTGTTAATCTCTTCAAACTAATATTACCTTGTATGATTAAGAAATTAAGAAAGAATGATGATGTCGTTGGGAAATAATTGTATAAGTATAAAAACATACTGTACAAACAATAGCATTGCTTAAACTACAAAATAGATTCTTGGCAAGATTTGTATTAGATGTGGGATAGACACCAAAGTTCATATAAAACTTTTCTAATTTTTTTCATAAATGAGCCTATAATCTCTATCTGTGTGTGTGTGTGTGTGTGTGTGTGTGTCCTTCTCTCTCATTCTCTCACTTGCTTGTTAAATGCTTTTGATTATAGTGTCTCTATCCTGCAAACATAAGTTATTTTTATTTTTAAGCATCTGGAAAAGATAAAAGGACAAAGTAAAGAAATGGGAGTCTTTTCTTGTCAGTTATAGGGCCTTTGATACTATTTTAAAGCATGATCTAGAAATGTTTTACACAGATTGGAGTTAAAGATCTTCATTTTGTCATGACTTTTAAGAGTCTGATAAAATGTTTTTGTTGTTGTTAGCTTATTACTGTTACCTAAACATTTCACAAGTTCAGATTCATTGTTCTGCATCACCACAAACATGTTTTTGCAAAGTTAACGTACCAAACTATGTCTATTATATCTATTATAAACTGTAAATATGTTCTGATTTACAGTGTTAACTGTGCATTCTCAAGTATCCCTGTAGTATCTCTAGTCTTGAACAAGTAGACTTTGACTTTTATTACAACTGAATTTGGGTGCAGGAAGGAGGCTGGCATACAAAAACAATAATTAGGTTAAGTCACTTGAGAAGGCAATATATTGAGATGAAAAGAGCTCTGAAAAATAAATAAAATAAAAATAAGGCCTTCAGGTTAGGCCTGGCAGTGTCATTAAGGTAGCTCAGTGTCATTTCAGGCAACTCACTAAAGGCCTCTAGAGCACTGTCCCTTATGGGTGTCTATCCAGAATGACAGCTACAGTTGCCTCAGAGACCAACTAAATGTGGCAGTGGCCAGGGTCAGACAAAAGTGGTGGGGATTCTGGTGAGCTGAAGACTACATATCCTTCCCAAAAGCATTAAATTCAAGATGCTGAAACATGGTAACAACTGTAGTATCCCTTTTAGCTCTAACATTCTGTGCTTTTGAGTTTTCAAATAAAATGAACATGTATTTATTAGGCAGCTGCGATGTAAAACCCTGTTATGACTTCAGAGGGACAACAGAAACGTATGAGCAATGTCTTCTGCCTTTGAAGCATACAGTCCAGCTAAAGAAATGAAACTGGGCAACAAGATAAAGAGGCCAGTTCTTCAAGCAACACAGGGAAAGCACACTAATTATTTAAGAAAAATGGATTTGTCCCTCTAAAAAGCAGTGGGCTGTGTCAGCAAGTGCTATAGTCATTTTCGGAATGGCTACTAGCCTCTAGCATGAGGGAATGAGGAAAGGCCTCACTGAAATAGTAGAGCTTAAGCCCACACTTCAGGTGTAGAGTCTAGATTGGAATAGTATGGGGTTATAAGCAGAATGTTTAACTTCTGGGAGACCCTTTATAAGCACTATTAAGAAGTCTGGCTTTAGTTTGTTTGTTTCTTAGTTTTTGTTAATGGAGAATGCTTATTGAGAAAATCAGTAGTAAAATTTTAGTAAAAAAACAGTCTTTAGATTATTCTGATGTCAGTCTGGCTGAGGTATATACATTTCAATGTTGGCGTTGGAAACTTTTCCACAGATTTACTTAGTGAATAAATGCATTTATTTGATCACAACAGAATGCATTTATCAGCACAGTATTTGCATTTTTATTCCACTGAGCATCTGTTTTCTCTACACTGGCATCTCTAGTTATAATTTTTTTCAGTGAAACATATTTCACGAATGTTTTCAAGTGCTAGGAATGCAGAATGATGAAGCAAAATGGAGCCTAATAATGACTCGTAGTGGTATTATGATTTTAAATTTATAACTTTCACATGCATGTTAAGCATTTATTCCTTTAAAAATTCCATAGTATAGGCTTTATTATTCATTTTACAATAAAGAATAAAATGTTTAAAAAGAGAAGCTATTTCCCTGTCTATTAAGTATGATTAACACAATCATAGCACACAGTACAGCTGCTAAGGAAACCATTACAATTAGACCTAGAAGATGGCATAGTCCTACCTCTTGTGTCATTCATTCATGCAATAGCTATTATTGAGCACCTACAATGTGCCGGGCACAGTTCTAAGTTACAAGCACACAGTAGTAAACAAGAAAAAGTGATTGCCTACTAGATTTTACAAAGATTTGCCCATAGTTTATAGATGTAGGATCCATATCTTTCTTTTTTATTTTTTAAATAATATATACTTTTAATTTTTTTTCCAAAACACACTAATTGTATATATTTATGGAGTACAATGTGATGTTTGGACACATGTATACATTATGTAATCAAGGTAATTAGCATACCCGTCACCTCAAACATTTATCATTTCTTTGTAATGGGAACATACAAAATGCTCTCTCCTAGCTATTTCAAGATATATAATACCTTATTGTTGCCTATAGTCACTCTACTGTGCAATAGGACACCAGAACCTATCTTTCCTTTCTATGTGTAACTTTATACCTGTTGAACATCCTCTCTCCTTCTTCCCCCTACCATCCCCAGTCTCCGGTAACTACTGTGCTATTTACTACTTCTATGAGATCAACATTTTAGGTTCTACACGAGTGAAAATGTGGTATTTTTCTTTCAGTCTCTGGCTTATTTCACTTAACATAATGTCCTCCAGGCTCATCATGTTGCTGTGAGTGACGGGATTTCATTATTTTTATGTCTGAATGGTAGTCCATTGTGGGTATATATACCCCATTTTCTTTATTCATTCATCAGTTGATGGACATTTAGGTTTATTCCATATCTTGGCTATTGTGAATAGTGCTGCAATAAACAAAGGAGTACAGAAATCTCTTTCACATACTGATTTCATTTCCTTTGGATATATACCCAGTAGTGTGATTGCCGGATCATGTGGCAATTCTATTTTTAATTTTTTTGAGGAAACTCCATGCTGTTTTTCATGGTGGCTGTTCTAATTTACATTTCCACAGTGTGCAAGCATTCTCTTTATTCCACATTCTGACCAACACTTATTATCTTTTGCCTTTTTGATGATAGTCATTCTAACTGGAGTGAGGTGATATCTCAATATAGTTTTGATTTGCATTTCCCCAATTATTAGTGATGTTGCACATTTTTTTCATATACCTATTTGTCATTTGGGTATCTTCTTTTGAGAAATGTCTATTAAGGTCTTTTGCCCATTTTTCAGTTAGATTACTTGTTTTTTGGTTTTGGGTTTTGTATTTTTTTGCTATTGACTTGAGTTCCTTATAAATTGTAAATATTAACCTCTTGTCATATGTAGAGTTTGCAAATATTTTCTCCCATTTGTAGATTTTCTCTTCACTCTGTTGATTGTTTCATTTGCTGTGCAGAAACATTATAGTTTGATGTAATTCCATTTTTCTATTTTTGTTTTTCTTGCCTGTACTATTGAGTTCTCATCAAAAATATCTTTGCCCACTTCAATGTCATGAAGCATTTTTATTATGTTTTCCTCTAGTATTTTCATAGTTTTGGATCTTACATTTAAATATTTCATTTTGACTTAATGAAAGATTGGGTGTCCAGTTTTAGTCTTCTGATTGTGGATATTCAATTTTTTTGGCACCATTTATTGAAGAGATTGTCTTTTCCCCAATTGTGTTCTTGGCACTTTTGTCAAAAATCAATTGGCTGTGCATAGGTGGGTTTATTTCTGGGTTCTCTAGCCTCTTCCATTGGTCTATGTATGTTTTTATGCTAATATTATGCTGTTTATATTACCAGAGCTTTTTAGTAAATTTCGAAGTCATGTAGTGTGATGTCTCCAACTTTGTTTTTGTTTTGGTGTTTTCTTGAGATTGTTTTGGCTATTAGGGCTTTTTTCTTGAGATTGTTTTGTGGTTCCACATGAATTTTAGTACTGTATTTTCTATTTGTGTGAATAATATGATTGATATTTTGATAGGGATTGCATTAAATTTGTAGATTGCTTTGGGTGGTATAAATATTTTAACAATATGAATTATTCTATGAGTATGAGATATCTTTCCATTTTTGTGTTCTTTTCAATTTCTTTTATCAATGTTTTATGGTTTTCAATGTAAAGATCTTTCCCTTTCTTGTTTAATTTTTAGGAATCTTTTTGTAGCTATTGTAAATGGCATTGTTTTCTTTTTTCAGATAGTTCTCTATTCACATATAGAAATGTTACTGATTTTTGTATTTGGTTTTGTATCCTGCAACTTTACTACATTTATTTGTTAGTTGTAATGGCTTTTTGGTGGCATCTTTAGGGTTTTCCGTACATGAGATTATGTCATCTGCAAACAGGGACAACTTGACTTCCTTCTTTCCAATTTGGATGCCTTATATTTATTTCTCTGCTTAATTCCTCTGGAGGAAAACAAGCCAAAATGTTTAAGACAGGAATAAATCCTCAGGGTAATTTCAACTGCTGAGAATGTGTCATATTTCACTTCCGTGGTTGTGTGACCAAGGGACTACATATTCAGATGTGTTCTGCTCTATGTGTAGCTCCCATTGTCTTACACTTCTCTTTAATTTGGAAGGACAGTAAGGTTTGCTGCAATAATAAAGGGTTCTGTGAATGAAGCAACATAAAAATGGCAGAAATAAAGGAACCTTTCATATATATCTGTGTATGAATGAAGCAAAATAAAAATGTGAGAAATGGAGGGACTACATATCTTATAATGACTCTGAATACATCCTTGTAACCATTTCACTGTGATAATCTTATGGGAGGTAAACTTCATCGTTTAAAAATAAATGACAAAATCATCTTGAATATAACTAAGGCTCACTTAGGGGTTCATTCTGCTGAATAAGCATATAGAAAAAAGAAACACTTTATTACTTCAATTACTCCATCAAGATCACACCTGGTGCTAGATACATGGTTCAAAAATATCAGTGCATTTGTGTAGTAGTTGGTTTATTAATCATGGATGTCAAGTCCTTTCTGCTAATTAACCTTAATTGAGCTGTCTGTTATAGAAGCACCATTTCCAATGAAGCAACTTAGCAATGATATCAAAATAACAGAGCATAGTAGAACCCAGGATTAATGTTATTTCCTGTTCTTGAATACCAATGCCTAATGCAGTTTGCTGTAATACAAAATCTTATAACTTCTACCAAAATTTAAATATCACATAGAGCAAAAATTGGTAGAATATTTATGTAATTTGCACAATAAAGTGATTTAGGAAAGCATTTTTGACATGTGTCTTCATTTTATATTTATTTAAAAACAACTAGAATATACCATAAATATTAAAAATATAAACTTTTAAAGATTCAAAGATTAAAATCATATATTATCTATTAGTCAACATGACTCTGATCTTAGTCATGCTTGAAACTAAATCTTTATTTCATTTATGTTCAGTATTATTTCCAATAGTACCACAAAATGTCCATTAGGATAGAATTCTGCTGAAATAGGTAGCTTTATTCATCTGCCTGGAGTAATTCAGTGCAATTAATTCCAACTTTGATAACCAGCAAGCACTTCAAATGTTCAATAGGTTATTTATTAAAAAGCAAATCAAGAAGAAATAAATAAGCTTTACTGCTGATGAACAGAATGCTTAGATTTTAAAATGGCCAGAAGGCTACTGGTATTAATAAGCTTTGTCAAATTCATTTTCAGACACGGATGGAGGAGTTTGTACTATTTTTCTGTTCATGTCATAGTTTCTGTCAAGAGGAGAGCCCATATACCTTAGGGAAAGCTTTCTGATGTGCAAAGATTTGAAAATAAAAAGGCAAAGACAGACATTTAGCAGATTCACAAGGGAAAACAAACTCCTGAAGAATCTTCAGAAAAATTAAAGCAGTAACAATGAAAGTGTTGAAAAGATTTAACCACTGATATAAATTTGGGGAAAATACAGAAATACAAATATTGATAATAAAAGTCACAGAAACTCAGGTTAAAACCAACATGGATAAGGATTTAGTTTAAGTGAGGCAAGCTGGGCCATGCCTAGATGTGTCTTATAGACCATTCATTTGTGTTATATTTACAGAGCTAAAATGCAAACACAAGACAAGTGGCACCATTTTGTTAGATAATGCCTACTGTCAATGCATTTGATCATATGGGGCTTAATGGGGCATGATAGAAAGAACACTTCTCTAGGCATCTAAAACCTGGTCTGAAATGATAGTTCTGAAATTTAACAGCTGCATAACTATGGACAAATTACTGAAGAGCTCTCACCAATAGACATTTCTGAGATGATAGCTATGCTTTACATCTGCGCTGTCCAATAAGATAGCCCCAGCTTTATGTGGCTATTGAGCACCCAGCATCCGGCTAGTGCAACTGAGAAACTGAATTTTTAACTTTGGTTATTCTAATTAATTTTAATCTAAATGGCAATAAGTAGCTAATGGCTATAGTATTGGACAATGCTGTGCCACCTCAAGTGATTTCCACTTACATGAATTATGATGCTTTTAGTTGCAAGGCAGAAAAAAAATCTAACTTAAAGCTTAAACAACAAAGGGAATGTATTGGCTCATTTTAATTAAAAAGAAGTCCAGAAGTAGAAAGTTTCAGGCATAGTTCAATCAAGTGCATTCTCTCTCTTTCTCTTTTTCCAGTACCCTTGCCTCTCCTTTATTTTTGTGTCTGCTTTCTTTCCTCATGCCGGTTTCCCTGATGGTCACAATCTGACTACTGGAAGTAGTAACAGGGGTCACTTGCTCCTCATTCTTATCTAGTAGGAGGCTAAGAGAGGGGGAGCATTGCTTTTCACAAATACTTAAAACAAGCCCAGAGCTTTGCTCTGACAAGATCAATCTGAAACACCCAAAGCTGTGTACTGCTTGACTTGTACCGGGTTTCCTGCCTTTCGCCAAACTAATTACTTTGGAAAATGGATGGAGATTTTTGATGAATGTTGGAACTGAAGGTTGGATTAGGGAAGGGATGTTCACTTAAAGAAAAAAATCTAGAAGCTGTTAGGAAGTAGAATAATAGGGAGTGAATGCTGAATAAGCATTTGATAATTTTCATTCACATCATCTCAAAGGATTATTAGAATATAATCAATGATGTGATGTGCATAAAGCATCTAAAAGCGCCTGAAATGTTTGATCCCTTCTCATGTACATACCCCACAGTTTCTATGTACTCTGGGAAACTAACTTAAGGAAACTAACTTAACTCTTTGATCCCTCAGTCTTCTCACATGGAAATACTTTACTGTTAAGATTCCTTCCAGCAGTAAAAATCTGTCAATGATAACTATTACTGACATTATGTAAACTGAAGGCACAGAAATAAATATGTCAAAGGAGAGTCAACTATGTTTGAAAGCCTCAGATGGCTACACGTAACAAAATGCCATAGTTTCTCTGTAACTGCTCTGTGGAAGAGGCATTGAAACACAAGTGTTTCAATGAATAGAGAGGAGAAGATGCACTGCTGCAATTTCTCAGCTCCAGATTTCTGGACCCACCTGTCCTCAAGCAGATCTCTTCCACCCTTAAACAGATGAACAGATGGTAAAAACCAACCACGTCTACCCTTGTAGCTCAATGGCAGGATAGAGTCAACTGAGGCCCATCATTAGTAATTTAAATTTAATTGTGCTAGGTTGGAATTCAAGCATCTCTATTTTTAAAGTGATTTTAATGTGTAGCTATGGTTGAAAAGACACTACTCTAATAATTTTCAGGTAAACAGGAAGTGGAATCAGAAAAATATACATTATTTAGTGTCAAATAGAAGGCCATAATAAAATGATGCAAAGATAAGAGAAAAATAAGCAATGTTACAACAATACAAAAATTATTTGACAAAAGATAGATGAAGAACACAGAAAAACATACTTCATCTGAGGACAACACATTTAGATAACTACTTCTTACCCCCAAGAAGATTTTAAAATACCATTAATTCTATGAGAGATAAAGATTGTATGACATTTCTTCAGCAGAACTAAAGTAAGAAATTACGAAAGAGAATAAAGCCACAACGGACAGTAAAACCAAATTAGAAGTAAAAGCCAGCATATCTGACAATTACAAAATCAAGTCAGTAAGATAAACTAAGTGTTTAAAAATCGCAAAGAAGATAGAGGAAAAGCACTGCAATGAAAATCATTAGAAACAAAAAGAGATTGGGAAAACAAACAATAAAAATCTATAGAGGGAACAGAACATACAGAAGAAATCAATTATATTAGCTATAATAAAAGATGATTTTCATGAAGTGAAAGAAAGCATAAATCTTCCGGTTAAATAGGCCCGCCATGTACCAGGAAAAAAATTATTTTAAAAACTATGAATAATGAATCATATCCTTGCACATTTATTGTATTTCAAGAATAACCAAAAACCTCTTAAAGTCCATAAGTGTCTAATTTCTATTATATTTTCATTCGCTTAGACTGATATCTTCTAACATATCTGATAAAAATAATTTTGTAAACAAAAAAATAGATTTTTTCTTAACGAAAAAACTTAGGCTGAAAAAATTAAATCACTAAGGATGTATTTTTATTTTTTGTGTAAAAGGGGATAAGTAATCTAGAAACTTTATTCTCACAGTTTTATTAAGAAATACATTTTCAAACTGGCAAGGACTCCATATTAGTCATGGATCTCCAGAGAAATAGAACCAATAGGATATTTGTGTCCAGATAGAGATAGGTAGAGATAGACATCGAGATAGAGATTTACTATAAAAAATTGACTCATGCAATTCTGGAGGTCAAGAAGACCCATGATCTGCCTTCTGTATTCTGGAGACCCAGGAAAGACTGTGGTGCAGTTCAGTCTGAGTTCAAGGGCCTGAGAACCAGGGCAGCTGTTGGTGTAACTTCCATTCAGAGGCCAAAGACCTGAGAACTGGGGTTGGGGCCACGGGTGTAAGTCCCAAATCCAAAGGCCTGAGAACCAGGAGCTTTGATGTCCAAGGGCAGGAGAGGATGAATGTTCCAGCTAAAGTAGAAAGACAATTCACTCTCGCTCCACCTTTAGGTTCTATTCAGGGCCTCTGCAGTTTGGACAATGCCCACTCACATTGGTGAGGGTGGATCTTCACTCAGTTTACTGATTCAAATGTTCATCTCTTATGGAAACACCATCACAGACACACCCAGAAACAGTATTTTACCGGCTATCCAGACATCTCTTAACCCAGTCAAACTGACACACACATAAAATTAGCTATCACAGCCTCACATATAGTGATCACCTGTGCACATGTTTATAAAGATTAAAGATGTAATCTGAGAGAACACAGAAAAATATAAAATTATGATTTAAATGATTTCTACAATCAGAGACAGAAGAAAAAGATAATTATAAGATATGATTTTGCACAGTTTTATTATGCTAGCAAGTATTTAACATTTTAAAACAATTAGCTATTTTATCAATTTATTTTCTTTTATCCAATTTACAGTCATTGATTCTATTCTGCTGTCTTTAGGCTTACCTTGTGTTTCTTTTCAAACTTCTTGAACATTTCATGTTATTTTTATCATTTCCTGTTTCTTCTATGTAACCTTTAACCTCATCTCACAGGTTTTGATATGGAATATTTTTACCATTGTTATTTACTAGACACATTCCAACAGCAGATTAAATATCTCTGAATCAGTAATTCACTATGAGAAAGTTTTTTAAATTTCAAATGGTTGTTTTCTCCCCTCTTTTCTTTATTTCCACATATACTGGTTTGTGGTCTGAAAAGTTGACCTCTGTTTGTGTATTGAATGTAGCTTAAACAATAATAAATTATTACCTCACCTAAGAAGTTCAGGAGTAGAGATTTTCAGAGTTTATTGTGAAAGTTGATGACACCATCCAGGACACGGTCTCTCCTTATGCTCTATCCACCTCCTGTATTGGTAGTGTCTGCCCCCATGGACCCAAGACAATTGGATTGCAGCAATTCCCAATGTCATTTTATGTCACAAAAACGTCCAAAAGCAAGAAGGGAAAAAGAAGTGTTCTCACAAGTCTCATGTCAGGGATAAAAATATGTTCTAGAAGGCCCAAAAGTGTTTTCCCTTTGATCTCACACACCCAACAGTTACTAACAAGTAAAAATCAGATTGTTATCATCAACTTAGACCCATCATAGTTCATACACTGCTGTTAGCAATGATGCCCACATTGGCATTATGTTAATCAGAAAGAAGAGTGAATTATTACTGGGTGGATGTACAACCAACAATATCTGCTTTACAAATAATAAATATGATTTATCTACATAGATACATATAATCTCATTATATGTTATATAATTACATATAATATACACTAATATATTACATATTATATATTTTATATGTATATAATTATATTTTATATATATATAATGTAATATATATATATTACATATATATAATCTCACTGATATTTTTGGATCACCTCTAAATTAATTTTGATGTTTTTATATACTTTAATCTGTGAAGAACTCAGAAAAAGGTGTTAAAGTCTCCCATTACTATTATACATTTGGATTGCCAATGTATTTTACTTTATATATTTCATTTCTATATTTGTTTTTTGCAAAAGGTTGATGATAGAGTTTTATACATTGTGTAACATGTAGTGCTTATTGCAAGAAAAAGATCTTTGAATGTTACTTAATACTTTTCACCTTGAATTCAATTTTATTTTTGTCAGATATAGCTTTGTGATTTCTTTAACCTTTCTGCATCACTAAATGTGTGTATTGGTTTTTGTTTGTTTGTTTTGATGTGCTTTATTTTCCTTTCTTATTAGGTAGGTGTCCCATTCACACTTACTAAGATGAGGAAAGTATTTGGTGTTATTTCTATGTTACTGTTTTTTGCTTTTTCTTCTTATGGCACTATTTCTTTATACTCTTTATACTTTATACTTCTTATGTTTCTTTATACTCTATTTTTGTTACATTATCTGTGTTTGCTAAGGTATACCTCACCCCTAGTAATTTGGAGTACAGGAATTCTATTATTTTATGTTTTACATTAGTTGCTTTTGTACGTCATAACAGCTTCTGAAGCAACTAATCTATTGATTCTCCCCTATAAAAATTCAAAATGGAAGTCATACATTAGTAAATGATTTTTAAAAACTGGTACACAAGTGGAAAAATAGGGATTCCTGTGTATTTTTTACAGAAAAGTAAATGTTCAAAGGCTTTTTGGAAGGCAATTTAGTAGTTTATCAAATGCTCATATCCCATTCTTAACAATTCCACTTCTAAGAAAGAATCTAAAAGAAATGCAGAAAAAAAAGATACTCACACAACGTGATTTCATTATGATTCCAATGGTGATTCCATTATGAAGAGCCTTGTGTGTTATGGCAAAATGTGTGTGTGTGTGTGTGTGTGTGTGTGTGTGTATGCATATCACTTGGGGGTCAACAAATATATGTGCATGTGTATCTTCATAAATATACGTGTATGTGTATCTTGATAAAGAAATGAGGAAAAATGCCATATACTGACATAGATCTAAGAGAAATACAAAATTTAAAAAGCCCAAAGCAATAATTATTGTGTGGCTCCATTTATGTTAAAATGTACATATGCATATACGTTTAAGTAAATGAATAGAAAATGTTCTAGAAACATACACTGAAGAGTATTAGCCATTATTACTTCTGGGAAGAAAAGTAGAATAGGGAAGTAAGAAGAGGAGATTATCGTATGTCATTCTATATATCGTTTTAAATGTTTACAATAAGAATGTAGTCATATAATTATGTTTAAAAAGTGATTTTTTAAAAAAAACCCATTTAGAAGAATAAACGTAAAACAGCTAGAAAAATTCTGGAAATAAAAGATTTTCCCTAGTAGATATTAAAATAATATGCTTGACAAAAAGATCGAGAAATGGACTAACAGTTCATAAAAAGACTCAAGGGCCAGGCATGGTGGCTCAGGCCTGTAATTCCAGCACTTTGGGAGGACGAGGCGGGCAGGTCACCTGAGGTCAGGAGGTCGAGATCAGCCTGGCCAACATGGCAAAACCCCATCCTTACGAAAAATACAAAAAAATTAGCTGGGTGTGGTGGCCCGCGCCTGTAATTCTAGCTACTTGGGAGGCTGAGGCAGGAGAATCGCTTGAACCTGGGAGGTGGACGTTGCAGTGAGCCAAGATCCACGCCACCGTACTCCAGCCTGGGTGACAAGAGTGAAACTCCATCTCAAAAAAATAGTAATAAAATAAAAATAAAAAGACTCAAGTGTACATGTCAATTTAGTAAATGAAAAAGGTGTAATATAAATTTTGTTCTTTAATAGAAATATTGAAAAATGTAAAACCATTTAAAAAAAGATCAATACTTCTCACTGGACACCAAATTATAGATTTATTAAATATTTAATTTTAGTAACAAAGCCATAAAATCAATAGAAGAGAATACAGAAAATCACTTTAATTATTTTGGGTTTGGAATGCTCTTTCTCAACATGAAAATTAAGCCAGAAACTAGAACAACATAAAAAATTACTGCATAAAAATGGAAACATTCTATATAGAAAATAAACATACCATACATAATTTTTAAAGCAGAAAATAAGTTTTCTAAAAAGTATTTAGAAGATGAATAGTAAAGAATTAATATTCAGGTATATAAAGCGTTCTTACCAATGAATAAGTAAAAAATAAACGTGACCAAAGAACACAGGTATACATATGTAACTAACCTGCACATTGTGCACATGTACCCTAAAACTTAAAGTATAATAATAAAAAATAAAAAAAAGAAAGCTAACAAAAAAAAAAAAAAACAAAGAATAAGGGGTAAATGGCAGGTATTCACATCAAGCTATCTTCAACTGTCTTGTCTTTGTAATTACAAATTCCAAGATTTTGCAATCTGCAGCCATTGATCCCAAAGATCTGATGACACACAAGCCACCAACAATGTTGTCTAAAATTCAACCTACAGTAGATTTTCATACTTTTTGCAAGAGGAAATTAAACTGTAGAAGCCTTTTGCTTAACACACATTTGTTTTTCCCTGCACAAAGCCTACTTTGACAACAGAATTCTTTCCAAGAGAAGATAAAAGAAAAACCCTCTGGCATCAATTTAAACAAACATTGCCAATTGGTATTTTCATATTTCCTCTGGTCACTCTAGATAGTTTATATTAGAAAGTCGAAGGCAAGCATCTTTTCTTCAATGATGCCTGCCTGCACTTGGCAAGCCCAGATGCTGCTCTGGGATTCTGAGAATCAACACCATTTCATTTTACTCATTCCCATTTGGATAGATATTTCACAGAATGCGCAAGTCTACATCCATTCAAAATATTCATTTCTTTGTTGTTTTGGCAAAACAGCTTATGAAGCTTGCTTTTGATAACTGTTGAATTTGGTCAAATGTTTTCAGCAAGTTAAGATATTAGTGAAAGCATAGAACTCAAATTCCTGTTTTGAAATGTTTTCTGGGGAAGTATTATCACTCAAGCATTCGCCATAGCAAAAAATACATTAATCAGTATAAGTACTGGCAGAAAGGAATTACGATTCAAGGAAACCTTTTCTGAGTTCTTACTGTGTGCCAAGCCTTATTCCAAGCAGTGAGGAAACAGTATGTAACAAAATAACTCCCAGCAGTTGTTGAGCTTCATTGTAGTGGACAGAAACAGATTGTATAGAAATAAGCATATGAGCAAGGAGGATATCAGACGGTGAGTTCTAGGGAACTGTACTGATGCACAGGAGAAAAAAGTCATCTCTTTGCCAGTAGCATCATTTCTTTCATTCTTTACAATTTTTTTTTTTTTTTTTTTGGAGACAGAGTCTCGCTCTGTCACCCAGGCTGGAGTGCAGTGGGGCGATCTCGGCTCACTGCAAGCTCCCCCTCCCAGGTTCATGCCATTCTCGTGCCTCAGCCTCCCGAGTAGCTGGGACCACAGGCGCCCGCTACCACGCCCAGCTAATTTTTTGTATATTTTTTAGTAGAGATGAGGTTTCACCATGTTAGTAAGGATGGTCTGGATCTCCTGACCTCGTGATCCGCCCGCCTTGGCCTCCCAAAGTGCTGGGATTACAGGCATGAGCCACCGCACCCGGCCTTTACAATAAAATTTATATACGTATATGTACGTGTGTGTGTGTGTGCGTGTGTGTGTGCGTGTGTGTGTGTATATTATATATATATATATATATTTTGTAAATATTTATAGAGGGTGCTAGGTAAGCCCTTTATATGTATTCTCTCATTTGATCTTCATGGTAATTCTATATTGATAGGTATAGCTCTGGGTGTAGATAGATTTTTTGAATAAATACATTTTAATAATTTGTTTTATCACCCATTCTATATTATATTCTTACTGAGAAAAGAAGCTATGTCTTGTTATGTGTGCTTTCTCTATCCTGTTTCACTTCTTTTTTTTCCCCCATCATATGCTGCTGCTTTTTTTTTTTTTAATTATACTTTAAGTTCTAGGGTACATGTGCAGAACGTGCAGGTTTGTTACATATGTATACATGTGCCATGTTGGTGTGCTGCACCCATTAACTCATTTACATTAGGTATATCTCCTAATGCTTTCCCTCCTTCCTCCCCCCCACCCCACAACAGGCCCCAGTGTGTGATGTTCCCCTTCCTGTGTCCAAGTGTTCTCATTGTTCAGTTCCCACCTGTAAGTGAAAACATGTGGTGTTTGGTTTTTTGTTCTTGTGATAGTTTGCTGAGAATGATGGTTTCCAGCTTCATCCATGTCCCTACAAAGGACATGAACTCATCCTTTTTTATGGCTGCATAGTATTCCATGGTGTATATGTGCCACATTTTCTTAATCCAGTCTATCATTGATGGACATTTGAGTTGGTTCCAAGTCTTTGCTATTGTGAATAGTAAAAAGAAATGAACAAAGCCTCCAAGACTTATCCTGTTTCCCTTCTAAAAAAATCTTTAATTCCCACGTCCTTATCTACATTTAACAGCCCTCTCCACACTCCTTCTGATTTCTAGCTATTAGTAGTATTACATTTGGGAAGATAGACACCCAGTTAACTTTCTATGCATTTACATAATATAGGTAAACATTAACATTAAATTTATTTTTAAATCAGAGTGTAATAATTCATAACATGATTTTTACTTTTTAAATAGAACTTGAAGTATGTGTATAGGACTATCTTATTCTAAGAGTTGCATTGTCTTTATTGAATGAGTGAAAGATACTTTATTGAATCCCCTCTGTGGGGATGGACACTTAGGTCATTTATAATTCTTTCTCTGTTGTAAATAATATTGAAAAAAACCTTTATATACACATATTTGTACATGTGAGAATGTTTGTTTATATTAAATACATTCCTAAAAGTAGAATTGTTATAAATAATGAAAGGCCATTTATATTTTACAGATACTTCCAGGTTGCCTTTCAAAATAATACAGCAAGTTATAGTCCTGCTAACATTTCTTCATATCTTTGGCAACACTCGATAACATAAATCTTTTTTACTGTCATCTTGAAAGCTTTTAAATTGCATTTCTTTTATTTTTAGTGTAAGTATGTATGGTCATATAATCTTTTCTTCTGTAAATTGTGTGTTCATATCTTTTACGTATTTTTCTATTGGGATTTTTTTAATGACTTGTTAGAGTTTGTCATACATTCTGGATGTGGATTCTATATATTGTAAATAACTTTTTCTCAACTTATCTTTTTAATAGTAGCAAACATATATATATATATATATATGTATATATATATATATAGATATATATAATATTTACTATGAGTCAGGTACTTTCCAAGGTACTTTACATATTAACTCATGTACGGCTTACACTGGTCCTGTGAGAAAGGTACTATTACCATCTCTAGTTTATAGGTAAAAATCTGAGGTGTGTACAGGTAAAAGTCCAAGACGTGGAGCAATCACAAACTTACCCAAAGCCATATAACCAAGTTGAGGAACCAGAATCTAAACAATGGGCACTCTGGCTGCAAAGTCTATACTTTTGAACACTAAGTTTAAAACTGAAGATAAAAATAAATCAATTATTTTTCCTTTATAGCTTCTGGGCTTCATATCTCTTACAGGAAGGCTTTTACCACATAAAAGTTATAAACATTTTTTTCACAAATGCTTTTTATAATTTTGATTATAATTAACTATTATTAAAATAATCTAGAATCCATTGTAGTGCATGATGTAAGGTCTGAAGATTACATTATTTTTTCCAAGTAGATAGCTAATTGTTCAAAATAACTTGAACAATTTGTAGGCTATCTTTTTTTCTACCAATTTAAAATTGCCTTTATTATAAATCAAAAGTTTATCTACATATGGGTCTACTTCTTTTTTAAAAGAATAGTTATACATTTTATTTATTTATTTTTTCAATATGTTTTTAGGGAATACGTGGTGTTTGGTTACATGAATAAGTTTTTTAGTGGTGATTTCTGAGATTTGGGTGCACCCATCACAGTATACTCTCTATTCTATATCTTTGTTTTATTTGCCTATTTCTACACTACAACTATACTATTTTTACTACTGTAGTTGATAGCATGCTAGATATCTCCTAAGGGAAGATAACTTTACTATAATTGTTCTTTAAAACTTCTTGGGCTATCCTTATGCCTATTTTCTTCCTCACACATTTTCTTTTTTCTTTCAGTGTAATCTATGAAATTCCATTATGAAACATCATCCTATTCTTTTTTGTTTGTTTGTTTTTGTTTTTGAGATGGAATCTCACTCTGCAGCCCAAGCTGGAGTGCAGTGGCATGATCTCGGCTCACTACAACCTCAACTCAAGCAATTCTCGTGCCTCAGCCTCCCTAGTAGCTGGGACTACAGGCATGCACCACCACACCCAGCTAATTTTTTGTGTTTTAGTAGAGACGGGGTTTCACCATGTTGCCCGGGATGGTCTTGCACTCCTGAACTCAGGAGATCCACCCGCCTCGGCCTCCCAAAGTGCTGGGATTACAGGTGTGAGCCACCACACCTGGCCCCATATATGAGACTTTATTAGATAGACTGATTGATTGAAAGATAGATAAATATTAAAGTATTTACTTTTATCAAATGCCTCAAATTTAGTTACCTTATATTTTTCTTTACTCTGTTAATATATTAAAATAGCATATTTTCTAATATTGATTTGCATCTTAGAATAAACAATTCTTTACTATGATGCAGTTATTATTCTAATACCCAGCTCATTTTTTGTTTAGAATTTTTTGAATTTATGTTAAATGAGCCTGTAACATTGGTTCACATCTTCATATACTATGTTAAAGTATTATTGGACCTCAGTTACACAGAAGAGAGTTTAGATACTCCTCAGTTCATGGGAAGGCATTATCAAAGGTCTTTGTGTATCCCATATTCATTTCTCAATTTTAGTCTTACATATTTTTTTCCTGTTCTTCTCTTTCATAATCAGGAAATATATTTGTATTTGTATATCTGTGATTACTTATAAAATAAATAATAAACTGATTGATTGTTTTTTAAATTAAATGTCAGTTTTCTCTGTTTTATCTAGAAATGATTATTTATGTAACTTTTTTTACACAATTTATTGTGTTTTGAAGATCTATCTGTCTAATCTAGTTCATTTCATCTAGTGTTTGATTACAGTATTACTGTTACCAAGCAAATGATGCTTGCTGCCCAAATGCACTAAAAGCCAATATTATCACACCAGGTTCTTGAGCAAAGAGAAGCTTTTTATTGCAAGTCGACCAAGAATTCTGACAGGAGACTAGCTCGAATTTGTCTCCCCCTGCTGATTTTAAGGCAGTAATTGTATTAGAAAAGATTTAGAGGGTGGAGTCCGAGAATTAGTAGGTAATTTGTGGAAGGAAAGAGGAGGCCTGGAGGTTCCTTCTGGGTGCAGTTACTTTTTCCTGCTTCTTCATGGGTCTCATGTGCAAATTCAGGGTGAGTTCATATAAAACATGTGATGTCTGCAAGCTCATTCTGCATAAACTCCAGTTGGCCATATTGGTTCTAACTGAGTGTAGCCAGTTTTGTTATCTTACAAGCAGATAGTGTCTCAACGTTTCAACAAGTTGTTTGCTTTCTGATCTACTATCCTGCAAACTCAAGGATTTCTATTAGTTACTATTTTCTTTAACTCTTTGGGGCACGGTTTTATTATGTTATTTGAATTTTTCATATTTTACTTATTTTATTCTGATAGTGATGAAAATCTATTTGTCTCCATCTATTTGTACCATAAATAGTGCTTCAGGGAACATGCTTAGGCACCTGTTCAAGTGTTCCTGGGATATGTACCTAAGAGTTGATTTCCTAGGTGTATTACTTATATACTGCTTTGTAACAAATTATCCAAAACTTCGTAGCCTAAATCTTCAAACATTTTTTTAATCTCAGGGCTTCTGTGGGCCTGGAATCTGGTAGCAGATGAGCTAAGCGGTTTTGGTGCAAAATCTCTATAAGATTCCAGTCCAGCTATTGCCTGGGGCCACAGTTATCCTAAGGTTAGGCTAAGAATCCATTTCCAAACTTACTTACATGGCTATTGTTTAGAGGTTTCAATTCTTTGCTGCATGGGCCTCTCTTGTAGTGCTACTCACCATGGCAGGTGGATTCCCCAGAACGATAATGATCTGAGAGAGAGAAACAAAAAGAGAGAGAGAGGGGTAGGGTTAGAAGACAGAAAGGAGAGGAGAGGGAGATCTTTTTGTCTTAGATAGATAGGTAGGTAGATAGACAGACAGATAGATAGATGAGAGAGAGGTGGGGAAATGAACAGAGAGGAAAGGATTAACAAAAATGAAACCTTTCGTTGTTTGTTTGATTTCATGCTTTCTCCTTTGTTCACTCCCAGACCTCTTTACCCTAACAACCATGGCAACAATTCTGTTCTGTTTAATGTATTTTTTGTTGTTTATATATATATCCCTGTGAGTGTGGGATGTGGGTTCACCACATCTTGTCAATCTATGTCCTCAAGTTAATCTCCTCCTCCACAAATATCAATGCAATGAAAATCCTCATATAATCCCTGTGGTCTTATTCTCTCTCTCTCTCTCCCTTTCTCTCTCTCTCTCTCTCCCTTTCTCTCTCTCTCTCTTTCTCTCTCTCTGTCTCTCTCTCTCTCTCATCTGTCCATCTGTCCATAAAAGTGTTGTGCTGGTGGGGAGGGGGATATACCCAGAGGTAGAATTGTTATATGATGGATAGATATAAGCTGAGTCTGTACACTTAGTGCCAAATGTGAAATTGCTCTCCCGAAGGGCCACCCCAGCCTACGCTACCATCAGCAGTGCTTGAGGTTACCAGTTTTTCCTCATTCTTGTCAACACTTGGCATTACTCAGATTTTTGTCAGTCTAACAGCTGCATAATAATGCCTCATTTTAAATGAATTTGCATTCTATGACTCTGAATGATGTTGAGTATCTTTTTACATGTTTATTAGCTTTTAGGATAGTCTAAGCTTTTTTTTTTTTTAGGATACTAAATAACACAAAACTCTGGCAAGATTGATCAAGGTGAAAGAGAGTACACTAAAATAAACAAAATCCAGCTGTAAAATAGATAAAACTACAGGGAGATAAATGCCCAGAAAAATTCTAAAAGTTTTCAGAGAGAGAAATTATTAACAAACAAAAGAAAAAAAAACAAATCAGAATTTCAGATTTCTCATTACCAACACCAGATGCTAGAAGGGAATGTAACAATATATTCAATGCTTTGATGGAACATTACTTTGCATCTAGAATTCTATCCTCAGCCTAATTATCCTAAAATTGTGAAAGTAAAATAAGACATTTTTAGATATGGGAAACCTGAAAAAGTTTACTATTCATATACCTTGTTGGAAAGAATTAATTATGAGTAACTAGATTATAGCTCCCTATAGGTATGTATCTTTCCTGGGGGAGGGAGGAAGGGAAGGAAGAAAAAAAAGGAAAGAAGGAAGGAGGGAGGGAAGGAAGGAAGGAAGGAAGGAAGGGAGGGAGGGAGGGAGGGAAGGAAGGAAGGGAGGGAGGGAGGGAGGGAGGGAGGGAGGGAAGGAAGGAAGGAGTTTCTATGACTTTAGAGCCTATGTAGCAACGTCCTCCACCATAGTTGATTTTACTCCAAATAACTATGTGCTTGATCTCTTAGTGGCAGAGTGGCAACATACTTAAAAGAATGCATGGTGGTGCATTCTTGTAGTCCCAGCTACTTGGGAGGCTGAGGCAGGAGAATTACTTGATCCCAGGAGGCAGAGGCTGCAGTGAGCCAAGATCACATCACTGCACTCCAGCCTGGGGCAGCAGAGCAAAACCCTGTCTCAAAAAAATGAAAAAACAAAAAAGATTTTTCTGCTCTTCTGCTAGTTCTTCCAGAATATGGCATCTGCCTACTTGTTCTCACATCTGTGACCTGCTGAATTAGCACTCCAAAATAGGCCTGCTCTGAGCTGACATCTCACCTAGGATGTTTCATGCAACAGGATATTAATCAATGTTCCTTGGTTTAAAAAAAAAAAGTGTTTTGGGTTTGACAAAGCTGGAGGGACTTCTTTCCCATAGGCTTTCTCAGTCATTGCAATGTTTACCAAATGGATTTGGCTGTGGCACCCTTTAGGGATGGGGAGCATCTTGCAGAATTAGTGCTTTGAAAATCACTTTCGAAAACTCTGTTGCCTTGTTTTAGACTCTTACGATCTATAATGTTCAATATTAAAATATAAAAACAGCATGCTTTGTTCCCTACTCAATGCCTAGTAAACAGGAGACATGCAATAAATATATTTTATTAAGAGAATAAATGAGAGTATCAATTATTGTAAAAAAGTTCTATTATAGAAGGTAGATATTAAATCTATGATAAGCTATTGCTTCTATTTATTGTAGAGTGCGATTTCTACCCAGAATCTAACAGCTTCAAAAAAAAAAAAAAACAAAAATATTAGCTTACTTCTTTTTTGTTTTTTGTTTTTTGTTTTTTTTTTTTGAGACGGAGTCTCTCTCTGTCGCCCAGGCTAGAGTGCAGTGGCGTGATCTCCGCTCACTCCAAGCTCCGCCTCCCGGGTTCACGCCATTCTCCTTCCTCAGCCTCCCGAGTAGCTGGGACTACAGGCGCCCACCACCAAGCCTGGCTAAATTTTTTTGTATTTTTAATAGAGACGGGGTTTCACCATGTTAGCCAGGATGGTCTCGATCTCCTGACCTCGTGATCCGCCTGCCTCGTCCTCCCAAAGTGCTGGGATTACAGCCCAGCCAATATTAGCTTACTTCTAATTGGATAATACACTGCCTATGAAACAAAATTTACTAAAAGCCCCTACTTTTGTAACTTTAGTAAAAATCCTCAGCCGTGTTTGCAGCCTTCTGTGGTAGAATCCAGTAGTGATTGTCCTCCACCAGCTTTAGGCTTATCATCAGTCTGGATCTTCGGGCCTTATCTGCAAAGAAATTCCTATCAGTCTACATTTGTGTTGTGCTTCACTATATGAGTCTCAAATGCATTTATATTTCTTAGTTTGACCTGCCTCAACGTTTAGATTTTATGTTCTTAAGAGGCAGTGTCCATGTCTTCTATTTCTTCTCTCTCTTGAAGTAGTCTTTCTCTCAAGTTTGATGTGATCTTTAAAAACGCTCAGATTTACATTTTTTAATGGATGCAAATAAATATTGTCATTGTCTGTAAAACGGAACAATACAGTCAATAGATTATAATTAAATGGAAGGGATGTTGTGAGATTTGGAGGATGATTACACAAGGACTTGCAATGTCCAGCTGAAAAAATAAAATTCCCTGGTAATGTGACCATCGAAACATCTATTTTGTTTCATAAGAAATGATAATAAAATGGAATTAACCAGGCAATATTTATGAATTTGCTCTCTCTATAATTTCTCTTCGAATGCCCCTTTTTCCAAAATACTGGAAACCTTTGCTTCCCTTATCAGCAGGGGGCAGACAACAAGGTATGACATTCTATGGACCTGACTTCAAGTGTTTTATTCCAGGAGCTTGAGAAAAAGATTTCTTTTCTCCCTTTATTTGTGAAAATGTGCACATTGCTACCCACCTTCTCAGGATGACAATAAACGAAGATTATACAAGATAAATTGTATAAGGTGCATAGCACAGCATGGGTACTCCACAATTACCACTTCTTCCACTTTCCCACATATCCATCTCAATAGCACCTATTCTAACATAACTTCTTGACAAAATGTCTACTATTTTTAAAGCTAACTTTCTTTCCTCTAAAGAAAGCCTTGAATGCATTCATCTTTCTTTTTCCACTTTTTTCTACTATTTGAACTATATTGAGAAAGAAAATTTCTTACATAACATACCTTTGTGTTGTCTATCAGCAGACTTCAACATAAGCCACTTCAACATTGTATTCTACTTTATTTGCAGTTCTAACAATCTCAGTGTTCATAAAGGATCTGGCAACCTAACAATGGAGTTAAAAGTTGGAAATTTGCTATTTTCAAATATTCTTACTTTTCTTCGATCTACGTTTTTAAAAATTATTTTTCTTTATTTTCTTTCTTCATTGAAACAATGGAATGCTCACCAAAGTGTATTTCATCATAGTAAATTAGACTTAGATAAGTAGAAAAAATGCAATTAAGAAAGCTTTCTATTTGCTTCCATTTTAATGAAAGATTGTGAAGTTGACGTGACCTCTTACACAAGTTCAGCTGTGGTGTTTTGAATTACCTAACAAATAAAAAATTCATGGGGGAAAGACTTTCAGCTACACTGTTAGACCTTAGCTACTTTCTTCTCTCTCTTCTGGTAAAAAATTCCTCACACACTTGGCTCTTGTGAATCTGTAAGTGCATGTGAAGAGAGGTTGGGGTGAGTAGGAGGAGCAAGTAGAAGGGATGGAAAGAGATGAGAGAGAAGGGATAAGAGAAAAGATTTTCTGTTCTGAACCACATACATTACTAAAAATGCATTACCCTTTGTACTTGTGAAAGATAGGTTCTTCATGCTTTCCACACCCAAGTTTAGATGGGACAGCTAAATGAAGACATTTTCCTTTAGAAAAGCCACAAATCGTTTTTTGAAGCATGAATTAATAAGGGATTTTGCAACAATATTACTCTGTTACTGTCCAGTTCTCAAAGTGGAAATCTGTAGAATACCAATTCCTTTTTAGTTAGGAAGTAAATGACCACATGAAGTCCCTTTTAAAACATTTCTTCATTGCAAGCATTTTAAATAATTTCTCCAGGAAAGTACTATATTCTGAGTGAATAGCATGACATTATGAACTACATCTAACATAAGATTTTGCTTCAACAGGCCTGTCAGTGCTCTTTAGTTCCACTGTAATGAAATGAAAATCATGGGAGCTTGGAAGAAATATCTTCTTCACCCTGATACTCTTTATTAACTGTGGAATCGTACTGTTTTCTTCACCATGGCAACAAACACACTCAATAGAGTTAGCTCTCACCTTTCCTGCACAGGGTGATGGGGAAAAACGGAAACAAAGAAAAGTGAAGCAAATAAAGATTTCAGAAAGCAAGGAGTTAAGGAAATCATGAACCCAGGGCAGTGTGAGCTCAATGATCAGCATTAAGGGCCTTGTTTCAAACAAATTTTACTAGACTAGGTAACGTGACCTAGAGAAGACTTTCAGTTTATACTTGATTAAATCTCAGAATAGGTGACTTATAATGTCAGCCAGTCAATTGAAAGGTGAACTTAAATGGTCTCATTTTACAGGAAGGTTAATGTCAGTAAAAGGCATAGATTGACCAGTAATCTTGAAATAAGGCTCTGAATTACTCATATACACCATCATTAAAAAGCAAAGAACTTGTTCTTATCAGCACATACAATTCTTTGAATGATTTTGAAGGAATCAAGGCTGATTTGCACTATGAAATATTTTAGCCATATTTTCTTTTTTTCCAGAAAATAGAGCTTAGCTCAAAATGTAACATATTCTATATGCTGCTCAATTTACATTGTTCGAAGTATTCAAGGCCATCCATCTTCCCCTGACATTATGAGGTTTGTAATGGGTTATATTTCTCTAGGACATTCTGGTACATGCAAAACCACCAGAAACAGGGCCAAGTGGTTATTTCCTGTTCTGCAAAAAAGGGAAAAAAAATCAGAGTTTTATTTTGTCACATGAGAAGCAATGCGAGAATTGATAAAAGAAATATCAGCTAAGCAGAAATCAAATCATTGCATTACAGCCAGGAAGCCAAGAAAAAAAAAATGTTTGAATCATGGGATTTGACCTATGTGGGATTTCCAAGATTTAAAAAGGAAAAAGAAAATTAAAAACTCATTTTGGTCATCTATCTTAAATAAAATAAGGTGACAAACTCTACATTTTTTTCTTTACACCTAGTTTTTTAGTATTATGTAGTTTTTAGTATCATGTTTTATTCAAAGCAAATTTGGCACTCATGTTAAGAGAAAAGGTTCAGAATAGTGTATTAGAAATAGAAAAATAATTTGGCAGTACTTCTGGGAAAGATGATGAAGAGAATGCCTATTTAAAAATCACTGCCCTCTTTGAAGCTCAACAAAATTAAGAAAAATAACCACAAATAGCAAAAATATTAAAACAGATCTTAAAACCAGAAAATGGTGCTGATATGATACCACGAATGTCAACATCTAATTATCAGTTACAATATAATTTGGTACAAACTAAATATGCACATTGAATATCAGCACACGGATCCCATAAATGAGAGTCCCAGTGTGGCATTTGGGGAGCTAGTGAAGAAAAGAATACTCAGGGCTACTGCCTGTTGAGTTCTTACTACATGTCAGGACCTAATCTAAGGGTTTTACCTGCATCATTTCAATGACTGTGCTCCATAAGTTGGTGCTATTATAATCTTTGTTTTGCAGATGGAGAAACTAAATTTTGGCCAAAGTCACAAAGCTACACAGCAAGCAACTGGGGGGATCTGGAATTTTAACGCAGGTTTCTTTCAGCTTTAAACTTATCCCTGAGTGATTAAGCTATGGGATGTATGAGGAGGTTCGCTGCTTAGTGGGAGACGAAGTATTTAAACTGCACAGAAACAAACCAAACCATTAATATGGTTATCAGGGAATGAATTGCTGAGCAATTTATGTTTTTTCTTTCAATATATTGATTTTAAAACATCATACAGTGAACCTGCATAACTTCTATAAGTAGAAACACCTGTAATTTATTTTTACATTTTCTACTTAGTGTAAGTTAACAACAAGCTACAGTTAAGCCACTGAGCGCATCCGACACACATCTCAAATTAAAACTATCTCTTATACCTCAGAATTGGCACTGTATAATTATAAGCCACATATCTTCTAAGATTATGTTTTGGAGTGCCCTACTTATCACCCTTAACTTCGAAGGAGAAAGTTGGAAGTTTTGCACGCAATGGAAAAAAGAGTACTCCAACCCCAACGTCTAATGTTACCGGGGACAGGGAGAGATTCAACAACTTGGTGAAGTGTAGAAGCAAAGCTGAGGAGAAAAAGGCAGCTCAAGGGCAATGCTTTTGTTTGTTTCACTAATATCTTTGTCTAGCCAGGAGAGACTAGGCCCAGAAGCAAGTCCAGGCTGTAGAGAGATGCAGAATAATATGCCAGAGCCCACCTTTTAAGTCACAGACCAAAGTGATCTGTGCTGAGAAAATATGAACTGAGCAACCAAGTATCAGACTGCCGACTGATGAGACATCAGAAAGATGTGGTCACTTCTAAAGGTGGCTGGCCTGCCCAGAAAGCCAGAACAGGAGCCAAATTTGAGGGTAGTGCCACGGGTTATATTATATTCTCCAATCTGCTGGAACTGGTCTTGGCAGCAGAGTTTGAGAGATACGGAAAGTACAGGAAGAAGTCACTGGATTTTTGCTGTTAATTAATTCTGATCCAGGTTGACTGGTGCTAGGCATCTTAGGATCTCTTGTTGTAGGTCCCATGAAGCCCAAGCTGGCACCTTATTTAAGAGAAGCACATGAGTAATTTCTGCCCAGAGTCACGGTGCCAATAATTCACATTACTGCCAAGCTCATATCACTCACTGATCCAGGCCTCTATTTTCCCAGTTGTAATTATAAGTTACTTTTAAGCTCCAAGGCCCTTTCCAATTCAAACATTCCGTAAGTCCCTTAGGATTACTAAGGAGTTTATCAGAACCCATGAGCCAACTAGAATCATATCCCCTTCAAGAAAGCCTAAAGATTTGGAGAGTCAGGCCTGTGCTGGAGGAGATATGACAGAGCAGCTTTAAGTTAGATATGTGGCTTATAATTATACAGTGCCAATTCTGAGGTATAAGAGATAGTTTTAATTTGAGATGAGTGTTGGATGCACTCAGTGGCTTAATTGTAGCTTGTTGTTAACTTACACTAAGTAGAAAATGTAAAGATAAATTACAGGTGTTTCTACTTATAGAAGTTACGCAGGTTCGCTGTATGATATTTTAAAATCAATATTTTGAATGAAAAAAATATAAATTGCTCAGCAATTCATTCCCTGATAACCATATTAATGGTTTGGTTTGTTTCTGTGCAGTTTTAATACTTCCTCTCCCATTAACCAGCGAATCTCCTCATTATGGGGATTGTTTCCTTTATCTTAAAATTCCTGAGCTTGGCATAAATAAGTGTCTAATAAATATAGGCTTTCTTCATGTAGCAAAAGTAAATATCGTCCTTTTAAAAGTTTTATCATTTTTCCAACAATTCTTTTTTATCTTGATATAGCTGGTTTTCACCCCAAACCCCATTAAATAAATATAAAAAGTGATATTTTACCTTATGGTTCAGATTTCATTATATATTACATTCTGATTAGAATTATGCTAATTAAATTCTTCTATCAGAGGTAGCAGAGAATCTACCAAAGTGATTATGCCACTAATGTGCATAATATTATATCAATTATTTATATGAACAGAAGATGTTTTTAAGCTGGAGTTAACTGTGCTTGTTTTCAGTAGTTTTAAACATTATATTTATAATGTTATCCACTCTTTCTTTGCAGTTCTTTCTTCATCCATCCAACTTCTAGCCCCACTACAGGTCCATCTTAACACATATTGTGAATGAACTGTATGTGAATTTATTAATATGAATGTCATAGAGGAAGGTGCAAGTATTGCATGCTTTCAATATCTTAGGAGGAGGCTGGTTGAGATGGGATGTATCGTAATTTTTCTCATTAAATTTAATGAGAACATTTATTTTTAATATAATGGCTTTTCATTTAGTGGTGAGTTTTTTCAGGAATGAATTAAGATGGATTAGTGAATTCTCAAATTAATGAATTATATCAAGAGAACGCAGGCCTGAGCTAAGATTTAGGCATGTTGGTACTGAGGAGTTGACTATGCCCAAGCTCTACATACATGTGTTGATTCTCCACATTAGAAGGTCTACCAGGAGGAGGTTGTATGCGGGACTGTTCACTTGCAGGAATAAAGTATAGTGGATGGAGAAGAGCACATGATGAATGGCCCCAGCCTAGGCCTATGAACTTCATCAGAGCTCTTCATTGACAGGAACATAAGTAGAAGCTGAACAACTTTTCTCACGGGGACTTTGAAGCATGTGCTTCTGAGGTATGCATAGAGCGGGGTGATGCCTGTTTCTCCCCACCCTCTTTTTTGTTTTTGGCACCCAGCACCACTCCTGTATTGTAAGAATTCTAGGGCATTGGTGGAGATAAATGGCAGCATCCATGTATGGGCAGGTAGCTTCTGTCGTGGGCCGAATAATGGCCCCCAAAGATTTCCACATCCTAATTCCCAGAACCTGTGAATATATTGCCTTACAGGGTAAGGGGACCTGGCAGGTATGATTTACTAATAGCTCAGGATCTTGAGGTAGGGAGATTACCCAAGATTTTCCAAGAGGGTCCAGTTTAATTATAAGAATCCTTGTAAGAAGGAGGATGAAGTGTTAAGAGTCAGAAAAAGATGTGGCCATGGGGAAATGGAAGCAGAGCTTGGAGTGATGCACTTTGAAAATGGAAGATGGGTCCAGGAGCCGAGAAATGCAGGCAACCTCTAGAAGCTGTAAAAGGCAAGGAAGTAGATTCTCCCCTTAATCCCCTAGAAGGAACGCAGCTCCGC
The DNA here is from genome assembly GCF_000001405.40 of Homo sapiens. Lineage (NCBI taxonomy): Eukaryota > Metazoa > Chordata > Mammalia > Primates > Hominidae > Homo > Homo sapiens. The sequence continues at coordinate 153,433,816 of NC_000003.12, read as the reverse complement.
CAACATATTGATTTTAGCCCCATAAGACCCATTTTACACTTCTGACCTCCAGAAATATAAGATAATGATTTTCTATTATTTTAAACCATAAACTTTGTGATAATTCGTTATGGTAGCAATAGGAAACTGATACTACTTGTGACAACAGACACACATCAGTGGTTGTCAGCAGAGACAGAAGTACTCAGTGGAGACCTGGTGAGAAAGCGGCAGTGCCCTGCAGGAGAGCTCATATGGGACATACTCCAGGGACAACTGAAAAGTCTTGGGAGAGGGAATTTTGAAGGGGCCTGATAGCTTCTGTCGCAGTTGGAGTTAGTAAGCCATCAAGACTGGAATGTTATTAATATTCCAGCTTTATTTGTAACCACAGACCAATGAAGCCTGGGGATATTCCAGTAACAGAATACCTCAAACAGGCTTGACTTGCAAATAAACTTACTCAAGTCTTTCACCAGCTTCAGTTTGAAAATCTTACCTGTCATTGACGGAAACAGGGTATCATCATTGAAGCCTTCTACTCCTTTCTCTCCACCCTATGATTTATCTGCCATCCAGAGTTATTCACTGGTCCTATAGTGAAAATGAGGCCTGAAAAGCTCAAGCACAGACAAAACCAACACCTCACTCGAAGGAAAGCAAGCTGGTTTTCTGATGCTATTGCTTGTTTGAGGAGGTGTTGCATAACCAAAGAGATACGAGTGGAGGGTCTGAAACCATGGGGCACTCATTCTACATGAGAACTGCATATCTGGCAATCGGACTCAGTTACATGGATTTAGGGAGTCATGGGGGTAAGAGGGGGAGCATGGCCCTGTGTTGTCACTGATATGTTATAACTCTGGCTTCCAATGGTAACATCAACTGGGAAAAGGTTAGAAAACTATAGCATCTTCCCATGTGAACTACCTATGACTCAGTGATCTCTATAATACCTTATTACTATAAACAGACATGCCATAATTTGCAAGGGATAAAATTATACTCATGAGTGCAACAGCTCTTTTAAATTCCATTGCAAACCCCCTCACTACTCCATAATAGTTATTTGTAATTTAATGAACATTACCACTGTGTAGAGAAAATAACTTGAATTACTAGTTGCACTTTATTTCTTGTGAATTCCCAGGCCAGATTAACCCATATATTTGCTGTCACTTGATACTAATGACATTTATAAACCAAAAATAAAACAATATTAAGAATATTTAGAAAAAAATTTCATGTTAGTCATGCAAACCATTTTATATTCAATTACAATACAACTGCCTTATGTATGTTTATTATGCAGCTCATTTTAATAACACACAAAAACAATCAAAGATTGTATTACTGTGCTATAATTATTTCCCATTTGGTCTAGGAGTTCCTAAAATAAAAATTTCCAGATTAAAATGAATTCTATGTTTCTTAAAAGGCTAAATTTTAAGCTCAAATTTTTGTATAAAGATGTATGGACTGGCCTCAATATGGGAACCTATAATGTCAAATGAGGACCAATTAAGTAAACTGGTGATTCTGACTGAATCTTAGTCATGTTCTTATTGTTCTCTTGACACCACAAATACCTGCTACATCAGAGCTGCGTTAGATGCGAAAGCAAGTATGCAGGTAAGTAGCTACAAGTATATTAATACCCTTGTAACTACTGGTAAGGTCATGGAGCTGTAAAGGCTGAGCTGGGAGCGGTAATTAATTTCATGTAGACAATATCCCCAGACACATCTGTAAAGTAGGTACAGATTTCTCTCCTTTTTCTCCCTGAGTGGTGCCCCAATCAGGTTTTTGACGTCTTTCCCTTTACCCCACAGATAGTAATACCTCTCTTTGCTCCGTGATGCTCCTGGAGCCCCAGCTGGCTTTTCTCATAAGTCCACTCTATGTAGTTCCCACCATGAGATCCATGAGCCACGTCAGTCCAGTACCACATTGGCTAGCACATTCTAGGCTTAATATGTGCCTGTTGAATGAATGAATAAAAGATTGAACAAATAGATGGATACATAATAAATAAAATAATAAATAGGCTACCTTCCCAAACATCGTTTCATACTTGGGATCCTTTTCAATTCTGACTTTTCTCTCTTGCTTCAGTATTCAACATTACTCTACTCCCCATCCACCCCCAATTATACCATAGCTAAAAATATGTGTGTGTATTACATGTATAAATATACACATATACCATATATTAGTCGCTTAAGAGTCTATGAGAATGCTGCTACCTCCTTTCATGGGAGACAGGAAGGCACTGCGGTATGATGGAACATAATCTTGGTCATCAGACAGCCTTGAGTTTGAATCTCTGCTATGTCTCTAATCTGTAACATGGGCAAGTTATTTAACATCTCAGTGTCTCAACTTTCTCATCTGTAAAATGAGACTATTAATATATAACTTCCAGAAGGTATTATCAAGACCTTATTTATAGATCAATCCTAAATCTAGCAGTTAATCCTCCTGTCAAAGGAGCAGGTTTATAAGTTCCTCCCAAAGTCAAGGAGGAACTAAAATGCAGAACATAGATATTTCTAGAGCAATGACTTACTGAAAGCAGGCATTTAGTAGAGAATATTGAAGGAAGCTTAATGTCGTTATTATAATTGCTAAACAACTGATGGCAGAGGCTGGGAATCATGTCCTGTTAGTAATGAAAGTTTTGATCTAATCAAAAAATTCATGGGCAGAACAAAAATGTAGCACCAAAATTTCAGTACAGCCTAAACAACACAATCAGTAAAATTCTGACAGAAGTAGAAGATAGTTTCTTAATCCTATTTGGTAAAGATTTTTTTTTCTTTTTATCAATTTCTAATCTTTTTATCAATATTAATTATGAACGCATTTGTATAACAAATATTAAAGTACTAGTTAATACTTTTATTTCCTGAATTGCTACTCCATAAGAAGTCATGAAAATTCCTCTGGATTAGTTATTTCAAACAAGTTTTGGTTTGGCCCAAATCTGTAAAAATAAGATTTCTCCGGCCAGGCGCGGTGGCTCACGCCTGTAATCCCAGCACTTTGGGAGGCCGAGGTGGGTGAATCACAAGGTCAGGAGATCGAGATCATCCTGGCTAACATGGTGAAACCCCGTCTCTACTAAAAAAAATACAAAAAAAATTGGCCGGGCGTGGTGGCAGGCGCCTGTAGTCCCAGCTACTCGGGAGGCTGAGGCAGGAGAATGGCCTGAACCCGGGAGGCGGAGCTTACATTGAGCCGAGATCGCGCCACTGCACTCCAGCCTGGGTGACAAAGCGAGACTCCGTCTCAAAAAATAAATAAATAAATAAATAAGATTTCTCTTCTAAAAGTCTCTTATTTGATTGTAGCTCTATTATCTCCAGACATGTTAGCCATTCCCATGCGCAAAGAAGGCTTTTTATGTCTTTACACAGAGAATTTATCTTTTGTCAAAATTACTTTCTGACCTAAAAGTCAGGGAAAGGGGCTTTTTTTTCACTAACTAACTCTATATTCAAATGAGGTTCTAGAAACCTCATTCTAACCTTATCCTTCCAAATTTGTGAATCAATACTCAAGTTATTGAGAACATGGAAAGGAACCGCCAGTTTTCCACAGTTTCACTTACTTGGATAGTCAGTCAAATTATAATAACAATTCTCTGCAGGAAATGATTTTGCCCCACAAGGGATTTGACAACATTTGGAGGCATTATCTGTCATAACTGGCGAGTTGTTACTGGTGTCTAGTTGGTAGAGGCCAGGGATGGTGATAAACAGCCTACAATGCACGCAGTAATTCCTCATAACAAAGCATTATCTGGTCCAAAATGTCAACGGTGCTAATTTGGGAAATCCTGTTACAGTGACACATAGTTTCCATGTGAGGCAAACACATCATAATGCGGTGCTTAAGAGTGTGACTTTACTACCCCCAGTAGGAATGTCACATGTATTATATTATAGGAATCCTCAAAAACTAGATAGTTCTCAAGTTTCTTCAGAGTTAGAAACTTGCATAAAATGAATATTATTCTAGGGCAACATAATTTTGAAATAAGCTTTAAAACATTTTCAAACAAATATTACATTGGAATGTTTTTATAATTTTCTGAAAACTGGATCTCAAGATCTAGTACGCAATCCTACCTTGCAAAGAGATTGCCGTGTAACCTTAAGAAAGTCCCTTAACATCTAGGAGTTTCAAGATATGCAATTACATATCTGCCTACCTCATTGAGGTTTTAAGAAAGAAGAGTTAAATTGTGTCTGTAAATCACTTATGGAAGTGTAAAATAAAAGTAAGGTATCATAACTTTTATGAATAGTTCCTTTAGAACTGTGAAGCAACTGATTTTATGACATTTTGCTTTGGTTTGATGAAGAATTATGTCAAATTTTCAGATAATTTAAAAGCCCTGGCCAGGGCAATGGCTCACGCCTGTAATCCCAGCACCAGCACTTACCCAGTAGTGGCAATGTGATTAGAGTATAAAACCTCCTGGCCTCCTTAATGGGTACGTGTACTACTGATTAGCCAAAAAATAAGATTAACTTTTGTTGTTAGAACCATCAGTGGCTATACTCTCGGGTGAGCCAAATCATTGTCAGTTAAGAGAGCAACACCAGAGCACAATATAAATTATGAACACATTAAGATGACATAGATGAAAGATAGATAGATAATAGATATGATTGATAGATAGATCTGATAGATAGATAATAGCTAGATAGATCAATAGAAAATTAACAGAAAATGATCAAGAGAAATTTATTTTTTGATATTCTTCTAACCAATTAAATGAGTTTGTGTGTGTGTGTGTGTGTGTGTGTGTGTGTGTGTGTGTGTGTGTGTATGGATGGATGGAAAAAATTTAGTACACTGCAAAATATTTAAAAATACTTTATTAGAATAAGTAGGAGACAGGAAGAGGAAGCACTGAACATAAGGAACCAAAAATTTGGAAATTTAATCTTCTTCTTAATATGAAGCAACAAATAAATAAAAAGGGAATCAAAATATATTTTATATATGTGGAAGTCAGACATTTACTGAGTAATGTCTCAAAAAAGGAATGAATGATGAAAACAACAAAAGCCAAAAGTAAACTAGAGAGCTTCTGCACAGCAAAAGAAACTAGCATCAGAGTGAACAGACAACCTACAGAATGGGAGAAAATTTTTGCAATCTGCCCATCTGACAAAGGTCTAATATCCAGAATCTACAAGGAACTTAAACAAATTTACAAGAAAAGAACAACCCAATGAAAAAGTGGGCAAAGGAAGACATCTATGTGGCCAACAAACATGAAAAAAAGCTCATCATCACTGATCCTTAGAGAAATGCAAATCAAAACCACAATGCCATAATATCTCATGCCAGCCAGAATGGTGATCATTTAAAAGTCAGGAAACAATAGATTCTGACGAGGCTGTGGAGAAAGAAATAGGGATGCTTTTACACTGTTGGTGTGAATGTCAATTAGTTCAACCATTGTGGAAGACAGTGTGGTGATTCCTCAAGGGTCTAGAACCGGAAATATCATTTGACCCAGAAATCCCATTACTGTCGAGAAAGCCACTTAACAGTATATCCCTTTGGTATATACCAAAAGAAATATAAATCATTCTACTATAAAGACACAGGTACATATATGTTTATTGCAGCACTATTCACAATAGCAAAGATTTGGAACCAACCCAAATGCCCATCAATGATAGACTGGATAAAGAAAATGTGGTACCTATATACATGGAATACTATGCAGCCATAAAAAATGAATTCATGTCCTTTGGAGCGACATGGTTGAAGCTGGAAGCCAATCATCCTCAGCAAACTAACACAGGAACAGAAAACCAAGTGCCACATATTCTCACGTATAAGTGGGAGTTGAACAATGAGAACACATGGACACAGGGAGGCAAATAACACATACAAGAGCCTGTCAGGGTGTGGGGGGCAAGGGGAAGGAGAGCATTAGGACAAATAACCTAATGGATGTGGGGCTTAAAACCTAGATGATAGGTTGATAGGTGCAGGAAACCACCATGGCAAATGTATACCTATGTAACAAATCTGCACGTTCTGCACATGTATCCTGGAACTTAAAGTAAAATTTTTTTAAAAATGAACAAATAGAAAAGTAAAAGTAAATAAATAAATAAAATCCTGTAATTTTAAAATAATATTATTATCTAAATTCGGAAGACAGATGTTTCCCCTTTATTTTTATAAATATTAGCCAAGGTAGTTGATAATTGGTTCAAGTTCTGTATTTATTTACTAATTTATTTTTGTCTAGCTGGTCTTTTAATTGCTGAGAGATATATACAAAAATCTCCAAGTTTTAGAGAAATTGTGTATTTCTCCCTTTAAATATGTCAGCTTTTTAAAAAGTATTATTGTGGTAAAAATACTTAACATGAGATTTTCTCTTTTAATAGATTTTAAATTGTACAATACAGTACTTTATCAATAGGAATAATATTGTACAGAAGATCTCCAGAAATTATTAATTTTCCATAACTAAGATTTTATACATGTTGGTTAGCAACTCAGTTTCCTCCAGCCCTAATCCCTGGAAACCACAATTTTATGATTTGCTTCCATGAGCTTGGCTATTTTAGATATCTTTTATAAGTGGAACATGCAGTACTTGTCCTTCTGTGACTAGCTTATTTCACTTAGCATAATGTTTTCAAGGTTTATCTATGTCATTGCATTCTGCAGGATTTTTCTTTTTAAAGGCTGAATCATATTCCATTGTGTATATACAGCCGTGTATCACATAACAATAGGAATACATCCTGAGAACTATGTCCTTAGGCAATTGTGTCACTGTGCAAGCATGACAGAGTACACTTACACAAACCTAGGTGATATAGTCTACTACACACCTAGGCAATGTGGTATAGCCTATGACTCCTAGGCTACAACCCTGTACAGCAGGTTACTGTACTGATACAGTAGGTAACTGTAGGCAATTGTGGCAATTATAGGCAATTGTGGCACAGTGGTAAGTATTTGAGCACCTAAACATATCTAAACATAGAAAAAAGTGCAGTAAAAATACAGTACAAAAGATTAAAAATGGTAACTGGTATAGTGGACTCACTATGAATGGAGGATGCAGGACTGAAAGTTGCCCTAGGTGTCAGTGACTGACTGGTGAGTGAATGTGAAGGCCCAGGACATTACCATACACTACTGTATAAAATCATATACTTAAGCTACACCAAATTTACCTAAAAATTAAGTAATTGCGCTATGACATTATGATGTTACAATGGCTACAAGGCCTATGATGTCATCAAGTGATAGGAATTTTTTGTTGTAGTCTTATAGGACCACTGTCATACATGCAGTTTGGAGTTGACCAAAAAGTCATTATATGGCATGTGATTGTATACTACGTCGTTAAAAATCCATTCGTCCATCAATGGGCATCTCTCCACTCCCTGCTGTTTTTCCCAGCCTCTGGTAATCATCATTCTCTCTATCTCCATGAGTTATTTGTTTTAATTTTTAGTTCCCACATATGAGTGAGAACATGTGAAAATGTTCTTTCTGTGCCTGTCTCATTTCACTTAACATAATGTCCTCCAGTTCCATTCGTGTTGTTGCAACTGACAGAATTCCATTCTTTTTAGGTCTAAATAACATTTCTTTGTGTATATGTACCACATTTTATTAATCCTTTCATTTGTTGATAGATAGACACTTAGGTGGATTTCAAATCTCGTACATACATTGATTTTCTATCCTGAGACTGATGAAGCTGTTTATCAGCTTAAGGAGCTTTTGGGCCAAGACTATGGGGTTTTCTGGATAAAGGATTATGTCATCTGCAAACAGGGATAGTTTGACTTTCTCTCTTCCTATTTGGATGCCCTTTATTTGCCTGATTGCTCTGGCCAGGACTTCCAATTCTATGTTGAATAGAAGTGGTGAGAGAAGACATCCTTGTTTTGTGCTGGTTTTCAAGCGGAATGTTTCCAGGTTTTGCCCATTTAGTATGATGTTGGCCATGGGTTTGTCATAGATGGCTCTTATTATTTTGAGGTATGTCCCTTGAATACCTAGTTTATTGAGAGTTTTTAACATGAAAGGGTATTGAATTTTATCAAAAGCCTTTTCTGAATGTATTGAGATAATCAGGTGGTATTTGTCTTTAGTTCTGTTTATGTGATGAATCACATTGATTGATTTGCATATGTGGAACCAATCTTACATCCCAGGGGATAAAGCCTACTTGATTGTGATGAATAAGATTTCTAATGTGCTGCTGGATTCAGTTTGCCAATACTTTGTTGGAGATTTTTGCATCAATGTTCACCAAGGATATTGGCCTAAAGTTTTCTCTTTTTTTGTTGTGCCTCTGACAGGTTTTTGTACAGGATGAGGCTGGCCTCATAGCATGAGATAGAGAAGAATCGCTCCTCATTTTTTGGAGGGATAGGTTCAGTAGAAATGGTACCAGCTTCTCTTTGTACAAATGGAAGAATTTTGTTGTGAATCTGTCTGGTCCTGGGCTTTTTTTGGTTGGTAGGCTATTTATTACTGATTCAATTTTGGAGGTCATTATTGGTCTGTGAAGGGATTCTATTTCTTTCTGGTTCAGTCTTGGGAGGGTGTATATGTCCAAGAATTTATTCATTTCTTCTAGACTTCCTAGTATTTGTGTATAGGGGTGTTCATAATATTCTCTGTTGTTTGTACCTCTGTGGGGTCAGTGATAATATCCACTTTATCATTTCTAATTTTGTTAAATTGGACCTTTTCATCTTTATTAATCTATCTAGACGTCTATCTATTTTACACATTTTTTGAAAACCCAATTCTTATATTCACTGATCTTTTGAATAGTTTTTCTGTGTGTCTCAGTCTCCTTCAGTTCAGCTCTGATTTTGGTTATTTCTTATCTTCTGCTACCTTTGGGGTTGGTTGTGATGTTAGGTTGCTAAATTGAAATCTCTCTAACTTTTTGATGTAGGCCTTCAGTACTATAACTTTCCCTCTTAACACTGCCTTAACTGTGTCCCACAGACTATGTTATGTTGTATCTTTGTTCCCATGAGTTTCAAAGAACTTCTTGATTTCTGCCTTAATTCCATTATTAATTCAAAAGTCATTTAGGAGCAGGTTATTCAATTTCCATATAATTGTATGATTTTGAGTAAATATCTTAGTCTTAATTTCTAATTTGATTGTACTGCAATTTAAGAGAGTTGTTATTATGATTTCAGTTCTTTTGCATTTGCTGAGGAGTGTTTTGTGTCTGATTATGTGGTTAATTTTAGAGTATGTGTCATGTAGTGGTAAGAAAAACGTATATTCTGTTACTTTTGCGTGGAGAGTTTTGTGGATGTTGATTAGGTCCATCCAGTGGCGAGTTCATGTCCTGACTATCTTTGTTAATTTTCTGCCTTGAAGGTCTGTCTAATACTGTCAGTTGGGTGTTACAGCCTCCCATTATTAATGTGTGGAAGTCTAAATCTCTTTGAAGGTCTTTAAGAACTTGCTTTACGGATCTGGCTCCTCCTGTGTTTAGTGCATATATATTTAGAATAGTTAAGCCTTCTTGCTGCATTGAACCTTTTACCATTATGTAATGCCCTTCTTTGTCTTTTTTTAATCTTTGTTGGTTTAAAGTCTCTTTTGTCTGAAATTAGGATTTCAACCCCTGCTTTTTTCTGTTTTCCATTTGCTTGGTAAATTTTTCTCCAACTCTTTATTTTGAGCCTATGCATGTCATTGCATGTGAGATGGGTCTCTTGAAGACAGCATACCACTGGGTCTTGGTTCTTTATTCATCTTACCACTTTGTGCCTTTTAATTGGGGCATTTAGCCCATTTACATTCAAGGTTAGTATTGACATGTGTGGATTTGATCCTGTAATCATGATGTTACCTGGTTATTATGCAGACTTGTTTGTTGTGCTTTATAGTGTCACTGGTCCATGTACTTAGTTGTGTTTTTGTAGTGGCTGGTAATGGTCTTACCTTTCCATAGTTAGTGTTTCCTTCAGGAGCTCTTGTAAGGCAGGTCTAGAGGTAACAAATTTCCTTAGCATTATCTTGTCTGAAAAGGATCTTATCTCTCCTTCACTTATGAAGCTTAGTTTGGCTGGATATGAAATTTGGGGTTGGAATTCCATTTCTTTAAGAATGTTGAATATTGGCCCCCAATCTCTTCTGGCTTATAGGGTTTCTGCTGAAAGGTCCACTGTTAGTCTTATGGGTTTCCCGTTGTAGGTTAACTGACTGTTCTCTCTAGCTGCCTTTAACATTTTTTCTTTCATTTTGACCTTGGAGAGTCTGATGATTATGCATCTTGGGAATGATCTTCTTGTGCTGTATCTTACTGGGCTTCTCTGTAGGCCCATTCTAATTTCCTGAATTAGATTGTTGGCCTCCATAGCTTGATTGGGAAAGTTCTCATGAGTAATATACTTTTTCAAAGTGCTTACTCTCTCCCCATCTCTTTCGGGGCCATCAATGAGTTGTAGATTCAGTCTCTTTATGTCATCCCATATTTCTTGGAAGTTTTGTTCATTCATTTTCATTTTCTTCTCTATTCTTGACTGACTGTCTTATTTCAGAAAGCCAGTCTTCAAGCTCTGAGATTATTTCCTCAACTTTATCTGTTCTGCTATTAATTCTTTGATTCCATTATGAAACTCTTGTAGTGTGCTTTTCAGCTCTATCAATCAGGTCAGTTACATTCTTTTCTATACTGGTTGTTTGTTTGCCTGTCAGCTCCTGTATCATTTTAATGTGATTCTTTGTTTCCTTGTATTGGGTTTCAACATATTCCTGCATCTCAATGATCTTCAGTCCTATCCATATTCTGAATTCTGTTTCTGTCATTTCAACCATTTCAGCCCAGTTCAGATCCCATGCTGTAGAGGTGGTATGGAACTTTGGAGGGAAGAAGGCACTCTGGTTTTTTAAGTTGTCAAAGTATTTGAATTGGTTCTTTCTCATCTTTGTGGGCTGATGTTTCTTCAATCTTTGAAGCTGCTGACCTTTGGGTGTTTTTTCCTTTCCTATTTGATGACCTTGAAAATTTGATTGTGATATAAGGTGGAATCAGCCAACTGGCTTCATTTCTGGAAGACTGTAGGGGAGCAATGCTTAGCTCCAAACTCCTGGACTGTGTACTCTTAACTCTGGGGAACTTATATCAGGCCCTGACTTTGTTCTCTGGCTCCTCGAGATCACGAGTCCACTGCACTGGAGGTGGGAAAGGTGCTTCCCAGACCACTGGTCACTACACTCTGATGGGTGGTGTCAGCCAATGCATTTCACAGTGCAGTGTCAATGGGATCTGTCCTTTTTGTACATGTCAGCTGCAGTGGCTGTGGCAGCACAGAAGGCTGAACGCTCTTTGGCTGCAACAGGATGCTGGTGGGTGCTGGAGTGCCTGCCTCTATGTGGACATTCACCATGATGGCAGAGGCAGCACAACTCGTGAGCAGTCTGCACTTGGGCACAGGTCTGTGTGCATTCTCTGTGCACTGAAAGCTGGGGTGGTCACTTAGGGAGCTGGAAAGTCCACTGTTCTCTGTGCCTAATTTTACTCCCATGGCATTGTTGGTATAAGGGCAGGGTGTGGGAGGGGGTAGGATTGACCTGCTCTGTGCCTGCCAAGGCTTTGATTACAATGGAGGTCCAGTGGTAGAGGTGTGTGGAATGTACTCTTGCCACAGCAGCAATAGGGCAGGGTGCACACACACACACACACGTTCACAAGCAAGGCAAGGAAGAGAAAGGCCTGCCCATGCACACACACACCAGCAACACAATGTGGGGGTTGCCATGGGCCTAGGGGAAGCTACAGTGTGAAGAAAGAGCAGGCTGGCTGGTATGTGGCCATAAGGGCCACCCTACTGGAGCTCCCACTGGTAAGGCACTGTCAGCCAGCACAGGAGCTACAGTGCAGTCCCCAAGGGCACTACCTGAGGCTGCCCTGCAAGCAGGTGCTGCCTGTTGGCCATTTGATTGTCTTTTTTGTTTTTTCGCTTTTTTTTAAAGACAAGGTCTCACTCTGTCACCCAGGCTGGAGTGTAGTGGTGTAATTGTGGCTCACAGCAACCTTGCCCTCTTGGACTCAGGTGATCTTCCCACCTCAGCCTCCCAAGAAGCTGAGACCTCAGGTACATGCCATTACACCCAGCTAATTTTTGTATTTTTTATAGAGACAGGGCCTCACTATGTTGCTCAGGCTGGCCTCAAACTCCTGAGTTCAAGTGATTCTCCTGCCTCCACCCCCCAAAGTGTTGGGGTTGCAGGCATGAGCCACCACACTCAGCCTTGAATGTCTTAACAGATGATATATGGTTTGCAAGTATTTTTTTCCATTCTGTAGATTGCCATATTTACTCTACTGGTTGGTTCTTTTGCTGTGTAGAAGCTGTTTAGTTTAACGAAGTCTCACTTGTTTATTTTTGCTTTGATTTAAAAAAAACTGATGATAGAAAACACAAACAAACAAACAAATGGAAAGCTATCCTGTATTCATAAATTATAAAACTTAACTTAATATTGTTAAAATCTCCATACAACCCAAAGCAATCTACAGACATAATGTAATTTTTCTCAAAATCCCAATGGTATTTCTCCTAGATACAGAAAAAAAATTCTAAAAGTTACATGGAACCACAAAAGTTCCTGAATAGCCAAAACAATCTTGAAAAAAAAGCTGAAGACATCACACTTCCTGATTTTAATATATATTACAAAGCTACAGTAATTAAAACAGTATGGTATGGCATACAGATAGACATTTAGATAAATGGAACAGAAAAGAACTCTGAAATAAATCCACACATATATACAGTTGACTCTTCAAGAATATGGTGGTTAGGGGTGACAACTTCCCACACAATGAAAACGTAAAACTTCTGACTCCCAAAAACTACTAATAACCTACTGTTGGCCCTACAAATAATATAAACAGTCAATTATTACATATTTCTTATGTTATATATATTATATGCTGCATTCTTTCCATACAGAAAGCTACAGAAAAGAAAATATTATTAAGAAAATCATAAGAAATAGCATATATATTTAGTATTTAGTAAGTAGAAGTGGATCATCATAAAGATCTTCATCCTTATCATCTTCATCATCTTCATGTTGAATAGGCTGGGGAGGAAGAGAAGAAAGAGGAGAATTGGTCTTACTGTCTCAGGGACAGCAGAGGTGGAAGAAAATTTGCATGTAAGTGGACCCTGGGCAGTTCGAACCCATGTTCTTCAAGTGTCTACTGCAGTCAACTGATCTTTTACAAAGGTTCCAAAAATACACAATGAAGAAAGGAGGACACTCTGAACAGATCTTTGGAAATAAGGCATTGAAAGCGGACAGGATGATGCAGACCCCAGGCTGAAAGTGGAGGATACTGTGCCAGAACTGCTCCTGGCTTGGGCAGCTCCTAGGAAACTGGTGAGTAATATAGGCATGAAGTGGCCTACTTCTGCCACAGACCTCTGGGATACTAGCTGTGGGATACTTCACGAGCCCCAGGGACGTCTGAGCTGGCAGAGAGAACTTCCCAGAGAGTTAGTAGAGACAGATCTCCAGTCTGTGTGGAGCCCAGAAGGTTTGGCATGGGAACAGCTGCAATGGGGCACATCCATGGATGCCTATTCCACAAAGCTCACCATATACCTCTAGTCAGCTTTAGCCTTCGTTTGCTGCTAGACAAACGACAGAGCAGGGCAGTCTTACCTGTAGGATGGGGCCAGTCAGATCTGAGTGCCTCCTGTCTGCCAGCCTCTTCCAGGGCCACTGCCTGGCCATACTCTTTTGTAGTACAGCCTCAGCTCGCTAGTGGCCATTGTCATATCTTTTGCCGGCAGACCTTGCCAGCATACATGCACATGTGGAGCCCGGGCTGCCCTGCCAGCATGTACATGTGCAGGGACCTAGCACCACCCCACCAGCGCATGCATCAGCACATGGACCCACCACAGGTGCACACACATGAAATGACACCTGCCAACCTGCCAGTACACACATTTGCACTGACCTACCACCACATGGCCAGTGCACACACACAAAGGAGTGCACTGCCACCCCACCAGAGCACTTTTGCTGGCAGCCCCCACTGGAGTGTTGTTGCCAGTGGACTGGGACACCTCAGCCCCTCCAGTACAGCAGGTATTTAACCTCAAGGAGCCAGAGAACAAAACTGCACACCTATTCCCAGACCCCAGAAACACAGCATGCAGCCCAGGAGTGTTGAGCTAAGCCTTGGCCCCCAAAAGCATCCAGAAAGGAAACCAATCAACTAAACCCAACTTAACCATAGTCAAACCCTCAAGGGCATCAGAGAATATAAAAACAAAAAGGCCCATTCAAAAAGAACAGCAACTTCAAATATTAAAGGAACATCAGCCAACACAATTGAAAAAGAACCAGTGCAAGAACTTTGGCAACTGTAAAAGTCAGGGTGTCTTCTTACCTCCAAATGACTGCATTAATTAGCTCCCAGCAGTGGTTCTTAAACAGACCAAAATGGCTGAAATAGTAGACATAGAATTCAGGATCTTTATAGCGACAAAGATCATCAAGACTCAAGAGAAAGTAGAAGTCCAATCCAAGGAATCTAAGGAATCCAACAAAATTATATGAGAGCTGAAAGACAAAACAGCCATTTTTAGAAAGAATCTAACAAACAGATCTAGAGCTTAAAAACTCACTACAAGAATTTCACAATATTGGCTGGGCATGGTGGCTCCCACCTGTAATCCCAGTAGTTTGGGAGGCCGAGGCAGGCAGATCACCTGAGGTCTGGAGTTCAATACCAGCCTGACCAACATGGTGAAACCCCGTCTCTACTAAAAATACAAAAAATAGCTGGACATGGTAGTGGGCACCTGTAATCCCAGCTTCTTGGGAGGCTGAGGCAGGAGAATTGCTTGAATCTGGGATGTGGAGGTTGCAGTGAGCCAAGATCAAGCCATTACACTCCAGCTTGGGTGACAAGAGTGAGACTCTGTCTCAAAAAAAAAAAAAAAAAAAAAGAATTTCATAATAGTACACAATCAGAAGTTTTAACAGCAGAATAGACCAAGCTGAGGAAAGAATATCAGAACTTGAATAACTAGTTCTTCAAATAAACTTAGTCAGACAAAATAAAAGAAAAAAAGGATTAAAAAATAGATACAACCTCCAAGAAATGTGGGATTATATAAAGATACCAAACCTACAATTCAACGGCCTTCCAGAAAATTAGGGAAAGAGAGCAAGCAACTTGGAAAATGTATTTGAGGATATTATCCATGAAAATTTCCCTAACCTTGCTAGAAAGGTCTACATCCAGATTCAAGAAATTCAGAGAACCCCAGTGAGATACTATACTACAAGAGGACTGTCCCCAAGACATATAGTCTTCAGGTTCTCCAAGGTCAGTGTGAAAGAAAAAATACTAAAGCCAGCTAAAGAGAAGGGGCAGGTCATAAACAAAGAGAACCCCATCAGGCTAACACTAGACCTTTCAGCAGAAATCATACGAGCCAGAAGAGATGAGAGGCCTATCTTCGGCATTCTTAAAAGAAATTTCAACCAAGAATTTTATATCCAGCAAAACTAAGCTTCATAAGTGAAGAAGAAATAAAATAATTTTCAGACAAGAAAATGCTAAGGGAATTTATCACCAGACCCGCCTTATAAGAGGGTCCTTAGGGGAGTGATAAATGTGGAAACAAAAAGGCCATTATCTGCCAATACAGAAACACTTAAGTACATAGCCTACTGACACTATAAAGCAACCATACACTCAAATCTATATAACAACCAGATAACAACACGATGACAGGCTCAAATCCTCACATATCAATATTAGCCTTGAACATAAATTATACAAATGCCCCATTTAAAAAGCACAGAGTGGCAAGTTGGATGAAGAAGTGAGACCCAACTATATGCTATATTCAAGAGACCCATTTCACGTGCAGTGACACACACAGGCTCAAAGTAGAAGTATGGAGAAAGATCAATCAAGATGGAAAACAAAGAAGAGTAGGAGTTGCTCTTCTTATTTCAGACAAAATAAACTTTAAACAAACAACAATCAAAAAGGAAAAGAAGAGCATTACATAATGATAAAGGGTTCAATTCAACAAGAAGACTTAACTATCCTAAATATATACATATGTGTGTGTGTATATATATATATGTGTATAAATATATACATATCAAGATTTATAAAACAAGTATTAGAGACCTATGAAGAGACTTAGTTACCCACACAATAATAGTGGGAGACTTCAACACCCCACTGACAGCATTAGACAAATCCTTGAGGCAGAAAACATTACCATGACCCTATATAAACACACACAAAAAAACCCTAAGACTATTACAATCACCTGTGTTCACACAAACTAGAAAACCTAGAAGAAAGGGATAAATTCCTGGAAACATAAAACCTCCCAAGATTGAACCATAAAAAAATGAAATCCTGAACAGACCAATAATGTGTTCTGAAATTAAATGAGTAATTTAAAAAAAACCCTATGAACCAGAAAAAGCCCTGGACCATGCAGGTTCACAGTCAAATTCTACCAGATGTACAAGGGAGAGTTGGTACCAACGCTACTAAAATTATTCCAAAAATTGAGAACGAGGAACTCCTCCCTAACTCATTCTATGAGGCCAGCATCATTCTTACACCAAAACCTGTCAGAGACACAATAGGAAAAAAAAACTTCCCTGATGAACACAGATGCAAAAATTCTCAACAAAATACTAGCAAATTGAATTGAGCAGCACATAAAAGGCTAATCTATCACAATCAAGCAGGCTTTATTCCTGGGATGCCAAGGTTGGTTCAACATATGCAAATCAACAAATGTGATTCAGCACATAAAAAAGAAATAATAGCTAAAACTACATGATAATTTCAATAAATGCAGAAAACGCTTTTGATAAAATTCAACATCCCTTCATATTAGAAACCCTCAACAATCTAGGCATCGAAGGAATATACCTCAAAATAAAGAGAGACATCTATGACAAACCCGCAGCTGATACCATACTGAATGGACAAAAGCTGGAAACATTTCCCTTGAGAACTAAAACAAGACAAGGATACTCACTCTCACCACTCCTATTCAACAGAGTACTTGGAAATCCTAGCCAGAGCAATCAGGCAAGAGAAGAAAATAAAGGGCATCCAAATTGGCAAAGAGGAAGTCAAACTGTCACTGTTCACAATTATATAATTCTATACCTAGGTAACTCCATAGTTTCTGCCCAAACGCTCCTAGAACTGATAAACAACTTCAGTAAAGTTTTAGAATACAACCTCAATGTACAAAAATCAGTAATATTTTCATACACCAATAACATCCGACCTCAAAGGCAAATCAGTAATGCAATCCCATTTACAATAGCCACAGTAAGAATAAAATACCTAGGAATAAAGCTAACCAGGGAGGTGAAAGATCTCTACCATTAAAATTACAAAACATTGCTGAAAGAAATCAGAGACAATGCAAACAAACGGGAAAACATTCCGTGCTCATGGACAGAAATAATCAATATTGTGAAAATGGCCATATTGCCCAAAGCAATTTACAGATTCAATGCTATTTCTTCCAAACTAACAATGTAATTCTTCACAGAAATAGGAAAAAAACTATTTTAAAAGAGTGTATATGGGACAAAAAGAAAATTCCAAACAGCCAAAGCAATTCTAAGTAAGCAAAAAGAACAAAGCTGGAGCCATTACATTACCTGACTCCAAACTATACTATAATATAAGGCTACAGTAACCAAAACATCATGGTAGTGGTACAAAAACAGACACATAGACCAATGTAACAGGTTAGACAACCCAGAAATAAAGCCACATACCTATAACTACATAATCTTTGACTAAGTCAACAATAACAAGCAATGGGAAAAGGTATCCTTACTCAATAAATGGTGCTGGGATAAGTGGCTAGCCATATGCTGAAGATTGAAACTGGACACCTTCATTTCACTATACACAAAAATTAACTCAAAATGAATTAAAGACTTAAATGTATGACCTAAAACTATAGAAACCCTAGATAAAAACCTAAAAAAATACCATTCTGGACGTAGGTTTTTGCAAAGATTTCATAATAAAATCTCCAAAAGCAATTGCAACAAAAACAAAAATATGCGAGTGGGACCGAATTAAACTAAAGAGCTTCTGCGTAGAAAAAGAAACTATAAAAAGAGTGAACAGAGCCTACAGAATGGGAGAAAATATTTCCAAACCATGCATTTGACAAAATCTAATATTCAGAATCTTTTAAGGTATTTAAACAATTTAACAAGAAAAAAGCTATTAAAAATTGACAAAGGGCATGAACAGACACTTCTCAAAAGAAGACATACACATGGCCAACAATCATATGAAAAAATGCTTAACATCACCAATTATTGGAGAAATGCAAATGAAAACTACAATGAGATACTATCTCAAACCATTAAGAATAGCTATTATTTGAAAGTCAGAAAATAATAGATGTCGGTGAGGCTACAGAGAAAATGGAATGCTTATACACTGCTGGTGGGAATGTAAATTAGTTCAACCACTGTGGAAAGCAGTTTGGAGATTTTCCAAAGAACTTAGAACTACCACTCAACCCAGAAATACTATATAATTTGACTTAGACCCTCTCCAGCATGCTTTGCATGCTTTACATAGTGTAAAGCTATGCTCAGTACATAACTTTACACTACGTATTAACAATGTAGCTTGCAAATCCCACAGTATAATGGTATAATTTTTCTATTAATAGTCATACATATTTTAAAGAACTTAAGAAAGAAGAGAGAACACTATTGTTTTATATTGTTAAACATGGAGTATCAAACATAGAGTGGGGAAGAGATACACAGAACTGGCTGGCTCTAGCACATCACTGAAATCCAAGTAATTCCTATTTCCATGGATGAGTTCTCACTTTCCTTCACAGTACTAGGATTTCAAAATGTCTCAAGAATGTCTTTTGCATTAGCATAACGTGAGAATATATACTGGTTATTCTTCGTAATAAATTTTCATTGGCAATTCTATTTCTTTAAAACACTATTAGAGGTGCATAGATCCAAGACCCATAAAATTTTCCTCTTCAAAAGACTTAAGGATTCTTTTTTTTGAGACGGAGTCTCACTCTGTAGCCCAGGTTGGAGTGCAGTGGCACCATCTCGGTTCACTGCAAGCTCCGCCTCCTGGGTTCACGCCATTCTCCTGCCTCAGCCTCCCACGTAGCTGGGACTACAGGCTCCGGCCACCATGCCTGGCTAATTTTTTGTATTTTTAGTAGAGATGGGGTTTCACCATGTTAGCCAGGATGGTCTCGATCTCCTGACCTCGTGATCTGCCCGCCTCGGCCTCCCAAAGGACTTAAGGATTCTTTATGTCAACCATTTCATCCTGGAGTTGCAGAAACTGAGACCCAGACAATCTAACATGTTTGATATGTGACAAAATATAATCTTTATTTTGTGTATCGTACCTGAATATTAGAATTAAATACAACAGAAAAAATTATATTAATTAAGCTCCTTCTAAATATCTGCAGATAGGACTTTCAAATTATGATGTAAATTTATGCAAAATACCCAAATCAGAAGCTTCCCCAGTTTTGATATAATACAATCTGCTACTCTTACTATAAATTCTTACATTTTTTCCTTCAGTCGATTGAAAAATGAAAGTGCCAAATTCTATCTTTTTTCAGCCCTTCCCCTTGGAATTCCTGTCACTCTTATTTAGCATACCTTATTTTTTTCATGGAAATAGCACTGTTTAGTTTATTAAAAATACATGGGACACAATTTTCTCTTGAGTACACAGAGCCTAAGGCTTTCTACCATTTCTATATCATTGCCTAAAAACTTACCTATATTTAAAAGATTCATGAATTTAGAGTTACTACTGACTAAGTGTCAGCAGTGCTTTCTTTATAGTTATAGAAACACAGAATTAGAAAAATATATAAGAGGTCAGTTATGCTGTCTTTATTTCTGGAAAGACTCGTCTTATGTAATCAAAATCGATAAATAACAGTCTTGTTCTTAAAAAAGAAGATATCAGCACTCATCTTAGTGTATAATACATATTTCAGTGAAGGGATTTATTTTTTGTGGAATGAGCTTTTTGTTGCAATAGTAATTCTAATTTTTCTTACCAAATAAATGGGCTTTTAAATAGCCTCCATGCTTCAAAATTCCTATTTTCCAAATTTTCATGATTACATATCTCCTAATCTGTTTATAAAATTTCTATACCTCTCTTAAAGTAAGAAGCTAGGTAATCATTCATTATGAGCATAGGCACCTCGATATGTCTAATATTAATAGTAATAATTACTTATCAAGTACATATCATGTTCCAAGGACTGTGCTAAAAAGAACTTTACAGATGATATCTCAAATAATCACAAACCCCATCAAGTAAAGATATCAACTCTATATCATACCTGAGGAAACAGTCTTAGGAAGATTAAATGGTTTACCCAAATTGCAAAGCTAGAGAGTGGCAGAGTGAGATTTAATCCAGTCTGTTCACATTGATGAGCTACAATTCACTTGTTAATACAGATGAAAATTGAAGCTTTAGATAAACATGAAAACGAAAGCTAATAAACATCTTTTTTAAAAAATAAGAGTACAGAAAGTCATTAGTTAAATTATAATGGATAACTTGATTAATAGAGACTGTTAAGTATTCTGCTCAATCTCAGAATGAATAAAGAGATTAATACAATCTTTTTATTCATCCAGAGACTTCCAAAATATGCTTGAAGGTCCAGCTCAAAGGCCACTTCTTGTCCCAGCTAGAGCAATCAGACAAGAGAAAGAAAATGTGAAAATAATGAAAATGTAAATTAGTTCAGCCATTGTGAAAAGCAGTTTGGTGGTTCCTCAATGAACTTAAAATGGAACTACCATTCAACCCAGCAACCCCATTACTCAGTATATATCCAAAGGAATCATTGTACCATAAAGACACATGCACACATATATTTATCACAGCACTATTCACAATACTAAAAACATGGAATCAACCTAAGTGCCCATCAACAGCAGACTGAACAGTAGACTGATAAAGAAAATGTGGTACCTATCACCATGGAATACAATGCAGCCGTAAAAAAGAATGAGATTGTATCCTTTGCAGCAACATGGATGGGGCTGGAGGCCATTAAACTAAGCAAATTAACACAGAAACAGAAAATCAAGTACAGTATATTCTCATTTATAAATGGGAGCTAAACAACAAGAACACATGGACACAAAGAGGGAAAAAAAATAGCCACTGTGGCCTACTTGAGAATGGAGAGTGGGAGGAGGGATAGGATCAAAAAACTACGTATCGGGTACTATGCTTATCACCTAGGTGATAAAATAATCTGTACACCAAACTCCTGTGAGTGTGCCGTTTACTTATATAACAAACCTGCGCATGTACCCTTGAACCTAAAATAAAAGTTAGAAAAAACCCAAAGTTTTTTGTGAAACATAAAAAGGTTTTAAACAAATAGAAAAACATAAAATGTTTTTTCATGGGAAGAATATTATATTTTAATTCTTTATAAATTGATAACAATATTTAATGTATAAAAATAAATTAAAGTACAATAGCAAAGATACAGGCTCAACCTAATTGTCCATCAACAGTGATGTAGAATATACTGCATTTTCTTTATCACATATATATAAACACACACACACACACACACACACACACATGAATCAACTCAAGATGGATAAAATACCTTTAAACTTAACTGATAACAGTCTGGATTCAAAATTTTGAAGAACTTTTTTCATTGTTTTTTATATCTTCTAATGTTGCTTATGGAAACAATAATACTCTGATTCTCTTCTTTTATGGGTTAGCTATTTATGTTCTTAGGATACTCCTGTAAGTTTCTCTTTTTTCCTAGTCTTCTGATTTTATCAGGAATTGATGAGATACAGTTTTGTCAATAATCTTATAACCTCCTTGATGAGCTCTTCAAGCCAAAGATTATATATTTCTTGCATGCTGCGTACACACTTGGAATTGTTCTTTTATTTTTAAAATATTTTTTATTTTATTTATCATTTTCTTCTCTCTATAGTCTCTGTAAAGGTCTCCTTCTGGAATATCTCACAGATGTCTTTTCTAACCCTGTGTCTGTTCTCAAAGTATCTTTTCTTTTATTTTCAATAACTTTTTATTTGTACCATAAATTCTGAGAAATTTGTTTTTCTCATCACAAACTTGGCTATAATGTAATGTTCAGTTTACTATTTAGTTGGTACATTTATCAGTTCAGAGAGCATTTTTTAAATATCAGGTATTATTTCTTCTCAAATCTTACTTATTTTTTCTGATTCATAGTAGTATGTTCTTGCTTGCATTCTAGATGAAAAATTCTATCAAATCTCTATAAATGCATTAATTAGAAAAATTTAAAGGGTCTCTGCTGTTTCCTTACTCATTAATTTTTCCCCTCTGAATTTAATTGTTCTATATGCTCTATTTTTATTTTTCTCCTTTATAGGCCTTGGTTTTAATTGTGATCATTGTTTAGTTTTTAGGCTTCTTGCCTTAAAACATTCTTTGAATCTTAAGGAGCTCTCAAAACAGGAGGAAGAAATGGGCTCACCTCCTTCAAGAGAGGATTATGGGTGGGAGTAGAAAATTCTCCTTCCTGATCTGTCCTTTTGTGTGTGATAATTTGCACCAATGGCAATGGACTTGAGTTTGGTGGCATGATGGTACATATTTACTGGAGGTGGAATTGGTAGCAGCATCCTGCACCGGTTGTTTGTGATGCACAGCATGTAAAGGTTCTTGCCCATTTTTACAGCCTGGTTCTCCTTCCGTTGATTCTGTGAGCCAGCTAAAGCCCTTCCAAAAAAGCCCTCTATTGTTTAAGACTTCAATTGTCTGCAAAGATTTTCTCACAAACATGGTTATCTTTCATTGGCCTTCACAGAATAAACGAAGGGCTACTTTTAAAAGCACAACTCTGGAAATAGTATGGACCTCTTTCTCCTAATGCATTTCCCTTTATGGAAGGAGTGCCTGCAGTTTCTGTGGTGTTCAAACAGGGTGTTCGGGGTGGAGAAGAGGCTTCCCTATACAGAGGGGCAGAGAGGAAGTTAATGCCCTATATTGGGCAAAGTAAGGAAGGCTCCACACTGGGAATGAAAAGCTTTAGTCAATTTCACTTCCAGGCAGAAGCGCCTTTCTCTATCCTTCCCCATTTCCTTTTTTCTCTCCTTCTCTCTTCTGTGTATTTGTAGAGTTCTGGTGATAGCTCTAATTCTGCTCTTTTCTTCAAGCCTTTGCTTACAGCCCCTTTATTTATGTAACAAACAGAAACTGGAAAGCCATTTGATAAGAATGTGATTCTTTGATTCTTGTATTGCTTGAATCTGAGTTTGTAACTCTCTGGTATCTTGCACTGTGGTTTCCTGTTCTTTCATCACCAACTAATTCCATTTGCTTTTGTCTTATATAAAATATCTGAAGATGTTTGGACTTCTAATGTCACTTCTTCTTTTCCAGAATTGATATATTTTTAAATTATTATTATTCACTTTTCCACATCCAATGGGAACTTGGGAAAGAGGATGGAGAAATAGATGTACTCAGTTACCATCTGGTTTTGCCATTACAATAAATTTCCATTCTTCACTTAATGTTCTAAACCACTGATTCTCAACCCTGGTTGCAACTTGGAGAGTTTAAAAAAAAAAAAATACCAGCGCTTGAGCCTCAGTCACAAAGATGATGATTTATTTAATCTGGAATAAAACTGAGGGATCAGTAGTTTTTAAAACTCCAAAAGTGATTGTAATGCAGAGTCAAGTCTGAGAATGACTCTTCTAAACAACTATATGGCCATACTTAAATCAAGGAGTTAATTCTCAGACTTCCGTGTCTGTAATACTACTCAGAGGAGATTCTAGGGCGCTATACCCAAGACACTGATTAAGTAGGAATCTGATTGTTGCTTCTGATTTAGATGTCCTCCAGGGGAACAGGGACCTGAGGTTTTCTTCAGCGTTTCTGAGTACTTTTGTTTCTTTCTGTCTCTATTTTTGTGTGCCGTGAAGAACCCTCACGCTCACTTACCAACGGCGCTAAAGATAATCTGTCACAGCTTCAAAATCTTCAATGCTGTGAACCAGGAAGCTACCCATCAAAATTCAGAGTTCCTGTAATATGCATGTTATATGTTATCCCCATCTTGTCCCAGAAGTTCTCAAATACAGCTGGTTCTTCTTCTCAGACTCACTTCAATCATTCTGGGGCTCTTTATTTTTCAAAGATTGCCAAACACTTTTCAAAGAATAATTATTAGTAAAAGAATAGTGACATTGGCCAGGTGTGGTGGCTCATGCCTGTAATCCCAGCACTTTGGGAGGCTGAGGTGGGTGGATCATGAGGTCAGGAGATCGAGACCCTCCTGGCCAACATGGTGAAACCCTATCTCTACTGAAAATACAAAAATTAGCCAGGCATGGTGGCCCGTGCCTGTGGTCCCAGCTACTCGGGACGCTGAGGCAAGAGAATCTCTTGGACCCGGGAGGTGGAGGTTGCAGTGAGCCGAGATCACACCACTGCACTCCAGCCTGGCAACAGAGCAAGACTCCATCTAAAAAAAAAAAAAAGAATAGTGACATTCACAGATATAATTTTCATCCGGAAAAATAGGGTAGTCATTCCTTTATACTTGAAAAGCAACATTATGGTAACATTTTGCCATATATTTTTCAGGATAAAAGTAAGGACAGAACCAAATTTGTTGCTGTTTACAGACAATATGAATTCCTTAAAGTCAGACGGAGGGAATGAGTTATCTTTGTCCTTGTGTGTCATAACTGATTATAACATTTCTCTAAAACCAGAATATATTTGCAAGGCTCAAAGACTGTCTCATAAAACATGATAGGACATAGTTGGAAATCTTCTTTCCTTCTGGAGATGAAGACTGCTGTAAAGATTCCTACCTGGCATAGAAGTGCTTTCAAATAGCTTGCCAAGCTATATTTTCAAATTTTATTTTAAAAATTATAGAGACATTAAATTTAAAGCCCATCATATAAGAAACTAGTTCCACAAACTAAAATTCCAAATTTTTTCTAAGGTATTTTTAATCACATGACCTTAAAATCAGGAGATCCAAAATAAAATTTTAAATACAAATAAGTCTGCAGTGTTTACGTTAGCATTATTATGAAAAAATTGAATGTCTGATTTTCTTATCCCATTATAAAACATGCTTTTATATTTCACAAAAAAAAGTCCCTTTTAATTATAATCTATTTAACACAACAGCACATCTAATTTATTAACTCTTAATTATATATTACAGAAGCAGCCAAAAAATCTGCTGTTTATTGCTGGAAAGTTTCCCATAGAGAGAAATAAAATGCAGGCTGTTTTCAAAGTATATAATTAAGAAATCAGTATGTAAAATTTCACTTAAATAAAATGTAGGGCAAAGGCATATGTTTATATCCTTTCTGTGAGATGCATAAAATCCTGTCTGGAAAACATTGTCTGGTACATTCCAAGGTAGAAATTCAGATGAATTTAATTTGCATCATAATAACTACAGGAAGACAGTATTTCAGAAAAAGGTAATAGTGGCTAAAAGACTGGATGCCAAAACATAAGGAACAGCAAGTCATAATTTCCAAGGATAACATATGTTAACTATGTAAATACTGGTTTGGAAGAAAGTCTCAACACAAAGCATTTATTCACTGATCAACAAATACAATATTTATCAAATGACTACTAGATGCCAGGTATTACATTAGATGCTACAGATGCAATAGTAAGCATCAAAAACTGAAGTTTCTTCTCTCATGGATCTCTTGGTCTACTAGACTATGCACACATGAGTTAAACAATTATAAAATAATTATATAACTACAAGCTGTACTAAATTCTATGAAGGTACCTGGTGCTATAAAGGTGTGAAACTAGTTGGTTCATGAAGAAAGAACTCTATAAAATATAACAATACTTTCAGTAAAAAGAAAAAAATTTCAATAAAAAGTTCAAATTCATCAAAATCCATCTGAATGCATTCTACCAATAAGACTCACTATTATAGTTGAATTATGGAAGAAATGCCTTAAAAATTTCTAGAAAGTAATCATAACAAACTAGGGTTAACATATATTGGTGTGGAAATAGTACACATTTAGACATCTGCTGTTTATCCTAGAGTTGCCCCACCTTGGGAATTTCTACATCTGAAGTTAAGCCTTTTAGACATATTTGAATTCAAAGAAAAAAAATAAGATCTTTATAAGAAAGTGATAATGAAAAGTGAATACGCTTCATCTTGAATGGGAACTCTTAAAACGAGGAAAAACATGACCATAAACTTTGGGCTAATTGTGATTGTTTTCTGGACTGATGCATTCCTGATTTATTCATTTTTAAAGAGTAAGATAAGGTTGCATTAAGTTATGTGTATCTGTTTTCCAGAGTAGAAGCAGGTATATGATACAAAGTAAAAAATCTAAGGTACTCACATCCATCATTATGTTTGATAATAATTAGCTAGTTAAATTATTAATGGAATTTGTTGACATAAGCTATAACATTGTACTATATCATAAAGACATCTTGAAATCTACCAATTATTAAGCTTTTTGGTTATGTCAAAAGGATAAATACATAAATTCAGCGTTAAAACTGCTGTTTGAACTATAGCCATTTTCCCAATTTATTTCTAGAATTCAGAGAAAATCACTGAACAGCTCACATGATCATGTGATGTTCTAACTACATACATTAATAAACTAAAACAATGCATAAAAGATACATCTAGATATACTTAGTTTTCTTAACCAAATCTTTGTAATACCTAGTGTTAGCCCTCAAGGCAGTGGCAGAACAAAAATTATCCTTGCTCAGAAATAAAAGACTTTCTCTCCATTAATTATTAAAAAGGCAAGAACAGGAACTCTTACAAAGCTACAAAAAAAAAAGAAAAAACCAATGTCATAAATTTTCAGCAGCAGTTACCACTTGTGGTTAATAAAATATAGTTAAAGCAAAATCTTACATTTCTCATCAATGCCTAAATGTCTTTAACCATTTAAAGGCTTTATTTCCGTTAGTTACTTTACAGTACTAAGAATCACTGGGATTTTGATGTGTATATATGCAATAAATTTACATATCTTTTCTCATTTAGAAGGTATGAATCTGATCAATGAGAAGTGTGTGAATTATTGCATTTATATGTATATTTGCTTTAACATTAACAAAAGGGTGAGAATATGCAATTTTTATATGTTTAAATTAGTGAGAAAGAAAGTTTGTAATGACATTTAGAGGCTAGTTTGAAAGCATGGAGTAGACAACACTACTAGAAATTCAACCAGTTTGACAATGCCACAAGACAAAGAACTAAAATAAAATTTACTTTTTCCAATTCATTAAATTTAGTAAAATTTCAAAAACTATTGTGATTTTAATGTGGAAGTAGATATTGCATTCTTTTTAAATAAAATCTTCATTCAATACTTACCCATATAAATTTAGAAATTAAACCAGAGTATTTTCTGTCTTTTTTTTTTGAGACGGAGTCTCACTCTTCGCCCAGGCTGAAGTGCAGTGGCACCATCTCGGCTCATTGCAAGCTCCACCTCCTGGGTTCACGCCATTCTCCTGCCTCAGCCTCCCGCGTGGCTGGGACTACAGGCACCCGCCACCACGCCTGGCTAATTTTTTGTATTTTTAGTGGAGACGGGGTTTCACCATGTTAGCCAGGAGGCCTTGATCTCCTGACCTCGTGATCTGCCCGCCTCGGCCTCCCAAAGTGCTGGGATTACAGGTGTGAGCCACCGCACCCAGCCAAACCAGAGTATTTTCCCACAAATGACTCAGACATCTTTTCTCTCAGGTAAAATTAAAATATCTGTTAGATGAAAATTTGTGTGACATTTTCAAAAATTTCAAATTTTCAAAAAGAAAAACTTTTATGTGAGTATACTTAGGTATTAACTATAAATTCTCAATAAGTTTGCTAAATATTCAGTACTGAATATCATTTTGTGTGAGGAGAAAAGTAAATACCTGAGGTTATGTAAACCCTGTCTTTCTATCTTAATGTGAAAAGGGAAAAGAACATATTTTCTTTCAACCATTAAAAAGCTTATAAAGTTGTCCGGAGGCTGAGGCAGAAGAATGGCATGAACCCAGGAGGCGGAGCTTGCAGTAAGCCGAGATCGTGCCACTGCACTCCAGTCTGGGCAACAGAGAAGGACTCCATCTCAAAAAATAAATAAATAAATAAATAAATAAATAAATAAATAAATAAATAAAATAAAAAAGCTTATAAAGTTGTTTAAGTTTGAAATTTGTATTTATGGGTGACATTTTGGCTTCTACCTCTGTATTTGTGTTTAATAGCAAAGTTCTGGGAATATAAAAGTACAGCTTATCATTATCATTAAGAAAATAAAAAATAATATGAGAAAAAGAAAAAACTACTGAGTTGGAATAAGAACTGAAATTAAACCATTCACTTACTATAAGGCAGAGTGGATAAAAGAAGAACAATGCGTAGAAAACTTTGGTATTTATATTCTATAATAAAGAAAATGACCACCACCACAAAAATACATGGAGTAAAATATTAGGACAGAAATGTCTTTCTGGCCAGAAATTATATAGCATAAAACATATAACAAAACACATGAGAAACTCTCAGGTGAAAATTCATAATTTTAAATATCTTATTAAAATAATAAAAAGGATTAAAATGAGTGAATTAAAAGGTTTTCAACTCAAAAATATATTGAAAGCTAACCAAAAAACAGTAGGGTAAACAAAATAAAGATAAAAACAAATTGATTAATTGGAAGCAAAAAAAAGCAAATGATACTAAATTTCATTTAGAAGAATAACAGATAGGAAAGCTTTATAAAAGAGAGTTAAAAGAGGAGAGTTGTCTTATCATATATTAAAAATACATTATAAAGCTACAATAATCTAATAATGAGAAACTCATGATAAGAAAGAAAACATTTAGGAAAAATTAAAGTAAATCCCTATCTTATGTTGAAAACAAAAGTTAACTTCGGTTACAACACATATTTTAAAATTAAAAAACAAAATGTAATATTTAACAACATAAAGATTAAACGTTCTTTTTGTAAAAAAAAATTAAAAACTAAGTTAAAAGAAATAGACACTATAGGAAAAAATATTTGCAATAAACATACTAAGCTGTTAATAATCTTAAAGTATGAAAACATCACATAAACCATTCTAAATTGTGCCCAACATTAATGTGTCCCCCATTAATTTGACAAGGATAACATAGCATCTGTATTTTTTTTAAGCTGACAAAGCGACTATATCAGTCAGGTGCTTGCAGAAAAAGATGGCAAACCAAATTTGGGAAATTTGAGAAGATTTACAAAAAAGTGGGCAGAGTTTAGGAAAATCAATAGGGAATTGTGCAATACCCTGGGGCTAGCAACAGCTGAAAGCCATTACCTTCCTGGGGCCTGAACAGGCAATAGAGGGAGGGTTACAGAAATGTAGAGAGTAGATGTTTCAAGAAGTGGCCTTCAATAAAATTTCTGTCACCATCCCTCAAATACTAAGATACTTTCGAATAGGAGAGCAAAGATAAGATGCCAGACCTTAGATGAGATGAGCTAAGGGTGGTTTGGAAAACCTAAAATGTATTGTTAAATGTATAGTCTATTCTAAATTTAGTTCACCCTTTCTAAGGAGTATTCCTTTCTGCAATCTGTATATGTAAGTTTTAATTTTTTAAATTATATATATATATGTATCTCTTATTTTAAAATTTATGTAAAATTTAGGAGGATAAGAGATCGGAGAGAAAAGTTTAGACAAAGGTCAAGAATGATACTGATTCTAATTTTATATTCTGGATGAAAAACTAATATTAAAAGCCATTTTGTTATTTGTAATAACATTTATTTTACTCACTGACCCATTGTGGCAGTCAATAAAAGATACTTAAGGTAATGTCTGAGTTAAGATTGTAAAAGGTGAGAATCAATATGTCACAAGTAAAAATATGTTAGAGTTCATTGTTAAATTTTTAACCACGCTTTGCAAGCTGGTTGTTAAACACAGCCTTTGTTAAAAATTAAATTATAGAAGCTAATAATTAAATAAATTACATTATAAGCAAAGTTTAAAAATACACTAATCACTTCCTAATTATACTGATGTGTTTCTATTTTCAATGCTCTTGAGGTTGTTTACATCTAATGAATGTATACGGTAGAAATATGACATCATGGTGCTACTGCTTCTCTTTTCAATTTCACATTTAATGATATCATATTCATAACTTGAAATCAGTGATGATGAAGGTATTTATTCCATGGGAATTTGCATCTTTTACAAATGAGGGCTTTTTTTGTTGTTTCTTTTCTTGGAATCAGTTGTTAAATGTTTGCTAGTATACTACCGGAAAAGTGACTAGTGGAATGTGAGGATGCAAACATGAATATTCCAAGCAAAGAAGCCTACATAAATAGTGATAAAGAAGGTGGTATAGTCATGGTAGTATTAGCAGGAGTGGTAGCGGAGGTAATGGTGGTGGTGTAATGATGTAGTGGTAGAAGTAGTCAAAAAATCTATCTTTTCTTAAGTGCCAGGATTCTTAGATGCAGAGTCTCGTCCAATCCTCATAATAATCCTATGAGGCAGATAATGTTCATAATTTCCATTTTGCCAATCAGGGGTCTGAGGTCTGGAGAGGTTAAAGAACTTGCCTATGGCCTCACAGAAGCAGACCTGAGCTATAAACCTGAGCATATTAGATCACATAGCTGAAACTTTTAACGCATACTTCATCTGTTATTTGATACTGATGAGTCAATTGTAGGGTGGGAAATAGTGAGAAAATAGACTGGAGAGGTTAGCAAGGGTCAGAATGTAAAGTGCTTGTAACAAAATGATAATAACAATCACTTTGAGTGTCCATTAGATGGTGAGTAGTATAGGAACTTACTGTATCTCGCCACGATTCTTCATAAGGATAATTTAGCAGCTACACTTCATTATTTTAATGCAATGAAGTTACTGTTTCTATAAAAATGATACATGTTTATTATAATAAAATCAAAAGAGAAGAAAAATTACACAAATACTCAGCCCTGAAATAATTATATTTGACATGTGAACATCATTCTATGTATCTCTACACACATACATACAACTAGCAGATGACATATAGATAGACTCATAAAGATAGCATTTTATGGTGTGACACTCTGAATTTATATTCTTTTTTTTTTTTTTTTTTTTTTTGAGACGGAGTCTCGCTCTATCACCCAGGCTGGAGTGCAGTGGCGCCATCTCGGCTCACTGCAAACTCCGCCTCCTGGGTTCATGCTATTCTCCTGCCTCAGCCTCCCCAGTAGCTGGGACTACAGGCGCCCACCACCTCGCCTGGCTAATTTTTTTGTATTTTCAGTAGAGACGAGGTTTCACCATGTTAGCCAGGGTGGTCTCAATCTCCTGACCTCGTGATCTGCCCACCTCGCCTCCCAAATTGCTGGGATTACAGGTGTGAGCCACCGCATCTGGCCTGAAATTATATTCTTAGTAAACTTTGTATTTTTTAAATATTTTAGATTTATAGAAAAGTTGCAAAGGTAGTATAGAGCGTTACCATACACCAGATGGTTTCACTGGTGAATTCTACCAAACAAGAGAGAAATGATACCAATGCTCTACAAACTCTTCCACAAAATAGAAGCAACATTACACTAGTAACAAAACTAAACAGACAAGAAAGGGAAACTATAGACCATATCCTGAGCATAGATGCAAAAATTCTCAAAAAATACTAGCATATTAAGTCAACAATACTGTAAATTTAACAATGTATATAGTAAGAACCATACACCATGACCAAATGAAATTTATTCCAGGTATACAACACTGATTAAACATTTGAAAATTGGTAAGTGCAATTCACCACATCAACAAGCTAAAGGAAAAAATATATCAGTTGAAACAGAAAAAAATTTTGAAAAAATTTAACACCCATTTATGCTTTTTAAAACTCTCAGCAAACTAGGAATACAGGAAACAGAAAAAAAATTTTTGGAAAAATTCAACATCCATTCATGATTTTTAAAACTCCTAGCAAACTAGGAATACAGGGTATTTCTGTTGAGGTAACTTCTTCAACTTCATAAGAAACATCCACAAATAAACATACAGATAGCTTAATGGTGAGAAACCGGAAATTGTCACCTAAAAACTGGGAACAAGGCAAGGAAATCCTCTCTCACCTCTAAAAATATGCTCAACATTAAATGCTATTAGGAAACCACAAGTAAATTAAAACAATAAGATGCCACTCCATGCCTACTAGAATAGCTAAAATCCAAAAACCTAATAGTACCAATTTCTGGCTTGGATACAAAGCAACAAGAAAGTCTCATTCATTACTAGTTGGAACACAAATTGGAATAGGCACTTTAGAAGATAGTTTGGTAGTTTATTATACCTTGTAATGTTGCCCCCATGGTTCTTGAATGTTCTGTTTTGTGGTTTTGGGTGTTGGTTTGTTGTGTGTGTGTGTGTGTGTGTGTGTGTGTGTGTGTGTGTGTGTTTTGTTTTTTTTGTTTTTTTTTTTTTTTTCATTTTTTTTCTCTTGGCATTTTAGTTTGAAGGTAAGTTTCTGTGAACCTATTGTCAAGCTCACTTAAGCTTACCTTCATGTCAAGTCTATTGAACCCATCAAAAGCATTCTTTACTTCTGTTATAATGTTTTACATTTCTATTATTTCCTTGGATTCTTACTGTTTTCATCTCTCTGCTTACATTAACCATACACTGTTGCATGTATTCTACTTTTTCCAAGAGGTTCCTTGATATACTAGCCATAGTTATGTTAAATTCCCTATTTGACAGTTTCAACATCTGTGTCATATCTGAGTCAGATAATTGCTTTGTCTTTTCAGACTGTGTTTTTGCTTGCCTTTTAGTATGTCTGCCTTGTAACAATTTTTTTAAAGCTGGACATGTCATATCAGGTAAAAGGAACTGAGGTAAATAGGCCTTTACTGTAAAGACTTATGTTAATATAACTAGAAATTGGGCTATGTTTAATGTTTGCTGTAGCCCTAGTTGCCAGAGGCTTCACTTTCTCTAGTGTTGTTTTGTAATTCCCTCTTGGCTTCGGACTTCTGTAGTTACTCCTTTTCGGAAGGACTCTGTATTTTTCAGCTCTTTCAGCTGCAATTCACTGTTATCCTGGAGTCTTGTTGGTGTGATGGTAAGGTTTGGGGCAAGAAAGTATCCTGTAATCATTCAGTTAAATGTCAGTGTTTTAACCTGAGTCTCAGGGCTTTGACCCTCACACTTGTTTCTTCAATGGCATAGTTTCTTTATTCCCCTCTTTGTCTACTCTCTTCCCTGACTACACGTTCCTGGTCTATTTCTTTGAAACTCTGGCCCTGTTAGACAGAAAGCTCTGACCTTGGTTGAGACAGGAAGGCTACAGGGAGGTGGCTGTGAAGAAATTACATTCCCTCAGCTGGAATAAGGTTTTGATAAAGTTTTTCTTTGTTATGGAGAATGCACTGGATATATTTCACAGTCATTGATCTTCCTCTATCCCTACCAGAGCCAGGAAGATCTTTCTCAGATCTTTACTGTGAGAACCTCATGGAATTTCTGTAGGTAAAACTCAAGAAAGTGTGGAGACCAACCCCATGCACATACTGTGGTCCCCAGAAGTTTCAAATTATCAAGCTAGACCATGCTCAGTCTCCAAAAATTAATCAAAATTAATATTTAAGTGTTCCTACCAGTATTAACTTCAGCAGTTATTCTCTAAGTATGCAGATCTTCAAGTATGCAGATCTTGGCTGTGATTTTCTGTATCTATGGGTCTTTTCAGATTTCAGGTTGGCTGTTTCCTTTGCAACTTCAGTTACCTAGTGGGTCTAAGTCATTGATCTTCAGTTTCTTCAGCTTTTCTCTAGTAGGGACAGGACTATTTTTAACCTCTTAATGTGTCAAAGTGAAACTGAAAGCTCTGCATTTATTTTTAAATAAAAGCATCAATTCTAATTCCAAACAAACTTAAAAGTAAACTTTTTATACCATGAGATATGTTTATTTCTAAAAGATTTCACTAAGATTAAGAAAAAACATTATGAAAAATATTAAAAAGTCTGACTAAGATTGAGTCATTTTTTAAACTTTTTTTTTTCAGTTTTAGACAGTTTGACTTTTGCCTTAAAAGAATGTTAGCATTCTTACCCTTCAATCAATGTTTTCTACCCTTTCCTTCTAATTGTTGTCAATCATACTATTGTTTTGATATTGTGAGACTTATAACATTTGCATAGTCATTTCCACAGATATTTAGCCATAATTCTCAATAAAACAGAAGCAATATGTATCTCCAGGCTTTTAACCATGCCTTTTCCTCTTCTGAAATACATATTTTATTTCTTTATCAACTGGATTTTGGCATTGAATGGTAGTCTTGGTTTTAATGTTTTGTGTTTTGTTTTTTCAAGAAGGCTTCAGACATTCTATTTCCTAAGTTGTTTAATGTCTTAAAATGTGGTTAGGAGCCTTTACATTTTGATAATGTCTTGGGTTGGTGAAAACATTCTGTTTTTCTCAAAACTTGGCGCCTTTCTTCTGGCTCTGAATTTAGCTGTGGAGAAATTTGAGGGGAAATGTGCTCTCTTTTAGGCCCGAGTTACAAAACTTACCTAGTGTAGGTATAAATGTTGTTATATGTAAATTTTTCCTCTAATACTAGAAGAGATTAACAAAAATTCCTGTGCAATATTTCTTAATTATAAGTACATTTTTTGTATTATGCCTTTGAATACTTTTTCTATTCTACGTGTCCAGTTCTCTAACTGTCTGGCCCCCAGTTTAGATTCTTCTTCCTAATTTCTTTAATTCATTTGTCTTTTCTTATTCTCTCCCTTTGATTACCTCTAACTACTCTTGTTCAGTAATTTTATTTCAGTCACTTCATTTTGTTCTTATTTCTAATTTCTTATTTCCTTAAGGATAATTTGATTCTCAACTTTTTCTTCACTCTTTAATCTCCCCATTTCCATCTCATTCTGACAGAATCTCATCTTTTCCTCATACTGCTATCTTTTGAATTTATATTCTTATTAAATTTTGTAGGATAAAGCAGCCATGAAGAATCCTTCTTTGTTCTCTGAGGATTTCTTTGTT
This sequence comes from Homo sapiens, assembly GCF_000001405.40. Classification (NCBI taxonomy): domain Eukaryota; kingdom Metazoa; phylum Chordata; class Mammalia; order Primates; family Hominidae; genus Homo; species Homo sapiens. The sequence continues at coordinate 153,398,598 of NC_000003.12, read as the reverse complement.
TAATCAATATCAAATGCCATTCTTTGAAGTCTAAAACACTGGCTGTACACCTTTTTTTATTTGATTGCTGGTGAATATATATATTCAGCAATATATGAGAATACATAATTATATATTATATAATATAGATATTGAATATATCTGCAAATATATATTGAATATAGAGAATATATGTTGAATATATAGTATATGTAATATTGAATATATATTATATATTAAAAAATATATATATATACACACAGCTATTTTGACTTCTTGCTAGTCTCTATCATGGTTAGCTAGACAACTCTTTATAGATGTTACTCCCATTTTATAGGGGAGGAAATTAAGTTTTAAAGAAGTTAAATTCTCAAGATTGTACATACATAGAAGATAATGGATGGACAGAGATAAACCAGTAAAATCAAGATTTTAAACTCCTGTATTTTAGTCAGGTCAGTCTTGTTTTTCAACCCTTCCTATCTATGCAATACTTGTAGTTATGCTTCAAATGTCATTGAAAATATTATTATTTCTTCCCCATGCTTGTGGTAATCATGCTGCTACAGTAACATGACTAATAAATTATGATACACACAGGCTGACTCTTGTCACTGACAGGCCAATCTGCCTTGACATTTAGGTATGAAGATGATGTATATGGATAATAAATTCACACCCATAGATTAGTTCACACTCCATTCAGTCTATAAAGAAATGATTGGGCCATTAGATATCAGGCGTTTCAGGAATCTATGATGCATACTAATCCCAAGAAGATCCAATTCTATGATATCTAACAAGTAAGATTTTCACGGGTGCTGCAACCAGTTTAAAGGGGCTTATTTATCTTAAAACTACACTGACATAACTAAATAGAAGCAGAGCAAGATGGCTGAATAAAAGCCTCCAGCAATTGTTCCCTCTGCAGGAATACCAAATTGAACAACTATCCACATAAGAAAGCACCTTCATAAGAACTAAAAATCAGGCGAGTGATCATAGTACCTGGTTTTAACATTTCATCAAGGAAAGAGGCACTAAAAAGGGTGGGAAAGACAGTTTTGTATTACCAAAGTCGCTCCTCCCCCATCCCCTGGCAGCACCGTGTGGTGCAGCGAGAAAATCTGTGCACTTAGGAAAAGGAGAGCAAAGTGATTGTGGGACTTTGTAATGCAACTCAGTGCTGCCCAGTCACAGTGGAAAGCAAAACAGGGCAAATTTAGTGAGCACCCAAAGAGGGAGCATTTAAAACGACCCAGACAGAGGGAAATCATCCATCCCTGTGATCAGAACCTGAGTTCCAGCAAGCCTCGCCACCACAGACTAAAGTGCTGTGGAGTCCTAAATAAATTTGAAAGCAGGCCACAAGGACTGCAATTCCTGGGCAACTCCTGGTGCTATGCTGGGATCCGAGCCAGTGAATTTGGGGTGCACAGGACCCACTGAGAGCCCTACTGGGGTTGCTAGGGGAGTGCTTGCATCACCTCTTCCCTAACCCCAGGTAGCACAGCTCATAGCTTGAAGCTCTGGGAGAGACTCCTTCCTTCTGCTTGAGGAGAGAAGGGGGAGAGTAAAGAAGACTTTGTCTTGCAACTTAGATACCAGCTCAGCCACAGTAAAATAAAGCATGAGAAAGAGTCCTGGGCCCCTATTCCAGGTCTTAAGTCCTGGATAACATTTCTAAACCTTCCCTAAGCAAGAAGGGAACCCACTGCCCCAAAAAGAAGGACCAAATCCTGGCAGAATTCATCATTTGCTGACTAAAGAGCCCTTGGGCCTTGAATAAACATTGCCAGTAGCCAGGAAGTACTCGCCACAAGCAGGGGGTAAGATCCAGTACTGTGCTGCTTTCAGGCGAGGCCAGCACATAACCAGCTGTGGTGACCTTGCAGGGAGGCCCCTTCTGCTTGAGAAAAGGAGAGGAAAGAGTAAAAGGGACTTTGTCTTGCAAGTTGGGTACCAGCTCAGCCACAGTATAATCAAGCAGATACCTAAAGCTCCTGATTCCAGCCCCTAGCTCCTGGAGAGCATTTCTAGACACCCTGGGCCAGAAGGGAACCTGCTGCCTTGAAGGGAGAGACAAAGACCTGGCAGGATTCACCAGCTCCTGACTAAAGAGTCCTTGGGCCTTGAATAAACTTCAGTGGTAGACAGGAAATAGTCATCACAGGCCATGGCCAAGACCTTCATGTGTAACCTAGAACAGTGCCAGCAATAATGGTCACAGGACACCCCTCCCCCAACTCCAGGCACCTCAACACAGAGAAAGAGACTTTGCTAGTTTGGGGGAAAGTAAGGGAAGATAACAAGAGACTCTGCCTGTAATTCCATGGAATTCTCTCAGATCTTACCCAAGACCAATAAGGTAGTATTCTCTATGAATCTGCAAGAGCCACAGTGTTACTAGGCTTGGGGTGCTCCCTAATTCAGATGCACCAACAGTGACCAAAGACATAGATCAAAACACACAATACTTTTGAATAATTGGAAAGCCTCCTCAAGAAGGAAGAGTACAAACAAGTCTAGACTACAACAATTAGAATAAATATATAACTCTTCAATGCCCTGATATTGATGAACATCCACAAGCATCAAGACCATCCAGGAAAACATGACCTCACGAAATGAACTAAATAAGATACCAGTGACTGATTCCAGAGTGACAGAAATATGTGACCTTTCAGATAGAGAATTTAAATTTGTTTTCTTGAGGAAAATTAGTGAAACTCAAGATAATACAGAGAAGGAATTCAGAATCCTAGCAGACACATTTAACAGATATTGAAATAATTAACAAAAAATCAAGCAGAAATTCTACAGCTGAATAATTCAATTCACAAACTGAAGAATGCATCAGAATCTCTCAACAGCAGAATTGAGCAAGCAGAAGAACTAGTGAGCTTGAAGACAGGCTTTTTGAAAACATTGTCAAAGGAGAAAAATTTAAAAATAATAAAAAACAATGAAGCATGCCTACAAGATCTAGAAAATAACCTCAAAAGGGCAAATCTAAGGGCCGGGTGTGGCGGCTCACACCTGTAATCCCAGCACTTTGGGAGGCCGAGACGGGCGGATCATGGGTTCAGGAGATTGAGACCATCCTGGCTAACATGGTGAAACCCCGTCTCTACTAAAAATACAAAAAATTAGCCAGGCATGGTGGTGGGCACCTGTAGTCCCAGCTACCTGGGAGGCTGAGGCAGGAGAATGGCGTGAAACCGGGAGGTGGAGCTTGCAGTGAGCCAAGATCATGCCACTGCACTCCAGCCTGGGTGACAGAGTGAGATTCTGTCTCAAAAAAAAAAAAAAAAAGGCAAATCTAAAAGCTATTGGCCTTAAAGAGAAGTCAGAGAGAAATATAGGGGTAGAGAATTTATTGAAAGAGATAATAACAAGATCTTCTCAAATCTAAAGAAAAGTATCAATATTCAAGTACAAGAAGGTAATAGAACATGAATCAGATTTAACCTAAAGAAAACCACCTCAAGGCATTTAATAATCAAAACTCCCAAAGGTCAAGGATAATAAAAGGATCCTAAAAGCAGCAAGAGAAAATAAAGAAATAACCTGCAATGGACCTCAAATATGTCTGGTAGCAGACTTTTCAGTGAAAACCTTACAGGCCAGGGGAGAGTAGCATGGCATTTAAATTTCTGACAAAAAGAAACAAAAAACTTTTCTCCTAGAATAGTATATCCAGCAAAAATATCCTTCAAACATAAAGGAGAAATAAATACTTTCCTAGGCAAACAAAAGGTAATGGATTTCATCAACACCAGACCTGTCCTATAAGAAATGCTAAGGGGAGTTCTTCAAACTGAAAGAAAAGGATGTTAATGAGCAATAAGAAATCATCTGAAGGTACAAAACTCACTGGTAATAGTAAGTACCCAGACAAATACAAAATATTATAAGACTGTAATTGTGGTATATAAGCTACTCATATCTTAAGTGGAAAGACTAAAAGATAAACCTATTAAAAATAAAAACTACAACCACTTTTCATGACATAGACAATGTAATAAGATATAAATAAAAACAACAAAAGGTTAAAAAATGGGGGGGTAAGATTAAGTGTAAAGTCTTTATTAGTTTTCTTTTCGTTTGTTTGTTTATGCAAATAGTGTTAAGTTGTTGTCAGCTTAAAATAATGGATTATAAAATAGTATTTGCATGGCTCATGGTAACCTCAAATTAAAAAACATACAATAGATACACAAAAAATAAAAAGCAAGAAATTAAATCATCCCACCAGAGAAAGTCATCTTCACCAAAAGGAGGACAGAAAGGAAGAAAAGGCCACAAAACAACCAGAAAACACATAACAAAATGGCAGGGGTAAGTCTTTGCTTATGAATAAAAACATTAAATGTAAATAGACTAAACTTCTCAATCAAAAGGCATAGATTGGCTGACTGGATTAAAAAGCAAGACCTAATGATCTGTTGCCTACAAGAAACACACTTAACCTATAAGACACAAATAAAACACACTTTACCTATAAGACTCAAATAAACACTGAAAATAAAGGGATGAAAAAAGATATTTCACGCAAATAAAATTAAAAAAAGCAGGAGTAGCTATACTTATATCCAACAAGGGAGGTTTCAAGACAAAAACTATTTAAAAAACACAAAGAAGGTCATTATATGATAAAGGGGCCAATTCAGCAAGAGGATGTAACAGCTGAAAATACATATACACCAAACACTAGGCACCCAGATATATAAAACAAATACTATTATAGCCAAAGAGAGGGATAGACCCAAAAATAATAATAGCTGGAGACTGCAGCACCCCACTTTCAGCATTGGACCAATCATCCAGACAGAAAATCAATAAAGAAACATTAGACTTAATCTGTACTCTTAACCAAATGGACCTAATAGATATTTACAGAACATTTCATCCAACAGCTGCAGAAAACACACTCTTCTCCTTAGCATTCTCAAAGACAGACCATATCTTAAGCCATAAACAAGTCTTAAATTTTTTTTAAAAAATTGAAATCATATCAAGTATCTTCTCTAATCACAATGAAAAAAACTAAAAATCAATAACAAGAGGAATTTTGGAAACTATACAAACACATGGAAGTTAAACAATATGTTCCTGAATGACCAATAGGTCAATAAGGAAATTCAAAAGGAAATTTAAAAATTTTTCAAAACAAATGAGAAGGGAAACACACCATATTAAAACTTATGGGATACAGCAAAAGAAGTACTAAGTGGAAGGCTGAAAGAAAGAAAGAAAGAAAGAAAGAAACTTCAAATACACAACCTAAAGATGCATCTTTAGAAACCGAAAGAGTAAGAGCAAACAAAACCCAAAATTAGTGGAAGAAATAATAAAGATAGGAGCAGAAATAAATGAAAATGAAAAGAAAAAACAATACAAAAGATTTTAAAAATGAACAGTGGGTTTTTGAAAAGATAAAAACAAATCAACAAACCATTAGCCAGATTAAGAAAAAAAGAAGACCTAAATAAATAAAAATAGAGATGAAAAAAGAGATATTACAACTGATATGGCAAAAATTCAGAGGATCATTAGAGACTACTATGAGCAGTTATATGCCAATAAAATGGAAAACCTAGAATAAACAGAGAAATTTCCAGATATATAAAATCTACTGAGATTGAACCATGAAGAAATCCAAAATCTGAATAGAAAAATAACAAGTAATTACATTAAAGCTGTTATAAAATGTCTCCCAGCAAAGAAAAGCCCAGGATGCAATTGTTTCACTGCTGAATTTTACCAAACATTTAAAGAAGAAATAACACCAATTCTATTCAAATTATTTCAACAAATAAAGAAAGAGGGAACACTTCCAAACTCATATCACAAGGCTGGTATTACCCTAGACACAGATACATTTTTAAAAAGAGACAGAGAGAGTAAATACAGGTCAATATCCCTGAAGAACATTGATACAAAAATCCTCAACAAAATACTAGCAAACTGAATTCAACAATACATTAAAAAGACCATTCTTCATGACCAAGTGGGATCTATTCCAGGGATGCAAGGATGGTTCAACATATGCAAATCAATCAATGTGACACATCACATCAACAAAATGAAGGGCAAAAACCATATGATCTTTTCGATTTATGCTGAAAAAAGCATGTGATAACATTTAACATCCCTTCATAATAAAACTCCTAAAAAAACTAGGTATATGAGGAACATACCTCAATACAATGATAAATGAATAAATTTCTAGACACATAAAACCGACTGACACATATAATGAAAGCCATGTGTGACAGACCCACAGGTGGTATCATACTGAACAGGGAAAAATTGAAAGCCTTTCTTCTCAGATCTGAAACAAGATAAGGATGCCCACTTTTTTTTTTTTTTTTTTTTTTTTTTTGAGATAGAGTCTCGCTCTGTCACCCAGGCTGGAGTGCAGTGGCGCTATCTTGGCTCACTGCAAGCTCTGCTTCCCGGGTTCACATCATTCTTCTGCCTCAGCCTCCCGAGTAGCTGGGACTACAGGCACCTGCCACCTCGCCCGGCTAATTTTTTGTATTTTTAGTAGAGATGGGGTTTCACCGTGTTAGCCAGGATGGTCTCGATCTCCTGACCTCATGATCCGCCTGCCTTGGCCTCCCAAAGTGCTGGGATTACAGGCATGAGCCACCGCGTCCGACAAGGATGCCTACTTTCACCACTGTTATTCAACATAGTACTGCAATTCCCAACTAAAGCAATCAGACATGAGAAAGAAATAAAGGGCATCCAAATTGGAAAGGAAAAAGTCAAATTGCCCTTGCAGATGATATGGTCTTATATTTGGAAAAACCTAAGACTCCACCAAAAACTATTAGAACTGATAAACAAATTCAGGAAAGTTGCAGGATACAAAAATCAATGTACAAAAATCAGTAGCTTTTCTATATGCCAATGGTAAACAACTTGAAAAAGTAATCTCATTTACAATAGCTACAAATAAAATACCTAGGAATTAACTTAACCAAAGAAGTGGAAGACCTTTGTAATGAAAGCTATAAAACACTGATGCAAGAAATTGAGAAGGACGCAAAAATGGAAAGATACTCTATGTTCATGAATTGGAAGAATCAATATTGTTAAAATGTCCACACACCAAAAGAAACTACAGATTCAGTGCAATCTCTATAAAAATAACCAATGACATTCTTCACAGAAATAGAAAAAAAAAAACTAAAATTTTTATGGAACAACAAAAGACCCAGAAAGCCATCCTGATATAAAAAGAACAAAACTGGAGGAATCACTTCCCCTTACTTCAAATTATATTACAGATCTATACTAACCAGAACAGTATGGTACTGGCATAAAAATAGACACATAGATTAATGGAACAGAATAGAAGCCCCAGAAATAAATCCATACATCCACAGTGAAATCATTTTCAACAAAAGTGCCCAGAAAATACATTGAAGAAAGGATAGTCTCTTCAATAAATGGTGCTGAGAAAAGTGGATATCCATATGCAGAAAAATGAAACTAGACCCCTATCTCTTACCATATACAAAAATCAAATCAAAATGAATCAAAAACTTAAATCTAAGACCTCAAACTATAAAACTACTAAAAGAAAACATTGGGGAAACTTTCCAGGACGTTGATCTGGGCAAAGATTTCTTGAGTAAACCCCACAGGCACAGGTAACCAAAGCAAAAATGGATAAATGTGATCACATCAAGTTTAAAAGCTTCTGCACAGCAAACAAAACAATCAACAAAGTGAAGAGACAACTCACAAAATGAAAGAAAATATTTTCCAACTATACATCTGACAAGGGATTAATAACCAGAATATATAGGCAGCTCAAACAGCTCAATAGGAAAAAATCTAGGAATCCAATTTTTAAAAGGGGCAAAACATCTAAGTAGACATTTCTCAAAAGAAGACATACAAATGGCAAACAGGTATATGAAATGGTGCTCAATGGCACTGAACATCAGGAAAATGCAAATCAAAACTACAATTAGATATCATCTCATACCAGTTAAAATGGCTTTTATATTATACAAAGGACTGGCAATTATGAATTTTGGTGAGGATGTGGAGAAAATGTTACCCTTGCACACTGTTGGTGGGAATGTAAATTAGTACAGTCACCATGGAGAACAGTATGGAGATTCCTCAAAAAACTAAAAATAGAGCCACCACATGATCCAGCAACCCCACTACTAGGATATATACCCAAAAGAAGTAAATCAGTGTATCAAAGAGATATGTGTACTGCCATTTTTATTGCAGCACTATTCGCAGTAGCCAAGATTTGGAATCAGCCTGAGTATCCATCAACAGATGAATACATAAAGGAAATGCAGTATGCATCTACAATGGCACACCATTCAGCCATAAAAGAATGAGATCTTGTCATCTGCAACAACATGGATGGAGCTGGAGGATATTATATTAAGTGTAATATGCCAGGAACAGAAAGACAAATGTTGCATGTTCTCATTTATTTTTGGAAACTAAAAATCAAAATAATTAAACTCATGAAGATACAGAGTAGAATGATGGTTACCAGAGGCTGGGAAGTGTAGTGGGTGTAGGGGGAAAAGGGGATGGTTAATGAATACAAAAATACAGTTAGATAGAATAAATAAGATGTAGTATTTGATAGCACAACAGTATTATTAACACCACTGGTAAAGGAACCAGAACTTAGTTTCTTTCTCGGAACGAATGTGTTAATGGAGTGAGCATCAACAGCAGATTTCCATGGTAACCTACAGACTTCAAAAAATGTTAATTTCTAACACATGAACAACTTCTGGAAGGTCACATACGTGTGTATGTGTGTGTATGTGTGTACAATGTGTTTTATAAATTTACATTATTGAGTCATTGATCGCTTGCAGTGTGTTAGCAGCTTTAGAAAAGGTAATTATACAGAGCTCAAGGACACTAAATTCCTATGTCAAGACCTTCTTAACATTAATCACTTTTCCTGTCTTCAAAAACCATGTAAAGTGACCTCTTGAAATAGCTGTAGTATAATCCAATTTACAGTTTCATAGAAAATGTCAAAGAAAAATGTCTATTTTATTTCTCTTCTCCATAAGTAATAATATATCTCATCTGAAGGCTCTAGGAGAAGAAAAAAGGAATAAAATAAAAGCAACTGATATCTCTGCCAAAATATGTGATCTGTGGAAGCAAGTCCAACAATAGTGGTAACTAATATAAAATAACTTGAAACAAGTTTAATCAGTTGTAAATCATGTATCTGAAGTTATTGTATTTGCAGTTCATATTAATAGTCTACATTTGAGAAATATCTCTTTAATGCACATTGATGGCTTGAAATAACATCTATGGCTCTTTCCTTCTCTTTGTCATTCTGACTTTTCTTTTTCCTTTCCTCCTTCCTTCTTTCCCTTTTGATTTTGAATCATGAAATTTCTAATTTTAAACCATATTTGATCTATTAAAACAGCAGTTTCGTATGGTTCAAAGTACACAAGACATGAAATAATTCTTAGGTGATATTTCAAGACAATAATCTGATGTTAATTTCCCAAATATCAAGATGGTATTTAATCATATTTCTGAAGATCTTCCACTGAAAGCTGTCTTGCACTATGAACTATATATAAGATATAGGCTAGTTGCTAAGTGAGCAGAAACAGTATAATTATGGGTTATAGTGGTATGTGGGTCAGGAGTATAACATGATTTTTAAATCCCTGCATTATTTTATAATGCATGTATGCTGAAGAAGGTTAAGAAAGGCACTGGGAATTCATGTCTACTCTTCTAACCATTGCATTATTGGCCCTAACCTATTAAACTATATGCTTTATCTGCGATACATAAAGAAATGCTGTCAATGTAGGTATATTTCCAAATTCTTCTTTTCTGCTGATCCACTGATTCAAGAAGTACTTTCTCACATGTGCTCAGGACGTAGTCTGCCAGGTCCATGCTGGCCTTCTTGAATTGCTGCCGTGCCACTTCCTTTGGTGATTGAGACTCAAGAGATCCATTTACCTCCTCTCTATTCAAAAGGATTTCTCTAGAAATTCTACGACCTTGGTATAAAATCCAAAACTCATACATGACCCCTGGAACTTAGGATATTCCTCACCACTGCCCTGATTGTCACACATCTCAGGATCTTGACATATCTCCACACAAGTTCTCAGTGACAATGACATTGATTGTAGCAGCTATAGTCAATGTCATTGTCACTGAGAACTTGTAGGTCTGTTTTGCTGTTCCCTTCCAGCCTATCTCCACGTAGCTAAGAATGACTGGCCATCACCATTAGGACTAAAAGGAGGAAGATTTTCCCCACCCCTAGGCCAAAGAGCCACAAACTAGAATCCATTTTGTTTTAGGGGAAATACTCTCATTACCTAGTAATACATGCTCTTATTCTGCAGTTTCAGCAAGACATTAACAACACTGTATGTACAATCTCCTACCTTTTGGGCCTCATCTTTAGCCTTCTTGCTTACAGAATCACAGAATTTCAGTCCTCAGAGATAATTATAGTTCGACTTCCTTATTTTAAAGGTGAGGAATTCAAAGACCACCACGTTGCTGTTTTCCCTTACAACTATATTGAGGTACAATTGACATAAAATAAACTGCATATCTTTAAAATGTACAATTTAATAAATTTGGACAGATATATACACCCAGAAAACTATGAGCAGGAAATAAGCATATCCATCACATCCAAACTTACCTCATGACCCTTTATAATCTCTCTTTCTCATCTCTCCCTTCATCAGCTCTCACCACTGGTGTTCTTTTTGTCACTATAGGTTAGTTTGCATTTTCTAGAATTTTATATGAATGAAATCAAACTATATGTTCTCTTTTTATTGTCTGACTTACTTTACACTGCTTAGTTATTTTTGAAACTCATCTATGTTGTATGGGTATCAATAACTAATAAGTTTTTTTTTGGTTTTTGTTTGTTTTGAGACAGAGTCTCACTCTGTCACCCAGGCTGGAGTGCAGTGGCACGATCTCGGCTCACTGCAACCACCACCTCCCGGGTTCAAGTGATTCTCCTGCCTCAGCCTCCCAAGTAGCCAGGATTACAAGCATGCGCCACCACACCTGGCTAATTTTTTTTATTTTTGGTAGAGACGGGGTTTCACCATTTTGGCCAGGCTAGTCTCGAACTCCTGACCTTAAGTGATCCGCCTGCCTCGGCCTCCCAAAATGCTGGGATTACAGACATGAGACACCATGCTGGCCAACTCATTAGTTATTATTGTTGAATAAAAAATATTACATGGATATCCCAGAATTTTCTGTCCATTTACTGGTGATAAAAATTGGAGTTGTTTCCAAATAAAGTTGATATGAATATGTACGTACAAGTGTTTGAATAGACATATATTTTCATTTATCTTAGGTAAATGTATAGGAGTGGAGTGGCTAGAACATATAATAGCTACATGTTTAACTTTTTAAGATACCAACAAACCGTTGCTGAAAGTGGTTCTACCATTTTACATTACCTGTCAGAATTGTAAAAGTTTCAGTCTCTCCACATCCTTGTTAACACTTATTATGATAAGCCTTTTTCACTTTAAGCACTACTGTGATGTCCAGTGGTATATCATTGTGGTTTCAATTTTACATTTCTTTGATGAAAACAATTTGAACACATTTTTATGTTTTAATATATTATGCATATCTTTTATTTTTGGAAATATATGTTCAAATTGTTTGCCCAAATTGTTATGGGGTTGCCTCGTTTCTTAGCAGTGAATTTTGACAGTGTTTTAAGTATTCTGAACATGAATCTTTTATCAAATATATAATTTGCAATTATTTTCTCTTAATCCGTAGATTTTTTTTCATTTCCATCAGTGTCTTTCAAAAAGCAAAAATGTTGGCCAGGCACGGTGGCTCATGCCTGTAATTCCAGCACTTTGGGAGGCCGAGGTTGGCGGATCACGAGGGCAGGAGATCCAGACCATCCTGGCCAACATGGTGAAACCCCGCCTCTACTAAAAATACAAAAATTAGCTGGGCGTGGTGGTGGGTGCCTGTAATCCCAGCTACTCAGGAGGCTGAGGCAGGAGAATTTCTTGAACCAGATAGTCAGAGGTTGCTGTGAGCCGAGATCATGCCACTATACTCCAGCCTGGTGACAGAGTGAGACTCTGTCTCCCATGTGCATGAGAAGCTGTTATGTAATATCCGTAACTGGTTTGAAAATCACTTGCCCATTCAATTCAGTTTGTCTTTACAAGCAGTTGCTCGGAGAGGTAGATCAGTAGCCCTTTCTCAAGGAAGGGCCTGTGCTATGATTTCAGTGAGCTCTGTCTGAACATGATGTGATCCAGTGGCTACAGGTTTGAACAACAGAGTCTTCCCCTATCTCCTGCAATAAAGTACATAACAAAGAGAAGCTGAGTTAAAATTGTTGGGGTTTAGCATATATGACAAAAAAAAAAAAAGAAATCAATAGAAATCTATTCATAAGGTAAAGTTTGGGGTGAAGACAGGTGGTTGGTGAATATATAGAACAGCAACTACTTTGGGCGGTCTTGATGCCAGGTCAATGCCAAAGTCTACCTATTGGTCTGAATAAATATTTGCCCATACTCACAGGCTTGGTCAGGATTTGTGTAGAAAGTGCACAGCAGAACTGAGCCTATGCATTCAAAGTCCTGAGTACCCCTACAAAGGAAGAGGACACAAATGAAAAATATTCCCTCATACCAAGGATTGTCCTGAAATCCAAGACCATATTTTATGAGGTAAGTTAAAAACAACATTACTAATTACCAATATTAAGTAAATTAAGGGGAAAAACATTACATTATGAAATTAAACAAATAGCATAATCTTATTGCTAATTCCCCCTCTTCATTGTTTTACTGCCTATATGATTCATAATATTTATAAAGCAGATCCAGGATTACCTCAAAAGTGCTTTAAAAAGTGAAAGAATGCTTTTAAAATGAAAAAAACAATGAAAAAAATTATTTTATTCTCCTCTTGGTGGACAGTAGAACTGAATAATTATGGTGAGATGCTGCCTTTATCTCTACTGGAGGTTGTTGGAGTCACACTGGAGCTAAGAACTAGGGACCACATCCTGGCCTTTGATTTGAGGCCCCTCTTGTGCATGTTTAATTTCCCACAACTGCAGAATCACTTGTAACATTGCAACTTTTCATAAGTAAAAGTAAAATTAATAAACTTGTGTTACTCTTTATATTTGGATTTCTTAGAAGACATACATCAGAGAGAGAGAGATTACAGTATGCAATCTCTCAGCTGCCAACAGAACACAGATGGGCTTGGGAACAGAGAATGATCCAGATCTGCAGGACTGGAGCAATCCGTGGGAAGTTTGGACAGAAGATCTGATGCATAAGACAGTAAAGGACTATTGAATGTTCCATGATAGATATGCTTGTTCTTTTGCCTGCATGCCCTTGAATAAAGACATTTTGATCTCCAGGACCAACCTGAGAAACATATAATTTAATCTAGTTTTGAAAGAAGAGCCCTGCTACACAAATACTGGCTCACAATGTTAAGAGATATCAACTGAAATATCAAAGGGCTTTCATATTTCATTAAATTGACTATCCTATGTGTTTGATATTTCCATTTAATTGAATATTTCTTAACTCAATGAAAAATGTATGAGCCTGCTGTGATAAATTCGGTGTCGCATATGGGAATTTCAAGTGTCTTTGATTGAATCTTATTTCTTGATATCTCACCTTTCAGAAGAGAGATACAAAAAGACTGTTAGCCTGCTTGCTTCTGTTTTTTCTGCCCCATCTCCACCCTTATTCCCAAACTGTGGTTCACACATTTATTTCTATTTTTAAAAATTTTCTCTTGCTGCTGCCATTCTCTTATTACTCATTTTTTAAATACCCAGTCCACTTTCCTTACTTTTCTTTAATGTCTGCCTCAGAGCTCAGCTTTTTTAGTTAATTGATGACATCACTAGCCTTTAGTTCTGAGAGACTGAATATACAGTCACACCATACATTGAAACAGAATTCTAAGCCACAAATTGCAATAACCAGAGCAAGACCACAGCCTCCATGGCAATTAGCCCAAAATGGTCAGGACCTGATCAATAACGGACAACTTTCATAATTTTTAGCCCCCTTCCCCCACTTCCAGCTTGGGACCAACTGGAGAAAGACAAATATGCTGCCTAACCACCCGCATAGGATGCTTTTCTTTCAATTATCGGGCTTCCGACTTCCCCGGACCAATAGCCTCCAATCAGGCAGACCTGAAGCCTTCCCTTTTTCCCATTCTAAAGCTTTCCTACTCCTCTGCCTGCCTTTGAGTCTCCGACAAACACAAATAATGGCGGTTAACTTCTTTACTATGCTAGCTCTGAATAAATATCCTTATTAATATACTTTTCTTGTTCGCATCTGGGTGCACTTCATTTGTTTCCATAGTTCTTTCATTCCATGAACTTTCCAATTAAAAACTGTTTTGAATAAATGCCACGGTCTTGGCTTTTCTGCAATCATCAACTCTCTCTAGCTTCTGCCTTCAATTCCACACCTTATCCAGATGCAAACTAGCTTTTAGGAAGCTTTAGGAGGTATTTTTTTTTCACTACGTATATTTTATTTGACTGAAAAATGATAAAATATCATTTAAATTGAATGTGCACCAACTGTGGCTCCTAAGCTGAATAATAACATAAATTTGTATCCATAAGCATAATAGGACATTTAATAATCCTTGTTACATCTATTGATTAACATACTCTGTAAAGTCATTTGGTCTTGTGCCAAATAGAAACTATAAAAATATAATGAGCTTTTTGTCAAAAACTGTTATGTAAGGCCTTGGAAGCTTCTAGTAGTTCAGTGCTTTCTATTCCATTCACGTTTTTGTTGAAATAAAATGGAAAAGAAAATAACCTTGTATATGCATATTAGAACTAACAGGTAAGGGTTTCCATGGATACTTCTTTTATGCAGCCAAAGAGTTCGTGTGCGGAAAAAGGCATTCATTTCTAGTTCTAAGAGATTCTGTTCTGATAAGGAACTCCTGCCAATCATTTTATGTCTTGACTTTCTAACAGAATAAAATAATATATATCATGTGTGTTATGTTGTAAGTCATGAGATAGTTCTATCTAAATAATCTTTTCAATCATCTGGCCTATTCGAGTAATGCCTTGGAATTTTATTAAAGCTTGAAAAAATCTATGAAGGTTTTGTAAGCAACTTTTAATGAGTTTATTGCTTTCTAGATCTGTATGAGGCATCTTTTTTCTCTCTCTCTTTTTCTTGGTCATCACTTAGGCAGTTTAAATTAACCAACTACCAGTGCTAGCATAAAAGTTTATCTTTTACTTAAAATAGCTTTTGGAGCAGTTTTATCTTTAATTTTATCTTGACTTGAAGAAATTTCAAATACCTTTGATTGAATCTTATTACTTGATATCCTACCCAAATGAAATTTTCTGCAAGTTTTCTTTTTATCTTTTCGAGAAACATGTCAAAAACGATGCACGATTTCAGACCATGAAACTGCTAGGTTAAATTTTAAGCCATATAGTTTTATGAGAAGCTTGATGAGGTTCTGTGACCTTTTAATGAGCAAATTCTTTCTAAACAACATGTTTTAAATGTAGCACTGTTGTTTTACACTGACATGCACCTAAGCAATTATATAAATTGTGGGCATGGCCTGTAGAATTGTTTTTAAAAAAATAATCTGAAAAATCATTTGATCTTAGATTTAAGAGTGAACTCTCAAATATATTCTGTTTTTACTAGTTAATACGGACTCTGGATAGCAGTAAAGTGTAAATCATGACCAGAATGGTAAACAAAGAGGCAATTAAAACATCACTCAACTTCCAAACTGATTAAATAATAAATTTTTGCAACAAAGCTTTCATGATTTATGTTTTCAAGTCCATAGATGCAACAGCCTTTTCACTGAGTGCAATATTGTCATGACACATACATTGTCATGGTACATTATACTATTATAATGTAAGATAAATGGCTGTCAAAAATACAGGTTACATAAGATGAGAAGAAACAGAAATGCAAACTATATTAAGCCCTAACATTGGTTTTGGCCTTAGCATAATCAAGATGACATCTTAATGATTACCAGGGATACTGTTTATAGAAGATGATTCCTGAAATGTATTTTATTATGGTATTGTGAACTGCTAGAAAGGGGCCTGCTTTCAAAAGCTGCTTTAAATAATTGGTATTTCATAATATGTATCCAGTATGTCATTAAGACTGCACACAGATTATTACAGTACTTTATTTATATTCAGCATCAAATTATGTAAACTTCCAGCCTAAGGTATTATAAAGTTACTTCTTGATGATGATTTATTTTGGTAATATAAAATATCCTATTCCTGCATCTTCTTCCTCTTCCCCATCATTCAGTATTAGTATTTTCCAAAGTTCATCATCATGGACTGTCTTCTTGCTTTTACACCCCACACCCCCCTTAACAATCTACTCATTCTAATGATTTTAACCACAACCTGTTCACCTAAAAAATCTATATCCTCCACAGATACTTCCAAATCATTATTTCATACCCAGACTTTTCACCCCAATTTTTGATGAAAGTATCTAATGCCTTACTTAAGAGTTCTACCTGGATATGCATCTTGAACCAAATATGTTTTACTCTTAAACTCAGCAACTTACTTCAAAATCTATTCCTCCTCCAAGACATGCACCTGAGTGCGGAGTGGGCCTATGGCCTCCACCTCACAGCTCAATCACCGGTTTTGAAGTACCATGAGTGTTATGTCCCAATGCCCTGACAAATTTGCCACTCCTCTCCAGCCCCTTTTCTCCTGCCCTAATTCACACACCCATCATCACTTTCCCGAATTATTTGAATAGCTCTTGATGTACAGGCTAGACTTCACGACTGCCTTCCAGAATTCATTCACTGCAGGCAGAATACTCTTTCTACAGCACGAGCTAATCAAGTTAGTTTTTTTTTTTTTTTTCCTAAACATCTTTCACTTTGCTCTACAGGACAAAAATCAAACTCCTTAAAATGTTATATGGGGTCTATTATGGTCTGGTCACGGTGATGCCATCCTTTGAAATTTAATCACCAAAATGTTCCCTCCACGTATAAAATACTCTCTGGCCTGCTTTCCTTCATTATGCCTTGTTTTTTCATGCTTCCAAGCCTTGGAACGTTCTATTCCTTTGCCTAAAATGTCCTTCTGACCATCCCACCCTCATCCCACCTGCCAATATCTACCCATCAGACTCCCCCTAATCACTAAGGACAATGTTAGCATCAACTTTTCTGTGAGCAAAACAAGATCCACCGCATTTGTTCCCACACCCCAGCACAGTCCTTGATTCTGCACTTTCGTAATCTGTCATGCACTCATCTAGTACAATAGGTGTTATGCTGGAATACAAGTATTTTCTGGTATATTAATTTCTCCACACAAAACTCAGATCACTTTAAGGAGAGAACATTGGAATTCAGGTCATGAGACTTGAGTCTGAACACAGGTTTTGTCAATTCCTCAGTGTACCACTTCAAAGCTGCAGGAGAAAAATACTCAATAAACTATAAGAATTACATGCTTTTAATACCTAAACATTTAACAAGCTGTTTCATATAAGTCAAAAAGTCAAGCTATTCGGTCAAATGCTTTCATCAACTGTGAAAATATGTGCTTGCAGAAATTCGTGAGTTTTGATAAGGCAAGTCTGTCGATAATTTTTATTTTCTTCTCATGGCAAGATGTCTATGAAAATCTAATTAATGTAAGCTCTGTAGGAAAGTTTATCTCCAGATCTTGATGAAGTCCAAAGTGTTTGTGGGTGGGTGGGTGTATGTATGTATAGGTGGGCTCTTAGTGTTCCAAACCTATGTAATATACTTGGTATTTATTGCTTTGGGCCATAATAAATTTAAGCAATAAGTGCATTTTATTCCTACTTTCTGCATAATACTGTGTCAGCACTGTGGACACAAAGGGTCCTGTGGGGCTCTGGAATCCAGACTTGGCAATAAGGTGGTGCAGGTCCTGCACAAATCAGCCATTAATATCTCTCCCCATCTCTAGTACTTCCTAGCACTGGGGAAACAGCAATATTAATAGTAATAAAAATAATATTTAACACTGCATTCATAATGTGCTAAGTACTTTAAAGTTAATATTAACTCAATAATCAATACTAATAATAATAATTTGAGCATCGGTCTTTTTTCTTTAGAGCTTCTTTAACTCCAGTTGAGTCAGTAACCTTGTATTTTGCAAATGCGTAGCTTGTCATGACTACCTTTAGTAGAGCAGTCATCAACTGGGTAAGTATTATTTTCCTTATTCTACAAAGGAGGCATGTAAGAGACAGAAATGGCAAATAAATTGTGTAGAAAGTGCTACTACTGAAATTTAAGCCCAGGGAGTCTAACTCCAAAGTCAGTGCTACTAAATACCACATTACAGGTTTATACTGTGGAAATTAGACCAAATAATTTATAAAAGGATACATTCAGCTCCAAGAGAGGGTTTGAGTCTATAAGAGACAAAAGCTTTGTCTTGATGTTAAGATTTATGGGCCAATTAGATGCATATATTTGAGCCTCAGGTCTTTTTAGTATCAGCCAGTGAACCTGCTCCTCTTTTCTGAGCCAGTGCCAGTCACCTGGAACTCCAGGGACCTGAAATCTTTAAAATGGATCAGTCTCTGCTGGGATTAGCCCCAGCCCAGGAATGGCTCCTTCACATGCAGGAAATGTTTGCCCTGGGGGAGAACACAGTCTAGTAGAGAAAACCAAGAGAAAACGTGGGTAAATGTTCAATCACAATGCAGAATTAAATACCAATGCAGCTAAGAGCCTGTGAATGCCACCACAGACAATAAGGAATGCATCATTCCAATATTCAGAGAGGGAGACATTCCTTTGTACTTGTGTAGTCTAGAAGGAAATGGAATCATGGACTCATCCTGGAAAGTATGGTGGTTTTCACTAGTTGTGAAGTATAGTGTAGAGTGAGGACATTCTTGATGAAAGAAACAAGGAGAACAAAGGTGTGGCATGAAAAATGTGCTTTGTATTCTCATAGGAGGATCCTGGAATATCACTTTTAGAAAAGCAGTTTAGATTACAGTGGTGACAGTATAGTCAGAAATGGTTCAAGACTAGGTGCAAATTTTTTTTTTTTTTTTTTGAGACGGAGTCTTGCTCTGTCGCCCAGGCTGGAGTGCAGTGGCGCGATCTCGGCTCACTGCAAGCCCCACCTCCCAGGTTCACGCCATTCTCCTGCCTCAGCCTCCCGAGTAGCTGGGACTGCAGGCACCCGCCACCACGCCCAGCTAATTTTTTTTTTTCTGTATTTTTAGTACAGACGGGGTTCCACTGTGTTAGCCAGGATGGTCTCCATCTCCTGACCTCAAGATCCGCCCGCCTCGCCCTCCCAAAGTGCTGGGATTACAGGCTTAAGCCACCGTGCCCGGCCAACTAGGTGCAAATTTTTAAATGCAAATATAGAGCTTTCAGCTATTCCTAACTTGTAGAACTAATTAAAACATGTTATTAATATCCAGCATTTAAAACAGAAGCCTATTCATGTGGATGCGGCTTTTAGAACAGAGAAAAAACACATGGTATCCCGACCGACCCTCCTCCCCACCATGGCTCTTAGAGTTAAGGGATTCCTGCTTATTTGTCCTGGTGTGGAAACTGTAGGATGCTTATATTGAGAGGTGACAGCATCCTGGCAGTCCTCAGAGCCCTCGCTTGCTCTCGGCACCTCCCCTGCCCGGGCTCCCACTTTGGTGGTATTTGAGGAGCCCTTCAGCCCCCCCACTGCACTGTGGGAGCCCCTTTCTGGGCTGGCCAAGGCTGGAGCCCACTCCCTCAGCTTGCAGGGAGGTGTGGAGGGAGAGGCACGAGCGGGAACCGGGGCTGCCTGCGGCGCTTGCGGGCCAGCTGGCGTTCCGGGTGGGCGTGGGCTTGGTGGGCCCCGCACTTGGAGCAGCCAGCCAGCCCTGCTGGCCCCGGGCAATGGGGGACTTAGCACCCGGGCTAGTGGCTGCGGAGGGTGTACTGAGTCCCCCAGCAGTGCTGGCCCACCGGCGCTGCGCTCAATTTCTCGCCGGGCCTTAGCTGCCTTTCCACGGGGCAGGGCTCAGGACCTGCAGCCCGCCATGCCTGAGCCTCCCACCCACTCCATGGGCTCCTGTGCCGCCCGAGCCTCCCTGACGAGCACCACCCCCTGCTCCACGGTGCCCAGTCCTATCTACCACCCAAGGGCTGAGGAATGCGAGCGCACAGCGCAGGACTGGCAGGCAGCTCCACCTGCAGCCCCAGTGCGGGATCCACTAGGTGAAGCCAGCTGGGCTCCTGAGTCTGGTGGGGACGTGGAGAGTCTTTATGTCTAGCTCAGGGATTATAAATACACCAATCAGCACCCTGTGTTTAGCTCAAGGTTTGTGAGAGCACCAATCGACACTCTGTATCTAGCTGCTCTGGTGGGGCCTTGGAGAACCTTTATGTCTAGCTCAGGGATTGTAAATACACCAATCGGCACTCTGTATCTAGCTCAAGGTTTGTAAACACACCAATCAGCACCCTGTGTTTAGCTCAAGGTTTGTGAGTGCACCAATCGACACTCTGTATCTAGCTGCTCTGGTGGGGCCTTGGAAAACCTGTGTGTGGAAACTCTGTATCTAACTAATCTGATGGGGACTTGGAGAACCTTTGTATCTAGCTCAGGGATTGTAAAGGCACCAATCAGTGCCCTGACAAAACAGGCCACTCGGCTCTACCAATCAGCAGGATGTGGGTGGGGCCAGATAAGAATAAAAACAGGCTGCCCGAGCCAGCATTGGCAACCCGCTCGGGTCCCCTTCCACACTGTGGAAGCTTTGTTCTTTCGCTCTTTGCAATAAATCTTGCTACTGCTCACTCTGGGTCTATGCTGCTTTTATGAGCTGTAACACTTACTGCGAAGATCTACAGCTTCACTCCTGAGCCCAGCAAGACCACGAGCCCACAGGGAGAAATGAACAACTCCAGACACGCTACCTTAAGAGCTGTAACACTCACCGCGAAGATCTGCAGCTTCACTCCTGAGCCAGAGAGACCACGAACCCACCAGAAGAAAGAAACTCCGAACACATCTGAACATCAGAAGGGGCAGACTCCAGACGCGCCACCTTAAGAGCTGTAACACTCACCGCGAGGGTCCACGGCTTCATTCTTGAAGTCAGTGCGATCAAGAACCCACCAATTCCGGACACAATATCTGACTCACTTTTAGAGAGATTTCAACTACCTACCTAATTCAGGCCTCAATATTGTGGAGAAGGCACGGAAATGCAGCAATAAATATTTTGTATGCTTTTCTTTATCTGAAAAAAAGTTAACATCTTTAAATATTTGCTTCCATTGAAAAAAACACCATGTATTTCTGATGTATATCTTGTGGGTTGAAATACATTCAAACAATGTAAGAAAACATACACACATAAAAAAAGGATTTTGAAAACCACTTTGTATTCTACCACCACAAAATTGCCATTGTAAATATTTTGTATGTGGTATTATCCTTCTTTCCTTTGATTGATTGATGATTTGTTTATTTACTTTTTTTACAGATAGCAAGATTATGAAGTTGACATGTCGTTGTATTTCTTTTCTTCATGGTTGGAGGGCTGTGTCGAGACATTACATGATAATGTGCAGCAGTGACTTCACTTACCTCTCTCTGTTCTCATTCTCTTTCCGTTTCTCGAGCTCTCCTTCGGTCACCCTTCCTCTGAGGCAATGCATGAAAATATTTCAGTGTGTTCATTTCTGTATTCAGTAGACATTTCCAGAGAAAAAGAACTGAAAGAAAAGGCTGAAGTGGGAGGGTATCTGGGTTTTGACATGTTTTAAGATTTGGTTCTGTGTCCTCGGCTAGGGTTTTCTAAGTTGATTGGGGATGCCCTAATTCCCACGGAGGGATGGAAGATTGACAAAAGAGAGTACTATACTACTTTGGGCCATTTTCCAAATCCAGAATGTAGCTGCATGGACTTTATTTCTGACAGCATCAACCTCATTTTTCATTTTCCCTATTTTTCCTATAATTTTCAGCAGCAATTTCTGCCACAGTTCCATCTAAAACAAAAAGATGAGGGTAATGATAGTTTGCTTTTCTGCATAGCTGGAGATACCATGAGACTATCCAGAGTTAGTAGATGCACCAGATTGACTTCTGGATTCAGGGGAAGTTTGAACCCCACTTGTGTTGCCTTTCCTTTCCAGATCCTTCCACTCCCCTCCAGAATCTTCCATTTATTTTTTTGGTTGTGAATATTGAAGCTTATGCTGCTATATTAGGCTCCTTTCCCTGTTTTTTTTTGTTAGGATTGACTGATTAATTTTGCTCATTTTGTTAGGTATTAAGGAAGAGAAGTTTACATATCTTAACCCAGAAGTTCAGAGTCTGGTAATAACAGTTGTCCCCGGATATACCAAGAACTTTGGGTATAATAATTCCATCCTTTCAGTTTCTTATGTCTCTTTATGTGCTCTTCTTGACATCAAAAATAAGAAACATTTCCTCACTTGAGCCACATTCAGAAATGGGAAAAGCACCAGGTAGAGCAATTCTTAAATCTTCTGAGTTTTTAGCCAAAAGAGTGTTTTTCCTCTTTTTTTCAAGACTATCTAAGAAATTCACCTATTAGATACTAATGTCTCCTAAGAACCTTACCTAAATCAACTTTTTCTAAGGCATACTTTAGAAAACATTATTCTAACAAAGGACATGCCAGAGACTTGAAACAGAACATCTGATGATTGTGTCACTTATTCTGACCAATACTTCTAAGGAATCTTAATGTTATTTATTTAAAGCAAAAAAAAAGATATTTAGAAACTAAAATTATCTGAGATTTATAAAAATTAAATCATGTTGTGCCATGCTGCAGAGGAATTAAAAAGGAATATACACTATAAATGAAGAATCCAGAGGACAAGTAGTAGTAATTTGGAGGAACTGAGTAGATATCAGTGATGACTACTATGGAATGAAGTAAGGATTTAGCTGTTTATTTATGCATTTAAACAGTAAAAATTTCAGCCAGAGATGAGAGATTAGAAATTTAAAAATAAATAATTAGTAAAAATTACATATTAGAGACAATCTAAATAGCCAAGGATAGTGAAAAGTTTAAATAAACCTTGGGATGTCAACATAATGGAATATTATACACTGTTAATAATAGTTGGGTCTGTAAAGATGGATTATTTATATAATGAAAAACTCACAACCTAATATTAAGTGAAACCGGTTATACATATGTATATATGGGATGATTTCAATTGTGTTAAATACATATCTGACTTCTTATCAAACTGGAAGTAATTATACTAACATTTTAGAAGTGTTTATTTCTAGCTTGTGGGCTTTAGGGTATTTATTTTCTTTTTTATATCTTGTTATTTTTCTTCCTTGAAGGGTGCTGTGTGCTCATTAAATATGAAGTATTCTTTCTCTCAGAATGCAATAAGACTTTTGAACAGAGGAATGGCATGACTTGATTTATGTTGAGGAAAGCTCTGACTTCCCGGTGGAGAATAGGCTGTAGACGTGGAGAGCAGGTAGGAGGCTACTGCAATGACCTGGATGACAGATGATAGGGGTTTGGACTAGGGTTACAGTAAAAAAGTGGTAAGATATGGAAAATGTGTGATATATTTTTAAGGTAGAGCCAACAAAATCTGTCCATGGTTAAATGTGTAGTGTGTGAGAAAAAAAAAGACCCCCGGAGGGTGTCTATCTTTTTGATTAACATGAGGTATACATAAATACCTCATATATTTAATAAGCACACATTACCCTTAAAGGAAGAAAAATGTATTTTATGTTAATTTACATTAATGAAGCAACAATAAAGAAGTCATCTTTATCAGATGTCTTAATGAAGAAAGCTGAAAAAAAGATCAAGAAGCACTTTCAATGAAAAAACTACAAACATTTTGCCAGGAGACCAAGGCTATGAAAAGATCAAAGAATGAAGCTTTAAAGTCCTAGTCATCTTTCTAGATGAAAGAAAATGAAGATTTTCCTGTGTCTAGAATGAAAAGCCAAGGCTTAATTAAGTAGCAGTTGGAAATGATTGAGTACTGGTGAATGAAATTTAGGGTCTCACAAAATTTTAGATTTAGTTCAGAGTTCAGAAGTCATCCAATCCAACCTTTGGATAGGTTCTAGAATCCATTCTTCAGTACAATTGATAAATGGTCATCCAATTGCTGTTTGATTACCTCCAGTTGACATGTAACTCATCACCTTTGGAGATAGTCTGCTCTTGTGTCACAATTCTAGATGTTAGAACATTCCCTCTTATGTGGCATTGAAATTGGAGTCCCTGTAACTTCCACTCATCCATCCTAATTAAGACTCGAAGAGTTTGAACAGGTGGGAAAAAAATTTTAATCAGTGAAAATATTGATACATTTCCATAGAATTTAGGAGAGAAAATCTGAAGAATTTATAGGTGTAAGTCAATTTTTGTCTTCGACACAGAAGTGTTTCTAATATTTAATGGCATGCCTCTTTTTAATCCTCTGCTCTCCAGAATGATTATCTTCAGTTACATGAGACAATTTTTGTGTGACATGGTTTCCAAGACCCTAACAGTCCAGGGAGTCCTCTTTTAGAAGCTGTGCTGAGTGGTTCAATCGACTGGTTGGAACTAGTTCTTTCTGGGAACTGTGTTTTCTATATTCCCCTTTCCTGTAAGGTTAGAGTTAGAGCTGCCAAAAGAGGAACTCACATGAGATTCAGAGGAAGTAGGAGTCATCACACTCTGAAGATGTTCACAGGCAATACAGTGATGAAAATATGCTTGGAGGGTTTCAGCTCGTGCTCACTCTGCTGTGCTCCACATTCAAATCTCCTTCCTGACTGCTGGCCCTGTTGTGCAAGAGTAGCCCCCAGCCCACAACCAGACACTTAGGGGAAGACACACAGTCAACATAGACTCAATAACCAATGCTGCCCATAGATATAATGTGAACCCGGTATATAATTTTAAATTTTCTAGCAGCCACATTAACAAGGCAGAAGAAAACAAACAAGTGAAAGTCGATTTTAATATGTTTAGTATAACCCATTATAAATAAAATGTTATCAATTCAACACATAGACAATATTAAAAATATCTAATGAAACACCAAGGAGTCCAGTGGGTGAGGTGGAAGGAGATGGGGATGAGGGAGAAGTGTAATGAAGAGCCAGATTGTGCAGGATGCAGTAGACCATGATAATGGTGTGGGACTTTTTCTCAGAATGCAAGAAGACTTTTGAGCAGAGGAATGGCACGACTTGATTCACATTGAGGAAAGCTCTGACTCCTCAGTGGAAAATAGGCTGTAGAAGTGGAAAGCAGGTAGGAGGCTACTGCAGTGACCTAGATGATAGATGATGGGGGCTTGGACTAGGGTTACAGTATAAAAGTGATAAGGTATGGAAAATGTGTGCTATATTTTCAAGGTAGAGCCAACAAAATCTGTCCATGGTGAAACGTGTAGTGAGAGAGATAGAGAAGAAAGACCCTATCTTTTGGGATTAAGCACCTAAAAAATATAGTGTCATTTACTATGAAGAAGGAGACTAAGAAAGAGCAGGTTTGTTTTGATTGGTCCAGCATACATTATGATTTTAAACATTTATTCTTTTATCTTTGTCATTTTAATAAACACACGTTTATCTAAACTGCAGGCATAAACTTTGAGCTAAGGAGAGCTAATTACTGAGTCCATGGTCCCACTCAGCCTAATACCCAGGCATTGCCATTATACTCGGAATATACTTAATTTGTCTTATTCCACTATTTTCCATCAAAAATACATTTACACATCTTGTTCGCAACTATAAAACTCACACAGTCTCATGTTTCATGTATAGCATTACTTTGAATTCCCAAAATCATGGCCCCATTTCTTCCTTCCCTACGTAACCTGGACTACCAATTCACGAATTCTTGCCTGTACCCTCCAGTGCCTAAACCTCTTGTCTTTTCAGCCCATGAGAATTACCGGTCCCTAACCTGTGATTAATCCAACCATCTGCTTGCGCAACAGAAATTCATAAGCTGCCAAACACTGCTTGGGAAAAATTGCATAACTGTACTGCTTGGACTTATTGCATATTTACCATTTCCAAACTCAACTTAGTCCTCAGTACAGCTTGGCAATCCTTATGTCTGTATTCATTCAGATATTTTTCCTATTCACCAAGGTGACCATTTTATAACTTCACACTCCTGCGCAAGCTTTCACTTTCATATCCAGGAGAAAAAAACTACTTACCGCTTTCCAGAAAACAAAATGAATACTCTATGCACTAAATTTATTCAAATGTCCTTCTCTGATTCCAACATTACATATATTTACTCTCACCTTCACCTGCCTTATTACTGTCATATTTCTCTTTTGCCCATCATCGAAAACTTCCTTCCACTCACTACATAAATCCCATGCCTTGTTCATGGCTCTGGGTCTTTCCAGATGCAATTTCATCATCTTCAACGATTTCTATTGTTTCAACGTCTACACAGTTTTCAAAGTGCAATGGAAATGTTGTTTGCCAGTGAAACCCCACCCCCAAACCAGCTGCCATAGACAAAGATGGCAAATCCCTCCTCTTTATTGTCGTAGTATGCTATTGAGACACAAATTATAGCACTCCTTATATTTTGCTACAATTATGTGTGTTATCTATTTCTGCCACTAAATCTAAGACTTTGATGGAGCAGACCTTTTGTTATTGGTCTATGTGTATTCAATTCAAAAGCATGCAAAGTGGTTTTTATATTCTCTCACTGAACAACAACAATCAACAATCAACACAGACAACTTCTGTGACCAAATTTGGTGGAGAGGGCTGGGTTCTACCCATCACTAAGCAAGCAATCAGTTCTGCAGTGGATAAATGGGTGTCCTCCAATTTAATTCTGACACTATGTAGCTGGAGATAGCATCACATCCCACAGATTGAGGGTTCAGTCCCTAAGACTGCCCCCTTCCCCAGACACCAACAATTGCTAGTTTGGGCCTCCAGAACTTCTGACCCACTGGCTTCAAGTTGGGGTTCTCAAGATCTTCTCTTTGGGTTTGATTAATTTGCCAGAGCACCTCACAAAATTCAAGGAAACATGTTTACTGGTTTATTATAAAAGGCATTACAAAGAATACAGATGAAGAGATGCACAGGGTGAGGTATGAGGAAAGGGGCATACAGAGCTTCCATGCCCTCCCTGGGTGGCACTCTTCAGGAACCTCCCTGTATTCAGCTATCTACAAATCTCTGAACCCTGTCTTTCGGGCTTTCATGGAGGCTTCATTATGTAGGCATGATTGGTTAAACCATTGGCCATTGGTGATCAACTCAATCTTCAGTCTCTCTCTCCTCCCTGGAGGTTAGGAGGTGGGACTGAAAGCCCCAGCCCTCTAATTCTCCACTGGTTTTCTGGTGACCAGCCCCTAGTTCTGAAGCTACCTAGAGGCTGCCAGCCCTACGTCAACTCATTAGCATACAAAAAGACATCACTCAGGCATTTTTAAAGATTTTAAAAGTTGAATGCCAGGAAATGGGATACATAACATTTACATACCAAATACCAAATACGTATTTCACAATATCACAATACTGTATAGATTTTTTTGACAAGAGTTTGCTTGGAGATGTGCTGGACAGAGGCAAGGCTGTGGTGATGACAGTCTTAAAAAGATGTTTTGTGTTGGACACAAGAGAGCATTTTTCATTGGTTACAGAAGTGAAATTGATCCATGCCTGTCAGCCTTAGAAGTGTGTTCATTTCAGTAAAGCTGAATGGAGTGTACTTTCTTAAGTGTGGACTCACATTGAGAAATCCATGCTATGGAAGCTGACTTCCATAGTATAAGGCTATAACTGATTGGTTGACTTTTACTGATAAGATACAGGAAAAGGAAAATAACGTGACTATCACAAGTGCCACTGCTTGGTGTTACACAGTCTCCTCTGCAAAGTTTACCTTTGGCTTGAAAGAATAAACCAATAAACATATTAATGCAAGGAACTTTCCAAATTGGGAGCTATCCACAAGGCTGCTTTTCCATTTCTGGTCTATTAAGTAATGTCACATTATCCTTGAAAGCAATAACACAGGAATTCATGTTTGCTGAGGAAGCTCCTTTGAAATTTGTCTCGAAGCACAGAGAGCAGGAAAGATAAGCAAGCTGACATATATTTAACCAGTGTGTATATCACCTTCCATTTATTATCAATTAATTTCCAAAACTGAGAGGTGACAACGTGCTAGGAGCCCTTGCTCGCTCTTGGCACCTCCTCAGGCCTCGGCATCCACTCTGGCCATGCTTGAGGAGCCCTTCAGCCCCCCGTTGCACTGTGGGAGCCCCTCTCTGGGCTGGCCGAGGCCTCAGCCGGCTCCCTCTGCTTGTGGGGAGGTGTGGAGGGAGAGGTGCGGGCGGGAACTGGGGCTGCGTCTGGCACTCACAGGCCAGTGTGAGTTCCAGGTTGGCGTGGGCTCCGCGGGCCCTGCACTCGGAGCTTCCCGCCAGCACTGCCACCAGCCCTGGGCAGTGAGTGGCTTACCACCCAGGACAGCAGCTGCAGAGGGTGCGCTGGGTCCCCCAGCACTGCCGGCCCATCCGTGCCTCACTCAAATTCTCACCAGGCATCAGCCGCCTCCCTGCGGGGCAGGGCTCGGGACCTGCAGCCTGCCATGCCCGAGCCCCCACCCCCCGGCCCCCCTGGGCTCCCACACGGCCCAAGCCTCCCTGACGGGCACCGCCCCCTGCTCCATGGTGCTGTGTCCCATTGACCGCCCAAGGGCTGACGAGTGCAGGCACACTGTGCAGGACTGGTGGGCAGCTCCACCCACAGCCCCAGCACGGGATCCACTAGGGGAAGCCAGCTGGGCTCCTGAGTTGGGTGGGGACTTGTAGCACTTTTATGTCTAGCTAAAGGATTGTAAATGCACCAATCAGCACTATGTGTCTAGGTCAAGGTTTGTAAATGCACCAATCAGTGCTCTGTGTCTAACTAATCTAGGGGGGACTTGGAGAACTTCTGTGTCTAGCTAAAGGATTGTAAATGCACCAATCAGCACTCTGTGTCTAGCTCAAGCACCAATCAGCACCCTGTCAAAATGGACCAATCAGCTCTCTGTAAAATGGGCCAATCTGCTCTCTGTAAAATGGACCAATCAGCAGGATGTGGGTGGGGTCAGATAAGGGAATAAAAGCAGGCTGCCCCAGCTAGCAGCTGGAACCTGCTTAGGTCCCCTTCCGCGCTGTGGAAGCTTTGTTCTTTTGCTCTTTGCAATAAATCTTGCTGCTGCTCACTCTTTGGGTCTGTGTCACCTTTATGAGCTGTAACACTCACCGTGAAGGCTGCAGCTTCACTCCTGAAGCCAGCGAGACCATGAACCCACTGGGAGGGACAAACAACTCCTCCGGACGGGAAGAACGAACGACTCCAGATGCGCCGCCATTAAGAGCTGTATCACTCACAGTGAAGGTGTGCAGCTTCACTCCTGAAGCCAGCAAGACAACAAACCCACCAGGAGGAAGAAACTCCGGACACATCTGAACATCTGAAGGAATAAACTCTAGACACACCATCTTTAAGAACAGTAACACTCACTGCGAGGGTCTACGGCTTCATTCTTGAAGTCAGCGAAACCAAGAACCCACCAATTCCGGACACAAAACCACCAAATAAGGTAGATGTTCTTATGTTCATTTATGTGAAAAGATTAGAACTTAAGTAAGAGTTTCAATCTCATATAGTTAGTGACAAAATTAGAATTCAAACCCAGGTCATAGCCAAAATTTTTTCCTGTTTTGTATCATACTCCCAGACCTAAGGAAAAGTAAGAATGCCTTTGAAGAAATCAGCCTGGAGAGAACAAGCAGTGGAAGCTGGGAAAGTCTCTACCAGTGTTCCTGACATGGAAAAGAAGCTGTGCCAAAATCTATAATATTTCTGAACCTCTTCTCCATTGACTGATTGTTTTTATAGTTATAGAATAAAAATTCAAATCTTACATATTAGAAAGTTACACAATCTCAACAGTTCCTGCCATTCTCAGGGAGATGTTTGCTGTACAAAAAGTCACACTACAAATCAGTGTGGTATAATTAGGTTCTAGTGGGTATCTATAACCAGTTACTTCAACAGATTCACATAAAAAATGAGTATATGACTCGATAATTCTATCTATACCATGTTTTTTTTTTTTTTTTTTTTTTGAGACGGAGTTTCGCTCTGTCGCCCAGGCTGGAGTGCAGTGGCGCGATCTCGACTCACTGCAAGCTCCGCCTCCCGGGTTCACGCCATTCTCCTGCCTCAGCCTCCCGTGTAGCTGGGACTACAGGCGCCCGCCACCACGCCCGGCTAATTTTTTGTATTTTTAGTAGAGACGGGGTTTCACCGTGTTAGCCAGGATGGTCTCGATCTCCTGACCTCGTGATCCGCCCGCCTCGGCCTCCCAAAGTGCTGGGATTACAGGCGTGAGCCACTGCGCCCGGCCTATACCATGTATTTTTAAATGATCAAAATAAACCTATAAGGCTCTATAAAGGACATCAAAAAACAAAAAACAAATCTAGCTAGCTTACATTTTTTAAGGTTTTCTGGGAGTCATATGTACTACTGTAGTAAGCACTTAAAACAAGAATGGGTTATAAAAATGGAGAGAAGAATGGAGTTAATAATTTTTTAGGATGGGCACGGTGGCTCATGCCTGTAATCCCAGCACTGTGGGAGGCCGAGGTGGATGATCATTTGAGGTCAGGAATTCAAGACCATCTTGGCCCACATCGTGAAACCCTGTCTCTACTAAAAATATAAACATTAGCCAGGCAGTAGTGGCACACGCCTGTAATCCCAGCTACTTGGGAGGGTGAAGGAGGAGAATTGCTTGAGCCTGGGAGTCAGAGGTTGCAGTGGCCAAGATCGTGCCACTGCACTCCAGTCTGGGCAACAGAGTAAGACTCTGTCTCAATAATAATAATAATGATAAAAATAATTTTTAATGCATGTCATGAAGTCTTATTTACTAACTTTGGACAGATCACAAATTTAACTCCAGTTATTTTAAATTCTAAACCAGAGAAAACTATTTTAAAATTCATATGGAACCAAAAAAGGGCCCATATAGCCAAGGCAATCCTAAGCAAAAAGAACAATGCTGGAGGCATCACCCTGCCCGACTTCACACTATACTACAGGGCTATAGTACCAAAACAGCATGGTACCAGTACAACAGAAACACAGACCAATGGAACAGAATAGAGAATGCAGAAATAAGACCACCCACCTACAACTATCTGATCTTCAACAAACCTGACAAAAGCAAGCAATGGGGAAAGGATTCCCTATTCAGCAAATGGTGCTGGGAGAACTGGCTAGTCATATGCAGAAAATTGAAACTGGACCTCTTTCTTATACCATATACAAAAATCAACTCAAGGTGGGTTAAAGACTTAAATGCAAACCCCAAAACTATAAAAACTCTGGAATACAACCTAGACAATACCTTTCAGGACATAGACACAGGCAAAGATTTCATGACAAAGACACCAAAAGCAATTGCAACAAAAGCAAAAAATTGACAAATGACATCTAATTAAACTAAAGAGCTTCTGCACAGCAAAAGAAACTATCAACAGAATAAACAGACAACCTACAGAATGGGAGAAAATTTTTTGCAAACTGTGCATCCAAAATAGGTCTAATAGAAGGAACTTAAACAAATTCACAAGAATAAAACAAACAACTCCATTAAAAAGTAGGTAAAGGGCATGCACAAACACTTCTCAAAAGAAGACATTCATGCAGCCAACAATCATATGAAAAAAAGCTCAACCTCACTGATCATTAGAGAAATGAAAATAAAAACCACAAAGAAATACCATCTCACGCCAGTCAGAATGGCTATTACTAAAAAGTAAAAAAATACAGTAACAGATGCTGGCAAGGTTGTGGAGAAAAAGGAATGCTTTTACACTATTGGTGGGAGTGTAAATTAGTTTAACTATTGTGGAAGATAGTGTAGAAATTCCTCAAAGACCTAAAGACAGAAATATGATTTGACCCAGTGATCCCATTACTGGGTATATATCCAAAAAAATAATTCCATTATAAAGACACATGCACACTTACGTTCATTGCAGCACTATTCACAATAACCCATCAATGATAGATTAGATATCATCTAGCCCATCAATGAAAGACTAGATAAAGAAAATATGGGTCGGGGCAGTGGCTCACGCCTGTAATCCCAGCACTTTGAGAGGCCGAAGTGGGCGGATTACGAGGTCAGGAGACCGAGACCATCCTGGCCAACATGGTGAAAGCCCGTCTCTACTAAAAACACAAAAATTAGCTGGCTATGGTGGCACACACCTGTAGTCCCAGCTACTCAGGAGGCTGAGGCAGGAGAATCACTTGAACCCGGGAGACAAAGGTTGCAGTGAGCTGAGATCACACCACTGCACTCCAGCCTGGTAACAGAGAGAGACTCCATCTCAAGAAAAGAAGAAAAAGAAAAAAAGAAAACCTGGTACATATACTCCACAGAGTACTATGCAGCTATAAAATAAACAAGAAGATCATGTCCTAACACTGGAACAGAAAGCCAAATACCTCATCTTCTCACTTATAAGTGGGAGCTAAATGATGAGAACACATGGACATATAGAGGGGAACAACACACACTGGGGCCTGTTGGAGGGTGGAGGTTTGGAGGAGGAAAAGGATCAGAAAAAATAGCTAATGGATACTAGGCTTAAGACACAGGTGATGAACTAATGTGTGCAACAAACCCGCAAAACACACTTTTACCTATGGAACAAACCTGCACATCCTGCACATATATGCCTGAACTTAAAAGTTAAACAAAACAAAACAAAACAAAGATTTAGTGTTACTCTTAATAATACAATAATAGCTCAGACTTAGTACTACAGCTTTTAATTGCCAAAGGAAGGAGTGAAACATGATGATACCACAATTTAGTACATACACATTGAAAGCAAATCAGATTATCAGAGCAGAAGAACTTTTTTGATACTAAACCAATAATCCAATTTATTTTCTGAATATTCAGAAGCACAGCATTGAGTAATAGCTTTAAAAGTTACCTTATAGAGGACATAACAACTACTTTCATTAAATTGTTTCATATAGCACATCCAGGTATTTTTAGTATTTCAATATATTTCTATTAACAAGTGGCAAACATAGCAAAGTGACTGGGCGTGGTGGCTCATGCCTGTAATCCCAGCACTTTGGGAGGCCGAGGCGGGTGGATCATCTGAGGTCAGGAGTTCGAGACCAGCCTGGCTAACATGGTAAAACCCTGTCTCTACTAAAAATACAAAAATTAGCCAGGTGTGGTGGCGGGTGCCTGTAATCCCATCTACTCGGGAGACTGAGGCAGGAGACTCTCTTGAACCCAGGAGGCAGAGGTTGCAGTGAGCCGAGATCATGCCACTGCACTCCAGCCTGACCAATACAGTGAGATTCCATCTCAAAAAGAAAAGAAGGAAGGAAGAAAGGAAGGAAGAAGGGGAAGGAAGGAAGACAGAAAGAAGAAAGAAAGAAAAGAAAAGAAAAAAAGAAAGAAGGAAAGAAGGGAAGGAAAAGAAAGAAAGAGAAAAGTATATTCAGGATATTAAATGAGGGTTTAGTCTTTTTCATTAATTATTTATTTTTGAATAAATCACATATAGCACAAAACACAAAAAGTAGAATGAAAGTTCCTCCTTACCCTGTCCTCTAGCGACCCAATTCCCAATGGGTAGGAACTGATATTTAAAACTATAATTCAATAAAAGTTCTCTGAAATAGAGGAAGGCCTAGATCTACATATTGAATGGATCTATCATTTATCAAAAGAAAAAAAATCAATCCAGAAAGGTCAACTGTGAGACATATCCTAGTAAAATTATTGAAATTTAAAAGAAAAGATCCCTCTGGGTTTCCAAGCAAAATCAAAAAGTCATTTACAAAGGAAGGAAAATCAGGTTGGCATCACAATTCTTGTCAGCAACGGTCAAAGCAAGTAAACAGTGCAATAGCACTGCCCATAAACTTAAAGGGAGAAATGTAAGGAAAAGATTTTATATCCAGCCACACTGTTTTTCAGATATTAAAGACATCCAGGAGTCTTTCCTGGTAATCTACTAAAAGATGAATTTAATTTAACAAAGAGATCATTAGGGAAACCAGTGAAATAACTGGTAATGATGATTAAATATGCTTAATTAAATGACCAAAATAAACCTACAAGGCTCTATAAACTACATCAAAAAATGAAAAACAAATCTAGCCAGCTTACATTTAGATCTATGACTATAACATAGGTGAGAATGAGAGAGAAAAATTAGTATGTAAATATTATTTGCTCTGTCAAAATCAAAATAACACAAAAAGAAATAAAATTGAGTGAAAATATAATATGTTCATTGACTGCTGTAAAGATAATAGGTAGAAATAAAAGGAAATTAAGGGTGACAGAGGAGTAAAAATCTAAGGACGAAGACCATTAAATGCAAGTATCAAAATAAGATAATACTTTTTGAAAATACAAATCTTTCTAAACACAAAAAAGTATTACAAAATAAAAGAAAACATTTAATTTAAAAAGCAAAGAAGGCCAGGCGCAGTGGCTCATACCTGTAATCCCAGCACTTTCAGAGGCTGAGGCAGGTGGATCACGAGGTCAGGAGATTGAGACCATCCTGGCTAACAGTGAAACCCCATCTCTACTAAAAACACAAAAAATTAGCTGGATGTGGTGGCGGGCGCCTGTAGTCCCAGCTACTCGGGAGGCTGAGGCAAGAGAATGGCATGAACCTGGGAGGCGGAGCTTGCAGTGAGCTGAGATCGCGCCACTGCACTCCAGCGTGGGGGACAGAGGGAGACTCGTCTTTTGAATAAACATAGAATTTAACCCTCTCAGTCTCAAAACTTGAGAAAGTTACATTTGTCTTATCTGAGTTCCTTTTTCAGGAAACTAACTATCAGGCTCCCAGATAGTATCAAGGAACTGACACACTTATCGGATCACCTTATCTGCACAATGAGCCCTCAGACTCCTCACTCATCATGATTGCCTAAGTGGCCATCTGCTTCCTGTTGACCAACCCCTCTTCTTTACCCCTCCCTAATTCCTGTCCTCCTGCATGTAGTTACAATTCTTCCCTGCTATATAAACTACTATTTTTAATCAGTCAGGGAGATGGATTTGAGACTGATCTCCCATTTCCTTGGCAGTAGCACCCCATTAAAGCCTTCTTCCCTGGCAGTACTCATCTCAGTGACTAGCTTTCTGTGCAGTGAGCAGCAGGACCTAGACCGAACCCCTGGTGTTTCAGTAACACTACAGAATGAAAGATACCCAGTAAATATTATGTTATGAATTATTATCTGCAGATAAAAAAATCAAATATCTATCAAATTACTACATGTGAATAGGCTCAACTTATCTGTTTTTAAAAAATTCAGATTGACTTAAAAGTCAAAATGCAATATTCTACAAGACAATTTATTTCTTTGAAAAGTCATTCTCATTCTTCTGCAATTTCTTATCATGAGCATTTGTCAATATCAGCTTTATTCCATTTATACCATACATTTGCAAAACAAGTTTTTATCACTCAAATCTTGCTGTTCCAAATTCAGGTCTTCAGAAGCAATTTTACCTTGGTTGTTTATTAAAGTAGAGAAAAATGAGCAAATGTTTGCTATTGAGGAAAATAAAGAAAAGAAAATCCATCATATAATTCATTTTATTCTTACATGCTAAACGGTTCCAGGCTTTCTCTTTTTATTTCTTACTAACTTGCCTCAGCTTTTTAAGACTAAATACAAAAAAAAAAATTAATGAACACTTCACAAAAAGATAATTATTTTAGAGTCTCTCTGTTTCCTTGCTATGTAGTCATAAGCAAATCGCTAATCTCAATCTCTTCTAAAATGTTTACATCCTTCCTATATTGCAGGAAATAAAATTTAACTTATTTTATAAGTCATCTATAAGTAATATAAACTGGCTGGGCACAGCGGCTCACACCTGTAATCCCAGCACTTTGGGAGGCCGAGGCGGGCGAATCACAAGATCAAGAGATCAAGACCATCCTGGTCAACATGGTGAAACCCCATCTCTACTAAAAATGTGAAAATTAGCTAGGCATGGTGGTGCGTGCCTGTAGTCCCAGCTACTTGGGAGGCTGAGGCAGGAGAATCGCTTGAACCCAGGAGGTGGAGGTTGCAGTGAGCCAAGATCTCACCACTGCACTCCAGCCTGGTGACAGAGTGAGACTCCCTCTCAAAAAATAATAATAATAATAATAGATAAGTAATATAAACTACTGCTACTTACATATTTTATAGAATTTTTACTGACTTTAAATTAAATAATATTCCCATGCAGAAATGCTGGAATATACAGATGTGAAAAAGAAACAATAGTAAAATCAGCCACAATTCTACAACTACAGCTACTCTCTCACCACCATGAAATAGAAACCTGTGTAACTGCCACCAGGCTTGTGTGCAGCCTGCTGCCCCCTTCATCAGCTCTGTGATGTTTAAGTAGAGATGCACCATGCAGGGGACATGGATGTGGGTGGGAAAAGGCAAAACAAAGGCTCTAGTTGCATGATAGGCACTGGCACCTGGTAACCCAGGCCAGAGGTGGAACAGAGGTTGAATATACAAGTAAGAAAGTAGCATTAGATAAACTATAATCTACTTAGACTTTTAACAGAAAGTCATTTTGTGACCTCCTAGTTTTCTCTTCATTGCAGAGAGTCAGAAATAGAAAATATATTTCTCTAAAATATTAATGCATATAATTTTTCAAATTACAAATAATAGAGGTTCCATGGAAAAAAATAAGTAATATGAAAAAGTACAAACAAAAAGAATTTAAAACCCTAGCTTATCTCATCACCAAACACTGCCAACATGTCTTGTCACCAACAAGCCTTTTCAACATGTTGTTAGGGGTCAATATAAAGATATTACCTATAGAAAGAATGAACCATTACCTATTATTGTGTCCCCTCATCGTCTTCTTAGTTACAGTCAGTTAGAGTTGGTCCTTAAACACAACTTAGTCACAGTTATATTGAGTGATTTCTGAGTATTAAGAGAGTTAATTACTCCAGCTTAAAAACTAATTGCTGGTTGATACAAAAATCAATTAGGTTGCTAAATATCCAGCTTTCACAATCATAAAATCTTTCCTACCTCCACATATTTCTGTTTGGATTAGGTTGGATGACTCCTCAGTTTCCTTCTAGCACTAAAAGGTGATTTTCTGAAAAGTAATACAGAAACTAAGACATTCACTTATAAGTTAGTTTTGGTGAGACATTCTTAAAGTTAACAAAAAATTGATTCAAACCATTTCTTCTAATGTATTTTGACATTTGCTCTTTCAGCATGAAGTTAGTTACCAAGCAAAAGCAGGTTCTTAATAATTTATGTTGTCTACTTTGAATGTGATTACTCACAGGAGTCTGCAGAAATGAATCAATACTTGCTTAGCTTCTCAAAAAAGTAAATCGGAGATGATTGTTACAGTCATGCACGTTAATTTAGGCTGCCAAATTAATTTCTCAACACTCCTTATGCTACGACAGTCTTAATTAAGAAACAACTAAGGTTGCCTTTTCTTCTTATAGGTACTGCTGAGCCATTGGCTCTGAACAAAGTCATTTAACCCCTTTGATGTACGAGATTTAAAAAAAACAACAAAGAGGCTGGGCACGGTGGCTCACGCCTGTAATCCCAGCACTTTGGGAGGCTGAGGCGGGTGGATCACAAGGTCAGGAGATCAAGATCATCCTGGCCAACATGGTGAAACTCCATCTCTACTAAAAATACAAAAATTAGCGGGCATGGTGGCACGCATGGTAGTCCCAACTACTCAGGAGGCTAAGGCAAGGAGAATTGCTTGAACCCGGGAGGCAGAGGTTGCAGTGAGCTGAGATCACACCACTGCACTCCACCCTGGACAACAAACAGAGCAAGACTCCATCTCAAAACAAACAAAATGAGAAAATCTACAAAGTATTATATATTGTATACTGTACATCTGTAAAAGGGCTTTACAGTGAACAAAGTGATTCCATGCTCTATTTCTGTAATCTATTTTCTGTTCTGCGAGATGTAACCTAGGCCTCCTGGGAAGCTATTTTAATGTGGTATGGATCTTGACAGTGTCCAATCCCAAGCTCCATATTTTCAGAGGATCACTGACAAATTAGAGTGTCTCAAAGAGAGAAGTCTGACGAATTGTGATAAGAGGGATGGGGACTGGATCCCTTGAAGGAACTGGAAATATTTAACCAAAAGATAAGATGGTGTGGTATCATAATAATTTCGGGGATCCTCTTTTGTTCAAATGCCTGTTACATGGTAAAGTGCTTAATTTTATATCTTGTTCCAGATGGCAGAATTGGCACTGATTATTGGTAATTACAAGGAGGTAGATAAGATTCAACATAAGAATCTTTTGACAATATACAGGGCTGCCTACCCAGGAGTGAGCTTCCTGATGTTAAGGCACTTCCTGAAGGACCACTTAGATGGAGTAAGGGAGAGTTATCTGAGGCCCACTGTCTCAGGCTTTCAATAAATTAAAATGTCAATGAATCACTCATTCATGAGACAGCCTTGTCTTTGTGGTCCAGACCCCATTTTGACCCTTATTATCACTGTAAGATGAACATCTCAAGTCTCCAAAAGACAAGGAAATGTCAAAAGGCCTGGCAGTTTCCTTATTACATGCCAAGCCATACTTAGAGATTACCCACTAATATCCTATAGAGCTGGTCATTGCTAGGGTAAAAGTCAGGCTGTTGGAGAGCAAGTGGAAGACCAAAAGGGCATAATTCCCCCTTCCAAAAGTTTAAAGAGAGCACTGCCGTTCATGTATAACCGGCTACATTCTGTTGATCAATCTCATCTAGCCCCTACTGTATAATATTTAGTTTGCACAACATTCCAATATAGTGAGCTCCTAAAGAGCAGAAACTCTGTACTATTTATCTTTATAACTCCATAGCTTATCCAAGTGTTGGCATTTATTAGATACTTAATATATGCTTAATGGAAGAATAAATGAATTCCATTCCAAATAAGCATTGCCTCAGTGCAGGCACTATATCAATGGCAAGATCCAGAATTAAAATAAGACACAGTTTTTGCCCTTAAGGAGTGCTCAGTAATCAGCAGAATAAATATATGAGGGAATGAGAGCACCTGTATTGGGTGGAATTTTGCCTTTTAAGAGTCCTTTCAACCCTAAGATTCTATAAATCCATATTCTTTTCCTCAATTAAAATATCTTAGATGCAGCCTGGAGCTGTGGCTCACGCCTGTAATCCTAGCACTTTGAGAGGATCAGTTGAGCCCAGGAGTTCGAGACCAACCTGGGCAACATGCTGAAACCTCATTTCTACAAGAAATACAAAAAATTAGCCAGGCGTGGTGGTGCATGCCTGTAATCCCAGTTACTTGGAAGGCTGAGATGGAAGGATCATGTGAGCCTGGGAAGTCAAGGCTACATTGAGCTGAGATCGTACCACTGCACTCCAGCCTGGGTAACAGAGTGAGATCCCTTCTCAAAAAAAAAAAAAAAAAACCAAAAAACATATATAGACAAACATAGACAGACAGAGAGAGAGAGAGAGAGAGAAAGAGAGAGAGAGATTTTAGATGCAAGAACAGGAAAAGTGGCCATGCTATGATAGGTTATTCCTAGGTTTTTAATCTACTGTGGGCAATACTGTTCAGCTTCTAGCAAACCAAATAATTTGAGAAATCAACCTACAGTCAAATTATGGGATTCTTTTAGTGAATTTAAAGAGTTAGAGAACAGTAGATATTGGTAGAGATTTGTGTCAAACCTATACAAAATACATATTCCTCATATTAAGAAAAAAACAGACTTTCTGGCCCTGAAATTTAAATTTATTCTCTATATACTAAAGAATTCAAATCATATCTATATTAAAAACAATAAATACTAACATAATACAGGTTAAATCTGTTAATTTTTGATGTTACTTTTATTATTATTCTTCTACAGAGGATGACACAGGACATAGAGGTTAAGTTATTTGCTCCTATATCATGAAGTAGAAAGTAGTAGACCTAGGCAATTGAGCACCAGAATCCATGAAAACTTCACTGATGGCCTGTTGTAATCATGTTCTCTTACAAGAATTTTACTTCTTGCTCATCCTAGGAGGCCAATACACTGTAGTATGATTATTTTTGCCAGGTGTCCCATAAACTAGAATCAGTGCTCCATGATTAGTCTCTCTTCTGATGCAATAAGGCAAAAAATCATGCTTGGGATTTCAGAAGAGATGTACAAAGCAATACGGTGTCGTTAAGCATGAAAACATCTAGACCTTTACTGCGTTTCCTTGGTATTATTCATACAAAGTCAGCTATCACTCTCTCTGCCCCATTCCTCACTCCCCAGTCCAAAAAGCCACATTGTATTAAATAAATAATGATTAAATACAAATATATTATTCTACGCATTCACACACTTGCAAAAGGCAACAAGCCACCTGTTTTTCTAAACCATTTTGACTTACTGAGAGATAAGACAGTCTGAAAAGCAAGATAAATTCCATTTTGGAATCAAATTATCTTTTCCTCACTTAGTTTCACATATATTCTGTTTTTCACTTTGTGCTCTAAATAGTTAGTTAATTGGGACTATTTAACAGATTATATATGTTTCTTCTGAGAGTAATTGTACCTTAACAATAACTGAAGGAATTTTTATTTAATTTGCTAGTTGGTTTATGGTTTGCTAGAATTAAGCAGAAGCTGAAGTGCTCCTGACTGTAGGAGGTGAAACTCATTCATATTCTTTTGTAAACAAATTAATGGAGAGTTGCCAGTGTGTTTTCATCCCACAAAATCACCTTAGCAACATGGATATAAAAACAGCATGAACTTTCCCTCAGAGCCTCCAGTCTTTCCTAGCGTGAAGATTCAACAATAAATGAGACTAGCAAAATTCTCCGTTTAATTTAGTCTTATAAAATGAGTTTCAGAATTTCCACAAAACATAGATTTTAACAGTAAAATAAAAAGAGGCTAAATTTCTCTTATGTAGAATGATTAGGATTTCTCAATAGGGTTGTATTTGTTTTTTGTTTTCCTGACATGGCAGGAAACACCATGTACCCTTTGCTTGACCAAGTTTCAAATAATTTTAGAAAAAAAAAGGCAGAGAAAGTTATATTTTCAAATAATTAGGTCTGACTAACTTGAATCATGGGCTCTATGGTCACCAATTATACTTACATCTTATTCCTCTGGAGTTTGAGGAGTATGAGCTCTGGAAAATTGAGAAAGTAAAAGCCACACCGCAGTCATCAAGTCCATGCTAACGCCTGTGGGCAGGGCAAATCCTGGCAGAAGGTTGCTCTCAGATATCTGCAGGAAATAAGCCACAAAGCTTGCTTTGTTTTGGTGTTTTTTCATCAACTCTCATCTCTCCCACATGGAAAGGCCAGAAAACTCTCTACTTATTTATGGATTTCTTATAGTGTTGTTCCTTTGTTTTGGTTACTGCTTATCCACACTCTAGAGAAAGGAAAGCCAGGGAAACTATGGCACAAATGTATTTAAGAACTAAGCCTCTGGGTCTCTGCCATCCGTTATCTTCTCAGTTTCTTGTCTACCTTCCAGATTTAAAGGCAAGAATGATGAACACATAAAAAACACCTTTTCTTATGATGGTGTACTTTTTAAAAATTTTTGAATATTGCAGTAAGTCCTCAGCTAATTGTGTAAACAAAATTTTCACTGCTAATTTTTGAACTATGTGGAATATTGGGTAGGGAGTACCTCAGTGGATCACCTGGATGCCAGATGTATTCTTGCCTGCCCCAATACATAATGGCAGCGATACATACTTGTAATGATCAGAGTCCATTATCTGTGCCAGAATGGTAAATCTTTTCCTGGTCTTTGTACATGAAATCTCAAGTGCTGGTTGACTGAGAAGCAAATAGAGCTTAAAATCTTGCTAGTAAAAGCGCTCATCTTCTGTGAACAGAAATGCTAGATAGACCTGCAGAGCTCATTGTTGCAGAGTCAGAAGCATAAATTCTTCATGTGAGTCTCTAGGAGTAATAGCAAAAGGGGTCACTCTTAAACTTTACTTCTGTCTACTAGGGACATAACACTAGATAATGATCACTGATTTAGGATGTATCCTGCATCCTGGAGAATGGCACCCCATCTTTGCAGAGTGTTATCTCCAATCTTGTGCCTCTATGCCTTCAAAAAGCAGTTCCATCACTCTGTAAGACTGGCAGCTTTTTGGTAGTATGGTCTGTTATGGGAACAATATTCTTCACTGTGATATGTCCACGGCCATACCTTTTTTTCTTTCTTTAAAATGGTCCTTAGTCTGATATAATGTCAAGTGGGATACTATGTCTATGGATCGAGCATTCTGTAAACCTTCAGATATTGGAGATGGTCAAGGTTCCACAAGTGGCAAATGAAAACCCATACCTAGAATATGTGCTGATTCCAGTAAAAATGAATTGCTGCCTCTTCGAGGATATAATCAACTTGGCACCAAGTGACTGGTTAGTCTCCTTGAAAGATGGCATCCTATCAGGCTTTAGTATCGTTCTCTGATGCAGGCTAGTTGAATATCTGATAGCAGTGGTAGTTAGCCATAGTGATTATCAGTCTATGATGCTGGTAGGACCCATGAATAGTTTTCATCCCTGATAGTCTCTTCATGCATTCATTGTACCAGCACTGTGGTAGCTGATGACAGAGGCTGGCTGTCACATGTCAGCCAGCAGCAGACACAGTCATTCTGTCCACTTGAGTTCAG
This sequence comes from Homo sapiens, assembly GCF_000001405.40. NCBI lineage: Eukaryota > Metazoa > Chordata > Mammalia > Primates > Hominidae > Homo > Homo sapiens. Next base: position 153,355,684 of record NC_000003.12, on the reverse strand, counting down.
TGCTGTTTTCATGATAAATGCTTCCTGGTAGGCATTAATAATTACATAGAAACTTTTCAAATTTGTACTTACTCCAATAGGTCCATCACATGCCTCTTCCCCAGACTTCCTTGCCCCCAAGGTTTCCATTTTTTCCTTTCCAATCTCTGACCAAGCAGTCAAGCTAATTGCCACTGCTCAGAAATTTCTGTATATTCTTATCTTGGGCAATTTTTATTTCCATGCAAAGTATATGTCCTGGTACAATGCCTGAAACTCTGCCCATGAGAAAATCTTTACTCATTGCTTTCTTTCATGGCCCTGCTGAGTGGGATTGTAATAAAGCAGCAGCTCATTTTCAGTTTGTACTTAAACATGGAGAATACCCACCCATGAACTAAGCTTAGCCTTTTTTCTTCTCCACAAGCTGGTCAAAAAGCTACAGATGGGAGCTAAGGGAGAAGTACAAGTGCAACTGTGATTAATAACAAAAGGGTCTGGCCACCTGCACTTGCAGCTTATTGTGCTGTACAGCCCTCCTCAGGTCCAGTCCTGGATGTACATTCTCACTGCAGGATGAAATGCTTCTTGGATCGTCTACTCTTCTGAATTTATGAGCTGATTAAAACTCAGCTGATGATGGACGGTTCTGGCCACACAGTCATTTGATATCCCAAAGTCAGATGCTCTGTTTCTATCAGAACAAAGTAGCACATCAGGAAATGTTTTGAAAAGATGTATAATACTCTGCTGCAAGAGGCATGACCTTGTTCTAGAACCCTGGGAAAGTCATGGTGATTTTCCTAGTAGGGCTTGCCAGAAATTTCATGTGGTATCTCTCTCTACCACAGATAACATTATGTCTTTAAGATAGCACTAATCTCTGCCTTTCTTCTTGAACCACAACATTGTTTTTGACATGATATTGTCGAATGTGGGCAGTTTCAGTGGCTTCTACTTAGTCTTCCAGCTTAAATACTTCTTACCCAATATTGAGTCCAAGGCCTCAATATTAGGATTCTTACAATTACATTGTGTGTCCACTCCACTTGTACACTTGGGAACTGATGAATTTACCAATGGGTAGGTATGTGGTTCCACTGTGTGAACCAGACCTGTGATAGGACTCCATTTATTACTTGGCTCCTCTATGCCCCTACTCTAACACAGAGGCCATGATGACACTTTAGGTCCCTGCGTATGAATGTTAACTCAACTCCCATATTCGCATCATTCAAATGGGTTTTGTTTTTCCCTGGTATATAAGTTTACCCAAATAAATTGTCATAGGTCCCTTTGAGAAAGAACTGAGGGAATTATTACCATATTTGCTTGTGGTGGTATTTCAGGGCCTTTCTTTATGGGAACCCAGTCTCTCTCACAGTCAATGACTTCTGGGTCAGAAAATTGGCTTCAGTTTGAAAATAGAACAAAGAAATATGACCTTTTATTGTGACAGCTTCCTCAAGCTCCTGATCTTTCCACCTTGATTTCTTTTTTATTATTATCATTTTTAAATTTTGAGACAAAGTCTCACTCTGTCATGCAGGCTAGAGTGCAGTGGCATAATCTCGGCTCACGACAACCTCCGCCTCCCAGGTTCAAGCCATTCTCCTGCCTCAGCCTCCTGAGTAGCTGGGATAACAGGTGGCTGCCACCACGCCCAACTAATTTTTGTTTTTCTCGTTTTTTTGTTTTTGTTTTTATTTTTGTGTTTGTTTTTCTGGAGACGGAGTCTTGGTCTGTCACCAGGCTGGAGTGCAGTGACATGATCTTGGCTCACTGCAACTTCCACTCCCCTGGTTCAAGAGTTTCTCCTGCCTCAGCCTCCTGAGTAACTGGGAATACAGGCATGTACCACCACACCCAGTTAATTTTTGTATTTTTAGTAGAGATGAGGTTTCACCATGTTGGCCAGGATGGTCTCCATCTCTTGACCTCGGGATCCACCTGCCTCGGCCTCCCAAAGTGCTGGGATTACAGGCAAGAGCCACTGCGCCCAACCCTGTATTTTTAGTATAGACAGGGTTTCATCATATAGGCCAGGCTGATCTCAAACTCCTGACCTCAAATGATCCACCTGTCTCAGACTCCCAAAGTGCTGGGATTACAGGCATTAGCCACTGCCCCTGGCCCACCTTGATTTCTTTTGATTGCACACATTGAGTGATGCTTGTTGGCTGCCCTAAGGATACATGTTCTGTTAACCATCTTCAAAGCTCGTCACTGACCAGACCCTGGCTGACAGTCCATTAAAATAATTACACTCACAATTTCTGACCATTAAATGCCACCACCTGTTTTTTGTTTGCTTGCTTGTTTGTTTGTTTTTAATGTTGGGATCTAATCATCCCCATTGCTATGAGGAAGTTAGCACTGGTCTTCTCTTGAAAGACACTACTGAGTTTTGCAATGATGCTGGGACCCCTCTCACCTGCATATTTCTTATTGTATTGCTAAATGGTGTTCTCTGGGTGCTCCCACAGAACATAGTCAGCTGGTAGGTATTTTGATCCTTATGCACTATATCCACTCTAGCAAGCCACTTCTCTAAGCCTTTGATCTCTTTCCACTATTTGCATGACAGTTCTAGAATTTCTAACATCAGTTTTTCCAAGCTTCTGAAAGTCAGTGACTAGCATATTGGTATTGATCTTCAGGGTCCTTGCCAGTGTGTTATATTCTGTATCACTGGAGTGTGGTCCTATATCAGCAAATTCTCCCTTATCCAACCTTTTATTCTCTCCCCACTTGATCCACCATCCTCAAGAGCCAGTACCCATCCTCTCCCAACTCCTGATAGTACATATTTTCTAGGTTTTACAATAGTCCCTTTCCTCCATTAGCAGGTCCTGAGATTCCCAGACCAGATTGTGTTCTCCTGACTCGTTTTTTTTTCTTGTCCTGTGACCAGGAGAAAAAGTGGAAGTAGATTTGAGGGAAGGAAGGTACATGTTGCTTTGTAAAACAAAGGCTTCTGAATTTTTTTCAACAAAGAGGGAATGCTAATTTTTAGTGGAGAAAATTGGGTCACTAATGCAGTAGCAGTGAATTCAGAAAAACCTGGGGTTTCAAGGTGTTTTTAGTGCCTCAGCTCAGAGGTCACCATGACAAGTCTCAAAGTCTCACTCCTTCCTAACCAGGTGCTGACCTTAACATAACAGATTTGACTGGCCAGGATAGAGAATTCAACTATTTCAAGAGATCCACTACTCTTATAATTAACTCTTCAAATTTTTCTCCCCTTTCCAATAGTAGAAAAAGACTTTTTGCCACCAAAACTAACTTTCATATTTTGCCTTAAATTGATCATTAGTCTCCCTTAGCTGTTTATTATCCTCCAATGCATTGATGGAATGAGCCATTTGATTCACCTTTTCTTGTAATTGCTATGCTCCTTCTACCTTTCCAAGGACTGAGATATTTCACCTGCCTATTCCCACATCAATTTATCACCTATGAGAGTTTTAATAATTGCAGGACAGTGGCTAACCATATTCTACCTACCAACAGCAACAGGACTCTTATTCCCAGCCAGCTCCAAAATTTTCAGAGTCTCCTTCCCAGGACCACTCCTGGCGTCAACAGTCATAGGTTGGATTCCATAAGAAACAACCCCTGAGCTGGATAATTGCATCCACGTGGCTTATTGAAGCTACTCTCAGGAACAATGCCTAAGAGAGTAAAGAAAATAACGTTGCAGACAGGGATAAATTAAACTAAAAACAGTTGCAATAGAAGTCTAAACTGATTACCTGGGGAGCTCTAATGCTGGAATAACTTCTCCAAATTGGAGAAAGTGATACAGACAGGAGACAGGGAAATACTGAGTAGAAGAGGTCAGTTCCCTAGCAAAGACCCCACTCTAAAGCCTGGAAACCTGCGGCCCTAAATGGGAACAAGCATTCCTGGTTTTGTGCCCAAAATGTTGCCTTTTGGCCTACAATACCCCGTATCCCGTACCCATATAAACCCCAAACCTCCTGCTCCATGAGGCGATGAGCAGAAGAGCCGAGGAGCAGAAGAACTGCACAGCAGAGAAGGAGAGAAGAAAAGGGGCATCTGAACATCAAGAGGAGTCCAGCTGGGGATGGTAAGAGAGCAGTTTGGCCACAGAAGAGCCGAACTCCAGGGAAGATCATCTTCCCACTCCATCCCCCTTCCAACTCCCCATTTATCCCACTGAAAGCCACCTCCAACACTCAATAAAACCCTTGCATTTACCACTCTTCAAGTCCGTGTGTAACCTGATTCTTCCTGGATGCTAGACAAGGGCCCAGGTACCAATGGGGCGCTGACCTGGTTAAAACTTAAGCTGTCTGTGGACAGCAGAGCTAAAAGAACACTGTTACACTGGGGCTTCAGGAGTCACAAGCACCCACCCCTAGATGCTGCTGTGCGGCCAGAGCCCAGAAGTGCTTGCCCTGGTTTCTGCACCTGCCTGTCTGCATGCTCCCCCTCCTGTAAGGGGTTTGAGCTCATGGTGGCCAAATAAAGAGCCATGCCCCTGTCACACTTCCTTCGAGGGCAGCCAAGGAACTCTCCCATTTCAAAAAAAGATGAGAGGTGCATTTTGTAACATCCCACTTTGGAGTCATTGCATATGGGCTGCTGTGAGAAAGAGTTTATAATATTGGGCAAAACAGCTCTTAGGCCCAAGGCCATCTCCAAAGGAAAGACTCAGCAGGTCCCAATCCTTGAAATTAAGAAAATGAATGCTTACAGCCTGCATCCTGAAGGGGGATCTCGGCCATGCACCAAACAATTACTTTTGGTCTTGGCTATCTTATATGATTTGGGGGCAACATAGTTAATTCCCTAAATATGTTTTATTTAGGTATATCTTATTTTATGATTAATATTTTTAACATTAGTAAACCCTTACCACACCCAAACAACAAAAGAGGAGATGATCCAGAGCTATTCAGGGCAAAAGGGAAAATTCAAACTAGAATAACAAACCACAAAAAACTCAGACATATATAACCTATACATCTGAAGAACCACAGTTTGACTGTGTCAGGGAATTTGCAAGAGCCTTTGTACTAAGATCATGGTTTCTTAGTTTGTGAGTAACCAGAAATGTGGATTTTTATGACAAGACGAAAGGAGAGGTATGCTTTCATCTGGCATTCTTTAGAGGCTTGTGGTAAAGTAGGAGTTTACAGAGAGATTCTTTTGCTGCAATCAAAGTCAGAATCCCAAAGAACATGTATTAAGTGGCCTGGAAACCTCAGGTAAGCAAATGTAGTATTTGGAGGTTTCAATACGGTTTATTTAAATGTAGAAAGCACTGGGAAAGTTTGCATTGAAGACAGTTATAAATGCTTTAGAATCTTTATTTTATTATCTATACCATACTTTAATGTGTATGTGCATGTGTGTGCATTACCATGAGTGGGAAATGGCCAGCAATAAGTAGACTAACATAATGGATTAGGAAGGTAGGAGTTGTGATTCTGTGATGGTCTCTGTTATGATAACTAGAAAATACACACACACACACACAGAGAGAGAGAGAGAGAGAGAGAGAGAGACAGAGAAAGAAAAAGAGAGAGAGAGAGCAGGGTACTGTAAAGGAAACTATATAAGCACCAAACTAAATTGCCAAAGAGAAAAAGACAGCCAATTTCAAAATGAGAACTTGTGTCTGTGCATAATCAGTTATCTTTAATTCTATCAGGTTAAAGGGAACCTGGGCAAAAGAAAATGTGGGGCTCTTAGACTATCCATTCTCTAGGCTAGAAATCATCTAATTAGCTTTCTGATGAATTAAATTTGAGCTGAAAATAATTACATAAATTATTTCTGTAGTAAAATAATTCAGAATTCATTTATTTGAAATAATGTACGCTTGGACTTGTCACATTGCTGGTTTTCTCACTTAGACATTCAATTATCATCACAGCTAAAAAATCATTTATTAAAAATTATTTAAATGCATAAAAATGATCCATGTCACCAAGGTATTCATTTTCCTCTCACCTTTTTTACAAACACCTACTATATTTCAGACATTGCCAGGTACAGTGAATTAAAGATGACTAAGAAACAATTCTTGTTTTCAAGAAATTCACAATTTAATATAGATATAAATAAATATACCAGCTACAGAATAATATACAAAAGATGGTGAGTCATTAAATGGAACAATTATTGTCTATCATGTCCCACATTCTAATATTCATAAAATAGAATTAAAAAATGTTCATGATACATGAATTCATGGGAGGAGACATTTTATCTGGATTGGTTTGGAAATGATGAATGAGGATGTATATGTTTTAGGTAAGTTCATATGTAAGAGTTGCACTTGTCCAAGTGAAATAAGAGTAAGAGAGGAGAGTAAGAGAGTGAGTACTGATGTCCTCAAGCAATACGCATTCAGCTGTATATAGAAGCTGAAAAGAGGAACTAGATATATAGGTTTAGGTTAGAATAACACCCTGAGGGTAAAGAGGCAGAAAGGGTATGAGAATTGAAATTATTGTCAAGACACTTGTTCAACTCCATAGATTATGGTGTTCTCTATATTTAAACACCATAGATCATGGAGTCTAAGCAAGGTAAGGAAGAAAGTGAAGATGACAAATAGCTGAGGAATTGGAAGAGAATGAAGCAATCACTGGAATATAACTTTTTATGAGGCTAACAAGTATGGTACGGTGATGGAGTAAAAGCTGGAATGATAAGTTGTGGTTTGAGGTAAATTATTGGAGTTTGATATTTCAAAGGAGGAGACTTTCAAATCATCACAAAGTTAAGCACATATGAAAGTCAAAGGAGTTACAGAAATTGAAGAACTCTGAAGGGAAAGAGCATTGAGTCATCCATTTGCAGTTGAAAGTAAGGAGGAACATGGTGGAGAGGAAGACAGTGGGCCAACTGTGTCATCAGGGCAAGAATGCTCACTACACACAGCAGCTCACTTGTTAGGACTCCCCCCAGAATTGAATTGGTGGATATCTTCTCTTGCCTGGGGGAGAATGTAAAGATGACAACGAGAATTATTTCTGGGAGGCCCAGTTTTATCATGATCCCAGCTGTTCCTGTCAGAAGGATCTAAGGTCTCTAAATGGGCTTCAAGCAGAGATAATTTACATCTCAACACAAGCACAGGGATTAGCAACACAATCTTAAGGGTCTGTATACTTTATTGTGTTAATTTCCTCCTTAAAAAGAATTTTGTGTCTGGCTGCATCTAATTGGAAGGATGTGGGGTAACAGAAAGCTTAACTGTTTTGGGGCTCAGAAAGTCTTTATTGGCCCAGTTCTATATCTTGGATTAGTTGCCTTGTACACAAGTCACTTAATATCTCTAATCTTCACTCCAGCAAGAAGAGCATTTGGGAGCTAATATGAGATAGAAAGAAATATACTGTGCTCAAGAAACTAAGAGAAAACCACCAAAGTTGGAGAAACCGATGAGAAGCTGCACCTTAGAGGAGGATGAAGACGATCAAATGAATAATGGACAGAAATTGTATTTGTACTAATGCTCTCCCTATCCCTTGCCCCCACCGCCTGAGAGGCCCTTATGTGTGATATTCCCCTCCCTGTGTCCATGTGTTCTCATTGTTCAGCTCCCACTTATGAGTGAGAACATGCAGTGTTTGGTTTTCTGTTCCTGTATTAGGATAAATACCTACTGCATGGGATGGGTTGATGGGTGCAGCAAACCACCATGGCATATGTATACCTATGTAACAAACATGCACGTTCTGCACATGTATCCCAGAACTTAAAATAACTTCAGAGTGGATTTCAAACTAAACTGCAAGGCTACAGTAACCAAAACAGCATGGTACTTGTACCAAAACAGATATATAGACCAATGGAACAGAACAGAGGCCTCAGAAGTGACACCACATGTATACAACCATCTGATCTTTGACAAACCTGACAAAAACAAGAAATGGTGAAAGAATTTCCTATTTAATAAATGGTGCTGGGAAAACTGGTTAGCCATATGTAGAAAGCTGAAACTGGATCCCTTCCTTATACCTTATACAAAAATTAACTCAGGGTGGATTAAAGACTTAAATGTAAGACCTAAAACCATAAAAACCCTAGAAGAAAACCTAGGCAATACCATTCAGGACATAAGCATGGGCAAAGACTTCATGACTAAAACACCAAAAGCAATGACAACAAAAGCTGAAATAGACAAATGGGATCTAATTAAACTAAAGAGCTTCTGCACAGCAAAAGAAACTATCAGCAGAGTGAACAGGCAACCTAAAGAATGGGAGAAAGTTTTTGCAATCTATTCATCTGAAAAAGGGCTAATATCAAGAATCTACAAAGAACTTAAACAAATTTACAAGAAAAAATCAAACAACTCCATCAAAAAGTGGGCAAAAGATATGAACAGACACTTCCCAAAAAAATACATCTATGCAGCCAACAGACATATGAAAAAATGCTCATCATCACTGGTCATTAGAGAAATGCAAATCAAAACCACAATGAGATACCATCTCACGCCAGTTAGAATGGCAATCATTAAAGAGCCAGGAAACAACAGATGCTGGAGAGGATGTGGAGAAATAGGAACGCTTTTACACTGCTGGTGGGAGTGTAAATTAGTTCAACCATTGTGGAAGACACTGTGGCGATTCCTCAAGGATCTAAAACTAGAAATACCATTTGACCCAGCAATCCCATTACTGGGTATATACACAAACGATTATAAATCATGCTACTATAAAGACACATGCACACATATGTTTATTGCAGCACTATTCACAAGAGCAAAGACTTGGAACCAACCCAAATACCCATCAATAATAGACTGGATAAAGAAAATGTGGCACATATACACCATGGAGTAGTAATATGCAGCCATAAAAAAGGATGAGTTCATGTCCTTTGAAGAGACATGGATGAAGCTGGAAACCATCATTCTCAGCAAACTATCACAAGTACAGAAAACCAAACACCGCATGTTCTCACTCATAAGTGGGAGTTGAACAATGAGAACACATGGACACAGGGAGGGGAACATCACACACCAGGGCCTATTGTGGGGTGGGGGGCTGGAGGAGGGATAGCATTAGGAGAAATACCCAATGTAAATGACGATTTGATGGGTGCAGCAAACCAACATGACACATATATACCTATGTAACAAACCTGCACGTTGTGCACATGTACCCCAGAACTTAAAGTATAATAAAAAAGATTATAAATTAACACAATTATTTTTCCAATTAAAAAATATAAAAAGAAATTGTATTTGTACCAGGACACCCTGCCAGATATTATCATTGTAGTTTTTCTCTGGGAATCAAGGTGCTGAGAGTCACTTTAGATTTCTGCATCATTCAGGATACAGCCAGGAAAACACTAACCACTCTAAGACTTTCAAAAAGATGGATGTGGTTACACAGCTTCCTGAGTTCAGATTCCTTAGAAAGGACAATGTGAGACAAGGATTTGTGTGCACATGACTTTCTTTAGGAAGAGCTTGTGGAGGAGGACTAAAGCAGGATAAAGAAAAGAGCAAAGCCCTTTGTCAGATGAGTAGGTTGCGAAAATTTTCTCCCATTTTGTAGGTTGCCTGTTCACTCTGATGGTAGTTTCTTTTGCTGTGGAGAAGCTCTTTAGTTTAATTAGATCCCATTTGTCAATTTTGGCTTTTGTTGCCATTGCTTTTGGTGTTTTAGACATGAAGTCCTTGCCCATGCCTATGTCCTGAATGGTAATGCCTAGGTTTTCTTCTAGGGTTTTTATGGTTTTAGGTCTAACGTTTAAGTCTTTAATCCATCTTGAATTGATTTTTGTATAAGGTGTAAGGAAGGGATCCAGTTTCAGCTTTCTACATGTGGCTAGCCTACAATGAACTCAAACAAATTTACAAGAAAAAAACAACCCCATCAAAAAATGGGCGAAGGACATGAACAGACACTTCTCAAAAGAAGACATTTATGCAGCCAAAAAACACGTGAAAAAATGCTCACCATCACTGGCCATCAGAGAAATGCAAATCAAAACCACAATGAGATACCATCTCACACCAGTTAGAATGGCAATCATTAAAAAGTCAGGACACAACAGGTGCTGGAGAGGATGTGGAGAAATAGGAACACTTTTACACTGTTGGTGGGACTGTAAACTAGTTCAACCATTGTGGAAGTCAGTGTGGCGATTCCTCAGGGATCTAGGACTAGAAATACCATTTGACCCAGCCATCCCATTACTGGGTATATACCCAAAGGACTATAAATCATGCTGCTATAAAGACACATGCACACATATGTTTATTGTGGCACTATTCACAATAACAAAGACTTGGAACCAACCCAAATGTCCAACAATGATAGACTGGATTAAGAAAATGTGGCACATATACACCATGGAATACTATGCAGCCATAAAAAATGATGAGTTCATGTCCTTTGTAGGGACATGGATGAAATTGGAAATCATCATTCTTAGTAAACTATCACAAGGACAAAAAACCAAACACCACATGTTCCCACTCATAGGTGGGAATTGAACAATGAGCGCACATGGACACAGGAAGGGGAACATCACACTCTGGGGACTGTCGTGGGATGGGGGGAGGGGGGAGGGATAGCATTAGGAGATATACCTAATGCTAAATGATGAGTTAATGGGTGCAGCACACCAGCATGGCACATGTATACATATGTAACTAACCTGCACATTGTGCACTTGTACCCTGAAACTTAAAGTATAATAATAATAATAATAAAATAAAATAAAATAAAAAAGAAAAGAGCAAAGCAAAGATGTGGTTTAAGCAAACCCCAGTCCCTGGCCTGATCCACAGGGGGAGGAATCTGGAACATAAAACATGTCACAAAATCATCCCCTCCTTGACAAAACGAAGTTGACATTTTATAACCTTTATCATCACTGGCTGCACCTGCTCTGTGAGCTCCTGCCCGGCAAGTCTTAACAAAGGGACAGTTTTGAGGCCTTAGCAATCAAAGCTTATAGCAGGGTAATAAGTGCACCAACCCACTAGGAAGATCTAGACAGAAACTAGAGTACCTCCTGAAACAGCTGATGGGAGAACAAAGAAGCTCAAGAGGGAAAGGTGAGGCCTCTCAGAGTTTGGCAATAGCAGGAAGTAGCTATCATTCCGAGGCCTGGCAAGACCAGCAGAACAGGTGGTACTACAAGAGCCCAGAAGCCAGGCCAACCTGTGGGATTGAAACATGGCAGGCACTTACCCAGGGAGCTGGGACCCACAAGAAGAGGTGCTTTTTTGCAGAAATTGGAACTGTGGAAGAGATGCTCCTGAAAATGCCATGAAAATGGGGGGGGTGGGAGGAAAAAAAAATATGTGACTGCCATCTTTCCAACCCCTGACCCTAATCTTGCCTCCTATTGGATAAACCTACCAGTGAGCACAAGAGCCTCTGGAAGACACTTTTCCATCACTCAGAGCAGAGTAGGGGAAGCTTGGGGAACAGATCTCAGGGCCAACAGGAAGCTAAGTGAGTGCCCACTAGAGGAACTGAGGGCAGCTCCTACTAGAAAGGTCAACCTGTAACTCCACTGGCTGAAACTAGAGAATTCAGATAATCAGACTGTCTGCATGTAGTGACTCAGAATTGGGGGAAGAAAAGCTGATTAGGACGCCGAGTCTCTGAAGTGACAGCTCCCCAAATCAAGTCCAATTCTTGGCTTGCTGGACAGTTTGCAATCCCAACTGTTGCTATGTATAGGGAGTAGATATTGTTCACATTTCAAAATATATAATGTACAGTTCTTATTAATGCCTGATGGGCGTTCTGAGGATATATAGATGTCTCTTCTAACTCTTTACCTTTTCTACTTTCTAAAGCAGTAAAATTCTGCTTACAGCTATCAACCAAAAAGTATCTGAGACAGGGCTCAATCAATTTAGAAGTTTGTTTTGCCAACATTAAGGACAATGCCTGGGAGGAAACAAACACAGAATCATAGAAACAGTCTGTGGTCTGTGCCTTTCTCCAAAGATGACTTTGAGGGCTTTAATATTTAAAGGGGAAAAGCAGCCTGGGAAAAAAGGGTAAACGGGAGGATATGGATACATTACTAAATCTACATTGCAAGAGAAAAGGAGCAGGTAGAGTAATAGTCATGTATTCCTCTGGCACTCAGTAAATTAGTGCTCTATAGAAGATAAGGTGAACCTAGAGCAACTACTCATGGAGATTTTTTAACCTTTTATCTGAAGCTATCTGCTTAGGAACAAAAGGAAAGGCAGCTTCTTGCATGACTCAGCTTTCAGCTTAATATTTTTTCCTTTTGGCACAGTGAATTGGGGTCCCAAGCTTTTAATTTTCTTTTCACACAGCAAATTGTGAGTGGGGGGGTGGGGCTAATAATATTCAATCATCTTCAGGAATAAGAAATTTGACAATGCCACTCTTGCCCTTGAAAACCTGCATCAGCAGCACAACTTTGGCAACAGCATTAGATTAGATGATTCCTAGGAAATGGAAACCAAAATGACAGCTGAGTAAAAAAAATTATGAAAAGTAAAATAGACCACAGACTACACAGGTTTTTGGAAACAAAATAACTTACCTTTATCTTTCATTTCCCATTTAAAATTGATTTCTGTATTTTAAATCTACTGATTTGTATTTTTTATTGATCCCATTGACTCTTATCACATAAATATATATATATATAAAACATTTTCTCTCCAAATTGGCTATAAAAATGTGCACTGTGTGACAATCTGCAAGATACTCATCTAGAAGAAATGATCTATGGACATTTTGATGAAATGCTTTATTCCAATCCCATGCTTGGCTGGTGGTATTTTACAGGTTCATTTGCAAGTAGGTTCATTTTTTTAAACTTGCTTTTAAAGGTGGTGATGAGAAATTGGTAATTTATAACTTCATAATACCATACTCAGGTACTTCGTTGTCTTGGGATTCATATATCTTAATTGAATTTAGAACATCACCATTTGAGCCTCAAAAAGTATTCGCAAGTAGATATTTCTTTTCCTATAATGAGGATTAAAGGATCTGGGGCAGAAAGTTCTGATCAATTCAGGAGGTACTGCTTGTGCCCCAGAGGAGCCTTCAAAGATCAAATCCATGTTTTTATATGAGAACTTTTTGAAGTGCTTGAAGCAACTGCTAAAGTGTCTGGAATGTCTAGTGGTTTAAATGGTCTTTTCTGGGAAATGTTAAACATTAACTTTCTGAAAATGCATAATTAGAGAAGGAATAGAATGAATTCACATACAAGAGTGGTATGAAGGGTAGTGTGTTTGGCCATTCTTGCATTGTTTTAAAAAATGCCCGAGACTGGGAGGATCACGAAGTCAGGAGATCGAGACCATCCTGGCTAACATGGTGAAACTCCGTCTCTACTAAAAATACAAAAAATTAGCCAGGCGTGGTGTCACATGCCTGTAGTCCCAGCTACTTGGGAGGCTGAGGCAGGAGAATTGCTTGAACCCGGGAGGCAGAGGTTGCAGTGAGCCAAGATTGTGCCACTGCACTCCAGCCTGGGCAACAGAGCAAGACTCCATCTCAAAAAAATAAAATGCCGAGACTGGATAATTTATAAGAAAAGAGGTTTAATTGGCCAATGGCTCTGCAGGCTGTCCAGGATACACAGTATTGGCATCTGCTTCTAGGGAGGCCTTAGGAAGCTTTTACTCAGAGAGGAAGGTGAAGCGAGAATAGGTATCTTACATGGCAGAACAGAGCAAGAGAGAGAAAGTAGTGGGGATGTGCCACACACATTTAAACGACCAGATCTCCTGAGAACTCACTCACCATTGCAAAGACAGCACCAAGCCATGAGGGTCTGCCCCATGATCCAAACACCTCCCACCAGGTCCCGCCTCCAGCACTGGGGATTACAATTCAACATGAGATTTGGGCAGGCCAAATATCCAAACTATATCGGGTAGCAAGTAATTCACATATAGGGAGAAACATAGTGTGTTTTTTTTATTTTTTCACTTTACAAACTCCTCTTTCATAATAATGTTTTATCATGGTGGGAAATTACAAGAAAGAGTACTGGAAAAGTAGAGGAAGAATATTGGGAAGGGAAAGTATGGTTATATTTTAAATAGATTAGAAAGGGGATTGCCTCTCCTTCCAATGCTACCAGTCTGCCTTCTATGATGTAGGCAGTAGACTCCCCAGCAGAAAGTAGTGTCTTGAGGTCATCTAGTCTATCTCCCATCCTTTAAGCAAAATTATGCCAGATACAAGATAAAACATAGGTAACAGGAAAAAATTCCTAAAATATCACATGAACTACAATGAAAAGCTCTCCCTGCTGCCATGTCAATTCTCATCATTACAAAAGCACCAAGTAGATAGTTTGATCTCTATAAGTGACTAAAGACAATTAATCTGGCAACTTTCATGGTGACCATCTCAGTAAGATGGAGACATGGGGAGATTTTTCTAAAAGAGACTCTAGATCCTGTGGCATCTGTCCACTTGTCTAGGAGTTGTCCTCCCTCGCTCTAGCCTTTAAGGTCCATCATCTTCATCAGCCACACATATGTATTGGGTGCCCACCTTGTGGGACATACATCATACTATACTATGAGGGATGCCTAAGGGAGAGGAAATGGCCTCTGATGTCCAGGAGCTACTGATCTCACTAGCTCTGTCTGTTCCTCTCCTCTTCTACCCTTCAATGATTCTAGCATTCTGGAATATTGAGCACACATGCTCCTTTCCATGAGTTCTCTAATCACAATAGTTTCCTTTCTGAATGTCTCTTACTTTCTGGAATCAGGAACTACAAAAAAAAGGGGGGAGAGGGTGTCACCAGAGGCTGGAGTGGCTAAGAAATACTTCTGAAATAAGAAGATATAAAGGTTGAGCCTAAAAGAACCAGCCATAGTGGCACAAGTGTGGAGAGGTAGGAAGGACCATCTAGTGAAGAAGATGATACATGAAAGGTCCAGAGGTATGGAATCAGAAATGCTAAATGTGTTCTGCTTAAGCCACTGTGGAAAAAAAGTTTGTATAGTGCCGAGACCAGCTCCGTCATGGGGACCCTAACCCAGTGGCGCTAGAGGAATTAAAGACACACGCACAGAAATACAGCGTGTGGAGTGGGAAATCAGGGGTCTCACAGCCTTCAGAGCTGAGAGCCTCGAACAGAAATTTACGCACATATTTATTGACAGCGAATCAGTGATTAGCATTGTTTCTATAGATTATAGATTTACTAAAAGTATTCCTTACAGGAAACAAAGGGATGGGCTGAAATAAAGGGATGGGCTCTGGCTAGTTATCTGCGGCAGGAGCATGTCCTTAAGGCACAGATCGCCCATGCTATTGTTTGTGGTTTAGGAACACCTTTAAGCGGTTTTCCACCCTCGGTGGGCCAGGTGTTCCTCGCCCTCATTCCGGTAAACCCACAACCTTCAGTGTGGGCGTCATGGCCATCACGAACATGTCACAGTGCTGCAGAGATTTTGTTTATGTCCAGTTTTGGGGCCAGTTTATGGCCAGATTTGAGGGGCCTGTTCCCAACAGTAAAGAAAATAGTGATTGCATAGATCAGTGCAATCAGACTTTAGTGCTGTCCAACAGAAATGTAATGCAAGCCAAATACATAATTTCAAATATTCTAGCAGACATATTTAAAAAGTAAAAAGAAATAGGTGACATTCATTTTAGTAATATATTTCATTTGATTTAAATACCCAATATATTATCTTCATATGTAATTAAATATTATTCATGTGATTTTTATATTCTAGTTTTGTGTGAGGCCTTTGAAATCCAGTGTGTACTTTACATTACAGCACATTTCAATTCGGACTAGCCACATTTGAAGTTTTCAATAGCCACACATAACTAGTGGCTACCATATTGGGCAGCACAACTTTGAAGTACACGAGAATCACCTGGAGAGCTTGTTAAAACACAGATTGCTGGGTCTCACCCCCAGAGTTTCTCAGAGTTAGTAAATCTGGGGTGGGGTTCAATAATTTGCATTTCTAACAAGTTCCCAGGTGATGCAGATGATGGTTAGGAACTATACTTTGGTTCCACTGGTATAGATAAGCCACTGGTATAGATAAGTGGCTCTCAAGCCTGGCTCTGTGTGTTAGAAATACCTGAGGAGTTAAAAGCAAGGAAAAATTTTCTAATCTCCTGGCCATACCCTGGGCCACTTACACCAAAAACTTTAGAGGTGGGGTCCTGGCCTTGCTACTTTTTAAAAGTTGTCCAGGAGATTTTTACCAGCCAGATCAGAGAACCACAGAGGTAGGAAAAGAAAAAACTAGAAAGATGCTTTAATAGAAAATGGAAGTCTAAGTTTAAAAAAAGAAAAACAACTAAATTTTGTAGGTAATTTTTAAACAGGGCAGTGATATAAGATGAAAGCAATATTTTGACTTGCTTGAGTTGCTTGCCCTGGTGAAATAATAACCTACAGCAGGAAATGGTTAGAGAAAGGTTTAAAATCATTCAAGTGCTTGAAGAAATGAAGTAGGGCAATGGAAGGAGGGGAAATGAGAGAGTTACTCTCAGTCCAATTACATGACTATTCTACAAAGTGATGGAATAAAGGGGATGAACTATGTTCCAGTGGGCAAACTGTGGTATCTGTTTAGTTCAGCATAGAGCCATAAAATACTGACCACAAATGGAAATGCCTAAAAAGGCCCTGTAAGAAAGGTAACAGAAAAGGAGTGAGGAGGAAAAGCACTAAAAATGGAGTTAGATGCACACATTGTGTGAACGGTGGAGGTTATATTTGATTCAATTTGTTAGGCCTGATCTCAAGGGGGACGGTCCTCTCCTGTTATTTATCCCCTATTTGTGTCCACTCCTCTTGCTGCTAAACTTTTTCATTTTTTTTTAGACCAGACATGGTCCTCTCTTCAAGACTCGTGGTCTCTCGGAAGTAGAATCTCCTTGTCTGAGCCTCTGGTTTCAGGTTGAAACTCTAGGGAAATGAGTTCTCAAATATGCATTAAGTCAGCTAAAACTGTGAACAAAGGCAACAAAGGTCAGCTGTTCATGGAGAAACAGTCCCAGTTCTGGGATGACTAAAAATAGAGATATGTGTGGGTGGCTGACAAGCATAAGTTCATAAGGAAAATGAAGATTTCTAGACCTTTAACCACATTATCTATCAAACGCCATAGGCATATACTCTGTAAGAGCAGAGATGAATTGCTGCCAACATGTCACATAATTTAGGTCACATAATAGAGAAAAGCCAAAATAATAAATAAAACTCCTGGGCCGGGCGCAGTGGCTCACGCCTGTAATCCCAGCACTTTGGGAGGCCGAGGCGGGCGGATCACAAGGTCAGGAGATCGAGACCATCCTGGCTAACACGGTGAAACCCCGTCTCTACTAAAAATACAAAAAATTAGCCGGGCATGGTGGTGAGCACCTGTAATCCCAGCTATTCAGGAGGCTGAGGCAGGAGAATGGCGTGAACCCGGGAGGTGGAGCTTGCAGGGACCTCCAGCCTGGGCGACAGAGCGAGACTCCATCTCAAAAATAAATAAATAATAAAAATATAAAATAATAAAAAAATAAAATAAAACTCCTGGTAGCATAGGTCCTCTCCACACCACCTCATATATGGAATTGAACTCACTATGCCAACAGTAACCAACAGAAAATAGCTGAAGTGATAACTGCAGGTATCTGTCAACACATATTTAAAACGTTATTTCATGTCACTATAATTTATACCCATCTTTTCTCCTTGTTTCAGGCTAATTCCATTCAATATAAGAGTTTGGACAGCCTCCAAAGCCTGTTAATGTTAATAAGAACATTGATAAGATTCTTAACAAGTTTTTAGACTAAGCTGTCATTACCTTTACTACATCCTAGATTCCTTGTTCTCCATCTGGTATTTTCTTTCTGTTCCCTTGACATCTCTTCTTACTCATCTATAGTCTTAAAACATCCCAGTGAGCCCATTAACAAATTGCCAAACCAGATTGGCAATTAAATTGCATCCTTGAGCCTAAATTTTGTTTCTGAAGAGTCTTCTTTCTTTTTACAACATGCCCCCTGAAATTGCTGGCTCAAATCTTGCTGTGGGCCAGAGATCCTTTTTTCCCAAAATAACTGCACTCCCAGATCCATGATCAATAGGCTACAGAATGTCATCATCCTTGTCTAGGAAATCTCCACGCCCTTGTCTAGGAAATCTCCACGCCCTTGTCTAGGAAATCTCCATGCTGTACTGTTGTTTATCCATAAATTCACAATCACTTTTGATTTCTTGGGAAGGGAATTATTTTTGAAACTAGACTACCTCGGTTAAACATTCTGGATCTTACTAATCTCCATAGTTTTCATTGGCTTTTATTTAAGAGTCCTCCATCTAGTTCTACATGTCCTACTAATAACAACAACAACAAAAACTACTTTTCTACTCGCTACACTTCTGACACTAAATGTGTTTTTCCACACCAGCAACCGATTCTCCAACTCTTTGGACACCAAATGCATGTCCTATAATTTAATTCAACTGAAACTAACTACCTGGAATTAGTGCAGACCCCACAGTTTATGGGTTCAATCATACAAGACTGCCCCCCTCCACTTCAGATGCCAATTGCAAGTAGTGTACCATCAAATTACTCACACCTCTGTCTGATTTGGCTATAAATTGGGAGTTCCTGTGACCCTCTCCTCATACTTGATAATTTGTCATAATGGCTCACAGAACTCAGGGAAATCGTTTACTTACATATACTAGTTTATGATAAGAGATATTATAAGGATTCAAACAAATGGCTAGATGAAGAGGCACATAGGGTGAGGTCCAAAAGAGTCCTGAGAATAGGAGCTTCTGTCCCATGGAGTTGGGGCCCACCACCTTCCCAGCATGAGGATGCATTCATCAACCTCAGAGCTCTCTAAACCTCATTGTTTAGCGTTTCTATTGAGGTTCCGTTTATCATGCCTCTTTTAGAAACATGATTGATTAAATCATTGGCTATTGATGATTGGCTCAATTTTCATCCTCTTTTCACTCCCTGGAGGTCAGGAGTAGGGCTGAAAGTTATAACTCTCTAATCATGCTGTAATCTTTCTGGTGACCAGCCTCCAATCTGAAGTTATCCAGGGGTCCCTGCCACCAGTAATCTCATTAGCATACAAAAAATACTCTTACCACTCAGGAGATTTCAAGGATCTTAGAAGCTCTCCTGTCAGGAACCAGGGACTAAGACCAAATATTGTAACAAAAAAATGCTTCTAGCACCCCTTTTGCTCAGAAAATTACAAGGATTTTAGTAGTTCTGTGTCAGGAACCTGAGACAGAGACCATATATATATATATATATATATATATATATATATATAGTTTTGATGGTGATGGAAAACAGTCAATTGCTGTATTATAAAAAGAAAATTATGATCCTTCCTTAATGACTGAATCTCAGATTCAATCAAGAGACCATGAAATACTAATTTTCATTGTCACTCTAACTTTCCAAAGGAAAGTTAAAAGTTATTTAGATTTAAAACTTAAAATACACAATTGATGAATGAGTTCACTATTTTTAATGATGCTAATATTAATGGTTCATCAAACCTTTTCAAGGCAGAAATGATTCAGAACATTTACCTTGTGAAATTAATGAAAATAAAGGGATTAAAAAAATTTCTTGGAATTGTGAATAGGACAGGAGTCAGCATCTACTCTAAGGACTTCTTCAGATGTTCAAGCCTTGTTATCACTCAAATCAGTCTTAGGGTCTTTGCACAGTGAAACTCAGCAAATATTTCCCAAAACAAGGTAAGCCTTATTGGATTTATTCAAGCCGCTGTGCTTTGCAAGGCTGGAAAATGCATTCATCAGAGCTTGGATTTCTAAAGAAGAATTGCACCTGCTATTACACAGAGTAGGCGTTGGAACATTCATTCTGGGTAAACTTCTTTACAATGTAATCTGTTGGAAAATAGCTACAGCAGATACAATACCCCAACTCTCATTTAATTAGTATTTTTTGGAGGCTCCTAAGCCTTCTTGCGTGGATCAGCGCTCATGAATATTAAACATAAAGGATAAAAATCTTACAAGTAATCGCTGCCCTGTAAGTGCTTCACTTGGTTAAGCAATTTTTTTGAATTTATCAGCTAATTCTCAACTGGATCTTAACTCTTTTCAAATGAACTAGCTCCCTACTTGGCTCTCATGCAGATCACAGCTTGTTTGGGAACCTACGCAGCAAAATTAAGCTTTACAAATATCATTCCACAATATGGTGCTATCAGAAAGACCTTAACTTATACTGCAGTGTGGAGTGGGGCCTAGGGGGCTTTGGTGGAACCACACTGGTAAATTATCCTTCAAATTTGGGCTGGTCTAAAAAAAAGGAAACAAACTATTAGAGCAATTTTGATTCAAAGTCTAGAGACCTGTTACAGAGGAAAACTCTACATCAGAAGCCTAACTCAAACATTTAACATTTAAGACTCTAAACACAAATGAAAATTATAAAGAACATCTTGTTAATTTTCAAATAATTTTAACAATTCTACGATGAAGAATCTATTGTATAAATAATGGATAAAAAATAAGTCAGCATACAGTACAATTTTATCTTACTAGGATTCATGTCAGCTCTCTTTTTTTTGGTTTTGTACTTCAATCTACCCAAGAGCCACACTAAGTATTAACCTTCAGTCATTGAGTAACTGATTTTTGTTACTAGTCTTGAAAGCAAGATCTGTATATTATTTCTTTTTTTTATTGTTGGTATCTATCAAAATGTCTAGCACATAGTAGATTTTTAGAAAACATTTGTTGTAAAGAACTTAACTTCAGCAAATGGGTATAGATGGCACTATATGATCTACAGAGAATTAGCTGAGGTTTATAAGCAATATTCCCAATGCCATGACCTCTAAGTTGGCTTGTGGGCCTTCAATGCTTGCATAAGCTATTTGGGCAGGAGCTAAATCTAAGTATGAAAAAAAAACCTCAAGCTGGGCCTGTCTGCTGACTATTAAGAAATAATAAGTTATTCAGAGAACTGAGGAAACAAAAAGCAAGCTGTGTGCAATATATTAGTTAGAACTACTAAACAATTTTATGTAAACTTCTAATAGATTTTGACCATCCAAGCATTACCAAATGGCCTAAAATGTAAACCTCTGCCTTACAGTCTTCTTTTTGCATCTGCGCCCTTAGAAACTCACTGGTATTATTTATTTAAATTGACACTGAGGAGTTTTTTAAGTTTAAAATATAATAAATAGTCAATGTAAAAAATTTAGAAAATATAGGAATCTGTGAAAAAATTCTAAATCATTTTCATTCTTCTAGTCAAGGAAAATATTAACATTTTAGTTATCATCTTACAAT
This sequence comes from Homo sapiens, assembly GCF_000001405.40. NCBI lineage: Eukaryota > Metazoa > Chordata > Mammalia > Primates > Hominidae > Homo > Homo sapiens. The sequence continues at coordinate 153,334,381 of NC_000003.12, read as the reverse complement.
ATGTTTTAATACATAGAAACCACAACCCTCACAGATAAAATCAGAACTCCTCCGTGGAAGCCTTCTCACACAGATCTCACTAAGGGCTCAACATTATATATGAATGAACAGACAAAAACATATAGAGAAAAGAATGCAAAGACACATATATGTCAAAAGTACTTGCTTATGAGAGGGAGAGTAGACTCTTAATTTTATTGTGTATGTGTGTGTGTATATATATTTACACACAATACAACATTGCGTATATATATACATACACATACACAATAACATAAAGAGTCTACTCTCCCTCTCAGAAGCAAGTACACATATATATATATGGAAGTACATATACATATATATATATATATATATATATATATATATATATATATAGTATTGCCGGAAATATTTAAATAAGATGCATTTGTATATTGCTTATGAAGGAAAATATTTTTAAAAGGTCATAATAAAAAATGGGTGTAATATTACCTAAAAACATAAAAGTATTGTACATCCTATCATATTTTTTCTCTTTGTTTTGACTACTGGAATATCCAAAACTTATTACATCTAACTGTATTAGTTAACATAAACCCAAAACTCATAGTTAAAAAAAAATTAAATATAACTTCTCTTTTCATTTCCTACTCAGCTGTCACCTTTAAATTAATTTTTGACTCTTCTTACATTTATTATTTTATTATAATTTTTTCAGATTTTTGTTGGTTTTGAAAAATAGATAAAATAGAAAATAATTAAAATTAAAACATAAAACCAGAAAAAAAAAAAGCGCAAACTTACCATAGCTATCAAAAATGAATCCAACCAACCCGTATAATATTTGGGGCTTTTATTAAGAAAGTTGCTCAAAGTTCTGTGGTCTGTTTCCCCTGAGGATTTCAACCCAAAACTTAAAATTGTATTTCACCAGTATCAATAACTCACATTTACAATCACTAGTCTCACCTCCTCTTTCAGAATTTCTCCTGCGAAATCCTCCCTCCATACCCCACCATGCCACCATGTCTCAGTGTGATTTTGCTCTCCTCAGTACTTACAGCTGAGCTCTGTTCCTCCAGGAACTGCTTTGTTAGATGAGCCCTTTACATTGCTGCTTCCATTTCCACCAGTGATTTTTCTGTTATTGTATTTCTCTTGAACTCTACCATCCTCATAGGCACTACAGCTTCCTTTAGTGGGTATACCACTTCCTCTAAGAAAGTCCCCCCTGCCCCTCTGCTCCACCAGGCACAGCTGCCACCTCCATTGTGTTAGCAGCTACTTTCTTGTGACCATTGGTTCAAGTCTTGCTTGCCCTCTGAGCCTTCCGTGTACAGTGCTGCCTTGCGTTCTGTGGAGAAGACTAGAGAGGACCCCTCTGTCATTTTGGATTATATTCTGTATGAAGAATACCAAAGAAATACCTTTGTGACCTGATATCTTAAGCAGTTTATAGGAACATGGTATTTTATCTTTTTTAATTACAAAATTTCTCCTCTAGGAAATTTAGATATAAATAAAGAATAGAGCAAGGGGAATGTGGCTGCAATAGGAGATAAATACTGTGCTCTCTTCAGGCCTCTCAGTCCTATTTATTCCCTACCTATGACCACAGATTTGTTAAGATTTGACTTGTTGCCTAACATCTTCTTCCCTGAGAATCAAATTCTCTTCCAGTAGATGCCTCATTCTCTCATGCAATTAAGCCTCAGGGGACCACCCTGTCAATTTCCCAGACACTATCATACCTGTCAGTATTCCAAGGCTGTACTTGGCTGGGGCTTAACCTGAAAACTCCACTAGAGATATAAAAGAATGACTGGAATAAATAAAGAACAATACCGTATTCCTGAGTGAGAAACTACATGTAATTACAAGATCAATTTTTTTCTAAATTAAATAATAGCCTTAGCCAATCTGTCAAGCTTCACCAACTTGGGAGGCACAAAATAAAGTCACAGAACTTTTAATATTTAGATTAATATGACTTTGATCTCTATTCTGTTCATCATGAAAATTCATGGTTGAGATGAAACATTTATTACTACATGTGCTTTGTTTATCTTCCCAAGAAAGATATGGCCTATCGTTATAATTAAGCCACAATAATGGAGGGGAAATGTTCTCTTTATTTATAAATTTCTTATAAGCTTTGGTTCTTAAGCTTGTTTATGATTACATAGAGAAAAATCATATCATACTATTATAATTATCCACTGTGACATTACCAGCCACTATAGAGCTCTGTCATTATCAATAAAGCTAAAGTATTTAATTGAATTATTTCATTAAGCTGCTGCATTTAGTTTACATACATGGTTATTGAACAAACACACTTAATATTTTTTAAATAGATGACCTTTCTTGGAAGAGTTCCCTGAAGTTTATTTAACTTCTTTCCTTCTTGTTTGATGTGATACTTTCTAGTTGTTCAGGCCAAAGATAGCCATCAACAAATGAAGATTAAAAAGCCAGCTTTCTTAGTAAGAAAGTGAGTGGATGATGTTCTGTTCCTGGAAAGGACCTTCAACAATCATCCTATTCAAAAGTCAAAGAAGAAACAACATTTCAATGAAATGAAACTTGTTTTAGTTTTATTAGGAAGCCTCAGGGTAAACCTCTATTTATGTATTTTTGGAAATACTCTGAGTAGAATTCAAATATATTACCACATTAGCTAAAATGTCTTAAAATGTCAAAGAGGGGATATAGTGGTTTTAGAAGATTTTATGGATGGGTGGTTGATCTTTTCCAATAATTCATTGAAAAAATATGCTCAATTTTTTATGCATAAAAAATACCATTGAAAAGAAAAAAAAATCAGCTGCTCAGTTTTATGTTTAAAAGTGAAGGCATTTAATTGACTGCTGAATAAAAGGTAGCATGCATAACCTTTTTAAAAAATTATCAAAAGCATGTCCTTGATGTTAGCCTGACATTTTTCCCTTTGATTAGTCAAAAATAACATCATGGACTTATACAGCACTTTCATTCAAAGGGACCAAAGAACGTGCCTTAAAAAAATTGTGCATCTCCCATTATCTCTACAGAGATAAAGGTGAAAGGGACTTGCATTCTTTCTAATGAATAGTGGCTGTCTAAAATAAAAGAAGTTCACCTGGGCCCCACCCCATGAGCTACCTGCGCACTCCCTTCTTCCCACACCCATGTCCTGGTAAGTGATGGCCTTCCCCACCCAGTTCAGTATCTCCTAACAAACCACAGTGAAATACTAAATCCAGCTACAAATGTCCACTATCAGGAAGTCATTCTGGCCTATAGCTTTACAGACCATGGAATCCAGAGAAACTCTTCCTAGTCAGGGATTAGGAATCTTGAGTCATATTAGTTCTTTCACCATTTCTTCATTTATTCAATTGATATCCCTACTGAACTTTTATACTATGTGTAAGGCTTTGTGGTAGGTGCCAGAAAATCAATTCTGAGCAAGATCCACTAGGGCCATGCCCTCATGAGGCTTAGATTCTAGCTGGAGACATAGGTATTAAACAATTAATTGCACAAGTAATTATTTAAGTAAACTTGGGGAAAAGTATTCTGAGGTGGGAATAGTGGGTGCTATGAAAGCATAAAATGGGTAGATCTATCTGGAGGGTCAGAGATAGCTTCTGTGAGGCAAAGACATTGATCTAGGCTCCAAAATAGCAGCAAAAATTAGGCTAAAACAAGAGGAACAGCATTCCGGGAAGAGCTACAGTTTGCTCCAAGGTTCTGAAGTGGAAAGAAAAACCATACTGATTATTGTATTAAGGAGGACCAACTATATAGATAATTATAAGTTAGACTCTGTGGGAGTGCTTCATAAATAGTAAAACTCTGACTGAAAGTTAGTGATTACTTTTACTGGTTGTCACTATTACTGTTATTCTCTGAGTTTAGTGGTTTTCATGGCTTTGTTTTTCTCTTACTACTGCCCTTAAGAAGGATGTTGGATCACCCTTCTCTACTTCCTGGCAACGTCATGGGCAAATATTATGGATGTTTAAAAAGTTACAGTTTTTAAGACTAGCCACACCTCTAAAACTCCAGTCTAAATCAAAACGTTAATATCCCATCTAATTCCGTATCTGCCCCGCACCACCACCACCGCCCACTTATGCCCCACTCCCATCTGCTCAGGCCAGATCTGTGGCCTGTGAGGGGGTTTGCTGATCTTTTCTCCTTGTTCCCCTATTTGACCTGGTACTCACACGTCCAGGGTCATGGGGGTGGGAGGTAATTGTCAGAGAAGAAGTTAAAGGAAAACACCATTGTCTTTCTTTTCTGGTGCTGTTATATAATCTATATGCGTCCTCAGTGACGGCAGGTGCAGAATGCAGGTTCTTTCACACTTTCTTAGAGAGTGTTGGAGGGTTTTCTGGAGACTCCCTCTATGACCGCTACATGGCACCATTCTCTGACAAGGTAATGGACCTTTCATGAACCCTCTCATCTCTGCATCCTCCACTCTCATTCCAGTGATGATCCCACAGACTCAGCCAAGGTCATCACACTCCATAAACAATCTTCTTTGACAGGGTCCTGTCAAGATGGCACAAGTGGCTATTTTTCACGAGATTCACTTGGCCTGGAGAAATTTGTATCCGTGCTGTTGATATCAAAACTAGCTTCTTTGCTCTTCCTGCTGTCATAGACAACTCTACCTTGCCTTGAATTTCAGATCCCCCAGATACAGGCATCGGTGTCTGTGTTATAGACATTCCCAAATGCCCTCAAGATCAGTAAGGGAAGTATAAGGCAAGACTATGCATTTCTGCAGTTCAATAAATATCCAGCTGAGGAATAAAATTCCAGTCTCTTGCAAAAAAATTAAAAAAAAAAACGACATTATCAACCACAAAAATCTCTAGAAAACAACTCATTTTGCCTTAAGGGAGGGAAGACTGTGATATAGACAACTTTTTCTTTTCAAATTTTTCTTTTATCTAAGCTATTTGAAGTAATGTACACAAAGCCACATATCTTTTAGTATGTCCTGCTTAGAAATGTCTCTCTGCAAAATGTGACAGGGTTCTATCATCCACCAGGCTCAACTGGGGACTTCAGCTGAAATCCTGAGATAAGAAAAGTACCATTTAATATCCCATTACAGGAATGTTAGTTACTGTATTTTTGTTTGTTGTCTTATTATCATTCATTGTTTTTATTAAAACTATTGTTATATTTGTTGTTTAGAGAACACTGAGACACAAATAACATTGTGAAATTTAACATCTTTCCCCATGAAAACTTGTGTAGAAGATGCTGACTCTTCAGAACTGAAGAACTATTTACCAGCCTCTAGGGGTACTTTTGGCAGAGCCCTTTAGTTGTCTATCCCTTTTAGGAATTGGGTTGACTGAAGACAGTCACCTCATCCTGAGCCACCCTCATCCCCAGGTCACACTACCACTTACTGATAGATACAGAGGCATAAAGACTGCTCCCCTTCCATTCAATCCACATGGGTGGATCCCAAAAGCATTGCTAGCAAACTTCTTGCATGCTAATTGCAGTCTCACAATCTGCTTCCCAGGGTATCCAACCCATGACAGATTATGAATAAATAAAGAATACCCACTGTCTTTGCTGCTACTAAACATTCTGCTGAGGTCTTAGTCAAATGCAAAGTGACAAGAAAAAGAAAACATGCTTGCAAGCTTGCAGGTTGGGCAAGGCGGAGGTTGCAGTGAGCCAAGATCGTGCCACTGCACTCCAGCACTCCAGCCTGGGTGACAGGGCGAGACTCTGTCTCAAAAAAAAAAAAAAAAAAAAAAGGAGGAAATAAAGAAGTCATTATTTACAGATAACATAATCATACATAGACAATTCTAAATAATCTATAAAGTATAAGAATCAATAGAAATCCCAAGGGAATCACTTGAACCCTGGTGGCGGAGGTTGTGGTGAGCTGAAATCATGCCACTGCACTCCAGCCTAGGTGACAGAGTGCAACTGTGTCTCCAAAATATATATATATTACAAAAATGTTTAAATTTTTATAGTATTGAACATAAAGCTTTAAAAAGTTTTAAGGTTAGCAAGTAGATTATATTAAATTTTCATTTAATAAACTTTTCTTGAGTTCTTTACACCAGGCATCAAGCTAGTAAGCACTATTTGTATCACTAAATTATGGAATAGAAAGGGTACTATCTCTCGAGTCCAACAATTAGCTTGAGAAAAACAAAACATGTTCAGAATAACTAGTCTGAGTGAGGAGAGCATTTTTTGTATCTGAATAAAGGAATATCTCTTATGAATATTTTATCTAAAATATCCACAGAAAACATAGACAAACTTGAAATGCCAACTACCTCATTGTAACATATCCTTTTCAAAGTATTTTTAATGTGAATATTCCTAGCTTTTGAAATTTTTATAACCAGAGTAAACATGCTATGTGTTTTGCTTTTTCATATCCCACGTATGATTTCCCACATATTAACATATTCTAAATTTTGTGACTCTTTAATAACAATATAGTATCTACTATTATTTGTGGACCACGCAGTTTATATAACCAGTTTTTTAGATGTTATTTATTTCAATTTTTGTTTTTTTATTTTATTTTTTTTTGAGACAGAATCTTGCTCTATCCCCCAGGCTGGAGTGCAGTGGTGTGATCTTGACTCACTGCAACCTCTGCCTTCCAGGTTTGAGGGATTCTCATCCCTCAGCCTCCCGAGTAGCTGGGATTACAGGTGCCTACCACCACGCCCAGCTAATTTTTGTATTTTTAGTAGAGATGGGGTTTCGCCATGGTGGCCAGGCTCGTCTCAAACTCCTGACCTCAGGTGATCTGCCCTCCTTGGCCTCCTAAAATGCTAGGATTACAGGTGTGAGCCACTGCGACCAACCCAAAATTTTTACTATGAAGGTTTTCCACTTTCAAAAGTATATATATGCAAGAAAACACAAAAAGAATAAAAAGAAAAACAGTATATGTATTTGTATGTATGTGTATTTTCATTTTGGGTTGTTTTCTTAGAGTGTATTTTTTAAATAAACATTTTATTTAGAATAGGTTTAGGTATATAGAAAAATTGTGAGGGGCCAGGCGTGGTGGCTCACAACTGTAATCCTAGCATTTTGGGAGGCCAAGGAGGGCAGATCATGAGGTCAGGAGATTGAGACCATCCTGGCCAACATGGTGAAACCCGTCTCTACTAAAAATACAAAAGTTAGCTGGATGTGGTGGTGGGTGCCTGTAATCCCAGCTACTCGGGAGGCTGAGGCAGGAGAATCGCTTGAACCAGGGAGTTGGAGGTTGCAGTGAGCTGAGATTGCGTCACTGCGCTCCAGCCTCGCACAGAGCAAGACTCCATCTCAAAAAAAAAAAAAATTTGTGAGGATAGCACCAAAAAAGTGCTTTACCTCGTATATATACATATCTGTCCTCACAGTGCATGGGGCCCTGGAGGGAGAGTACACACTTCATATGGACTCTCTCTTCTAGAATCTGTCGTATCCAGAGATCCATGAAATTGCTACTTTCCTGAATAACAATCTCAAGCTTCGATTTATTGTTATACTTGAGGCTTTAACTTTCAAGTGCCATCCAGATGAGTTTTTTCCCTTGCATATATTTTAGGTGATCATATTTTTATTGCAATAATTAAACTTGACAGTAAAAATAAGGCAAAATATAAAATGGTACTAGCATTAACTCAGTATCTGTGTCATACACCGTAGTAGACACACTGCCTTTGTTAAATCATTTAATCCCAACAGTAACCCTAAAATGGAGGTATTATAACACCATTGTATTTGTAAGAGAGCACAAAGTACCTGGTTTGTAATTAGTCAGGAATTTGAGTTTGTTTAGCTGTAAAATACACTGCAGTTCTACGTCAAACTAAATACAGTTTGAATGTGTTCATCACCACAATGGCAAAGACATGAAATCAACCTAGCCACCCATCAATGGTGGACTGGATAACGAAAATGGGGTATACATACATCATGGAGCACTATACAGCCGTTAAAAAAATCATGTCCTTTGCAGCAAATGCAGCTGGAGGTCATTATCCTAAGGGAATTAACACAGGAACAAAAAAACAGATACCAAGAGAGGAAGTCAAACTATCCCTGTTTGCAGACAATATGATTTTACTCCTAGAAAAATCCCATACATAGTGTCTGGCAAAAAGTTTCTTGATCTGATAAACAACTTCAGCAAAGTTTCAAGATACAAAATCAATGTACAAAAATCAAAAGTTGGCCGGGCGTGGTGGCTTACGCCTGTAATCCCAGCACTTTGGGAAGCCGAGGCGGGTGGATCACCTGAAGTAAGGAGTTCAAACCAGCCTGGCCAACACGGCGAAACCCCTTCTCTACTAAAAATACAAAAATTAGCCAGGTGTGATGGCAATTGCCTGTAATCCAAGCTACTCGGGAGGCTGAGGCAGGAGAATTGCTTGAACCTGGGACGCGGAGGTTGCAGTGAGCAAGATCGCGCCATTGCACTCCAGCCTGGGCGACAAGAGTGATACCCTATCTCAAAAAAAAAAAAATCAGAAGTATTGTCAGACACCAACAACATCCAGGCTGAGAGCCAAATCAATAACGCAATCCCATTCACAATAGCCACAAAAAGAATAAAATACCTAGAAATAAAGCTAACCAGGGAGGTGAAAGATCCCTGAAATGAGAATTATAAAACACTGCTCAAAGAAATCAGAGATGACACAAACAAATGGAAAAACATTCCATACTCATGGGCAGGAATAATCAATATTGTTAAAATGGCCATACTGCCCAAAGCAACTTGCAGGTTCAATGCTATTTCTATCAAACTATGAATGGCATTCATCATAGAATTAGAAAAATATATTTCAAATTTCATAAGGAACCAAAAAAGAGCCTAAATAGCCAAGGCAATCCTAAGCAAAAAGAACAAAGAAGGAATCATCATGTTACCTGACTTCAAACTATCCTACAGGGCTACAGTAACCAAAACAGCATGGTACTGGTACAGAAACAGACACATAAACCAGTGGAACAGAAGAGAGAGCCCAGAAATAATGCCATACACCTGCAACTATCTAATATTCAACAAAGTTAACAAGAACAAGCAATGAGGACAGGACTCCCTATTCAATAAATGGTGTTGGGATAACTGGCTAGCTATATGCAGAAGAGTGAAACTGGACCCCTTCCTTACACCATACACAAAAATCAACTCAAGATGAATTAAACACTTAAATGTAAAACCTAAAACCATAAAAATCCTGGAAGATAACCTTGGAAATACCATTCTGGACATAGGCCCTGACAAAGATTTCATAGCAAAGATGCCAAAAGCAATTGCAACAAAAACAAAAATGGACGAATGGGAACTAATTAAACTGAAGAGCTTCTGCACAGCAAAAGAAACTATCAACAGAGCAAACAGACAAACTACAGAATGAGAGAAAATATTTGCAAATTATGCATCCAACAAAGGTCTAATACCCACAAAAGTGTGCAAAGCACATGAACACACGTTTCAAAAGAAGACATACACATGACCCATGAGCCTATGAAAAGATGCTCCACATCACTAATCATTAGAGAAATGCACATTAAAACCAGAATGAGATACCATCTCACACCAGTCAGAATGGCTATTTAAAAAGTCAAAAAATAACAGATTCTGGCAAGGTTGCAGAGAAAAGGGAACACGTATACGCTGCTGATAGGAATGTAAACTAGTTCAGCCTTTGTGGAAAACAGTGTAGTGATTCCTCAAAGGACTTAAAACAGAATTAGCATTCAACCCAGCAAGTCCATTATTGGGTATATACTTGAAGGAATATAAATCATTCTACCACAAAGACACATGTACATGTATTTTCATCCCAGCACTATTCACAATAGCAAAGACATGGAATCAACATAACTTCCCATCAATAGTAGACTGGATAAAGAAAATGTGGTACATATATACCATGGAATACTACACATTCATAAAAAAGAACAAGATCATGTCCTTTGCAGCAACATAGATGGAACTAGAGGCTATTAACCTAAGCAAACTAAGAAGGAACAAAACAAACAAACAAACAAATACCATATGTTCTTGCTTATAAATGCACCTAAACAATGCAACACATGGACACAAAGAGGGGAACAACTGGGGGCCTACTTGAGGGTGGTGGGTGGGAGGAGGGAGAAGATCAAAAAAACTACCTATTGTATACCATGTTTATTACCTGGGAGATGAAACAATCTGCACACCAAATCCCCATGACATGTAGTTTACCTATATAATAAACCTGCTCATGTACCCCTAAACCTAAAATAAAAATTAAAAAAAGAGAAGAAAACCAAATACTGCATATTTTCACTTATAAGCAGGGGCTAAACCTCAGGTACTCATTGACATAAAGATGACAACAGTAGACACTGGGGACTACTGGACGGGAGAGTGGGGAAGGGCAGTAAGCACTGAACAATTAGCTATTGGGTACTATGCCCACTACCAGGGAGATGGGATCATTTGTACCCAAACCTTAGAATCATGTGATATACCTGTGTAACAAAAATGCACATGTGCCATCGAATCTAAAATAAAAGTTGAAATTATAAAAAATAAAATAGTTTTTTAAATTATCATAGTAAGAGATTTAATTCAGAAAAACTCAAGAGAATAAATATTTATAAAGGGTCATACTGTGGAGAAGTCCAGTACCTTAAAAATGAAATTTTTATATTCAACATTACTGCAAATCATTCTAGAAAATGTACTGTAACAGCCTCAGGACCTTGTGCATATTAAAAGTGAAAGCAATTTATCTGTCATCCATACAAACCATTCTAATCCAGTTGTTTCCCCAAGTGATTTCCTGGAAACATTAATTCCACAGAATTTCTACAGATGTAGGCATTAAATGTGGGAGACTTTAAAATAGCAGTTCAGAGTGAGGAATCTAGGTTCAGAGAAGTTGAGTTCAAATCATACCCCCACCACTTATGTGATCTTGAGTAAATTTCTTAATTGCCTTATGCTTCAGTTTTCTAATCCGTGAAATAGGAATAAAAATGGTATTTACATCACAGGATTAATATATGAATACATTGATACATAGTAGTATTCAATAATGAATAGTAAGCACATAGTAAGCATTCAATAATGGTATTGAATTACTAGTATTGTTATTGTTATTAGTATGAGTATTACCTTCATGTTAAAAAAATACAATGGTCAAATATGTTTGGGATATGTTGGGTTAATAAAATGAAACATGTCTCTTCTGAAAAAATAAATAAATATAGTTTGAAACCATGTCACAGTCAATAATTATATTTCATAATTTGTTAAATATTTGCATCATACCTTAAACACAGTGACCTATTGGACAGACTAAAAGTATTGAACCCTATCCAATTTGTTGAAAACCTACAGTTCTTCATAGTCTAAATACGCCAATAAATTTAAAGGCATACACATATTTTTTAAACATATGATAGCTAATTTGCACACTTCACATGTTTTGTTATTCTCAGTGAAGGCTGATCTGGTCATAAATATTTTATGAAATCTTCATGTGCTGTAAGCAGAGTTTAATTTTCATACATATTAGGATTCAGCTGGAACAAAGCATTGTGATATTTGGGCTTCATATTTACAAAGGCTATATGATGACTTACCTACATTAAAATAGGTTTTAATATTTCTTGAGACTGCAGATGCAACCTATAGGGTAATGAAGAATCTGCGTTAGCAAGAAAGACAATAGGTCATTCCTTTCATCTCTTTGAAGCCATCCTGTTTTCCTAAATTTCATGTGTGGAGAACACCCACATATTCTTCCAGAGAGTTCCTTTGTAAACTCCACTATTTTACTTCTTAATGTGTATTTTAGTGAAGCATTTCATGGTCACTAAAAACTGCAATTAAAGAACCACAAACAAATCTTTGGTATGACCTTGGGAAGAAAAAACATATTTCACATTTGATTATAAAGCCCTACGTCTGTTTTTTGGGAGGGACTGATTTAGAATAGACATACTGTTGTTCCTCTTTTGACACAGAATAGGGTTTCAAGAAGTGATAAAAGGCACAAAAGCAAGAATTGGCCTGATGAGAGCATGTGGACAGAATTCTCTAGATACACAAGTAATGTTTATAAAGCTATCACCCCTAAATCCAATCCAGGAGCAGTGTCTCACATATAGACTCCAGACCCAAAAAGGAATACATATAATCTTCAGTCATGCCCTTTTTTACTTTTAAGGAGCTGCAAATACTTAGACTACAGCAAATGTTCTTAATGTATGGCACCACAAACTCTCAGGTGTCTCCTTCTCATCTAGGAAGAATTTTCTCACTCATCTCACCTGTTCTTATACCTTGGTCCTCCTTATCAACTGCTGCTCCAAAGTGCACAGTTTCTCGTAATACACTCAGGACACTTCCTGACTTCCCAGTGCTTGGAATTAGAGAGAAAAATTATTTGTTCTGAATCCCTCTCTACTTTTTGCATCCATTCATGAAATTTTGTCCTTTTTCTCGGGATGGAAGAGAGAAAAAAAAAACTGATCAGGCAAAAGGGGAAGCAGAAGTCCGTGAACCCCATGGGTTAACCATTTTATCCAATTTAACATGGAAAAAATGTGTTTCCTAAGAGAAATATATAATAGTAAATTATGAACTTTGAATTGTCTCTTTGAGAACTTTGAATTCTCTTGAGAAGGTGGTAGTGAAAATCAAACTCCTAATTGTAAAGTTAGATATGCATAAAAGTCTTTTTTAAATAATAGAGTCTTATATGACATTGTAGTCAAAAATTTTTGTGATGGAAAAAATAGGAAACATAAGTTTAAGTCAATGACAAAGCTTAAGATGTAATTCAATGATTTGAAAGATGTTTTATTCATACATACCAGCAAATGAACAATATCTTGTTACAGAATGAGATCATGCTTTATTTTGTAGTCTTATTTTATAATTAAAAACATATTTCAATGTCAATAATTATAAATTTTTATCATTATAGATGCTGCAAAATATTCTATTGTGTGAATAAACCATATTAAAAATTCCTCTATTTCTGCCTGTATTATAGGCTCTTTCCAGATTTTCACTATTACAAACACAGTGATAACATAATGAATAAGTTACATAATCCTGAACATTTATCTTTTTATTTTATTGAAAAATTGATGATTCAAAGATCATGAGTATTTCTAAGCTTTTGTATATACATCTACAAATTGTCCTTCATGGAAGTTAGTAACAATTTATCCTCTCAACAGTAGTGTATAAAGGTCCTATTTTCATACTTGACATACTTCTGTGACATAAATTAATGTGTAAATACATGATTATCCATTATTTTTATCTAAAATGAGACTGAAGCATCGCCATTCTTCTAACCTCCTATTCAAGCTGACATCCAGGAAATATAAATTGCTTGGGTTTGCTCAAATATGGATGGATTGTCTTAAATATATGCCACTCAAATTACTTCTCAAGATGTACACAATTCACAACGCTCCATTGTTTGCAGCGTCTATTTGAATCTTCTTGTCAATACTCAGACAGTATTCAAAGAATATGCCGTTCTGAACTTACCTTCCCAAGATGCCTTAGAAGCGTCTGCTCTCAGCTGCAGCATACCTTCCTCCTTTAAACTGCAGATTTCCTAAGCTTGTTTTGGCACGAAATGTATCCTCATGTGGCATGGATGCCAGAATATTGTCATGGGAATTTTTGAAAACAAAAATAAAGGAATATAAAGGCCTAGAATAGTTTGCTAATACATATTTCATCTAGAAGCTGAGCATTAAAACATCATTCTTTGGCTCCCATTAGACAAGGGGAAAGTTGACAGTCTGATCATAATTATGCCTGCATTTTCTTACTTTTAACACCTTATCTCAGAATTTTCTACAGATCATTCTACCAGCAAACAAGAGTAGCCCCAAGCATGTTTCTTTTTGTAAGGTTTTCTTAAGTTTCTTGTCTTCAACTCTGGGATTTCCCCAGTTTGGATTTGCTGGTGAATTTCTGCCTTCTCTGTCTTACTTGAGACCTTTCCCCAACACTGGAAAAATAAAATAGAAACTGAAAATGAACTTTGCAAAAACGTCAGTCCACAATGATAAAGAAACTAGGAGAAGAGGGCAAGTTCAACAATTAATAAAGATAAAATTCCCCATAATCTGCTATGCTAATTCTTTGCATTTTTTCCCAATAAAATAAGACAAAATACTAAAATAAGACCACACAGAACCAACACAATATTATGACCTTTTATAAATTGAGAAGTGAAATGTTAACAGCACAGAGTATTCTGGTCACAAGCAGAAAAGATTAAGGAACTAGAGCTGTCCTTTCTGTATTTGTTATTCCTCCTGCCATATGAGGAAACATGGAGGCAAAGCAAGGTGGAAAAAGACAACCCTTAAGCCACAGAGTCTGAAATCTTTCTCTTAAAAGTCAAGATAACTTACAGCTAATTGTAGCTGTCTTAAAACCTTTCCGTGGAGGACCCACCCAGATCTCTAGGCAATTACAGCCTCACAGTGGAGATGGAGAAGCTAAAACACCATTAAAATCACAGTCAGTCAGAGGCAGAATTGGTCACAGAACTCTGCTTTTATTTTCTCCATCCCAGATCTCTGATAATTTTGGAGTCTGGAGTTTCTCTTCCTTGCAGAGAAAAATAAGAAATGAAAGAGGACCTGTAGGAATATTTGCAACCCCACCTAGAGTTTTTAACTTAAATGAAGCCACAATCTCAGAGTGTGTGATTCAATATATTTTCTTAATTGTAAATACCTTTTCTAGTTTTCTCCTTCTGTTGCTTGTGCTAATCCTTATGTTTTTCTCCACTAAAACTTCTTTTTTATTTTTGTTTATTTTTTTTTTTTTAGAGAATTGAAGGATTCACATTAGGTATGGAAACAAACACATATGAGTTGAGATTTCTTAGAAAATATATAATTTAAAAAATGTATTAAAGTCATTATTCATACTCCCCTCTCTCTCCTCTCTCTTTGCTCTCTCTCTCTCCTCTCTCTCTGTGTGTGTCTCTCTCTGCTCTCTCTCTCCTCTCTGTCTCCCTTTCCTTGGTGTGTGTGTGTGTGTGTGTGTGTGTGTGTGTGTGTGTGTGTGTGTCTCCTCTCTCTCCATCTGTCTCTCTCCTCTCTGTCCCTGCCTCTCTCTCTCCTCTCTTTCTCTTTCTCTCTGCTTTCTCTCTCCTCTCTCTCTCTTCTCTCTGTCTCCCTCTCTTTGGGTTCCTCTCTCTCTCTGAGTCTTTCTCTCCTCTCTCTCTCAGTCTGTCTCTCTCCTCTCTCTCCGTCTCTTTCTCCCTGTTTCTCTCCCCCATCTCTCTCTCCTCTCCCTCTTTCTCTCCTCTCTCTCTGTCTCCCTCTCTCTCTCTGTCTCCCTCTCTCTGTCTCCCTCTCTCATCTCTCTCTCCTTGTTTCTCTCTCCTTTCTCTCTCTTCACCTTCCCTTCCCCTCCCTTCCCTCCCCTCTCCTCCCCTTCCTTCCCTTCCCTTCTCTCTCTCCCTCTCTCTCGGTCTCTGTGTATGTGTCTTTCTCTCCTCTTTCCGTCCGTCATCTCTCCCTGTCTCTCATCTCTCTCTCCTCTTTCCTCAGTCTCGCTCCTCTCTCTTTCTAAAAAAAAAAAATAATAAAGCCATTATTCACAGTCGTCAAAGCCCTACAAAAAATCTACCCCCTGCTTATTTCTTCAAACTCACTTCCCTCTAATTTTTTTGTTTTGTTTTGTTTTTTGTTTTTGAGACGGAGTCTCGCTCTGTCGCCCAGGCTGGAGTGCAGTGGCACGATCTCGGCTCACTGCAAGCTCCGCCTCCCGGGTTCACGCCATTCTCCTGCCTCAGCCTCCTGAGTAGCTGGGACTACAGGCGCCTGCCACCACGCCCGGCTAATTTTTTGTATTTTTTTTAGTAGAGACGGGGTTTCACCCTGTTAGTCAGGATAATCTGGATCTCCTGACCTCGTGATCCGCCCGCCTCGGCCTCCCAAAGTGCTGGGATTACAGGCGTGAACCATCGCGCCGGGCCACTTCCCTCTACTCTTATGCTCTATATAGGCCAACACTCCACCCTCACTCCTGGTTTAGGTTTTTAAAGATCCTATTCTGTCTGCCTAGAGCACTCAGTTCCCAGTTGTTCACATGGCTGTCTCCTTCTTGTCATTTATATTTGGGCTTAAATATTCTCTTAGAAAAATTTTATCTTTCCTCCTCTGGTCAAGTTATAATTTTCAAAAAGGTAAAATCATGACTATCATACTAATAGCTGAATGAATATTAGATTTATTTCACTCATCAATAAGGGAACCAGAAAAATAGTTTTCCTTTTTCCAAGGAAAAATTAAGAAACAGATGTTTATGTATCATTCCGGAAAGGTATACAGAAATAAATTCGCTATATTAGGGATAAAACTAGTTATATCCTATAAGACAATAAAGCCATAAAATCGGACACGATTTTTTCTGCCAGATAGAACCCACTGGTATTTCTACTGGACAATAATCCTCATGTTAACATGTAACTTTTCAGAGTTTGGACCCTAATCACTAGTAAATACTAAGACAAGCATCGATACATTGATACACCCATAAAGAATTAAATAACTCTTAGTGGCTGATAGACAGTAGACCAGTATGGTATTAAAGAGACATGCAGTAAAATTTGTATAATTTTTCTTAAGAAAAGGTAAAGAAGGCTCTTGGCCAGGCGCGATGGCTCACGCCTGCAATCCCAGCACTTTGGGAGGCCGAGACGGGTGGATCACGAGGTCAGGAGATCAATACCATCCTAGCTAACACAGTGAAACCCCGTCTGTACTAAAAATACAAAAAGATTAGCCGGGCGTGGTGGTGGGCGCCTGTAGTCCCAGCTACTCGGGAGGCTGGGGCAGGAGAATGGCGTGAACCCGGGAGGCGGAGCTTGCAGTGAGCCGAGATCCCGCCACTGCACTCCAGCCTGGGCGGCAGAGCAAGACTTTGACTCAAAAAATAAAAATAAACATAAATAAATAAAAGGTAAAGAAGGCTCTTACATCCTGGACACTGTGCTTCATATAATCTTCTTTTATTTCTTTGTTATTGCACCAATTACTATAAGAAATCATCTCATTCTTTTTTGTTTAATTTATTCTTCATTGCCTGCCTCTCCACTATGAGTTATCCAAGAGCAGAGTATGTGTCTTTCTTATCCTGTATCCTGAGCCCTCAAAACAATTCCTGGCATACGGTAGATGCTCAAGAAAGGTTTGTTGGATGACAGGGTGCCCAATAATGTTTTAGTGAGAGGGGAGAATGCATAAAAATTAGAAAGCAGTGGAAACTGAGTATTTGGTTGAGAGGAGAAAGCATGTACAAATGAAGAAAACATAGAAAAATAGATGGTAATATATAGTAGTGCTGAATGATAGACACACTAAGTGTTTTAGAAGTAATAATATACATACTGTTTTAGAGAACTGTCAAGATGCTACCTTCCATAGGAAAATACTGTAACTTCTAAATGTTGAAAATATGACTCCACCAGAAATATTTATGGCTAAATTTGATAATAAAAGAAGTTCTACAATGACAGAACCTCTATTAAATGTTAGCAGTATAAGCTATGTTTCAATATATGTGTTACAGAATTTATATTATGGTGTGTAGGTTTAAGAGGCAATTTAAGTGAAAATCTGAAGAGAAACTTGAAATTTACTTAAAGCGAAACATTTGTTGAGTTCACCCATTGTTTAAGGCAGACTGTGTATTATGATAGTTTATGACATCTAGTCTGTTTTTCATAAAACTCCCTTCGCCTAGCCTGATGAGTGGCAGGTAGACATTAGCCTGAAAAAAGCATTTATGCACTTGAAAAAGGCATGGCAGTTTCCCTATGGTGGGGGTGGGGGAAAGGATTTAGCATGCCCTTTTCCTTTCTCTTATTTTTATCTCAGTTGTTATTTTATTCTCTGCTTTTGGCTCTTACCACCCCAGAAATTAACTCGCAGATATCTGAAAACAGACTGAGGAGAAAAGGGGAAACTTGATAGATGTATAATTCTTTAAGAAGTATTTCCAGCCTTCCCTACAAAACAGAAGTAAACAAAAAGGGAGAAAATGTTAGATTGATAAGTCTGTTTGAAGCTGAATGGATCAATAAAAAGTCAACAAATGTCATCCAATTCAAAGTTCTTAACAAGTTAAAATTTTGTGTGTGCATGTGTATAAAAATAAAGGGAAAGCTTAAGTTACTTACATTCCTGCTTAGTTTTATAATCCTTAAAAACTGAGTTAAACATTCTTAACTCATCTGGAATTGTGTGGTTGGCACTGGATTTACAGAGAGAAGAATAACAAATACAATGGAAAACTGCTGCCACAACAGAAGAACATGCATTTCTTTCCATGTAATCATGACTTTTTTTCTAATTTGGAAGATAGTATTCAGCTTTTCTAGTAAATTTTTATTTCCAGTAAAAAGAAGGCATAGAAATTCCCAAGCCCTCTAGTAATTATTTGTTTTATGGTGTTTATTCAGTGACATGACAATTTCATGAATAGTAGGTTTTCTTGAGAAACTAAAAAGCTTTTTATAGGATCTTAACAATCTTCAGCAAATAAAAGAAAGCCAGTTGAAGATAAATTGAAGCAGTATGATTTTTATGTAAAATATGAAGACATGCAAAAGTAAACATTATTTTTAAGGAATACTCACACACTTGGTAAAATTACTAAGAAAAACAAGAAAATGATATCACAAAATTCAGAATAACTGAGATCTGGGTAGAAAGGGCAGCATAATTATGGAAGGCAAATAGGGAGCATCAAACATTGAAAGTGTTCTGTTTCTTAAGCTGATTGGTGGGGGGATGAATTTTATGTATATTATGCTTTACATTATACATACTACATGATAAAATAATTCATAGTTTTTAAAGTGCCTTATATTTCTGCTTCTAGTTTTATCATAACAGATTAAAAATCCTAAAATTTCTCATCTATAAAGTTAGAAATGACACGTAGTATAGATTTAAGTCGTTGAACTGGTAAGAGTGGCAGGAGGCAGCCAAATGCCTAGGCAGATAGGGGTGGGTCCCCAGTGAAACCCTACCTCCAAGCCCAAGGCTGTTTAAAGCCGAAAGACAAGCTGCAAGTTACATCCTTGACTGGATTGAGAACTTCTCTTCCCATTTGGCTTGCTTTCCTCTAACTGATCCCAACCCTTCACCTATTTTACATATACCTACCCCTTCCTAATTGGTTTTCTATACTGTCGTGCCCATCTTTGAGTGGTGTCTTTGCCTTAACCTTTTTTACATATTCCCAAACCAGTCAGCATGTACTCCTCATTTTGAGTCCATAAGAGGCCCAGACTCAGCCACCTGGGAGAAATTTCCCACCTTCAGGTAGGGGAACCACCCTCCGACCCCTACATCCCCTCTTTGCTGAGAGCTTTCCTTTCACTTAATAAATTCTGTTCCACTCACTCTCTGGTGTCTGTGTGCCTAATTCTTCCTGGTTGTGAGACAAGAACTTGGACCTAGCTGAGCTAAGGAGCAGAAAGACCACAACACCAGTAGTTTTTAAACTTCAGGGTATCCCCTATTGTCAAGAGCAAAAAAAAGCAGAAAACCTCAGAAGGTATGAGAATGAGAAAACAGTATGTAGCATAGCATGAGGGCATCTATGAGATTCATGCAGATGGCCTGAAGCCTCAGGCACCTGTGCAGGGCAAGATAAAAGATCTGAACCACCCCAAATAAAGCTAGGACCTTGCTGGCTCTATGCGTATAAAACAGGATGGCCTACAAGAAAACCTTTTTAGCAATGGTAGATTAAAAAGAAAACTGTCTAATCTCTATGTTTTAGCCAGCAGAAAATACCCCTGGAATTTAGCAAGGACAAACTAGCCCATTCAAGCCTGAATTCACACATGTGTTATCCCAAAATTCCCCAAGAAGAAACCTTATTAAGGAGTGGATGATGATGGACTTCACCAGCACCATAGCAGCAGTAAATGTTGATTCCCTCTCAACCCAGGCATCACAAAATTCCTATTTAGAAGCTTAAAAATTAAGATTACATAATTACTAACACACATGCTCACACACACACACACACAGAGAGGAAAGAATGAGAAAGAAATAAGAGTCAGCAATCACAGCAAACAACAAAAACAGACAAAGACCTCGGATCCTGGAGTCATTAGATTCAGACACACCCAAACCAATATACATCATAGTGAAATTACTAAACACTGGGACAAAAAGACAATCACAAAAGCTTCCAGAGAAAGGAAAAAAATAGCCACAAAGTACAAAAAAAAAAATAATAACTTCAGGCTTCTCAGTAGCAGCATGAATGCTAAGAAATTTTAAGGAAGGTTTTCAAAATTCAAAAGGAAAATTCTACAGACTTCTACACAACCAAACCATCCCAGCCAGTAGGAAAACATGCTCAGACATGCACATCTCAAAAAATGTACCTCCTATGCTCACTTTTCTTGACAACTTTTGGAAAATGTACTCCACTGAAAAGAAGAAATAAGCCAAGAAAGAAGAAGTCCTGGTATAAAGTTGAAATGATCCTACAGAGGAGCCTGAGAAGGGGAATCCCAGGGATGGTGCAGAGAAAGATTCCCAGATGGTAACTGTACATCTGATAAAAAGATCACCTGGTGTGGTTTTCAGTGGCTCTGGGAGGGACTTCTGTGAAAGATGAAACCAGAAGAATGCCAGACACATCTGACATCTTAAGAAGAGAGGTAGAAAACTGGCAAAGCATTTGGGACTGTATTAATTATAAGTACATAGAAAACACAGCAAATGAAAAGAAAGAAGGCAAGGAAACAAAAAGTTGTACAGAAAAAGGAATCAATCATGTTTCCCCACTGGCCTCAATTGTGAATGAGGCTCCCTTAAGTCACAATGATGCAACTGCTATGATGGGATAGAAAATAATCCTTGGGGACTGAGAGATGACAGAGGGGTGACTGAATGTGCAGTCAAAAGATAATGCCTGAGGCTGAAAAATCAAAAAGTTATGAAAGAAGTATGTTATTTAGAGAAAACGCTATAATTACCAAATAAATCACTTAAAAGAGGTGAAAATGCATGCAAACACTGAAGATGCAGAGGTGATGGAGAAGAGATGTACTGCTGTTTTTCTTAACAAACTTCAAAGAGTTATAAGAATGCTTTCCAAAGAAATAAAATGAGTACCACATTTGTAAGTGTAAATTTTATAGTACCCACATTTAAGTTAAAAAAAAAAAAGCTAGTGAAATTCATTTTTTATTTTTAGTTTCACTCTTGTCGCCCAGGCTGGAGTGCAATGGCAACATCTTGGCTCACCACAACCTCCACTTCCCGTGTTCAAGTGATTCTCCTGCCTCAGCCTCCTGAGTAGCTGGGATTACAGGTGCCTGCAACCATGCCCGGCTAATTTTTGTATTTTTAGTGGAGACCCCTGTCTCACCATGTTGGCCAGGCTAGTCTCAAACTCCTGCCCTCAGGTGATCCACCCACCTCAGCCCCGCAAAGTGCTGGGATTACAGGCATGAGCCACTGTGCCCAGCTGTGAAATTAACTTTAATGCATCTCATTTAACCAAATATGTCTTTTTTTTTTTTTTTTGGAGACGGAGTCTTGCACTGTTGCCCAGGCTGGAGTGCAATGGCACAATCTCGGCTCACTGCAACCTCCGCCTCCCAGGTTCAAATGATTCTCCTGCCTCAGCCTCCCGAGTAGCTGGGACTACAGGCACCCGCCATCACGTCCGGCTAATTTTTTGTATTTTTAGTAGAGACGGGGTTTCACTATGTTGGCCAGGCTGGTTTCAAACTCCTGACCTCGTGATCTACCCGCCTCGGCCTCCGAAAGTGCTGGGGTTACAGGCATGAGCCACCGCCCCCAGTCTATCCATGTATTTTATTTAATATAGTTTATTTAACCAAATACACCATCATTTTCAAAAGTAATCATTATTAAAGAGATATTTTATATTTTTTTCATACTAAGTCTGAAATCCAGGGTGTATTTTATACTTGCAGCACATCTCAATTAGGATTAGCCACATTTCAAGCACTCAGTAGCTACATAACTCTAAGGCGTCCTTATTCAACAGGACAACTCTAAACTATGTGCATGTATAACTGTGATAACTTTTTTAAAAAAATTGTAAAGAAGTCGGGAGGCTGAGGAACGACAATGGCGGGAACCCGGGAGGCGGAGCTTGCAGTGAGCCGAGATCGCGCCACCGCACTCCACCCTGGGCAACAGAGCGAGACTCCGTCTCAAAAAAAAAAAAAAAAAATTGTAAAGGAGCACTGTTGTTGATAGATTGTCCACTTATTCCATGAATACAGAAATGCACTAATATCATTCAAACAGAGGACATTATATAACTGAAAAGACCGGGAAAAAGGAACTTCCCCGAGCAAACTCTATGAAAAGTGAAAGTGTAGATTATTTGTATATTATCTGAACATGGATCTCATCTCCTGTATGGACTACTCTTTATATATCTCATTTATTTTTACAATCTATTCCTTTTCCCTTGTAAATGACAAAACTAATGCCAGACAAGTAGCTTGCCCAAATGTATTAAGTTATTTATAATAAATAACTAAGCTGGCATCAAATCCAGGCTGTCTGACACCACCGACCACAAGTTTCACCACAGTGCTCTGCATGGGACTATATCTGAATGTGTGGGCATAGTTCCTTGAAGATAATAAATGTCTAAGTAAGTATAGTATTCACTGATTTGAATGTAATGTTCACCCATATAACAGTAAAAAGACTATCAACATATTTCTACTTCTTAATGACTAAGTAACTCAAAATGAATATTTATTTGAGTAAAGTAACTTAGTTTTAGAAGATATGGCCATTTGAAATAAGGTTGAAATGGAAGGATTATATGTCTCAACAAACTATCAGTGTTACTCAGGGGTTATGCAGTTAGAAGGAGCTTTTATAACTAATGAATTTAGTCCAAGAAGTAATTCAACTACATTGGTTATCTATTGCTGTGTAGCAAAATACCCCCCAAAACATCGTGGCTGAAAACCACCAACATTTATTATCCCATAATTTATTGTGGGTCAGGAGACCACATGTAGCTTAGCTTGGTGCCTTCGACCCAGTGTCTCCCATGAGGCCACAATATCATGCATCAAGGTGTTGGCCAGGTCTGCAGCCATCTCAGGGTTCGCCTGGGGAACCCTCCACTTCTAAGCCCAATCATGTGGCTGTTGGCCAGAGACATCAGCTCTTTTCTGCATGGGCGTCTTCACAGGACTCATGACATGCCAGCTTGCTTCCTCCAGAATGAGGGCTTGGGGGATAAGGATGGGTAAACAAGATAGAAATCACAATCTTTTCTGTAACCTAATATCAGAAGAGACATTCCATCACATTTGCTGTACTCTGTGCACTAGAAGCAAGTCATTAGATCCAGCCCATACTTAAAGAGTGATTACAAAAGGGCATGAACACCTGGAGGCAGGGATCATTAGAGCCATTCTAGAGACGCCAACCTCAATGACAAACAATTTTACAACGCTTTATGCCTGGAAAATGCAGTTAGTTATTCCACCATTCATTCATTCAGCAGTATTTATCTTGCACCTACTTTGTGCCAGGCCCTCCCTGGAGATCTTGGGAGCAAAGCAGATATTCTCATGGTCTTTATAAAACCTCCAGTCTATTGTCCTTAAAATTAAACACCAAAATGATTTTTATCACAAAGGATGAAGTGTTTTAAACAGCAAGAAAACTTACTTCAGGAACTTTCTGTCTTACTGCTTTTTCTAAACTGTTGCTCTTGTAAATCAAATACTGATGATTTTTCAGTAAAGATGAAAAATTACCCTGATCTTCCCACATCATAATTCTGTGATAACCCATTGTTTGGATCTATAGACTTTCTAGCTCAGTGAGAGCCCAGGTGATTTGCTTTAATTTCTGTACTGACAATACAGTGTAAGGCCTACAGATCAGAAGTTTGAGCTCACCCAGCTGTGGAAAGAGAAGCTGCTAATGAATTTAGCTCTGTTCCTCTCAAGCCAAAAAGTGACAGAAAAAATTTATAAGGTTGGTAAGGCCCCATTCAGATTCTATAACCAATGCTTTGTCCTCTAATGAAAACCTGAGAAATTTTTACCAAGAATTAAAACTAGGATGATTTCAAAATAAAAAACAAATGATCAGTGATTGAAGGATCCTGGAATTTTTATTTCTAGAATTCTTTAAGTTATTTCTGTTTATCCTTATCAGGCTCTCTCCTCAGTGAATATTCTGTACGGTGCTGGGTGCCCACACTCCAGCCCATTTCTCAAGAGAGTGTACTTAAGGGTTTTATTTTTTCTTAGAGATCATAACATCTTCATATTTTTAAGTCACCAATTTGAGTAGATACACAATAGCTTCATACACACATACACACACACACATACACACCACACCTTGCTCACCCAATACAGATTGCATTTTCTACACAAGAGCATTTAAATAATCTGAGTATTTCAAGATGGCAAAAAAGAAAGGCTCAAATGCATAAAAACAAATTAAAACAGATAATTAAGCTCATTGAATAACACCAATGAATATACGTGAAGCAAGTTTATGTTGCAAATCACTTAGCTCAATTGCAGATACAACATTGATAGACCTAACAGAAAGAAGTATATTATATATGTGATACAAATGTTTTTTAAGAGCAAACTGACAAGACCTCCATGCATTTAGACCTTTTAAAATTCGCTTGACTCAAGAATCTGCCTGTCCCAGATTCCAGCAGTAGCTTCGATTTTGAATGGCTTAATAATCACCTATTGTGTTACAGCTCTGAAAGTTGCCACCAGAATAGTATACCTATCATAGCTCAGCTAGTCATTTTTACAGATTCTAACCTGTGGACAACAATCTCTGCTACTTGAACAATTTTAAATGTTTGTCTCACTTTAATAGCAAGTGTACCTTAAGGACATATACTCTTTTACCCAAATAAGTGAGACATTGACAATCTCATTCTGAAGTTGTGTTAATAGACCCAAAACATAAGAATTCCATCCACTCTCATTTGTTAACAATAAATGTGATAAATAAAATAACTTGTTTTTTTAAAATGAATAGTCAGATAATTCTTTAATAAAAGCATTTGTAGCAAATGTTAATTCCAGAACAAAAACTTTTGAACCACAGAATATTCAACAGCAAAATAATGCAGAACTCTATGACCTCAAAAGATGGAGAACCCTTGAAGTTTATTTGGTAACTAGGTGGGGATGGTGTATTGGCAAATATTTGTATACAGAACTAGAATTAAAGCCAGAATGATTTCAATAATTGCAAAATAAATGAATATGTGATCAATGATTGAAGAAGCCTGCAAATTTTGTTTCTAGGATTCTATCTCCTATAGAAATTCATATGCTGTACAAAGATATATGTGCAAGGATATTTACTGCTATTTTCATTGAAAAATAAAAAAGCATATGAAACGGTGAAAAACTTGAAAAAACTCTAAACTTCTCTTAGTATGGGAATGATTACAATGTGTGGTAAATTATTGCTAGAGAATGCTTTGCCACTCTTACAAAATATGAAGTAGAGCGATATGTACTGACCAAGAAGAATATATTAAGTATAGAAAAAAATGTTGCAGAATTATATTTATAAACGTATCCTTTTAAGAATAAAAAATAGAGCCAGGCACGGTGTCTCATGCCTGTAATCCCAACACTTTGGGAGGCCGAGGTGGGTGGATCACGAGGTCAGCGGTTCGAGACCAGCCTGACCAACATGGTGAAAACCTATCTCTACTAAAATATAAAAATTAGCTGGCTGTGGTGGCGCCTGCCTGTAATCCCAGCTCCTCAGGAGGCTGAGGCAGGAGAATCGCTTGAACCTGGGAGGCAGAGGTTGCAGTGAGCCAAGATCATGCCAATGCACTCCAGCCTGGGTGACAGAGCAAGACTTCATCTCAAAAAAAAAAAAAGATTAAAAAATAGTAGAATATTATCTTATTAAAAATAAGTAAAGCATATTATAATACAATCTCATTAAAATAATTATGTGTGCAGAAAAATTTAAAGGATACATTCCAACTACAAAGAATGCTTAACTGGCCAGGAGCAGTGGCTCATGCCTGTAATTCCAGCACTTTGGGAGCCCAAGGCAGGCAGATCACTGAGGCCAGGAGTTCGAAACTAGCCTGGGCAATGTGATGAAGCCCCATCTCTACCAAAAATTCAAAAATTAGCCAGGTAGGTTGGCACATGCTTATAGTCCCAGCTACTCAGGAGGTTGAAGTGGGAGGATTGCTTGAGCACCAGAGGCAGAGGTTGCAGTGAGCTAAGATCATGCCACTGCACTCCAGCCTGGGCAACAAAGCAGGACCTTGTCTCAAAAAAAAAAAAAAAAAAGAAAAGAAAAAAGAGGTTAACTGAAAAATAGGATTAAAGTAGTAGGCAAGGGGGTAGTAACTTTCATATTTTTTAATTTTATATGCTTTTATATTGTTTTATCTTATTAATTTTTTGTGTGAAAGTATATACTACTTTTGTATTACTCTGTGTGGTCCCTAGGGCTTCACTTTTTATATACTGAGACTTTATACCTCATTATTTGTGTGTAATTAATTACAGACATGTTGACACGTGACAACCAATAAATCTTAGTGATATCAAAGGGCAGTGTTACAATAGCTATAATGCACATTAAAATACTTTAACATATACAGTGTAATATTATGTATGTACCGTTTGGCTTATGCAATAGTTGAGGCTGCAAACCTTTTATTCAAGAATAAGTAGTCTATGGCGTGGCCCACTAGCCTTCTAATTAGGAAGACTGTTCTTCAAAGGGAGCTACCACAAGTGTTTCTCTTATCCACATCTCTATCAGTTATTTTCTACAAATCAGGGTTTGATTTAGTTTTATTGATTGTCTTAAGAAAGTGTTGCAGAAAATAACAATGCAGATTAAACTTAAGAGCATGTCATGTCTACAGCCATTACATTATAAATATTACCAAAAAACTGAGGAATTCTTCCAATATCTAAAAACTCATCTGATTCAGCAAAGTTGCTTATGTCATTGTTGATAAAATCGAGTTCCAATGTGCCTTTAAAGTTCTACTTTCATCTTCCTCATTAACACCAACAAAAAAATTAACTAATATTCATGTAGATCCTACGTATTCATCAATTATAATCATAGGTTAGCTGCAGATATTAGTTTGGTTCAAATTGGTGAGATATTCCATGAGAATCAACTGGGTATATGGAATTTACAATAATGAATGTTGTAATATTTGATTATTTGTAAATTGCATGCTTCGCATCTTGTATATCAGTAAAATGTATAATAAACCTGTATTACACACACACACACATTTTTCAGAGCTGGTTGTTTAACATTACCAGCACAATGCTGGGTTGAGAGAGCATGAGTAGTGCTCACTCAGCTCAAAATTTCATCCGCTGATACTGTTGATGTATCTTCTCAAAAGAATTCATGCATTATGTATCACCAAATTGGTATAGGTGAGTTCAGAACAGGGAGATGTTGACCAAAAGGCCACATTTTAAGTCCAGCATCAATTTTTCTGGGTTTGACTGTGTGCTTCTTAGGACCAGCTGTTTAAAATCAAATTATTTTATAAAAGCTATGAATAGGCATCCTTGGACAGCAGTTCACTAAAATTTTATACACACTTTTAAAAGGCTGTTTTGAAAATAAGCCTGAAGAAAATTGATTGGATTTTTAAAATAATCACAAATAATGTTCTATGTTAAAAGAAGTGAACTTTGTTTTTAATTGACTTAGGTTCAAACTTCAGAAAAAAAATGCTCAACATATACAACTCCCATACAAAAAGCACCATGGCCCTGAGGGTATCGGGGAGAAGATGGCAGTTTTGGTAAAGCATGTTTGTATTTGGCAGTGCAAATTTGAAGAAAGAAAATTCTTAGAAGCTAAAGATTTAGTCTGTCACAGTAAAACATTTTGGTTTTAACTTTTTGGGGCTAGGTAAACCACAATACATTTATCAAATTATCTTTTATCACCTTGCTTGGTTTACATGTGGATCAGCTTCTAGAATTCTCATTTTGTCTCTTCCAAATTCAGTATTCTCATGAACACACATCGAAAATAGTTGAAAACAAATGGGGACGTGTACAATCAACAATAACAATAATAATAAAATAGAGTCCAAATGCCTTATCTCACTGGATATGCAGCCCTGCTTTTGCATATTATGTGGTCCAGAATATACACAAGACCAACCAGCGACTTGCTAAGTTTCTCTCATGTATAAATACCAAAGGCTCAGCATGAGCAACAGGGCCCAATCAGCTCTGTTTATAAGGGGAGCCTACCAGTTCTTTTGCCTCCAGCTACTGTTTAATACCAGCTGTTTGTTCTTTCTGGTCCTCCCCCTTCTCTCCCTCCTCCAGGTCTCATTTTAAAAACCTACCCCATAGATACCCAATTCAATCCTTCTGAGTTGCCTTGGCAACTCTCAAAGATAGGACAGCTCACAGCTTCCCAGTCTAATTCCATCACATCCCTCAATTAGTTTAGTTAAGTTAAACCTTTTATGAACAAATATTCCTTAGAAGTATAATCAGGAATTGGCTCACCCTAAATTATGTTTAGAGATCCCCACAGGTGATTTTTTTGTGTGTATCCCCAGGGCTCTCTTCTGCCAAAGTCCCTTTCTCTAATGCCGGAAAGCAGGACTAGATTATTATTCAACCCATCTTCATGTTTCTCTCCACTATCTGTGAACTTTATCTTGAAGATTTACTTTTGTACAGTGTCTTCTGCCTGGCCTGGAACATTGGTATCCTCTAAAGCTTGGCAGGGTTCCTTAGTTGGCAATAATTACCATGTTTTCAAATTTTCCACTTCAGGTCCTCAAAAAGTTCATGTTGTAAGCAAAATAATGCACGGCATATGATGTTTGCAAAGCACACAGAGATAAGTCATGCTTTGTTTATATTTTAAGAGGAGAAAATCACCTGTGGCCCACATTTTCAGCCAAGTAGTGCTACCATAGAACAGACGGCACTGCCTGCCAAACAAGGTCAACCTAAATTACTTCATCAAGCCTGCTCAGGAGAGCTTCCCAGATGGATTGCCTGGCTCTTCAGACATGAAGAAAGTTATCCTTACTTTGAAAAAAATTAAATGAGCACAAATTTTTGTCTTTAGAATTTTGACAGTTCTCTTTTGCAGATCTAGTTCTGGTTATTTAATACATATAACCTGATAACGTACAGGAACAACTAAGGGGTCTTTTTACTGTAATTTGTTGCATTCAGTGTATGAATTAAGCATTTTAACATCACACTAAAGATTGCTAAAGGTAAAGACAATTTTTAACTGGCTTAACTCCCTTATATAAGCAAATTACATTCAATTTCTACTGAGTAATTTATGGTGAATTAAGCCAATAGTTTGTTATTATACATTTGCAATGGATATAAAAGTGAGGCAATAAACACAAAATTGTTATAAAGTAACAAATCATACCTATAATGTAATGAATGGGAATGTTTTCTTGAGTATTAATTAAATTTGGTATGGCTATTCTTGGACTCATACATTATTAGAGCTGAGATCCCCTCTGCAAGTCTAGTAAGAGTTGAAATTCACATATCATGAAATAAATTTAAGGTCCCACACTGACCTACTCAATAGGCAGATAGGAAAATAGAAATCACCATTTGTGGCAATATTTCTTGTTTTTGGAAGCATGTCATAGTGAAAAACTAGTTTCTCTCTTTTTTATAATTCTCTCCCTTCAAAATATCTGTACACTACACATTTTGACCTAAGCAAAGGTGAGCTAATCAATGTTTACTGCCTGCAGTAAATTTAGAGAAAAGACTTTAGACCTTATCTTTTCAGTCCCTGAGGTGGTCATTCTGGAAAATCTTGCAATTCTGTTTTTCCACAATTTCTTAATCTTTAAAGAATTGAACACTTCACAATTCAGCTGCACTCATAAAGACAGCTTGAAAGCAACTAAAATACAATTAATTTGACAAAAAGTATGATCATACAGGATCTGCTCACTTGTTTTTAAATACATAAGCCCTGAACAGTTAGATAATTTTGTTTTATTGTGTCCAGATCTGAGAGGTAGTCATATATCAAAAATTCATGAAACTGAGAAAAAAATTAAACATTGATGTTGATCTGGAAAATTTCATAAAGTATAGTTCTGTCCATCTGTTAACTCAAAACACTTCAATTTACTGGCTCAAACCATGGAAGGGGCATTCAAAGCATACCATGAAAAAACCTTGCTTAAAATTGCTTATACAGTAAGGAATCCTCATATAATACCTTACAGATTATTTCAACAAATATAACAGCCCTCAGTGTCTTGAAACTGTTCAGTATTACTGAAAAACATTTGATGGTATTTTTAGGTAAATATAATTATTCCCCATTTCTCTTATTATGTAATAGTAATTATAAGAAAAGTTTCCTGTGGAGATTAAAAAAAAAAGTTTATTGTTTCTTTATAAGCCTGTTATAGAAAAATGTTTTGTTATAATCTAAAGTCTAGGTGTCTCTAGACTAACATCTACTTGTTTATAAGACTGATTTACTGCCAAAAACTCTTACTCTGTGCCTAACTCCAGTCACTGCTTCCATAATTTGTTCTTGTTATGTTTTCAGTGAAAGGAAAGGTTAGCAGGTTATTCTTCCTCATCTATAACTCAGTATGAATATAGCTGCTTTTATTTTTAAAGGCAAATAAGACTCTCTGGCTGCTGATTTGTTTTTTTTCTTGTGCTTCCATGGAAGAAAATAGATTTTAAGAAGAAAAGAAAGGAAAAAGTACAAGTAAACTTGTATTTACTGAAAACACTATCTAATTTAGCCTAGACAGTTTGTTGAGAAGGACACAAAGAGATATATAAATCTATATCTTATTATGAACTATTTTTGTCCTCACTTATGTTCCTGAAGTAATAAAAATGCTTGCAAATAGCAGCTTCCAACCCAAATATACATTTTTGCAACCCGTTACTCCAGCAAAGGCATTTTTGTAATTAAGATAGAAATTCTAGGCTGGGAGCGGTGGCTCACGCCTGTAATCCCAGCACTTTGGGAGGCCAAGGCGGACGGATCACGAGGTCAGGAAATCGAGACCATCCTAGCTAACATGGTGAAACCCCATCTCTACTAAAAATACAAAAAATTAGCCTGGTGTGGTGGCGGGCGCCTGTAGTCTCAGTTGCTGGGGAGGCTGAGGCAGGAGAATGGCGTAAACCCGGGAAGTGGAGCTTGCAGTGAGCCGAGATTGCGCCACTGCATTCCAGCCTGGGCGACAGAGCGAGACTCCATCTCAAAAAAAAAAAAAAAAATTGAAATTCTAGTGGAGTTTCTTTTATCAAAGTAAACTAACTTTACAAAAACAGCCTTAAGAATTTTTAGAGACTCTTCTGATTGTGTTAATGAGGTTTTTTTTTTTTTTTTTTAACATTTAGTGTAAATGTGCTTTTATCCTAGTCTTCTCCATCTCACATAATTAACTGAAATGCTCAGGCCCACACAGAGCCATGATTCTTGCTGGCTCTTCTTCCCACAGGCCCCCTATCAAATCCAATAGCTTTCACCTGTGCCTTCAAAATACCCCCCTCCCCCCGCCCCCCGCCCCCCGCATGTGTTCGCTTCTCACCACCTTCACTCTTAACTTCTTGGTCCATACCTGCATCCTCTCTGCCCCGGGGCTGGTGTGCTTTAGCAAGTTTTCCTACAGTTCATTCTTCATGCAGCCCTGGAAGGGTCTTAAAAATGCAAATCAGGGCCAGGCACGGTGGCTCACGCCTGTAATCCCAGCACTTTGGGTGGCCAAGGTGGGTGGATCACAAGGTCAGGAGTTCAAGACCAGCCTGGCCAATATGGTGAAACCTTGTCTCTACTAAAAATACAAAACTTATCCAGGTGTGGTGGTGCATGTTTGTAGTGCCAGCTACTCAGGAGGCTGAAGCTGAAGCATAGCTTGAACCCGGGAGGCGGAAGTTGCAGTGAGCCAAGATTGCACCACTGCAGTCCAGCCTGGGTGAGACTCCGTCTCAAAAAAAAAAAAAAAAAAAGAAAATGCAAGTCAGATGATGCTTTTCTTCTGCTTGAAACTGACCAGTGCTTACCAATGTTCGCATTGGTAAGAAGAGAATAATAACAGCATTCAGAAAAACCTACTTAATCTGTAGTGTGTAACAAAGTAATGTACGATCATAAATTTAACCTTAAAAATCACAAAATTTCTTATGTAATAGGTTAATTTCCATTGTTCAAATAAGTCTTAATCTCATTACCCACTGAATGGTAAATGTTTAAAAACATCTCTTTTTTTATTGGCTTTAAGGCCATTTCTCTCTTTGGCGGTTTAAATTCAATAATAACGTAATTTGTCATCACCAAGAATGTTCTTAACTAGCTACTTTGTTAGTACTGCCAATCTTAAAATTTATGAATGTCAGTCACAAATAATTCTGATGTCATTTTCCTTTAATATACTTAGCAGGGACCATCTATAAATCCTAAAGAAAGTCCCAGACAGCCTCAGATAAATAGCATACTTTCCCTCTGATGGCAAAAAAAAAAAAAAAAAAAAAAAAAAACTGATCAAAATTCTAGGCAGGTTGAGGTTTATTTTTCTTTCATCTGAATCGATCAGTCTGTTATTGTGAACTTAAATCAAGGCACTTTTAATGAGGTTTTCAACACAATCATTATTGAAAATTTAATATACAGAAAAAATGGTTTGGGGTGACTTAATAACTAAAGTATTATAATCCTATGGACCAAAAACTCTGGTTTACTGAGAATTTAAATTGTGATAATAATAGTAGCAATCAATGAAAATAGGAGTAGGTTTACTTTTTGGGCATGATTAGGAAGCAATCATGCTACATTTAGGGGTTGCTCTAGTGCTTCATGCTCCCTTAATTTTATATATATATATACACACATATATATATGCATATATATGTGTATATATATATATACACATATATATGTGTATATATATATATACACATATATATGCATATATATATGTATATATATATACACATATATATGCATATATATATGTATATATATATATACACATATATATGCATATATATATGTGTATATATATATGGTTTTTTTTTTTTGAGACAGAATCTTGCTCTGTCACCCAGGCTGCTCCGCCTCCCAGGTTCATGCCATTCTCCTGCCTCAGCCTCCCGAGTAGCTGGGACTACAGGCGCCTGCCACCAAACCGGGCTAATTTTTTGTATTTTTAGTAGAGACAGGGTTCACTGTGTTAGCTAGGATGGTCTTGATCTCCTGACCTCGTGATCCGCCCATCTCGGCCTCCCAAAGTGCTGGAATTACAGGC
This sequence comes from Homo sapiens, assembly GCF_000001405.40. Lineage (NCBI taxonomy): Eukaryota > Metazoa > Chordata > Mammalia > Primates > Hominidae > Homo > Homo sapiens. The sequence goes on along the minus strand of NC_000003.12, from coordinate 153,300,999 downwards.
ATGAGCCACCGCGCCCGGCCAATCATATTTTTTACCCCCTACTACATTTATGACCAGGTATACCCTCATGGCTGGAAGTATTTTCTTTTTACCGGTGTTTTCTGGCCTAATAATATAAACCAGCATTTCCCCAAATGTGTTCTGCAGAACATAAATCTTAGAATGTTAAAAGGGAATTTGCTAATAATAATAACAGCAACAATAATAAGGTTCTTCGCTCAATAAGCTTGGGAAAGATTTTGCTAATAAAAATTTAGTTAGTTTCTTTGCTGTAGGACTTCTTAAGGCTTGCATATACTAAAATAAACTGTAAACCTCAAAGAGTAATTAAATACTAGTTTCCCAAATTATTTGACCACTGAACCATTATCTTAAGGAATATCTTTGGAGAAGTGTTCTGGAAAATGCTTCTGTCATTCATCATGTGAAAACCTTTGACATCGTTGGGACACTTGTCTGATGAAAGGACTGGAGCTCTCCCATAGACTTAGTGGACAATGAGTCCAGCAGAACTGCAGTGGTCAAAACTGCATAATCTCTTTTGCCTTCCTCTTTATCTCTGAAATTCCAGGGCTTCATGTTTACTATTCATTGTTCAATGATCTATGTTACTAAGCAGTAACTCAACTCTATAGTCCCATGACCTTCTTAGACCCAAGGGACTGTTTCCATACCTTCCTCCATTTAATTTCTTTGGGGCATCTGTTACCACTGATCATTCAATATTACTTGAAATCCTTACATTCTTGGTTATTCTACCTCTTTGGCTCTCTTTTCTGTTTCCTACAGAATTCCTTTTCCTCTGTTCACTCTTTATATTTTGCTCCTCAATGTTTTGCTAGCCTTCTTTTCTCTCCCTACATTCTTTCCCTCTTTTATTTTATCTGTATTGATTGCTTCACCTATCATTAGAAACTGATGGTTCACAAAGCTATACCTTTAACTGAGATCTCTGTGACCTCCAAATGCCTACAAAACCTCTCCACTTGAATGTATAACCTGCAATTAATTGTCACCCTCTTCACTGTAGTGTTCACAGGTACCTCAAATTTGGGCTGCAATAAAATTAATTCATCATCTTACTACACACAGCTAAAGAAAGTTCCCAATTCCTCGTATTTCTTATCCTCATTCAGTGTTGAATTCACAGAAATTATCATGATTGATAGTATTATATAGTGGGAAAAACACTTGGCGTGGAGATAGATTAGTTATGTTAAGTTGTACAGCTGAGTTAATAATTTACAGTTATATAATCCTGGGTAAGTCAGTTCAAAATTTTGGATCTCAGTTCCCTGTACATAAGATATTAGATAATCCTGTACTTCTTTGTTGCAGTCTTTAGTGACTATATTATTTCCCTTTAGTCTTGGAAGATTTTAGCTTCTATCTTATTGGTACTCTATCCAACACTATCCTTTAATGGTTAAACATCATCCTTGTCATGTAACTCTCTGAATTCCTGTGCTCCATGACAAGTTCCAACATCCTTGTCATGTAGCTCTCTGAATTCCTGTGCTCCAATTGTCATGAACTCTATATTACCTCAGCCACTCACTCCCACAGTTGAATGCTAGACCTCGTCACAACAAATAAAGCAATCCTAAAATCTAAATTCTAAGCACCCATTCAAGCATCTTAGTCCTTCGGTCCTTCAACTACACTGGGACCTACAACCCATTGATCCAAATACTTCTCTAGCATTCGATTCCCCTCCTCCCACCAGCCCCCCACCGCACACTTATTTACTTACTTCTCACTTAAGAAGATTCCATTTCATGGTGAAGCCTATGGTATTCCCTTGAGTACACCCTCAACTTTCTTACCTTGACTTCTCATCTTTGTACTCACTCGGCAAAATCCTTACTCTGGTTAAATCCAACTCTTTGCCTGACTCATAACTCTTTGATACAGGTGAAGATAGTTAGAGGAAAAATGTATAAATATCTAATATATTAATTAGCAATCTCCCCTTTTTTTTTCTATTTCATTCACCAGTATAGTCCTAGCACCTCGAACAGTACCTGACATACAATAACTGTTTGATAAATATTTGTTGAATGAATAAATGAAGTATATGTGCTCATAATTCACACAGAATTCCATTGACTCAACCTGTGAATACATATCCCTTTTCTTCCACTGTAAAAAGCTCATATACTTTAGAGGAGGTCTAACTTTCAAAAGGATACATTAGCAAATGCTTTGTGTTTATCTTCAAGGCAGCCCTAAGCATATTTGCGATTATTGATTCCACAGTTAATATTTTCACTTTGGCTGTGGAGCTTTTATATAAAATATGTGATGATTTGCGGAAACCATGGCATTTTCCTGCCTTGAAGCTTTGAAATAATTATATCTTTAACTAATTCATTATTGTAACAGGGGAAGTTGAGACTAGAATGTTACAGTATTGGGGTTTTAATGATGAGAAAAAGCCAGGAAGACTCAAGTATCCATAGCAACAAAAATTTCTTTTTATCTTTTAAGTGACCAAAGGTGATTATTTCTTTTCCTTACATTATTATATCAGAGTTTATCACAGAGGTAAAAAGCATGTATTAGCTTTCAAGTGAGGTGTAGATATTTAAGGCAGAAGTACATTCAACTACCACTACACCCCATAGGAGGCTTCTCCCTTCCCCAAATAAAGGAGTGCACAGCTCTAACAATTCAAAAGTAAAAGGGTTATAAACAAGACTTGAGGTATGACTTGTCAATTAAAACTTCTGGCTAGGTGGGGAAGAAAAACAACTATGATATGCAATCTGAATCATTAAAATGATACCATAAAATCTTGAGAAAGTGGAATGAGCATCAAGAAGATCTCTATGAGTATTTAGAAATTCGGCCTCACTAAAATAAGACAGAATTTCTTTAGGTGGCAGAATTTATGAGACAGAGAATAATATAGATAGAAACGAACCTAAAGACAATATAGCAAAATGTTAATAGGTGAGTAATAGAGAAAAAAAGGGAGGAGGTATTTTCTCCATTTTTCTGTACATTTGAAATATTTCATAATTAAAATAACTTTAAGATTAAAAAAGAGATTTCATGAGATAGATTTAAGGAGATGAGATGATTAATTGTAAGATTAAGGTGTTCGAAAACCATGTTCTGCTTCAAACTGTCTTTGCAGTATTTGACTCATTTTGTTAATTACAAGTGACTGGGAAAGAGTTCATCAAATAATCTGTCCTCAAAAGCTATTTTCATCTAAATGTTCTTTTTATCTATTTATAAAACGTTTTCACTTATCTATGATTCAACTGGTTCTTTGATGTTATTGGATGCCTCGTACCGTGGACATCTGTCTCTGATTTTGTAGGAACCAGTAGTAGATTGATTTTTTATTTTATTTCCTTAAGACTCATTGAACTTGCAGTTTCATTTTGTCAAAATAATAATAGTAACAACATTTACAACAATAATAACATCAACAACAACACATATCATCCAAGTGCTATTTTAATTATATCATACTCAATTTATTTAATCCTCATATCAAACTCATAAAGTGAATACTGTTAACATCCTCTTGATACAAATAAGAAAACTGAGTTACAAAGAGGTAAGAAATTTGTCCAGGATCATAGCTAGCTTCAGAGCTTGTACCCTCTTTTTATTTTTTAATTAGGAAGTTTTTCCTAATTTTTATTTTTATTTTAAGTCCTAGGGTACATGCGCAAGATGTGCAGGTCTTTACACAGGTAAACATATGCCATGGCGGTTTGCTGCACCTATCAACCCATCACCAAGGTATTGAGCCCAGCATGCATTAGCTATTTTTCCTAATGCTCTCTCCCCCAACTCCACCTCTGACAGGCCCCCACGTGTGCTGTTCCCCTCCTTGTGTCCATGTGTTCTCATTGTTCAGTTCCCACTTATAAGTGAGAATATGCGGTGCTCAGTTTCCCCAACCCCCAGGCCATGGACCGGTACCTGTCCAGTGGCCTGTTAGTAATGGGCCACACAGCAGGAGGTGAGCAGCAGGTGAGCAGCAGGTGAGCAAGCAGTACCACCTGAGCTCCACCTCCTGTCAGATCAGCAGCGGTATTAGATTCTCATAGGAGCCTGAACCCTATTGTGGACTGTGCATGCCAGGGTTCTAGGATGTGTGATCCTTGTAAGAATCCAAATAATGCCTGATGATCTGAGGTGGAACAGTTTCATCCTGAAACCATCCCCGACTTCCCGTGGAAAAATTGTCTCCCACGGAACCCGCCCCTGGTGCCAAAAAGGTTGGGGAGCATCGTTCTTAAACATTACTCTTTATTGCCTCTTGATTATGGCTCTAGAAAGTTAAGGAGTTTTTTTTTTAACTGTACACTATAATTTATTTGTGCTGTAAATACTTATTCTGCTTCACTCTCCTAGGTTTTAGGGATTTTAGTGAGCCAAGAAGGCCATATAAAGAACAGGGCAAAGGAAAGAGAATAACATAAAATATAAATGAATAAAATATTCAAAAATATTTTTGAGGGAAAATAATAAATATGGGGAATGGACAAAAGATGTACAATATGTACATAATTGATGTTCACAATAAAGAAAAATAATGAAAGGCAATAAATAATGGTTTACTTTAAGAAAACTTTTCAGAAAGAAGTTTCTTTCTGATTGAAAGGAAGTACTGTATCTCAGACCAAAAATATAAAAGGCACAGAATGGTAAGCTTTGAGATATATCCTAGTAAGATCTTGGGATTCTAAAATAAAGACTTTCTTGGATCTCTAGGTATAATAATCACATCATCATAATGAGAAAATAAGCAGGCTGGCCTTGTATGACTACAAAGAAACATTCAACTCAATAACATTGCAGCAGTATTCTCAAAAGCCACAAAGAAAGTATAACCCAAACATTGTATTCTTAGCCAAACTATTGTGCAAGTATAAAGGCCATTGAAAAATTTTTCTGAATATGTGAGAACCCAGAGAATATATTTTCCATCACTTCTCTTACATAAACTGTTAGAGGACAAACTTCAGCTGACCAAGAGTTGTCTGGAAATACCATGCAAACTGACTAGCAATGACTATTAATTCCTTTTATTTGTGGTAACTAAAACAAACATAAACATGTGTATTATGGTTACTGAACACAATGTAGAAATTATTTTTAAAAAATAGCTATAGCTGGAATTAAAAAGAAAAAGGGTGGAGATAGCGTAAAAGTATATTGATTCTCTCACCTACTAATATTATTTAAAGATAAGACAATATGATAGGCGTTTATTTCCAATTCAAACATGTGTCAAATATTTAAATTTAAAAAGATGTTTATATCTTCTTTAGTAAAATGGCCAAGTCAAATACAGATAAATATTTGTATTCAATTTATACTCATATTGAGCTAACATATATTAGACTTCTATAATTGTTAGCTTTGACATACAGTATAAGGTTCACTGATGGACATCATCATACCTTTTCAGACTGGGAAACTGATCTTTACATTATTAAATTAACTAGAGCCAAACAGCGAATCAGTGGTATATGAGTTGGTATATGAAAACAAGTTCTATGAATGCCAAGTACTGTTTATTTTCTGGAACTCTCTTTCAAACCAACAGTGGCAATAAATGGCATGGGGAGTTAAGAGTACAGGCCCCAGCACTACCAATGGCTTTCTGTGCAACCTTGGAAAAGTTACTTTACCTCTCTGTGGAACCTCTTGGTTGCACCATCTATTCATCTATAAAATGAGATCATAAAAGTACCAGCGTTGTGGTGTTTTTGTTGTTGCTGCTGCTGCTTTTATTATAACAATTTTGAAAAACTTGAGAGTTCTGAGTTCATCTGTCTCTATGAACACTTTGAATTGAAGGCTTTATGCTAAGTTATTGTGCTACTAAAGTATTTTTCATGGATTTTGATTATAAAATCAATGCAAACTTATTGTATAGTTTTGGGAAATTATATAATTATAGCTTATGTAATTATCTAAATTATATTATTTTCTAAGTAGGCTCCCAAAAAAAATCACCTAGTGGCAACTATTTTTAACCATTTTTTCTTTCCAAAATCTTTCTATGCTTTATTTTTCCATAGTTGTGATTACACTATACCACATTTTATATTACAGCATATAAATTTTTTGCATTATTCAAAGTCACTCTTAAATATGATTTTAATAGCTGCATAGAAGCCCTTTACATAAATATACTATGTCTAACTATTCTTTTGATGTGAGGAATACCTTTAAAAATAAATCACTTTCGGCCGGGCGCTGTGGCTCATGCCTATATAATCCCAGCACTTTGGGAGGCCGAGACGGGCGGATCACGAGGTCAGGAAATGGAGACCATCCTGGCTAAAACGATGAAACCCCGTCTCTACTAAAAATACAAAAAACCAGCCAAGCGTGGTGGCAGGCTCTTATAGTCCCAGCTGCTCGGGAGACTGAGGCAGGAGAATGGCGTGAACTCGGAAGGCGGAGCTTGCAGTGAGCCGAGATCGTGCCACTGCACTCCAGCCTGGGCGACAGAGCGAGACTCCACCTCAAAAAATAAATAAATAAATAAATAAATAAATAAATTAATTAAATCACTTTCTGCATTTGTAATTATTTACCTAGAGTAGAACCCAAGAGATGGAATTACTTGGTCAAAAAGGATTAATATTTTTAAGATTTCTATATATTTCCAAGTTGCCATGAGCTGAACTATGTACAGAACTTAAAATAATGCCTAAGGCATAGAACGTTTTAAAAATGCTTTATGTAGTAAATATATTAACTATCTCTTTGTTTTAAGTACTTCTCCATCATAGTTTGTTTTAGATGTATATAATATGAATTTTAAAAATACAAAGTGTTTCATGTTAATCATATCTGTTGATCCTTTGTTTATAATTTATTTTAATATTCTTTGCTAATTAAATAATTCCCCAGCTAGATAGCTAATATTTTCTTATATTTCCTTATTTAATATTTATACACCATAGGCTTTAGAAAATCTTTAATCTCATATAATTTAGCTACTTTTTCTTTAGCATTCTACTTATGCTAATAAGATTTATAATCTAGGTGTAAAACTGAAGTTATCAAAATTAGTCAGGCTTAATCAAAATTGGATGTGCCTGGTTCAAAACAAAAAAAATGCTCAAGACATAGCTAAGTAGGGAGAGCTACATTTCAAGGTTATTTGAGCTCTCAGTTTTTCTTTGCTTTGTTTCTTTTTCTTGCAGGACTAAACAATGTCATCCAAGGCCATAAGAGATACAAAACCCAAGGAAAAATAGGAGGAAGTTAGGTTGCTTTTAGATTTTTAAACTTTTAAGTTTGCATGTAGGCAATGAAAGGGAAGGGGTTTTCTGTTTTCTAAAAAATTTGATAAGCCTTAAGTTTCATGTATTTCATTGGTTGGAGAATTATCTTGATAGAAATTGTTGAACTTAGAAGGCTTCCCACAGTAATCTATCCTAGCCACCGCATTATGAAGTTGTAGTGTTAATTACGGTTAAAACTTTGAGTGCAATGCCTGAACATGCCAAGAACTTTACAAAAAAAAGGAAAGCTCTCCTCGTTTCCAGACTAAGCAACCAACTCAGCTATTTCATAAACTGACAAATACAGTTGAGCAACCATCACTGTTATTACAGAGTGAATCAGCACAACGACAAGAAAACGTAGGTGGATAATAATAAAATATTGTCCTGGTGGAAGAAGACTTTGTGTGATTCCAGTTTTGCTATATTAATGAGTCCTCTCCAGAAAGGATAGTAACATCAAAAAGTGGCTTGCCAGTCTTGCCACACTCACTCTCATACTATTTTTCTGTATGAAATGGGGTTAGCTTGTCAGTAAAACACTTGTCTTTTTCTTCTAAAAAAAATTACATTTAAATACAGTTAAAATATCAAGAATATTTAATAACTTTTCTATGCCCTTAAGCAATAATGTTTTTAGAATCTATGTTAAATCACATTTTCATTAACCACAGCATAATTAATCAGCACTTTAAAAAACAACAGACTAATAGGTGTGTTTTCTTTTTCTTGTTTTGGAGACGCAGCCTCGCTCTGTTGCCCAGACTGGAGTGCAGTGGCGGAATCTCGGCTCATTGCAAGCTCCGCCTCCTAAGTTCACGCCATTCTCCTGCCTCAGCCTCCCGAGTAGCTGGGACTACATGCACCTGCCACCACGCCCGGCTAATTTTTTGTATTTTTAGTACAGACGGGGTTTCACCGTGTTAGCCAGGATGGTCTCGGTCTCCTGATCTCATGATCTGCCCACCTCGGCCTCCCCTAAAAATATATTTTAAATTAACAATAACCTTAAAAAAAACTTGAGTATGGTTTCAAATTATTTAGGAACACAATGCTTATAATATTTTATACAAGTTCCATTTCAAAAAATAACTTGGTTTATTTACTGACCATTTAATGAGCATACACTGTGTGCCGAGGTTTTGGAATATATCAATAACTAAAACAAAAAAAAATTATTACTGTTGATCCTTCTGAGGGAGCTGTGCTATATCTTCACTCTGGTATTAGTTACACAAATCTACATTCATGTAATCTACATGTAATAAAATTGCATCATACTAAATACACACACAAATAAATACATGTAAAACTAGTGAAATCTGAAAAAAGTGAGTGGATTCTGCCAGTGTCAACTTTCTGGTTGAGATATTATAATATAGTTTTGCAACCTTACCATTGGGGGACACTGGATCTAACACAAAAGATCTCTTTGTATTATTTCTTACAACTATATGTGAATCAACAATTATGTGAAAATGAAAGTTTTTTTTGTTTTTTACAAATTCCTTACCTTTGGAACTTAAATTCTAGTGGCTGGAAACAGACAAAAAGTAATAAACATAGTAAATAAGTAAATTATATAGTAGGATAGAAAGTGATTACATACTATAGAAAAAAAAATAAGGCAGAGTAAGGAGAACCAGGAGTAGCCTAGGTCTATTGTGAAGGTGACATTTGAGCAAAGATTTAGGAAATCAGTGTTTACCTGTGGGAAAAGCATTCAGCAGAGGGAACAGCCACTGCAAAACCGCTAAGGCAGAAATGAGCGTGAGTGTTTGAGGAGTTATGGGGGCCAAGTGGCTGGAACAGAGGAAAGCAGCAGGTAACTCATAGAGAGCTGTAAGTCCCCAAATGCTGGAAGATCTCAGAGGCCATTGTAAGGACTTTGGCTTTTTCTCTGAGTAGGAAACCACTGGAAGGTTTTTGAAGAGAGCTGTTGACATGTAACATACTTGTAAAGGATCACCCTGGCTCCCATGTTGAAAACAGAGTATAAGAGAGTAAGAGTGGAAGCAGAGAGATCTGTCAGGAGGCTATTCTTTTGCAAGCATCAAGAGGACAGTAGTGAGGGACAGAAAACTTGAGAACTAAGACAAAACCTAGCAGTGCACTACTTCTGTACTCTAACTCACACATCAGTGCCTCAGATAACAATTACAAAATCCAAAAACTCACATTTCCAAGGAGAACTGCTTATAAGTAGATTATGCAATGCCTAATTTGCATAAATTACAAATGTTGCTCTTTATCATGGGAAATCATAAAGGCCTCAGTTGTAAATGGTAAGTCTTTTCTTTATGAAACATCAAAACACTTAATAAAAATCTTGTCATATCTCATTTAGAAAACTTCTGCTACCCTCACTGCACCTATTCCGATTGTTTGAAACAGGAAGGAGGCTCTCTGCTACATCCCTTTTTCTTAATTGATTGAAGCGTCCTAGGTCAGGGCCACTGGCAAGGTAACTCTGGCTCCCTCTACTGACTTCCTCAGAGGGTCAAGGAGAAACCAGATTCATCAGCCCCATATAATTACGAGATAAATAAAAAGAACACATTTATTTCTCCATGCCATCAAGTGTGATGTTATCCAACATAAAAATGCTTCAGGCTTTTGAAGAAATAAAATGACTGCATTGCCTATTGCTTAAAGACTGAACATTCTCATAAATTGAATAAGCATAGCTACAAAGCTCATTCTGTGCTGCATGGGCTGTTGTTTCTCTATCTCTGTCATCTTACTCTGAATATATTACAGGTATGTCATTGAGTGTTTATACGGTCCATAAAAAGTACCTTTTTAAAATCATTATGTGCACTTGCTTGCTACAATAAAAGATGAAATTTTGAAACAATTCAATCTCTTGAGTACTCAAAAGCAGCTGTTCCTTTGAAACTGTGGTTTATCCTGAAGTTCTGCCAGCCCAATGGAAAAGTTTTAATACAATTAAATGAGACTGAAGCTGAAGCAGAACAAATATGCACTATGTGGTAGAATAAAACAAAAAGCAAAATTCTACTTAAAGAATTCTTGAAAGGGACAGAAGGAGCTGCATATGCAAATATTGAAGATTGCTTCTATTTTCTTTTTGGCAACACAATATTGACAATGAAAATGTTTCCTCATCTGATCCTGGATATAAAAAGAAAATAATTTCAGCCTATTAATTCTATGAAAACCCCCACATTTGCCACCTCTCAACCACAGATTTTGATTTCCCTGTTCCCAGACATCACAGCAGGGGGAGTTGCCTCCTACATGAAGGTTTTCTTTAGCAAAAGGTGTTTCATGTGACAGAATACCTCTTTAAGCTTTTCTAGATGTCATAATCCTTAAGAAGAGAAGCTAAATGAAGATTTTAAATTTTCTGTAACTTCCTATCCTGCTCACAGATTAACTTGATTTACAGCAATATGCTAAAGAGAAAAACACATTCATTACTCAAAGATGTAGATTCTATAAACTCAGTGTTTTACATATTAAAAAGTAACTTGGTTATGCATCATGGTTTTGTACTTGCACATCAATATTGTAAATTATTTATTAATTTAAAACACTGTCATATTATATCACATTAAGAGTGATATAGGCTGAGGCTTTAAATATGGAGCCAAAAAAATTGCACCCTTTAAATACATTCGTTATATTGTTAATACTGGCAATAAATCTTCAAAACTTTTTGACATTGTGGAAATAATGTTTTATTTTTTTAAATTGTTATAGAAAAGGATTACTCAGCACCTGATATTTATAGCATAATTAAGCCTTTCTTTCCAAGTTTTAAATAATCAAGAACAGAAGAAAATAATTTTGTTTGCTACTTTCTCTATATTTGCCATTAGTGTAGGAAACATGCCTTGTTATGTCTACATCTGAAAAGTCTTATACCAATTAAGTGCCTCAAACTCTATTTTACTCCACTGCAAAAGAAACAATCCTTTCATCTTTACAATTCAGACTGTATTTCCCCACCTTTCTTATATCCCTCTTCCTTTCCGCTGATCTTCAGATATGTTAAAACATTGTAGCAAACTGCTTTTAACTCTTCTCCCACCACAAATTCTATTCAAACAAAATGAATTCACTGCATTTCCCACTGCTGCTGGTCACCCTTCCTATGTGCAGTCATTGCAGTCATCAGCACATGACATTTTATTTTAGTCCCTGAAGTGACTCAGCTTTTTAAGATGTAACTCTTAAGCGGTGGTTATAACTAGTGCTTCGTTTCCCTATAATCTCATAACCACTGCCACTCTATTGCTTTGCTAACATCTTTGCTGCTCTCTCACCTTGCAATCTATTGCATACAATTTCCCCAATTTGGAAGTCTTTACCCACACACTCATTCTCTCCAACACTTTTATCATTCATTTAATTTCAAACCACTTATTGTCCCTTACTTTTTGGGAACACAATTTGGCGATGTAAGTGCTTACTTATTTGTTTCTCTGTCTTTGTCATTTTCTTCTGAATATATCACGGGCACTTTAGTACTGTTTTAAATACACAGGTGCTGTTATAATACAGGTGCTGTTCTGTGTGTTGATGTCATACAAGAAAAGAACAGTTGTTGACTTACATCTTCTGAATCTCCCAGCACAGTAGTCCGCATGATGGTGTAGGGTACACTTGCCATTTCATGTGGTTTTTTATCTCTAATTTATCAATCCATGGTCTCATGTGATTATCATTAAATCAATATTTTCACCTAACTCCTTGAATCCAAGGCAACACGCATACATACAATTTTTGATAATTTTTAACCTTACATTCAAGGCCTTGCACAACTAGTTCCTTGTTTATTTCGCCGACCTCATCTCTATCTACCTCTCTACCCAAATCAGCACTCCCAATAGTCGGCACAAGAAAAGTTGCTTTTCACTTTTCCCAATTTCTGGGTTTCAGAATTTTAGGACTTCCTTATAAACAGCAATGCAGAGGATCCTAAGCAAGACAATGTAAATAAAATATTCCAAGATTCTTTACTCAAAGATGACACCAGCCAAAGTCAGCAAAAGAAGTAACAAGTCAATGGTTACCGGAAATTCTTTCCTCTCTGTCTTTGGCACAAACTCTCTCCAAGGGAAGCTTTAAAGCTAATTAAACTGGCCAGGCGCAGTGGCTCACACCTGTAATCCCAGCACTTTGGGAGGCCGAGACAGGCAGATCACCTGAGGTCAGGAGTTTGAGACCAGCCTGGCCAACATGTTGAAACCCCGTCTCCACTAAAAATACAAAAATTAGCCGGGCATGGTGGCAGGCACCTGTAATCTCAGCTACTTGGGAGGCTGAGGCAGGAGAATCACTTGAACCCGGGAGGCAGAGGTTGCAGTGAGCCGAGATCACGCCATTACACTCCAGCCTGGGGGACAAGAGTGAGACTTCATCTCAAAAAATAAATAAATAAATATAAAAAGTCACCTAGTTAAACCTAAGTCTTGTTTACTTTATTTTCATTTAATGCAATTACCATAAGGCAGAGGTTCTATTGGTAGGGCAAAGAAGAGAATGTGCAAAACAATTTTGACAAAGACTTAACTAGGCCTAATCAAAAATCCCACTATTTCTAGGCTAGACTCAGTCTTATGGTTAAAAGGAAGCACACCAAACCAAAGTTCTACACTGTTACCCTATTGTTTTATCTCTTCCTTCCCACAAAGGCTGGCTGACCTCTAGGCAGTCGTTTCTAAATTTATTAGCCTAACTTTTATTTATTTCTACCACCTAAACAATGTCCTTCATCTCACCTTATGCAATAGATTCACATTCTCATAAAAATATGCCACTCAACACATGTAATAGTCTGGGTTCTTCAAGAAACAAAACCGAAACCAATATCTAGATAGATGACTAGCTATTGGATATAGATAGATAGATAGACAGACAGACACACAGACACACAGACAGACAGATAGATACAGGCAGACAGACAGGCAGACATAAAGGAGGGGAGAGAGAAAAAGACAGAGAGAGAGAGAAGAAAGAAGAGATTGATTAATTGATTAAAAGAAATTGGCTCATGAGGCAGCTATGAAAGCTAAGTCTCAAAATCTATAGTCAGTAAGCCAGAGACCCAGGAGCCAATGGTATAGTTCTGATGGCAAGTTCAAAGGTCTGAGAAGCAGGAAAGTTAATGTTGTAAGCTCCAAACCATGTCCAAATCTGAAAGCAGGAGAAGACTGATATCCCACCTCAAAGACAGGCAGAGAGAGCAATCCCCCTTACTCAGCCTACATGTTCTCTTCAGTATATCCACAGATTGGATGAAGCTCACCTCCCCATTGGGGAGGGCAGTCTGCTTTACTCAATCCACTCATCATTCTCATCCAGAAACACCATCACGGACACACCCAGAATTATGTTTAACCAAATATCTAGACACCCATGGCCCAGTCAAGTTGATACATAAAGTTAGCCATAATAATACATGACATGTCTGTTTTTCTCTATATACATTTGCTGAAATTCATACCCACATCACGTGGTGTTTCTCATGTTTCCTACTAACTTAAGAGTCATGCTTCCCTCAAGGTAAAGCTTATGACTACATATTTCACAAATGACTTCTCAGCTACACCCAACCCGTCATTCTTTTTTCTGCTGAACTCTTGTAGCTAGCATTCATATGTAGACACATATAGTACATTAATTTAAAAAAGAAGAAAAAATCATATAAGATGACCTATGCTAAATATCAACTGAATACGCATATTACATTTAAAAATTACTATGTATATATTTTTCACATTGAATGATCCTGAGGATATCAGGTAGAGTGAGGCCAAAATGCCTGTTTAAGTCATAGCCCTGCAAACTATACTTCTATATAGTTTCCCAGAATCAGGATTTTTGTCAAAGCTGCAGACTTTGAATGCTACACAGCTATCTCAGTGTTTCTATACTATGACTCAGTAGACCAAAGAATCTGAATTTGAGGATTACAGATTCAGTGGGCATTAAGACATCTGTAAGCTCCATGTAATTGTACCCACAATATTGTGTTTGTAACATAATCATGAGAGTTCAGAGATCTAATCATGTTCTCAAGAGTCTATGACCCCAGTAGGTTAGAAACCAGTATCCTTGGTCATTTTCTGCTATATCTTACAGGATTCTTTTGAAGAATAAAATAACTATTTTAATTGCATTTTAGGCTGCAAAGCACAAAATACTCCAAAAGTCATGGAGTGAATAGATATTATTAGATGGCACTGCTGATGTGAATTTTCCTCCCATCAGACAAAACCTTTCTTTTCTGGTATCTGTAGTCAATAGGGTTTTTTGTTTATTTGTTTGTTTTGTTTTGTTTTTACCATTGGTAGAATACATGCCCTTGTACTGAATGATTTTCTATTATATGAATCAGTATGAGTTAAAGTCTACCTACTGGGGTGTGGCTAACTGCTGTATCACTCAGCCATTATTGTACAGTAACCACAAAATCTCAAAGGAAGAATGTGTTTGACTCAAGGGTCTATAAGTCCCCTGAAGCAGCTCTGCTCCACACGTCTCACACTCTCCTGGAGCCAGCCAGGATATGTTTTTCTCTGGGCAATGGCAGAGTACAAGAGAGCAAACCCTATAATACAAGCACTATTCAAGCCTGTACTTGTGTTAAGTCAGCTAACAACCCATGGGCTAAAATAAGTCATGAGGCCAAGTTCAAAGTCAATGGGATGAGGAAGTATATCCGCCTTTAGAGGGAGAAACTGCAAAGTTACAGACAAAGGAGACAGGCATAGGAAGAGATGGAGTATTGGGCCCAATATTTCAATCTACCACATTTTTTTAACTCACTGAGGAAACAAAATAATAAGAGCAGGTACAACTTAGAAGCTTAGAGTTATGCATTTTTTAGAAGCTTAGAGTAATGCATTTTACACACAGCATCTCCTTTAATCCACACAACCATTTCATAAGTAGATGACAACGAATAAATATTAGAGAGTTTAAGTTACTTTTCCAAGGATACACAGGAATGGAACAGGAATTCTAACCTATATCTACTTCTGTGTTAGAAATAAAATATTGTGTATATATACTAGACATAAGATTTTTTTTATTTGCAAATGACCAAAACTTAAACCAGCACAGGCAAAACAGAAACAAAAACAGTGACAGGGAAGTAATTTCTGGCTACCTTTCAAAATATGATCAAGGAAGGGGAAGGGCTGGCTGGATGGTCAGCAGCAACATGGGCTTTGGCATTCTCAGGACTCTCCCTCTCCAGGTTTCTTTTCTGCCTCCCTCTGCAGGCAGTCTACATTCTTTCAGACAGGCTTTCTGAGGAGTAGGAGATCTGGCTTCCAGAAGCTCCTGATGTAAACCTTATTTACTTGTGACCAAAGAGGAAACAAACACTCACAGGCCCAGCTACAAAAACCTTGTGGAGGGATTTTTCCAAGCTGAATTGGGTCATAGTTCTACACCTCGACCAGTCACTGTGTCCAGGAGTGCTGGGTACTATGATTAGACCAGCCTGAGACAGGGACCCACCCCAACAATGACTGTAGCAGTCAGGATCATAGATGATGAGGAGGCTCTCATTGTAACTTACATGGGGTGGCGGGGGGGATGGGAGGGACGGAGTAGTAATTCTATTTCCAAAAGAAAAGCAACAAAATAACTGATAACGATCACTAAATTATAATAATTACATATTAATTTAACATATTATTTTTAAAATGTTTTCCACTGGTCAATTGTTTCTATTCCAAACCTCAAAAATTATTTTCTCTTCTTCATAAAACAATTGTGTTCCAAGTGATCACTTGATTAAGAGCAATAATACCTTTGAGGACTGTTAAAATTTCAATTTGTTTTGTTTCTGAGTGTTCCACTAATCAATTCTGGATTTGTAATATGAATCAAGTCTTCTTATATCTAACCATAATAATAAAATATAAAAGCCATGACAACAGAAATGATGAAAATAAATTCTGTCAGGCATGAGCTTTTTTGATGTGGTGAAAAGAAAAGAATAAAGAGTAGCAGAGAGGTTTATAAATTTTTTTAAATCATGTTACATATTTGTTTTAGCAAAGCATATATCCTGCAGATCCTTAACAATGTGGGTGTAACTAATGCTGGCAGAAGAGAATTTTATGTTGGAAGAGGAATCCCTCCAACAAGAGGTCATTTTTCTCCAGGGAGGAAGAGATGTTTGTTTGATTTCACTTCCTGATTCTGATTGTATTACTAGCCTGGCTCTGCACGCTGTGTCAGAAGACGTGTGTGTGGGTGATGCAAGCTAAAAACACGTGTTGAGCATCAGCAGCCTAGTCAGATTAGAAAGGCAGGACACATTCTCAATTTTACCTTTCCCCTTTACTTAGGGACTTGAAAGTTTGATCATGTGAAATATGGATCGTGTAAAAATTTGCCAGAGGGTGCTAATAGAAGACTTCATAGAAAAACAGTATGATTAGGTGAAAAAATTCCAGAGTTCGACACAGAATTTTTGTTTTGGAGCTTGACTCGGGGCTTACACACGTCACTTCACCTCTCTGAGCTGTAGCTCCTCTTCTTTAAATGAATATAAATCTGATAATAACCAACTTACAGGATTCTGTTGCAAAATAAAATAACTATTTTAATTGCATTTTAGGCTACAAAACACAAAACACTCCAAAAGTCATGGAGTGAATAGATACTATTAGATGGCACTGTTGATGTGAATTTTCCTCCCATCAGACAAGAAGTACAGATTGCCATTTTTCCCATTAATAAGTGATACGGGTGTCCTGAAAAAATTAACACAACTAATGAGACCCTAGAAGACTTACTCTGTTTAAAGAAGAAATTATTTGCTTTTGAATGATGAAACAGATTACCAATTTTAAGTGTCATCTTTTTTATGAAAACAGGCCAAACCAGTATCTACCATTCTAAATGAAAAATTAACTTTATTAGCTAATTCTAGTTTCTGAATATAACTGTTAAGTCTTAAAGGTAACTTTTTAAAGTTATACTTTATTGTAGTCATGTTTTTAAAAAGTTTTTTTGTTGTTGTTGTTTTTTTGAGACAGAGTCTCACTCTGTCTCCAGGCTGGAGTGCAGTGGCACGATCTCGGCTCACCGCAAGCTCTGACTCCCTGGTTCAAGTGATTCTCCTGCCTCAGCCTCCCGGATAGCTGGGATTATAGGTACGCACCACCACACTCAGCTAATTTTTGTATTTTTAGTAGAGACGGGGTTTCACCATGTTGGCCAGGATGGTCATGATCTCCTGATCTTGTGATCTGCCCCCCTCAGCCTCAAGTGTAAGTGCTGAGATTACAGGCCTGAGCCACCGTGCCCAGCCTAAAAAGTTTTTTCCTTCAAAATACATAAAGAAATATTTATGAAAAATAATATAAAGTCTAGGCTTTCCATAAAAATATGGGGAAGGGAGTGAATAGGTAAGAATATAAATAAAACAAAATTGGCCATCAGTTAATTGTTGAAGCACGGGAGATTATGCTTTGCACATTTATTTGTGCAAACTTCTAAATTTAAAAAATGTGATACATATCTAGGGATCACATTTCTTCAAATTTGAAATGGCAAAGTTTATATGTGTATATTTTTGCATATGTGGCTGATTTAAGTAAAATTTTACAGGCACATTCCCAGGTAATTAGCATCATAATTTTACACAGGCTGAAAAATCTGGCAATAATCTTACAATAGTGTTATGCATACATATATATATAGTTAATGTGTTATATCTACATATGGAGAGAAAGAGGAGAGAAATAAACAGGTAGCCTTCATGACACTGATTATTCTGGAGTGACCTCACCTTTTCTCGACTACAGCCTTTCACTAGGAGGGCTTTTTCAACCCAGGCCTTAGGTTATCCAGCATTTTGTAGTTCTGTGGAACACATTTATTTTGATCTCTAGAAAGACTTATATCTCTACTTGGGAAACTGACACCTCCCTCTGGACTAGCCTCACCCATGGTAAACACTATATATGGGAGAAAAAGTAGAAAGATATTTCCTAATAAGTCCAGCAAAACTGCTATCTTTTCTGTCAGCCCCCAAAGACATTTATTCTTTCTTTCCATATTTTTATGCTTTCCATGAACTACTTCAGAATAGAAAAAGATTCCTGACTGTAGCTCACATGCGATGTTCCCACTCTTAAGACCATTCCACAAGGCAACTATGGTGAGGAGCCACGGCTTGTCAGGCACTGTGCCAGAAGCATGGGATGTGAACACAGTAGGGAAGCCCTCAGAGTTGCATTCTCTCTCAGGAAAACCATTTTTAGGATGCTAAGTCTGAGGAAGATGACATGCAGGGTGGTATGAATGTGGCTGAAATTGGTGGGTTCTTGGTCTTGCTGGCTTTAAAAATGAAGCCGCGGACCCTTGCGGTGAGTGTTACAGTTCTTAAAGATGGTATGTCCGGAGTTTGTTCCTCCTGATGTTCGGACACGTCCGTAGTTTCTCCCTTCTGATGGGTTCATACTCTCGCTGGCTTCAGGAATGGAGCTACAGACCTTCAAGGTGAGTGTTATGGCTCTTAAGGCGGCTCGTCTCGAGTTGTTCATTCCTTCCACCCGGAGTTGTTTGTTCTTTCCATCCATAGTCGTTCGTGGTCTTGCTGGCCTCAAGAGTGAAGCTACAGACCTTCGCCATGAATGTTACAGCCCATAAAGGCGGCGCCGACCCAAAAAGTGAGCAGCAGCAAGATTCACCACAAAGAGCAAAAGAACAAACCTTCCAAAAGTGGAAACAGACGCAAGCCAGTTGCCGCTGCAGGCTCCCATAGCCTGCTTTTATTCCCTTATCTGGTCCCACCCACATCCTACTGATTGGTCCATTTTACAGAGAGCTGATTGGTCCGTTTTACAGAGAGCTGATTGGTCCGTTTTGACAGAGCGCTGATTGGTGCATTTACAAACCTTTAGCTAGACACAGAGCGCTGATTGGTGCATTTACAACCCTTTAGATAGACACAAAAGTTCTCCAAGTCCCCTACCCGATTAGCTAGACACAGAGCGCTGATTGGTGCTTTTACAAACCTCTAGCTAGACACAGAGTGCTGATTGGTGGGTTCACAAACCTTTAGCTAGACAGAAAAGTTCTCCAGGTCCCCACCAGACCCAGAAGCCCAGCAGCTTCACCTCTCAATGTCACTGGACGCTCGAGTTTGTGGCACCTAGCCCCGGCACTCCAGCAGCCCAGAGGGAGCTCATACCCCAATCAAGCCCAGCAGGTGCCTGCCAGCCGTGCCAGTGCGAGTGCAGGACCCACTGAGCATGTGCCCCCCCGGAATCTGTGCCGGCCCACGAGCGCCACGTGCAGCCCCGGCTCCCGCCGGCCCTCTCCCTCCAGCCTCCAGGCGAGCACAGGCAGCCAGCTCTGGCCTCAGCCAGCCCCAGAGAGGGGCCCCCATAGCGCAGCAGCGGGCTGAAGGGCTCCTTGAGTGGTGCCAGAGCGAACTCTGAGGCCGAGGAGGCGCGGAGAGCAAGCAAGGGCTGCTAGCACGTTGTCACCTCTCATGAAGAGCCAATACCAAAATTTAGCCCCTGCCCTGTGTTGGGCTGCAAGAGTCGGTTGGACCCAAGAAATCCTCTGATAAATCTCAGTTTGACACGCTTTGTAAACAGTTCCATCTGTGACACATTAAACTTCAAGTTGCACTATTTCTAATGAAGTAAAATTTTCAGATGATCCATTAATCAAGTTATTAATTTCAATTGATAATTAAAATTAATAAATTCAATATTTGAGTGTAAAGCAATGTGAACTGATATTTTGGGGATGTTGGTACAGTCTCAGGTTCTATCCAAAAATGCTACTTATGCCTGTAAGAGAACTTTTATTGACTCCATCCAGCCAAGCCTTGTTCTTCTAAGTTGGGTCTCTGCATCTGTGATCCCATAATGTTCACATGTGATCTCTCAATGCACTTACTACAGTATGCTACTTCAAACTCTTGTCAGCTCAAAGAAATTAGACTAGGAATGGCTGGATTTAAATAATCAAATGGTGTCATGATGACCTGGTCTCTCTCCATGTGTTACTTATTTTTTCTGTATCTAATATTCTCACCCTCAAGCTGGCTGTCTTTATATGAGAGGCTGCTGGTTATCTCAAATTTATAATCTTAAAAAAAGAGACAACTTGTATCTCCTGGTATTCACATTTTATGAAAGGGTCCTGATTTACTCAACCCATGTTCTTTTTTTCTTTTCTTTTCTTTTCTTTTTTTTTTTTTTTTTTTTTTGAGAGAGTCTTGCTCTGTTGCCCACATTGGAGTGCAGTGGTGCAATCTTGGCTCACTGCAACCTTTGCCTCCCAGGGTTAAGTGATCCTCCTGCCTCAGCCTCCCAAGTAGCTGGGACCACAGGCACAAGCCACCCTGCCAGGCTAATTTTTTGTGTTTTTGGTAGAGACAGGGTTTCACCATGTTGCCCAGGCTGGTCTCAAACTCCTGAGGCTCAAGTGATCCGCCCACCTCAGCCTCCCAAACTGCTGGGATTACAGCCATAAGCCACCATGCCCAGCCTCGGCTCATGTTCTTACTCTTGGACCAATCTCTGAATTCCATGAAGTAAACATGGAGGAATGAGGAGTTGTTTGTCAAAGGCACATTTACCAAGCAGACAAAAGTGTCACTTTAAGTATACTGTAAATATTTTATTATGTGTCTGTTTCCCCTAATGGACTATAAGCTAGAATAAGAGTTGTATCTTATTAATTTGCCTATACTCAGTGTGGAATACAGGACCTCACCCCTAGGAGGTGTTTAGTAAATATTGATTGAATAAATATGATGTAAAAGAATGTAAATGACCATCTAGGTAGAGGAGAGAGAGTGAAGAGACTGTGCTGCCATGGGGATTGCCCACAGTGGACAATGTGAAGAGGAACAGAAGCATTAAGAGTAAGTAGCTCTTAACCTTTAAAGCACTTTGAAAACGTTCCAAAGACACTACACTGCCCCCCTCAGCTGGTATCAGTCACAGAGAAGCTTCATTTAAATCTTTATGCCTCTCTTTTAATAACAGATAAGAATGCTTAGGGAATGTTTAAAACTGTGCCACATCCTTATTGTTTTGTTCTAACTCTACTAATGAATCACTGGAAGGTCTAGTCTGTGATACATTAGGAACCTGAGGCTCACAGGGTTTCTGGTAGCAAAGCCAGAAACTTTGCTAACTTCTACTTAACCTTCCCAAAGTTCGATGGTGAAAGTATTCAAAAAGCAGAAAGTCTTATGCCATGTTTTATACACTAGTGCTAAGTATTTATGTAACTGGAGTATTATTTTTCCTAAATGATGAGCTAGAGTCTGGATAAATATATCATGTTAAGTTGAGGGACAGACTCAATGATTCAAAGTGGCTCATGCCTGTAATTCCAGCACTTTGGGAGGCCAAGGCAGGTAGATCACTTGAGGTCAAGAGTTTGAGACCAGCCTGGCCAACATGATGAAACCCCATCTCTATTTTAAAAATACAAAAATTAGCCGGGCATGGTGGCACATGCCTGTAGTCCCAGCTACTCGGGAGGCTGAGGCATGAGAATATCTTGAACCAGGGAGGTGGAGGTTGCAGTGAGCCAAGATCGCACCACTGCACTCCAGCCTAGGTGACAGAACAAGACTCCATCTCAAAAAACAATGCAAAACAAAACAAGAAAAGTGGCTCAGGGATCATGAACAGGATCATGCCATGAGTGCAGAGAAAAAAACAGTTTCAAGAGAGGGAGGAGGGTGTGGTTAATACTATCATGTGCTCAGAGAGTTTGAGAGGCCGTGCCAACATGTCTGTTGAGAATTGTCTGTTGAGACCTGAGCAAGTCTGCTATGGTTTGGATGTGTGTCCCTTCCAAAGTTCTTGTTGAAACTTAAAGCCCCTTGTGGAGTTATTAAAAGGTGTGGCCTTTGAGAGATAACTTAGTCATGAGGGTTCTGTCTTCATGAATAGAATTAACGCCCGTATAGAAGGGCTTGAGTTTGAAGGGAGTACTCTCTTGCCCTTCAGCCTTCTGCCGTGTGAGGACACAACCACCAAGTGCCATCTTGGAAGCAGAGAGCAGCCCTCACCAGACACCAATGCTGGCACCTGGATCTTGGACTTTTCAGCCTTTAGAACTATGAGAGATACATTTCCATTGTTTATAAATTACTCAGTCTGTGGTATTTCATAGCAGCACAAAGAAACTATGACAGTCACATAACAAAAAGAGAGAAGCGATTGAAGCAAAGTAGGCAAAAGTGATTTTTTCAAGTTATTTGGTAGTGAAAGAGTAGTAAAGGAAGTTGCAGGATTGTAGAAAGAGTGGTGGTGTTTTGTTTATTTGTTTATATAAATAAGGAAAGGTTGATGGTGTTTATAGGTAGAAGGGAAGGAGACAATCAAGAGAGAGTTGATTATTTCTGGAGAAGGAGCTATTTCACGGAGGAAGGTCCTGGGGAAGTTGAGGGAGATGTGTTAGGGAGCATAGCTGACCAGGTTACTTTAGGTAAGAAAAGCCAAAAACTTAAGGTATGTATTTCTTTTATAATTAGATAACTATTATTTTTTAAAGATGCAATAGATAATTTCCTACCCAATTTCATTTCAGTCAAAATGACTATTTTTCACTGATTCGTTTTTCTTATTATTAAAAAGAAAGGTTCAAGTTACAATGGAAAAATCCAATAACTAAAATGTTCTACTTATAACATCATACAATGAAAAGAGTAATATAAATATCAAATACACAAATATGGATAAATTAAATATATTAAAATATTAAGAAAGTAAAATAAGGAGATTATTCAAAAATAAATAATTCAGAATATTTACAGCCAATGCCCCAAGAAACAAAAATACAATATAAAATTAAAGTATATTAATACGAAGTATATCTATGAATATCTGTATTGTTAGTTACTATGCTTTGTGGAACAAAATCTTAAAAGAACTTAGCTTTTCTTTAGGAGAGTGAATTCTATTCACCAAAAAAATGTAGAAAAGAAAAAATACTTTTTATTAATATATTATAAGGAAATAGCCTATACATACTAATAAAAAAATAGGAGGAGAGAAGATGAGGGAAGAAAAGAATTATTCACTGGGAAAAGTACTTCAGTTCTTTGAGGTCAGTTGAGTCTTTATTCAGACTAACTTATTCAGGGCACTAGTTCAAAGGCCCTTTTCACTGCAAAAGTTAAGTCACCAAAACCAAAATGAGCAGGGTAATTTATCTTTAATCTTATTTTGATGAAGCACAAGTAAATTTAAAGTAGTTCTCCGAGAACCAACAAAAATAAAGCTACCCCTAGAACAAATAATGTCCACTTATGGCAGTCCTCTCTGTCTTTATTCCTGTGTTGGGAAAGGTTTTGGTTATATAACAATAAAAATAAATCAGACAGACATGATCATGTTAATGTGAGAGCATGAGATAATCAGTCAAAAATGTGCTATAGTTATTTTCAAACTAGTTCCACACCTAGAAGCAAACCTAGTCATCATCCTCATCTTGTCATCACTACAGGAATTTTTGAGTAACTGCCTAAGACAGGAGACACAGGATTTCAAAAGACCAAGATTCAGACTGCTAAATTGCTGAGTTCTACAATTTGATAACGGGTTCTGCATTATTTAGATCCATTTACCTTAGGAAAACAGGATTCACCGTGATTCAATCTCACTCATTTCAAAATGTTGCTGAATGTATTCAAATAAACAAATAACTCTTAGAATGAAAATGTGCCCTCATTTTCTACCTACAATTACTGCCAGAGCCCACGTGTTAATTTCTTTGAGCCTTCTGCAGCCTGGGAGACCAAGTGAAGTAACAACAAAAATTACTCTCCTGACAGAGGGCCTTCTCCAGTATTTGGGGCATTTTGAAGGGATTTCTCCATGTGTTCCCCAACAAATCAGCCCAAGTGCTTGCAGCGCAGCCTCTTAGTGATGCCCACAACCCATGAAGCCATTTGAGGGACATTTGTCATTACTGCCCAGGTTCTCCATGAGAATAATCAGGGAGGGGATTCCCCTTGTGCTCCTAAAGCCACAAACCCGAGAGTTGACAAAATGTCTCTGCCTTCCTTTCAGCCTTCTGAGTCTCAGGGGCATACAGTGCCTTTCTTGCGCACAGCGGAGTGAATCTCTCTTTTGCCTCGTTCTGTGTTTAGGTAAATATATATTTTCTCTTTTTTTGAGACGGAGTCTTGCTCTGTCGCCAGGCTGCAGTGCTGTGGCACGATCTCAGCTCACTGCAACCTCTACCTCCCAGGTTCAAGCGATTCCCCTGCCTCAGCCTCCCAAGTAGCTGGGATTACAGGCAAGCGCCACCACGCCAGGCTAATTTTTTGTATTTTAGTAGAGACGGGGTTTCAGCATGTTGGCCAAGATGGTCTTGATCTCCTGACCTTGTGATCTGCCTGCCTCGGCCTCCCAAAGTGCTGAGATTATAGGCGTAAGCCACCACGCCTGGCCTACATATTTTCTTAACTCGAGCAGATATGACAGTGAAAGGGGGCTCTAATTAATAGTTACTCGAAGACAGAAGGATAAACTGGGCTGTCCCAAGCAAACCAGGGAATATAGTCAACCTGTGTATGGCTCCTGTTCCCTTGGGCAATGGGCCTGCCTTCTGGTTCCTTGTTGGTTCTTAGGTTAAAACACTTTCTTCAGCATCTTCCTTTTCTTCACAGACCTCAGTCTTAGTCCACAGAGTGGGGCTGGGAAGTAGGCACATATTATCTTTTCCATTGCCCACCTACTTCACCCCAGCTGCCCACACATCCACCTCCACTTTACTGGCCCTCCTTCCCCCAAGACACAGCCAGGCCCAGATGTCCAAAATACATCCAAAAATAAGGCACCACAGAGTAGCAAGCCAGTCTTAGCTTAGTAATCAACATACCACCCCAACTGGGAAAAAAACAAATAAATAAAAGCAGGGAAAAAATAACTTTCCTTTTGCCACAGCCAATTAATAGGTTTGCTTGTTATGAATGTATATAAATCCAGCTTGAATATTGCCCTCTCCTTGTCATTATTGATAATTGCATCATCACCATATCTGGAAATATATATAACAAAGCAATATTAGTGAAATCATGTCTATAAAGTATTATTGATCTTTGTGAAAAGGAAATTGCATTAGTAGTAATAATAATGTTATGTACAATAAAGAAGTTTAAATGGGAAATAACACATCTCTACCTAAAAAGCATTCATGAAATTTCCTTTAATATGATTATTTAAAATGAATATATCAGCCACATTTATTCCCATTCACTAGCTGTGAGAAATCCATAAAGGACAAACAAACACAGTCTAATAGTTGAGTCTGTAGGTTCCACAGAGACTCACACATCTTTGGAAGACAGTTTTGAATAATGGACTACACAGCAATCATCTGAAGCAGAAATTTTTAGGGACGGATCATGACACAATTATACATTCAACTTAAAAAGAAAATCATTTAAGTCAAGACCTTAACAAAGATCTCACTTTGTTCTCTGTTAGCATTCAAAATAAAACCATGATATTAAATTTAGTATTAGATAATCAGGCTACCAAGTTTAGGTTTGTTCCATTAATCTAGATTGCCTCAAGAAACAGAGAAAATTATGACCTCAGATAAACATAAGCATAGGACTTTACACGTTTTGGTTACTTAATGGCTATTTGTTGATATGGTTAAGCTTGAAGTATCCCCAACCCAACAGGCAGTGTCACATCTCTTGATATAGGGTCCTGAATTTAGACTAAAAACACGACATTATTTCTAAGTATGGAGAAATCATGCAATTTCTCAGACTGCATTTCTAGGCTCAACAAGAAGTTTTGCTGGGAAAGGGCTCAGCACTGAAGTGAGGGAGAGGAGTAACGAATGATAACATGAAGTCTGTGAATAATACAACAATCCAATTTGAATCCAAATCAGGACAGCATGCTGCATAATTGAAGCTCTTAATATGAGCTTCCATGAGGTCGCTGGAAGGATCAACATTATCAAGCATGAGACACATGCCAAAATAATCTCTCCTCCTCTTCATAACCTTCCTGACTTTCTCCATGCCTCAAATTCCACCATTGTAGCATCACTCTTTTAGATCATGAAATCTCTTAGGTCCTCTAGCATTTCTCATAAAAATGAAAATCACCCCTGAGAAGGTTAGATATTTAATCGAGCATTTCTAAAAATATATGTATTTTCAGTCCCTTAGGATGATGCAGGGAAACAAAACAAAACGACCCAAAATTCTGTGGCCAAAGAAATTTGGTAAATGCTGCATACTTTATTACTCTTTAAGATTCACAGTGACAATATATTTTTAAAAGCTCTGAGATATATTGCAGAAAAAAAAGCTTTTTTATAATTCATATTGTTTAACTGAGTGTTTGCAAAATGTTTCTATGATTCCAAAATCATAATTTGAAATATTCTTTAGCATCGAGAATACTGCAATATCAACTCACAATGAATCATCAGACTCTGGAAACATGAACAACGTGATGAGCAGCTAGGGAGCCAGAAATAGTTACTGACTGGCTGGTTTCTTTGTCATTGCAGGGATTCATTGGACTAATAATTACTGAATAATACCAACAGCGTCAGTGTTTCTCTCATTTTTTTTAGCTCCATAGAGAAGTATATATACTGGCTCATACATTTAAGAATTTATCATATCCATTATTAGAGAAATAAGATAGGCTCCACATGAAAAGTTAATGAACAAGGAAATACTTGATTGAATGATGAGTAGGTTATATGGACGATGTGTCTTTGAATGCTGAAAATAAGTAGTCAGCAGAATCGAGCTCAGCTTTAAAGTCTGGGCAGCACTTTTTTTTTTCTTTTTTTTTTTTTTTGAGACAGAGTCTCACTCTTGTCGCCCAGGCTGGAGGGCAGTGATGCAATCTCAGCTCACTGAAACCTCCACCTCCCTGGTTCAAGCAATTCTCCTGCCTCAGCCTCCTGAGTAGCTGGGATTACAGGCGCCCACCACCACACCTGGCTAATTTTTGTGCTTTTTAGTAGAGATGGGCTTTCGCCATGTTGGCCAGGCTGGTCTTAAACTCTTGACCTCAGGTGATCCACTAGCCTCAGCCTCCCAAAGTGCTGGGATTACAGGCATGAGCCACCGTGCCCGGCCTTGGGCCGCATTTTTATGGACAGAAAAGGAAGGAGTGTCCTGGGAAAGAGGACCATGAGAGCAAAGGAGGGGTGGTAGGCACTAGAACCTGCTGCTGGAACAACTGGAGCCACTACAGTCAGAGATCACCACTGTTAAGCATTGTGTAGCCCAGCTTGGGGCTCACCACGGACCTGACTCCACTTCTTCTCAATGGGAGATGCTCTTAGCAAGAGCTGCCACCACGAAGCACAGCAGGGAGCCACTGACAGGAAATTGGTGCCACCAGGAAAGCCTAACAAGAAAACTGCCTCTAGCCAGCCATTATCAAAAAGGAACTATCACTGCAAGGACTAGTAAATGAATTAGACCGAAGCTGCCTTATTACTCAAGATACTGGTCCTTTTATGATCTCCTGGTAACATCCAAAATTTGTTCTGGTTTTGAATGCAGTGGTGGCTATAAAAATACATTGCTCAGATGTCATTCTCCAGGAGGATGGCCTGATCGCCCAGGTGCTGTCCCTCTGGATCCACCACCACATTGCAGCTCAAGCTTTGCTTTGGTGAGTGCTTCTTGCTGACCATGAACCTGGTGAGGGTACTAATGAAAGCCTATTCCTGAGATGCAGAACTCTTATAATCAGCAACTTTTCCATTGACCTAGCTGAACGTTTCTTGGAACCATGCTGCAACTCAACACTCTTTCTATCCAGACTTACTTCCTTTTCTGCCTCCTTCATGGGTGTCAGACCAGCACTGTGGTCTCAAGGCTCCTGCTGCCTTCTCCAGCTCCTTCCCCTGTATGCTTCTCAGGAATTTACCTGGATATATTTTTTGCATATCTAATTCTAGCTTGGTGACTGTATTAGCCTGTTCTCACACTGCTATAAATAAATACCTGAGGCTGGGCAATTTATAAGGAAAAGAGATTTAATTGGCTCATGGTTCCTCATGCTGTATGGGAAGCATGATTCTGGCATCTGCTTGGCTTCTAGGAAGGCCTCAGGAAACCTTTATTCATGATGTGGAGCAGGCATCTTCACATGGCCAGAGCAGGAGGGGGCGGAGGGGCAGTGCCACACACTTTAAAACAACCAGATCTCATGAGAATTCTGTCATGAGAACAGCACCAAAGAGATGGTGCTAAACCATTAGAAACCACCCCCCATGATCCAATCACCTCCCATCAGGCCCCACCTCCAACACTGGGGATTACAACTGAATACAAGATTTGGATGATGACACAAGTTCAAACCACATCAGTGTCTGCTTCTCAGAGGACCCCAACTATGGCACAATCCATTCTGAGGTTCCATCATGTTGAGCTTTGACATCTGTCTCTCACCCAAGCATCCCAGCCCTAAGCAATAATATTACAAAGAGGGAAAGAGCCGTCTCTCAGTGCCACCATTCCCTTGGTATTGAATGCCAGGCCCAAATCAACCCTTCCTTCTAAATGAGATTCAATTTGGAAAGGATTTTATCATGTGATAAATGAAAAAGAAAATTAACACTGGGAAACGTACCATCCCAATAAAAAGATAGAAAATGTATATTCAGAATCGGACAGTGTTGTATAAAATTGTATCTTAAAGAGCCTGATAGAGGGTACTACTGCTTTTTCAATCAGCAAGCAGTTACTATTTTTCTATTCTTGATGTATTGTATTCCTAGGGCTGCAAAACAAAGTACCACAAACTGAATAGCTTTAAACAACAGACATTTATTCTCTCACAGTTCTGGAGGCTAAAAGTCTGAAATCAAGTTGTCAGCAGGGCCATGCTCTCTCTCTGAAGGCTCTAGGGGAGAACTTGCTCCATGCCTTTCTCTTGGCCTCTGGTGTTCTTGCCAAGCCTTGGTGTTCCTTGGCTTATTAACACGTTCGTTCAATTCCTGCCTCTGTGGTTACATGGTGTTCTCCTGGAGTGTCTCTCTCTCTCTCTCTTTCTTCTTATAAGGACACCAGTCATAATGGATTAGGGCCCACCCTAATGACATTGTAGTAACTCGATTACTTCTGCAAAAACCCTACTTCCAAATAATATTACATGCAATTACCAGGAGTTAGAATCTTTTAGGGGAGATACAGTACAACCCACAACACTTGGGTAGAGGTTTGTTTCTTTGAAAGGAAATTGGGAAACTGCATAATTAAACAAAATTTCTCAGTGATTTGGTAGATAAGGAAACAAACAGTTACACTTTTAGCCAGTGAATTGTGTTGCTGTTTGTATTGTATTTTTGTTGTATGTCTGGTAAGTCCACATCCTGTACATCTTCAGATGCAGCTGGCATTTAGGACTTTGGGTCACTGCTGAATATTGCTGGATGGATATGACATGAAACCAATTTGAATCTTCTAAATGTTGGCTGTGGATGATATGAATTGATAGGCATATTTATTACCACTGGTAAAAGCACTGCTGGTTTGAAGGAGTGACCTTTCTAGCTGAAATTAATTGGGTCTCTTCAATGACACTACTTGTACATGAATACAATTTTCTGATTCAGAGAAAACAGAATAAAGAAACTACCAAATCAATCAGCCAAAAAGGATATCATGAAGCACTCTTGAGATAATAAATCACAGCACACTGAGGCTTCACATATATATAATGAAACATTTTTAGCAGCTTCAATTCTGCCCCTTCCATCTACCATAAAAAAGTGACTGTACTAGGATAGGAAATTTAGTAAGTATTGTTGATTCAAAAAGCATTTGTGACCACCCTTCTCCCATGCCTGACTCTAGTATAGAAGCTGTTAAAGCTAAAAATGTGAACTCCTAGCTTCTTTCATGACAGGCAGAGGTGGGTCAAGGGGATATGACACAATTCTGGTTAATAATACAGAGGCAGAGGCACCATGGAAGGCATCACTTCTCAATAAAAAGACTATCTCTTCATGAAGAGTGTCCTTGACTCTTACTACTTGCCAACATCCCACCTTTTTGCCAGGAATGTCTTTATGATTCCTGTGGGCAGAAGCCACTTTGCAACTAGGGGTTCAAAAGTTTTCATAAAAATGATGGAGTAAGAGCATTGAAGGTGGAATAAAAAGCCCTGGACTTGGATTCAGGAAGCTAAGTTTTAATATTGGATCTTCCAGTGATTGAACTTGAACTTGGCTTCTATAGCAGAGATTATCAACAAGGGGCAATTTTGCCTGCCAAGTAACATTTGACTGGAGATTTTTTTTGTTGTCACAACTGGGTAGGAGGGGGGCTGCTGGCATCAAGTGGGTAGAGACCAGAGATGCTACTAAACATTCTACAATGAACAAGACAGCTCCCCACAACAAAGAAATATTCAGCCCAAAATGTCAATGACGCTGAGCTTGAGAAACTATAATCTGTGGGTCTCATTTTCATTAATGTTTCAGAGATGACATTTATGGTTCTTTACAAAAATAGAAAGTAGTCTGAATATTTCTCACAAGAAAATACTTCAGTTATAGTACACCCACTTGATAGAATTTAAACTATTTCTTAAATGATATTTATAAAGAGGAAGTAACAATAGCAAAAGTTTCATATTTTTAAAAAATCAATATACAGAAGTGTAGGCACTGAATGAATACCGCCATTATGAAAAGAAAGCGAATGTAAGACACTGATAGTCTTAAGTGTAATAAAGTTGGATCATGACTTGCCTAGGTTAGGAGGTAATTCTGTTGATTTAGTTAAAGTTCAAGGGGTAGCTTTCTCAATATTGACTTTGGAAATAATTGGAGTAGGTTTTATTGATTAATTGTATCTTAACGAGTAGTATTAAAGGCTCTTAAACTCTGAGGTCAAGTATATTTCCGGTAATATGTTCATGTTTAGATTTAGAAATAGTCCTGACCAAAACAGAATGTAAAAGCAGTTGTCATATGTAACTACCCCCAAACCTAAGCCTTTGACAGTGTTATTCTGCAATAAAACATGAAGAATTAAACTAACCAAGTGAGGAAAATAAATAAAAGCTTTAGGACTTCAATTATTTGTGTACTCTCATAATTTTGGTAAAATATCTTTTAACTTGAGAGTTAAGATATTTTCATCTTCTTAGTCAAGGTAAGTAAAATAAGTACAGACCAACAGGTACTGTCTTTTCAGTAATTTCACAGGCTTATGTTTATGGAACTGTGCTGTTAAGGTTAAATTCTCAAACCGGTTTTCAGAACACTTTTTAGTTGTTGAAATATGGTAAAACAATGCTCAGTTTTCTATTTTTAGATACAAGGAACCATTATATATTCAAATTTTGATGTCAGTAAAACAAATTTTGTTGTTTAATTTGCAACTTAAAAATATTTCACGATTGTGTTTTTAAAACACTTGATTGGTGCATCTACAGTCCTCTAGCTAGACACACGGTGTGTTTACAAACCTTGAGCTAGACACAGAGTGCTGATTGGTGTATTTACAATCCTCCCCCTAGACATAAAAGTTTTCCAAGTCCCCTCCCGACTCAGGAGCCCAGCTGGCTTCACCTAGTGGATCCCCTGCCAGGGCCACGGGCGGAGCTACCCGCCAGTCCCGCCCCAGGTGCCTGCACTCCTCGACCCCTGGGCAGTCGATGGGACCGCGGAGCAGGGGGCGACGCCCATCGGGGAGACTCCGGCCGCGCGGAAGCCCAAAGCGGCAAGCGGAGGGGACCGAGGAGGAGGTCAGGAGCGGGTGGGGGGGGGCGGCAAGGGGCATGGCTGGCTGCAGGTCCCGAGCCCTGCCCCGCGGGGAGGCGGCTGAGGCCCGGTGAGAATTCGAGCGCAGCACGGCAGGCTGGCAGTGCTGGGGGACCCGTCGCACCCTCCGCAGCTGCTGGCCTGGGTGCTAAACCCCTCAGTGCCCCGGGCCGGTGGGCCGCGCAGTTCCAAGTGCGGGGCCCGCCGAGCCCACACCCACCCAGAACTCGAGCTGGCTTGCAAGCGCAGTGGTCAGCCCCGGTTCCCGCCCACGCCTCTCCCTCCACACCTCCCTGCAAGCAGAGGGAGCCGGCTCCAGCCTCAGCCAGCCCAGAGAGAGGCTCCCACAGCGCAGCGGTGGGCTGAAGGGCTTCTCAAGCGTGGCCGGAGCAGACGCTGAGGCCGAGGAGGCGCTGAGAGCGAGTGAGGGCCGCCAGCATGCTGTCACCTCTCACTTTGACCATTTTTTAGTTGAGTCATTCTTTTTCTGTTGTTGAGCTGTAGATGTTCTTTGTATATATTCTGGATATCGCTTGTCATACATAAGATTTGCAAATATTTTCTATTCCACGGATTTCCTTCTCATTATGTTGATAGTATCCTTTGATGCACACTATCAAAGGACAACTATTAAACACAACCTATTTAATCCTCATAACAGCTCTATTAAGTGGGTACTATTATTATCATTTCCATTTTACATATGAGGCACTTAGACCTAGAAGATTTAAGTAATGTGGCTGGGCGCGGTAGCTCACGCCTGTAATCCCAGCACTTTGGGAGGCCGAGGCAGATGAATCATGAGGTCAGGAGTTCCAGACCAGCCTAGCTAACATGGTGAAACCCTGTCTCTACTAAAAATATAAAAAATAGCTAGGCTTGGTGGCAGGCGCCTGTAATCCCAGCTACTAGAGAGGCTAAGGCAGGAGAATCTTTTGAACCCGAGAGGTGGAGATTGCAGTAAGCTGAGATGGCACCATTGCACTCCAGCCTGGGCAACAGGACAAGACTCCATCTCAAAAAAAAAAAAAAAAAAAAAAACAATAAAAAGAAGTTTTACGTAGTGTACTAATATCCTATGGTAATGGCCTTAAGTTACATTTTAGGCCATAGAGTTTGTCTCCAGAAACATTATGTCATAGACACTTTTTTTTTTTTTTTTTTTGAGACGGAGTCTCGCTCTGTCGCCAGGCTGTAGTACAGTGGCATGATCTTGGCTCACTGCAACCTCCACCTTCTGGGTTCAAGCGATTCTCCTGCCTCAGCCTCCCAAGTAGCTGGGACTACAGGCACACGCCACCAAGCCCAGCTAATTTTTGTATTTTTAGTAGAGACCAGGTGTGACCATGTTGGCCAGGATGGTCTCAATCTCTTGACCTTGTGATCTTCCCGCCTTGGCCTCCCAAGGTGCTGGGATTACAGGCATGAGCCACCGTGCCCGGCCTCAATTACCTTTTCTTATACTTCATCCTACTGCCTGACTTTTTTCTATCACTTAAAAATATGCCTCCTTTCTGTGTGAAATTCTCCTTGGCTACTATGTTTTTCAGATTATCCTCTATATCCACCTATTTCTTCGGTCTTTTGAATTACAATTTCAAAGGCCTTGCTTCAGCCTCTAGAGCACTTTGCTTATTCTAAACTCTCCAGAAACCACCTCATCCTCTTTGTCATGGGTTGAATTGTGTCCCAAAAAAAAAAGATGATAAAGTCTTAATTTTAGTACCTGTGAATATGACCTCATTTGGAAATCAGGTTTCGTCAATAATCAAATTAAGATGATGGCTGGGTGTGGTGGCTCACACCTGTAATCCCAGTACTTTGGGAGGCCTAGGCGGGTGGATCACTTGAGGTCAGGACTTTGAGACCAGCCTGGGCAACATGGTGAAAACTGTCTCTGCTAAAAATACAAAAATTAGCCAGGCGTGGTGGCGGGCTCCTATAATCCCAGCTACTCAGGAGCCTGAGGCAGGAGAATCACTAGCACCTGGGAGGCGGAGGTTGCAGTGAGCCAAGGTTGTGCCACTGCACTACAGCCTGGGAAACAGGGCGAGACTCCGTCTCAAAAATAAAAAAAAAAAATTAAAAAGTGAGGTCATTTGGGTGGATCCCAATCCAATATGACTATGTCTTTACAAAAGAGGGAAATTTAGACATAGAGACAGACATGCATAGAGAGAACATGATCTGAAGTTGCATGGAGAATGCCATCTGCAAGCCAGGGAATGCCTGAGGCTAGCAGAAGCTAAGAGACAGACATGAAATAGATTGTCTCTCACAGTCCTCAGAAGGAACTAACCCTGCTGACACCTTGATTTTGAACTTCTAGCCCTCAGAACTACACGACAATAAATTTCTGTTATTTAAGCCATCCTGTTGGTTTTACTGTGTTACAACATCCCCAGGAAACTAATACACTCTCCAAGGGCTTGGAGGTAACTGTTTTATGAAGAATTTCTTTTTTTCTGTCCTTTTTTAAAATTTAAGTTCTGGGATACATGTGCAGGACATGCAGGTTTGTTACATAGGTAAACATGTGCCATGGTGGTTTGCTGCACCCATCAACCAATCACCTAGCTGTTAAGCCCCACATGCATTAGCTATTTATCCTGATGTCTCCCTCCCCCAACACCACTCCTTGACAGGCCCCAGTGTGTGTTGTTCCCTTCCCTGTGTCCACGTGTTCTCATTGTTCAGCTTCCACTTATTAGTGAGAACATGCAGTGTTTGGTTTTCTGCTCCTGTGTTAGTTTGCTGAGGATAATGGCTTCCAACCCCATTCAAGCTGCTGCAAAGATGTGATCTCATTCCTTTTTATGGCTGCATAGTATTCCATGGTATATATGTACCACATTTTCTTTATCTAGTCTATCATTGATGGGCATTTGGGTTGATTCCATGTCTTTGCTATTATGAATAGTGCTACAATGAACATATGTGTACACATATCTTTGTAATAGAATGATTTCTATTCTTTTGGGTATATATTCAGTAATGGGATTGCTGAGTCAAATGGTATTTCTGGTTCCAGATCTTTGAGGAATTGTGACACCATCTTCCACAATGGTTAAACTAATTTACATTCCCACCAACAGTGTAAAAGCCTTCCTATTTCTCCACAGCCTCACCAGCATCTGTTGTTTCTTGACTTTTCTTTTTTTTTTTTTGAGATGAAGTCTCACTCTGTTCCCCAGCCTGGAGTGCAATGGCATGATCTTGGCTCACTGCAACCTCTGCCTTCCAGGTTCAAGCAATTCTGCCACCTCAGCCTCCCAAGTAGCTGGGACTACAGGTGCGCATCACCATGCCTGGCTGATTTTTGTATTTTTTAGTAGAGACAGGGTTTCACCATGTTTACCAAGCTGTCTGGAACTCCTGACCTCAAGTGATCCACCCACCTCAGCCTCCCAAAGTGCTGGGATTACAGGCCAGCACTTTGGGAGGCTGAGCCACCACGACCAGCTGTTTCTTTACTTTTTAATAATCACCACTCTTAACTAGTGTGAGATGGTATTTCATTGTGATTTTGATTTGTATTTCTGTAATGATCAGTGATGTTGAGCTTTTTCTCATATGTTTGTTGGCTGCATAAATGTTTTCTTTTGAGAAGTGTCTCTTCATGTCCTTTGCCCACTTTTTAATGAGATTGTTTGTTTTTTTCTTGTAAATTAGTTTAAGTTCCTTGTAGATTCTGGATCTTTTCCAGATGGATAGATGGCAAAAATTTTCTCCCATTCTGTAGATTGTCTGTTCACTCTAATAATATGGTTTAATTTGCAGTGCAGAAGTTCTTTAGTTTACTTAGATCCCATTTGTCAATTTTTGCTTTTGTTGCAATTGCTTTTGACATTTTTGTCATGAAGTCTTTGCCTGTTCCTATGTGCTGAATGGTATTGCCATATTTTCTTCTAGGGTTTTTATAGTTTTGGGTTTTACATTTAAGTCTTTAATTTATCTTGTGTTAATTTTTGTATAAAGTTGAAGGAAGGGGTCTAGTTTCAATTTTTCCACAAATTGTTAGCCAGTTTTCCCAGCACCATTTATTAAATCCTTTCTCCATTGCTTGTTTTTGTCAGGTTTGTTGAGGATCACGTGGTTGTAGATAGATGTGTGGTCTGAGATCTCCATTGTGTTCCATTGGTCTATGTGTCTGTTTTTGTACCAGTATCTATGGAGAATTTCTAAAACTCATACCTCTAGTTCTAATTTTGCTTCTGAGTGCTAAGCCTACAGTTCCAACAGCATCTCATGACTGCCCAACCATCATCCTAATCTGCCTTTCTAGAATATTACTCTCTTCCCATCTCTCTTATTTCTCACCTTTGACTCCCCACACTGCAACCTTTGTAAATTAGATATGTGGCCCCAGACACTCTGGTTAGAAACCACAAAGTCACCTTTGAGTCCTCATTTTCCACCCACTTGAAGCTGTCTCCATTTCTGTAACCCAAGAATCATGTGTGATCTATTACTTTGTTTTTGTTTGTTTGTTTGTTTGTTTGTTTTTGAGATGGAGTCGACCAGGCTGGAGTGCAGTGGCATGATCTCGACTCACTGCAACCTCTGCCTCCCGGGTTCAAGCAGTGCTCCTGCCTCAGCCTCCCAAGTAGCTGGGACTACAGGCGCATGCCACCACGCCTGGCTAATTTTTGTATTTTTAGTAGAGACAGGGTTTCACCATATGAACCAGGCTGGTTTAGAACTCTTGACCTTGTGATCTGCCCGCCTCGGCCTCCCAAAGTGCTGGGATTACAGGTGTAAGCCACTGTGCCCAGCCAATCCATTACTTTGGAAGGCTAGGATCAGGTTCCCAGACTTGGCAGGGTCCCTTTTAACCCACAGCCAGAGCTCCATCTTCAGACTCAACTCTACCTACTAGTCGAAAAGATTGAAGGCACTTTTTAGCCCACGTTATGGAGCACAGAACATGGAACTCTTACTACTAGTCCAGCTGATACCCAAGATCTGGTCTCTTCCTTTTTGAATAACCAAAGGTTTGCCTAGCATCTTAATATATTCAAAACTGGAACTTTCTATCCGAACCCCAGCCCAGTGGCTAGAGTTCTGGTAACTCTTCACAGATGTCCCTGAGGTCTAAAATTCCAACTCCTGATCTGGATTACCCATCATGGCATTTGACCACTACTAGGAAACTACTATTCTGTCACATCAGGGACACATACCAGCGTGCTTGTCTAATTTAGTGCCCACTGTCCATCTTTTTTTTTTTAATGCTCAAATATATGTAACAATTCACAGCATATTTATATCTATCTTCTTATTTAATCCTAAGAGCTTCAAAGAAAGCCAGGAATCCAAGAGGTTAAATAACTCACATCAGCTTGTGTAAGTAGCATTTGTAGCACTAACATTTAATTCTAGACCTCCTCACTCCAAATCCAGTGCTCTTTTTCACTTCACAACATGGCATGCTCCTGTTTTCTTGGAATCCACTAGTCAGGCAGAACTTCCTTTTAGCCTATGTTAACCCCATGGGGCCCTCCAGCTCAAGATCCCTATTTCTCTGTATCTTCCCTGCAATGCTGTAGATAATTGACCCATATGCCCTCATATCCAAAGATTTGACAGATGACTGCTTTTCAACTGACCTTAATAGTAGTCTTAAGACTAACAATTCCCCTTCTCAAAAGGCTGAAAATGGCTTAAGAAGTTGCATAACAACACATACAATTCCATTAGCAAGTATGCAAGTTTCCGAGTACAAGGTAAACATAATATGATGAAGACAAACATATTTTCAGAGAAATTTTGAAGGATGATATAATGAGATTCCATGTACTAGCAATGTAAGCTGTAATTTCAAGAGGAAAGAGGATACAGATATTGACTTATTTGA
Organism: Homo sapiens; assembly: GCF_000001405.40. Taxonomy (NCBI): domain Eukaryota; kingdom Metazoa; phylum Chordata; class Mammalia; order Primates; family Hominidae; genus Homo; species Homo sapiens. Next base: position 153,263,109 of record NC_000003.12, on the reverse strand, counting down.
ATAAATAACTACCTGAGACTAATTTCTCCCCTGAATTTTTTGTCCACTTTTCCATTTCAAGATGGTGAATGTTAATCTCTTGTTAATCTTCTCTTCCATACTTAATACTAGAAGACAACATGGCTGTTTTGTGCATTACCATTTTCTGCTCTGGCCTGTAAGAGGCTGGACGTGTGGAGAAAGCTCAGGGGTGAAAATCATGGTATCTGAAGTAAGACTATCCTGGCGGGAATGATGGTCCCACTGCTACTAGCTGTGACCTTGAGTGAGGTACTTAACCTCCCTATATTTTATTTTCTTCACTGTAAAATGGAGCTATTAATAGTAGACTTGTCTTACAGTGTTTTTGGAAGGATTAAATAATTTATATAAGCAAAAAGCCTAGAATAGCACTTTCCTGTAGAACTTGCTGTTTAACTGTTGGACAGGGATGAGGATATAGCACACTCAAAGCCCTGGGGAAATCATTACTACTGAATACTTAGAGGAAATTCAAAATGAAGACTTCCGAAATCTCACTCTATTAGTTGCCATGGAACAACTCTATTTTCCTTCCCCCATACAACAAATGTAAATCATTAGTTTTTATATGAGATAATTTTTTCAACCTAAGAAAGATATATGAACCTTAGAGTGTTAGTTAGAAGATATTGGCCCAGCACGGTGGCTTACACCTGTAATCCCAGCACTTTGGGAGGCCGAGATGGGCGGATCACGAGGTCAGGAGATCGAGACCATCCTGGCTAACACGGTGAAACCCCTTCTCTACTAAAAATACAAAAAATTAGCCGGGCATGGTGGCAGGCACCTGTAGTCCCAGCTACTCGGGAGGCTGAGGCAAGAGAATGGCATGAACCCGGGAGGTGGAGCTTGCAGTGAGCCGAGATCGCGCCACTGCACTCCAGCCTGGGCGACAGAGTGAGACTCCATCCCAAACAAAAAAAAAAAAAAAAGAGAAGATATCAGTGCTTACTTAGATACAGAGCAAGTAAACAAGGTTGCAGAATAACTAGTTGGTCATTAAGAAAAATGTTGACAATGGACATAGGGTCAGAGCAGCCTACCAAACATAATTTCTTGAGAAAGATGAGGTGATGGTCTATTATAATTTGTCTTCTATAATTTGTGACCTATATACAATTGTTAACAAATTAAAGATCTGTGATGAATTATACCTTCCTGTGTTTTCACTGTATATTCTTAAAACTTAAAATATGAGTTGGCCGGACGTGGTGGCTCACCCCTGTAATCCCAGCACTTTGGGAGACTGAGGCAGGCAGATCATGAGGCCAGAAGATTGAGACCATCCTGGCTAACACAGTGAAACCCCGTCTCTACTAAAAATACAAAAGAAAATCAGCCGGGCGTGGTGGCAGGCGCCTGTAGTCCCAGCTACTCAGGAGGCTGAGGCAGGAGAATGGCATGAACCCGGGAGGCGGAGCTTGCAGTGAGCCAAAATCTCGCCACTGCACTCCAGCCTGGGCGACAGAGTGAGACTCCGTCTCAATAAAATAAAATAAAATAAAGCTGACAAATTATATTATCATGTAAATATATAGGTAGTTTGTTAAGAAAGAGCTAAAAAAAATTCATCTATGTTTTTAGGTATAGGGGAATCTACAGTTTTTTGTAATATTCCTTAGATATTCACTTTAAAATATTGTGACTGAAAGTGAGTTTGTCACTTTTGAAAATGCTATATAGAGTTACAAGGGAAGCAACAACCTTATAAATAAAGACTATTCATCAAAATGTATTGAAATTTCACTATCTTATAGTCTTCCACATCATCTTGACCTACAGAACATTGCAATACATCATTACCATACGCAGTGCTCTAAAAAGACCACGTAAATACTGGAAAAGGCCGACTTAACTGTGTGTGGTTTTTTTTGCTGTTGGTTTTTTTTTTTTTTTGGACTTTTAAAAGCAGAATTAAGTATCTGATAGCAAGAATCCTATTCTGATAAACTTTTTTTTTTAATCTAAATACCTGCCTTTCTTCTGATCTCCATTGAGTCCACCAGCCCTGAAGATAGCAGCTGTACCATCTAATAGAAGATAAACTTTTGTGCCTGTTTTCCACCCTCATTGAAGAAAACCTTTGAATTTGTAACTTGGGTAGAAGATACTTATCGCACAATCTTCACTTGCCAGGAATTCAGAAAGTGGGCCATGGCAGCCACCACTGGAATCTGACCTCTCTGGTTTTATTTGTTTAAAAACAAAAAAATCAACAGCACAGAATGCTTAACTGAATTTTAGTGCACTTAACCAGAAATATCCTGCAATACCTTCTGCAGGAATGTATTTAAATTATGTGGCAGGTCTGCTGAAGAAAAGCTATTTAAATGTTACTGATCATGCCCAGATCCCATTACAGTTCTAATTGCATTCAGGCTCTGTATTGTTTTAAAATCCCTATGTGTTAACACAGTTTCTAAGCCAACATGACACAAAGTAGATTTTGCTTTTGAGAAGTCAATTCAAGGGGGACCCAAGACAGAATCTAAAGTTAAACTTGACATTCTTAATCAAAAGTGTTCCCCCAAGTTTTTAAAATTCACTTCATATCACAAGAAATGTTTTCCACAAAAATTATTAGTTTAATAGCTGCTAGCATTCATTTCCTTTAAAAAGAGACAGAGAAAAAGAAAGCTTTCATTTTCATACCTCAAAGACCTGCAAATCCCAAATTTTAAGAGTGTTTTATCCTCAGTTAGGTAACCTTATTGAGTGGGGAATTACTTCCAGTAATTATTCTTCTCCAAATTTTGCTCTTTTGCCTGCCTCTCCGTCTTTTCCCCATTCACCATATCTGAGCTCTCTTGGCTTGAAAGATCAAACTAATCTACTAATAAGTGAAACCATATCAGAGGAGTCACAAGAAATATGATTCAACAGGGATCTTTCTAAACTTGATGCTTCTCGTCTGTGCTAGTTTGTCCACCTATTTTCTCAGATCTAAATGTTCCCATACTGGTGGTCCATGAGTCATTCATGTTTATCCTGGTGACCACCTACGTTTAGTAGTTCTTTATTTTCCAGCATCTCAAAATCCTTGGTCTTCTTCTTCTATTAATATTCACCCAAATTTTACTGAGAACCAGGCATAATGCAAAATGTTGAAGGCTGCATAAATACAGAAATGATATACAAAGAGACTGGAATATAAATAATTCAGGGAAGGAAGTGGGAATATTTCATGAAGGCAAGGACCACATCTGGTTTTCTATTTGGCATCATAGGGGTGCTAGTTTCCAAGTTAAGAACACCTGGTTTAGACCCATTTTGTCTTATTTTATTTTTATTTTTTTATTTTTTTATTTTTTTGAGACAGAGTCTCACTCTGTCACCCAGGCTGGAGTACAGTGGCACGATCTCAGCTCACTGCAGCCTCCACCTCCCAGATTCAAGCGATTCTTCTGCCTCAACCTCCCAATTAGCTGGGGTTACAGGCATGCACCACCACGTCGACTAATTTTTTGTATTTTTGGTAGAGACGGAGTTTTGCCATGTTGGCCAGGCTGGTCTTGAACTCCTGACCTCAGGCAATTCACCCAACTCAGCCTCCCAAAGTGCTAAGATTACAGGCATGAGCCACCATGCCCAGCCCCCGACTTTAAAATTAGTTTGTAATTCCTGTAATGGAAAGATGAAATAAGTCCATGATGTCTTACTTAATAAACTGAAATAAAACCAGGTTTGGAAAGTTGCTGTAATCCATAGATAATCAAATCTCTACTTCTCAATTTCAAAAGTTTCTGACAAAATCAAAATGACAATAGAAATAAAACTACTTTGCAAACCAGAAAAAAATTAATTAATTAACAAGTGAATAACCATTTTAAAATACCAAATGAGAAATATCCTTTCTGTTGCTTGTAGTTTTATCTTTGCCTTGAAAATTAGATTGATAGGGTTTAATGGGTTGAGAGGTTTCCAAGGAGAAATCAGAGAACTTTAAAAATTTTATCTTCTTGACAGGGCCTTCGTTTGAATCACTAGCACTTACTTTGGTATAAAAGCTGTTTCTGGGCTGGGCACAGTGGCTCACACCTGTAATCCCAACACTTTGGGACACCGAGGCAAGGGGGATCACCTGAGGTCAGGAGTTTGAGACCAGCCAGGCCAACATAGTAAAACCCCATCTCTACTAAAAATACAAAAATTAGCCGGGCGTGGTGGCGAGCACCTGTAATCCCAGCTACTCAGGAGGCTGAGAGGAGCATCGCTTGAATCCAGGAGGCAGAGGTTGCAGTGAGCCAAGATTGCGCCACTGCATTCCTGGGTGACAGAACAAGACTCCATCTCACAAAAAAAAAAAAAGAAAAAAAAAAAAAAGCTGTTTCCCTATCTCTCTAACACCTTTGCCTTTGATGAAATTATTTAATTCTAAGTGACATATTTTAGAGTCCATGTCAGTGTCATTTAAAAATTTCTCTGCTGCTCAGATAAAGAAACGTGGTAGAACCAAGTACCAACTTTCAAACAACTCACAATTGACTTGTAGTTCAACTGGCAGTTTTTCTTGTCCCCACTTCCCTTCTCAAATCTAAAGCCTTACCCATGGTGGCCTTAAGAACACTGAATATGACATTGAGCTTGAAAGAAATCAGACCCATGAAACATGGGACCTTTTGGGAAGCTGACCCTGAAGAGAGATGGGGTTGAGAGAAGGAGAGCAGCCGCCCTGCTCTGGGCATGGCCCCTTCTGCCCCAAAATAGCATCTGTTTTTTGTTTTTTTTTTTGTTTTTTTCTGCCTAAATCCCTTCACTTCCTTTTACTATAGCTTAAAACTCTGTCAGAAGGTCACTTGAATTAACAAATCTATGCTTCTAAAAGTGAAAATACCTCTGGGTGGATTCAATGTAATATCTTTTATAGGAATATACTATGTTGCTGACTCTGTGCTAGGCCCTGTGCTAAATACAGGAGGAAGATGTTAATGAAAATGAAGAAGACACAATGTGTGTCCACCTGAAACCAGAATCTGGTAAGAAAGAATGGTATATAAACAAAACGTGACATGAAAATGTGTAATATGGCATACATAATTTTTTAAATGTTACTATGTTTTTAAAAAGTGATCTTTTGGGGATATTAGCAAAGGTTTCACTGTGAATGTGACTTTAAAGTGGACCTTGGAGGGTCAACTAAAGTTCCACAGTCAAACTGTTCTATGCAAAGACAGTGGCATGCACAAAGCAAACAGACAGGAAAGAGCCCTGCATGGTAAGGAAGAAATATTTGGTCTGGCCACAGGATGTGTAGTAAACATGGAGAGTCACAGAGCTAATAAAGATCAAGGATCTGGTGGGTATATGACAGCCGGATTGTCAAAGACCTAATGGGCTCTGTTTAAGATATTAAGCTGCATCTTTTAGTCAAAGGACAGGTGTGAAAATGCTGGCACTGGGGTGACAGGTCCAGATCTGTATTTTCAAAAGATAATTCTGGTAGCAGCATTTCTTAGTGAATCACATTTGCTTTTTTAAAAGAACTAGCTGGAAAGTTATATTCAAAAAGTGGGAAATAAGGGAAGGAAAGATTAGAAATATTAGATCAGGGGATACTTTGGGGTAGAGTAGTCCTGCAAGGGATGCTATAAAGGGGATTGAGAGCAAAACGGGAGTGCAGGGTTCATGAGGGAGATAAACTAGGAGGCAAGAGGTGATATTAGTAAATTTGAAGTTAAACATATATTGCTTTAAAGCAGAGTTGGCAAACTATGCCCCATACATAGTTTTTATACAGCACATGAGCTAAGAATGTTTCTGTATTTTTTTTTTTTTTCTTGAAACAGAGTCTCACTCTGTCACCCAGGCTGGAGTGCACTGGTGCCATCTTGACCTGCTGCAACATCTGCTTCCCGGGTTCAAGTGATTCTTGTGCCTCAGCCTCCCAGGCAGCTGGGACTACAAACACACACCACCACACCCAGCTAATTTTTTTGTATTTTTAATAGAGACAGGATTTCACCATGTTGGCCAGGCTGGTCTCAAACTCCTGGCCTCCAGTGATCTGCCTGCCTCTGTCTCCCAAAGTGTTGGAATTACAGGCATGAGCTACCGCACCCAGCCTGTTTCTGCACTTTTAAGTGTTTGGAAAAAAAATCCAAAGAATAATACTAGTGGAACATGACAATAATATAAAATTCAAATTTCAGTGTCCATAAATAAAGTTTTATTCTAACTCAGCCATGTTCATCTGATTATGCATCATCTCTAGCAGAGCTGAATTCTTGTGACAGGGATTGTAGGGCTTGAAAAGCCTAATAAAACATTTACTATCTGGCCCTTTGTCGAAACGTTTGCAGGAATATTCAAAGAAACCTATGAGTCTAGAAACAGGAAAGCCGAGATCTTGCCACTGCACTCCAGCCTGGGCAACAGAGCGAGACTCCGTCTCAAAAAAAAAAAAACAAAAACAAAAAAGCCAGCAGCCTTTTTGTACATTATGGACCTGCATAGAGTGACTAAAGACATGGAGGAATTTTCATTCATGTGGTTGAGACTAAGTCAATGTGACTTGGCCGTGTTAGGGCTCAAAAGATGACCAAGGCTTGGAAACATGCCATTAAGATTTCCTGATTACTACACAGTGACTACCTCAGATGATTGTTGGAAAGCTAGTGAATGGGGCAGACAGGATGTAACACTAGAGATTTGTTTTATGAATTGGAATTTATTACTGACTTCCAATTATGTCTGGAAGAAAAGATGAGGGTGGGGAATTCAAGAGGGTGTAGATTAATTCATAGGACTTAAACTAAAATGTATTTATTTATAAACTCATATAGAACCACTTTGTAAAAGCATTTCTACTTTTTCATGCTTAAAGCATTATACTAAATGCCATATACGATTTTTTCTTCATCCATTTCAGAAACAGTGCTGATGAAGTACCAGGTTCTATATCAGGTCCTGGGGATACAAAAATCGATAAGACATGGTCCCTTTCCTTAAATAATACACTCTTACAGAGAGGAAACCATGTAAGTAAACCAAAAAATAAAAATAAAGAGGCAATAAGGAATTCATAGGAAAAAATGAAAATATTGGTTAGTTCAGTTATGAAACAAAGGGAGTGGTCATTTCAACATAAATGTGTTAATATTTATAAAGCATCTGGAACTTCCTTCCAGAAGGGCTCTAAAATGAATGCAACATCATCAAAGACTAAGCAAATCTCCATTTTTAATTCCAGATACAAAAGAAAAGACTTAGATGGTACATTTTGGCCATTGATCCTAAAGTTGCAAAGGCAATTGTTATTCAGGATGAGCTACCGCATGCCAATGGTCAGATTCTTGACTTAGTTAAGTTTATATATCGCCAGAGGTTAACACCATGCAATAGAAACAAAAAAGATCCAATATGTGTTTATCAAATACATGAAATGTCACAACATTTTTTGAGCCCAAATTTTGATTGTGTGGATAATATAACTCTGAAACTGGTTTTAGGAAATTCTATCTCATAGTCAAAGGGTGTTATTTTGGCTACATTAAGTCACAAAACAGTATGAGGCAGGAAGCTTGCCCCAGTAGTTATTAACCCTCTGCATTGAGCAGAACGAAAGAAGGGAAGTTCCTAAACCTTATCCATTATTTGAATTTATTACTCTTCACTGCCCTAATAAGCATAATGGAACTTTCTGAGACTCTTGGCCTTGTGAAAAAAACTGCTTTAAAATATTTAACATGAGCGTTATGTATTCTTTGTAAAATGGAACTAACAATAACAATAGTAATAATAATAAATTCTACATAATAGGTGCAATGTAATACAATGTAATATAATAATGGTATATACAATAAGAAGATTAAGTGTGTAATTTTTTAAAGCACTTACAGTCTCTAAGACAATGATTGTTTTGGGTGTGTTAATTGTATTGTTACTGTTATCCACACTTACTGGGAAGGACAGTCGTGCAAATAAGCCAAAACTTTTTATTCTGAATTTTGAAATTAGTTGCATAAACATTCATTTCACAGTAGATTTTCTTTCCTCTAATAAAATTTGCTCTTGTTGGCTTTGTTTTTTGTTTACTCATTCATTCATAAATGTGTTCAATAAAAACAATTCATTCAAGCAAACATTTAGTAGTTTAATCAATGCTATCTTCCCCTATTTTGTGGGGGTGGGGTGGACTGAAAATCCAAATATATCTTAGTCCCTGCTTTCAAGGAGATCAGTCTATTTGGGGAGTCAAATAAACAAATCAAGGATTAAGGTGTCTGCCACGATACAGGTATGTTCAGGTGCAGTGGGATAGAGTTTCCAGTCCACAATTCAATCAGTGCTTAGAAAAGCTTCCCTTAAAGAGATGATGATGGACATAATTTTGAGAAATTAATACCATTTGGCTAGGTAAGGGAGGTGGGAGCCAGAATCATTTTGGGCAGAAGAACTATGGGAAAACATGACATTAAAAAAAAAAAAAAAAAACATGAACTTTTTTTTGTGTTCGTTTGGCTGAAACAAAGGAAACATGTTGGGTGGCCTAGCTGGCTTCTTCAAAATCAGATGAAGTGCTAAGGATTCAAGTGCAAACTGTTTATTGATGAGGTGATCCCAGGAAACACTGGCAGGCGTATGGAAAAGTAAGCTGGGAAAGGAAAGGCAGCCAACAAAAGGTATTTTATTAAGCCTCTTAAGCCTATGAGTGGCCAAGCACAGTAGCTCACGCCTGTAATCCTAGCTCTTCGGGAGGCCGAGGCAGGTGAATCTCCTGAAGTCAGGAGTTCAAGACCAGCCTGGCCAACATGGTGAAACCCTGTCTCTACTAAAAATACAAAAATTAGCTGGGCATGGTGGCAAACCCCTGTAATCCCAGCTACTCGGGAGGCTGAGGCAGGAGAATTGCCTTGAACCTGCGAGGCGGAGGTTGCAGTGAGCCGAGATTGTGCCACTGCAGTCCAGCCTGGGTGACACAGCGAGCCTCAAAAAAAAAAAAAAAAAAAAAAGGACTATGAGTAAGTGGAAATTATCTACACGGGAAAGTTCTAGGAGCTGATGCGGAACACAGGCCTCACAGTTGTTTAAGCCAAGTGTGAGAGAGTCGGAGCAGTTACGTGCCACATAACTTTCTGTGTGCCACATAACCACTTTGGGTCAGTGATGGACCGCATACATGATGGTGGTCCTAAAAGATTATAATAAAGCTGAAAAATTCCTATCACCTAATGACATCATAGCTGTTGTAACCATTGTAGTACAATGCATTATTCAAGTATTTGTGGTGGTGCTGATATAAGCAAATCTGCTCTGCTGCCAGTCATATAAAAGTATAATACATACAATTATGTACACAATGTTTGATAATATAATAAATGTTACTGGTTTATGTATTTAATATATTATACTTTACTATACTTTTTGTTGTTATTTTAGAGTGTACGCTTCTACTTATAAAAAAAAAAAAAAGTTACCTATCAAACAGCCTCAGGCAGGTCCTTCCAGAGGTATTCCAGGAGAAGGCATTGTTATCATAGGAGATGACAGCTCCATGCACGTCATTGTCCCTGAAGACCTTCCAGTGGGACAAGATGTGGCAGTGGAGTACAGTGATATTGATGGTCCTGACCTCGTGTAGGCCTAGGCTAATGTGTGTGTTTTCGTCTACATTTTTAACATAAAACTTTTTTAGGTAAAAAAAATTAAATAGGAAAAAGCTTATAGAATAAGGATATAAAGAAATAAAATATTTTTATACAGCTCTAACAATGTGCTTGTGTTTTAAGCTGTTATTACAAATGAGCCTAAAAGTTTAAAAAATTAAAAAGTGTATAAAGTAATAAAGATACAGTCAGCTAAGGTTTTTTACTGAAGAAAAAATTTTTTTGTAAATGTAATGTAGCCTAAGTGTATAGTACTTATAAAGTCCACAGTAGTGCACAGTAATGCCTTAGGCCTTCACGTTCACTCACCACTCACTCACTGACTCACCGAAAGCAACTTCCAGTTCTGCAAGCTCCATTAATGGTAAGTGCCATGTACAGGTATGCCGTTTTTTATCTTTTATACTATTTTACTGTACCTCTTCTATGTTTAGATACACAAATACTACTGTGTTACAAATGCCTACAATAATCAGTAAAGTAACATGCTGTACAGATTTGTAAACCAGGAGCAATAGGCTGTAACATGTAGCCTAGAGGTGTAGTAGGCCATACCATCTAGGTTTGTGAGAGTACACTCTATGATGTGTGCATGATGACAATGTCGCCCAACAACACATTTCTCAGAACGTATCCCCCTCTTTAAGCAATGCATGACTATACTTATTTATGCACCAACTTTTTTCATTCATTGGTTAAGGATTGCTGGGGGAGAAAGACTTCAGGCAGTTGAAAGTCAGTTTCACTACAAAGGTAAGATCCTAGAATGAGGATGGCTGGGGGAGACTTTGAGAGCATCAACAGTACTTGCCACATTGGGCACACCTAGAAGCTAGACTCTGATGGGAAGGAGTAGATAATGAAGAGGTTTTTCTGTTAAGTAAAGAAACTTGAATTTTATCTTAGGTATTACAGGGAGCTTTTGAAATGTTTTTCAAAGGGATAAGAAAAACAGGTTTGGTTTTGTAAGGTCTACTCCTGCTATCTCTTTGGAAGATGGATTAGAAGGGGCTAGACTAGGGTAGGCAGCTCTAATTTAGAAGCTGTTGAAGTTCTCCTGACAAAAAATCATGTGGGTCTGAAATACAGCTTTGCATTCTGTGTGGAAGGAGAAAGAGAGAAGTCACAGGATATTTCATATTTCTGCCTTGGGAAACTAGGAATAAGGCAGAACTGTTCAGCCAGATTGAGAGTTCAAGAGGAGGAAACAGGTTTCAAGGGAAAGATCCATGAGATAAGACTGGAAATTCTGATTGTGCAGCCTGCTGTATAAGTCCAGTGATATGGTTTAGATATGTGCTCCCACCAAATCTTATGTTGAAATGTGATCCCCAGTGTTGGAGGTAGAGTCTAGTGGCAGGGGTTGAATCATGGGGGTGGATTCCTCATGAATGGCTTAGTACCATCCCCTTGGTGATCAGTGAGTTCTCGCTCTGTTAGTTCACATGAGATCTGGTCATTGAAAAGAGGCTGACAACTTTGCCTTCTCTCTCTTGCTCCCTCTCTTGCTATGTGACACGCTGGCTCCCCTTGACCTTGTGTCATGATTGTAAGCTTCCTGAGGCCTCACCAATAGCTGAGCAGATGCTGGTGCCATACCTGTACCCCCTGCAGAACAGTGAACCAATTAAACCTCTTTTCTTTATAAATTACCCAGTCTCAGGTAGTTCTTTATAGCAACGCAAGAACAGACTCACCCATCCAGAACTTGCCAAACGTCTCTGATCTGGAGACATATCTCTGAGTATTCTCAGTATAGAAATGGTGGCTGGAGCCATGTGCTAAAGAGGGTCTGGGCTTCTAGAAGATGAAGAAGAAAAGCTGTTAAGAGTCTAATGAGGAAGAAGGCAGGTAAGCAATGACACAATGGAAATATTGGCAAGAAATGCCACAGGGAGAAGTTACCAGGAGAAGCTAGAGAAAACTATCACCAGAGAGTCTTTTGATGTTAAATAAGAAGAATAAGTTGGTACCCATTAGGTGGATAAATGAAGGGATAGAGCATTCTTGGCAAAAGGATAATCTGTGTGAAGACAAAGACATATAAAGGGGCAAAATATGAAACGGGCTAAATTAATATAAAACCAGGCTAAAGGTTGCCTTTTCATTATCTCTGAAGAAAGGCATTCCCTGAGAATAAATGTGAGCTCCCTGATTGCTGGAAACATCTTTATCCCCAGTAGCTAGCACATATTAGGTGTTCAAAAAGTTGGTTGAAGTAATAAGGTCTGTTTAAGTAAATAATGTAAACTAATATAATATAATATGACATAATATAATTTCAGAGAGAATATTCAACTACTTTAGAGAAAAACTTGTAATCACATAAGTTTATTCACTCAATGATTATTTAATTCAACTACTACCAAATTGTAAGCCCTCATATCTATTTAAGGCAGGAACCATAAAAACACACAGCAGGCAAAAGCAATGTTTACCACATTGTCCTTAGTTAATGAAAACAATAGTCCAAGTAAATAAAAAAGTATCCTTATTCAGTGTTTCTATTTATTTTAACAAGCTCTTCCTACTTAGTCCTTACACCTAATATAGCACCTGCCTCAGAATACTAAGTGTGTAATAAATACTTGTTGACTAACTCTCAGGAATTAGTTGACTTCTGAATAAAATGAGTACTTTTTCCCCCAATGGCTCTAAAGTTTTCTGCTTGGAGGTGAACTTGCTTTTGACTGCACAGAAATCCTCCATTCTTCTTAAAACCGTACTGCTATTTTGCTTTGGAAAACTGCATGGATATAGTTCTAGAGTTTCCTTTAGTTTTGCTTCCTGGTCAGAATATTGACACATGACCAACTAGGCAAAGCTAGTGCTTTTTAAATGCAACTTGAAATCTGAATAAAGTGACACAGGCACTGAGTATGGTTAGTACTTCCTACTTTTAACATATCTGAAATGACTCTAGTTTTTGTCTTTTCCTAACACTGGTTCTTCGGGGTTTTTTAAAATCTATAATGTATCCCATAAATTGTAATATTTTTTGCTTTAGCTTATCCAGAATTAGGTTCTATTGCTTATAACCAAAGAATTCTAGTGATACATAGTTCTAAGATTTTATGAAACTTAGCAAGAGGAGCAAGAAGAGGAAGAGAAAGTAACAAATAACACAGAAGTATGCTGAGTGGAGAGGAATATTAAAATGAAAAACGCTTTACCCAAAGATGAATTGTATATTCTTAAATTAAATGTGAGTCTATGGGCAGGGATTTCTTATTTAGTGAGTATAATAATCAGTTAGGATGCTTATTTAAATTCAAGAGGAGGAAACAGGTTTAATGTAGATTTCCATGCCCTGCTCCCAGAGGTTCTGATTAGATAGGGCTGTGTATGCCTGGGAATCTGCATAATTTATAAACTTCCCATATTATCCTCAGACCATGCTTTGGGAAACACTGCTTTCAGTCCTGCTATGTACAACAACAACAACAAAACGGCAACTAATAAGATCTATGAGCACAGCAAAATCTGCCTTCTCCCTGCTATTTTGCTAAATAGTGCCAAAGTTCTAGTACAATAACTGTTTTATAAAATGTTCTAGCTTTGCCAATGACAACGGTGACCTATTAAGTGAATCATAAGAGATATTTACATATAAAGAAAAAACAGAGACTAGTTTCAAATTTTTATTTCACTGCGCAAGAGCCAATGAGATTACAAAAGGGAATATTTAGTGTTAGAAAACTAAGACCACCATCTTTATTTTATAATCCAATTTTTGTAATTTAGATAAAAGCCGTTTTCATATGAGTATAATTTTATTCCCTGTTGGTCTTTTGTATACACTTGTGCTCATTCAGAATACCATCATCTGCATGAGATCGCTCTCATAAGGACTGAGAATTCATGATTATAGATTATCCCTTAAAATGAAAGTGGGGTGTTGTCGAGATATTATGTTACTAGACCAATTCTGCAGGTAAGATTATCTCTAGGACAGATATATATGACATATCATGTAATGTTCACAAACATTTGAAAAATTGAGTTTACTTTTTTAAAAGGTAAGGTAGCACTATTCACAATAGCAAAGACATGGAATCAACCCAAATGGCCACCAATGACAGACTGGATAAAGAAAATGTGGGCCGGGCACAGTGGCTCATGCCTGTAATCCCAACACTTTGGGAGGCTGAGGCGGGCAGATCACGAGGTCAGGAGATCGAGACCATCCTGGCTAACACGATGAAACCCCGTCTCTACTAAAAATACAAATAATTAGCCGGGTGTGGTGGCACGTGCCTGTAGTCCTAGCTCCTCAGCAGGCTGAGGCAGGAGAATCGCTTGAACCTGGGAGGCGGAGGTTGCAGTGAGCCCAGATCGGGCCACTGCACTCCAGCCTGGGTGACAAAGCGAGACTCCATCTCAATAAAAGAAAAAAAAAAGAAAATGTGGTACACATACACCATGGAATACTATACAGCCATAAAAAGGAATGAGATCATGTTCTTTGCAGGGATGTGGATGGACCTGGAAGCTGTTAACCTCAGCAAACTAATGTAGGAACAGAAAACCAAACACTGCACGTTCTCACTTATAAGTAGGAGCCAAACAATGAGAACACATGGACACAGGGAGGGGAACAACACACATTGGGGCCTGTTGGGAGGTGGGGTTGGGGAGAGGGAGCATTAAGAAAAATGGCTAATGCATGCCAGGCTTAATGCCTCGGTTGTGGGTTGATAGGTGCAGCAAACCACCACGGCACATGTTTACCTATGTGACAAACCTGCACATCCTGCACAGGTACCCCAGAACTTAAAAAAAAAAATGTTTTTTAAAAAGCTAAGGTAACAGAAGAAAAAAGAGTCCAGATAGTATTACCTAAACATTCTTACCCAACAAAAAATTCCAAACACTGTTTTAAATGTGCTTGGTGTATTTCCAGAGACATCTTTATGTAAAAGATATAAGACAAATGTTACAGGAAATAGCAAGGCCTGACTGTATATATATGCAATGCCCAGTTTTAGTAAAACTGCTATTTTGCTTAACCATTTTATAATATTATTTAATAGATCCTGTGCAAAACTTTCACCCTGGAAACAAAAAATAGTATTTTAAAATTCCTTTTCAATTTTAAATTCAAGTCAACATGATTTAACAATTGTGTACTGAATATAAACAGGATGCTTATGACTCCACTAGATACTGGGAAAGACACAAGAAAATGTACAAAGTGAAAGATTTAATAATTTAACTATAAAGACAAAAAAATTAACAAGTTGATTTTAAAAACCAGAAGCTAGTAAATGCATCGTCTAGAAAAATATGAGGGCGCAGTTTTCGAATAGGAAGCCCAAGCCTGCTGGATCAAGGAAGCCCATGTGATACTGCTAAAGTGCACAGAAGACACTGTTCTCCCTGTCTTTCTTCCTGCACATGACACTCACAAGGTTTACAATAGGGAGGAGAATACGTAGTAAAATCCAATGTCTAAAGCACTGAATTAGTATTTAGAAATTAGTCATAGATGTGGAAAATTACTTTCACACACCAGCTTACTAAAACTTCAAAGAAATGGTATAAAATAAACACAGAACTTTTTATTAGAACTTCAGACTTTAAATAAATATATATATTTATATATATTTTAAAAATCTGTCTGCTCTATGCTGCTGGTACATGTGACAATCACAAGAGATCACGGGTGTTGTAACATTTACCAAACATTCACCAAACATCCCCTTTCTGCAGCTCAGACAGAACTGGTTAAAGGGACATTGTTTTTCTTCTAACGTTTCTTTGTGCTATTTAATTTGGTTTTTGGCTTTTCCTTCCCTGTAATGTTAGTTCATCTGATAATAATTACTTTTGATAATAGTCTCAGACTACAGAAGCAGGGGTATTTTCCATTACTTTTTCAATTAACACCGGGAAAGTGGAGATTTTTAATTCAATGCAACATGACTCAACAATTGTTTATTGACTACTCACATGATGCTCAGTGCTCCACTAGATTCTGGGAAGGATGCAAAAGATGAACAACATGATTTCTGTCTTCTAGGAGCTGGAAATCCTACTGAAAGATAAAATAGACAAGAATTAGATGAAGAACTATAAGATGGCAAGTGAAGCTTTTGGGGATGATGGTGTTGGTATGCCTCAGTAAGATGTTATGTAGCAGTATACTTGTTTTTAATATTCAAGAGAATAATAGTAGAAATAGTCTTAAGAAAACCAGAAAAGTGTAGAAAGGTACAAAATAGTAATTGATATTTCTCTCTTGATAGGAAGACTGGCTCATATTAAGCAGATGTGACTATTAAAAAATCGAATTCCATATCTGTTGGAATGTACATCTGGAAGAGTCTCCTGTCAACCAACAGTGATCCTCAGACTCTTTTAAGCCTGAAGCAATGTTAAATAAAAATAATACATGGTTGGCCATTTCAAAAGCATGCCCAACCAGAGTCAAACACAGAATTACCAGTAATGAGTAATATAAACTGAGAAGTGAAGTTTGGAGGAGAAGCAAAAAGTGGAATTGAGTTCCAGGAAAGTGATTTTTTTCTTTTTCCAATTGGAAGCTAGGGTAGCCTCATATCCACTCTAGACTTTGTCTGTCTTTTGAAAGGACTAACCACAATGTTGTAACCTGCTTTCCCCCTGCTAAAAATGATTAAAGTTAAACATCAGTTTGGTATTCTATGAATTACACTGCTTTTTTTTTAGTTACTACCACAAATACGAAGATTTTTATCAATTAATTTTGTTCACAGTGTGTGAAAATCATTTCTGTTCCAATATAAAATGCTACAAAGCTTTATATGTGTGTGTGTGTGTGTGTGTGTGTGTGTGTGTATAAATTTAAATGGTACAAGGGAAGTTTTGTTACATGGATATATTGCATAATGGTGAAGTCTGGATTTTTAGTGTAACCATCAACCAAATACTGTACATTGTACCCATTAAGTAATTTCTCTTCCCTTATCCCCTTCCGCTTTTCCAACTCTCCAATGACTATTATTCTACATTCTATGTCCATGTGTATATATTATTTCACTCCCACTTATAAGTGAGAACATGTATTTGACTTTCTGTTTCTGAATTGCTCCACTTAAGATAATCACCTCCAGTCAAAAGAAATGATTTTATTCTTTTTTATGACTGAATAGTATTCCATTGCATATATATATATATATATATATCACACATATATATATATATATATCACACATATATATATATATATATCACATATATATATATATATATATCACATTTGCTTTAACCACCCAACCATTGATGGACACCTAGGCTGATTCCATATCTTTGTTATTGTGAATAATGCTACTGTAACATACAAGTGCAGGTATCTTTTTTTTTACACAATAGGTATCTTTTTATGTAATGATTGTTTTTCCTCTGGGCATTTCAGTAGAGGGATTGCTAGGTTTCATGGTGGGTCTAATTTTAGTTTTCTGAGAAATCTCCATACTGTTTTCCACAGGGTCTGTACTAATTTGCACTCCCACCAACAGTGTATAAGCATTCCCTATTCTCTGCATCCTCAACAACATCTGTTATTTTTTGACTTTTTATTATAGCCATTCTGACTGGTGTAAGATGGTGTCTCATTGTGGTTTTATTTTGCATTTCTCTGATGATTCGCGATGTTCAGCATTTTTCATGTGCTTCTTGGTCATTTGTATGTCTTCTTTGCAAAATTTATATTCATGTCCTTTGCCCACTTTGTAATGGGATGATATGTGTTTTTCTCATTGTTTGAGTTCATTGTATATTCTAAATATCAGTCTCCTTTCATATTAATAGTTTGCAAATATTTTCTCCCATTCTGCAGATTGTCTGTTCACTCTGTTGATTATTTCTTTTGCTCTGCAGAAGCTTTTCAGTTAATTAAGTCCCATTTGTCTATTTTTGGTTTTGTTGCCCACGCTTTTGAGGTCTTAGTCATGAATTCTTTGCCTAGACCAATGTCCAGAATAGTTTTCCCTAGATTTTCTCCTAACATTTTTATAGATTCAGGTGTTACTTTTAAGTCTTTTATCCCTCTTCGTTGATTTTTGTAGATAGTGAGAGACAGGGGTCCAGTTTCATTCTTCTGCATATGGTGATTCAATTTTCCCAGCACCATTTATTGAAAAGGGTGTCTTTTTCCCAGTGTGTATTTTTGTCAACCGTGTCAATAAGATCAGTTGGCTGTTAGATATTTGGTTTTATAAAATGATACAGAGTTTTAATGTAAGTTTTTCATCGCAGACAACGTCATTGGTGGTGGTGAACAGCTCTCTGAGAAGACTGAGTCAGTTTAAACTATTTCATAAGTATTACATTACACAACACTTCAGCAAGTAAAAAGCCTCTTTAAATTTACTATACAAAAGGGTGGGGTGACATACATTTGAAGACTAATTCTATGTCAAGATAACAGAACACTGTTTTTCTAAAAACAAACTGGAATTAGATCATCTACAAAATAAGTTGAAATGAGTTGATAGAGGAAGGAGAACTGGTAGAATAAGTCTGCTTATTTTGTACAGTAAAATATTCCATTCTGTACCACACCATTTCTCGCGTTGTGGCTTCTCTTATATGAACTGTAAATAATATACGTTCCCAGACAATAGGTTGGAACCTAGTGATCTTTGCCAAGCCTTTATGAAGATATTTGAAGACATCTTCTAAGCATCCATCTTGTTCCAAGCACCGTTCTAGTCCCTGAGGAGACAGAGCAATATATCCAGCCCCTATCCGAATCCTATGGGATTTCCGGTGAAGAGACAGATCCGGCTGGTAGCATTTTCCATGCCTTCAGGAAATTTGAAAGTCCAACCCAAGGACCTCAGCACCATTCTTCTCTATTCTCCATTCCCAAACTCCAGCCACTGTACATGTGCACACACTTACAGGAGCCCCACTTCCTTTTAATCCCAGCCTTCCATTTGTTATTATGTACTGTACACAGAGTGTGGCTGATGGATACACACAAAAAAATTGCAGTGCTAGAAGGGGCAGATTCTCTCTCAGGCAGATTCAGAGAAATGAAATCATCTCTTCCATACTCTACTAAACTGCTTCAAAGTAAAATGAATCAAGAATGATGCCAACTAACATTTGAAAAACTAAGTTAACGTACCACAGTCAGTCTTTTTAATATAGCGGACCTCTTTCTTAAATAAATTATATATAAAAGATATCAGAACTACAGAACAGATGAAAAAACAAAGTTGTTTTACTTAACCTAATGGTGCTTCCCAAACTCTTGTTACAGCATGGTAAAAAGAAAATACGGCCAGGCGCAGTGGCTCATGACCGTAACCCCAGCACTTTGGCAGTCCAAGGCAGGAGGATCGCTTGAAGCAAGGAGTTCAAGACCAGTCTGGCCAACATAACGAAACCTCGTCTCTATAAAAATACAAAAATTAGCTGGGTATGGTGGCATGCACCTGTAATCCCAGCTACTTGGGAGGCTGAGGGAGAGAACTGCTTGAACCTGGGAGGCAGAGGCTGCAGTGAGCCAAGATCATGCCACTGGACTCCTGTCTGGGCAATAGAGGGAAACTCCAACTCAAAAAAAAAAAAAAAGAAAAGAAAGAAAGAAAGAAAGAAAATCACAATGTATTTATGGCATATTAGGGTGAAAAGACTTTTCTAAAGATGGACTACCTAGAAAAGACCCATATCTCGGCATACTTACTTTTCGTGGGATTTTTGTGGGAAGCTCTGATCTAAAACTTTGATTGTAAAGTATTTTATTTCATGAAATAAGTGAGCCGCTTTTTTTTTTTTTTTTTTGAGACGAAGTCTCAGTCTGTTTGCCAGGCTGGAGTGCAGTGGCGCGATCTCGGCTGACTGCAAGCTCCGCCTCCCAGGTTCACGCCATTCTCCTGCCTCAGCCTCCCTAGTAGCTGGGACTACAGGCACCGTGAAATGCTTTTTCTAATTAGTCCCTCTAATACCTTCAAGGAGACTGCGATGTACCCCCAAAGGAGAGGTTCACAATTTGAAATGACTGTTGGAATACATTTTTTTACTCCTAGAAGGGTGCCATGAATCGATGGCATAGATTACATAGAAAGAAAAATCATCGATAAACACAAGCATACCTCAGAGGTATTGCAGGTTCAGTTCCAGACCATCACAATAAAGCAAATATTGCAATAAAGCAAGTCACACAAATGTTATGGTTTCCCAGCATATATAAAAGTATATTTACACTATACTGTAGTCAGTTAAATGTACAATAGCATTGTATCTAAAAAATAATGTATATATCTTAATTTTAAAATACTTTATTGCTATAAAATGCTAACAATCACCTGAGCCTTCAGTGAGTCGCAATCTTTTTGCTGGTTGAAGGGTCTTGCCTCAATGTGGTTGGCTGCTGACTAATCAGGGTGGTAGGTGCTAAAGGCTGTGGCAATTTCTTAAGACAGCAAGGAAATTTGCCAACTTGATTGACTCTCTTTCATGAAAGCTTTCTCTGTAGCATGAGATGCTGTTTGATAGCATTTTACCCACAGTAGCATTTCTTTCAAAATTGGAGTCAGTCGTCTCAAACCCTGCTGCTACTTCATCAACTAAGTTCATGTAATTCTCTCAATCCTTAGTTGTCTTTCCAACAATGTTCACAGCATCCTCGCCAGGAGTACTTTCCATCTCAGGCAATTAGTTTCTTTGCTCATCCACTAGAAGAAATTCTTTGTCCATTCAGATTTTATTATGAGATTGTAGCAATTCAGTCACATTTTCAGGCTCCAGTTTTAATTCTTGTTCTGCTATTTTCACCACATCTGCAGGGACTTTCTCCACTGAAGTTTTAAACTCCTCAAAGTCAACCATAAATGTTAAAACCAACTTCTTCCAAACTCCTGTTAAGGTCAATATTTGGACCTTCTCCCATAAATCACAAATCTAGAATGCTGAATCCTTTCTAGAAGTTTTCAATTTACTTTGCCCAGAACTATCAGAGGAAACAATATCTATGGCACCCACAGCCTTACAAAATTTAATTCTTAAATAATAAGACTTGAAAGTTAAAATTATTCCTTGATTCATGGGTTGCAGAATGCATGTAGTGTCTGCAGGCATAAAAACAACATTCACATACCTGTACATCTCCATCAGAGTTCTTGAGTGACCAGGTGAATTTGTCAATGAGCAGTAATCTTTTGAAAACAAAAAATCTTTTTTCTGAGAGTAGGTCTCAACAACAAGCTTAAAATATTCAGTAAATCATGCTGTAAACAAATGTGTGGTCATCTGGGCTTCGTTCTTCCATTTACAGAGCATGAGCAGAGTAAATATTGCATAATTCTTAAGGATCCTAGGATTTTCAGAATAGTAAATGAGCATTGGCTTCAACTTAAAGTTACCAGCTACATTAGCCACTAACAAGAGTCAGCCTGTTCTTTGAAGCCAGGCATTGACTTCTCCTTTCTAGCTATGAAAGTCCTAGACGGCATCTTCTTCCAATAGAAGGCTGTTTCATCTACATTGAAAATCTGTCATTCAGTGTAGCCACCTTCACTAATGACCTCAGCTAGATCTTTTGGAGAATGCTGTAGCTTTTACATTGTACTTGCTGCATCATCTTGAACTTTTACGTTATGGAGATGGCTTCTTTCCGCAAGCTTCAAGAACCAATCTCTACTAGCTTCAAACCTTTTTTCTGCAGCTTCTCCACCTCTCTCACACTTCACAGAATTAAAAAGAGTTAGAGAGGAGCCAAGATGGCCAAATAGGAACAGCTCCGGTCTACAGCTCCCAGCGTGAGCGACGCAGAAGACGGGTGATTTCTGCATTTCCATCTGAGGTACCGGGTTCATCTCACTAGGGAGTGCCAGACAGTGGGCGCAGGTCAGTGGGTGCATGCACCGCGCGCGAGCCGAAGCAGGGCGAGGCATTGCCTCACTCGGGAAGCACAAGGGGTCAGGGAGTTCCCTTTCCAAGTCAAAGAAAGGGGTGACGGACGCACCTGGAAAATCAGCTCACTCCCCCCCGAATATTGCGCTTTTTGGACCGGCTTAAAAAACGGCGCACCACGAGATTATATCCCGCACGTGGCTCAGAGGGTCCTACGCCCACGGAGTCTCGCTGATTGCTAGCACAGCAGTCTGAAATCAAACTGCAAGGCGGCAGCGAGGCTGGTGGAGGGGCGCCCGCCATTGCCCAGGCTTGCTTAGGTAAACAAAGCAGACGGGAAGCTCGAACTGGGTGGAGCCCACCACAGCTCAAGGAGGCCTGCCTGCCTCTGTAGGCTCCACCTCTGGGGGCAGGGCACAGACAAACAAAAAGACAGCAGTAACCTCTGCAGACTTAAATGTCCCTGTCTGACAGCTTTGAAGAGAGCAGTGGTTCTCCTAGCATGCAGCTGGAGATCTGAGAACCAGCAGACTGCCTCCTCAAGTGGGTCCCTGACCCCTGACCCCTGAGCAGCCTAACTGGGAGGCACCCCCCAGCAGGGGCACACTGACACCTCACATAACAGGGTATTCCAACAGACCTGCAGCTGAGGGTCCTGTCTGTTAGAAGGAAAACTAACAAACAGAAAGGACATCCACACCAAAAACCCATCTGTACATCACCATCATCAAAGACCAAAAGTAGATAAAACCACAAAGATGGGGAAAAAACAGAACAGAAAAACTGGAAACTCTAAAACGCAGCGCGCCTCTCCTCCTCCAAAGGAACGCAGTTCCTCACCAGCAATGGAACAAAGCTGGATGGAGAATGACTTTGACAAGCTGAGAGAAGAAGGCTTCAGATGATCAAACTACTCTGAGCTACAGGAGGACATTCAAACCAAAGGCAAAGAAGTTGAAAACTTTCAAAAAAATTTAGAAGAATGTATAACTAGAATAACCAATACAGAGAAGTGCTTAAAGGAGCTGATGGAGCTGAAAACCAAGGCTCGAGAACTACGTGAAGAATGCAGAAGCCTCAGGAGCTGATGCGATCAACTGGAAGAAAGGGTATCAGCAATGGAAGATGAAATGAATGAAATGAAGCGAGAAGGGAAGTTTAGAGAAAAAAGAATAAAAAGAAATGAGCAAAGCCTCCAAGAAATATGGGACTATGTGAAAAGACCAAATCTACGTCTGATTGGTGTACCTGAAAGTGACGGGGAGAATGGAACCAAGTTGGAAAACACTCTGCAGGATATTATCCAGGAGAACTTCCCCAATCTAGCAAGGCAGGCCAACGTTCAGAATCAGGAAATACAGAGAACGCCACAAAGATACTCCTCGAGAAGAGCAACTCCAAGACACATAATTATCAGATTCACCAAAGTTGAAATGAAGGAAAAAATGTTAAGGGCAGCCAGAGAGAAAGGTCGGGTTACCCTCAAAGGAAAGCCCATCAGACTAACAGCGGATCTCTCGGCAGAAACTCTACAAGCCAGAAGAGAGTGTGGGCCAATATTCAACATTGTTAAAGAAAAGAATTTTCAACCCAGAATTTCATATCCAGCCAAACTAAGCTTCATAAGTGAAGGAGAAATAAAATACTTTACAGACAAGCAAATGCTGAGAGATTTTGTCACCACCAGGCCTGCCCTAAAAGAGCTCCTGAAGGAAGCGCTAAACATGGAAAGGAACAACCAGTACCAGCCACTGCAAAATCATGCCAAAATGTAAAGACCATCGAGACCAGGAAGCAACTGCATCAACTAACGAGCAAAATCACCAGCTAACATCATAATGACAGGATCAAATTCACACATAACAATATTAACTTTAAATGTAAATGGACTAAATTCTCCAATTAAAAGACACAGACTGGCAAATTGGATAAAGAGTCAAGACCCATCAGTGTGCTGTATTCAGGAAACCCATCTCACGTGCAGAGACACACATAGGCTCAAAATAAAAGGATGGAGGAAGATCTACCAAGCAAATGGAAAACGAAAAAAGGCAGGGGTTGCAATCCTAGTCTCTGATAAAACAGACTTTAAACCAGCAAAGATCAAAAGAGACAAAGAAGGCCATTACATAATGGCAAAGGGATCAATTCAACAAGAAGAGCTAACTATCCTAAATATATATGCACCCAATACAGGAGCACCCAGATTCATAAAGCAAGTCCTGAGTGACCTACAAAGAGACTTAGACTCCCACACATTAATAATGGGAGACTTTAACACCCCATTGTCAACATTAGACAGATCAATGAGACAGAAAGTCAACAAGCATACCCAGGAATTGAACTCAGCTCTGCACCAAGCGGACCTAATAGACATCTACAGAACTCTCCACCCCAAATCAACAGAATATACATTTTTTTCAGCACCACACCACACCTATTCCAAAATTGACCACATACTTGGAAGTAAAGCTCTCCTCAGCAAATGTAAAAGAACAGAGAGTATAACAAACTATCTCTCAGACCACAGTGCAATCAAACTAGAACGCAGGATTAAGAATCTCACTCAAAACCGCTCAACTACATGGAAACTGAACAACCTGCTCCTGAATGACTACTGGGTACATAACGAAATGAAGGCGGAAATAAAGATGTTCTTTGAAACCAACGAGAACAAAGACACAACATACCAGAATCTCTGGGACGCATTCAAAGCAGTGTGTAGAGGGAAATTTATAGCACTAAATGCCCACAAGAGAAAGCAGGAAAGATCCAAACTTGACACCCTAACATCACAATTAAAAGAACTAGAAAAGCAAGAGCAAACACATTCAAAAGCTAGCAGAAGCCAAGAAATAACTAAAATCAGAGCAGAACTGAAGGAAATAGAGACACAAAAAACCCTTCAAAAAATTAATAAATCCAAGAGCTGGTTTTTTGAAAGGATCAGCAAAATTGATAGACCGCTAGCAAGACTAATAAAGAAAAAAGAGAGAAGAATCAAATAGACACAATAAAAAATGATAAAGGGGATATCAACACCGATCCCACAGAAATACAAACTACCATCAGAGAATACTACAAACACCTCTACGCAAATAAACTAGAAAATCTAGAAGAAATGGATAAATTCCTCGACACATACACTCTCCCAAGACTAAACCAGGAAGAAGTTGAATCTCTGAATGGACCAATAACAGGAGCTGAAATTGTGGCAATAATCAATAGTTTACCAACCAAAAACAGTCCAGGACCAGTTGGATTCACAGCCGAATTCTACCAGAGGTACAAGGAGGAACTGGTACCATTCCTTCTGAAACTATTCCAATCAATAGAAAAAGAGGGAATCCTCCCTAACTCATTTTATGAGGCCAGCATCATTCTGATACCAAAGCCAGGCAGAGACACAACCAAAAAAGAGAATTTTAGACCAATATCCTTGATGAACATTGATGCAAAAATCCTCAATAAAATACTGGCAAACTGAATCCAGCAGCACATCAAAAAGCTTATCCACCATGATCAAGTGGGCTTCATCCCTAGGATGCAAGGCTGGTTCAATATACGCAAATCAATAAATGTAATCCAGCATATAAACAGAGCCAAAGACAAAAACCACATGATTATCTCAATAGATGCAGAAAAAGCCTTTGACAAAATTCAACAACCCGTCATGCTAAAAACTCTCAATAAATTAGGTATTGATGGGACGTATTTCAAAATAATAAGAGCTATCTATGACAAACCCACAGCCAATATCATACTGAATGGGCAAAAACTGGAAGCATTCCCTTTGAAAACTGGCACAAGGCAGGGATGCCCTCTCTCACCACTCCTATTCAACATAGTGTTGGAAGTTCTGGCCAGGGCAATTAGGCAGGAGAAGGAAATAAAGGGTATTCAATTAGGAAAAGAGGAAGTCAAATTGTCCCTGTTTGCAGACGACATGATTGTATATCTAGAAAACCCCACTGTCTCAGCCCAAAATCTCCTTAAGCTGATAAGCAACTTCAGCAAAGTCTCAGGATACAAAATCAATGTACAAAAATCACAAGCATTCTTATACACCAACAAGAGACAAACAGAGAGCCAAATCATGAGTGAACTCCCATTCACAACTGCTTCAAAGAGAATAAAATACCTAGGAATCCAACTTACAAGGGATGTGAAGGACCTCTTCAAGGAGAACTACAAACCACTGCTCAATGAAATAAAAGAGGATACAAACAAATGGAAGAACATTCCATGCTCATGGGTAGGAAGAATCAATATCGTGAAAATGGCCATACTGCCCAAGGTAATTTACAGATTCAATGCCATCCCCATCAAGCTACCAATGACTTTCTTCACAGAATTGGAAAAAACTACTTTAAAGTTCATATGGAACCAAAAAAGAGCCCGCATTGCCAAGGCAATCCTAAGCCAAAAGAACAAAGCTGGAGGCATCACACTACCTGACTTCAAACTATACTACAAGGCTACAGTAACCAAAACAGCATGGTACTGGTCCCAAAACAGAGATATAGATCAATGGAACACAACAGAGCCCTCAGAAATAACGCCACATATCTACAACTATCTGATCTTTGACAAACCTGAGAAAAACAAGCAATGGGGAAAGGATTCCCTATTTAATAAATGGTGCTGGGAAAACTGGCTAGCTATATGTAGAAAGCTGAAACTGGATCCCTTCCTTACAACTTATACAAAAATTAATTGAAGATGGATTAGAGACTTAAACGTTAGACCTAAAGCCATAAAAACCCTAGAAGAAAACCTAGGCATTACCATTTAGGACATAGGCATGGGCAAGGACTTCATGTCCAAAACACCAAAAGCAATGGCAACAAAAGCCAAAATTGACAAATGGGATCTAATTAAACTAAAGAGCTTCTGCACAGCAAAAGAAACTACCATCAGAGTGAACAGGCAACCTACAAAATGGGAGAAAATTTTTGCAACCTACTCATCTGACAAAGGGCTAATATCCAGAATCTACAATGAACTCAAACAAATTTATAAGAAAAAAACAAACAACCCCATCAAAAAGTGGGCAAAGGACATGAACAGACACTTCTCAAAAGAAGACATTTATGCAGCCAAAAGACACATGAAAAAATGCTCATCATCACTGGCCATCAGAGAAATGCAAATCAAAACCACAATGAGATACCATCTCACACCAGTTAGAATGGCAATCATTAAAAAGTCAGGACACAACAGGTGCTGGAGAGGATGTGGAGAAATAGGAACACTTTTACACTGTTGGTGGGACTGTAAACTAGTTCAACCATTGTGGAAGTCAGTGTGGAGATTCCTCAGGGATCTAGAACTAGAAATACCATTTGACCCAGCCATCCCATTACTGGGTATATACCCAAATGACTATAAATCATGCTGCTATAAAGACACATGCATACGTATGTTTATTGCGGCACTATTCACAATAGCAAAGACTTGGAACCAACCCAAATGTCCAACAATGGTAGACTGGATTAAGAAAATGTGGCACATATACACCATGGAATACTATGCAGCCATAAAAAATGATGAGTTCATGTCCTTTGTAGGGACATGGATGAAATTGGAAATCATCATTCTCAGTAAACTATCACAAGAACAAAAAACCAAACACCGCATATTCTCACTCATAGGTAGGAATTGAACAATGAGATCACATGTACACAGGAAGGGGAATATCACATTCTGGGGACTGTTGTGGGGTGGGGGGAGGCAGGAGGGATAGCACTGGGAGATATACTTGATGCTAGATGACGAGTTAGTGGGTGCAGCGCACCAGCATGGCACATGTATACATATGTAACTAACCCGCACAATGTGCACATGTACCCTAAAACTTAAAGTATAAAGAAAAAAAAAAAAAAGCCAAGATAGAATTCCAAATAAATTGGTATAGGTATGGCAAAAAAAAAAAAAAAAAAAAAAGAGTTAGAGCCTTGCTCTGGATTAGGCTTTAGCTGAAGGGAGGGTTGTGGCTGGTTTTATCTTCTATCTAGACCACTCTACCTTTCTCCGTATCAGCAATGTCTCTTTTGCTTTCTTGTTACTCTTGTGTTCACTGGAGCAGCATTTTTAACTCCCTTCAAGAACTTTTCCTTTGCATTCAGAACTTGACTAACTGTTCTTCACAAGAGGCCTAGCTTTCAGCCTATCTTGGCTTTTGACATGCCTTCCTCACACTAAACTTAATTATTTCCAGCTTTTGATTTAAAGTGGGAGACACGTGACTCTCATTTGAACACTGAGAGGCCATTGTAGGGTTGTTAACTGGCTTCATTTCTTTTTTTTCTTTTTTTTTTTGAGACAGAGTTTCGCTCTCATTGCCCAGGCTAGAGTGCAATGGCACAATCTTGGCTCACTGCAACCTCCACCTCCTGGGTTCAAGCAATTCTCCTGCCTCAGTCTCCTGAGTAGCTGAGATTACAGGCATGTGCCACCACAACCGGCTAATTTTGTATTTTTAGTAGAGATGGGGTTTCACCATGTTGGTCAGGCTGGTCTTGAACTCTGACCTCAGGTGATCTTCCCACCTTGGCCTTCCTAAGTGCTGGGATTATAGATGTGAGCCACCATGCCCAGCCAACTGGCTTAATTTTTTTTTTTTTTTTTTTTTTCTCCTGGAGACGGAGTTTCACTCTTGTTGCCCAGGCTGTAGTGCAATGGCACGATCTCGGCTCATTGCAAACTCCACCTCCCAGGTTCAAGTAATTCTCCTGCCTCAGCCTCCTGAGTAGCTGGGATTACAGGCATGCACCACCACACCTGGCTAATTTTGTATTTTTAGTAGAGACGGGGTTTCTCCATGTTGGTCAGGCTGGTCTTGAACTCCCAACCTCAGGTGATCCACCCACCTTGGCCTCCTAAAGTGCTGGGATTACAGGCGCGAGCCACCGTGCCCGGCTGGCTTAATTTCAATATTGTTATGTTTCAGAGAATAGAGGGGCCTGAGGAAAAGAAAGATGAAGGAACACCCAGTGAGTAGAGCAGTCAGAACACACATAATATTTATCAATTAAGTCTGCTGTCTTATATGAGTGAGGCTCATGGCACCCCAAAATAATTATTATTAGTATCAAAGATTACCAATCACAGATCAACATAACAGATATGATAATCACGAAAATTTTGAAATATTCCAAGAATTACCAAAATGTGACATAGAGATACAGAGTATGCAATCATGCTGTTCGAAAAATGGTGCCAATAGACTTAGTATACACAGGGTTGCCACAAACCTTCATTTTGGGCAAAACACAAGACCTGTAAAGTGCAAAATGCCTGTACTGAGCAAGGATTTACCAGCTCAATTCCTTTGTTTTACAAATGAGTAAACCAGGGACAGGTACTTTCAGTGGCAGGAAGTTATGAAAGCAAATAAAGACAAGATTTCTTAACTCTCTACTTCTGGTCTCTTGGCATCACACTACTGGTTCCCAAATGGAGTTTCCAGAATGGCAGCATGAATGTTATCTAAGAATTTGCTAGCAATGCTACTTTTCAGGTGCTGCTCCAGACCTAATGAATCAGGAGCTCCAAGAGTGAGGCCTCAGCAAGCTGTGTTTTAACAAGTCCTCCAGGCAGTTCTAATGCACATTAAAGTATTAAGGAGGCCTATTTGCATCAAGATTGCACCTGTGCAGTCAGAAAGCCAAGCATGAGCTGGAGCATTTGTGAGTGGAATAGGGATTCCCTCTGACTAGGGAGACTGACTTGTGGGTTAAAGTAGCTAATCAGAGAAGGGACATTATGAGTTTAGGATGTAAGTGGAAACTACAATTCTCTAAGTACTATCAGGTCTGTTGTGGCCCAGATTTTTCTGCCTTCTTATCTCTTCCAATAAAAGTTTCAACTGCACATTTGAGGACTTGAAGGGATAATTTCTAATTGTATAATGAAAACCAGTAGAAGGGGGAAAAAAAGTGGGCTGGTCGTGGTGGTTCACACCTGTAATCCCAGCACTTTGGGATGCTGAGGCGGATGGATTGCTTGAGCCCAGAAGTTCGAGACCAGCCTGGGCAACATAGAGAAACCTCATGTCTACAAAAACACAAAAATCAGCCAAGCATTGTGTAGTCCCAGCTACTTGGGAGGCTGACTTGGGAGGATCCCTTAAGCCCAGGAAGCGGAGGTTGCAGTGAGCTGAGATGGCACCACTGCACTCCAGCCTAGGCAACACAGCAAGACTCTTTCTCAAAAATAATAATAGTAATAATAATGATAATAATTTTTCAGATTGGCCTTTGTTGCTTCTTGCGTTAAGTATAATTATTTTAAAAATAGCAAACCTTTCTAGATTTAGTATATAATCTGTGGGAGATTAAGTGGAAGAAAGAAGAAAACATTTCTTGCAGACGAGGCACAGTTAAGTTCGCCTATTTTTACAACATCACTGCTAAATTCCTTTGCCCTGAAAAACACTCAGATTTATTTTCCATATGACTCATCACCAAATTTCTGTTCTTTAGATGTGGATCCTACATTGTGTGGGTCAGAAATATCAAACAACTAAATATTTTTTTAATGCGCAGTTTACATTTTAGTCCAAGAATAATTCTATCATAAGGAACCAAACAAGTAGAAAATTCTTTCATGATTGAAAAACTCATGTTAAGCTTAGCAGTTTTAGTAGCATTAAAATACTTTTAAGTTATATCCTCAGGACATCCAGGAATAATAAAAGCTACAACAAACACTGTTGCCATTAGTTAAACTTGGCTCATGCAAAGATCTTGTAAACAAAATCTTGCTCTTAAAAGAGAGATGCACTAAATTTCACTCATTTCCTTTTATCTCTATCTTTTCTAAAGCCATGGACTCACATTTCAAGATAATGCCTTTTAAACTCTTAATCAAATATTTACTTAATAAAATTTAGCTATCATGGGAGAAGTACAACTCTCTCTCAGTCCCTGAAACCATAATGTTCAAGATAATTATCAGGGAGACATTTACTCAATTTGTTAATTTTCTATTTACCACCTATTATGGTTTAAAAATAGTTTGTTCCCACCAAAACTCATGTTGAAGCCTGTTCCCCAGTGTGGCTTTGTTGAGAGGTAGTGCCTTTAAGAAGTGATTAGGTCATTAAGATGGATTGTCAGGCCTCTGAGCCCAAGCTAAGCCATCATATCCCCTGTGACCTGCACGTAGTACACATCCAGATGGCCAGTTCCTGCCTTAACTGATGACATTCCACCACAGAAGAAGTGAAAATGGCCTGTTCGTGCCTTAACTGATGACATTATCTTGTGAAATTCCTTCTCCTGGCTCATCCTGGCTCAAAAGCTCCCCTACTGAGCACCTTGTGACCCCCACACCTGCCCGCCAGAGAACAACCCCCCTTTGACTATAACTTTCCTTTACCTACCCAAATCTTATAAAATGGCCCCACCCATGTCTCCCTTCGCTGACTCTCTTTTCGGACTCAGCCCGCCTGCACCCAGGTGATAAAAAGCTTTATTGCTCACACAAAGCCTGTTTGGTGGTCTCTTCACACGGACGCGCATGAAATTTGGTGCCGTGACTCAGATCGGGGGACCTCCCTTGGGAGATCAATCCCCTGTCCTCCTGCTCTTTGCTCCGTGAAAAAGATCCACCTACGACCTCAGGTCCTCAGACCCACCAGCCCAAGGAACATCTCACCAATTTTAAATCGGGTAAGCGTCCTCTTCTTACTCTGTTCTCCAACCTCTCTCACTATCCCTCAACCACTTTCTCCTTTCAATCTTGGCGCCACCCTTCAATCTCTCCCTTCTCTTAATTTCAATTTCTTTCATTTTCTGGTAGAGGCAAAGGACACACGTTTTATCCGTGGACCCAAAACTCCGGCGCTGGTCACGGACTCGGGAAGGCAGCCTTCCCTTGGTGTTTAATCATTGCAGGGATGCCTGATTATTAACCCATGTTTAAGAGATGTCTAACCACGCAGGGATGCCTGCCTTGGTCCTTCACCCTTAGCGGCAAGTCCCGCTTTTCTGGGGGAGGGGAAAGAACCCTGACCCCTTCTCTCCCTGTCTCTACCCCTTCTCTGCTTTTCTTGGGGGCAAGAACCCCCCCGATCCCTTATTTCTGCACCCTGACCCCTTATCTCTGCACCCCGATCCCTTATTTCCATGTCCCAACCTCTTATCTCTGTGCCCTGATCCCTTATTTCCATGCCCCAACCTCTTATCTCTGTGCCCTGATCCCTTATTTCCATGCCCCAACCTCTTATCTCTGTGCCCCAACCCCTTATTTCTGTGCCCTGACCTCTTATCTCTGTGCCCTGATCCCTTATTTCCATGCCCCAACCTCTTATCTCTGTGCCCCAACCCCTTATTTCTGTGCCCCGACCCCTTTCCCACTTTTCTGGAGGGTAAGAACCCCCAAACCCCTTCCCTCCATATCTCTACTCTCTCTTTTCTCTGGGCTTGCCTCCTTCACTATAGGCAACCTTCCACCCTCCATTCCTCCTTCTTCTCCCTTATTCTGTGTTCTCAAGAACTTAGAACCTCTTCAACTCACACCTGACCTAAAACCTAAATGCCTTATCTTCTTCTGCAACACCGCTTGGCCCCAATACAAACTTGACAATGGCTCTAAATGGCCAGAAAACGGCATTTCGATTTCTCCATCCTACAAGACCTAAATAATTTTTGTTGAAAAATGGGCAAATGGTCTGAGGTGCCTTACGTCCAGGCGTTTTTCACACTTCATTCCCTCCCTAGTCTCTGTTCCCGATTCCTCCCAAATCCTCCTTCTTTCCCTCCTGCCTGTCCCCTCAGTCCCAACCCCAAGCGTCGCTGAGTCTTTCCAGTCTTCCTTTTCTACAGACCCATCTGACCTTTCCCCTCCTCCCCAGGCTGCTCCTCGCCAGGCCGAGCTAGGTCCCAATTCTTCCTCAGCCTCTTCTCCTCCACCCTATAATCCTTTTGTCACCTCCCCTCCTCACACCCAGTCCGGTTTACAGTTTCGTTCCGTAACTAGCCCTCCCCCACCTGCCCAGCAATTTCCTCTTAAAAAGGTGGCTAGAGCTAAAGGATAGTCAAGGTTAATGCTCCTTTTTCTTTATCTGACCTCTCCCAAATCAGATAGCGTTTAGGCTCTTTTTCATCAAATGTAAAAACACAGCCCAGTTCATGGCTCGTTTGGCAGCAACTCTGAGATGCTTTACAGCCCTAGACCCTAAAAGGTCAAAAGGCCGTCTTATTCTCAATATACATTTTATTACCCAATCCGCTCCTGACATTAAATAAAACTCCAAAAATTAAATTCCGGCCCTCAAACCCCACAACAGGACTTAACCTCACCTTCAAGATGTACAATAATAGAGTAGAGGCAGACAAGTAGTAACGTATTTCTGAGTTGCAATTCCTTGCTTCCACTGTGAGACAAACCCCAGCCACATCTCCAGCACACAAGAACTTCCAAACGCCTAAACCGCAGTGGCCAGGCGTTCCTCCAGGCCCGCCTCCCCCAGGAGCTTGCTACAAGTGCCAGAAATCTGGCCACCAGGCCAAGGAATGCCAGCAGCCCAGGATTCCTCCTAAACCACGTCCCATGTGTGTGGGACCCCACTGAAAATCAGACTGTTCAACTCACCTGGCAGCCACTCCCAGAGCCCCTGTAACTCTGGCCCAAGGTTCTCTGACTGACTCCTTCCCAGATCTTCTCGGCTTAGCAGCTGAAGACTGACACTGCCTGATTTCCTCGGAAGCCCCCTAGACCATCACGGACGCAGAGCTTCAAGTAACTCTCACAGTGGAGGGTAAGTCCGTCCCCTTCTTAATCAATACGGAGGCTGCCCACTCCACATTACCTTCTTTTCAAGGGCCTGTTTCCCTTGCCTCCATAACTGATGTGCGTATTGACGGCCAGGCTTCTAAACCTCTTAAAACTCCCCAACTCTGGTGCCAACTTAGACAATACTCTTTTAAGCACTCCTTTTTAGTTATCCCCACCTGCCCAGTTCCCTTATTAGGCCGAGACACTTTAACTAAATTATCTGCTTCCCTGACTATTCCTGGACTACAGCCACATCTCATTGCCGCCCTTCTTCCCAATCCAAAGCCTCCTTTGCGTCCTCCTCTTGTATCCCCCCACCTTAACCCACAAGTATAAGATACCTCTACTCCCTCCTTGGCGACCGATCATGCACCCCTTACCATCTCATTAAAACCTAATCACCCTTACCCCACTCAACGCCAATATCCAATCCTGCAGCACGCTTTAAAAAGATTAAAGCCTGTTATCACTCGCCTGCTACAGCATGGCCTTTTAAAGCCTATAAACTCTCCTTACAATTCCCCCATTTTACCTGTCCTAAAACCAGACAAGCCTTACAAGTTAGTTCAGGATCTGTACCTTATCAACCAAATTGTTTTGCCTATCCACCCCATGGTGCCAAACCCATATACTCTCCTATCCTCAATACCTCCCTCCACAACCCATTATTCTGTTCTGGATCTCAAACATGCTTTCTTTACTATTCCTTTGCACCCTTCATCCCAGCCTCTCTTCGCTTTCACTTGGACTGACCCTGACACCCATCAGGCTCAGCAAATTACCTGGGCTGTACTGCCACAAGCCTTCACAGATAGCCCCCATTACTTCAGTCAAGCCCAAATTTCATCCTCATCTGTTACCTATCTCGGCATAATTCTCATAAAAACACACGTGCTCTCCCTGCTGTTCGTGTTTGACTAATCTCCCAAACCTCAATCCCTTCTACAAAACAACAACTCCTTTCCTTCCTAGGCATGGTTAGTGCGATCAGAATTCTTACACAAGAGCCGGGACCGCACCCTGTAGCCTTTCTGTCCAAACAACTTGACCTTACTGTTTTAGCCTAGCCCTCATGTCTGCGTGCAGTGACTGCCATTGCTTTAATACTTTTAGAGGCCCTAAAAATCACAAACTATGGTCAACTCACTCTCTACAGTTCTCTTAACTTCCAAAATCTATTTTCTTCCTCACACCTGATGCATATACTTTCTGCTTCCCAGCTCCTTCAGCTATACTCACTCTTTGTTGAGTCTCCCACAATTACCATTGTTCCTGGCCCGGACTTCAATCCGGCCTCCCATATTATTCTGGATACCACACCTGACCCTCATGACTGTATCTCTCTGATCCACCTGACATTCACCGCATTTCCCCATATTTCCTTATTTCCTGTTCCTCACCCTGATCACATTTGGTTTATTGATGGCAGTTCCACCAGGCCTAATCGCTACTCACCAGCAAAGGCAGGCTATGCTATATATAGTATCTTCCACATCTATCACTGAGGCTACTGCTCTGTCCCCCTCCACTACCTCTCAGCAAGCCAAATTAGTTGCCTTAACTTAAGCCCTCACTCCTGCAAAAGGACTACGCATCAATATTTATACTGATTCTAAATATGCCTTTCATATTCTGCACCACCATGCTGTTATATGGGCTGAAAGAGGTTTCCTCACTACGCAAAGGTCCTCCATCATTAATGCCTCTTTAATAAAAACACTGCTCAAGGCCACTTTACTTCCAAAAGAAGCTGGAGTCAATTCACTGCAAAGGCCATCAAAAGGCATCAGATCCCATTGCTCTAGGCAACGCTTATGCTGATAAGGTGGCTAGACAAGCAGCTAGCTTTCCAACTTCTGTCCCTCATGGCCAGTTTTTCTCCTTCACATCAGTCACTCCCACCTATTCCCCGGCTGAAACTTCCACCTATCAATCTCTTCCCACACAAGGCAAATAGTTCTTAGACCAAGGAAAATCTCCTTCCAGCCTCACAGGCCCATTCAATTCTGTCGTCATTTCATAACCTCTTCCATGTAGGTTACAAGCCACTAGCCCATCTCCTAGAACCTCTCATTTCCTTTCCATTGTGGAAATCTGTCCTCAAGGAAATCACTTCTCAGTTTTCCATCTGCTATTCTACTACCCCTCAGGGATTGTTCAGGCCTCCTCCCTTTCCTACACATCAAGCTCAGGGATTTGCCCCTGCCCAGGACTGGCAAATTGAGTTTACTCACATGCCCCGAGTCAGAAAACTAAAATACCTCTTAGTCTAGGTAGACACTTTCACTGGATGGGTACAGGCCTTTCCTACAGGGTCTGAGAAGGCCACCGCAGTCATTGCTTCCCTTCTGTCAGACATAATTCCTCGGTTTAGGCTTCCCACTTCTATACAGTCTGATACCAGACTGGCCTTTATTAGTCACATCAGCCAAGCATTTTTTTCAGACTCTTAGTATTCAGTAAAACCTTTATATCCCTTACAGTCCTCAGTCTTCAGGAAAGGTAGAACAGACTAATGGTCTTTTAAAAACACACCTCACCAAGCTCAGCCACCAACTTAAAAAGGACTGGGCAATACTTTTACCACTTTCCCTTCTCAGAAGTCAGACCTGCCCTCGGAATGCTACAGGGTATAGCCCATTTGAGCTCCTGTAAGGACGCTCCTTTTTATTAGGCCCCAGTCTCATTCCAGACACCAGACCAACTTGGACTGTGCCCCAAAAAACTTGTTATCCCTACTATCTTCTGTCTAGTCATACTCCTATTCACCGTTCTCAACTACTCATACATACCCTGCTCTTGTTTACACTGCCGGCTTACACTGTTTCTCCAAGCCATCACAGCTGATATCTCCTGTTGCTATCCCCAAACTGCCACTCTTTACTCTTAAAGTAAACAAATAATCTTCGCTGGCAGGACTATGCTGAATCTCCTTAGGCAGTCTAATTAGATGTCCTGGGTCCTCCCAATTCTTAGATCTTTAATACCTGTTTTTCTCCTTCTCTTATCCCATTTAGTTTTTCAATTCATACAAAACTGTATCCAGGCCATCACCAATAATTCTAAATGACAAATGTTTCTTCTAACAACCCCCCAATATCACCCCTTACCACAAAATCTTCCTTCAGCTTAATCTCTCCCACTCTAGGTTCCCACGCCACCCCTAATCCCGCTTGAAGCAGCCCTGAGAAACATCGCCCATTATCTCTCCATACCATCCCCAAAAATTTTCGCCATCCCAACATTTTACCACTATTTCATTTTATTTTTCGTATAATATAAGAAGACAGGAATGTCAGGCCTCTGAGCCCAAGCTAAGCCATCATATCCCCTGTGACCTGCACGTAGTACACATCCAGATGGCCAGTTCCTGCCTTAACTGATGACATTCCACCACAAAAGAAGTGAAAATGGCCTGTTCGTGCCTTAACTGATGACATTATCTTGTGAAATTCCTTCTCCTGGCTCATCCTGGCTCAAAAGCTCCCCTACTGAGCACCTTGTGACCCCCACACCTGCCCGCCAGAGAACAACTCCCTTTTGACTATAATTTTCCTTCACCTACCCAAATCTTATAAAACGGCCCCACCCATATCTCCCTTCGCTGACTCTCTTTTCGGACTCAGCCCGCCTGCACCCAGGTGATTAAAAGCTTTATTGCTCACACAAAGCCTGTTTGGTGGTCTCTTCACACGGACGTGCATGAACTGGATTAATATTTTTCTCACGAAACCGGGTTAGTTCTTGTTGGAGTGGGGTAATTCCCAATAGAGCCAGTTGTTATAAAGACAGGTTACCTCTCATGTTTTGACAGTTATTTCATGCACTTGATTCCACTTCCACCTCATTTTGACACAGTAGGAGGCCCTCACCAGGAGCCACCTGATGCAGTCACTCAATCTTTGAACTTCACAGCCTGCAGAATTGTGAGTTAAATAAACCTCTTTTCTTTATAAATTACCCAGTCTCAGGTATTCTTTATAGAAACATGAAATGGACTAAGACACCACGCATAACTAGAGCCATCCCAACAGTAGAGGATGTAGGTACAGATAGAATAAACATGTTACTAGGAGATGCTCTGAAAGAAAATGAAGAACTTGTAGTAAAAAGTTTATTATTATTTAAGAATGTTTATCCTGCTCTGTGTGGTTTGGGGTTTGTTTTCTCTTGTTATTTTTTGTTTTGCAAAGTATACTTTATTTTTAGTTGTGCAAACGTAATTAGAAACCCAGGATTTTATGTTCCCAAAACTGTGGAAAAGAATACTAATGATTTACTAAGTCTCTAGGCCTAACACAACAATGTGGTGCTCAAGTCTATAAAAAGTTTGCCTGAACAGAAAACTGCAATGCTTCAGGAACCAGGATGCTGTCAAAGTGTTTGCTGAGATAGTTCTCAAGACTTTTTTTTTTTTTTTTTTTTGAGACAGAGTCTTGCTCTGTCGCCCAGGCCAGAGTGCAGTAGCGCGATCTCGGCTCACTGCAAGCTCCGCCTCCCGGGTTCACGCCATTCTCCTGCCTCAGCCTCCCTAGTAGCTGGAACTACAGGCGCCCACCACCATGCCCGGCTAATATATATATATAGTATTTTTAGTAGAGACAGGGTTTCACCGTGTTAGCCAGAATGGTCTCGATCTCCTGAACTCGTGATCCACCTGCCTCAGGCTCCCAAAGTGCTGGAATTACAGGCGAGAGCCACTGCGCCCGGCCAGTTCTCAAGGCTTTTTTTTTCAGCCCAAGTGGTCTTTTAAGTGTGCTAACAAACTCCAAATTCATAAAATTTCTCATGAAAAGTAGAGAATGTTGCAAAACATATTGAAGGTAACCTGTACTGATATTAAAAAGTTACTACTATTTTTTCTATTCTGAGGTGTAAAGTTAGGGAACAACTGAGAAGAGCCGGTTGCTTAATAAAATAATTACTGTTTTAAGAGCTGACCCAACTTTCATGAATAAAATTTTTAAAAATCTAATTATGTGAACAAAATAAAAATATTTTTAAAAATTTAATTTATAATGTCTATAAATGGTCATGGCAGTGACTATTTTACAACTTACTGTCTCTTCTCTAATAAATACACACTATGAGAGTTCGTGTTTCTGGTTTTCTGAGGTAGCCACTTAATGACTAGCAATTTAAATTCATTAATATCACAACTGAATTCATCGCAACTTCCCTACCAAAGCCCTAGAATCATTTTTATATTGTCATGGTCCAAGAGTGTTAAATAACATGAATTTTTAATAATTTCTCTTCTATTACAACTCTATAGCATGATTTTCAAGTCTCGAACCCAGTTACTCTCAAATGCACTTTATAGAAACAATCAGACAATTTTCCTCTTGGGCAGCAGATTGCTTCATCTGTAGTGTTCCGTTACTTCTAATTCTTCAACCTGTCCTCCCTTCTTCTCAATATTTCGGCAGGCACTCTGAAAAATGATCAAACACCTGGCCGGGTGCAGTGGCTCATGCCTGTAATCCCAACACTTTGGGAGGCCGAGGCTGATGGATCACCTGAGGTCAGGAGTTTGAGACCAGCCCAGCTAACATAGTGAAACCCCATCCCTACTAAATATACCAAAATTAGCCAGGCATGGTGGTGGGCACCTGTAGTCTCAGCTACTCAGGAGGCTGAGGCGGGAGGGTTGCTTGAGCCCCGGAAGTGGAGGTTGCATTGAGCCGAAATCACACTACTGCACTCCAGCTTGGGTGACAGAGTGAGAGACTGTCTCCAAAAAAAAAATTTTTTAATGAAAAATGATAAAACACCTAATTTATGTTTCTAGATTAGGTTCTATTATCTCTAGGAAAAATCTAAAAAAGAAGGGAGCTCATATTGGTGGTGTATCTTCTACCTGTCAAACATGGAGTTCAGAAGTTTTCAATAATATCCCAGGAGGTAGTTGTTATTATGCCCATTTCACATGGGAAGAAACTGAGCAGAGAAGTAACTGAGCAGTAGTCCTATAGATATAAAGGGGCAAAAATCATATTTGAACTTAGTTTTGTTACTCATGCTCCTTGCAAACTAAATAACATATTATTTTTGAAATATTTACTATTAGGTTACTTATATACTTACTTTTATTTAATGACTAAGATTTCCAAAGCACTGCCACTTATATTATCCCATTTCAAGGCAGCTGGGGCTGGGCTTGGTGGCTCACACCTGTAATCCCAGCACTTTGGCAAGCCGAGGCAGTCAGATCACCTGAGGTCATGAGTTGAAGATCAGCCTGGCCAACATGGCGAAACTCCATCTCTTCTAAAAAATACAAAAATTAGCCCAGCGTAGTGGTGCATGCCTATAATCTCAGCTACTAGGGAGGCTGAGGCACAAGAATCATTTGAACCCAGGAGGCAGAGGTTGTGGTGAGCTGAGATCTCTCCATTGCACTCCAGCCTGGGCTATAGAACAAGACTCTGTCTCAAAAAAAAAAAAAAAAAAAAAGGCAGCTGGTAGAATGGAAAGCTTGTGGAGGTTGTGATGATCACCAATAATATATATAGATTATATAATATCTAGTGTAAAACATATGCTCAATCACTATTATTACTTATCCTTCCAACAGGCTTAGAAGTTAGGTAGCACAGCTGTCTTGACAGAATTCCTCTACAAAGATTAATCCCTTTCACATTATACTCCACAAGCAAGAATTAATTTTTTTAATTTTTATTTATGTATATATTTATTTATTTAAAAAAAATTTTTTTTTCAGACAGAGTCTTGCTCTGTCACCCAGGCTGGAGTGCAGTGATGTGATCTCAGCTTACTGCAACCTCCACCTCCCAGGCTCAAGCAATTCTCCTACCTCAGCCTCCCGAGTAACTGGGATTACAGGTGCCTGCCACCACATTCAGCTATTTTTAGTAGAGAGGGGGTTTCACCATGTTGACCAGGCTGGCCTGGAACACCTGACCTCAAGTGATACGCCCACCTCAGCCTCCCAAAGTACTGAGCTTATAGGTGTGACCCACTGCACCCGGCCTATTTATTTATTTTAGAGAAAAGGTCCTGCTCTGTCACACAGGCTGGAATGCAGTGGCATGATCATAGCTTACTGAAGCCTCAAACTCCCGGGCTCAAGTGATCCTCCTGCCTCAGCCTCCCAAATAGCAGGTACTACAGGCATGCACCACCACACCTGGCTAAGATTAAAATTTTATTTACAAGGCATTTACCTATAGGAATCTCAAAACCCCATATTCGACTTCAATTTTTTTTTTTTTTGAGATGGAGTTTCACTATTGTCACCCAGGCTGGAGTGCAGTGGTGCAATCTCTGCTCACTGCAATCTCCGCCTCCCAGGTTCAAGGGATTCTCCTGCCTCAGCCTCCTGAATAGCAGGGATTACAGGTGTGAACCACCACGCCCAGCTAATTTTGTATTTTTAGTAGAAACCAGGTTTCACCATGTTGGCCCTGGTTGGTCCGGAACTCCTGACCTCAGGCAATCCTCCCGCCTCAGCTTCCCAAAGTGCTGGGACTACAGGCATGAGCCACTGCACCTGACCTCAACTTCAATTTGTTTACAATAAAGGCAGGCAGGGAAAGAAAGGGAATTACGTATGAGACAGGCTTACAATCTTCCCTAGTCTAGTCAGCATTGAAGAGTTGTCTCCCATCTATAAAATAAGTTTCCTTTTCCACCAGACCTAAATGTTACATAAAGATATTATTTGTCATAAGTTTTATTATCTTCTCCTTACAGGAGATAATAGAGCCTTTCTTTCAGTGTCTTGCTCCATAGGCGGAAGAGCAACCCCTGAGGATGTGCAGACCATGCACGAATAGGTGGTGAGAGCAGTTATCATGACGCAGAGGGATGGTTCCGGTTTGACTTCAGCTGCTGCATTCCTGCTCTCTGGATAGTAGACAGCGAAGTGCAAAAGAAGTGCTCTGTATCAGTGACTCACAGCAAGACAGGAAATCTCAAGCAGGTCCACCCTTCCTTCCTGCCCTTCGAAGAGCTGAGTTGCAGAACCACAGGCCACAACTAGCCTAGAGTCTTGGTGAGAACGGCTGGAGCCAGGAGTCAGAGACAGAGCAACTGCGATCAGCTCTTGAAATGGATTCACGTCAGGGCCCTGCTGCAAGGAAAATACTTTTCTCTTTTTTCTACAAGAATACTTTTTCTGTAGAGATTTCTCTTTTCATATTTACTCAGTATCTCCCTGGCTTGTTCTGGCCTTCGTATTGTTTTTAAAAATGAAAACAATGGGCTTGATATAATTCAATCGATTAGACTTCATTTATACCAAGTTTAAAAAGCATGCAAGAAATGACATCAGTCATTGTCAAGCAATGTTTCCACAATGGCAAAATGGCAGAAAGTATTTCACCAGCAAAATGCAATTGCATTTACAGTAGAATTTGGGACCTAGAGTAAAATTCCTTCAACTCATGTTTCTCTTCATGTGAGCAGCAAACAATTATGATAATAATAAAGGCTAACAATTACCCCAAGGACTGATCTAAACACTTTTGCAATTTAAGTCATTTAAGGGTTACAACTACCCTTTGAGATCTATACATTATTATTTCTCCCATTTTACAGATGAGGAAGCTATCAAAGTGAATGAAAGCCTCATCTGATCTCCCAAAATTGTTTTAAACCTCATAAATAGTAAACAAAGCCCAAATATATAAAATACATTTATATGTGTGTGTGAGTAATAAATAAATCTGCTGCTTGCAGTGATTTATTGTAAGACTCAAATGAGTAAATGATATAAAATGATGATTTATATATTTCCTGCATTTGGCCAGGTTCAGTAATCTATTTCCAACGATTCAAAAAAATGTAAAAAAAAAATCCCTACTAAAAATCAAAAGTCAAAACTCTTCAACGAGTTGTTTACAACAGACCAAATGTCAGTAGCTTTTGACAAGTCCATCTCATTGTCTTCCTGCAAGGTAGCAATGTCAAAAAAAAAAAAAAAAGTAGCAGAAATCTGAATATCTGTGTGTCAATCAACAAACTAGCTCTGAGACTGAAAAATTTCTTGGGAGGATGTGTGTGTGTGTGTGCGTGCGTAGAAAGACAGCAAAACTATCTTTCAATTCTCACCTCCTTTTATTTTCCTGCTCTTCCCAAACTTAACCCAAACCTTGTATTCCAGCCAACCCAATATACTTCTAATGTTCTTGTTCCTTGTCTCACGTGTTTGAATATGGTGCTCTTTCGCTGTCTAAAAAGCCATTCCCCCCTGCATTCCACCTAGTATGTACCTGCACATCCTCCGGCATTTAGAATTCTTCTATCCATCTGTTCATGTACTCCAGGAGTACTTATTGAATACCTATTATGGAATAGGCATGGGAGCAGGAGACAACAAGGTCACTGTTCTGATGGGGCATGCATTCTAGTGCAGAGAGAGAGGCATAAAGTTAAGGAAGAGGAAAGAAAAATGAAGGAGGTATGGAAAGAAGGAAGAAAGAAATGGAAGAAAGGGAAGGAAGGAAGAGAGGGAGGGAGGGGAAAGAGAGGGATATAGGAAAACAAAGACACTAACAAATCATGGCTAGTGTTACACAGAGTCAAATGACATCCGTTAACTGACTGGTTACTTACATCAGGTATCAGGAATCCAGCCACCTAAGTTGAGTTCTGAATGACAAGAAGGAGCTAATCATGCAGAAATAGGAGGAATAGCATTTTGGCATCAGGAACCACTGGTTCAGAGGTGCTAAGCCTAGAGATCAAGCTAGAGTTCCCAAAGAACTGAAAGGAGCCAGCATGACTGAATTACAGTCAGGGGCCACATCCCATTGGCTTTGTAAGACCAGTAAGAAATTTAAATTGAGGCCGAGCGTGGTGGTTCACGCCTGTAAT
Source organism: Homo sapiens (assembly GCF_000001405.40). Taxonomy (NCBI): domain Eukaryota; kingdom Metazoa; phylum Chordata; class Mammalia; order Primates; family Hominidae; genus Homo; species Homo sapiens. The sequence continues at coordinate 153,220,015 of NC_000003.12, read as the reverse complement.
CCCAGCACTTTGGGAGGCCAAGGAAGGCAGATCACAAGGTCAAGAGATTGAGACCATCCTGGTCAACATGGTGAAAACCCATCTCTGCTAAAAATACAAAAAAATTAGCTGGGTGTGTTGGCACGCACCTGTAGTCCCAGCTACTTGGGAGGCTGAGGCAGGAGAATCGCTTGAACCCAGGAGGTGGAGGTTGCAGTGAGCTGAGATCGTGCCACTGCACTCCAGCCTGGGTGACAAGAGCGAGACTCTATCTCAAAAAAAGAAAGAAATTTAAATTGAAAATTTAAAGTGGAGGATTGATATAATCTAATCTATCTGGCTGTTATATCTAATTAGATATATCTAATCACTCTGGCTGTTGAGTGAGTGCACACTTAATGTTAGGGAGTCAAGTGTAGAAGAGGAAACATGAGTTAGAATATAGGTGCATGTGTCAAGCCAATTCTTTCTTCTTTGTGCTCATACATTTTGTAAATACTCAACATTAACATGCTCTTTAAAAACTGGTTTATGTTTTCTTTTCTTGTACTTAGATAATAAGATCCTTGAAAGCAGGCCTGAACCACCATTGTACAATAAACATTTCCTGCATGAATAAATTAATGAAAGAATGAATAATAAAACAAGATCTCTTCCCAGAGAAAGTTTAAAGCCTCTGAAGACAGCAGACATCCATTTGAATAACCACATAACAAAGTGAATCATTTATATTGCAAAAGACAGAGAAAGCATTATACTTGAGGGCAGAGGAGGGAGAAAGCATATTACTCAAATAAAGATGTGATACTGAATTAGAATGTCTGATGTTCTTTAACACGGTACCATGTTAAAACAAGGTGGCGGGAGTTGGACATAAAACAGATTGAGATGGCTTCCACTTCTGATGTTTCACAGTTTCAGATAATGGTTATATTTGCACTCCAGAGTTCTGGGTCAAGATGAAATTCAAATGAATCTACTGGGAAGTTATTTATCTCTGCTGAACCACTAAGTAAAAAGTAAACAAGAGTGTCAAATCACTTTTGAATTGTTCAAATTACAGCAAAACCCTGACAATGGGATAAAGTGCTCACATTCTAGATGTTTCTTCTTGGAGTTATAAAAAGGTCAGTCATGAGGAAGAGTGAACTTTGTGTTTAGTGGACTCCCTTCATTCTTTTCTGCACTTCTCTCTCCTTAGGGGCTGCCCTGTCTCTACCCAAACATTCAGGAACCTTACATTGCACAAATGATAATCAAGGTGCTTTCTACTCAATTCCTTTCCTTCCTGTTTTGCTCCCCCTTCCCCAGCCTACTTCAACTAGGTACATACATCAGGTAGCTTTTGCCTCACAACAAAATACTACAAATCTTTGGGACTTAAAACAGCCAATTATACTTCCTCACAATTTGGTGGTGATAGTGTTTCTGGATGAGGCCAGCTCATTTGAAGTTGCGTGATCTAAAATGGCCTCCCTCTCACATCTGGGGCTACAGCTAGGACAACTGGTATGTTTAAGGCCTTTCTTCACATGTTCTCTCATCCTCAAAGAGTGTAGTTCACATGGTGGCAGAAACATTCTCAGCAGCAGGAAAAGGTAAACCCTATATGCAAGCCCCCCTCAAGCCTCTGCACATTTTTTTCTCAGAGACCATATCTGCCCAGCCTGTTGCCCAGGCTGGCTTCAAACTCCTGGGCTCAAGTGATCTTCCTGCCTCAGCCTCCTGAGTAGCTGGCACTACAGGTATGGATCATCATGCCCAGCCTGCACCATATTTTTCAATGTTCCATTGGCCAAAGCAAGTTACCCAGCCAAACCCAGGATTAAAGGATAGAGAAATAAACTCAACCTTTTGATGCGAGGCCTGGCAAAAATCCCACTGCAAAGGGATATAAGTAATTTGTGACCATTTTGTGAACAGGGTTATAAGTAATTTGACCATTTTGTGATCTATTACACTAACATTTGAAGAAATTTCATAAATTTAATTCACAATAAGGTGATGAGGACTCCTAAGAAAGTATTTTGCTTCTTAATATGGCAAAATATCTTACCTCAAGAGAATTGAGCTTCAGAGTCAGAATTCCAGGCCCAGTGGCAAATTAGAAAGAGTTGCTCTTCTGCAATGGACTTGTGCAGCCCCTCCAGTCCTGATCTTTAAGAAGCCAACTATTTGAACATAGATTCCACACCCTTTTCCCCTATCCCCGCCTCTAGAAAGTTTCATTACTGCCGGGTGCGGTGGCTCACGCCTGTAATCCCAGCACTTTGGGAAGCTGCAGAGGGTGGATCACGAGGTCAGGAGATCGAGACCATCCTGGCTAACACGGTGAAACCCCGTCTCTACTAAAAATACAAAAATTAGCCGGGCGTGGTGGTGGGCGCCTGTAGTCCCAGCTACTCTGGAGGCTGAGGCAGGAGAATGGCGTGAACCCGGGAGGCAGGGCTTGCAGTGAGCCGAGATCGCGCCACTGCACTGCAGCCTGGGCGACAGAGCGAGATTCCGTCTCAAAAAAAAAAAAAAAAGAAAGTTTGATTACTGTGTGCTTTAGAGGCATGATTTGACTCACAGAAGACAGTGTAGACTCTACCAAATACCTAGCACATAAACAGCTCAAGAAATATCAGTTCAATTAGTTAATTCATGTGTGTGTGTGTTTGTGTGTGTATTTGTGTTTGTGTGTCTATGAGTGTAGGAGTGTACTGAGAGAAAGGGAGGGAGGGTGAGCTTGCACTAACACCTGCTCCATTCCAAATGCTGCCATAAGGAGTCAAAAGGCATCATGGCAGAGAAATTGGCATGGGTTTTAAAGTCGGATGAACATACTTCCTTTGTAACCTTGGGTAAATTCCTTAACATCTCCAAGCCTTAATGTCCTCATCTATAAAATGGGTGTAATACCTTTGCTATACCTTTGCTACAGGGTCATTATGAAAAGTAAATTGAATGATACACACAGAACACCTATAACAACGCATGACTCATTATAGACTTCTGGTAATTAGCAGGAAACAGGGGTCAAGTCTAGCTTCCCAAACAAATTTCATTCTTTTCTCTCTCCTTCCTTTAGCCTTAGTGCTGTTTTCCTTTGGTTGTCTGCCTCCTTCCACCTACCAGCCCTACCTAGACCTGTCTAATCAGAGAAATGAGCATGGAAGGAAACGGGGTGGAGGGGGTGTTTTTAGATGGAACCTGTATCTTTAGGTTCTCTCAGGGAGAGGTTGTTCTAGCTGCAGCAGTAGGAGGTAAAGTGAAGGAAAAGAATGGCCACAGCAGTCTTAGACCTCTAAAAGTAAGTCTCTGACTGCTCATTGTCTGTCATTATGCTGCGTAAACTCACAGCATAAGCAACTGCCTATACCTGGATTTACCCTTGGTGAATTTGGCACTCAGAAATTATGGGTAGATTTCAATTAACTGTTGCAGACAGAACACCATGCCTTTCCTTCTTGGCCCCTCAACCTCACATTCCACTGAAATGCTGGTTTAAAATATATGCATATAAAAGAGAATAAGTTCATAATAAATCCCAGGATCAAGGAATTACAGATTTCTATATATTTCTCCAAGAGAGGTGCAGGATGGGATCGCAGACTGCCTGGATGCAAATATCAGCTCTGCCAGTCATAACCTGTATGACTTTGAGCAATCCTGTTTCCTCATTATAAAACGTGGATAATTATGGGACAGTTGACCCTTAAACAACATGGATTTGAACTGCATGAGTCCACTTCCATGTGGATTGTTTTTCAACCCAGGGCAGATCAAAAATACAGTATTTGTGGAATGCGAAACTGGCCTATAATAAAGGCTAACTTTTGCATACGCCATTTCCCAAGGGACCAATTTGCCAAACTTGAGTATGCACAGATTTTGGCAGATGTGGGGTTCCTGGAACCAATTCCCTGCATATACTCAGAGTCGACTGTAGCTACCTCATAGCGTTGTTGTGAGGATTGGCCAAGTAAATCACAATATAAATACTTAGGACAGTTCCTGGAATGCTGCTTAATAAAAGTTAGATTTTGTTGTTATAAATTGAAGCCAGAGAATCTACAGCCAAGAAATTAAACAGAAGAAAGCTGCAAGTTCAAAGCTTGAAACTGGCAAGAATGCCAGGGGAAAGTGAGACAGAAATCAAGGGTATGGGTTTAACGCTTACAGTAAAGCTGTACAAGCCCACCTTCAACCCATTCTGTACTCCCTCATCTACATACAAGGGTGATGTGTAGCCTTATTTAAACTAAAACCAAAAAAGTGATCTCTAAAGAAGTCAAACAACCTTCCTATAAAGGGCTAAGATCCTTGTTATGTGTACTTGGCATGTAACTGCTGCCTCTCTGTTTCTGTTGACTAAGCAATTTAGCATAAGGAGATCAGCAAATGATACACAAATTTTTAAAAATGCACATCTAGACACCTTTTCTGAAACTTCCCCATGTCAAAATATAAAGCCTAAAAACTTTCTGAGAAAAGAAACCAATTATCTATAAAGAGATCAGAATCTGACTGGTGCCAGTCCCTTCCCAGCAAAATTGGTTGCTAGAGGATCATAGAAAATGCTTTAATAGTTCTGAGGGAAAATTCTCTTGAAACTAGAATTATGGACTTTTCTAATTTATTTTTTAACTCCCATGCATACTTTCTGAAAAAAACAATTATCTGGGGACGTACCAGAGCAAAAATAAAAAGTAACCCAAGACAAAGAAGATTATGGCAGCCGAGAAAAAAGTAAACTTTACCTAGAAATCTATGAAAAATAATTTTTGGATGAGAGCTGTCTAGCAAGCCTAGGAAATCAACAGTCCAAATAGTAATAGGAAATCAGAGGGCTCTGAAGAGTAAGTTTCAAGTAGAAATATTCAAGTAGGAAATATTGTTATTAAGAACTGGATGATCTTTGACAAGATGAAAGCTGAAGGCATATTATAATTCTGCTCACAAAAAAAGTGAATTAGAAATTCAAATTCTTGAAAAGATGTGTAAAGAAATCATGGTATAAATATAAAACAATCTATAATGTTGTGTAATATTTAAATAAATTGAAGAAGAGAATCTATTTGACCTTGACACTTGAAATATTCTTCTTCAATTAGTACAGGTTTATTAACACACAGTTATATATCTCCTTCTTTATGGGTCCAATCATGCTACTTTGTGCCTTAGGTAATAATATTCACATTATTATAATAGTGCAAAATCCTTTTACTTAAAAAATATCAATCAACCTATTGGCAAAGTACAGAATAATCAGTCATTGAGAACAGAACCCAACTGATAGAAATATTGACAATGTAAAAAGTTGGGAAATGCAGATAGCACAGAGACAGAGGGAGTATGTGGGGCATTCTTTCTTGTTTTATAGGACTATGAATCCAGATTTCTGAGTTTATAGATCAAGAAAGAAATATTAATTTGTTTAAACATATAAAGGTGGCCGTGCATGGTGGCTCTGCCTGTAATCCCAGCACTTTGGGAGGCCGAAGGGGGTAGATCACCTGAGGTTGGTAGTTCGAGACCAGCCTGAACAATACAGTTAAACTCCATCCCTACTAAAAACACAAAAATTAGCCAGGCATGGTGGTGCATGCCTGTAGTCCCAGCTACTCGGGAGGCTGAGACAGAAGAATTGCTTGAACCTGGAGGCGGAGGTTGCAGTGAGCCGAGATCATGCCACTGCACTCCAGCCTGGGCGACAGAGCAAGACTCTGTCTCAAAAAAAAAAGGTATAAAGGTAAGTAACCTCTCAGTGCCTCAGTTTTGTTTTTTGAAAAATGGAGTTGATGATATATGCCCTACTCATATCACAGCAACTTTGCTAGAAGTGTCAAATCATATTAAAGGCATGGGAATGCTTGAGAAAATAAAAGCAGCACTGGAATATAAAGTGATTTTACCATCAAAGTGTCTAGCCTCCATAGAAGTTTGATCAATTGCTTATGCATCCTAACTGCAAATCACCAAAGGAGATTTAACATATCCAGCTATTTTCATTAGCTCTTATGATTTTCATCCCATGTGGCATCATAGGCCTTTAAAGCTGAAAGAGCTCAAAGATTTTTGAGTTCATCTTCCTTATTTCACAGGTGAAGAAACTGAGTCCACAAAAGTCAAGTGACTTGACATAGTCAAACAGCTCTTAAATGACAGAGATGGGCTAGGAACTACATATCCTGAATCCTAGGACAATGCTTTTCTATTACATAGTCAAACTGGGGGGAAAAAAAGTCCAGATAATAAACTGAGTCTACATGACTTCAGAAAGAAAGCTAGAAAGTTAGGACAAATAAATACATTCCTAACTTGTAAAGGTTTATTCCATAACTTGTATGAATAAACAATAATAAATAGCTCATTTATTTCTTAAGATTCATTCATTTAATTAGCCAGGGGCAGGTACAGTGGCATGGCACCTGTAATCCCAGCTACTGGGGAGGCTGAGGCAGGAGAATCACTTCACCCTGGGAGGTAGAGGATGCAGTGAGCCGAGATCACACTACTGCACCCCAGCCTGGGCAACAGAGCAAGATTCTGTCTTAAAAAGTTTTTTTAAAAAGATTAATTCATTTAATTATTTTATATGCTAATATAGTCTTCTCCACTAGATTTTAAAGGTGTTTCTTTCTACTTTTTTGTCTTTTTTGGATAGCCTATAGATTTTAAAGTTCTAATGAATAGTTCTATGTCTCTTAGTACCTTTTTGTTTTTCAGAGTAATGAGGCTGTATTAAGTATTCACAAAAGTAATTTGGCTGATTGTCTCCTTCTATTTTTATTTTTGTGTTTGAAGTCATTTCAAACTTACAGAAACATTGCAAGAACAGTAAAAAGAACACTTAAATAGAAAAAGTCTTTACCCAGATTTTCCAAGTTTTAGCATTTGCTTTGTTTCATCTATGTATATCTATTTAAATATATTACACATTTTTAAATATATATTTTTTGAACAATATAAGAGTAGGTGCACACATAATGCCTCTTTATCCCTTAATATTTCAGCTTACATTTCATAAGAACAAAATTTTGTCCTTAACCACAGTATAATTATTAAATGTGTAATAATTACCAAATATTTTAAAAACTCAGGACATTTAACATTGATAGAATACTTTAAAGTTCATTTTAATTTCCTTAATTGTTTCCAAAATATTATTTAAAGAATCTTTGTCCAGTTCAGGATACTGTCTAGGATTACATATTGCATTAAGTTGTCCTGTCTCTTTAGACTCATTTAATTTAAAGCACTTTCTCAACATTCTTTTGTCTTTCATGCCATTGGCATTTATGATTAATACAGGCCAGTTATTTCATAGAATATATCTATTAAGATTTGGGTTTCTCTGCTGCTTCCTTATGATTAGACAGAGCTAATCCATTTTTGGTTGGATTACCACATGAGTGATGTTTTGTTTTGCTTGTGTTATCACATTGGGAGGCACTTGATATTCCTTTGCCTCTTGTTGATGATATCAGTGTTGATCTACTTGGTTAAGTAGGATGTTATTCTGCTTCTACACTATTTTCCCTCATCATTATTAAGTAACTTGTGGAGAGGCATTTTGAGACTGGGTAAATAACTTGCTCCTCATCAAAATTCCCTCTGCTAGATCTGGCATCTATTAATCATTCTAGCCAGAATCAGTTTTACTCTGATGGTTATAAAATGGTAATTTTCTAACTCCATTTTATCCATTTGTCTTCTCTATCAGCCAGGATTTTGCTGTGAGAAACAGCTTTTTCTTCTTCCTTATTTAGCTATTATGAGTTTGGACCCATTAATTCTTATTTCATTCATTTATAATTAATTAATTTCTCTCTCTCGCTCTTGCTAAAATTATCCCAGATTTGAACGGGGATACCAGTTGGAATTCATTCAAGCTGGCTTCTGTGTCATGTTGATGCATACTCACCATCATTTGAGCACCTCCTTATTTTCTGACACAAAAATCCCAGGCTTATCATGTACCTTCCCTGCCACAACCGTGAAATTAGCCTTTCTCCATGAAGCTCTAGTTCCTTATTTAGGCTGATTGATTTTTGAGGCTGACATCATGGAGATAAATCGTGTCCTTCTAAAACACAACTTCTCATTTCAACAGAAAGCAATCTGGAACTGGAAAGGTCTTAAGACTCATCTAAAAAGAAATATTCTCTGCTAATTTTTAAAAATTATTTTTCCAGGGTTAGGAATTAGATGTGAGAAATGAATCCATGGCAACAAAATGTACTGAAGTATCTATAAAAGAAACATTTCAATTACACATAAAGTTAGTCTACAAAACAAATCAACTCAATTAAAAACTTAGTATTTCAAGTGAGTTGAAAATCATGAATTCACATTATGGTCCAAATGTAGATATAAGTTGTATCTTGAAATTCTTTTAAAAAGTCAACATGGCTCAAATGGAACATAGTATATTAACACAAACTAATAATATTATTTTAAATATCCAACATGAAATACGTAATATAAAAAAAGATAAAATTTAAAACCCTTAGTGTCTGGCATATCTAGGGAATAACACTTTTTTTTTTGAGACGGAGTCTCACTCTGTCGCCCAGGCTGGTGTGCAGTGGCGCGATCTCGGCTCACTGCAAGCTCCGCCTCCCAGGTTCATGCCATTCTCCTGCCTCAGCCTCCCGAGTAGCTGGGACTACAGGTGCCAGCCACCATGCCTGGATAATTTTTTTTTTTTTTGTATTTTTAGTAGAGACGGGGTTTCACTGTGTTAGCCAGGATGGTCTCGATCTCCTGACCTCATGATCCACCCACCTCGGCCTCCCAAGGGGATAACACTTTTATTGAATAAATTAAGGAGATTTAGGAAAAGGGCAGCCACTTACAGGAATTCAAATAAAAATATGTACATGATGGGTCATTGATAGAATGCCACATGTGCCCTCCCTAACTGAATCGTGAGCAGCCAATTTCCAATTTAAGTACCATTTCTTTTAAAATTTGACTTTTTCTTCTAAAAGCCAGCCAAGAAAGCAAAAAATAAAGATGAAAGAGCAGTTTATTACAAAGGCAGCCTGGAGTTCATGTTGTCTTTGCCCAAGAAAAGCAGGCCAGCCTAATCTATTGCATCCCTGAGGTGGCCTTTCATTGTGAAACCAGCTTGTGGCAACACCTCTTCTGCAGCCCTGAGGCAATTAAATATCTAAGAATGGACAATCCCCCAATTACTTCTCAAGTGGTAAAACCAGCAGCAGAGCATGTTGTAACTCACCATATGTTGTAATTAAATGTAGGAACTCATACTTCCTTGTGGCCATAAAACCTCTGCTTGGGAAGCAAGGATGCAGTATCTGCCATTATAGCCAACATGAGATCAGGTACGAATATATAGAAGATAAACCTTGCTTTCCACACTTATATTAATATATGCTTCCTCATACAAACCCTTAGTTTATTTCAGATTCTGCAGGCTTCTCAGCGACCATATTTGTAACAGTGAGAAACAAATTTAGATCAAAAGAGACCGCAGGGCAAGACAGAAGTCCAGGAGCATGACTGGACTAGAGTTTCCAGGTCCTGCTGTTTTCTTTCAAATAATGAAATAAGTGAACATAAAAGAGGAGGCCAGGTTAAAAAACAGAAAGGAGGCTGGGCAAGAAGCAGCAATAAGATACCAGCTAGGAACGATCAAGGTTAGCTGTGCCAGACCTGCTGAGCCTCGCTCATTTCGAGGGAGGCTTCCTCCTACTGGTGAAATCTAAAAAAAAAAAAAAAAAAAAAAAAAGCCTTAAGAAAAAAAAATCTCTCTAGTGCTCAAGGAGATTGCAAGATTGCAGCATACTGGAGTGAAAATGTTTCAAGATTCCATTGTAACTGATGGGAATATCCTTCAAACAAATGGTCTCAGCTGGAGGAGTGGAGCAGCCACACATTAACTGGACCAACTGTGCACAGCACCTTTCCTCAGTCATTCCGCGAGAGAGTACACAACTCAGCAGGAAGCTGAAGCTCATGAGAAGAATTATCTGATTTACCTGCTCAAAAAGTGGTAATGCTGGGAACATAGTGGATAAACTCTAATTAACATTTTGAAAGAGAGTGGGGAAGAATTTGCTCAGAGGAAAGTGGTACCCGAAGCTGTGGACATATTTGGCGTGTGGGAGAGGAAAACCCGGCCACACTGGCTCACCTCTTGCTACATTCCTAGGCTGCGACTCAGGAGGCCTGCAGGGAAGCAAGGGTGGCTCAGCATGACAATGGGCCCTGCGCTGTAGCCCGGCAATGTGTCTTTCCTTCCTCAAGCAGATGACTCCCCGTGGGGCGGGAGGAAATGAAGAGAGAGACCAAACTGACCTTCATGTCATAACCTGGGTGACTAAGCTCAAGAGTCTTCCACTTATTGTTTGACTTGCATTCCCTAAAAGAAAAAAGAAGAAGAAGAAGAGAACAAAGTGGCATTGTCCCATTACTGAGACCATATAACTTGTTTCGGTGTCCTGCTCTCTGTACCTGCCTCTACCTACATTTATGGTGGGTCCTTGCTGAAGCTTACTAACATCACTCTTTCTTATATACTGTAATACAATTACAAAATAAAGAACTACATCCCACACTCCCATCTGCCTTCCTCTCATTGTCTCCCATTCCACACACCCTTACCTCCAACTTCCCCTACATACGAAACAGACAACTGAACAAGTGACAGAATTCCTTTTATCGAACAACTTGCAGAGTATTACAGAAGGAAGGTCATTTCAGTCCATTTTCTGTATTTTTATAGCTACAATGTAATTATCACTGATGTTCAAAATGAATGTTTGCAGCACTGCAAATTCTGTACCCTGAAGGCCTAAATTATATTCATTATAGTTGTATTGCTATTAATTTTCTTGCATTAAAATTTTTTACCATCCATGTGTAAAATATTCAGCAGTAGTGATAATGAAGTAGAAACCCCCATTCTTCAAGAAAGCTTCCTGAATCAATTACCAGCAGGAACGGGGAGAACAATAATGGTGTGGGGTTCCTCTGGGAAGGCTGTTTTTACAAACAGGATGGGTGCAGAGCAGCTCTTCTTAACGTCTTCGTGGAGATGACATGAAAAGCAAGTCCACAATTCTGCCTTTTTCTGAATCTTTAATTGTTTAAAAAAAAAAATCACTAAAAATAGTAATTTTAAAAACACCACTCTAAGGGTCAATAAGCTGTATAATTATAAACCTCAATTCTTTCTGGCCTTATTTATTTTTGTGCACAGCCTCATGAGATATGGGCAGGTAGAGGCCGGGGCATTTGAAAATAGATGAGTAAATGGAGGATTCACAAAATACTCCTTTGAAGGTAATGGAAGATAAATGTAAAGTTGCTGATTGCCTGGTTTGGATGACAAATGGAAACTAGATTTAATTACAAAGACAATAACAAGCACTGACATCAGAAAGCAGTGAAAATTTAATGCTAAGCCTAGTGCATAGTCATAGACCTGTTGTTTCTTTAAATAGGCCGAGCTATCAATTGTATTAAAACTTTTAAAGGACCTCCAAGCAAATTTATAATTACAAAATTAGTGCAATAATGACTAATTCAGCTTTTACCTCTTCTCTAAATCTCATGTATCTACAGGAACATAATGCGAAAGATCACTTGAACTGTTCTGGAAGTCAGTATATGAAGAAGTACACGTTTTTAGCTAATTCAACCAAGCTGACCTTACCATGAAGGAAGCAAATTTAGAATTTTAGAGGCAAATGCTTAATCGCTGTTTAAAAGTCAAAAGTAAGATCTTCTTTTCTGTAATTTGCTACTGTTAGAAAAACTACAATGAGATACTTAAAATTTGACACTAGAATTTAAAAGAATGGTTGCAAATGCCAGTTGAAGGGGCTAGAATCACAGCTCATATTCTCATTGCCTGGGGAATCTTCATAAACTTTCAAAGCAATCTTCTCATTTAACCTATCATTGGTGGCAGAGTTCCTTAAAGCACAGTTTTCACACATGGCTGGGACAGTTGGTGAAACTGCAATCACCTTTGAAGTGAGATGCCTGAAGTCAATAACCAGATTGACCGATCATGGCCCTGTTTGTCTTCACATTTGCAAGCAGGTGTAATGATTGCTGATACCACTTGTGCAGACAGCAATTTTGTGCTAAAAGCTTGCTGATAAACAACAGGCTTGTTGTCTCTCTCAGTTACCTTCTGTTTATTTCTATGGAAGGGGAAATCAAGACTTCAATAAAGGCTTAGAAATTATTGAAAACTGAATTGTCCTCAGGATGAATAGGCTCAAAGTATGAGGCAACTTAATAATTCACAGAAATAATAGTTCAGTACATAGTACTAGTATGGATTTGAAAAGCTTATAAATAAGGTATTGTTAAATGCTACTATTTATAAATAGGTATTCAATTCTTCAAAAACTGAGGACTCTTAGGAATTGCATATGCCTTAAAACTGCCCAAACCTCAGGCTGGGCGCAGTGGCTCACGCCTGTAATCCCAACACTGGGAGGCTGAGGCGGGCGGATCAACTGAGGTTGGGACTTCGAGACCAGCCTGACTAACATGGAGAAACCCTGTCGCTACTAAAAGTACAAAATTAGCCGGCCGTGGTGGCGCATGCCTGTAATCCCAGCTACCCAGGAGGCTGAGGCAGGAGAATCGCTTGAACCAGGCAGGTGGATGTTGCGGTGAGCTGAAATCGCGCCATTGCACTCCAGCCTGGGAAACAAGAGCGAAACTCTGTCTCAAAAAAAAAAAAAAAAAAAAAACTACCCAAACCTCGTTTTCAAACTATGGATTTAATGTAGCCAGCTCTCCAATATTCATCCTAAAAGCAGCCAGGCAGAAATGTGACATTAAATATCTCATCTTATTTTTGTTTAAAAGATGTATCTATGTTAAAGTGTTTGTAATACTGAGAACAATGACTATGGATTATTTTTAAATTGTTGTTTATTCTCATTTGTGTTTACTAATGGTTCTATCATGTTTATAATTTTTGTAACAGATAAAAATAAGTTAATGGCTGAGCACGGTGGCTCACGCCTGTAATCCCAGCACTTTAGGAGGCCAAGGTGGGTGGATCACCTGAGGTCAGGATTTTGAGACCAGCCTGGCCAAGATGGCAAAACTTCGTCTCTACTAAAAATACAAAAAAATTAGCCAGGCATGGTGGTGGGCGCCTGTAATCCCAGGTACTGGGGAGGCTGAGGCAGGAGAATTGCTTGAACCTGGGAGGCAGAGGTTGTGGTGAGCCGAGATTCCGCCACTGCACTCCAGCCTGGGTGACAGAGTGAGACTCCGTCTCAAAATAAATAAATAAATAAGTTAATAAAAATGTATCTGTCCTGGCACTGTGGCTCCTGATTGTAATCCCAGCACTTTGGGAGGCTAAGGCAAGTGACTCTGTTGAGCCCAGGAGTTTGAGATCAGGCTGGGCAACATGGCAAAACTCCATCTCAACTAAAAATACAAAAATTAGCCAGGCGTGGTGGTGCATGCCTGTAGTCCCAGCTACTTGGGAGGCTGAGGTGGGAGGATCACTTGAGCTCGGGAAATTAAGGTTGCAGTGAGCCGTGATCACCCCACTGCACACCAGCCTGGGTGACAGAGTGAGATCCTGTGTCAAGAAAAAGGAAAAAATATCCAGTGGTGAACCAAACCCTAAGAGGCTTCCTTCCACCTGCCCACTAGCACACTAGCACACCCAGAGATGCTCATGATGTGAAAGGCAGAAATGGGACACATTCATTGATCAGCTAAGAGCCCCAATAGATGACAGATGCTGTGCTAAATCCTAGACAGTTTGGGGGCCTCCTTAACCTCGTAAGCCCACCTCCTGTTTTTTTTTTTGTTTTGTTTTTACACAGGGTCTAAAGACAGGCTGGAGTGCAATAGCGTGATCACAGCTGACTGCAGCCTAGACCTACTAGGCCCAAGTGATCCTCCCACCTCAGCCTCCTGAGTAGATTAGGACCACAGGTGTGTACCACCATGCTTGGCTTTTTTTTCTTTTTCTTTTTCTTTTTGGTAGAGACAGTCTCCCTGCACAGAATTCCTGGGCTCAAGTATTCTTTCTGTCTCAACCTCCCAAACTGTTGGGATTACAAGCATGAGCCACCATGCCTGGCCCCACCTCCTTTTCAAAAGCACTTTTTATTCATAGGTTTTTCCTGTCAGAACAACATGGGTAATTATTACCTAGATTCAAATTTCAAATCCACTTAAGCAAATACCAAATTTTAAAATAAGACCTCAAAAGAAACTGAAACATGAATCAAAATTAAGGCAAATCAAAGTTAATTGTAATCTAAACTAAGCACATATCCAAAATCATTTGATTTTAGTTTACCTTTTTTAAAGAAGATCTAAGAAGAAATCATTGTTAAGTATCAACTCTTGGCCAGGCATTGAGAATTTTAATTTATAAGCTGAATATAATTTAATCCTCATAATAATCGCATAATAAATGTCATTCCTTTTTTTTTTTTTTTTTTTGAGTTGGAGTTTTGCTCTTATTGGCCAGGCTGGAGTGCAATGGTGCGATCTCGGCTCACCACAACCTCTGCCTCCTGGGTTCAAGTGATTCTCCTGCCTCAGCCTCCCAAGTTTCTGGGATTATAGGGATGCGCCACCATGCCCAGCTAATTTTGTATTTTTAGTAGAGACGGGGTTTCTCCATGTTGGTCAGGCTGGTCTTGGACTCCCCACCTCAGGTGATCTGCCCGCCTCAGCCTCCCAAAGTGCTGGGATTACAGGCATGAGCCACTGTGCCCGGCCCATTCCTTATTTTCCAAATGAAGAAACTGATTCCTAGAGAGCTTAAGAAACTTAGCCAAGTCACTCAGCTGATGGAAGCAGATCTAGGATTTAAATCCACTTGTTCTGATTTCAAAGAGAAACAATCTACAGATTTCTCCTAACTACTAAAATAGGGGTAGGAGAAACATGATCTGAAGTGCCAAATACTAGATAAGTTCACTGATGATTCATTAGGTAAAGTTTCTTGTTTAAAACTATTTTTCCTCAATTATTTGTTTTATCAAGGCAACCAAAGATATAGAAAATAAATAAATAGTATTAGTCTTTCTCTGACCATTGAGAGATAATGTCTTAGGAGTCTTGAAACAGCCAAAATATTAGAGCAGAAAATAAGTAGGAATCAAAGTTCCCAGCTGACAAATAAAAAAATAAATAAGTCCATGGCCAGGCGTAGGTGCTCACGCCTTTAATCCCAGTGCGTTGAGAGGCTGAGGCATGGTGGCATGCACCTGTAGTCACAGCTACTCGGCAGACTAAGGAAAGAGGATCGCTTGAGCTCAGGAGTTCAAGCTTACAGTGAACTCTGTGTCACTGCACTCCAGCCTGAGCAACAGAATGAGACCTGGTCTCCTAAAAAAAAAAAAAAAAAAAAAGTATATGAGAAATTGAGAATGTTTTGTGACAAAATTGCACAAAGGATTATTAAGATACTTTGTTTTAATCAATATTTCCTTTTGATACTTACCACAACTAAAAAGCTAAGCTTTTATAAAACATTGAAACCGAAAAGCAAAACCTCAAGCTTCACCCATATGAGTTTGCAATAATTAAAAAGAATGGATTAGACTTTTAAAATGCAAATAAATTCTAAATACCTGGTCTAGTCATGACCTTCTAAGTCCAGTTATCTCCATGTATTGGCAGTTACTTTCATTGAGCTACCAAGTGATTTTTTTTTACTAAGTCTATTCCCTCCTTGGAGTCTAAGTTTCCTGTTTTAAAACAATAGGAACTAAGTAGCTAAAAACTCTGAAAATAGTAAATCTATCAGTTTTATTCTATATAGATTATATAAAAAACAGAAATTTTATTTTTGTTTTAGAACTTTGTCAAGTTGCCTCCTATTGAATAATAAGGAAATATAGGGGAAATGTATTTTGGAATACGCAATAAACGTATGTGTATATATATTATGTATCACACTATAAATTACAACTTAAAAATCATCTTTGTTGAAATGATACCATAACCAGGGCTGGGGGTGCCAGATAGAGAAGGTAATTCATAAGGAAGACGTGGTGCTCTCACGCATGCCATCAATCTCTCCTCCCTCCATCCTTAGTAATTCTATTAACAGGGCCATATAACTCAGTCCCATTCCCATTCGCACACATACCTTCCAGCAATATGTTGTCATTTCTTCTTCTCCTTTGACATAGCACTTACTGTTCCTTGGTACATATTCCTCCTGAAGGAACAAAGCACTTGTCATTTTACTACAGAAAGCTAGAGAACATATAGTGTTTCTCAAAAGTGGTGTTTTTGTTAATGGGGTTGGATTTCTTGGTTGGGAAGCCATTTAGCATCCCTAACCCTGGGGTACTAAATGCCAGTGACTCCTCTCCCCAGTTGCAACAACAAATTCAAATAAAACAAAACACCAGCCCATATATTTCCATGACCCCTAGGGAGACAGTGTTTCCCTGACTGTCATTCACTATATTATATTCACAGTATTTTTTTTAACTGACCCTTCTCCACATCAAGAGGGTATTTCTGATTCATAATTTGAAGTTATTTGAAGTACCTTTTCCAGAGGTGAATATAGTTTTAAATGGAGATATTGACCTCTATAACAATGAACGGAAAGACAAAAAAAAGGTAAGAACTGTGGTAATGTTTACTCAAGAGCAATTAATATCAAATATTCGTGATTTGCACTGTATAAACAATATTCTGTTAAATCAGTAGGTCTCAAAGTGAGATCTGCAAACCCTTGGAGGTCTTGGGCAAAGCTGAGCAAGTTGGTCACTCTACTGTCACTTCAAGAAAAATAACTGGCGTTACATGTCACCAATGATAAAATTTAAGCTTTCAAGCTAAACCTAGAATTTTGAAAAACTTGTATTCTCCACAATGAGCTTGTCAGTTGCCCAATACTTGAAGACATTTCTGATGAAATTGGTGATGATAAGAATAAATGTGATTTGTGATACTGCCTAAAGAAATGTCAACATTTGGAAGATCTGCAAAATCAATGAGCCAGTATTTTCTAAATGACCAATGCATGATGTTACAGAATCACGCATGGATAATGATCCATTTAAAGTGCAAGACAGTGAATGAATTTTAAGGTAACAGAGACGAGAAGTTCATTGATATGGTTTCAGATCCACATTGCAAGCAACCTTCAAGAAACTACCACTTGACAAGTTGGATATAATAAGAGAAAAAAAATCTATAATTATCTTTTTTAAAAATGCTATTTCCAACTACATATCTGGATGAGGCCAGACTGTCTTCTTATACTTCAATCAAAGCAACATTATCACAACAGATTGAATCCAGAAACAGATATTAGAATCCAAATGTATTTTCTTAGTCCAAACATTAAAGATACTTGTAAAAATGTAAAATGCATTCTTATCACTAATTATATGTTCTATAAAATATATTATTTCTTCATTAAAACATATATATGGTGGTTCACGCCTGAAGTCCCAGCACTTTGGGAAGCCAAGGCAGGAGGATCGCTTGAGCCCAGGCGTTTGACGCTGTAGTGAGCTCTGATCATGCCACTGCACTCCAGCCTGGGCAACGGAGTAAGACCCTGTCTCTAAATAATAATGTTAATGACCAGGTGCGGTGGCTCATGCCTGTAATCCCAGCACTTTGGGAGGCCGAGGTGGGCAGATCACCTGAGGTCAGGAGTTGGAGACCAGGCTGGCCGACATGGTGAAACCCCATCTCTATTAAAAATACAAAAATTAGCCGGGCTTGGTGGCATATCCCTGTAATCCCAGCTATTCGGGAGGCTGAGGCAGGAGAATCGCTTGAACCTGAGAGGCAGAGGCTGCGGTGAGCCAAGATCATGCCACTGCACTCCAGCCTGGGTGACAGAATGAGACTCTGTCTCCAAGAAAAAAAAGAAAGAAAAAGAAAAGAAAAGAAAGAAAAGAATAATGTTAATAAATAAATATAAAAAACATATTATAGATGTTAATATTAAACGATGTGTTATTTTTAAAATTAATTGTTTTAAAGAAGTTTCCTTTTTTCTAGTATGGTAAATACTAATAAATAAAATTTTCTAAACAAAAAAGGTCTTTTAATTCTCAATTTTTAAGAGCACAAAAGTGTTCTGAGAAGAAAATGAGAACTGCCACATTAGATGGTTAATGCTATGATTTTTAACCAACTCAATTTTTTCCAAATTATTACTGTTTTGGCATACTAACATTCTAGCTATGTGGACTTTTTAGTTTTAATTCTAAAAGTAATCTCTGTTAAAATAAAGAAAACTTCAAGAGAACTTTGACCCTCATATTCATTAAAATTTTTTTAAGTGAGAAAGAGTTTCAATCTTCAATGTGATATCATACATGTGATTCTTTAGCACAGTAAGAAAAATGCTGGGAGAAACTTTTGTCAGGTTCCACTGTTAGATTCCATAAGGTCAATAGAAATAATTAAATTTCAATACTGTCTTCTTAAAATGTGTAGTCTGAGGAATTTCCTTTTTTTTTTTTTTTTCCCAAGACTAAGTCTTGCTCTGTCACCCAGGCTGGAGTGCAGTGGTGCAATCTCAGCTCACTGCAACCTCTGCCTCCCAGTTTCCAACGATTCTCCTGCCTCAGCCTCCCAAGTAGCTGGGATTACAGGCGCGCATCACCATGCCCAGCTAATTATTTTTACTTTTTAGTAGACACGGGGTTTCACCATGTTGGCCAAGCTGGTCTCGAACTCCTGACCTTGTGATCCACCCACCTCGGCCTCCCAAAGTGCTGGGATTACAGGCGTGAGCCACCGTGCCCAGCACAGTCTGAGGAATTTCTAATTTCATGCTTTATGAAAATTTTAATCAGAATTTTAAAACTGGTTTCTGGTATTTTCTTCAGAGCTCATTGATTGGTGTCCTAGAAAGGCTTCAACTATCTCTTTAGCTCTTTCACTGCTCTATAAATGTAGATGGACACTTTAGCTCTTACAAAGAAAAGAAGTTCCCCCCTAAAGGTGATAAGGCTCCATGTGAGGTCATAGAGTATTGGACATCCAAGCCAGAATAACTTCATTTACTAGCTATGTGTTTGTAGGCATGACACTTAACTTCCCTTGACTCGGTTTCTCCATTTGTAAAATGGTACCAACATCCAGGTAAAGTGTTTAGAAGAATAACTGGCATATAAAAACAGTAAGTGTTAGCTCTTATTTTACGAATAAATTAAGGAAAAGTTAACTTGCAAGAATGCATCCAGATTAGAATCATAGAAATGTAGAAATCATCTATAAATATGTCTATTATTGGAACATTCATAAGGATAGAATGTGGGGTAGGGCATAATGATTTGACAGGCCTGAAGATCCAGAAATTCAAATGTAATAGAAAGTTTGTCTGTATCCAACCAAATAGCTGAAGAAACTGTTTTTTTTTGAGACCGGGTCTCACTCTGATAGCACGACCACAGCTCACTATTGTCTTGATCTCCCAGGCTTAAGCAATTCTTCTGCCTCAGCCCTCCGAGTACCTGGGACCACAGGCCTGTACCACCATGCCTGGCTAATTTCTTTTTTAAACTTTTGTAGAGAGGGGGTCTCCCTGTGTTGCCCAGGCTGGTCTTAAACTCTTGGGTTCAAGTGATCCTCCTTCCTCGGCCTACCAAAGTACTGGGATTACAGGCATGAGCCATCACGCTCAGCCAAAAACATTTTTTAAGATTCTAGGTGTAAAGAATGTCTTCATTCTTAGGTGAAGATGAATACCAATATTACTTCTATACAGTTAGTCTCTGAGCTAATTTTATATCTAATGAATTACAAATAAAATTCATGAGTTAAAGTTAAAAGACAAATTACTATGAGCCTCAATTTTTAAGAATATCAATCCATACATATATTATTTTGTTGTATATCTGTAGCAGAGACATTTTATTAGTTGCCGTTAGTGTACACAAGTAAATAGAGATTCATGTCTTAAAATATTATACCATGCCATAATTACAAATGTTCTCCACCTTGCTATGTTTCCACTGTTTCTCTTGCCAAATGACCTCAATTTGTCAACACTAAAGAAAAACAGCCAGGCGCAGAGTGGTGTGGGCCTGTAGTCCCAGCTACTTGGGAGGCTGAGGTGGGAGGATTGCTCAAGCCCAGGAGTTCTGGGCTATAGTGCAGGAGTTCTGGGCTGTAGTGCGCTATGCCAATCAGGTGTCCGCACTAAGTTCGACATCAATATGGTGACCTCCTGGGAGGGGACCACTAGGTTGCCTAAAGAGGGGTGAACTGGCCCAGGTCGGAAATGGAGCAGGTCAAAAGTCCCGTGCTGAACAATAGTGGGATCGCTCCTGTGAATAGCCACTGCATTCCAGCCTGGCAATATAGCAAGACCCCATCCCTAAAAGAAAAAAAAAAAAAAATTTAAAAAAATCATTTTCCTAGTCTGTATTCTTGTTAATATAGCACATTAAAATGTACCTTAAGTATCATAAGAATGTGACATGCTGCTACTACAGATCACATTAATTTTAATAGATGAAAACAAAAAGAAGCAAATAGGAAACAGCATAAATATTTTTTCTCATGTAACCAAATGTTTCAGTATTACTGCAGAGAAAATTTGATCTAATCTTGTCCTTATCACATTTTGGGTTCTAATGTATCAGTGGTGCCTTCAGAAATGAACATAAGCACTTTATTTTTACTCCTGTGCCTTGTACTGTATAAATGATAAGCTGGCTTTTAAGAGAGATTGCTATATTGCTTTTTCATCTTCCCTTCAGAATTTTAGGCATGAGTGTTATGCTCCATCACCTTGAATAAATGATTAATAATTCTTCTTTACCAATACAACTTCAATTATATATGATTGCTGCTGTGTTTTGCAAACTTTAAAATTATGGTGATGGACTGGTTAAAGTTATGATTTCTCTTTTTAATAAACCACCAACAGATTAAAAAGAAATATCTCAGGAGCTGCTGAATCTTCTACCACACCTAAAATTCAAGAGATATAATTTGTGAGAGCACAATATGTTCAGAATAACTATCACATAGAATACCATATGTGCAACTGGACATTCTACATGTCTAATTTCATAATTTCAATGCTAATTTCTTTTTTATGTTTGTTTTTCTTCACTATGTCCTATGCTTATGAATGCTAATTTCATAAGCATTTGAGCCAAATCTTGACCTACAGATGTCAAGAAAAAGTTTATATATGTAGAATTCTTAACAAGCAAAGTTGTTATTCTGAAAATCACTTATTTTTCTTTTATAAATATTTTATAGGATTCTTTATTTAAATAAATATAATTTTTAAAATAGGCCAGTCACAGTGGGTCATGCCTGTAATCCAGCACTTTGGGAGGCCAAGGCGGGCAGATCACTTGAGCTCAGGAGTTCCAGACAAGCCTCGCCAGTATGGTGAAATCTGTCTCTACCAAAAATACAAAAATTAGCCAGGCACAGTGGTGCTCCCCGGTAATCCCAGCTACTCGTGAGGCTGAGGCCGAGAATCGCTTGAACACGGGAGGCGGAGGGTGCAGTGAGACGAGATCGCCCCACTGCACTCCAACCTGGGTGATGAAGAGAGACCCTGCCTCAGTAAATAAATAAAATGATTACTTAATTAAATAATGTGGTATATGTTGCTATGTAAACATCCTACATATTGTACTATAATAATGTTAGAACATTAACATAAATGCATGCTAAAAGTTACACATAATCTCAAATCTATGTTGTAGACATGGTTTTTGCTTGCCTAGCATCTCTCTAGAGCATCATTCTCCTCCAGTTCTGAATCCATGTTCTTCTGATATGGAGATTTCAAACCTGAGTCCAAGAGAGGCATGTAGCCAAAGTGATTAGCTCAGGCTGAGCCGATCAGAATGAATCCCAGGCTTATGCTAGAGTATTAAAAGAGTCTAAACTGGCAGGTCCTGCCCAAGAATAAAGGCCATGAAGAATAATGCAAGGCTGACCACTAGAAAAAGAGAAATTGAATCTTGCACCATTATTTCACTCCCTGGATCCATCGCTGCCAAAATTCTGATAACCTCTGGACTTTTTAGTCACATAAGAAAGCAATTCTCATTTTTCTTTTAAGAGGCTTCAAGTTGGTTTCTACTGTTTGCAAGAAAAAGTGCTCTTATTAATACAATCCACTACTCTAGCAATTAAAAAAGAAAATACCTAACACTCAACTTGGGTAAGATTGTGATGAATCTGTTTCCCCAAATACTCCAGGGGATTGTAAATCATTTTAAAGGCTTAGAAAGTAATATGAATATAATGAACTGCATATCATGTCCTACTATTTTGCTGAAGGATACAATATGACTGGTGAAAAAATTAATTGCAGTGTTATACATGTCCTCCAAAATTAAATGCAACCTTTGTCTTAACTATTGGACAATGACTAAGAACTGTATATGATACTATGTCAATATTATTCAATTTATCAAGTCTCAAATTGTAATGATTATGCAAAAAGGAAATACCATATGAAAAGAATCAAACCAATATTGTATTTATTATAATAATTACAGCTACATAAAGTGATATGAACATAGAGGCAAGTGGTTTTCAACCCTGGATGCATATCAGAATCTCCTGAGGAGTGTTGTAAAAAAAGTAAAAAAGTTGATGCTTCAGAAATTCTGATGTAATTGGTCTGGGGTAGATCCCAGGCATTGGTATGTTTCTAAAGCTTCCCAGGTGATACTGATATGCAAGTGTTAACAAAAGCTTTAGAATTATGAAAAAGCCACTCACGATAAATCAACAAATATTTCATTTTTACATATTTGTTTATTTGCAACTTGGCATTTTCACATATCCAAAAATTCACTTATTTGGCATATTCATATCTTCACAAGTTCTTTACATGTTGGCATTTCTTTCATCCATGGTTAAACCTCAAAATCATAGTCTCTCTGGTGACTGAGAAAAAGATGGTAGCTCAATTATACCCTTGAATATAGCAGAGAAGAGAATGAGGATTTGGGGGCATCTTTTCAGGTATAAATTAATTTATGGGTACCGCAATATCTAGAATGTCCCAGTCTCTTGTTTTAATAATTTTAATGATTCTGATATTACATTTACAATTTTCATTGTTTTTAGTAGTTTAGTCATACTAGTGCCTCCATCTCTGTCCCCTTTACTGGACCCTCTAAACGTTGGAGAAAGCCAGAGCTCAGGCCTGAGCGCTCCCCACACACTGACTACTTGGGTGATCCATGCAAGTATGGCTCCCAAATATTCATCTCAGGTCTGACCTGTCTCCTGAACTCCAAATATCCAACAGCCTACTAAACATCTTCACTCGAATACTAATAAGCAGCTCCACCTTAACCAGAACTAAACTCTCAATTCTTATCCCCATACTTGATCCTTCCCCAGTGTACCTCATCTTAATAAATGATACCACCATTCACCTATCTGAACCAACCCTTGGTAACATCCATGATTCTCAATCTCAATCCCTGTGCACTTCACCAGAAAATCTCTTTGCCTATACCTTAAAAATAGATCTTGGGCTCAACTCACTTCCTATCAATTTCAATGCACTAATTTATTCCAAGACATCAGGATCTCAAACAGATTCCTATACACAGCTTCCTAACAGCCACCCTGCTTTCACTCTTGTCCCCATTGACTAAATTAGATCAGATCATTTCTCTTCCTACCTTACAACTCTCTTTCTATCACAAGCAAAATAAAACCTGTGTTTGCACCCCTGCCAGCCTCTGTGTGCTCTGGCACCTGGCTCACTCTCCGACTGCCTCTCTTAATACTCTCCCATCACTCACTGAGCCCTAGGCTCACAAGCCCCTTGATTTTCCTCAAAGATCCCAAGCCTCAGGGCCTTTTCTGTTGCTGATCTTATGCCTTAGTTGCTCTAACCCAAGATCTTTATATGGCTCAGCCCATTACACTTTTCTCAAGTGTCTATTAAAGGTAACCTCTCAGAGAGGCATTTCCTAAAAGCCTAAAGAGCTCTGCCCCTCATCACCCACAGCACTCCGTCCCTTTAAGATGTTTAATTTTCCTCTTAGCGCTTTTCGCTACCTGATATTTTACATGTAGCTACTTATTATCTGACTTCCCCATAATCTCCATGAACACAGGAGCTTGACCTGTTTCGTTTACTGAGGCATCCCTAAACTTTAATACAATGCTTGGTACACAGTAGGCAGTCAATAAATGTCTGCAGAATTACTGAATGAATCGATCAATCAGAAAACAATGAATCAAATGTGTTTTGTTTATTCCATATGGACTTAATGTTTTAGAGCAATTTTAAGTTCACAACAAAATGAGCAAAAAGTACAGAGATTTTCCGTATACGCTTAGCTGCAATACATGCATAGCCTCTCTGATTATCAGCATCCCACACCAAACAGGTACATTTGCTACAATTGATGAGCCTACACTGACTCATCCTTATCATCCAAAGCACATAGTTACGTTAGAGTTCACTCTTGGTGTGCATTCTATGGGTCTGGACACATGTATAATGACATGTATTTACCATTATAGTATCACACAGAGGAGTTCCACTGTCTCAAAACTCCTCTGTGCTCCTATTCATCCCTCCCTCCTCCTTAACTCCTGGCAACCACGAATCCTTTTACTGTCTCCACAGTTTTTCCCTTTCCAGAATGCCACACAGAGGGATTAACCAAGTGTTTTTTGTTTTGCTTTGTTTTTTCTACAGATGGCCAACTTAGGTCACAGTGCTCTTGTAGCACTGGCTTGGGAATTTAAGAGTTGCTCACCTGGGAATTGTAAATTTTATTTATTTATATGACAGTGATTAAAAATAACTTACAGCCAGGCGCAGTGGCTCACGCCTATAATCTCAGCACTTTGGGAGGCTGAGGCAGGTGGATCATGAGGTCAGGAGTTTGAGACCAGCCTGGCCAACATGGTGAAACCTTGTCTCTACTAAAAATACAAAAATTAGCCTGGCGTGGTGGTGCACGCCTGTAGTCCCAGCTACTCAGGAGGCTGAGGCAGGAGAATCGCTTGAACCCGGGAGGCAGAGACTGTAGTGAGCCAAGATCGCACCACTGCACTCCAGCCTGGGCAACAGAGCGAGACACTGTATCAAAATAATTAAATAAAAATAAAAATAAAAATAACTTACAACGACCGAGCGCAGTGTCTCATTTCTATAATCCCAGCACTTTGGGAGGCCGAGGCGGGTAGATCACTTAAGGCCAGGAGTTCAAGACCAGCCTAGCCAACATGATGAAACCCCATCTCTACTAAAAAATACAAAAATTAGCCGGGTGTAGTGGCGCATCCCTGTAATCCCAGCTACTCGGGAAGCTGAGGCACAAGAATCACTTGAACCTGGAAGGCGGAGGTTGCAGTGAGCTGAGATGGCACCACCGCACTGCAACCTGGGTGACAAAGAGTTGCTCTTTTTTCTCCTGTCAGCTCAGGTTGTTGCCTTGATTTCAGAGAAGTTGTGTTAAAAAAATAAGAATTTTGGCTGGGCGCGGTGGCTCATGCCTGTAATCCCAGCACTTTGGGAGACCGTGGCAGGCGGGTCATGAGGTCAGGAGATTGAGACCATCCTGGCTAACACAGTGAAACCCCATCTCTACTAAAAATACAAAAAATTAGCTGAGCGTGGTGGCGGGCGCCTGTAATCCTAGTCACTCGTGAGGCTGAGGCAGGAGAATCGCTTGAACCCGAGAGGCGGAGGTTGCAGTGAGCAGAGATCACACCACTGCACTCCAGCCTGGGTGACAGAGTGAGATTCCGTCTCAAAATAAATAAATAAATAAATAAATAAATAAATAAATAAATAATAATAATAATTTTATTTAAAATATTATTTAATATAGAGATAGTGGTCTCAGTATGTTGCCCAGCCTGGTCTCAAATGTCTGGCCTCAAGCAATACCCCCACCTTGGCCTCCCAAAGTGCTGATATTACAGAGGTGAGCCACCACACCTGACGCGGAGAAGCTCTCAATACTCATGCTCATTTTAAAGTAGGCAGTTAAGGCAGATAACTCAATCAACTATGGTAGGACTAGGAAGGATTAAGTCTGTGGTCTTCTCTGGACCACACCATTCCTTAGAGACTTGGCTGAGTCTTGCCTAACAGATGCAGACATACACATGTTATGTGCCCTTTGTAGTTCCCTTGTCTTCTGTCATGACATTTACTGTAGCTCCCAGAGTGTAATAAAAGAAAAGGCCTGGCCGGGCATGGTAGCTCACGCTTGTAATCCCAGCACTTTGGGAGGCCAAGGCAGGCAGATCATAAGGTCAGGAGTTGACACAATCCTGGCCAACACAGTGAACCCCCGTCTCAACTAAAAATACAAAAATTAGCTAGGCGTGGTGGCAGGCACCTGTAATCCCAGCTACTTGGAAGGCTGAGGCAGGAGAATCACTTTAACCCGGGAGGTGGAGGTTGCAGTGAGCCGAGATGGCACCACTGCACTCCAGCCTGGGCGACAGAGGTAGACTCCATCTCAAAAAAAAAAAAAAAAGAAAGAAAGAAAAGAAAAGAAAAGGCCAGCAGAAAGTTAAGATTAGGTTCATATATGGTTCTACTCCTCACTGTGAGTATGGCCTTGGGCAAGTTATTTAACCTCTTTGGCTTCAGTTTTCTCATCTGTAAAACAGACATGATTATAGTAATTAGATTACACTTCATAGAGTTGTAATGGTTAAATGACTTGATAAGTAAAAAATATTCAGAACAGTGCCTGGAACATAACAAACACTATGTAAGTGTTAATGATAAGTGTTAATGATTTTATCACTATTATATGTGCCTCAGCTTCCAATGTATGTCTGTGTTTTGACTGGACTAAGTGATAAATTTTCATTAAGTTCAAATTCTCCCTCAATGCTTCTCACATAAATCTGAGTTAGGAATTCCTTTAATCTCACATTGGATCATTATGTAGTTAAAGTAACAAACAATGAAATTACATTATTTAAACTTTGAAATTCAAATTCTAATAGACATTTTTTTTTTTCCTGATCCTAAATATGCCTGTGTTTGCTAGAAGTGCCATAAGAAAGTATCACAGACGTGGTGCCTTAGACAACAGATATTTATTTTCTGGCTGGGCACAGTGGCTCATGCCTATAATCCCAGCACTTTGAGAGGGGAGTTCGAAACCAGCCTGGGCAACATGGTGAGACCCCCATCTCTACCAAAAAAAAAAAAAAAAAAAAAAATTACCCTGGTGTGGTGGCGTGCACCTGCCCAGCTACTCAGGAGGCTTACGTGGGAGGATCCCTTGAGCCTGGGAGGTCGAGGCTGCAGTGAGCTGTCATCAACCACTGCACCCCAGGCCTGGGTGACAGAACAAAAGCCTGTCTTAAAAAAATAAATTTAAAAATTTTTCAGTTATTTCTCACAATTCTGGAGGCTAGAAGTCTGAGATCAAGGTGTAGGTAGGGTTGGTTTCTCCCAAGGCTTCTCTCCTTGGCTTATAATGGCTATCTTCTCCCTATGTCTTCACATGGTCTTACTTCTCTATGTGCCTGTCCTAATTTCTTTTTCTTCTAAGGATATCAGTAAAATTGGATTATGACTCACCCTAATGACCTCATTTTAATTTAATTACCTCTATAAAAATTCTGTCTCCAAATACAGTCACATTCTGAAGTACTGAGGACATGAACATATGAATTTTGGATGGACATAATTCAGCCCATTAAAATACTACATCACTTATATCTAACTACTTTTTTATAAAGCTGGAATAACTTGATACCTAAATACAGTATATGAACTCTATCATAATTATAAGTCAGTGCAAATAATTAAAAATTGTGGGAAAACACAATTATTGATACCAAATCCATGTGAAAAGAGGTCTTCCCCAAATTAAATAAAACGGAATGCCAAGTCATAGCTTAACTATAATGATGAATAGCATCATAGATAAATGAATTTCCTATAACTATTTCTCTATTTCACAGAAAATAATATTTTTAAGAGTTTATTTATAAACTGTCAGTGAAGATATGCCAAATGCCAAAAAAACTATAAAAAGATGATGAAGTTATATTTTGGTACTTGAAAAATGGTGATGTTAAATAATTTTTAAGGCTAATTTAAAATTAACTTTAAAAATAGGTGTAAAGATAATAAAATTTGAAAATGCAGAAGACATTAATTCAATTTAAAAATTTAGGTTGGTTTCAGAAATACTTTAGTGTTTTTTTAAATTAAAATTATTACTTTATAAGTCCTGAATCAACTTTTTTGTCTTGCTATTAGCTGCCAATTTACAAATGGGTTGGCCCCTGAATCTATGTGTATATTAATGCAAACTTGGGGATAACAGAACAAAAGTTATCAATAGAATATTAAGAGTTACAGATTTTAGTCCTAGATTCCAACCAGACTTACTCGATTAATATTTAAAACAAAAAAATGGAAATATTTGGAGGAAAAAATATAATAAATTGAAGCAGGGACTGTATTATAAACTTTAGAATAGGTTTTGTCTGGGATTAAATAAATTTGTTCAGGAGCTAGGCTCAAATAAGTCTTGAGTAGAAAATCATTTTAAGACAAAAACAGATTGTAGTACCATCTGCTCTTCTAATATATCATTTCTTCCATAACATGAAGGGACAAAGATCATCTGTTATGCATTTTCTTGCTTTTAGTGATTAATACAAGATCTAGATAATAAACCAGATTTTCCTAAATCCCTTTGCCACTACAAAAAAAATTACAGATAAAATCCCATAATTTCTAATGCACAAGTAACTCTGATGTGAAGCAAGGACTTAAGAATTTTGAATGAAAAGTTTTAAGTGCTGTAGGAGTTACTGATGTACAGTTCAATCTATTTGCAACTAATAGCCAAAGAGATGAATTCTAAAGTGCAAGGCCTGAGCTATTCACCATAAAATGCCTTGTTTAATGCTTCTTTAATGAAATCAAATCGTTAAGATAATGAAAACAAAGAGAAAGGTCAAGTCACTGAGGATAAGCCAGTTAACCTTATATCTTATTGCATATAACAGCACAGAGTAAGAAACCAATCTTCATACATTAACTTTATTTCATATTCCTAATGCTTATGAATAAATCATCCGTAATTAAATAATATGCACTGCTTTTCTGAAAAACTACTATTAGTAGTTAGAATTGGTTTGTGTTTTTCAGATTTGATATGTATCTGCCAGGGAACTCCCGATGGAGTCAAAGTGGTATGCTGTACCCTTGGGCACTTACTGAATCTATCTGAGTATCTGAGAAACAATGAGAGAAAGAGAAGCTAATAAAGACTTTAGTAAAACAGCTCAAGATAATTCTCTCAACTCCCTAAATTAGCCTGAAATTACATTTCATTTCACACAAAAGAAAGCAACAAGTAATTTCACTATACTGTTATAACCCCCTCTCACAATATTTCATTTTCCAGAAATCAAATTCAGATGCTGTATATTGCAAAAGTACTTGTGGGTATATGGACATATACCTCCATTAGCACAAAATTGAAAGGCCACTTTATTTGTCTTTTGCTCCCAAATACTTTTTTTCTTTTGAGATGGAGTCTTGCTCTGTCATCCAGGCAGGAGTGCAGTGGCACTATCTGGGCTCACTGCAACCTCCGCCTCCTGGGTTCAAGCGATTCTCCTGCCTCAGCCTCTGAGTAGCTGGGATTACAGGCATGCACCACCACACCCAGCTAAGTCTTTGTAGTTTTAGTAGACAGGGTTTCACCATTTTGGCCAGGCTGGTCTCAAACTCCTGACCTCAAATGATCCGCCCGCCTCAGCCTCCCAAAGTGCTGGGATTACAGGCGTGAGCCACCTCGCCCAGCCTTCTCCCAAATTCTAAACTGTATTTGCAAAAAAGAAATTTAAAACTACAAATAACATTGCCATTTATCTTTTAGCAGCATGCTTAAAACACATGTAAAAATAAACTTCATCCTTCTGGAATTTTGCTGATTTTCACCTAAGAAATATATACAAATTTAAGGTTTTTCTTTTATTGAAGTTTTATTCTTTATCTGAAGTCAAATGGTAATGGTTCGAGTCTGTTTTTGGAAACTAAAATAAATCAAAATGAAAAGGTAAGCGTTTATTTTCTCCATATGAAATTTATCCCATTTCCCATTGTTTTCTACACAATAGGACATTTCAAGTTAAAAAGCTACTTTCACTGTGAACAAATGACCCGTAAGAGCAGCAATCAGCTTTTTTTCTGCAGAAACCTTCACTAGTGATGATCTCCATAGACACACTCCCAAGAAGTCTCTAAAATGTTCACTCTAACTTCATTCATTTTTTTCCTTTCAAGAGAGTTCATGAGAATGCAAGTGAATGTGAGTAAAAATCTCATCATAAAATAGTTCATCTTGAATATACTCTGCTTATAAAGAAAATAAGTAACCTAGCCAGGCTTGGTGGCTCACACCTGTAATCCTAGCACTTCGGGAGGCCGAGACAGGCAGATCACTTGAGTTCAGGAGCAAGACCAGCCTTGGTAACCTGGTGAAACCTGGTCTCTACAACAAAATATAAAAATTGGCCAGGGCCGAGTGCAGTGGCTCACTCCTGTAATCCCAGCACTTTGGGAGGCCAAGGGGGGGTGGGTCACCTGAGGTCAGGACTTCGAGACTAGCCTAGCCAACATTGTGAAATCCCATCTCTGGTAAAAAAAAAAAAAACAAAATTAGCCAGCCGTGGTGGTGTGCACCTGTAATCCCAGCTACTCGGGAGGCTGAGGCAAGAAAATCGCTTGAACCCAGGAGGCAGAGGTTGCAGTAAGCCAAGATCGTACCACTGCACTCCAGCTTGGGCAGCAAAGTGAGACTCTGTCTCAGAAAAAAAAAAAAAGAAAAGAAAATTAGCCAGGCATGGTGGCACTCATCTGTAAGTCCCAGCTACTTGGGAGGCTGAGGCAGGAGGATTGCTTGACCCTGGGAGTTTGAGGCTGCAGTAAGCTGTGATTGTGCCACTACACTTCAGTCTCAATAGAGCAAGACCCTGTCTCAATTTTAAAAATAATAATTAAAAAATGAAGAAAGAAAAGTTACCATTCCTCCAAGTTTCATAATGTAATTACTATCAGTAAATAATTACTTATGATACATTGATATATTGCAACCCTTCAGTGGAGATACATATTTTGGATTTTTTTTTTTTTTTTTTTTTTGAGATGGAGTTTAGCTCTTTTTGCCCAGGCTGGAGTGCAATGGCACAATCTCAGCTCACCACAACCTCTGCCTCCCGGGTTCAAGCGATTCTCCTGCCTCAGCCTCCCGAGTAGCTGGGATTACAGGCATGCACCATCATGCCTGGCTAATTTTGTATTTTTTAGTAGAGACAGGTTTTCTCCATGTTGGCCAGGCTGGTCTCGAACTCCCGACCTCAGGTGATCCTCCTGTCTCGGCCTCCCAAAGTGCTGGGATTACAGGCTTGAGCTACCATGCACGGCCTTGGATTATTTTTAAGATAAGATTTTCCTGTGTATATTCAATTTTGAAAACTAAATCTCATGATTCCTATTAAATATACCTATATTTTTCAGACCCGTATTTTAGAGCTATTAAAGACAATTTTCCCATGCACAAGCTAAGAAAATACATTCAGTTGTACTTTCCAGAATTCAAGCCTGAAACATTTATCTCATTGTCTTGTTTCAGGTAATATCTACCATATTCACAACAATCTCTTAAAATTAGTACATGACTTGAAACCAATTATTTAAAACCAATTATTTAAATAATTGGTTAAAATTATTTAAAAATCTGAAATGCTTGAATGTATTGAGTTCTTAAGATTAATATTTTGTAAGCTACTCCCATTACTCTTTTAAACCTACAGCATAACTGACTGATACTATGCTCTAATTAAAACACTATACATTATAGTTTGATTCAACAAAAGAATAAATTAAAAGTTGCCTTCAATAAAATAAAAATCTCAATTACATTCCAAACATCCACCCAAAGTATTTAATTAAAAAACAAGGCTTTTATCTTTTGACTCTAGCTAAGGAAGCACATTCACGAATGACAGTTAGGCACCCAAAATTTAATTTTTAAAAAGGATTGTGTTTGTAGCATTTATAAATGGATGCCTTAATTGCACTGACATGATTGTTGCAAACTAAAAGTGACTCCATTAATCAAATGATAGAAAAAGTTACTAAAAAAATAAAAATCTAGCTGGATGTGGTGGTGCATAACTACAGACCTAGATACTCAGAAGGTTAAGGTATCAGGATCTCTTGAGACCAGGGCTTTCAGGCCAGCGTGGGCAACATAGTGAGAACTCATTTCAAAACAAATTTTTTTTTTAAATTCCTGCTAATCTTCCTAATAAATGCAAAACGAGTTCCTACGAAGTGAAGCAACTTTAAATGTAGAGCTAGAATATGGGCATCTTGCTTAAGTGAACTTGTGACAAACACTATCCTTCAGTGAGTTTAATGACACCAACTGACAATCTAACAATCAAATGGGAGAATAAAGAATAAAACTATTCCAGATTAATGCATGTGATAGTAAACAAATGTAACTTGCTGAACAATGTTTACAACATTGCATTCCACTTTCTCTCCCTCACAACTACATGAGGATAGATTACCATTTAATATTTGCAAAGCAGACCTAATTTGGAAAGAAATATTCTAGACACATTGTGAGCCACAATTATTTAAATAAGAGTTTTATATGAGTGTGTGGAAAAATTTCCTGGAAAAAAATTAAGAGAAATTCCTTCCTTGGGCAAGTGATTTGTCTGCTTCAAAACAGATGTTAGAGTTAAAAATATATAATTTATTTTCAAAGCAATTTATAGGAAAACTGATTATCATTTTTCAACTATGACAAAAAATTGTAAGAGTTTTACAAAAAGTTTTGTTTATTGATATAGTGTGTGACATTTTAGAGTTAGATTTTAAGTGGATATGAGTAGAATGTAGGAATCAACAGGAAAATGTAAGTGGCTTCACCAGACATAATCTGTATTTCTTTTGCTTGCTGCCATTCTATGCTCATACCTGATTTTATAAATGAACAAGACAAGCACTTTATCTTTAGAAAGTATTGAAGAGAAAACTGTAGAAATAAATCACTATGAAAAGGTTAGTTTTAACATAATAGTTTCATTTGAGAAAAACTGGACTTTAAACAAATCTGTTTACTTATAAAGTAATGATTGAATCATTTTTATGCTAAACATTACAGTCATAATAAAAAAACTAAGCAATAAAATCGTGAAGAAATGCCAATAACTATATCTGGGGCAAAGACTCAGACAGAGCTGTCATGATTGCCTTTAATGAACTACAAATGTGGATTAGCATTTTTAAAACAACTATTATCATGGTCATCTAATTTTTTAAAAAAGTTTAAATCCCTTTAATTAACAGAGTAAGACAATCAAATGGGAAAATCAAAAGTACAAAAATCATAATATACCAACTACTTGGTTTAAGAATGTAATATAATCTATTTTTTTCTACAACAGAAACAACATGAACCACAGCTATATTTGTTGTACACAAATATTTAAAATTAGTTAGCATTTCAGGAGCAGCAGTATAGGAGGCACATGAGAATAAGAACATCATTATTGGGCCAGGCATGGTGGCTCATGCCTGTTATCTCAGCACTTTGGGAGGCTGAGGAAGGCAGATCACTTGAGGCTAGGAGTTCAAGACCAGCCTGGCCAACATGGTGGAACCCCATCTTTATTAAAAAACACAAAAATTAGCCAGGTGTGGTGGCACACACATTTAACCCTACCTACTCAGGATGCTGAGGCATGAATCGCTTGAACCTGGGAGGCATAGGCTGCAGTGAGCTGTGATCATGCCAGAGAATAGACATATTAGAAAACTAGCTCAGTTGGCCGGGTGTGGTGGTTTGTACCTGTAATCCCAGCACTTCGGGAGGCCGAGGCAGGTGGATCTATTCAGCTCAGGAGTTTGAGATCACCCTGGCCAACATAGTGAAACCCTGTCTCTACTAAAAATACAAAAATTAGCAGGAGTGGTGGTGCATGCCTATAATCCCAGCTACTTGGGAAGCTGAGGCATACGAATAACTCGAACCCCAGAGGCAGAGGTTGCAGTGAACCAACATCACACCTCTGCACTCCATCCTGGGTGACAGAGTGAGAGAAAGGAAAGGGAAAGGGAAAGGAAAGGAAGAAGGAAGGAAGGAAAGAGAGACAGAAAGAGAAAGAAAGAGAGGGAGGGAGGAAGGAAGGAAGGGAGGGAGGGAGGAAGGAAACAAACCAGCTCAGTGTCTTTTTATCTGCTCAACCTCATAAATTATTTAAATTCTCTGGGATAAAAAAGAAGAAACATTGTCTACATGTAGTATTATGTCAAGGATTATATGAGATTACATAAATATATATATATATATACATATATATATATATATATATATATATATATATATAAATAAAACCTGGCACACAGCAGGTGCTAAATAAACCATTGTTGTTGAAATTGATTGGTACAGTTGACAGATAAAATTATCTGTGCATCAACCCAGAAATACAACAGAAGGCCAGGCGCAGTGACTCATACCTGCAATCCCAGCACTTGGGGGGCCACGGCAGGCAGATCACTTGAGCCCAAGAGAAAGAGACCAGCCTGGGCAACATGGCGAAACCCCATCTCTACTAAAAATACAAAAGTTAGCTGGGTGTGGTGATGTGCACCTATGGTCCCAGCTACTGGCAGGGCTGGGGTGGGAGGACTGCTTGAGCCCAGAAGGTCAAGGCTGAAGTGAATGGTGATTGCACCATTGCACTCCAGCCTGGGCGACAGAGTGAGACCCTGTCTCAAAAAAAAAAAAAAAAAAAAAAAAAAAAAAAAAAAGGCTTAATCTTATCTGTGAGGCTTTTGGGCCCACAATTTAATTACACATTGGATGCAGAATATGCTATCCATTCACTGGCACTCCAAATTTCCTGGACTCCTATTTCCCCAAATGTATATTTTATTAAGAGAGAGATAAAAAGTATGAAACAATTCAACTGTCATTGAACCACGTCATATTTATTTGGTATCCAGACTCTTAAAACATAACATTCTAGCCGGGCGCAGTGGCTCACGCCTGTAATCCCAGCACTTTGGGAGGCTGAGGCGGGCGGATCACGAGGTCAGGAGATCGAGACCATCCTGGCTAACACGGTGAAACTCTGTCTCTACCAAAAATACAAAAAATTAGCTGGGCGTGGTGGCGGGCGCCTGTAGTCCCAGCTACTCGGGAGGCTGAGGCAGGAGAATGGCGTGAACCCGAGAGGCGGAGGTTGCAGTGAGCTGAGATCATGCCACCGCACTCCAGCCTGGGCGACAAAGCAAGACGCTGTCTCAAAAACAAAACAAAACAAAACAAAACAAAACATACATTCTAAAATTAAATTTGGTTTAAAACTATTCATTGATATTCATAAAATAGGACCTGATTTTCAGTGACACTAAATTTCTCTAAGCACTGACATTCATGTTGAAATGAGAACTGAAGAATTCAGGGTAGTCAAAATGAATCATTAGGAATTAGACACATTTTCAAACTTTTTAATTCAAAGAGATGCTAAGGTTTCAACCTTGGTTTCTTTTGATTATTGAAAACAAAACCTTCTTTTAAGTCCAAATTCTCTACCTTAGAAAACAATTATTTTTAAAGCTCTTTTCCATAATCATAATTTTTTTCTACAATGAAACCTTTGAAATCCAGAGAAATTATTTAATCTTGAGAAGCTGTCTCATGTATATCAAAAAAAAAAGTAGAGAGAGAAGTAAGGAACAAGACAGTAATAAACTTTCACATATAAACTCACTTATGAATTACATGGTATACATCTGAGATATTCAAAGGGAGGACTATGTCCAGTGAAGACCATCAGCAACATCATGGAGCATGTTAGAATTACAGAATCTCAAACCTATTCAATCAGGACCTGCATTTTAGAAAAATTTCTGGGTGACTTACATGCATATTAAAGTTTGAGCTACAATGGTAAAACAATCTGACACACTAATATTAAGAACATCTGGTTTTTTCTTTTCTTTTCTTTTCTTTTTTTTTTTTTTTTTTTTTTGAGACTGAGTTTTGCTCTGTTGCCCAGGCTGGAGTGCAGAGGCGTGATCTTGGCTCACTTCAACCTCCACCTCCCAGGTTCCATGATTCTCCTGCCTCAGCCTCCTGAGTAGCTGGGATTACAGGCGCTTGCCACCACACCTAGCTAATTTTTGTATTTTCAATAGAGACAGGGTTTCAATATGTTGGCCATCTGGTCTCAAGCTCCTGATCTCAAGTGATCACCTGCCCTGGCCTCCCAAAGTGTTGAGATTACAGGCATGAGCCACCACACCCAGTCCTTTCCTTTTCTTTTCTTTTTACTTTTTGTTCTTTTCTTTCTTTCTTCCTTTTTTTTTTTGACAGGTCTCACTCTATTGCCCAAGCTGGAGTGCAGTAGTGCAATCATAACTCACTGCAATTTTGAACTTCTGAGCTCAAGCGATCTTCCCACCTCAGCCTCTCCAGTAGCTGGAAGTACAGGCATGTGCCACCATGCCCGGCTATTTTTTTTATTTTTTTATTTTTAGTAGAGACTGAGGTCTCACTATGCTGCCCAGGTTGGTCTTGAACTCCTGAGTTCAAATGATCCTCCTACCTCAGCCTCCCAAAATGCTGGGATTACAGGTGTGAGTCACCACCCACCCCCAAACCCCCAACTGCCACCCTGATTTTTACATCATAATAATGAAATCAAGTGGATTCAGTGATGAAATTACTCTGTATACTTAAAAGCCAGGAAATCTGGGCTGAAAGGCACTTCAAAACTAAAATTTCCCCTAAACCTCTACTCGCAGGAAAAGTAGATAGAAGGGAAAAAAACCTATTAGAGATCCAGTTCATCCTTAGTTAAAATTCTCTCTTTCCTCTCACTCAACCATCACTTTTCTTTTTCTTTTTAGAGCCCAAGAAGCCAATTTCAGAAAACTGAGTTAAATTGCATCAGAAAGCAGCTTTCTGCCGAAGTCGGATTACTGACAACACAAAAACTCTTTTTTTAAAAAAAGAGATCACCCAATTATCTGGCTTTATTTCACAGGGGGCAGAAACTTTATGCTATTTCTAGCGATGCAACATAGGTATATGAAATAAATTCTTTCAGGCAACTCTAAGAATGCTATATTTGGAGGCAAAATAAACCAGTTGTTCTCAGGATGAAAGCAATAAATGGCCATCCAAATTACTCAAGAAAGTAATATTGAGTTTTTGTCTTCTTTTACAGAGTAGATGATTACCTCAAGTTCTAGAGGATCAGAAATAGTTTAAACTGAGCTCCACAGGAAGTAGGAAATAAGACTCATCATGTCCTACCCAAGAGAATCTGAACAGCTGCTCTTTAATTTGGGAGACTGGGTGATGACTGTGACAAGTGAAAGTGCCTAAGATTTAACTGCGTTGAAGTCTTAACATTTTTTATACCCTATTTGACAAAATGGGAGAAAGGGGAGATTAACCGCAGGGGAGAGGAGAAACCTAAACACAGAGAGATTTTCCCTATCCTTTATGTAATAGCATTGATTCCATGGTAGGAATTTAGCACATATATTTAGGAAATAAGTGTGTAAAATATGTTCTCATCCCTTGATAGGCCATTAATCACTACAGGATTAAGCAAACCAACCATCCAATATCCACCAGAATTCATCTGTTGAGACTAAAATACCATCAGGCCCCTACTTCTCTTCCTCATTTCTAGTCCTTCTCAGTGCTCACCTTCAAATCATCAAAATAGTTTCCTTAAAATACTTGATTTAAAATAAAAGCAATTAAAATATTTTTAAATGGTCAAAGAAAGTCATTATACAATTGGGAATATATTATTTTCATCCATGCCCAATTTTTCCACATTATCATTTGAAATTCAATTACATAATTTATGCTGAGGGGTCTGAGTTTTCATGTAATCATTCAAGGATGCAAAATAGATTAATTAAATTTGGGGGAATCTATCTTTATCTCCATTCAAAAAAGATTAATATATTTTCTCCAAATTACAGAATTAGAGAACTTAATCATGGATTTATGGATAAACCACACATACTTTTGAAATAGAGTGAATTATCAGCAAAGAACCCACAGCCTATTATCTCCACTGATTTGTCTCCCAGTACATATTTTTATGCCTTTCTCTCAACAAACATGGTCTTTTGTTAGTTTCACAGTCATCTAACAGAGAGGTACAAGGGAGAAATATTTTGTAATTGAGGATCTTTGTCCTCAAAACCTCCTATTATCAGGAAGATAATAAAATATATTATATATTACTCTTTTCAAGGTGATATTGTAATTCAAATGTTACTTTTATGTACAGATCAGATCTCCCTACACAGAATGGAGAGCTTGATGGTTCACAGTTGCATTGTAGATGTCAGAAACATGGCTGATTTTGGAATAAGAAATTAAAATACAACATAAAAATGAGACAGATGAAGTATCATAAAGTCATCCATTCTTTACTGTCCTGTAAGTGTTAGAATCCCTGTGAGATCAAACAGGCATCCTCTTTCAGGGGTCACAAAGGCAGGCTGCAGTAGAGGTTATGTTGAACTGGGAATCTGGTTTCATTTCTAGCTTAGGCCAGCTTTGTTAAACAAAGTCATATTTCTGGGCATTAGTACTACTGTCTTTAAATTACTGACTATATCAGTGATTCTCAAATTGCAAACCCTGGACAAGTGGCATCAGTTATCTCCTGAAAAATTTTTGGAAATACTAATTTTTGGCACCCACCTACTTACCGAACCAGAAACTCTGGGCATGGGGTTTGACAATTTGTGTTTTAATAAGCCTGCCAAGTGATTCAAATGCACTTTTAAGTGTGGAGATCATTGGATTGTGTAATCTAGCCATGTGGTAATTAGCAAGGAGAACCACCTATTATGTCACTTCAGCTTGTTAAGTCAAAGACTGTGCCTTACTTAGTCTTAGGACCTAGAATGCCTCAATGAATGAATGAATGAATGAATGAATGAATGAATGAGGATATCATGTTCATAATGAAGTAATCACATCTCCCCCAAATTCCAATTGCACTTTATGACCATCTTATGGCAAATGTCACTTTTATTAGTTATTACTGTCATTTGTGCATATGTCTTTATCTTGTCTACAAAACAGCCACCATCCATAACAAGTTTTTATTTCTATATCTCATCAAGCAGTGATTCTCAAACACTACCATGAATAAAAGTACCTGGAGGGTAAAAATTATTAGTCCCCACCCTCAGTGTTTCTGATTAAGTCTGAGGTGGGACCTGAGAATCTGCATATTTAACAAAGTGCTGCTGATGCTGCTGGTTCCAGGACCCCACTTTGAGAACCACTGCCACAAGCATACCTCATCAGGTGCGTAGAAAATTCCAGTGTGAGGCCAGGTGCAATGGCTTACGCCTGTAATCCCGGCACTTTAGAAGGCCTAAACAGGCAGATCACTTGAGCTCAGGAGTTCGAGACCAGCCTGGGTAACATGGCGAGACCCCATCTCTACTAAAAAATGCAAAAAATTAGTTGGGCGTGGTGGCATGCACCTGTGGTCCCAGCTACTCAGGAGGCTGAGGTGGGAGGATGCCTTGAGCCCGGGAGGCGGAGGTTGCAGTGAGCTGAAATGGTGCCACTGCATTCCCACCTGGGTGACAGAGTGAGATCCCACCTAAGAAAAAGAAAAAAGAAAGACAGAAGAAAAGTAAAGGGAAGAAAGAGAATAAAGGGAGGGAGGGAGGAAGGAAGGGCAAGAAAGAGAAAATTCCAGTGTGAGAGTGTTATAACACAAATTTGAATCATTAAAAAGTAGCAAGTTTTTAAATATGATTTAATTTTGATATATAGC
The DNA here is from genome assembly GCF_000001405.40 of Homo sapiens. NCBI lineage: Eukaryota > Metazoa > Chordata > Mammalia > Primates > Hominidae > Homo > Homo sapiens. The sequence continues at coordinate 153,180,202 of NC_000003.12, read as the reverse complement.
TTTTTCAGAATCATATCCACTGTATAAACCAAGGCACACCTGCATTTGGAAAACCAGTGCAGAAGAGGACATAGGTCTATAAAACAATGCAGTATACTTCTTTCCTCAAAATTCTGAAACTATTTTGACTTTGCTTTTGACAACTGTACAAAAGTTTAAGTCCAATTAACACTATAATTATGAGCATTGCCATTCCAAGCTATAAGTTTTCAGAACTGATAAAGAAAAGAACAGCCTACAACATTTTCTTTTTTTTTTTTTTTTCTTTGAGATGGAGTATCACTCTTTCACCGAGGCTGAAGTGCAGTGGCGCCATCTTGGCTCACTGCAACCTCCGCCTGCCGGGTTCAAGCAACTCTCTTGTCTCAGCCTCCTGAGTAGCTGGGACCACAGGCGCATGCCACTATGCCCAGCTAATTTTTGTATTTTTAGTAGAGACAGGGTTTCACCATGTTGGCCAGGCTGGTCTCGAACTCCTGACCTCGTGATCCACCCGCCTCTCCCTCCCAAAGTGCTGGGATTACAGGCATGAGCCACAGTGCCTGGCTACAGATTTTCATTCTATAATATTTGCCTGAAGTTGACCCAGAGCTTTGAAATACAGGCATTCCAATTCTTCCGGTAATTGTAATTTATTTTTAGCGTTGCAGTCAAAATTACTTTCTTTCCCCTTATCAATAATTTTTTCACTCATTCATTCATTAAACAAATACTGAGTACTGACTTGCACCAGCTTCTGTTCTAGATACTGGAGATAAAAGAGTAAGTCACAGTCCTTGCCCAAGGAGGTTTAACTTCTAGTGAGGGAAATAAATAATAAAAATCGTTCAGTAACAGCAGGGCTCGGTGGCTCACGCCTGTAATCCCAGCACTTTGGGAAGCCAAGGCAGGCGGATAACCTGAGGTCAGGAGTTTGAGTCCAATCTGGCCAACATGGTGAAACTCCATCTCTACTAAAAATACAAAAATTGGCCGGGAGCAGTGGCTCACGCCTGTAATCCCAGCACTTTGGGAGGCCGAGGCGAGTGGATCACTTGAGGTCAGGGGTTTGAGACCAGCCCGACCAACATGGTGAAACCCCGTCTCTACTAAAAATACAAAATTAGACTGGGTGCAGTGGCTCACGCCTGTAATCCCAGCACTTTGGGAGGCCGAGGTGGGCAGATCACCTGAGGTCAGGAGTTCAAGACTAGCCTGGCCAATATGGTGAAACCCCATCTCCACTAAAAATACAAAAATTATCCGGGCATGATGGCAGATGCCTGTAATCCTAGCTACTCTGGAGGCTGAGGCGGGAGAATCTCTTGAACCCGGGAGGTGGAGGTTACAGTGAGCAGAGATTGCGTCATTGCACTCCAGTCTGGGCGATGGAGCGAGACTTCATCTCAAAAACAAAACAAAACAAAAAATTACCTGGGTGTGGTGGCATGCACCTGTAGTCCCAGCTACTCGGGAGGCTGAGGTGGGAGAATCACTTGAACCTGGGAGGTAGAGCTTGCAGTGAGCTGAGATCGTGCCACTGTATTCCAGCCTGGGTGACAGAACAAGACTCCATCTCAAAAACACCACCACCAAAAAATCATTATCTATAGTGTCTAATGAGCTAAGAAATCTCATTCATGAGTTCCATACATCATGAATTTAAATGTGCATTTTAACATCATTTTTCCTAGTTCAAAACAGTAAAATATTATGGCTGCAGTTCTAAGTAAATACTTCAATCACTTAGCAACCTACCTGTTCTTAATCTGCAAATTCTACAAACACCACATTGCCTTTGACCTTCCTCAACCTTCTATTCTTAAGAACTACACATTCAATCTTAAGGAAAGATATGTTTGAATATATTGCATATATTCACTATGGCATGAAGCAGACAGTTATGTAAGAAGTGAATTATGGTTGCTATGCAAATCATAACTTAGTATTTTGGACAAAAGCTCTAACTCTGTTTAAGTGAACTATATATTTTTTTAAAATACCAGAAGAAAAATACACTGAAAGATCAATTTTTTAGATAATAAGTTTCATACAGATTTCATCTTTGCTCTAAAATGCACATAGGATCATGACAAACGGGAGGCAGGACTAGATTGCAGCTCCGACTCGGACAGACAGAGCAGTGTGTGGAGGCTCTCATCATGAATTTTTGCTCCAGAATGACTGCAGGAATAAATCAGGAAACCTAGGGGACCCACAGACCCCCTGAAGGAAACAGATTGCTCCTGCAGGACCCAGGAAACACCCCAAATACAGTGCTGGTATCCATGGCCGAGAGACCCACAGGTGGTTCACCTCACAGGACTCTGTGCAGACAACCCCCAGTACCAGCCCGGAGCCTGGTCGACTTGCCTAGTGGCTAGATCCAGGAGTGAGATAACAATCATTACAGCTGGGCTCTCAAGAAGCCACATCCATAGGAAGAGGGGGTGAGTATCACATCAAGGGAACACCCCATGGGACAAATGAATCTGAACAATAGCCTTCAGCCCTAGACCTTCCTTCTTGCCCAGGCTGGTCTCAAACTCCTGAGCTCAAGTGATCCTCCAGCCTCAGCCTCCCAGAGTGCTAGGATTACAGGTGTGAGCCACCACAACTGGCCTGGTTTATTTATTTCTGCTGTATTATCTACTCTATTCATTATACAAAATTGTTTACAACATGCCATTCTGAATACATTTTTTATGCATCCCTACTGGCCAGTACAAATCAATTATTAATAATTCTATTACTTGTATTTAAGAGGGCAAATATTTTGCCAAAATTATCACCACCTTGATCAATGCAAACAACTACACAGTGACTTTAGGGAATTCACATACATTCTTTTTTTTTTGGTCCTACTCATAAAGTGATACTCTTCTGAGTAAAGTTTAAACAGAAAAATTATGAGTTAAGTTTGCTATAAAATGTAAAGAGAGATAATACTTTTAAAAATAATTATTACATTTTTAAAATAATAAATTATAATTAATCAAAGGGTGAATTTCATTTCCACTGAAAATGTTGCATTAAAAATTATTCCCAGGCTATAAAAGGTAAATGCAAATAATGACATTGTAAAACATCCTGCACAATTGTTTCAATTTAATACATACATTTTCTTGGCTACTATATAGAGCGATTCATAAGTGAGTATTTTCTCAATATAGACTTTTTATTTATTGTTTGTTTGTTTGTTTTTAGATGCAGAGTCTTGCTCTGTTGCCCGGGCTGAAGTGCACTGGTGCGATCTCAGCTCACTGCAACCTCCGCCTCCCAGGTTCAAGCGATTCTCCTGCCTCAGCCTCCCAAGTAGCTGGGATTACAGGCATGCAACACACCCAGCTAAATTTTTGTATTTTTAGTAGAGACGGGGTTTCACCACGTTGGCCAAACTGGTCTCAAACTCCTGACCTTAAGTGATCCGCCTGCCACGGTCTTCCAAAGTGCCAGTATTACAGGCGTGAGCCACTGTGCCCAGTCTAGACTTTTTAATTAGAAAGAAAATATAACACTCCTCAAAGCCAATAAAACCTAAAGATAAGGAAAAAATGCTGCAAAACGACACGGATGATTATAAAAGAAGAAAACAGAAAAAAAAAACAAGAAATCTGTTTTCTCTGTTAATTGTGATCACGTAACCAATTAAATCTTGTTTCCCAATCAACAGAATAAACACGCAATCTACATAATGTGAGAAAATACTTGCAAACTATGCATCCAAGAAAGGACTAATATCTAGAATCTGTAAGAAACTTAAACAAATCAAAAAGAAAAAAAAAACCCATTAAAAAGGGGCGAATGACATGAACAGACACTTCTCAAAAGAAGACATATAAATGGCCCACAAACAAGAAAAAATGCTCTACATCCTTAATCATCACAGAAATGCAAATTAAAACCACAATGAAATACCATCTTACACCAATCAGAATAGCTATAATTAAAAAGTAAAAAAATAACAGATGTTGGAGAGGATGTAGAGAAAAAGGAATGCTTACACACCATTGGTGGGAATGTAAATTAGTTCAACCTCTATGGAAAACAGTATGAAAATTTCTCAAATAACTAAAAATAAAACTACCATTCTACCCAGCAATACTACTACTGGGTGTCTATCCTAAGCAAAAAAAAATTGTTTGACACCTTGGCTCAGTTTGGTGGCCTGCACCTATAATCCCACTCTTTTGGGAGACTGAAGCAAGAAGACTGCTTGAGCCCAGAAGTTTGAGACTAACCTGGGCAATATAGCAAGACCTTGTTTCTACAGAAAATTCAAAATAATTAGCCAGGTATGGTGGCACATGCCTATAGTCCCAGCTACTCAGAGGCTGAGGCAAGAAGATCGCTTGAGCCCAGCAGTTCAAGGTTGCAGTGAGCCATGATCACGCCACTACACTCCAGGCTGAATAACAGAAGGAGACCCTGTCCCCGCCCCACAAAAAAAAACAGGAAACCTGCACTTGTATGTTCATTGCAGCACTGCAGCACTACTGGCAATAGCAAAGTCATGGAATCAACCTGTGTTCATCAACGGTGAACTGGATAAAGACAATATGGTACACATAAACCACGAAATACTATGCAGCCATAAAAAAAAAAAACAAAACCAAAATCATGTCCTTTGCAGCATCATGAATGCAGCTGGAGGCCATTAAGTGAATTTATGCAGAAACAGAAAATCAAATACTACATGTCTAACTTAAAAGTGGGAGCTAAACACTGGGTATATATACACATAAAGATGGAAACACTAGACACTGGGACTCCTAAAAGAGGGAGGGAAGCAGGGAGGCGGGACCTGAAATGTATATATCAGGTACTACATTCACTAGTTGTGTGATGGGTTCACTAGAAGCCTAAATCCCAGCATCACCCAATATACCCATGTAACGAACCGGCATCCTCAAACACGTATCCCCTGAATCTAAACTTTTTTTAAAAAAATTGTGTTTCCATTTTCAATTTATACAGACATTACAGATAAAATATTTCTACCTACATCATCCATTCTAATACAAGACTATTCCTAAATTTGAAAAGCAAGTTTTAGCTTCTCAAATCACTCACTTTAATCAAAGTTTTTTTTATATTGTAAAGAATTATTTCATTTATTACCTACCTTGTTTATAAAAATTATTCTAGTTGGTTAGAACCTTTTGGTGGACTTGAGATTGTTCTTGCTCATTTACAAAATTTTGGCTGTGCTCAGTGGCTTAGGCCAGGCATGGTGCCTCACACCTGTAATCCTAGCACTTTGGGAGGCCAAGGTGGGAGGATCACCTGAGGTCAGGAGTTCGAGACCAGCCTGGCCAACATGGTGAAACCCCATCTCTGCTAAAAATACAAAAATTAGCGGAGCGCAGTGGTGCGTGCCTGTAATCTCAGCTACCCGGGAGGCTGAGGCAGGAGAATCACTGGAACCCAGGAGGCAGAGGCTGCAGTGAGCCAAGATTGTGCCACTGCACTCCAGCCTGGGCGACAGAGCAAGACTCCATCTCAAAAAAAAAAAAAACAAAACAAAACAAAAAAAAACTTTGACATTCACTATATACTAGGAATGTTTAATTTCCAAATGTGCCCCCTGTAAAATGCAGAATCTTAATTGTCCCAACAGGTAGGGTGGCTAATAGTGTGATTGCTGAAAGCTTAGGAATATGCTGCATAGGTTTTTAAATGTCCATTTCATTTAAAACTTAAGGACAAAAACAACCGTGTCTGATTCAGAGTAAATTAAAGATCCATGATCATTGAGTTAATTCCACATTAACGAACTTGCTAACAGTATACTTAATACTGTATTCCAGGGGGTTGGCAGCCACCCCGTATGTGCTAACCACAGGCTGTCAGATTCGAGGCACTTTATTACAATGCAATCACCAATCACTACTGTCTCTGCTGCCCCCTTCTTGACAGGCTTGCTGAGAGGTTTGGGCACAGGTAGGTGTGTGAAGTTAAGCAGCAGGAGTCGCCCTGGACACACTGTTATTTGTTAGGAAAGATGGGAGGGAGGGGAGGGGAGGGGAGGGGACAGAAGGAGCTAATTGTAAAAATGAAAATAAAGAAGGACAGAATGCATAAAGTGCATCCTTTCTATCCCAGCAGGGAGGTCAGGTATTGAATAGAAGCCTGGAGTGGGCTGGAAAGAGGCTATGAGGTGAGCTGGAGGAAGATGAGTAAAGGATGAGCACCTTCCAACTGTCTCCCAGTAAAGACTTAAGGGGGCAGGAAACAAAACTGCAACATAGTTGCTCTCAACCTCCCCTTCAGGACTTCTCATACTTAACACACAGGCCTCTCTGCTTAGTCATCAGGCTTCCCAGAGATAATCTCTGGCCATCCAAGTTCATCACCTCAACCAGAACACACTCCTCTTTTGAATATTCCTTCTCCCTCCAGGGAACCAAAATTTCCAACAAATGTTAATCCCTGAATACTACGTATTTCTCTTAGGTGTGGATTTAATGAACTGACCAAAGTTATATTGTCAGAAGCACAATAGTGTTGTAGGCCGGGCGTGGTGGCTTACGTCTGTAATCCCAGCACTTTCGGAGGCTGAGGCAGGCAGATCACCTGAGGTGAGGAGTTCCAGACCAGCCTCGCCAACATGGAGAAACCACGTCTTTACTAAATATACAAACATTAGTCGGGCGTGGTGGTGCACCTGTAATCCTAGCTAGTCGGGAGGCTGAGGCAGGAGAATCACTTGAACCTGGTAGGCGGAAGTTGCAGTGAGCCGAGATCGCGCCACTGCATTCCAGCCTGGGTGAAAGAAGCTCAGTCTAGAAAAAAAAAAAAAAAAGCATTATTATTTTTGAAGAGAAGCATGAATTGCAATGCTCTGGGGAAAGGGAAGTCTTAACTGCTGCTAGTTTACTCTAGGTTCAAACCTCCTCTCTGGTTTATGCCTCCTTCATCCACACAAGGTCTAGTTTAGAGGAGTGGTTCTCAACCAGGGACTATTTTGCCCTCCCCCTTCCCAGGGACAATGTCTGCAGACACTTTCGGTTGTCACCACTGGGGTGGGGAGGATGATACTGGCATCGAGTGGGTAGGGGCCAGGGCTGCTGCTGAACATACTAAAATGCCTAGGACAGCCTCCACAACAAATTACCTAGCTCAAAATGTGAACAGGGACAAGGTTGAGAAATCCTGCCTTGAGTCCAATTTATTACAGCAGCAGCATCACTGCATCCTATAGGCTTCTTCACCTTTGGCCAGGAGGAGCCCTGAGCCTCAGTCTTGAGTCACAGCAGATCACAACTTCGAACACAAGGAAATCCTCTGGTATTGGAGGAACGTAGGAGTGGAAGTGTGAGCTGAAGAACAATTCCACCTCGGCCTGCAGTTTATTCTCCCTTCTCAGCTCCATCACATTCTTACGTCTAAGCAACAAGGAAACAGTATAAAGACCTCCTGCTGAACGCTAACAAAATGATTCAGAAAAATATTTCATTACCCTTACCACTATTTATACTTCCTCAATAACAAAATAAAAGCTGGTTTGTACAAAAATGCAGAAAAACAATTTTGCTTCTTAGGTTTTTCACCGTTGTTGACTCTGCCTTTCATGATACGATACTTTCTTAGAGATGCATTTAGCTTATTTCTCATTTTTTCTTACTTCAGTACAAGATTAGTGAGGAAGAAGAGATGGTCTGCAAATATTTTTCCACAGTTCGAAGTATATTAAGATGAATATTCCTACAATCTAATTCATTTTCTAGAAAACTTCATTCATCAGTTTTAAAACCAAAACAGAGCTTATGCCCAAACCTAAAGGTAATGTCTGATTAGAGGCAATGATCTCTGGTTGGATGTGTCTCAGTCTGCACCTCAAATATAGTGGAAACATACGTCAAAAAGCACATTTATATAGCCATCAGTTACACAGTTCTTAGTTTTTTTAATCAATTGATGTGGATTATATTAGAGAACCATTTGCATAAACCAGATGTGGATGAATGAAATGATATATAAAAGAAAGAGAAAAACAGGTACTATGGCTAAATAATTAATGACTTATTTATTCTATAGAGACACGTTCTCTGTTTATTGCCCAGGCAGGTCTTGAACTCCTGCGCTCAAGCAATCCTCCCACCCTGGCCTCCCAAAGTACTCGGATTATAGGCGTGAGCCACCACACCCAGCCAGTATGACTAAGATAAGATATCTAAACTCAGTAAAAAAACTCAGGACTTAATACTTTTTCTACTCCATGAGGAATAATATTGAAATATACTTGTAATTCTATTATCTACTGAAAAGGTTAAATTCAAAGCTATCTAAAATATAATTCAAACTATGTTTTATTGAAATATATACTCTTATAGGATTACGCTAATACAGATGTCTATAGAGGTTCTTTTCCTGAAGAAGACATAAATCAATATAATGTTAGCCTCTAAAGAGAATATCTAAAATATTATATTAATATGTATAATATTAAATAACATTAGAATATTCTGAGCTCATGAATAACCAGATTTTGAAAACTTTACAAATGGCCAGATAACATATAAAATATTAAAACCCTTACTCAAGCTATGAAACTTTAATAAATTTGCATTTCATAAATGGTTCAATGGCAGTCAAAATTTTTTTTAATTAAGTACCTTCACATAAACGATTCTGCTACCCCTACAATTCTGTAACCTTCCACATTTAAAAAGCATGTTGTTAAATTCATGAGACAGTCTGTACAAAATGGTGACTAGAAATCATCTTGCAAACCACAGGAGGTTAATAATCACAACCCCACCCTTCAATTCATATGGCTTTACAATAACTGCTATTATTGTTATCTCTTCCAGCTTGTTACCCAACGTTTCTTTCTCTGTGCTGGTTGCTTTCTTCCAGTAAGCATAAGAGGTAACAGAAGAAGAGCTTTTGTGTAAAATATTAACTTACTTAAAATGTCAACTTCTTTGGCACACTCATTTTTACAAGATTATCTTTTTCAAAAGAAATATCTTGTCCTGAATCTTCTTTACATGAAGAACCAGAAAGCCAGTGACTGTTTATTTCTTTCAGAATATAACCTAAATTATCTTTTCCTTTGGTTTCCTCACTAAAGAAAAATATAAGTGAATAAATTTAATTTTATTTTACTTTTTTTTTGAGATGGAGTCTCATTCTATCACCCAGGCTGGAGTGCAGTGGTGCGATCTTGGCTCACTGTAATCTCTGCCACCCAGGTTCAAGCAATTCTGCCTCAGCCTCCTGAGTAGCTGGGATTACAGGTATCTCCCACCGCACCCGGCTAATTTTTGTATTTTTAGTAGAGACGGGGTTTCACCTTCTTGGCCAGGCTGGTCTTGAACTCCTGACTTCGTGATCCACCTGCCTCGGCCTCTCAAACTACTGGGATTACAGGTGTGAGCCACCGTGCCCAGCCTTGTGAGTAAATTTTATAAATCTGTTTTCTTCATGTTTTCCTCTTCCCTTGGACATGAAAATATAAAAGTAAAATCATTTCCTCTTGTAAGTGTTCAATTTTAGCTAATCTCAAAAAGGAAGTTGAAAATGATGCAGAAAAGTAAATAAAATGACAATCTTATTACACAGTTTCACATACAACAGAACAATTATTATTTGAAATTCATGGAATCCATTTTTATTTACAATTTCCACATACCTTTCAAAGGCCCAATGTTCAATAAATTTATCTACTCTATTGTCTGCCAAACAGCCCCACAGTATTATAACTGATGACACATGTAGATGTGCTTTTCCATATACTATTATTGTTTAATATACACTATTTCACAGATTATAGTGAAAAAGAGCATAAAGCTGTTGCGCCTTCACCTGACTTCCTCTTTTAAGTATTAGCGCTCGCAGTACAGCTATTAATAATAGTAGTATGTGCTCAATAAGTGTTGAATAATCAATGAATCAATTTCAGCTGTTTACCAATTTCCACTGCAACCATATTCTTGATAATTAAGGTTGGTCTCAGGCCTTTTGGGGACACCTGTATTCACAAGGCATCAATAATCTTTCTCTTTTCCATTTTTTAAAAAATTTTGCTACCTTTGCAATTTTTCACAATTACCACAAATAAACCAACCACGTTTTCAATCCTCTGACAAACTTAACCTCACATAATTTTGCAAGATAATTCATTTTAAAATGAGTAAGTTTAGTCAACTGGATAAGAAAGAATGCAAATAGCTGTCTCCTCCAATTTATAGAACAGATCAACACTCATAATTTCAATAGCCATAAGGCCCATTTTGCTTTTCCTGCATGTCTATACCACTTAGTCATTTCTGCTTCTCAAAACAAACCATTTCACTAATTAAGGCTTTAGAAATTGTCACTCCTGGCTGGATGCAGTGGCTCAGGCCTGTAATCCCAGCACTTTGAGGGGCTGAGGAGGGAAGATCTCCTGAGCCCAGGAATTTGAGACCAGCCTGGGCAACACGGCAAGACCCTATCTCTACAATTTTTTTTTTAAATAAAATTATCATCTCAGCCGGGTGCAGTGGCTCACGCCTGTAATCCCAACTCTTGGGAGGCTGAGGTGGGTGGAGCACAAGGTCAGAAGTTCAAGACCATCCTGACCAACGTAGTGAAACCCCATCTCTACTAAAAATACAAAAATTAGGCGGGCGTGGTGGTGCACGCCTGTAATCCCAGCTACTCAGGAGGATGAGGCAGGCTAATCGCTTGAACCTGGGAGGCAGAGGTTGCAGTGAGCCGAGATCGCGCCATTGCACTCCAGCCTGGGCGACAGAGCCAGACTCCATTTCAAAAAAAAGGCTGGGTGCGGTGGCTCACACCTGTAATCCCAGCACTTTGGGAAGCCAAGGTGGGCAGATCACAAGGTCAGGAGTTCACGACCAGCCTGGCCAGTATGGTGAAATGCTGTCTCTATGAAAAATACAAAAATTAGCCGGGAGTGGTGGAGGGCGCCCGTAGTCCCAGCTACTGGAAAGGCTGAGGCAGGAGAATTGCTTGAACCCAGGAAGCGGAAGTTGCAGTGAGCCGAGATCGCGCCATTGCACTCCAGCCTGGCCGACAGAGCAAGACTCCGTCTCAAAGAAAAAAAAAATTATCATCTCATTGTTTTTTCCTTCTTTAATGTAAATAGTTTAGTCCTAATGATTATTAACCAGGATTAGAATAAACTACCAGATAATTCTGATTGTCTTATATATGGCAAATAAATTCATAGTATAGGACACTTTTAAAATATATTATTCCAACATAAATATAACCCTAAAATTAAAACAGGTTCACAAAATCAAGTATTAGTCCATATTAACAGTAGTAGAAATAACCGTAAAATGAAAGCCAAGATAAAAATATACTGAAGTCAGTGTTTCATTGTACTATCACCAGCAATAGCCTTTTGAATATGGAGCTCCCTAAAACTGTCATAGATCTCAAACTATCAACCATAAATGTCTGTAACTTTTGTTGAAAATGAACCTTAGAATAGCATACAGGAATGTTCCTTTATCAGATGGGCAAACTAAACTTTAAAAAAGTTTATTTCTGTATAGTTGGAATGGAAGACATAGCTCCAAAGACAATCTTAATAAATCTATCATGGGTAGGGAAGATAAAATCCTACCATTCTTCAATCAACACTTTTCACCTTCTAATAGAATAGTTTCAGATGTAACACTCCATGTTCCATTCATTCAGCAAATAGCTATTAAGCTACTATAGAGAGCTGTAGACTACTGTGCTATGAAAATAACAGTAACAACAACAGGGTTGAACAAAAAAAATTTTAACCAAAAATATTTATTATTCTTGAGGCAAAAGCAAGAAAATAACTGAAGTCCAGGAAGCATTAAAAATGAAAATGGAGATTTGAGTAAGGGCCTTTCTTCCCCACCCAAGCATGATAATATTATTCTCAGCATCTAAATAGTAGCTACTACTCCCTCAGTCTATAAACTGGTACTAAACTTTCTAAATTGTAAAAGAGAAATTTGAAGTAAGCAATCCACTACTTGTAATTAGATCTACTATTGTTTCTTTAGAAGGCCCCCAAATTGTCTTTAAAAACCCAGATCTTTAACATAAAGTTCTGGGACCTTCTGAGGGAATTAAGATGCATAACGAAAGAAGCTGCAAGATACACAGTTTTGTGGTATGCATTTTCCCAGAATGGATTACAGTAGAACTAAATGAGAAGGAATTAACTAACACCTGGAAGTCTGGCTAAGAAACTGAGTCACAGACATACGCATGTGCTTACCATGATATGAAGATTTAAATTCTCTGGCACAATGATTTTTAGAACCCTTGCCATGAAAACTTAAAATCTTTGTTTTTTAATGTTGAAGAGAAGACAAATAAAGTGTCCCCTTTTATTGAAGACATACTTTTCAAATTTTTTTTCCCCTAGGTTGGGGAGAAGGGGAATGTTGATTCTGATCACTTAGGCTTTGCCTCTATTCTAACCACATTTTCATTTAAAGTCAACTTCTGAATTAACATTGAAAACCATAGTCAAAATGTTCCTGTAATAATGTGAAAATGATCAAAAACTACCTGCAATGTTTATTCTATTTCACACACAACAGTTAGTCTTAGTATAAATGGTATATGTCCTCTTTAGCTTAGATTTCAATAGAGATTATTCTCTAACTGTAGTAGACAGCACTCCAAAATGTGTGACATGAGTCTGAAGTCTGTGTCTCTCAATATCTAGGTGGCTGTCAGTATAGTACTCATTTGGAGTTCAGTCTAGATCACTGGTTTTCAAAGTGTGGTCCCTGGAACAGCAATAACACAATCACTTGGAAACTTGTTAGAAATGAAAATTGAGACCCTACCCGAGACCCACTGGGTAAGAAACTGGAGGAGGGTCCCAGCAGTACATGTTTTAAGCTCCAGGTGATTTTGATATATGGTCAAGTTTGAGAACCTTTCAACCAGATGATCCCCATAGCCTTCTCAAACCTTCAAAATCCAGTTAATAGATAAAGATCTCACTCACCTAGAACTAGCTCTGTGTTCAGTTAAATGCACTGAATCATTCCTAATAGTCTGCATAAAATACTGTAATCAAGAATACCACATTATATTAGTATTTTAAAATTTACTATATTTTCACAGACAAAATGTATATTAGCAAACTTTCCCCAAATAAGACACTGTGACAAATGTCTGGTATCGTTTTAACAGTGATGATCTCCAAATTAAATCTCGGTTCCCTTTATACTTATAATGCAGGAACTTATTCCAGCTGTTGTGAAAAACAAAAAATCTATGCTCTTATGACAGTTAAGATGCTTCTACTTCTCAAGACCAGCTGCTACATATAGCTTTCTGTTTCTCATACCCCCTGTGAGAAATACTAGAATATGACCCAAAAGAGGGTACAATAACAAAACTACCTGAACAGATAAAATAGATCAGGCATTCTAGGATTCCCAACCACAGGAAATATTACATAATCAGGAAGCATGAAGTCCCATACATTTAAAGAATTCTATCCCCAAATACATCTGGTCCCAAAATGTGATTCAATTAAGTCTACAACAGTTAACAACATGGAAATTGTTCTACGAAAGAACCGTAACTCTCAAAGACTAGAGTGTTAGACCTAAGATGATACCTTTAACTTTCCTGAAGCTATTAAAAAAGGAGGACAAAAATAACCCTTTTGAAATAACATAAAACCTGGATTGACTGTCAGAGACCAAAAGGAAAAGCTGTTTAAAAACAGCAGGGGTCAAGTTTAAAAGTCAGCTTTTGCTCCCCAAGATAAAGACTCCTTTCCCACCCAATTTCTGTTTTGACAGGTGATTGCCTTACAACAAACTCCGCCCTCCCTGACTCACTTCCTTTAACACTAACTTTTTCATTGAAACAAATGCCCTTATCTCTTCACACACTAATACCACAAGGGGTTCTTAATAGTCAAAGAAACGAACATATTCTTAAAAACATTTTTAAGAAAAAAATAGCAGTGTTCCTAATTTCTCTCAATTTTGCCAAGAAAATATGAGATAAAACCAAAAACGCTATTTTCTTGCTTCAGGCACACATAAAATTGCTTTCATTGATAATCCAAAAAGCATTTATTTTACATCACTTAATAAAAGCATATTAAAATCTTCTGCTCTGCCATCCTAGACTATAAAGAGGTCCTGCAAGTGACTAAATCCTGGGCGGAGGTGATTAACGCACCCAGCAACATATTTCATTTCCAATTTTCCACTTTCAAATATCTTCTGTCAGTATATACATTTCTTAGATACTTGGCAGCATTTTATGTCAAAAGGTTTCCAAAAACTTAAAAATAAAACAAGAGACAGTTAAATGCCAAATGCCTTTTCTTAAAAAAACCCTCCAGACAGTACTTGACATGACTTCAGCATTTTTAACACTTTGGATCTACTTTAGCAACTGAATTTATTCAAATACAAGAACGAATCTTTGCAAAGGCATAAAATTATACAGTATCTTTTAATTTCTACATTTAGGATATTGATACTATTGCCTCCCAATTGTGTTTGATATCAAACTTAAGTGAGATCAGAGTGGGAAAAAAAAAATGGCAGTAGGACCATTGCCAGGCAAAATTCTCTATTCTTCCTCCATTGCTGGAGTACTGAGATGCCTCTTGGGCAAAAAAAAAAAAGCAAAGCAAAAACACACACACACATTTTAAGGCAAGATATGTTAACACAGCTTTAAAGAAACCTGTGGCCTGTTAATTTCTTTTGGTTTTGTCAAGGGTGTAAATCCCTTTGTCAAGACTCTTCAGATTTCAGCTACACTTCATAGACCTAAGGTATACCAAGTACTCTCTTGATATGTATGAACATGTTATATTACTAAGACCACCTTAAGAAAAATAAAAAATAAAAAGCTCACACTGCCTCCTACTGTTAAAAGGAAAAACTTATGAGGTCAAATGTGGTCCAAACTGCAGGGTGTAAATGAGAACAAGGATATTATCTTAGCCTGTTTTCTTTTAAATCTATTTCCAAATCAAAACCTCAAAAGGGTTGAGGCAGTGTCTACAATCCATTCAAATGTACTGCAAAAAACATCACTAGGTATAACTTCAGAATTGAAAACCATCTTTCCCAAACATGTTTTTGACTTGATGTGCAATATAAACAGAGGGAAAAAAGGAAGAAAAACTTAAAAGTGCCATCCTACTTTGCCAGAAGGATGGTTACTTTCCCAGATCTAAGGCAATTTTAATAGATGGGTTCTCTTGTTCCCTACCTACAATGAGGTAAACTGTTCCATGTCAGATCAGATTCAAAATACCTGTTCATCTTCTAATCAGATGGTAATGGCCATACCCAGGGCTTCCTCGACCTTGATGGTTTTCTCCAAATTTAAAAAGTTGGGAGTAGTGTCATCCAACTTGTCACTGAGACACTTCTGTCTTTAAAATTTCACAAATAGCTCTGAAGAGTATCATGCACCTGCCCCATCCACCTCAGCCATGATACTGTATTAAATCACTGAATATGAAACACAGAAACACAAACAATAGTTTTGGGTTTGTTTCTTTAAAAATGACATTTGTATTAAAAGTCTTAAAATGAAGAGACAATGATTAAACGCATGAAATTAAAAATTACAATTAGTTAGAATTGGTACATCACAACAGTAAAATTTTGCTCTTTGCTTCTGGAGGAACACCCTACAACAGGTAATTAAAAAATTTAAAAATAATATGAAAGGGGAGCTAAATACCTGAAAATTTAAACAAAATGAAGCAAAAAAAAGGGAAACAAATTCATTGCAAGAGATGGAAATTACATTTTAAAGGCTGAAAATAATAAAGAAATTCACTAAACAACAGGCCCTATTGTCCTGGCTCCTTCAGAAAGATTACTGAAAGGAAACTGGGAAGTGGTTTGGGGAATAGCAGATTCTGGGATATGGTGGGAAGTTCACAGGTTGGCACCGGCTGGAACAGCTGAGTTTTGAAGGCACTCTGCAGACACAGGGGTGCTGGGGGCCCTGAATCACATTTACAAAGTCTTTGTACTGTATTTTTAAAAGCTAGTCATTAAAATCGGTTACTGCCAACCAAAAAACAAAAACAAAAGGCTAAACTTAAAACACACACACACCACACACATACACACACACACCATAGTACACACGAAAATGTGCAGATCTGTAACATTTTTTTCACAGCTGATAAAAAAAAAAAATACTACCATTCTCCCCCAGACTCCCCTTTGATACAGTAGGTAAACAAAATAGATTTTTTTTCCACAAATATCAGCAGACACTTTCTGGCACCCCACACTGTATTGGCATCAGTGTTAACAGTCCCAGTTCAGATGTGCAATACTTCAGATTGGATACACTGTAACAAGAATCCAACTTTGCATAGACATCCTCAGAATCGCAATCAGTCATGGGGTTGCCCTTCCAAGCTGGCAGAAAAGGAACCCGATCTTAATTTCCAGCTACTCCTGGAAAAGAAGGAAAAAAAGTTTCTTCCTCTCCTCCTGCTCCTTCATATGGTTCTCCCGGACTTCCTTCCATGTATTTAAAACTTGGAACTAGAAAAACGGCTGTTGACCAAAAAAAAAAAAAAAAAAAAAGAAAGAAAATAGAAAAAAAAAAAAAAAAACCATTTCCACCTTCTCTCCCTCCTTTTCATCCACCCTTCCCCCCCATTTTTTTTCCAGGCTGAAACTTTTGCTTGGTGGGTGTCAAGCTGCCGATACTGCGCCCTAACGGCTACTTAAACGGGGAAATATGCATCAACCAAAATCAGGGAGAAACGTACATGCTGCAAAGAGCCACATTTCCACCAGAGTATCGGATGGGCAGGACCGGACACCCCCTCGGGCACAGGGTGGAGGCAGGGGACGCCGGCCGCGGAGGCCAGCCGGGCTCCCAAGACACCCTGGCCAATGCAAAGTGGTCTCCAATCTCAAAGCAAGAAATAAATCACATTTAGAGAGTCGGATGCGTTTGGCTTTTGTGCGCAGAGCGCGGCCGGCGCGCGGTGGCCGCCTCAGAGGATCACGCAGGCCGAGCAGCAGCCCTCATCGCCGTTGGGCTGCGCCGCGTAGTTCATCTGCCGCACGATCTCGGCAAATAGCTCGTCTACCGAGGCTTTGTTTTTGGCCGACGTCTCCATGAAGGGGCAGCTCCACTCCTCAGCCAGGGCCTTGCCCTCCCCGTACGAGACCTCGCGCTCACCCTCCAGGTCCACCTTGTTGCCCACCAGGATCATGGGCACGCGCTCGTACCGCTTCACGCGGATGATCTGGTCCCGCATGGGCTTGATGTCCTGGAAGCTCTGCTGGTTGACGAGGCTGTAGACCAGGATGAAGCCCTGGCCGTTCTTGATGTACAGGTCCCGCATGGACGCGAACTGCTCGGTGCCCGCCGTATCCAGGATCTCCAGCACCGACGGCGACGAGTCCACCTCAATCTCCTTGCGGTAAAAGTCTTCGATGGTCGGGTCGTACTTCTCGATGAAGGAGCCCGTCACGAACTGCACGGTGAGCGCGGACTTGCCCACGCCGCCCGAGCCCAGCACCACCACTTTGTACTCTCTCATGGCTCCGTCAGCGCTCTCGCCGCGCCTGCCGCGGCCCCGTCGGGGCTGCGCGCCGGGGAAGGCTGGGCTTGGCGGCTGGACTTCTCTTCCCCTTCCTCAGCTACGCAGGAAAAACCCAGGAGAGAGCAACCCAGAGAACGCAGGGCGGAAACCACCGAACGGAGGCCGGGCGCCGGGCCGGCCGGCGGCGGCGGCAGCGTATCCCTGGGGTGCGGGTCCGGGCCCCGCAGCAGTCCGCGGCGGCAGCAGCAGCCCGGGCGGCGAACCGAGAGGACAATGCCCGCAGCCTGCGCGAGGCGACGGCTGGAGCTCCTAGCTGCGGCAGCCCGGGAGGGCAGGGAGGCGGTGGCGGCGGGCTGCGGAGGTGGCTGCTAATTGCGCGTCGGGCCGGGACGCGCGTGGCATGAGTCCCCGCGGAACGTGCGCCCACCGCCGCGGCCCATCGCGCTCTCTCCCACAGCCTCTACTGGGCGAGGGCTTCCTACTCGCCGCGCGCAGCCCGGCCCGCCCCTCCCCGGCGAGCATGCCCAGTGCGTTCCGGCCGCGCCTTGCCCAAGCGGCCGCTCCTGGTTTTCCGCGGGGCCGGGAGGGGGCGGGGCAGTGGGCGGGGCTCCGGATTTGAGTCCGATTTGGGGAGTGGCGCGAGTTAGGAACTGGCTGGAAGATGGGGTGTGTGTGCGTATATGGGAGCGAGGAAAGCGCTGTAGGAAGCATGCAGGCCGCTTTATTTTACAGCTGTGGGAGTGGTGGACAAGGGCGGCGGCTCTGCGAGAAGCACGTGGGCGCGGCGGGCCGCCTCAGGGATGGAGTAGGCTGTGGTCTTGCCAACTCCCGTTATCAAAGGCCCAAGGACGCCATTCACTCAGCCCCGGGCGGGCGTGGGTCTGGGGGCCGGAAACCCGAAGTCCTGTGGGTGCCGTGGAATGCACGAGCAGCCGGCGGAGCAAACCTGCCCCATAGATTTTTCTAAACCGTTCGCCACAGAAACGCTACTCTGTCTTCTCTGACCGACTCTGTGCACTGCAGCCTTGCACAAAGAAAACAGGAGGTACTCCAAGTCTGAGATACTGTTCCGACTAGGAAAGGGGTAGCTTCTGGTACCTGCAGCTCTCTCGGGGCAGGGTCCCGCGGGTCGTACCCACCTCCCCGCTCGAGTGCGGTCAAAACCCGGAGACCGGATTACATCCCAATCCAGAAGTCTCAGGGCGCCCGCAGTTAGTTCAGGGCATGCTCAGTCGCAGAGCAGGTTTTTGGGCTTGGAAGTAGGAAGCTTTTGCACCACACACCCACACTCTAGCTCAAATTACCTCTCCCAGACTCTGCACTCATTGGTCTCGGGGCGCGAGTCTGACACCCCTAAGTGTTGTTCATTGGCTGCCGCCAAGGCTTTATCAGTTTGGGGCGCTTCATTGGCTAAAAAGTAGCCTCCGCTCGCGATTGGTTATTTATAGAGATTGAGCGGAGAGGCGGAGGCACAGCTGTTCTTTCTCCGTTGCTCCCCCACCCTCTGCCTCCCACTTCCCCAACCCTGGCGTTTTGAAGTAAAAGTGAAAAAATAAGAGGCATTTAGGCTGAGAGCTCAGAACTAAATATAGTTCTTTGTTGGTGTTTTCGAGAGGGTCTGACTCCTCGGTTTCCAGTCACGACTGCCCCTTAAAGGGAGCACAAAGGGCTAATTACAGGTTTTGGTCCGCAAGAAACCGCAGAGTTGCCAAGTTTTTTTGCAGGGAGTGGGAGGGGGCGAGGAGCCGAAATGGGCCACTTGGAATTCGTTTCACCCGGAGGGGTAGGGGAGTGTCCAAGCTTGCTTCAGAGGAAGCGTCTTCGCTGGCGGGCCGGGCAATCGCTAGACTTGGCTGGGCTGGCGCTCCCGGGAGGTGCAAGGGAGATGCCCCGACTTGTTCCGACTCCCTCGCTCCTCGCTGAGGAGGGATGTCAAGACCTGTCTGCAGGCTGAGCTCGGCGGCGGCGGGTGCGGGATGGGGAGGGAGGCGGTGGAGCTGCGTCAGCGCTGGCTCCCCGTCCTGATGTCACTGCTCCCTGGTTTCACCGTCCGCATCGGAGGGTAAACCTGGGCATGGCTAACACGGTTTCAGTTCCTAGTGCCGCCGTGACTCACGCTGCGTTTGCTAGTTAACCTCCAAACCCCTGGCCAAAGCAGCTTCCGTGCACGTCTGCAGCGTGAAGTCCTTGGGCACAGAACCGGGCGGGACGTGGGCTGCCCCTGATGCCTTGGGTGGGGTGGGTGGTGCCCACACCCGCGCCTCACCCCAATTTAGTAGAGAGAGGAGACTTTCACCTTGACTGTCAGAGTGCTTGGATGTTATGAAGCTTATATAATTCTCCAGAAAAACCTCTCAGAGGCAAACTCGCCTAAGCTGGAGAGAACCCTGTCAACATCCACCCAATGTGTAATGTCCACCAAGCGTTTTACATATACTGCCACTCCTCATAATAATGATTATTTACCCATTTTAAAGATGAGGAAACTGAGGCTGTGAGATGATCAATAATTTGCCTGCGATGCCACAACTAGAAAGTGGCCAACCTAAGATTCCAACCCAGGGATTTGCCTGCAGAGCCTAGTCTCATAACCACTGGACCATACTTACCCGTCACATGAATGTTCCGGTATGTTATTCTTTCTTAGGGTGATTTTAGAGGCTGTGTGATCAGACTGGCTCTTAAACCCAAGAGGGACCTCCGCCCACAGCCACCCTCTGGCTCTCCTCTGGCAGTGCCCCTCTTCCGGTCAGGCTGATGGCCCAGCTGGAGCCTGACCCTCTTCTAGACTACATACGCTCCATGTAGTCAGAACTCTGGACTGCTCTGCCCAAATGGTGCCAAGTTCACTTTCAGGATCTGGTCGGGACTCTGAACTCACTCCTGTGTCCAAGAAATAGCTCTTCTTTGGGGTGTGGACAGTACCTGGACCTGTGGGCTAAGGTGTGCACTCCCAGGTGCTTTGGGCCCCTCGTAATGCAGGAAGAGGGATCATTCGCGATCAGCTTTATCCTCCATGACACCTTCCAGCCTGGCCCTTAGAGAAGTCCAGGAATTCATAGTTCACAACTGGCCATCCAGCTCCGTGTAGGAGGTATTTGTCAAGGTGGGAGGACAGATCATATTTTGTTTAACAGTTTGTTATCTTGATTTATGACTTAAATACTTAGGTTAATGCTATGTGGGCCTCTATTGGTACTCTTAACCACAAATATTAGGTGTGGTTCTGAGTGTGATATAGAAGCAGATGCTTTGTCCTTCTGGGCCTGAAGTCTAATCTCAAGTATTGGATATCAGTTATTATCAGAGGCCTTAGGCGAGTCACTTAAGCTCTCCTAACCTTAGTTTCCCTTTCTATAAAATGGTGATAATATAATTTGCCCTACGCACCTACCTACACAAGGAAACTTGGAGAAAATCCGGTCACCAAATCAATCATTTTACAGCAGAGAGAGCTGAGCAGAATTAGGACCCTGCTGTCTTAGCTGCCCTTACCATGTGCCAGGCTGTCCAGAGGGATAATAATTAACAGATAATAGACGGAAACATGTTTCTAAAGCTGCAGCACCCCATACGTGCATCAAATTACTGCTCAGACCCAGACAGCCTGACAGTCCCTTGAGAAATGACCATTCCTAAGACTCTAGGTAGCCATGTGGATGGGTATTACTGAACCTTTATGGCCTCCTCAGTACCAGAAAGATGCCACAATTTGAATACTTTTTATTAGGGATTCTTCAATAGCAATTTTTATTACATTCAGATGGTCTTCCACAGAAAGATTTATATTGGACCTTTGGGATTTCAAATGAAGCAATGAAAAATGTACAATTTTTTTTTTTTTTTGAGACAGTGTCTTGCTCTGTCGCCCAGGCTGGAGTGCAATGGCACGATCTCAGCTCACTGCAACCTCTGCCTCCCAGGTTCAAGTGATTCTCCAGCCTCAGCCTCCTGAGTAACTGGGATTACAGGGGCGTGCCACCACGCCTAACTAATTTTTGTATTTTTAGTAGAGACAGGGTTTCATCATGTTGGCCAGGCTGGTCTCGAACTCCTGATCTCAGGTGATCTGCCCACATCAGCCTCCCAAAGTACTGGGATTAGAGGCATGAGCCACTGTGCCCGGCCCAGTGTACAAATTTTTAGGGTTGATCATTTCTTCATGTAAAATTTGTTAGGAATATTTTTACCCCCACTCACAGCGTGAAACATTATCTATCCTGTACTATAATTATTACATTTCCATAACTAAGTCTGGTCACCTTAAGCACCATGTGAAATACTCAAGGGCAAGGTCCATGTCTAGTTTATCTTTAGAGCCACCTTTGTCCTTCACAGCACTTAGTACCGTAGAAAGCCCTCAAATATTTATTAATGAATGTGTGAATGGTATTTTATCCTTTTCCAAACTCTATTTGTGTTAGAAGATCATATCAATCCTTGATAAGACATAACATGTTTTCGATCCACAGAAAAATGTATACTAATGTGTCAGTCTGTCTCCCTGAGTCACAAAGATGCTGGAGTGATCAAAGTCTTCATTTATTGGGGTGAAAACACTAAATCAGTGCTATCTTGAGGAAAGATACCAAAGCATCCAATGGATAAAGCTTTTGTCTGAAGAAGACATTTTCAGATTATGTGGAAAGGCATTTTTGAAAAACAATCTAACATAAAAGCTATCAGGAAGAGACAGCTTAACTTTGATACTTTGCATAAACAGGGGTCCCATTCCTAACCTTTGCTCACAGAGTGACCTCCTTCCAAGATACACAGGTTGGGTCTTGAAAGAATTAGATTTCTTAGAATGTGACTGTTTTACGTCCTCAAGAAAATAACTACCCGCTTGTTCTTTTCATTTGTACTAGGTAAGTGGAGGTTTGTTTCATAATGTTCATAGTTTTAGTTAGTGTCACCTATAGGTAAACAAAAAATTCTGAACAAATTCTAATTTTGAAAGCATCAAAGGTAAGTTGATAGTGACCATATATCATTATTTGAAAGCTGAAGTAGGCCAGGCGCAATGGCTCACACCTGTAATCCCAGCACTTTGGGAGGCCGAGGCGGGCAGATCACGAGGTCAGGAGTTTGAGTCCAGCCTGGCCAAAACGGCAAAACCCCATCTCTACTAAAAATACAAAAATTGGCTGGGTGTGGTGGCACATGCTTGTGGTCCCAGCTACTTGGGGGGGCTGAGGCAGGAGAATCACTCGAACCTGGGAGGCAGAGGTTGCAGTGAGCAGAGATTGTGCCACTGCACTCCAGCCTGGGTGACAGAGTGAGACTCCATCTCAAAAAAATAAATAAAGTGGAGGTATAAGTGTGAGAATAACTGTGCCTTACTGTGTTCTCAATATGTGTTAAGTAACTGAATATATTATAACATGACCACATATCCACTAGTAGGCTTAGGATATTTTACTTTATCAATGGTCCTTTTTTAATAATCTTCAGTAATGTCTCTAAAAATATTTTGTACATCAACCAAACCATCATTATCATTTCATACTATTCATACTATTCAGATTACACTTTGGGTAGACAACATATTACACATTATTTCACACTACTATATACTATTCATATTATACTTTGGGAAGCCATTTTGTAAGAACAATTACTTGTAATGAGATTTTATGTCTTTATATTTTAACAGTGTCCTAAAATCCTAGCATGATAACTAGGAGAGACAAAGATCTGCCTAGTTTTCTAATTTCAGTGTCTGCCTATATAACTTGTACTCTGATTCTTTTTTCCTATTTTAATTATTCTTCAAAGGAAAGTGTGTAGAAGAGTCTTAAATTTTAAATTAAATAACCTCTTAAAATCAAGTTTTCTATAAACTTTTTTACAGGCAAAAACAAATAGGAGAATCAAAATAGCTATGTCTCAAAGCTGTTGTTTAACAATTTAATATTAAATAATGATCTCAACATATAAATTAATAGTCTGTTTAAGATTTGTCTCCTCACAACCTTCTGTTCCAGAAAACCAAATACAGCAAGAATGAGAGAAATTGCACTGTTGCATTAAAAAGAATTTTCCTGCCGGGCGCAGTGACTCACGCCTGTAATCTCAGCACTTGGGGAGGCCGAGGCGGGTGGATCACGAGGTCAAGAGATCAAGACCATCCTCGCCAACATGGTGAAACCCCGTCTCTACTAAAAATACAAAAAATTAGCCGGGTGTGGTGGCGGATGCCTGTAGTCCCAGCTACTCAAGAAGCTGAGGCAGGAGAATCACTTGGACCCTGGAGGCAGAGGTTGCAGTGAGCCGAGATTTCGCCACTGCACTCCAGCCTGGCGACATAATGAGACTCTGTCTTAAAAAAAAAAAAAAAAGGAATTTTCCTCTCACTTTCTTCTCACCACTACTAGATTAAAGGAGCCCCCTTTTCTTCTGCAGGTGAGAGGTGACAGCGTGCTGGCAGTCCTCACAGCCCTCGCTCGCTCTCAGCGCCTCCTCTGCCTGGGCTCCCACTTCGGCGGCACTTTAGGAGCCCTTCAGCCCACCACTGCACTGTGGGAGCCCCTTTCTGGGCTGGCCAAGGCCGGGGCCGGCTCCCTCAGCTTGCAGGGAGGTGTGGAGAGAGAGGCGCGAGCGGGAACCGGGGCTGCGCGCGTGGCTTGAGGGCCAGCTGGAGTTCCGGGTGGGCGTGGGCTTGGCGGCCCAGCACTCGGAGCAGCCCCCTGCCGGTCCCGGGCAATGAGGGGCTTAGCACCCAGGCCAGCGGCTGCGGAGGGTGTACTGGGTCCCCCAGCAGTGCCGGCCCACCGGTGCTGCACTCGATTTCTCGCCGGGCAGGGCTCGGGACCTGCAGCCCACCATGCCTGAGCCTCCCACCCCCTCCGTGGGCTCGTGTGCGGCCGGAGCCTCCCCTAGGAGCGCCGCCCCCTGCTCCAGGGCGCCCAGTCCCATCGACCACCCAAGGGCTGAGGAGTGCCGGCGCACGGCGCGGGACTGGCAGGCAGCTCCACCTGCAGCCCCATTGCGCGATCCACTGGGTGAAGCCAGCTGGGCTTCTGAGTCTGGTGGGGATGTGGAGAAGCTTTATGTCTAGCTCAGGGATTGTAAATATACCAATCGGCACTCTGTATCTAGCTCAAGGTTTGTAAACACACCAATCAGCACCCCTGTCTAGCTCAGGGTTTGTGAATGCAATCGACACTCTGTATCTAGCTACTCTGGTGGGGACTTGGAGAACCTTTGTGTGGACACTCTGTATCTAGCTAATCTGGTGGGGACGTGGAGAACCTTTATATCTAGCTCAGGGATTGTAAACACACCAATCAGCGCCCTGTCAAAACAGACCACTCAGCTCTACCAATCAGCAGGATGTGGGTGGGGCCAGATAAGAGAATAAAAGCAGGCTGCCCATGCCAGGAGTGGCAACCTGCTCGGGTCCCATTCCACACTATGGGAGCTTTGTTCCTTCACTCTTTGCAATAAATCTTGCTGCTGCTCACTCTTTGGGTCCACACTGCCTTTATGAGCTGTAACACTCACTGCGAAGGTCTGCAGCTTCACCACGAACCCACCGGGAGGAACGAACAACTCCAGATGCGCCGCCTTAGGAGCTGTAACACTCGCCGCGAAGGTCCGTGGCTTCACTCCTGAGCCAGCGAGACCACGAAGCCCACCAGAAGGAAGAAATTCCGAACACATCCGAACATCAGAAGGAACAAACTCTGGACACGCCACCTTTAGGAACTGTAACACTCACCGCGAGGATCCGCGGCTTCATTCTTGAAGTCAGTGAGACCAAGAACCCACTAATTCCGGACACACAGGGACAGCAATCCACTGCTTGCCTTGATGTACGATTGAAGCCTATCACCCCTTCTGCAGCAGTGGCTCCAGTAAGTCTTTCAAACTTTGTGGTTTTGATGGAGACAAATGAGACATCAATTCCCCCAATTTCCTTTGAGGGAAAAGAAGTTTCCTTTGTAAGTTTTCCTTCAAAAGCCAGCCACAGGGTCTGGTTTAAGGAATCTGCCTAATAGGAGTTCTGTTTTACTGGCCACTTGTTACATAATCTAGCAATCAGAAGCTAAAAGAAAAGACTGTGTGTATGGGTCTTAAGAAGATAACACATGCTGGGTGTGATGGCTCATGCCTGTAATCCTAGCACTTTGGGAGGCCAAGGTGGGCAGATCACTTGAGGCCAGGAGTTCGAGACTAGCCTGGCCAACATGGCAAAACCCCTAAAAATAAAAAAAAAAAAATATTCGCTGTGTGTGGTGGTGCACACCTGTAGTCCCAGCTACTTGGGAGGCTGAGGCAGGAGAATTGCTTGAACCCAGGAGGTGGAGGTTGTAGTGAGCCGAGATCACACCACTGCACTCCAGCCTGGGTACAGAGCAAAGCTCTGTCTCAAAAAATAAAAAAAAGAAGACAGTAACACGTAATACTGCAGTATTCAGGCTATTTAAATAATTTTGTGATTGTTATATTCAGTTCTGTCATAGAAGTTTGTAAATCTTTTGAAGTTTTCTCTAAATCTATTTTAAAACACATGTAAAATGGAAATTACTGCTCTATTCAACTATTGTAATATGAACATATTACCACAAAATATGAAAATAAAATTATTTCTGTCAAGGAATTTACATTTTTAAAATACCTATTGCCTTGTAGACTATAATGTGAAATTAACAAGACATGATCCTGGAAAACTGAACAAATATTTCTGTGTTTCACATAAGCTAAATATCCTAAAAAACCAGTTCAGACATTTTTGCGTAAAGGACCAGATAGTAAATACTGCAGATTTTGCAGGTCATACCATCTCTGTTGCACCTACACATTTCTGTTGCACCTTGTAGCATGAGAACAGCCACAGAAAATATGTAAATAGATGTGTTCCAGTAATACTTTATGAAAATAGGTAGTGGACTGCATTTGGCCCACAGATCCATAGTTTGCCAATTTCTAAACCGTGTATTGAGGGGAAAAAATCTTTGTTTCTGAAGGTTCTTTTAGTCAAAATAAACTACTAATCTGTCATTAGATAGAATCACAACTCTTGGCCATAAGTTATAGTAAAATGATCACTCACATAGTATATTTCAACCAATATGACTGTAATTCTGTATGGTTGCTATTTTTACATAAATCATTTAAAATTTCTTCTCAATAGTTAAGTTTCACTCTATCACCCAGACTGGAGTGCGGTGGCACAATCTCCGCTCATTGCAGCCTCTGCCTCCCGGATTCAAGTGATTCTCCTGCCTCAGCCTCCCCAGTAGCTGGGACTACAAGTATGTGCCACCATACCCAGCTAATTTTTGTATTTTTAGTAGAGACAGGGTGTCACCATGTTGGCCAAACTGGTCTCAAATTCCTGGCCTCAAGTGATCCACCTGCCCCAACCTTCCAAAGTGCTGAGATTACAGGTGTGAGCCACTGTGCCTGGCCAGTATCTGCCATTTTTTATTGTACTTCTAACATCTTTTTCTTATCGATTCGTAATTGTTGATTATGGATTTATATAGGGGAAAACTAGTCCCATGTCAATTATATGCCTCACAAATAACTTTATAAGTTTGTTATTAGACTTTTATTTGTTTATGCTTTTTTATTTAGTTTCTTTTTAATTTCTATTTTGAATATATTGATCTCTTCCTTTATGAGTTTCCTTTGTGAATTTCTTGCTACAAATTGGAAGACCCCTCACGCTCCAAGATATTTTATACAATTTAATGTTTTCTTCTAGCATTGTTAGGGTTTTATTTTTAATGGTTAAATTTTGGTTTGTTTTTCCACTGAAAGGAGAGCATCAGTAAAGATGGCAAGATTGAAATCCAAGCAACAGAATTTCCACTGAATAGAAATTTCTGAGGAAAGTGTAAGGACAGGTGTGAGAATTCTGGTGGCAAGGATGAGGAAGCATCCCCCTTCCCAAACAGGAAAGAAGAGCCAAGAGACCTGAAAAGGAGCTGGAGCCAAGAAGGTGAAAAGGTGAGAGTTCCCATTGCAAATAACCTTCTCTCTGTAAATAAAAATGGAAAGGCACCTGCTGAAAGATGGGAGACCATGTGTGAATTTGGGAATCTGAGTAATAATAAAGCTGTTCCTAACAGTGACTGTGCAGTGCAGCACAAAGTTGCCAGGCTGCTAAATTTGGGTTACAGAAATTTGTGAAGATGCCAATTCAGGTTTTTTTGTTTTTATTAAGAAGGATACTAGCAATTCTTAAATCTGTCAGATCAGATTATCTTAAAATTTCTGAAGGCTTTTTTTCCACACAAACAAATAAATATTTATAAAATGAACTATATGCTCATACCCTTAGTGAAAATATATGCACATCAATTTATGACTTGTGTAAGTCAATTACTAATTCAATTACTAATGGGAAATTGGATGAACTCAGTAAAACTGTCTTAACTATGTCTCTTGAGTTTCTTTTTCTATTACATGCTAAATTACAATAAAACCTTGACTACCTAAACTCTCAGAGATTCAGTTTTTTTTTTGTTTTGTTTTTTGGTTTTTTTTGAGTAGTTGAGTATTTGTTTAGAAAACATTGCTGTTGTCTGAGTTGTTCTGTCACAGTAAGAAAAATATTTAGGCCGGGCGTGGTGGCTCACGCCTGTAATCTCAACACTTTGGGAGGCCAAGGTGGGTGGATCACCTGAGGTCAGGAGTTAGAGACCAACCTGGCCAACATGGTAAAACCCCATCTCTACTAAAAATACAAAAATTAGCCAGGCATGGTGGTGGGCACCTGTAATCCCAGCTACTCGAGAGGCTGAGGCAGGAGAATCACTTGAACCCGGGAGGTGGATGTTGCAGTGAGCTGAGATCGTGCTATTTTACTCCAGACTGGGTAACAAGAGCGAGACTGACTCGAAGAAAAAAAAGAAAAGAAAGAAAAATATTTATATTCTCTTCATTAGATAACTAGTATGTATTTACTGTAATAAATTTGGAAAGTATAGAAAAGAAAAAAAAAAAACCAAAGTAAATATAACAAATTACCCAAAAACAAAAAATTAACATTCTGGTTAACAGTCTTCTTGTCTTTTTATCACAGAATTATTTTATATATTCCATAGGTCTAGTTTTCTTGTGCCTGTTTTAACTTGCCGCTCAATGTAGGCCTCAGGTATTCTATAAACTACTGGTCAGGAAATAAGTCAAGAGAGATAACTTAACATTTTTTCTCTCTTATTTAATAGTTTGGGGTAATATAATATTTATATTTTTTATGTTAAAGTTGTCTCAATGCTACCGAGGTTAAAAGTTGTCCAGGCAGTTGCTTTCTTGACAAAGCCCCTTAGGGCAGCCTGGTTGGGGTTGTTTGACTGTTTGTCCTACAGGTGGGATAAAGCATGTCCAGGTTCATGAACTCTGGGGCAGCAGAATATGGTTGCCCATCTGCACAATTAACCAGTGAATCGAGGGCATCAGCTGCATTCTCCCAAATGGTTTTGTCACTCTCCAGAAATTATCTTCCTCTTTGTTGCAAACAGTGCCCTTTGATGTGTCAGCACCATTCAAAGCACCAGCAGTGACTTCTGCATCACTAACACATTTCTGCTTTCTTTGTCAGTTTGCACCCAGGCTTCTATCTCTTTTGCTCAAAATTTTTCCTGAGGCTTAAAAGAAATCTTCCCCTTATTCTTTCCAAAGTATGTCCTAGCATACTTTGCAAAGTATGTCCCAATAAGCATTCGGAAATGACTTATTCTCTCAAGGCTACAAAATCTTTACCCGAAAAATTTTTAAAAAGGTACTTATGCTGACATGATTTCAGGCTATTTTCTCTAAATTGTTCGTGTTTGATTTGACTAGAATACCAGGCATAAGCAGTATTTAAAATTGTATATTCATTATAATAATGGGGTGAGAATTCCTAAATATTACATGCCTGATAAACCTACTTCTTCATTAAACCTCATATGCAGTACAATTTTCTATCTTGAATAAAACTTTTTTTTTATAGGCTAACACAGGGAGTTAATATTTGGTGGCTAGGAGATAGAAATAATGTTCACAGATACCACAATATTTCCTCTAGATGAGCTGAATAATTGTGTGAAAACAGGATATATCGTTATCCTCAGATAAGCCTCTGGTTCTGAAAAGATCCTTCATCAAATGTAAGTAAAAATGGTTCAAGGAGGTTGGGTATGACAAGAGAAAATATCTTTGACTTTCCAAGCATTATTTATACTTTGGGTACTACACTACACTCTAGCATACTCTAGTAACATACAATTTCCTAAATATTAAACTGTCAGCATATTCTTATTCTGTTTAATTCAAATAAACTTTTTTTTTTTTAGATGGGGTCTTGACATGTTGCCCATGCTAGTCTCAAACTCCTGGCTTTAAGCAGTCCTTCTGCTTTGGCCTCCCAAAGTGCTAGGGTTACAGGCATGAGCTACCATGCCTAGCCCAAATAAAATTTTATTGAATGTGTAAAGCTATAAGTTACATTAGACTGGCTGGGCAAGGTGGCTGACGCCTGTAATCCCAACACTTTGGGAGGCCGAGGTGGGTGGATCATTTGAGGTCAGGAATTCGAGACCAGCCTGGCCAACATGGTGAAACCCTGTCTCTACTAAAAATATATAAAAAATGAGCTGGGCATGGTGGCATGCGCCACCAGCTACTTAAGAGCTGCTTAGGAGGCTGAGGCATGAGAATCACTTGAACCCAGGAGACAGAGGTTGCAGTGAGCCGAGATCACGCCATTGCACTCCAGCATGGGTGACAGAGTGAGACCCTGCTTCAAAAAAAAAAAAAAGTTACATTGAACCAACTTTATATGACTTTCATGTATCAAGCTTGAGCCTAAGTTTATTTCATTCTGGGATGCAGGCAAGTCAGGGAAGGAAGGTCTAGGACAAGGAAATCAAGCCAGGAAACAGACCATTCTGTAAAGGTTCAAGTTACCACTGGGGAGGTATGAGAAGGGAAGATCGTTGAGGCTCATAAGTGTGATTCAAGGACAACAGAAAGCATAAAAGAGAAAGGGAGATGTCTGTCTAAAGTAGAGTTTACATCTTAGATTATCCTTTGGAATTTCCCCAATAAGTCTATGTGGGGGAAGGAGACTGTAATAGAATAGCAAGACATTTTAACCATTGAAATTACAAGATACCAGCAGCATTGGGTCCCATAGCTTCTGCAACATGCCATGCCATGGTCTGCAGCTTTGATGGCTACAGCAGTCACAGGGGGTCTGTGATAGACCTCTAGGGCAGCAAGCAGTCACACTGGGCATTGGCAGCTGCTGCAAAGACCTCAATATAATGAGTAAAGAAAAGCAATGGTCCAATACATAGAACAACCAGGGAGGCTGGTCAGGGAAAGGGCAAGATAGACCACCATAATGGTGCTGTTCGTGAGGAATTAAGGAGGCCTGGACTTCCTGCACTGTTACAGACTAAGGCAAAATAATAAAAATAAGATATATCATTGTTATTTTCTTACCCCTAAGCTAGAATACTACAGGAAATTAAGTTATATGGGAAATTGTTTAGAAAGAAGTTTTCTACAAGCCACAAAAGTTTTCTAACACCCCTCTCCCACTTCATCTTTATAGAATTTGCTGGGTTTGTTTTTAATGTCTTCTAAAGTTATCTCACACTGAAGGAATTAGAAATACTTATGGCTGCACTTATCAGGAAACCCAACTGATATGGTTTGGCTGTGTCCCCACCCAAGTCTCATCTTGAATTATAGCTCCCATAATTCTCACATGTTGTGGGAGGGACCCAGTGGGAGATAATTGAATCATGGGGGCGGGTCCCCCATACTGTTCTCAGGTCGTAAATAAGTCTCATGAGAGCTCTTGATCTTATAAGGGGTTTCCCCTTTCACTTGGCTCTCATTCTCTCTTGCCTGCTGCCGTGTAAGACATGCCTTTCGCCTTCTGCCATGATTGTGACGCCTCCCCAGCCATGTGGAACTGTGAGTCCATGAAACCTCTTTTTCTTTATAAATTACCCAGTCTCAGCTATGTCTTTATCAGCAGCGTGAAAACAGACTGATACACCAACTGAGGGTGGTGGGACTAAACACATAAATATTTATCACATAACAAGAAGTCTGAAAGAGGACTTCTGGACTAATTGGCCTTGGTCCAATTGCTCAGTGAAGAGAATTGCTGTCCCAGAAATGTAGTCTGTTTCTGTGGCAGGAAAAAGATGGCCTGGGAAGGTGGAATGAAGAATGCACAAGCACAAACTTCAGGACACTTTCAGTTACATTTCTTGGCTGGTACTGCATTGAATGCCCTTGTATCTGTAAGGGATGCTAGGAAAATTAATATTTAACATTTCCACCTTCTATAGTGGAGGGAGACAAAGGAGAAATAAAAGGAGAATGGTGTTGAGTAAGCCAGACTATAGTGTCTACCCTAAATCACTCTTCAGAAACTCAGTATTTTTCTCTCTATTGAATTTGCACATCATTTCTTCATGCCCATGCAATAAATATTGGGCAAGAGGTACAATCATTTATCTTTTCATTAAAAAATACATTTAAAAGGCTTTATTTGTTTTCCAGTTTGGTTGCATAGTTTTTACCAACTCAACTTTTAAAAAATATTTTATGCTTTTTGAAACAGGGCCTCCATCTGTCACCCATGCTAGAGTGCAGTGGCATGATCACGACTCACTGCAGCCTCAACCTCCCAGGCCCAAATGATCCTCCCGCCTTAGCCTCCTGGGCAGCTGAGACTACAGGCATGCACCACCATGCCCACTAATTTTTTTTTTTTTCTTTGAGACGGAGTCTCGCTCTGTCACCCAGGCTGGAGTGTAGTGGCACAATCTTGGCTCACTGCAACCTCCGCCTCCTGGGTTCATGCCATTCTCCTGCCTCAGCCTCTCGAATACCTGGATCTACAGGCGCCCGCCACACACCCGGCTAATTTTTTTGTATTTTTAGTAGAGACCAGATTTTACCGTGTTAGCCAGGATGGTCTTGATCTCATGACCTTGTGATCCACCCGCCTCGGCCTCCCAGAGTGCTGGGATTACAGGCGTGAGCCACCGCTCCCGGCTAATTTTTTAATTTGTTGTAGAGACAAGGTCTTTTTGCCTAGGCTGGTCTTGCACTCCTGAACTCAAGCCATCCTCCCACTTCAGTATCCCAAAGTGCTGGGATTATAGGCATGAGCCACCATACCCAGCTGTCAACTTTCACTTACATAGAAATCTGCCAAAAACATAACTTTTTTTTTTACATTTTTTGAGTCCTGACATACAATTCGTAGTAAAAAGAGCACTAGATTTTTAGTCTAACAGACTTACTTTTAAATTTTGTCTTTCTATTTTTAGTAGAGATGGGGTTTCACCATGCTGGCCAGCATGGTCTTGAACTCCTGACCTCGTGATCCACCCACCTCAGCCTCCCAAAGTGCTGGAATTGCAATTAGCTGGGCATGGTGGTGCATGCCTGTAATCCCAGCTACTGGGGAGGCCGAGGCAGGCGAATCACTTGAACCCAGCAGGCGGAGGTTGCAGTGAGCCGAGATCGCACCACTGTACTCCAGCCTGAGCGATAGAGTAAGACTCTGTCTCAAAAAAAAAAAATAAATAAAAGTAAAAGTAAAAAATTTGACTTTCTAGATGTAAAATTTGGGACAACTTAATTTCTATGGTAGCTAGTCTTCAAGATGGCCCCTACCGATCTCACCACCTGCTGGCATTCATACCTTTGAATCGCCTTTACCCATGGTGTATAAGGTTGGTCTGTATGATCAATGGATCATGACATAAGTGATGGTATGCCACTTTTAAGATTAGGCTATAAAAAAAGACAGCAGCTTTTGTCCTGGGCTCTGTCTCTCTTGCATTTCCCACTCTGGGGAATCCAGTTTCCACTTCTTCCAGACACCCAGGCAACCCTGTGGAGAGGGCCATGTGACGAAGAATTTGGACACATATGAATTGTTCATGTTCATTTTCCCAGGTTTACTCTTTTTAAAACTCCTTTTGTTGTTTAAGATTAGCACAATTAAAAAAATGTCTTTGCCCTTTGCTTTTTGCTGGAACTAGTGTAGTATACATGTCATTGTACACAGCTGGCTCTATGACATTGCCTTGGCACCCTACTGCAGTGAGGTTGGTTTGTTATTTAAGGTCACTTGCATTTAATAATGAATGTCTTTCTCAGAATGTTGAATGGTCGGTCTGATGTGTCTTTAGTGGGCTACCAACTAAATAAAATATTGACCTATTGATGTAAATGGGCCTTGTCGTCCACTAGAAGGCCTCAGGTGATTTTAATATGTCCCACTAGGGGAATGCACCTCCATTACTGAATGACTGATATGGGGAGGATGTGGTGAAGATGATTGTCTGTCACACACTCTGCAGAGTTTTCCAGTCTTATTTTGCTTTGTCTCTAGCCCTTTGCCCCTTTCCATTGCCGCATCCATTTCCATTCACAGACTCCATGACTGCAACTGCTGCCAACTTTGCTACACAGCCTCAGATCATCTCTACTATTTTTCTTTACACTTTTTAAAAATTACTTTCTTATTTCTTATCTTATGCTACTTCTATACCTCAGTGCTTTCATGCCAGAAAAGAAGTGTGCATATATAAGTGTATAACACACATATACACAAACACATTTATGTGTGTGTATTCTATCTAATTATATATTCAGTTAGAACACTCCTTTTTTTCTTGGTCAACGTAGCATGCTTGGAATAATTTTCAGTTCACTGAACTGTCTTCACTATCATTTGTTGCTGGATACTCAGGGCCTACTTCTTTGCCCCAAGGCAGGGCTTTTGCATTGTTGTTGCTGTTGATTTAGATTTTTAAGTTTGTTTTGTATCTGCAGTAGTTCTAAATGTCTGAGGGTTTTGAAATACTGATTTCTAGAGAGAAGAGATGTCCTCTGCTATTATTTATGGGTCCCAGGCTCTCACCATGGTTATTGCCAATTAGCCCTACCTCCTAACTGGTCTCTTTGCCTCCAGTCTTGCTCTCCCCCATGTACCAATCAATCCTATGTAATTCTGGTAGATACAGCTCATTGAAAACATAACTGGGAAAATGAATGAATCATAATATGGATGACTCTTAAAGACATAATGTTGAGTGAAAAAAGCCAGACACAACAGAAGACATGCTGTATGATTCTGTTTATAACATTCATAAAAGGCAAAATTAAACTATTTTGTTCAGACATGTAGAGAGTAAACTGTTAAGGAAATCAAAGAATAATGATTAGCACCATAGGAGGAACTTTGCATTTGGATATGTTGTAGAATGAGGATTGGGGGCAGGAAAGGCTACATAATTTGTGGGGCCCAATGCCAAATAAAAATATAGGATCCCCTATTCAAAAATTATTATGAATTTCAAGATGGCAACAGCAGAACATAAAACCAAGCAGAGGACCCTTCTCGGTACCAGGCTCTGTGCAATTGCTCAAGTTGCAGACACCCATGAAGCCAGCCCTAATTTGAGGACTGGCTTCTGGGGTTCTGTTAATGCTTTTCTTTTCTTTTAACTTGGGAGGAAGGGAGTCATACATATATTTGTTTCAGAAAAATACTGAAGTTGAACATTTACAATATAAGTACTTTTCTATAAGTTTATGTATTTTACAATTTTTAATGTGAAAAACAAAAGCAATCAGAACTGACCAGACCACTTCCTGCTCAAAAACATATAAAATGTTTTCCCATGTATTAAAATGCTTCCCTTTGCATTTTCATTTGTTGCAGGCTCAGCTCAAATGCCAGCTCATCTATGAAACATCCTAGATTTCTTCTGTTAAAATTAACCATTTCCTTCCTCTCCTCCCTTAGCACTTTCTGTATTATAGCTTTTAATTTCCCTGCTTCAAATCAGACTTCTTTGAAATTGTTTTTTCTGATGAACATGAAATCTTGGAGAAATATTTCAGTCTTATTTCGTATTTAGGACCCTATAGGGCATTAGATAAGTGATTATTGAATTTAATTGAAGTTATTTCCAAAGATTATCATAACCCATTATAAAACCTAAAATGCTCAAAATCCTACACATCAGAAGTCCTTAAACTATTCAGTGATGCGAGGTAACAAAGGTAAAAGTTTCTACACAAACTAAGGTATGTTTGTTCACCTGGTAAAAATTTGAAATAGACACCAAGTGTTTCATGATATCATTCAACATTTTTCTGTGATATCTTTCAAGATTTTTCTGTTTCACATCTGAGACGAATCTCATAGTCATCTTTTTAAGACTTTTAACATTGTAAATGTAATATATTAGGAGGCACTTTTTATGTAATAGACACCCTAGATACCATTTTCACCAGGAGCACATTTTAAAACACTATTACCCACTGTTTTCTTTGAATTTTTTTTCTGGGCATGTTTTAGCTCTCGCTAACACTTTGGGTTTTTTTGATAAACATGTGACTTGGACATTTTCTTACAACAGACAGATGGGTGTGTTCTGTGGGTATTATTTCTCAAATGAAGAAAATGTTCCTCTTTACCAGCATCTGGGTAAGATTTGGATTTCTGTCACAGATTCAAAATATAGACAGAAGTATCATCTCTCTCCTACATAAGGTGACTCTGCAAGTAATCTTTTTCTTTTTTTTTTCTTATGCCAAGCTTTGAAATCACAAATGAAGTATGGGTTCAGAAAAACCACTATTAGTATTAATATTTGGACATATCTATTCATCATTCATTTTTATGGATATCTCCAATCATACTGCCCAGAGAGCCAGTTTACAAGTCTGTGGCAGCATAAACGCCTTTCACATGTAAGTAAAACACTGATGAATAGACTGAAAATAATTTTTTTTAAATAGTGATGAGGTCTCACTATGTTGCCTAGGCTGGTCTCAAACTCCTGAGTTCAAGAGATCTGCCCACCTCGGCCTCCCAAAGTGCTGGGATTATAGGCATGCGCCACAGCGCTCAGCCTGATGAATAGACTTTTAAATGTATACAGAAATAAGAATATTTTATTCATCTGTACATGTAACTTAACTACAAATCCTGCTCGATGGTACAGACATAAATTAAAATAATTCAAGGAAAAATGTCTGCCATTTCTATAAGATAATTTATCTTAATTGACACAAAGATTTTAAATGATTCTTCTCTTACTCTGCTAAGTAATCATATGCAAGGTGGGAAAAATCAACCTTTTATTCTTTGCTGGAGACAATTACAGGAGGAGACTATACAATTTCATTGAAGGATTATTTATGCCCTATGGCATCCCTTTCTCCAACACTTGTCACCTAATGACCAGGGATCAATACCCACAAATACAGTAAGACCTATTTTTAAAGGTTTTCAGCTTAACTGTTTTGTCTCTTAATAAATTTTTATATAGAACATGTGGTTTCTAGGAGCCCCAACTGCTTCAGGGTCTTTGCATTTGTTGTTTTCTCAGCCTGGGGTACTCTCTTTTCAGCTCTTCCCATAACTGGTTTCCTCTCATACACTAAGATGTTACCTCTTCAGAGAGGCCATAGCAACCTCTATCTATGTCAACAGCATTCCCTTCTCCCTGAACCCTGTAGCCAGAAGTTAATATAGAGGGCATGTCTGCAGGCCAAATCTGATCCTCTGTTTTTGTACAGCTCATGAGTTAGGAATGGTTTTAACCTTTTTTTAAAAAAATGGTTAAAATAAATAATATTTAATGACGTGAAAATTGTAAGAAATTCAAATGTTAGTGTCAATAAATAAACTTTTATTAGAACACAGCCCTGCCTATTCATGTATATTGGCTCTATGGCTGCCTTTAGACTTCTTCAGTAGAGTGGAGTAGGGGCAACAAAGATACAACAGCCCACATACAGTCCACATGGCCCTTCCCAGGAAACATTTGTCACCCCCTCCTATAGCCCATTTCACACAATATATCTTGTTACATTGCACTTATCAAATCTGTAATTATGTTTCTTTTTTGTTTGTTTGAGACAGAGTCTTACTCTGTCACGCAGGCTAGGGTGCAGTGGCACAATCTCGGCTCACTGCAACTTCTGGCTCCCAGGCTGAAGTGATTCCATGCCTCAGCCTCCTAAGTAGCCAGTACTACAGGCACATGCCACCACACCTGGCTAATTTTTGTATTTTTTAGTAGAGATGGGTTTTTGCCATGTTGGCCAAGCTGGTCTTGAACTTCTAACACCAGGTATTCACCCAAAGTGGTAGGATTACAGGCATGAGCCACCATGCCTGGCCTGTAATTATGTTTTTTATTTATTAATTTGCTTGCTCTCCTATATGCCTAATGAGGACAGGGACATTGTCTATATCCCCAGTGTCCAGATCAGTAAATACCTGCATGTACTAAGAGGAGCTTATAAAATATTTATTGAATGACTATTAAAAAATAATTGGACAACAGCCAGTGGGATGAAGCCCCTTACCTTGTTTCTATATCCCTCTTTATAGGTGAGGCAGAATGAGGGAAACCCATTTCTTATTAGAATTGATAGCAACAATTCACAAGATTATAAACTACACACAGAAGGCATTTTCACAAAATAGGATCATCACTACTTAAGGATATTAATTTTTATTTGAGCTCTCTAATTTTTGGATGGCTTTATCTAGCTTTGAAAACATGATGATGCCAGGCCCATACAGAAGTTCGGTGATTCCACTGTGGTTTTACTTCTGAATCAGATACAAGCTCCCAGGGAAGAATGGATCTCTGAAAGTTCCATCCCCACAAAAGTTCTTTCCCCTCTAGTGATGCTTTTCATTGATTATATTCGCTGCTCACTTGGAGGCTTGACTCCACACTTTCTTTATTATTTAGAGTTCATCTGTCTCCCAGCAATGCCAGTGGTCTTGAGTTTTTACCCATTAGCAATTGAACCCTAGGAATTATCTATAGTAAACTGTACATATATGCATCTTTTAGCCCAGAGGAAGATTCAGGAGAATTCCTACATAAATCTAAGTTTCCAAAGCCATTTTCTTTCCACTTCTAATGGGGGTAAGCTGTCACACTTGGTAATGAGAATGTGCTCAGGTGCCCTTCAGTGCCCTACACTCAGAATACACAGTGACTTGTCCTGTTTTAAGCTACAGCGTTCCAGAGAGGAGTGATCTTGATGTGAAGAGAAATTACCATTCCAGAATTACAGCACAGTGTTTCGCTATTACAGCTAAGAGTCACCATTTTGCAAGGCAATTCCATGAAGAGAAAAATTATGTTATCATTCAAATAATGAGATAAATATAGAGTTTGCCCTGCTGTGGTGAGACCTGGCTAATAGGTTGAGGTCTTTGGTCTGGAGCTGAGTTGGGGAGCAGGTCATGCTAAAAAAAAAAAAAAAAAAAAAAAAAAAAGAGCAAGAGAATCTAATAAACCTGAGTGATTTATTCATTAAAACATGTGGAATAGGCGGGGTGCGGTGGCTCATGCCTGTAATCCCAGCACTTTGGGAGGCCGAGGCATGTGGATCACCTGAGCTCAGGAGTTCGAGACCAGCCTGACCGATAAAAGACCAGTATTTTAGTAGCTGTCTCTACTAAAAATACAAAAATTAGGTGGGCATGGTGGTGGGCACCTGTAATCTCAGCTACTCGGGAGGCTGAGGCAGGAGAATCACTTGAACCCAGGAGGTGGAGGTTGCAGTGAGCCAAGATTGTGCCACTGCACTCCAGCCTGGGCGACAGAGCGAGACTCCGACTCAAAAAAAAAAAAATGTGTAATATTAGTGAACTACCCTAGTGCTGTTACGTGACTCATTGCCTGTGGTTTAACAAATGCCCTGTGGCTTCTATTGATCTTTGCTGCATGTTTCTAAAACCATATTTGTTTTATCTGTGCATAGCAGCATCTGAATACAAAGGGCATGTCTGTCTCCAATGTTCAATAGAGAAGGGAGGTTCACCAATAGTCCCTCTAAAAAGGTGACTGGTTATAAATTGTAATAGTCTTTAGGGCCTCTAAAATGAATTTCATGTGTGCATATAATAGAAACCAGACCATCCCCAAAATATTATCCACTTTTCTTAAAAGAAATCTGTCCAGTCATTTTTGAATGATGAGTAACTAAGAAAATATTTGATTTGTTTATATATATTACATGACCTTAGAATTTTATAGCCTAAAGCTCATAAAAAGACATGTATGTGCACTCAGGGGTAGAGTGATTCACTTCACATATTTAC
The DNA here is from genome assembly GCF_000001405.40 of Homo sapiens. Taxonomy (NCBI): domain Eukaryota; kingdom Metazoa; phylum Chordata; class Mammalia; order Primates; family Hominidae; genus Homo; species Homo sapiens. The sequence continues at coordinate 153,140,561 of NC_000003.12, read as the reverse complement.
ACTTTAGCAGAATGTGTACGTCTTGTGAGATGTACAGTACTGAGAACTCTGGGTTTGATTTTAGGGAAGGCTATGACTTTCTCTTTAGATGCTGGATGTTTCCTCTTGGTAGACAGTGTGAATTGTTTTTTCTCTTTTTCTTTAGCATCCAGGAAATAAATTCAAAACTCCACTTTAGTTCAAATTTTTAGTTGTTTAAAATGCGAAGGGCTATCTTTTTTTTTTTTTTTTTTTTTTTTTTCAGACGGAGTCTCGCTCTGTCGCCCAGGCTGGAGTCCAGTGACTGCAATCTCGGCTCACTGCAAGTTTCGCCTCCTGGGTTCATGTCATTCTCCTGCCTCAGCCTCCCAAGTAGCTGGGACTACAGGTGCCCGCCACCAAGGCTGACTAATTTTGTGTATTTTTAGTAGAGACGGGGTTTCACCGTGTTAGCCAGGATGGTCTCGATCTCCTGACCTCGTGATCCACCCACTTCAGCCTCCCAAAGTGCTGGGATTACAGGCGTGAGCCACCAAGCCCGGCCTTTTTTTTTTGAAACTGAGTCTCTCTGTCACCTAGGCCGGAGTGCAGTGGTGCCATCTTGGCTCAGTGCAACCTCCGCCTCCCAGGTTCAAGCGATTCTCCTGCCTCAGCCTCCCCAGTAGCTGGGATTACAGGGGCCCGCCACCACGCCCAGCTAATTTTTGTATTTTTAGTAGAGACGGGTTTTCGCCGTGTTGGCCAGGCTGGTCTCGAACTCCTGACCTCAGGTGATCCACCTGCCTCGGCCTCCCAAAATGCTGGCATTACAGGCGTGAGCCACCACGCCCGGCCCAAGGGCTGCCAGTCTATGCATTCTAACATTTCCCCTTGAGTTTCCTGGACAGTGCACAGATTACTTCACCTTACTAGGCCTCAGAGTTCTTATCAGTACAATAAAAGCATCAGGAAGCATCCATACTTTCCAAATTATTTTGGAGCAGCACTCGAAGGGCCTCCTCTAGCAGGAGAAGCTTCAGGCTGAAGGTGGGCTTCAGGGTGGACTGAGGACTGAAGGTGGACTGCTAACTCCCTCCAATTCAAAAGCAATGACAACACCATTTTAGTTAGTTTGTACCCTAAGAAAAGACCTCTCTGGAACACAATGTTAGTAGAGCATGAGAACTCTTCCGCCTCATAATTTCCGAGGCCTTTTCAGCTTTATAAGGTTTTAGACACAGATTAGAATCAAAACACTGGAATTACGATTTAGGTTCTTCCACTAACTTGCTGTGTAATGTAGGCATGTCACTCCTCTTCAGGCCTTCAATTTTTTTCATCTATAAATTTAGAGAATTGAATGCAGTGATTTTGAAGGTTGCCTCTGCTTTAAAATGCTTTCTTTATTCTCTATCATCCACTTTCCCAGGTATCTGCACACAATGGCCTCAGGTAGAGAGATAAATGGGACTTAAAGAGAGGAAGGTTACACTGCTTCCTCCTTTGTTTTCTTTTCTGTCGCTTGATGTTATGACTGAACCCATTTCAAGAAAAGTAAATAAAAGAAAGGATAAGTGGAGAATTGGATAAGCAGAGACATAACATTTAAATATGGCATCGTTGTGAAACTGTTTTATTTGCTCCAGGAAAGATTCATGAAAGTAACCTGTGAGGTTCTGACAAAGGACTGAGTCAGACTAAGATTACCTCACAACATTGCAATCTTACTTGTTTATAGCCAAACTGACTGCTGACCTGACAGAACATGTTGGGGATTTTCCTCCCTGCCAGCTTCCGCCATGGCAATGCCGAGTCATGCTTTCCCTACCCACTGGTTTCTGGAACACACTGCACTTAGTATCATAGGAAATGGGCAGGGTAGTTTCACCCACTGAGGTTCTTTACAGCAGTTTCCATTAATGAGACTTATGCACTGTATCCTTGGGCAACATTCTCATAAATTATGATGTGGTATCAAAATGTTATCCTAAATTATGTGCATACCTTCATTTCCTTGCAATTCCTGTATTCTATTCCCATCATGACAAGGAGGGGAACATTTTGGCCCCAGATAAAGGTTACCAAAGGAATGCTATTGACTCAAGGGTTCCCTTAAGAGCCCTAGAACTACTTAAGGGTATGTACTAGCATGTACTGGCCAAGGAAAGAGGTCATGCTTTAGAAGGGAGGTCTGTAGCCATTACCCATATTGGCTATTACCTGGTCCACTCACATTCCACACCCACTGGCATTTAGAGTTAGATTTCAGGCCTCTGAAGTTTTTTCCAAAGATATTTAGTCCTCCGCTTCTCCAATCACTTCCTGTTTGCTTTAGGATCTGTCCCTAGAATGTTTTTCTTTTAAGAATTGTTTGGCCAGGCGAGGTGGCTCACGCCTGTAATCCCAATACTTTGGGAGGCTGAGGCTGGAGGATCACCTGAGGTCAGGAGTTTGAGACCAGCCTGGCCAATATGGTGAAACCCCATCTCACTAAAAATACAAAAATTAGCCAAGTGTGGTGGCGGGCGCCTGTAACCCCAGCTACTGAGGCAGGAGAATCGCTTGAATCCAGGAGGCGGAGGCTGCAGTGAGTTGAGATCGTGCCATTGCACTCCAGCCTGGGTGAAAAGAGTGAAACTCCATCTCAAAAAAAAAAGAAAGAAGAAAAAAAAAAGAATTTCTTAACTTACTTACATTTCCTGCCTCTCCTGAAACTTCATCACACTCTCTTTCGCATAAGACTTTACCCCCACTTTCTTACCACCTGGAGTAATAGGAAGTGAGCATTTGTTGCATGATATCAAATCTCACCACTCTTCTGTTAGTTCCTCAATCATACAACAGAATCCTTTTATAATATTGGTGAAAGATAGACTATTACAGTCACATATTCTTCACATGGCAAATGGGGAAGGGGTCCTTTTCATAGGCATCAGGTATTTGGGCAGTAACTACAGAGGTGGCCTCTGGGAGAGAAGTAGTTCAATGGAGCTTGTAAACATTAATCACCAAGTCAAAAAAAAAAAAAACAGAATAATTTCTTCCTCCTGTATACACATACAGACTCCAGATGGTCGTGTTAAGCCTTTGTGACATTTTATCTCCCTCAAGATTGTTCTTAAAGATTTTCATTCAAATGTATTCAACTAATTACTTATTCAACTAATTTCAGCCTAGTGGTTTAACCAAGGGGCTCACTGAACCTAGTTTTAATTTTTCTTATTTTTTAATTTTCTTAAAAAAAATTTTTTAGACTGGGTGCAGTGGCTCACACCTGTAATGTCAGCACTTTGGGAGGCTGAGGCGGGCGGATCACCTGAGGGCAGGAGTTCAAGACCAGCCTGACCAACATGGAGAAACCTTGTATCTACTAAAAAATACAAAATTAGCTGGGCATGGTGGTGCATGCCTGTAATCCCAGCTACTGGGGAGGCTGAGGCAGGAGAATCGCTTGAACCCGGGAGGCGGAGATTGCAGTGAGCCGAAATGGCGCCATTGCACTCCAGCCTGGGCAACAAGAGTGAAACTGGTATAAAAAAAAAAAATTCTGTTTATAACTTCACTAGGACTAGTTTTAATTTTAAAAGAGAAAATTATCAGGTTGAATACATGCAAACTTTTACTTTCTTAAAATAACTAAAAAAATTAATTGTAGATTTTTTTTCTTTTTTTTTTTGAGACAGAGGCTCACTTACTGCCCAGGCTGGAGTGCAGTGGTGCGATCTCAGCTCACTGCAACCTCTGCTTCTCAGGTTCAAGCAATTCTCAGGCCTCAGCCTCCCGAGTAGCTTGGATTACAGATGTGCATCACCATGCGTGGCTAATTTTTGCATTTTTAGTGGATACGGGGTTTTGCCATGTTCACCAGGCTCATTTTGAACTCCTGGCTTCAAGTGATCTGCCCACCTTGGCCTCCCAAAGTGCTGGGATTACAGGTGTGAGCCACTTCGACCAGCCCTAATTGTAGATATTACATCTTCTCCATAACATCAACTTAACCTGAAGTATTTCTAGAAAATTACAAGAATAAACTTTGAAGTTAGAGAATTCTGTGAAAAACAATGAAAAAGAATCAAGTTGGCTTTAATCTTGTTTTAATTTAATTTAGGGGTAAGTTTGCTATTGAAAAAGTAGAACTTAGGAAAAGTACTAGTACTTTAAAGAGGAAGCAATACAAAGAAAAATATGCTATGTATAATTTATTTACAAATTTATTTACAAATTTATTTACAAATATTTTCCCCTTAACTGCTTACATGAAAATAACAAGTGGCCAGGCGCGGTGGCTCACACCTGTAGTTCCAGCACTTTGGGAGGCCAAGGCAGGTGGATCACCTGAGGTCAGGAGTTTGAGACTACCCTGGCCAACACGGTGAAACCCCGTCTCTACTACAGATATAAAAATCAGCCCAGCATGGTGGCACATGCCTGTAGTCCCAGCTACTGGGGAGGCTGAGGCAGGAGAACCATTTGAACTTGGGAGGCAGAGGCTGCAGTGAGCTGAGATTGCACCATTGCACTCCAGCCTGGGTAACAGAGTGAGACTCTGTCTCAAAAATAAATAAATAAATATATAACAAGTATTTTGCTGGAATACTCTAACTCATGGATATGCAACATAAACTGTTATTTTGAGGAGACTGATTAGAGCAATAATGAAACTCCAGTCTCCCACAAAAAAAAGTAAATAAATTTATTTTGAATGCATATCATCATATTAATATTTATTTAGAAGAAAGGAGCCCACAATTTGGAAGACCTTTGTCCATAAGACTTCTAAATGGTTTCTGGCATCATCCAATCCTGCATTAGCTAATAGGTTGGTCAGAAGACACTTTCTAGTAGCACTTCCAAATAGTATGCTCTAAATTGAAAGGCAAAGCTTGCTTAGACAACAGACATAAAAAGACAGTTTGGGGAACACAAGATGCTAAATGGTTCCTCACACCAACACATACTACAGTATTTAGCACTACTGCTGGTCCTGAAGCATACTCAACAATTGCACATTAAATAGGTGTTGTGGCTGGGGGCAATGGCTCACACCTGTAATCCCAACACTTTGGGAGGCTGAGGCTTGAAGATCACTTGAGATCAGGAGTTCAGTACTAGCCTGGGCAACATAGTAAGAGTCCGTCTCTACAAAAAAAAATTTTTTTAATTAGCTGGCAGTGGTGATGAGTACCTTTAGTCCTAGCAACTCAGGAAGCTGAGGTGGGGGGATAGCTTGAACCCAGGAATTAGAGGTTACAGTGAGCTGTGATCACGCTACTGCACTCCAGCCTGGGTGACAGAGCCAAACCAGTGAATGAATTGGCTCATCTCACTGCTGGGACTGGTGAACTTTATAGACTCTTGACTTATTAAATGTTACCCACAATACTTCCCTTTTTCACTAATTTATTCCTCCAAGAGATCTTTAATTCCTCTACCTCCCTAGATCATGTTACTAGTTATTACTTTCCTAAACATGCTTCTCCGTTTGCGTGACTCCAAACTATCCTCGACTTTCATTCCTCTCTAGATTTGTTCTTTGCCACAAAGCCCAATTCTTCTCCCTGAGATTTAACTACAGCACTATGGGAAATAGATGATAGCTATAAGGTAAGGGGGAGAAGGGGGAGACAGGTACATGGGCATTAAAATCAGGGAGCAAAACAGCAAGACAGCAAGTTAGAAAGACAATTTAAATGCATATCATTTTTCTAGTTTAGGTAAAATCCACGTTGTATGGCCAAGGTTACCTTTTACAGGAAAATTTCCCAAAATTAATCCATTCTGCAATGGGATTAAGACTCGAATGAGATTAAAGCACTTTCCTAGTTGAGATCAGGATGAGTCAGTTAAAATACAACCATTGCATCCAGGAAATATACTTCAAAACAGAGAAGTTCACTTTGGGCAATGGGACTGCCTGAGATAAGCATAAGGAAAGCTTCTGGGTGCTGGATGTGTTCTGTATCTTTATCCAGGTGATGGCTACATGGGTATATACTTACGTAAAATCTGTCAAGCTTTACATTTAAGACCAGGCACTTTACTGTAAAAAAACACCTATATTTCAATAAAAAATAAATAAGACCCGGGCTTGGTGATGTGCACTTGTAGTCCCAGCTACCCAGGAGGCTGAGAAGGAAAGATCACTTGAGCCCAGGAGTCCTGAGCTGTAGTGTGCTTTGTGGAGTAGGTGTCCACACTAAGTGGAGAATCAATATGGTGACCTTCTGGGAGCAAGGGACCACCAGGTTGACTAATGAAAAGTGAATAGGGTCGGGTGTGGTGGCTCACGCCTGTAATCCCAGCACTTTGGGAGGCCGAGACGAGCGAATCACATGAGGCCAGGAGTTTGAGACCAGCCTAAACAACATGGTGAAACCCTGTCTCTATTAAAAATACAAAAATTAGCTGGGTGTGGTGGTGCATGCCTGTAGTCCCAGCTACTCAGGAGGCTGAGGCAGGAGAATCGCTGGAACCCAGGAGGCGGAGGTTGCAGTGAGCCGAGATCACACCACTGGACTCCAGCCTGGGCGACAGAGAGAGACTCCATCTCAAAAAAAAAAAAAAAAAAGAATTTAGGTAAAACAGAACCTGAGAGCAATAGTTTGGTAGCATTTCCCAGCAATTTGTAAGGTGACGTGATGGTCTCTGAGGGCCATAATGTCTAGAAGTAGCAAGGAGAGGGGCAGTCCACCACAGGATCTTATTTATTTATTTACTTTTATTTTTGAGACAGAGTCTTGCCCTGTTGCCCAGGCTGGAGTGCAGTGGCGCAATCTTGGCTCACTGCAACCTCTGCCTCCCGGGTTCAAGTGATTCTCCTGTCTCAGCCTCCAGAGTAGCTGGAATTACAGGGGTGTGCCACCATGCCTGGCTAATTTTTGTATTTTTAGTAGAGATGGGGTTTCACCATGTTCACCAGGCTAGTCTTGAATCCCTGATTTCAAGTGATCCGCTTGCCTTGGCCTCCCAAAGTGCTGGGATTACAGGCATGAGCCGCTGCGCCTGGCCTAGGATCTTATTTTTTTCATTGCACATGCACCATTCTAACCCCTAATTCTAAATTAATAAATTGGCCGGGAACGGTGGCTCATGCCTGTAATCCCAGCACTTTGGGAGGCCGAGGTGGGCGGATCACCTGAAGCTGGGAGTTTGAGACTAGCCTGACCAACATGGAGAAATCTCGTCTCTACTAAAAATACAAAATTAGCCGGGCATGGTAGCGCATGCCTGTAATCCCAGCTACTCGGGAGGCAGAGGCAGGAGAATCACTTGAACCTGGGAGGTGGAGGTTGTGGTGAGCTGAGATCATGCCACTGCACTCCAACCTGGTTGACAAGAGCGAAACTCTGCCTCAAAAAAAATATTAATTGATTAATTAATTTTCTGGTGTATATATTCAGCCTCTTTTGCATCTGAATGGCTTAATGAACCAGTTTTCTGCATGTCCTTCCCACTTTATGAGGCAATCACCAAAGATCTGGAGTAACCAGGCTAATTGTAATTTCTGGACCCATAATGACCCTATTGACCTTCAGGTTCTAGTGTCCTATCAGCCTTCCTAATGTCAAAGCTAAGGGTAGAAATCCCCTGGTTGACAATTTGTGGGTAATGGGGTGGAGGAGAGGTTATATACAGTATTGTTTCTTTCCATCTTGAAAGGGTGATAACAGACAAAACTAAGCTGGTATTTAAAATACTACTCTCTAAATTGACGTTTTTGCTTTTGTGAAGTAATATTGCTGCAGACACTAAAATGTGTTTCAAAACACTTACAATACAACATTTGGTAGGTTGGTGTTGCCCAGTAAAAGGAATATAAAGAAAAGCATCTGAAAATATGTGAAGATGGACTTCATTTTAATATGTTTAAAATGCAATGGTGGCCGGGCATGGTGGCTCAAGCCTGTAATCCCAGCACTTTGGGAGGCCGAGGCGGGCAGATCACTTGAGGCCAGAAGTTCAAGATCAACTGGGGCAGCAAAGTGAGACCCCATGTCTCCAAAAAAAAAAAAAAAAAAATTAGCCAGGAGACCAGCCTGGGCAACATGGTGAAACCCTGTCTCTACAAAAAATACAAAAATTAGCCAGGCATTGTGGTGCGCACCTGTGGTCCCACCTATTTAGGGGGTTGAGGTGGGAGGATCGCTTGAAGCCAGGAGGTAGACAGAAGCTGCCATGAACCGAGATCACACCACTGCACTCCAGCCTGGGTGACAGAGCCAGACCCTGTCTCAAAAAAAAAAAAAAAAAAATTAGCCAAGAGTGGTGGTATGCACTTCCTTGCTACTTGGGAGGCTGAGGCAGGCGGATCACTTGAGCCTAGGAGTTTGAGGCTGCAGTGAGCTATAATTGCACCACACCACTGCACTCCAACTTAGGCAACAGAGCAAGACCCCATCTTAAAAAAGGAAAGAGGCTGGGCGCAGTGGCTCACTCCTGTAATCCCAGCACTTTGGGAGGGCAAGGTGGGTGGATCATGAGGTCAGGAGATCGAGACCATCCTGACTAACACGGTGAAACCCTGTCTCTACTAAAAATACAAAAAATGATCCGGGCATGGTGGTGGGCGCCTGTAGTCCCAGCTACTCGGGAGGCTGAGGCAGGAGAATGGCGTGAACCCAGGAGGCAGAGCTTGCAGTGAGCCCAGATCGTGCCACTGCACTCCAGCCTGGGTGACAGAGTGAGACTCTGTCTCAAAAAAAAAAAAAAAAAAGGAAAGAAAAATAAAATGTCAAGGGAAAAGTGTTCTAGACCTTTACTTAGTGGGAAATGCAATATTTACAGGCATGCTGTACATATTTGCTGACTGGCTGAAAGGGAAATCAGTTCTGAATGTTCTGACATGCCCCAAAAATGGAAAACACTCATCCATATGTAGCCTAGGCAGTCATTTATATGTGAAGAGGTAATATGGATTTAAGAATAATTATCCCAAATTTCACAGCCTCCAGAGAAGCCTACATGTCACAATCGCTAAAAGCAGATACTTATCATTTAAACAATCTTCCTTGCTATTCTATTTTGGGAAAGGCATTCCTGAAAAATATGTAAGAAGCTAATAAGGCCGGGTGCGGTGGCTCACGCCTGTAATCCCAGCACTTTGGGAGGCCGAGGCGGGTGGATCACAAGGTCAGGGGATCGAGACCATCCTGGCTAACACAGTGAAACCCCATCTCTAATAAAAATACAAAATAAATTAGCCGGGCATGGTGGCGGGTGCCTGTAGTCCCAGCTACTCAGGAGGCAGAGGCAGGAGAATGGCATGAACCCAGGAGGCGGAGCTTGCAGTGAGCCGAGATTGCGCCACTGCACTCCAGGCTGGGTGACAGAGCAAGACTCCATCTCAAAAAAAAAAAAAAAAAAGGCTAATAAAAGGAAAGATTTATATTTAATAATTTGCATTCCAAATGTAAAATAGATACAAAAATTATCATGAAATATTTTTTCCTAGCACATTTCAATAACTTTGCTAAATTGTAATGACGAAAATGTTTTTTAAATCATGCAATATCAAGAAATTATATGTGAGACAGAAATGCACTGAAGAGAAGTCTTCAGTGCTGTCGTCAATCACAGGAAAGCCAGAGCTCGAGTAAAACTAAAAAGGCTCTGATCATTTTGAGTATGTCACAGATTTTTGTTTTCTAAAATTCATCAATGATGTCACAAAGCAAACAAAAGCAAGTTCTGAGCTGAGGTTTTCTCTATTTAAGGAGTCTGATTTGGGCATAAGGCTCTGTCTCCACTCCATCTATCATCAGTCTAGTGAACCAATTCAATTTAATGAGCATTTATCACTGAAATTTTGTGGCCCTTAAGACCATGCTATAGAAACTACTTAAAAAGAAGTAAAAACAATGTGAGTCATAATTTTAGTATGCTTAAAGATGAGTAAGACAGCTCAGGGGGGAACTGAAAACTTCCTTGTTGTAACTTCTTGGTAATTAAGATTTAGTGAAAGCTCTGAAAATATCTGAGGGATACTCATGTTGAGGTTCCTTAGTATTCCTTATCAAAGTGTTAGAATCTAATATAGTTTTATTTATAGAGTACTCCCACTGAAACTACTAATAGAAAACTATGTGTAAAAAGGTTGTAAGTCATGGACTGATAGTCAAAGTGAGAGCAAATCTTGCCATTCACAGTGCTTTTTCAACAAGAACATTTTTACATATATCTAAACGTACAAATTTTTCTTAAAAAAATCTGGAGAGCTTCAAAATGATTTTACTGTGTTTCAGTTGGGCCTAAGCAAATGTTGATTTTAAGACTTTAAAGATGGGCAAGTGCGTTAGTTTTCACCCACACTTCCCAGTGGGATAGTAAAACATGGCTTTGTATAATTCTTAGAATTTTAACTCTATATAAGTTTCATAAAAATACATTTACTGCCTAAAATAAAATTTTAACCAAGACACTTTAATAAACTTAAAAAAAGAATTTCCAGCTGGGTGCAGTGGCTTACACCTGTAATCTCAGTGATTTGGAAGGCTGAGACGGATGATTGCTTGAGCCATGAACTTAAGACCAGACTGGACAACATAGCAAGACCCTATCACTAAATAAAAAAAATCAAAATATTATCGGAGTGTGGTGATGCATGCCTGTAGTCTTAGCTACTCAGGAGGCTGAGGCAGAAGGATTGTTTGAGGCCCAAGAGGTCAAGCCTGCAGTGAGCCGTAATCACACCACTACACTACAGCCTGTGCAACAAGCAAGACCCTGTTTCAAAAACAAAAAATTCTATCACTCAACATTACTTTTCTTGACACAGGATCCTTGAAAACAATACTATGGAATACTATGTTGCTAATAGTTTTTATTATTTGTGTGTGTGTGTGTGTGTATAAAACATATAAAATGTTTTTAAACTTCTGCTTTCAGAGTTCAATAAGGAAGTGTAGTTTTCTTTAAAAATTTCTTGAAACAAATGAAAATAGAAATAAAACATGTCGTTTTCAAGGTGGCGGGCCCCTCCCGCCCCGGCGCCACGGCGTTCTGGAGCCGGGACTTTTCTGAAGAAGAACAATCCGTAGTGTACGTTCAAGGAATTTCTACTGAAGGAAATGTCAGATCAAGACACATGCTGATGAGTCCAAAAGCTGATGTTAAACTTAAGACTTCCAGGGCGACTGATGCTTCAATCTCCATGGAGTCTTTAAAAGGTGCAGGAGATTCAGTAGATGAACAGAGTTCCCGCAGGGGAGAAATAAAGAGTGCATCATTGAAGGATTTATGTCTTGAAGACAAAAGATGCATTGCAAACTTAATTAAAGAACTGGCCAGAGTAAATGAGGAAAAGGAAGTGACAGAGGAAAGATTGAAAGCTGAGCAGGAGTCATTTGAGAAGAAGATCAGGCAGTTAGAAGAACAGAATGAACTGATCATCAAAGAAAGGGAAGCTCTTCAGCTACAGTATAGAGAATGCCAAGAACTTCTAAGCCTGTATCAGAAATATTTATCAGAAGAACAAGAGAAGCTCACCATGTCTCTCTCAGAACTTGGTGCTGCTAGAATGCAGGAACAGCAGCTATATAACAATCCATACATCTGACAGAGGACTAATATCCAGAATCCACGAGGAACTCAAACAAATTAGCAAGAAAAATATAAACAATCTCATCATAAAGTGGGCTAAGGACATGAATAGACAGTGTTCAAAAGAGATACACAAATGGGTAACAAACATATGAAAAAATGCTCAGCGTCACTAATGATCAGGGAAACGCAAATCAAAACCACAATGAGATACCACCTTACTCCTGCAAGAATGGCCATAATCACAAAATAATGGATGTTGGTGTGGATGTGGTGAAAAGAAAACACTTCTACACTGTTGGTGGGAATGTAAAGTAGTACAACCACTATGGAAAACAGTGTGGCAATTCCTTAAAGAACTAAAGGTAGAACTACTATTTGATCCAGCAATCCCCACTACTGGGTATCTACCCACAGGAAAAGAAGTCATTATACAAAAAAGATACTTGCACGTGCATGTTTATAGTAGCACAATTCACAATTGCAAAAATATGGAACCAGCCCAAATGCCCATCAGTCAATGAGTGGATAAAGAAATTGTAGTATATATATATATATGATGGAATACTACTCAGCCATAAAAAGGAACAAATTAATGGCATTTGCAGTGACCTGGATGGAACTGGAGACTATTGTTCTAAGTGAAGTAACTCAGGAATGAAAAACCAAATATTGTATGTTCTCACTTATAAATGGTGGCTAAGCTATGAGGATGCAAAGGCATAAGAATGATAAAATGGACTTTGGGGACCTAGGGGAAAGGGTGGGAGGGGAGTGAGGGATAAAAGACTACAAATTGGGTTCAGCATATACTGTTTGGGTGATGGGTGCACCAAAATCTCACAAATCACCACTAAAGCACTTACTCATGTAACCAAATACCACCTGTTTCCCCAAAACCTATGGAAATAAAAAATTTTGAAGATGATATAAAATTCAAAAAAAGAGGTGGGCAAAGAACATGAGTAGACATTTCTCAAAAGAAGACCGACAGATGGCCAACAGGTGTATGGAAAAGTGCTCAGCATTACTAATCATCAGAGAAATGCAAATCAAAACTAGAGTGTCATACCATCTTACCTTAGTCAGAATAGCTAATATTAAAAAAAAACCAACAAATAGCAGATGTTGGCAAGGATGCAGAGAAAAGGGAACTCTTACACTGTTGGTGGGAATGTAAAGTAGTACAGCCACTAAGGAACATAGTATGGAGGTTCCTCATAAAACTAAAAATAGAATTACTATTTGATCCAGTAATCCCACCACTGGGTCTCTACTCAAAGGAAAAGAAATCAATATATCAAAGGAATACATGTGTTCCCATGTTGATTATAGCACTATTCACAAAAGCAAAGATACTGGAATCAACCTAAGCTTTCATCAATAGATGAATGGGTAAAGAAAATGTAGTATATCTACAATGGAATACTATTCAGCTATAAAAAAGAATGAAATCATGTCATTTCCAGTAACGTGGATGGAACTGGAAGTCATTATCTTAAGTGAAATAAGGTAGGCAAAAAAAGAAAAATATCGCATCATCTTCTCACTTATGTGTGGGAGCCAAAAAATTTGATCATATGCAAGTAGAGAGCAGAAGGATAAGAGACTGCGAATGGTGAGTGGAGGGGAGGAGGGAGCATGACGAGAAATTGGTTAAAGGGTACAATACAGTAAGTTAGAAGGAATAAATTCAGTGTTTCAGAGCAGAGTAAGGTGAGTATAGTTAACAAAAATGTATTGTAAACAGGTGAAGGATACCCTAAATACCATGACTTGAACATTAGGCATTATATACACGTAATAAAATATCACATGTATGCCATAAATTTGTACAAATAAAAAAAATAGTTCTTAAAAAAAAAGAAGGAAAGAAAACATATCAGCCGGACAAGCCTGTAATCCCAGCACTTTGGGAGGCCAAGGCGGGTGGATCACCTGAGGTCAGGAGTTTGAGACCAGCCTGACCAACATGGCAAAACCCTGTCTCTACTAAAAATACAAAAAATTAGCTGGGTGTGGTGTAGGACGCCTGTAATCCCAGCCTCCAGAGGCTGATGCAGGAGAATCGCTTGAACCCGGGAGGCAGAGGCTGTAGTGAGCCAATATCACGCCATTGCACTCCAGCCTGGGCATCAACTGTGAAACTCTGTCTAAAAAAATAAATAAATAAAAAATAAAATAAAACATATCAAAATCTATGTGATAAAGCAAAAGCAGTACTAAGAGGGAAGTTTATAGCAATAAACAGCCCATCAAAAAAGCAGAACAACTTCAAATAAGCAACCTAATGATGCACCTCAAAGAAATAGAAAAGCGAGTATAAAATGATCAAACCCAAAATTAGTAGAAGGCAAGAAAAAATGAGGATCAGAGCAAAAATAAATGAAACTGAAACTAAAAAAGTAATACAGAATACCAACAAAATGAAAAGATGATTTTTTTCAAAAGATAAAGTTGACAAACTTTTAGCTAGACTAAGAAAAAAAGAAAACCCAAACAAATAAAATCAGAAATGGAAAAGGGATCATAACAACTAATGCTGCAGACATACAAAGAATCATTCAGAGACTATAATGAACAACTATATGCCAACACATTGGAAAACCTGGAATAAATGGATAAATTTCTGGACACATACAATCTGCCAAGATTGAACCATAATGAAACAGAAAAACCTTAACAGACCAGTAACAAGCTGGGTGTGGTGGCGGGTGCCTGTAGTCCCAGCTACTCCAGAGGCAGATGCAGGAGAATGGTGTGAACCCGGGAGGCTGAGCTTGCAGTGAGCCGAGATCGCACCACTGCACTCCAGCCTGGGCAACAGAGTGAGACTCCATCTCAAAAAAAAAAAAAAAAGAAAAGAAAAAAAGTCTCTTAAAAAAAACTCAGGATTTGATGGCATCACTGTTAAATTCTACCAAACATTTAAAGAACAAATGCCAGTTCTATCAAACGCTTCAGAAAAACTGAAGAGAACGGAATACTTCCAAACTCATTCTGAAGCCAGCATTGCCCTGATACCAAAACTAGACGATGACACAACAAAAAAAACTACAAGCCAATATCACTAATGAAAATAGGTAGAAAAATCCTTAACAAAATAATAGCAAACCAAATTCAACAACACATTAAAAAGATGATTCACCATGATCAAATGGGAATCATCCCAGGGATGCAAAGATGGTTCAACATATGCAAATCAATAAATCTAATACATCATATTAGCATAACCAAAAACAAAAACCATATGATTATTTCAATACAAGCTGAAAAACCATTCAATAAAATTCAACATCCCTTTATGATAAAACACCCTCATCAAAATAGGCATAGACAGACTATACCTCTAAATAATAAAGGTCATAGATAACAAACGCATGGCCAACATCATACTGATTGGGGGAAAACTGAAAACTTTTCCTGTAAGATCTGGAACAAGACAAGGATGCACTTTCACCACTTTCATTCAACACAGTACTGGAAGTCCTGGCCAGAGCAATTAAGCAAGAGAAAGAAATAAAGGGTCTCAAAATAGAAAAGAAAGAAGTCAAATTAGCCTCATATGACATGATCTTATATTTAGAAAAGCTTAAAGACACCACCAAAAAACTGTTAGGGTTGATAAACAACTGATAAACAAATTTAGTAAAATTGCAGGATACAAAATCAACACACAAAAATTAATGTCATTTATATATGCCACCAGTGAACACTCTTGAAAAAGAAAGCAGAAAAGCTATTTCTAATAGCTGCAAAGAACATAAAATACTTAGCAATCAATCTAATCAAAGATGTGAAAGATCCATACAAGCCAGACGTGGCGGCTCACGCCTGTAATCCCAGCACATCATGAGGCTGAGGCAGGTGGATCACAAGGTCAGCAGATCAAGACCATCCTGGCTAACATGGTGAAACCCAGTCTGTACTAAAAATACAAAAAATTAGCCATGTGTGGTGGCACACACCTGTAGTCCCAGCTACTCGGGAGGCTGAGGCAGGAGAATCACTTGAAGCCAGGAGACAGAGGTTGCAGTAAGCCGAGATCACACCACTGCACTCCAGCCTGGATGACAGAGCAAGGCTCTGTCAAAAAAAAAAAAAAATCCATACAAGGAAAATTATAAAACATGGATGAAAAAAATTAAAGAGAACACAAAAAAATGGAAAGATTTTCCATGCCTATAGAATGAAAGAATTAACATTGTTAAAATGACAATACTATCCAAGGCATTTTACAGACTCAGTGTAATCCCTATCAAAATGTCAATGATATTCTGCACAAAATTAGAAAAAACAATCCTAAAATTTATATAAAACTACAAAAGACCTTGAATAGCCAAAGTAATCCTGAGTAAAAAGAACAAAGCTGGAAGCATCACACTACCTGACTTCAAAATATACTACAAAGCTATCATAACCAAATCAACATGGCACTGGCATAAAAACAGAGATGTAAACCAATGGAACAGAATTAGAAACCCTGATATAAATTTGCGCATTTATAGTCAACTCATTTTTGACGAAGTTGCCAAGAACATACAATGAGGAAAGGGCAGTCTCCAATCAATAGTGTTGGGAAAACTGGATAATCATATGCAGAAGAATGAAACTAGACCCCTATCTCTCACCATACACAAAAAACAGTCAAAATGGATTAAAGACTTAACTCTAAGACCTGAAATTATAAAACTACTAGAAGAAAATATTGGGAAAACTCTCCAGGACATTGTTCTGGGGAAAGATTGTGTGTGTGTTTGTGTGACCTCAAAGGCACAAATAGACAAATGGGATTATATCAAGCTAAAAATCTCCTGCACAGCAAAGAAAACAAGCAACAAAGTGAAGAGGAAGTCCTAGCGAGAGGAATCAGGCAAGATAAAGAAATAAAAGGCATCCAAATAGGAAAATAAGTCAAATTATCTCTTCGATGATGATGTAATTCTGTAACTAAAAAACCCTAGGCCTGTTGGAGTGGCTCACGCCTGTAATCCCAACACTTTTGGGGAGGCCAAGGCAGGTGGATCACCTGAGGTCAGGAGTTCGAGACCAGCTTGGCCAACATGGTGAAACCCCATCTCTACTAAAAATACAAAATTAGCTGGGTGTGGTGGTGCACGCCTGTAATCCTAGCTACTTGGATTGCTGAGGCAGGAGAATCGCTTGAACCTGGGAAGCAGAGATTGCAGTGAGCTGAGATTGCACCATTGCACTCCAGCCTGGGGTACAAGAGCAAAACTTCATCTCAAAAAAAAAAAAAAAAGAAAACAGAAAACCCTAAAGACTGTGTCAAAAGGCACCTAGAATTCATAAATGACTTCAATAAAGTTTCAGGATACAAAATCAATGTACAAAAATGGTAGCATTTATTTATTTATTTATTTATTTATTTTTATTTTTTCATTTTTTGAGATGGAGTCTCACTGTGTCACCCAGGCTGGAGTGCAGTGGTTAGGTCTCAGTTCACTGCAACCTCCACCTCCTGGGTTCACACCATTCTCCTGCCTCAGCCTCCTGAGTAGCTGGGATTACAGGCACACGCCACCATGGCCAGCTAATTTTTGTATTTTTAGTAGAGATGGGGTTTCACCATGTTGGTCAGGCTGGTCTCGAACTCCTGACCTCATGATCTGCCCACCTCGGCCTCCCAGAGTGCTGGGATTAAAGGTGTGAGCCACCACACCCAGCCTTTTTTTTTTTTTTTTTAATTTTTTGAGACGGAACCTTGCTCTGTTGCTCAGGCTGGAGTGCAGTAGCATGATCTTGGCTCACTGCAACCTCTGCCTCCTGGGTTCAAGTGATTCTCCTGCCTCAGCCTTCCTGAGTAGATGGGACTACAGGCACGTGCCACTACACCCAGCTAATTTTTGTTATTTTAAGTGGAGACGGTGTTTCACCATGTTGGCCAGGCTGGTCTCAAACTCTTGACCTCAGGTGATCTGCCCACCTTGGCCTCCCAAAGTTCTGGGATTACCGGCGTGAGCCACCATGCCCAGCCAAATGGTAGCATTTCTATACACAAATAACATTCGAGCTGACAGAGAAATCAAGAATGCAGTTGTCATTTAGATTGTCATTTATAACATTATAAGCCTTTATAACAGCCTCACACAAAAAAGAAATATCTAGGAATACATCTAAGCAATAAGGTGAAAGATCTCTACAAGGAATGCTGCAAAACACTGCTGAAAGAAATCAGAGTTGACACAAACAAATGTTAAAACATTTCATGCTTATGGATTGGAAGAATCAATATTGTTAAAATGGCCATATTGCTCAAAGCAATCTACAGATTCAATGCTATTCCTATCAAGCTACCAATGCTATTTTTCACAGAATTAGAAAAACTATTCTAAAATTAATATGGAACCATAAAGCCAGAATAGCCAAAGCAATCCTAAGCAAAAAGAACAAAGTCGGAGGCATCACATTTCCAGATTTCAAAATATACTATAAAGCTACATAACCAAAACAGCATGGTACTGATACAAAAACAGACACATAGACTAATGAAACAGAATAGAGAATCCAGAAATAAAGCCACAAGCTTGCAACCATCTGATCTCTGACAAAGTCAACAAAAATAAGCCCTGAGGAAAGGACTCCCTATTAAATAAATGGTGCTGGGGTAACTGGCTAGCCACATGCAGAAGAATGAAACTGGACCCTTACCTTTCTACCATACACAAAAATTAACTACCATATACAAAAATTAATTCAAAATGAATCAAAGATTTAAATATAAGACCTCAAACTATAAAAATTCTAGAAAAAAACCTAGGAAATACCATTCTGGACATGGGCCTTGGCAACTTATAACTAAGTCTTCAAAAACAATTGCAACAAAAACAAAAATTGACAAATGGGACCTCATTAAACTAATGAGCTTCTGCACAGCAAAACAAACTATCAGAATGGGAGAAAATATTCACAAACTATGCATCTGACAAAGGTCTAATATCCAGAATATAGAACAAATTTAAATCAACAAGCAAAAAACAAACGATCCCATTAAAAAGTGAGCAAAAGATATGAACAGACGCTTCCCAAAAGAAGACATACGGATGGCCAACAAACATCTGAAAAAATGTTCTACATCACTAATCATCGGAGAAATGCAAACCAAAGTCACAATGAGATATCATCTCACCCCAGTTTGAATGACTTTTATCAAAAAGACAGGGAATTGGCTGGGTGAGGTGGCTCACGCCTGTAATCCCACCACTTTGGGAGGCTGAGGCGGGTGGATCACCTGAGGTCAGGAATTTGAGACCAGCCTGGCCAACATGACCAAACCCAGTCTCTACTAAAAATACAAAAATTAGCCAGTCATGGTGGCCTGTGCCTGTAATCCCAGCTACTCTCGGGGCTGAGGCAGGAGAATTGCTTGAACCAAGGAGGTGGAGGTTTCAGTGAGCCAAGGTAATGCCACTGCACTCCAGCCTGGGTGACAGAGCGAGACTCTGTCTCAAAAAATAAAGAAAGAAAGAAATAGACAAGGAATTAACAAGTGCTGGTGAAGATGTGAAGAAAGTGGAACCCTCATACAGTTGGCAGGAATGTAAATTAGGACAGACACTATGGAGAACAGGATGGGGATTCCTCAAAAAACTAAATACAGAGCTACCATGTGATCCAGCAATCCCACTGCTGGGTATATATCCAAAAGAAAGGAAATCAGTGTAATGAAGAGATATCTGCACTCCTGTGTTTTGTTTTTGGTTTTGTGTTTGTTTTTAATTTTTTAATTTGTAATTTTTGTGGGTACATAGTAGGCGTATGTATTTATGAGGTACATGAGATATTTTGAAACAGGCATGCAATGTATAATAATCACATAATAAAGAATGAGGTATCTATCCCCTCAAGCATCTATCCTTTGTATTAGAAACAATTCAGGCCAGGCACAGTGGCTCACGCCTGTAATCCCAGCACTTTGGGAGGCCGAGGCGGGTGGATCTCTTGAGGTCAGGAGTTGAAGACCAGCTTGGCCAACATGGTGAAACCCCATCTCTACTAAAGATACAAAAATTAGCCAGGCATAGTGGTGTGCACCTGCAATCCCAGTTACTCAGGAGACTGAGGCAGGAGAATAGCTTGAACCCAGGAGGTGGAGGTTGCAGTGAGCCAAGATTGTGCCACTGCACTCCAGTTTGGGTGGCAGAGCTAGACTCCATCTCAAAAAAAATAAACTCCATCCCAAAAAAAATAAACTCTTGAGATTTTTCTGAGTCCTAAACCCTTTAATTTACCATACTTAAAAGTACACATATGGCTGGGAACAGTGGCTCAGACTACAGTCCCTGCTACTCGGGAGGCAAGGTGGGAGGATTGCTTGAGCCCAGCAGTTGAAGGCTGCAGTGAACCCCATTGAGCTATGATCATGCCACTGCACTCCAGCCTGGGCAACAGAGCAAGACCATGTCTCTAAAATCAAACAAAACCTCACATACACATAACCTACATTGTCCTAATACTCTTAACTCAAAAAGAACAGAATCAGAGTCATAGAGGATTTATAGCGTAATTCAATTTCAGCTTTATCCTTTTTAAGAAATGAACAAATGGCTGGGCCCACTGTGGAAAGAGAACGGCATTTCTGTTGCCAAAGAGTGTGGAGAAAGAAGGGTGAATATAAAAGAGTAAGAAGTGTAGAATATGATGTAATACAGACTAAATGTCTAGTTTTTCCAAATTAGAGAAATGAAGAAAATGAATTTAATTTTGTTTATATATTTCTATTCTATATAGACTTTCTGTCAAATATTATTGATTGGTATTAAATAACAATTGACTATTGAATCATAGTAATATGTCTTTCTGATGAAACTGGGTCTGTTTTTTTTTTTTTTTCTTTTTTGAGCCAGGGTCTCACTCTGTCACCCAGGCTAGAGGTGCAGTGGCATGATCTCGGCTCACTGCAACCTCTGCCTCCTAGGTTCAAGTGATTCTCGTGCCTCAGCTTCCTGAGTAGCTGGGACTACAGGCACATGCCACCATGCCCGGCTAATTTTTGAATTTTTAGTAGAGACGGGGTTTCACCGTGTTGGCCAGGCTGGTCTGGAACTCCTGGCTTCAAGTGATCTGCCTGCCTTGGCTTCCCAAAGTGCTAAGATTATAGGCATGAGCCATGGCGCCTGGTCCATACTTTTCTTGAAGTATATATCATATACAGATGAAAGGGCAGTAACTTTAAATGTACAGCTAGATGAAATATATGTATAATTCCACCCATGAAACTACTATCCATAACAAGATAATGAAAAGCTCCGTCAGGCTCCTTCCCAGTGATTAACTAGACATCATTATTCCCTATAATAACTATATTCTTACTTTTATCACCAAAGATTAGTTTTTCATAGTCACTTTTCAAAACAAAATCTCAGAATCTCATAATAACCTTTATTTGTTGCTTCATGGTTATATGAATTAGAAGTGATTATATCATAAGCTTACGAAAAACTGTGTACTAAAAAATCCTCTCCTTGTAAGATGCTGCTTCCTTGTCAGGCTGAGGATATAAAGATAACAATGAAGATTATTGAAAGTCCATACCTGTCTATAGGAAGAAATGAAAATGATATCTTCTTTAAATGTCCATCTTGTATTCTTTGTTTTTTGGTTTTTTTCTTTTGAGACAGAGTCTCGCTCTGTCGCTTGGAGTACAGTGGTGTGATTTCGGTTCACTGCAACCTCTGCCTCCTGGGTTCAAGCAATTCCCTTGCCTCAGCCTCCCGAGGAGCTGGGACTACAGGCATTCACCACCACACCTGGCTAATTTGTTTTGTATTTTTAGTAGAGACGGGGGTTTCACAGTGTTGGCCACACTGGTCTTGAACTCCTGACCTCAAGTGATCCTCCCGCCTCAGCCTCCCAAAGTGCTGGGATTATAGACATGAGCTAACATCCTAATCAACATCTTCTATACTTTGAGATCCAAACCAAGTAGGTGTTATTCATCATGTTCCAAATCATGACAAAAATAAAATTAGAAAGAACTGCCCTGTACAATGCCAACTGCCCATGCGTTTGTTTTAAACAACAACAAATCCAAAACCCAGACATGAAAACGTACCAAAGAGATGAAAGCATTAATAATTTTTAACAATCTTAAACTCTGTTAAGAATTTTTTAAAAGGCCGGGCGCGGTGGCTCACACCTGTAATCCCAACACTTTGGGAGGCCAAGGCAGGCGGATCACGAGGTCAGGAGATCAAGACCATCCTGGCTAACACAGTGAAACTCCATCTCTACTAAAAACACAAAAAAATAGCCGAGCGTGGTGGTGGACGCCTGTAGTCCTAGCTACTCGGGAGGCTGAGGCAGGAGAATGGCGTGAACCCAGGAGGTGGAGCTTGCAGTGAGCCGAGATCACGTCACTGCACTCCAGAGCCTGGGCAACAGAGCAAGACTCCATCTCAAAAAAAAAAAAAGAAAAGAAAAAAGAATTTTTTGTTGTTGTTTTGAAATGACTTCACTCTTTGCTTAACCTTCATACATTAAGGTTGATTCACTGTATATTTTATGTGCAGATGCACTTTGTTGATACTTGTGTGGTTGAGAGAGCACTGTCATTGCTGATGCAGAAAATCTATTTTTGAATATTCAGAAGAAAAATTCACCAGATATATCCTTATCACACTTTAAAAAGAGATCCATTTTATGTTTTTGCTAGGGAAGAGAAAAGTTAAAAATAAAATACTCAGGGGATGGGTGTGGTGGCTCACGCCTGTAATCCCAGCACTTTGGGAGGCCGTGGTGGGTGGATCACCTGAGGTCAGGAGTTCAAGACCAGCCTGGCTAACATGGTGAAACCCCATTTCTACTAAAAATACAAAAAATTAGCCAGGCATGGTGGCCACACCTGTAATCCCAGCTACTAGGGAGGCTGAGGCAGGAGAATCGCTTGAACCCAGAGGCAGAGGTTGCAGTGAGCCAAAATTATGCCATTGCACTCCAGTGTGGGCAACAGGAGTAAAACTCCTTCTCAAAAAAATAATAATAATAATAAAATAAAATACTCAGTAAAAGTTTAGTGTTTCACCTAAGCCTTTGTAGATAGCCAGCAATTTAGAGACAGTTAACTAAGAATTTCATGTTGAATTAGAAATTAAAAATAGGCCGGGCGCAGTGGCTCACACCTGTAATCCCAACATTTTGGGAGGCCAAGGCGGGCAGATTACATGAGGTCGGGAGTTCAAGACCAGTCTGTCCAATATGGATAAACCCCTTCTCTACTAAAAATACAAAATTAGCCAGATGTGGTGGCGCATGCCTGTAATCCTAGCTACTCAGGAGGCTGAGGCAGGAGAATTGCTTGAACCCGGGAGGCGGAGGTTGCAATGAGCTGAGATCAGGCCATTGCACTCCAGTCTGGGCAACAAGAGTGAAACTCCGTCTCAAAAAAAAAAAACAACAACAAAAAGTAGCCAGGCATGGTGCGTGTCTGTAGTCCCAGCTACTCGGGAGGCTAAGGCGGGAGAATCGCTTGAACCTGGAAGGTGGAGGTTGCATTAAGCCAAGATCTGCCCACTGCACTCCAACCTGGGCCACAGAGCGAGACTCTGTCTCAAACAAAAAAAAAAAAAGAAAAGAAAAAGAAATTAAAAATAGATGCACTAGTGAGAAATGTATTTAAGGCCCTGCCTACACTGCAGTAAAAATCATGTTCACAAAAATTAGGAATGATTCTTCCTAGCCTGCTGTTAACACAATTTCTCTGGCCAGAAAAGATAAAAATATAGGAGATTTTTTAAATTTCTGAGTTTGAAAAATTATTAATTTTCTTACTGTTACAGATGCTGATGTGATTAGTGCATATTTACCCTTTTGTGTTTTTTATAATTAATTAGGTCGAAGAATGTGTGAAATAGTAATATTTAAAACATATGTAATATTTTAATAGAAAATAACTTTATATCAATGTGTTTGAGCTTAATTTTTATGATTAGCTTTACTTATACAGTGCTTAAATGCAATTCTGGTAGAATTATGAGGGGTTTGCTTGAATTTAAATAGCATTATCCAGAAAGAACATGGCAGTCTATTTTGTACAGACACACAGAGGTACACACATATAAATAGGTATAAACTTTGGAATGTACTAAATAATAGAGGGAACTGCTTCCATAAAAACATGTAACCAAGAATTACATGTCCTCTAATATCCTATTTCATAAGGATAAAAACTGTCCACAAATTAAAGCATGATAGTGTTTTACCAATATATCTCAGAAAACCATCTTTCTCTAGAATATATGTTGTTAATATCTCAACATATTCTGGAGTTGGAATTTTGTAGATACCATTGGAATATGTTTAAGTGGGTATGTTTATTATAATTTTGACTGCCTAAACTCTCAAAACCTGATCTTTCACTCTTTATAAACTCTAGGACAGTAAGGGCCGTAACTTGCCAATCAATTAAGTAATTCATAGTATAACTTGTGTCTACATTAACAAACTCTGACTTACAAAATTGCCATTTATGTATTCTATTGCGTGGTTCTCCAGCTGTCATCGCCAAAACTGTAAAGCATTCACCATCCAATTATTAAACTTTTTTTTAATTTTTCATACTGTTTTTTTTCCCCCACTGAGGTGTACCATGAACAAGCTGTGGTCTTTCATTCTTCTGTCCTTCACTTTCCACAGCACAATTAATCAATTAATTGCTCTTTAGTTGGTGTTTATTATGTACACAGTAGCCTCTTTAATTCCATTCCTCCCTCAGTTTTTGTCCAACTCTTTCTCTTTTACCTCAAGAAAAACTTCTTATATTTCTTTCTCTCTTAAGGTCTCACTTTTGCCTTTGTAAGCTAAAAGATAATGTTAATCATGGTTGATAAGCCCCACCCTCTAACCATAGAAAGAAACATCATGAGTTTTTGTTGTTGTTGTTGTTGTTTCAGATGGAGTTGCGCTCTCGTCACCCAGGCTGGAGTGCAATGGCACAATCTCGGCTCACTGCAACCTCCACCTCCTGGGTTCAAGCGATTCTCCTACCTCAGCCTCCCAAGTAGCTGGGATTACAGGCTCCCGCCACCATGCCTGGCTAATTTTTGTATTTTTAGTAGAGATGAGGTTTCACCATGTTGGCCATGCTGGTCTCGAACTCCTGAGGAATGCCATGAGCTTTAAAGTGAGATTAAATATAATATAGAACTAGTTCATTTGATTTGTAAAACCCTCGAAAGTACCCATTGTGATGGAAAATGGTCTGAGACAAAAAGAAAGTATTCAGAGTTTCCATTAGACATTTTATAAATCTCCATCTAACTCTAAATCTTCTTTTAATAAAACCAGCTTTTCTTCAAATACCAGCATCAAAACTGAGGATCAATAAGAAGTCATATTAAATGATATTGCTTTTTCATTTTATTTAATTACTATTATAGAAATAATACTTCTTTTCTTCTCATTATAAGTTCAACAGTTTCAGCCGTATTATAGCTTAAATAGGCATTTGTGGACTAGCTCTGTCTCTTACTATTCATTCATTCCTAGTGTTTTGCCAGTAACCTCCAACCTAGCTGTTCTTCCTACCTTTGTCTTAGCCTTTCCTGCTGTCTATTTTTCACCCAGCAGTCAGAGTGATTATTTTAAAACTTGTCAGGCCGGGCGCAGTAGCTCACACCTGTAATCCCAACACTTTGGGAGGCTGAGGCAGGCAGATCACTTGAGGTCAGGAGTTCGAGACCAGCCTGGCCAACAGGGTGACACCCCATCTCTACTAAAAATACAAAAATTAGCCAGATGTGGTGGTCCATGGCTGAGGCAGGAGAATCGCTTGAACCTGGGAGGTGAAGGTTGCTGTGAGCCGAGATCACACCACTGTACTCCAGCCTGGGTGACAGAGTGAGACTCTCCCTCAAAAAAATAAAATAAAATAAAATAAAATAAAAATAAATAAATAAAACTTGTCACTTTCATGCTCACAACCCTCCATACTTAGAATAAGAACCCAAGACTTAAAATCTATGGCCTATCAGACCCTAAACAATGTGACTCCATATTCCTGCTTCTGTCTTATGTTCTTCCACTAGCCTCTCACCACACTTCAGACAAACTGAACTGCTTGCTCTCCTTCCAAAACAGCTAGTATATTCCCTCTCGATAAGTCTTCTGCTATTTTCTCACATCTGGACTCAAGTCACGTTCAGCTGGTTAAAATTTTAAGTAATACTTGAGTAGCCAGGTGGGGAGAGTTTGAATTGTGTGATAGGAATCTTTTCTAAAGAAAGATAAATTTTTTTTTCTTTTTTTATTATTATTATACTTAAAGTTTTAGGGTACATGTGCACAATGTGCAGGTTAGTTACATATGTATACATGTGCCATGCTGGTGTGCTGCACCCGTTAACTCGTCATTTAGCATTAGGTATATCTCCTAATGCTATCCCTCCCCCCTCCCCCCACCCCACAACAGTCCCCAGAGTGTGATGTTCCCCTTCCTGTGTCCATGTGTTCTCATTGTTCAATTCCCATGTATGAGTGAGAACATGCAGTGTTTGGTTTTTTGTCCTTGCGATAGTTTACTGAGAATGATGATTTCCAATTTCATCCATGTCCCTGCAAAGGACATGAACTCGATCATTTTTTATGGCTGCATAGTATTCCATGGTGTATATGTGCCACATTTTCTTAATCCAGTCTATCATTGTTGGACATTTGGGTTGAAGAAAATTTTCGCAACCTACTCATCTGACAAAGGGCTAATATCCAGAATCTACAAAGAACTCAAACAAATTTACAAGAAAAAAACAAACAACCCCATCAAAAAGTGGGCAAAGGATATGAACAGACACTTCTCAAAAGAAGATATTTATGCAGCCAAAAGACACATGAAAAAATGCTCATCATCACTGGCCATCAGAGAAATGCAAATCAAAACCACAATGAGATACCATCTCACACCAGTTAGAATGGCAATCATTAAAAAGTCAGGAAACAACAGGTGCTGGAGAGGATGTGGAGAAATAGGAACACTTTTACACCGTTGGTGGGACTGTAAACTAGTTCAACCATTGTGGAAGTCAGTGTGGCGATTCCTCAGGGATCTAGAACTAGAAATACCATTTGACCCAGCCATCCCATTACTGGGTATATACCCAAAGGACTATAAATCATGCTGCTATAAAGACACATGCACACGTATGTTTATTGCGGTACTATTCACAATAGCAAAGACTTGGAACCAACCCATTTGCAAATCATTAACATACAGAAAACACCAAATCAGGTGAGAGAGAGGAGACAGAGGACCTGCCCTAAAAATGGGCTCAGGATTAAGGGACTTGGAAGAGGAGATGGAAAGAGAAAGGAAAAGCAGTAAGCAAGAGAATTCAAAAGTGCAATGTCATTGAATACCCGTAATGTGAGGATTACAAAAGAAGTCGGTGAATAATAAGATCAAATGTAACACAAGTTAGGAAGTATGAGGATCAAGAAAAAGCCATTACTTTTGCTGATTAATTATTGTTTCAATGTGGAAAATGTCTTTTGTGTTTAAAGTATGTCTTAACTAATGAATTTTTGGACAACAACTTTTGGAAATACCCTATGTATTTATGGAGCAAGCTTCATATGTGCTCAACACGAACCTCATTTTTATTCTTTTTTTTTGAGACAGGGTCTGGGCTGGAATGCAGTGGCAAAATCACAGCTCACTGCAGCCTCAACCTCCAGGGTTCAACTGATCCTCCCACCTCAGCCTTCCTAGTAGCTGAGACCACAGGCATGCACTGCCACACTGGCTTGATGATTCTTGTGTGTTCTTTTTTTTATTTTTTTTCTTTTTTTTGGTGAGGGAGTCTTACTCTGTCGCCCAGGCTGGAGTGCAGAGGCATGTTCTCCGCTCACTGCAACCTCCGCCTCCCAGGTTCAAGCCATTCTCCTGCCTGAACCTCCCAAGTAGCTGGGATTACAGGCGCCCACCACCATGCCCAGCTAATTTTTGTATTTTTGGTAAAGACAGGATTTCACAATGTTGGCCAGGCTGGTCTTGAACTCCTGACCTCAGGTGATCCACCCGCCTCCCTCTCCCAAAGTGCTGGGATTACAGGCGTGAGCCACCGCGCCCTGCCTATGTATTCTTCATTATATGCACATAATAAGAAAGTCTATTCACAATCCCATTGTCCTTTGAAGGCTTCTATGAAATTGCTGCTTGTAAAAGACAGAGGTCATGGAGTGCTTATTTGGCCGGGCGTGGTGGCTCATGCCTGTAATCCCAGCACTTTGGGAAGCCGAGGCGGGCGGATCATGAGGTCAGGAGATCGAGACCATCCTGGCTAACAGGGTAAAACCCCGTCTCTACTAAAAATACAAAAAATTAGCTGGGCTTCGTGGCGGGCACCTGTAGTCCCAGCTACTTGGTAGGCTGAGGCAGGAGAATGGCGTGAGCCCGGGAGGCGGAGCTTGCAGTGAGCCGAGATCGTGCCACTACACTCCAGCCTGAGCGACACAGCGAGACTCCGTCTCAAAAAATAAATAAATAAATAAATAAATAAATATAAAATAAAATAAAAAAATAAAAAGAGGTCACGGTATGTAAGAGGTTTTGCTTTACCAGGAGACAATTGAATCAGAAAGAAAAAAAAATTGTTTAAATTAAAAAATACTTGGCTTGGCGCGGTGGCTCACGCCTGTAATCCCAGCACTTTGGGAGGCCGAGGCGGGCGGATGACGAAGTCAGGAGATCGAGACCATCCTGGCTAACACGGTGAAACCCCGTCTCTACTAAAAATACAAAAAATTAGCCGGGCGTGGTAGCGGGCGCCTGTAGTCCCAGCTACTTGGGAGGCTGAGGCAGGAGAATGGCGTGAACCCGGGAGGCGGAGCTTGCAGTGAGCCGAGATTGTGCCACTGCACTCCAGCCTGGGCGACACAGCGAGGCTCTGTCTCAAAAAAAAAAAAAAAAACTTTATTAGTCTCTGTACGCTTTACATAACAAGTTTATAGAGCTAGGTTAATGTCATCTAAAACATTATCACAAAAATCCCTTCTGGGATGTCATTGACTAAATCAGCTTACCTATTGTAAAAAAACTGCTTTTGTTTTTTCCCTAATGTCAGTATTGTGAAAGTCTTATAATCAAGCAAAGTTATAATGTAATTAACTTTTCTATTTTCAACTAATTAAAGGAAGACCTGAAAACCCATCATCTCTGTATAACAAGGTACATTGAAACTTTAAAGTTTGAACATTTAATTAAAAAAAAAAAAGGCATATCAGCTGGGTGCGGTCGCTCACGCCTGTAATCCCAGCGCTTTGGGAGGCTGAGGAAGGCAGATTGCCTGAGCTCAGGAGTTCAAGACCAGCCTGGGCAACACAGTGTATTTTGTTCTAAAATACATAAAATTAGCTGGGCGTGGTGGCGTGTGCCTGTAGTCCCAGCTACTCCGAAGGCTGAGGCAGGAGAATTGCTTGAACCCAGGGGGCAGAGGTTGCAGTGAGCTGAGATCGCGCCACTGCACTCCAGCCCGGGTGACAGAGCGAGACTCCATCTCCAAAAAAAAAAAAAAAAAAAAAAGACATATTTATTTTGACTTCCTCTTATCCCTCTTATTAACAAAAATAATCCACTGACTCCAGAATAGAAATGCCAGCCTTTGAAATTATGTGGGTTAGGTTGAGTATAAATTTGCTGTCATATTTTTAACATACATTTTAAAATTTAGATCTCGAAAGATCTAAAGCAGTGTAATTTGTAATTGAAAATAACATAATTAATACCACATGACTGAAAGAGTCAAAACAAAACAGAAGACAAATCCTCTGAGTAACATCTAAACAAAGACAGATGAAATATCATAGTCTTACTGGATGACAAAACTCGCTTATATATATATATGACTTTTGAACAATGTGGGGGGTTGGCACGCCAACACTCCCACAACATAGTTGAAAATCCACATAAAATTTTTGACTCTCCCAACACTTAATTACTAATAGCTTAGCCTACTGTTGATCAGAAGCCTTACTGATAACATAAACAGTCAATTACCACATATTTTGCATGTTATGTGTATGATATACTGTATTGTTACAATAAAGTAAGCAAGAGAAAAGAAAATGTTATTAAGAAAAGCATAAAGCATAGAGGCTGGGAGCAGTGGCTCACACCTGTAATCCCAGCAGTTTGAGAGGCAGAGGCAGGCAGATCACAAGATCAGGAGTTTGAGACCAGCCTGGCCAACATGGTGAAACCTCATCTCTACTAAAAATACAAAAATTAGCCAGATGTGGTGGTGCATGCCTGTATGGGGGCACTGAGGCAGGAGAATCACTTGAATTTGGGAGGTGGAGGTTTCAGTGAGCCAAGATTGCGCCACTGCACTCCAGCCTGGGTGAAAGAGCGGGACTCCGTCTCAAAAAAAAGAAAAGAAAAATATAAAGAAGCTGGGCGTGGTGGCGGGCGCCTGTAATCCCAGCTACTCGGGAGGCTGAGGCAGGAGAATCGCTTGAAACCAGAAGGTGGAGGTTGCAGTGAGCCGAGATAGCGCCACTGCACTCCAGCCTGGGTGAAAGAGCAAGACTCGGTCTCAAAAAAAAAAAAAAAAAAGAAAGAAAGAAAGAAAGAAAAGAAAAGAAAAAGTATAAAGAAGCTGGGTGTGGTGGCTCACACCTGTAATCCTAGCACTTTGGGAGGCTGAAGCAGGTGAACCACTTGAGCCCAGGAGTTCAAGATCAGCCTGGGCAACATGGCCAAACCCTGTATCTACAAAAAATACAAAAATTAGTTGAGCATGGTGATGCTTGCCTGTAGTCCCAGCTACTCAAAAGGCTGAGGTGGGAGGATCACATGAGCCCCGAAGGTCAAGGCTGTGGTGAGCCATGGTCACACAACTGCACTGTAGCCTGGGTGAGAGAGTGAGGCTCTTTCTGAAAAAAAGAAAAAGGAAGGAAGGAAGGAAGAAAGGAATCATAAAGATGAGAAAATATGTTTACTATGTATTAAGTGGAAGTGGATAGTCATAAAGGTCTTCATCCTCATCTTCGCATTGAGCAGACTGAGGAGAAGGACAAGGAGGGCTTGGTCTTGCTGTCTCAGGATGGCAGAGGCAAAAGAAAATCCACATATAAGTGGACCTATGCAGTTCAAACCTATGTGGATCAAGAGTCAACTCTATATGTAATATACACTCATTTAACTTACACTACATCTGTTAAGAACTAGATTATTTTCCAAATGTTACCACTGTTTTGTATTACAGCTAGAGAAACATAAAAATACTTTTCATTTCCTGATGATATAATCCCAAATATTTATACAGAGCATGACTTTGTCATCAACATGGACTTTATTTATAAAATATAAATTATAATTGATCATGAAAAAATTTGATCATGAAAGAATATCTAATGTTATAGAAGGGAAGGGTTATTGTTGCAGAAAAGTATTTTTTGACATGGGAAAATTCTGTTAAAGAACTACAGGGCCGGGTGCGGTGGCTCACACCTGCAATCCCAGCACTTTGGGAGCCTAGGCGGGCGGATCACGAGGTCAGGAGATCGAGACCATCCTGGCTAACATGGTGAAACCCTGTCTCTACTAAAAAATACAAAAAATTAGCCCGGCGTTGTGGCGGGCGCCTGTAGTCCCAGCTACTGTGGAGGCTGAGGCAGGAGAATGGCGTGAACCCGGGAGGCGCAGCTTGCAGTGAGCGGAGATCACGCCACTGCACTCCAGCCTGGGCGACAGAGCGAGACTCCGTGTCAAAAAAAAAAAAAAAAAAGAACTACAAAAATAATAGCTTTATTAATTAGTTTTTAATTTTTGGTAATGTGTAGACAAAGGGTTTTATTTCTCTTTTCTTGAAATTAGTGAGGAAGCTGAGCAGGCAAAACCAAAGCATTCACTCTACAAAAATCTATAAAGTAGTGTGGAACTAAAAAGTGATAAGCCATTACTAAAAGTAATAAGCCATTACTGTTCAATGTGGAATTAATAGTCAAATTGAGAAAAAAGAGCTTTAATTGAGAAAAAAGAGCTTCAAAACCTTATATGTGTTGTCTTACACCTGTAATCCCAGCACTTTGGGAGGCCGAGGCAAGAGGATTGCTTGAAGCCAGGAGTTTGAGATCAGCTTGGGCAACGTAGCAAGACTTTGTCTCTCTCTCTATAAATATATATATTTTTTGTTATTTATATATATAATATGTTATTTAATATATATTATATATTGTTATTCATATTATGTTATTTATATATTTGCTAATTTTATATATTTTGTTTAAAAGTAAAATGTTAACACATTCCTTATAATATGTATATTGTCTTATAATATATATTATATATAGACATAATATAACGAATGTGTTAACATTTTACTTTTAAACATAACATTGTAGCTACATTAGTATATTAGTATTTTCATTTCTATGTTTACACAGGAGCGAGACCACATTTGGCCTATCAGAAATAAGGAAAACTTTTTCTATCCATCTTTAATATGGGAAGAATACTTTTATGTAATTTACTTGATATAAATTGACATCATAGGACATGGGGAAGAAAGGATGCTTTGAAGATGCAAGGTAATTACTACTATTTTTTAAACGGCTATAATTTCTACTTCCCTACTTATCAGGTTTAATTAATTACTGTGTTCACTGTGCTCTCTGATTTGTAGTTTATGGTGTGTACTATATAAATGCTGTGAATTTGCCAGTGACTTTATTTCAAATTGCTATTTGAAGTTTCAAATTTTTTTTTTTTCCAGACGGAGTCTCACTCTGTTGCCCAGGCTGGAGTGCAATGGCCGATCTCGGTTCACTGCAACCTCCGCCTCCTGGGTTCAAGAGATTCTCCTGCCTCAGCCTCCAGAGTAGCTGGGATTACAGGAGCTCACCACCACGCCTGGCTAATTTTTATATTTTTAGTAGAGACAGGGTTTCACCATGTTGGCCAAGCTGGTCTCAAATTCCTGATCTCAGGCGATCCGCCCGCATCAGCCTCTCAAAGTGCTGGGATTACAGGTATGAGCTGCCTCGCTTGGCTTGAAGTTTTAAAATTTTATTCCAATTAGAATAAATAGAGTTGAGAGGCGAAGTGGTGTCAGGATAAGATATTAAGCACAGTGAATAAATTGCCTTAAAAGTTAGAACAGCTGTTTTGCAATAATTACTTATACTAGAGTCTTATTTGATGCTTCACTCATCTGCTTTCCTTGACACCTACCTTTTGTGCTAGGTTGCTCCATCTACAAAGATAAATAAGGTCAGGCCCCTGCCCTCAAGACATTTACAGCCTAGTAGGGAAGCAGGAATGTGAATAAGCCATTACTGTTCAATGTGAAATTAATAGAGAAGTGTTAGAAGGAGCCAAATTTTTCTACCTGGAATTGAATATGTAAAAGTTTTTTATGGTACCATTTGTTAGAAAACTTCCGTAGAACACACACATTCTATGCATATCAGCAGTGATTTCTACAAATCATCAAAGTGTAACAGCAGAATTGGAGGGTCGTGGTGTTGGTGTTGGGCAGTGGCAGAAAGACAAGGTTACTCCCAGATAGTGCACTTTTTTTTTTTTTTTTTTTTTTGAGACGGAGTCTTGCTCTGTCGCCCAGGCTGGAGTGCAGTGGCACGATTTCGGCTCACTGCAACCTCCGCCTCCCGGGTTCAAGCAATTCTCCTGTCTCAGCCTCCCCAGTAGCTGGGACTACAGGCGCCTGCCACCACGCCCGGCTAATTTTTGTATTTTTAGTAGAGACGGGCTTTCACCATATCGGTCAGGCTGGTCTCGAACTCCTGACCTCAGGTCGTCCACCCGCCTCGGCCTCCCAGAGTGCTGGGATTACAGGCGTGAGCCACCGTGCCCGGTGGCAGTGCACTTTTTAGTAAGACTTAACATACCAGGCCGGGTGCAGTAGCTCACGGCTGTAATCCCAGCACTTTGGGAGGCCGAGGTGGGCAGATCACGAGGTCAGGAGATCTAGACCGTCCTGGCTAACACGTGAAACCCCATCTCTACTAAAAATACAAAAAAAATAGCCGGGCGTGGTGGCGGGCGCCTGTAGTCCCAGCTACTCGGGAGGCTGAGGCAGGAGAATGGCGTGAACCCGGGGGGCGGAGCTTGCAGTGAGCCGAAATCGCGCCACTGCACTCCAGCCTGGGCGACACAGCGAGACTCGGTCTCAAAAAAAAAAAAAAAAAAAAAAGACTTAACATACCAATGCTTAGGTATTTGTGTGCTGTACTATTTTCTTAAAGCCATCTCCCTTACTTCCACTATCCTGTATTCCCTCCTTCCAAAGGGTGTGAACTTGATGTTTCCACAAATGAATTAGTCAAAGCAAGAACATTAATTTGTATGAGCAAAACTGTATCAATAATGCTACAAAGGAAAATTGTTGGAGCTCAGGAATCCTGTATAAAACCACCACCACAAAAAAAGCGAACTTTTTTTTTTCCTTGAGATGGAGTTTCGCTCTTGTCGCCCAGGCTGGAGTGCAGTGACACGATCTCGGTTCACTGCAACCTCCATCTCCCGGGTTCAAGCGATTCTCCTGCCTCAACCTCCCGAGTAGCTGGGATTACAGGCATTTGCCACCATGCCCGGCTAATTTTGTATATTTAGTAGAGACGGGGTTTCACCATGTTGACCAGGCTGGTCTCAAACTCCTAACCTCAGGTGATCCGCCCACCTCGGCTTCCCAAAGTGTGGGGATTACAGGCGTGAGCCACCGCAGCAGGCCCATTTCTCTCATTTCGTGCAAGTTTAAAGATTAAACAATTTCTAAGTGGCAAAATCACAAATAAAATGAATACAGAACAACAAAGGGACCACTCCGCACACAAATGTCTCATGAACTTCTACACATACATGAAAGAAATTTGAAATTGTTAAAAGTTATTCAATACAGAAATATTTATGCAAAATGAAAATGAGTGCTTCTATTAAAGGATTGTGTTTTGTAGTTTTATCACATAAAATGTGAGTTTAGACAATTTTTAAGTGTGTTTAGTAATTTTAGAGTGAAGACTTCTAAAGGTACTGGAATAAAATCCTTTATAATGAAATAAATATCTATTAATGTCGCCAAAAAGACTACATTGCCCCTCTTCTTCCATCTCCACCTCACACCCTACCCTACACACACTCGTAAAGCTTCATAATTCCTGGTTATGTGGCCACAGAGAATAGGATCTAGGTTAAAAAGTCACATTGAAAAACATGATCAAGCCATTGTAGTCAGATCAGTCCTGGGGAACATTAAGATAATTTTTATGCATGAAGGCAACTTTCCATAGTATTTTGAAATAGAACACGATTGCTTTTGATAACTATTCCTGTTGTGGTTAATTTTATGTGTCAACTTGGCTGGGCCATAGCACCCAGATATGTGGTCAAATTATTCCAGATGTTAGTCTGAGGATGTTGCTGGAAAGATATGACACTATATATGTCTTTTCTCATAGACATGACATATATAATGATACTGGAGTGAGACAGGGTCAGAATTTAAAAAGTACCAGGGAATGTCCGGGTGCGGTGGCTCATGCCTGTAATCCTAGCACTTTGGGAGGCCGAGGTGGGCAGATAACCTGAGGTCAGGAGTTAGAGACCAGCCTAGCCAACATGGCAAAACCCTGTCTCTACTAAAAATACAAAAATTACCTGGGCGTGGTGGCAGGCACCTGCAATCCCAGTTACTCTGGAGGCTGAGGCAGGAGAATCGCTTGAACCCAGGAGGCAAGGTTTGAGTGAGCTGAGATTGCACCACTGTACTCAAACCTGGGCAATGGAGGGAGACTCCATTTAAAAAAAAAAAAAGTACCAACGAAATGAGGGAACAAATTAGTTTATGGTTTATCCCCTTCTATTACAGAGTATAGTAAGTACAGAGAATGGGTAATTCAAATGCCTTGAGGTAGCCAGTAATAGGTAGAGAGTCCACACTTAGGACAATAGTGGGGCCTGTGGTATGTGGTAAACTTGACAATGCCTAAATCTATTCTAACTTTCTTTTCTTCTAATTCTTTTCTCCTCCACCTTCTGCTCCTCTCCCAACCTCCCCTTAATTCTCATTCTTATTCTTCATAAGTTAATGCTGTAATGGTCAAACACAGAAAAAAAA
The DNA here is from genome assembly GCF_000001405.40 of Homo sapiens. Lineage (NCBI taxonomy): Eukaryota > Metazoa > Chordata > Mammalia > Primates > Hominidae > Homo > Homo sapiens. Next base: position 153,104,979 of record NC_000003.12, on the reverse strand, counting down.
CATCTGTAGACTACATTAGGGCATCAATTTTTGACCCAATTTAATAAATTCGAATTTGAGATTTCAAAGGAGTTGAACTAACAGATATTGACACAGGACTGATACAGGACAATATAAGAGCTTACTTTGTTAAGAATGAATAGGGCCAGGCGTGGTGGCTCACGCCTGTAATCCCAGCACTTTGGGAGGCCGAGGCGGGCAGATCATCTGAGGTCAGGAGTTCGAGACCAGCCTCAACATGGAGAAACCCTGTCTCTACTAAAAATAAAAAATTAGCTGGGCGTGGTGGTGCATGCCTGTAATCCCAGCTACTCGGGAGGCTGAGGCAGGAGAATTGCTTGAACCTGGGAGACGGCGGTTGCGGTGAGCTGAGATCGCGCCATTGCACTCCAGCCTGGGCAACCAGAGTGAAACTAGGTCTAAAAAAAAAAAAAAAAAAAAAAAGAAGAATGAATACATCTGCTGGGCACGTTGGCTCACGCCTGTAATCCCAGCACTTTGGGAGGCCGAGGCGGGCAGATCACCTGAGGTTGGGAGTTCGAGACCGGCCTGACCAACATGGAGAAACCCCATCTCTACTAAAAATACAAAATTAGGCTGGGCGCGGTGGCTCTCACCTATAATCCCAGCACTTTGGGAGGCTGAGGCGGGCGGATCACGAGGTCAGGAGATGGAGACCACGGTGAAACCTCTTTTCTACTAAAAATACAAAAAATTAGCTGGGCGCAGTGGCGGGCGCCTGTAGTCCCAGCTACTCGGGAGGCTGAGGCAGGAGAATGGCATGAACCTGGGAGGCAGAGCTTGCAGTGAGCCAAGATTGCGCCACTGCACTCCAGCCTGGGCGACAGAGCAAGACTCCGTTTCAAAAAAAATAAAACATAAAAAATTAGCCGGGTATGGTGGCACATGCCTATAATCCCAGCTACTCAGGAGGCTGAGGCAGGAGAATCACTTGAACCCAGGAGGCAGAGGTTGCGGTGAGCTGGAGATAGCACCGTTGCACTCCAGCCCGGGCAACAAGAGTGAAACTGTCTCAAAAAAAAAAAAAAAAAAGAATGAATAAATCTAACAAAAAAGCAGGAGTAGTAGCAATGTAGATTAGGTTCATGAAGACTAGACTGGGTAAGGGGGATATGCAAAGAATATCACATTGAAGTTACATTCTTTAAACCTAGTACTCAAGCTGCAAGGCTCTAGAGGTTTGAAAACAAAAGCTCTCAAAGATGTTGACTTTCCCAAGTTCACAGGTAGCTTTGTGTAAGTATATTAGGCAATAACAGAATTAACTAGGACATGTGCAGAATTCAGTTTCCTCTAAGGAAATAATTACGTAAAAGTACAGCCCCATTGAACCATAAACTTCCCAAGAGCTTATTTATACACATCTAAGAATTTATCACATGCCTTGTACAAAGTAGGTACTAGATAAACATTAGTCGTTTCAAATAGAATTTACTAATGTGTAAGTAGTTAATATGTTATCTCAAAGGCCTTGTCAATCCAAGAGAAGAGAAAGGAAAGTCTCTGTAAGATGAAGGAATAACTTTGGGGCATTGAGTCCTGAGGCACACCTCCAAGCAGGGCTTCATGGCAGGCCTTGGATCAAAAACATCCCTTCCTCAACACCCTCTGGGAGTGTTTTGTTTTTTATCTTCACATAACATTCCCCAATTCCCACAGCTGAAGATGCCATTTAGCCAAAGCATTTTCTTTAAAAAAAAAAAAAAAAAGGCTGGGCACGGTGGCTCACGCCTGTAATCCCAGCACTTTGGGAGGCCGAGGTGGGTGGATCACGAGGTCAGAAGTTCAAGACCAGCCTGACCAACATGGTGAAACCCCATCTCTTCTAAAAATGTAAAAATTAGCCGGGCGTGGAGGCATGCCTGTAATCCCAGCTACTTGGGAGGCTGGGGCAGGAGAATCGCTTGAACCTGGGAGGCGGAGGTTGCAGTGAGTGGAGATCACGCCACTGCACTCCAGCCTGGGTGACAGGGCAAGACTCCGTCTCAAAAAAAAAAAAAAAAAGCAAACTACATTTTTAAAGTTAATGTTACCCTAGTCACACCAAGAGGAAGCAGTTTAAATTTGGTAGTTTTTCTCATAAACACTAGCCAAAATTGGCTTTATTTGTGGAGATGGGGGATGTTGTTCTTAGTTTGGGAGTAGGAAACATTTTAAGGAGGGTGTGGCAAGTTGTCATAGTAAATTTATCTATTTGTATATTTTGTGAGACAGTGTCTTGCTCTGTTGCTCAGGCTGGAGTGCAGTGGCATGAACATGGCTCAGCCTTGAACCTCTGTGTTCAAGTGATCCTCCTGCCTCAGCCTCCTGAGTAGCTGGGACCACAGGTATGTGCCACCATACCCAACTAATGTTTTTTGTTTTTGTTTTTGTTTTTTTTTGTAGAGAGTAGGTCTTATCGTGTTGCCCAGGCTGGTCTTGAACTCCTGGGCTCAAGCAATCCTCCCACTTCAGCCTCTCAAACTGCTGGTGGGATTACAGGTATGAGCCATTGCACCCTGCCTTGTCACAGTAAATTTAGAAAACAATCAACAAATGGGGGCCTGGGCAGAGGGACAGTAAGCATGAATGTCTTAAGGCTAGTTAAGGTAATTTAAGATCTTAACACTCAGAGTGTTGTCTGAGGGCCAGCAACATGGCGTCACCTGGATGCTCGTTAGAAACGCAGACTCTCAGGCTTCACTCTGGGCCTACTGAACCAAAATCGGCTGCATTTTAACAAAAACCTCAAGTTATTTTTATGCTCACTAAAGTTTGAGATATCTTGTTCTAAAAATTCTTTTTTATTTCCAAATAACATCTAACGAAGTCCCTATGACTAGGAAAGATGGGAAATGCTTCGATTCTTCCTTGTTCTTCTCCAAATGACTTCTCACTTCTAGGAGCTAAGATTTAAGGCTGTGCTGTTACGTATTTGAATTATAGGATAGGTTACATAGGCTTTAAAAGTAGCTTAAAAGCCAAACCAATGCTTGCAATACAGCATCCACATGGAAATTTGTCCTGATTTAGACAGCTAACCTACAAATAAGCTATCTGAACAGAATTTCTTGATAAATTTGGATTGCTTTTAGTCATCCACAGAAAAGGACTATTCTTAGCCTGGAAAACAAAACTGAATTTTGGTGCACCAATATATAAATAGCAGCATTAATAATATTAGAATATCCCTTTTTAAATGTCTATGACAGTGAGAAAAAAATCAAATATCTTAACAAAAACAAAATTTAAACATGGCAAATCATTCTTTTTTTTTTTTTTTTTTTGAGATGGAGTCTCGCTGTTGCCCAGGCTAGAGTGCAGTGGCGTGATCTCGGCTCACTGCAGGCTCCGCCCCCCGGGGTTCAAGCCATTCTCCTGCCTCAGCCTCCGGCGCAGCTGAGACTACAGGCGCCCGCCACCTCTCCCGGCTAATTTTTTGTATTTTTAGTACAGACGGGGTTTCACCGTGTTAGCCAGGATGGTCTCGATCTCCTGACCTCGTGATCCTCCCGCCTCAGCCTCCCAAAGTGCTGGGATTACAGTCGTGAGCCACCGCGCCCGGCCAAACATGGAAATCATTCTAAAAATAAACCACTTAATTTTCCATTGAAGAAATCAGAAAACAGCTAATGAATGGGGAAAAATTTCCTTTCAAGATTGTATGTAAAGTCAGCCATATTCTATTCATCTATCTCTAGTATCTAGAAGTATGTCTAGAACAAAGAAAAGTCTCATTGGGTTGTGAATGAATTAATAAATGAGTTAATGTCATGTTTAAAGTATGTTCTAAGAAAATATTTGTCAAATCAACAAAAATGTACAGGAAGACACTAAATTTAAAAATTATTCAGTTAGGCCGGGCGCGGTGGCTCACGCCTGTAATCCCAGCACTTTGGGAGGCCAAAGCGGGTGGATCACAAGGTCAGGAGATCAAGACCATCCTGGCTAACACGGTGAAACCCCGTCTCTACTAAAAATACAAAAACTTAGCCAGGCATGGTGGCATGCGCCTGTAGTCTCAGCTACTCGGGAGACTGATATGAACCCGGGAGGCGGAGCTTGCAGTGAGCTGAGATCGCGCCACTGCACTCCAGCCTGGGCGACAGAGCAAGACTGTTTCAAAAAAAAAATAAAATTATTTAATAAAAGAGGATGATTCAGGGTGACTAGCACATATATGCTAAATTAAAACAGCATGTTTTACACTAATGTAGAAAAAATTTTAAATGACCTTTAATGACTATACATTTTATTTAGATATATTGATATGGTTTTTATCAGCAAAAGAGGTAAAATTTGTAGATTACTAAAATGAATTGATTTTCTTTGCAAATCTTCGAATCTAGGTGATCACTCATTTGTGCAATACTGACATCAATGTTCATTGTCAAAGTTTTAACCTCTAAAAATATAAAAGAATAAAAATCAACTTGCCAATTAATATGCTTCAATTAATTGCTAATATGTATTTTGAATATTTTGTTCTGTGTCATATTCTCCCATGGCATGGCAAACTAATTAAATGCCTGAAATGCAAAAGGTTTTATAAACATTTCATTTTAATCCAATTCAGATTAACTCAGAAAACGATCAAGCCAGTAGGTTTTATGTGTGAAGTGAAACCTTATATACTTCAACTGCAACCAGTGCCTAAGGACAAAAGGGGCTCTTCAGGTTAACTTTTCTAAAAATTGAATTCAGGATTGGAGTTTACCTACCTTTCTTGTCTGTACACATGAAGCATTTATTTGCAAAACAGAATTCAGCACTTAAATCATTCCAATGTTTACTTTCAACCTCAGTGCAGGCTGTTGCAAGGGCTACATCTCCAAGAAACTAATCACTTTGAGGCCAGGCACGGTGGGTGGCTCACGCCTGTAATCCCAGCACTTTGGGAGGCCGAGGCAGGCAGATCACCTGAGGTTGGGAGTTCGAGACCAGCCTGACCAATGTGAAGAAACCCCATCTCTACTAAAAATACAAAATTAGGCGTGGTGGTGCACGCCTGTAGTCCCAGCTACTAGGGAGTTTGAGGCAGGATAATCACTTGAATCCGGGAGGTGGAGGTTGCAGTGAGCCGAGACCGCACCATTGCACTCCAGCCTAGGCAACAAGAGTGAAACTCTGTCTAAGAAAGAAAGAAAGAAAGAAGGAAAGAAGGAAAGAAAGAAAGAAAGAAAGAAACTAATCACTTTGAATCTATGTGCTCAAGTTGCTTTTTTTTTTTTTTTTTGAGACAAAGTCTTGGTCTTGTTGCCCAGGCTGGAGTGCAACGGTGGGATCTCCGCTCACTGCAACCTCCTCCTCCCAGGTTCAAGCCATTTTCTTGCCTCAGCCTCCCGAGTAGCTGGGAATACAGGCACCCGCCATCACACCCGGCTAATTTTTGTATTTTTAGTAGAGATGGGGTTTCACCGTGTTGGCAAGGCTAGTCTTGAACTCCTGACCTGAGGTGATCCGCCCGCCTCGGCCTCCCAGAGTGCTGGGAATACAGGTGTGAGCCACCGCGCCCGACCTCAGATTGCTTTTTGAATAAAAGCATTTTTTATTAGTCATTTTTATTTGTCTTAAAACTACCACTTCTAAGAAGTGCTTCTCTGAATCCTAGTACACTGCAATTGTGTGAACAGAGTTCAGAGTCCACACTCACACTAAGATCACTTTAAATACACGAAGACTTTATATCCTACTTCAGCGTTTACCTTTCCAGAGTAGATGGTACTGATATTTTTCAATCATTGCCATGCCTTTGTAACTCTACCTGAGCTGTACTCTATATACACACACTAATTAAAATATCGTTATTGAGTGCCCACTGTGGGACAGACACTTGGGATACTGAGATATATAATAGAAGTGAACAAGACAGGCAATGACATGACTCTTAGAGAGCTTACATTCTAGAGGGGGCTGGGAGTGGGAAGACAGGAAACAAATAAGCAAATATCAGTCAATGAGCAGTGCTATGATACAAGTAAAATAATCTGATACACAGTACCTCCTGGGCAACCTTAGATTGATCACCGGAAGTGTTCTCTCTAAGGAAATTATATGTAAGCTCAAATGCAAACAAGATGGCAGGCATGTAAGCATCTGGGATAAGCGCATTCCAAACAGAGAGAGAACATCTAACACAAAATCCTTAGAATGAAGAGAAGCTAGGCATGCTTACCAAATAGAAAGAAGTGGGCATGAAATGAAGAGAGTGATTGGAAATGAGGTCAGAGGGATAGGCAGAAGCAAGTTCACACAGGACCTTACAGGCAAAAAGTAAAGGACCTTGAATTCTTTTCTAATTAAAACAGGAAATCTTTGAAATGTTTCAAACATAGGAGTGACATGATCAAATTTAGTACTTAAAAAGATCACCCTGGCCGGGCACGGTGGCTCACGCCTGTAATCCCAGAACTCTGGGAGGCGGAGGCTGAGGTGGGCGCATCACCTGTCAGGAGCTCAAGAAACAGCCTGGCCAACATGGTGAAACCCCGTCTCTACTAAAAATACAAAAAATTAGCTGGGCATGGTGGCAGGTGCCTGTAATCCCAGCTACTCTGGAGGCTGAGGCAGGAGAATGGCTTGAACCTGGGAGGCAGAGGTTGCAGTGAGCTGAGATCACGCCATTGCACTCCAGCCTGGGCAACAAGAGCAAAACTCTGTCTTAAAAAAAAAAATATCACCCCAGCTGCTCTGTGAAGGATGAGTTATAGAGGGTCAAGGTTGGAAGCCAAGCCAACCGCTACTGCCATCTAAGAGGGAGACAATAATAGGGGCTTAGACAGCGTGGTAAGAGCAGACATGGAGCGAAATGGATGTATTTTAAAAATAATTCAGAGATAGAGGCAATAGAAGCACCAAAGATTCTATAGCTCTTTATAAGGGTATGTTTTCCTATTTTATTTCTAATGCTACAATTAGTAATAGTAGAATTCTATGGCCCTTTGTGAACCCAACTAGGCCATAAGATCAATGTCTTCATAGAACAGCCTCTGCAGATTCCTCAGGTTCCTTCCCCTATCCCTCTGGGAAATAAGAAAACTCAAAACTCACCACCTCTTTGAGCAGTTTGGAATGTTTTTATAAAAGTGCATGATTTATTGTTTGTGAGCTCTTTAAGGGGAGGAATAGTGTTAAATTAATCTGTCACCTGAGCACAGCACAGAAGGCACAATGGATTCCTGATAAATACATACATGATAAATAAATAAATGCTACCAATACTAAATTTCACTTGTCCCTTTTCTGTATATATAAACTTTACAAGGGATCCTTAAAATGTATCCCATTTGTTGTGCCACCACTTGGAAAATATTATTATTTTTTTCAGGATAATTCACATTAACTTCTACATTGGCATTGTTTGAGAATGAAATATTTTCTTTTAAAAGTATTTAATTAAATTGATGGCAGTACCAATACATAGAAAATTATGTTTATATTTTGTATTTGTTGGCTAAGGCTGCCATAACAAATAGCACAGACTAGGTGGCTTAAACAACAGATATTTATTTTCTCACAGTCTGGAGGCTGAAAGTCCAAGATCAAGGTGTTGGCAGGTTTGGTTTCTCCTGAGGTCACCTGGTCTTTCCTCTGTCTGTCTCTCTGCATAACCACCCAAGGCATTCATTTTTCCTGGTGCCCAGATGGAGCCTATTTATTAAGGCAGGGGAATTACAATAGAGAAAGAGTTTAACTCATGCAGAGCCCATTGAACAGGAGACTGGAGTTTTATTATTACTCAAATCAGCCTCCCTGAAAATTCAGGACTGGGTTTTTTTAAGGATAATTTGGTGGGAAGGGGGCCAAGGAGTGGGGTCAGGTCAGAGATGAAATTATGGGGAGTTGAAGCTGTCGTCTAGCACTGAGTGGGTTCCTGTGTGGAGGCCACAAGACCAGATGAGCTAGTTTTTCTATCTGGGTGGCGCCAGCTGATCCACCCAGTGCAAGGTGTAAAAAATACCTCAAACACCATTCTTAGATTTTATAATACTAATGTGACCTATACGAGCAATTCGATAGGTTAGTAATCTTGTGGCCTCTGGCTGAATGATTCCTGAGCCATAATTTCTAATCTTATGACTAATTTGTTAGTTTAACAAAAGGCAATCTGGTCTCCGGCAAGAAGGGGGTTTGGTTCGGGAAAGGGCTGTTATTATCTTTTGTTTCAAGTTAAACTATAAACTAAGTTCCTCCCAAAGTTAGTTTGGCCTACGCCCAGGAATAACAAGGGGAGCTTGCAGGTTAGAAGCAAGATGGAGTAGTTAGGTAAGCTCCCTTTCACTGTCTAATTGTCTCACTGTTATTATTTTTGCAAAGGCGGCTTCATCTGTGTCCAAATTTCCTCTTCTTAAAAGGACTCCAGTCAGATTGGATTAGGGCCCACCCTAACAGCCTCATTTTAACTTCATCACCTATTTAAAAGCCTTGTGTCCAAATGCAGTCACATTCTGAGGTACAGGGGTTATGGGGCTTCAATATGAATTTCGGGGGACACAATTCCTTTTTTAACATATTTCTTTATTAAAAATAGTAATTCATTAACAATAAGAAAACAAACACTATTTTTTAGTGATGACTATATGCCAGTGTGGCATAAGAAGAAATATATATTTGTTCTCTGCCTCAGTTTCTGGAACAGTAGCTTCTAAAACCCTTGGAGTTTCCAGAATGGTTAGGGTAAGAGGAGCTTTTTGGTTATTCATAATAAGCCTCTTTCAACCATACCTGAGTTTATGCTAATGTAGTGACTCTTGGCGGATGGAGGCTGGTTGCCAGAGGGACCAACAACATGATTGGAGGATTAAAATTATCAGGCTAGCGGGGCGCGATGGCTAATGCCTGTAATCCCAGCACTGTGGTAGGCTGAGGCAGGCAGATCACCTGAGGTCAGGAGTTCGAGACCAGCCTGTCCAATATGGTGAAACCCCGTCTCTACTAAAAATACAAAAGTTAGCCGGGCATGGTGGCGTGCACCTGTAGTCCCAGCTACTAGGAAGGCTGAGGCAGGAGAATCGCTTAAACCCAGGAGATGGAGGTTGCAGTGAGCTGAGATCATATCACACTGCACTCTTGCCTGGGTGACAGAAAGACAATCCATCTAAAAAAAACCAAAAAACAAAAAACAAAAACAAAACAAAAAACAGGACATTTAGGCCCATCCCCAGATCTCTGGAGAGGAGAGAGGCTGGGGATAGAGCCAGCCTCTATCACCAATAACCAATGACTTAATCAATTCTGCCTACACAATGAAACCTTCATCAAAACCCCATATAATAAGGTTCCAAGAGTTTCCCAGGGGGTGAACACAGGGAGGTGCTGGGAAGGTGGCACACCCAGAAAAGGCATGGAAGTGCCGTGCCCCTCCCTGCATACCTTGTCCTATGCCTTTCTCCCATTTGGCTGTTCTGGAGTTGTATCTTTCATAATAAACTGGTAATAGTAAGTAAAGTGTTTGAGTTCTGTGAGTTGTTATGAGAAATTATTGCACTTGAGGAGGGGGTTGTGGTAACTCTAATTTGTAGCCAAATCAGGCAGAACTGTGTGTAACCTGGAGAATCACTACTCACAAGTAGCACCTGAAGTGGTGGGCAATCCTGTGGGAATCCAGGTTAAATTGTGGGACACCTAGTTGGTGTTACGGAGAACTGGAGAATTGCTTGATGTGGAAAAGCCCACACACTTGGTGTCAGAAGTGTTGTAGGTACAAAAAAAGTTTTTCTTTTAGCCAGCCATTAACACACACATATATATACACACTCCAGCCCCATGAGATAAATAGTATTATTTACCGATGATGAAACTGTGGCTGAGAGAAATAAAATAATTTGGCAATGATCTCAGAGATAGCATGGTAGGGCTAAGACTGGAACTGAGGTCTTTCTTCATGACTTGTTCTTCTAACAATTACAAACTCTTTCCATCCCTAATAGGATTATTGTGAATGTATTTATTAAAAAGTGCATATAAAGTACTTCAAACAGTGCTTGACACATAATGACTTTGCAAATGTCAGTTTACTTCCCCTAACGCTGTAGACTTAATGGACAATAACATTTATTATTTGTTTATTTATTTAGAGATTTATTTAGAGATCACTCTGTTGCCCAGGTTGAAGTACAGTGGCACAATCATAGCTCACTGTAAACTTGAAATCTTGGCCTCAAGAAATCCTCCCAAGCAGCTGGGACTACAGGCATGTGCCACCACACCTGGCTAATATTTTTATTTTTTGTAAAGACAGGGTCTCATTGTGGTGCCCAGGCTGGTCTTGAACTCCTAGTCTCAAGTCATCCTCTTGCCTCAGCCTCCTAAAGTGCTGGGATTACAGGAGTGAATAACTGCTGGCCAACAATAGCATTTAAATCATTCCTATCTGGCTCTCCTAGTTTTTCTGGAATGCCAGTTTGAAATACACGTCTTTAGAAGATTGGCCATAATGATTATTTCTCCTGACTCAGTGTCAAATCCTGTTCACTGTTTCAGTAGATGCCTCTGTGTACATATGAATTTAAAAGAGGAAGATAATGAAAGTGCTTTTACATTTAAAAATAGTTTTCACAATTCTAATGCTTAGCAACTAGCATTAAAAAGGGAAAGTAAAGCACAGTAACATTCTTTTTCCTTTAAAGACCGTCTTGTTTAAAGGACCATCTCTATCTGTGAGTGCTTTAAATCAGCAAAAATTAAAGGAAAATATAATTAACTTCAAGTTCAACATAGCAGCCTATTAACTACTTAAGTCTTCTACCATTTATTTACCAATTCATACTGATAAAGGTTGATGATAAAATGACATATATTGAGAAATAAAAGTTAACTCTCCAAACTAAGAAAACATGCAATAAATGTAAATGCAATCAAAAAGGATTCTAAACAGAATTTCCTTTTGTTATTTCACTGGTAACTGCTATAATGCTATCTCAAAATGGCAAATAATAAAGCAGCCTTGGTTATGATGTTTGTAATCTATTTTTAAATGCTCCAGCATAGACAGTATAATATCATGAATGTGTTCATTACTGTTAGTTTCAGCTTCAAAACAAGGGGCAGTCAGTGGCTTTTGTGGAGATTCCAGAGATGGTCAACAAGCAATTGATCAGAAAATGCCACTTTTTGGAGTTAACTAATACAAATGCTTCAGCTATCTGCATCTCAATACCTGAGACTTGACTAATTAGCATATGAAATGTCAGAAGTGGTTTTTATCTGGGGGAAATTCATGGTTTATTTATAGACATAATGAATGTTAGAAAATGTAAAGTCATTGGTGACTTTAAATGTATTCATGGATTGCTAAAGTATTTTGGATACATTTTCTACCCTTACATGAATCCAGTAAGGCCTAAAACCTGTGCAGTATGGAAGCAACCTAAGACTGGACCCCTAGACAATTCTGTGTCTATTCTTTGATTCTGAGGATTACTGACTGTCCAAGACAAACTGGGGAGCACAAAATCTTGCCTGTAGATTATTGTTTTATCTATGTCCAGTAAACTTTCATGCAGAATACCCAAAAACAGAGAGCTGAGGCAGGAGAATAGCGTGAACCCAGGAGGCCGAGCTTGCAGTGAGCGGAGATTGCGCCACTGCACTCCAGCCTGGGCGACAGAGCAAGACTCCATCTCAAAAAAAAAACAAAAAACAGAGCTGGCATGTTGTCAAGTTTCACAGAACAGGTCGTAAGAACTGTTTTTCAGCCTGCTTGTTAGTAAGTGCTTGTTAAATAAATGTCTGTTTGTATGGCAAAATTGGGCTGGAGGTTTGCTTTCATTATAAGACGGTAGGTAGCTTATTTGTTGGGGAGGAGCCAGTCTTTCCCATCCATCCAAGGCCTTCGGGGTCAGATAGAATTCAAGAGTTGTGTCTAATCCAAGTGACTGAGTTCGGCCACGCATAGTGGCTCACGCCTGTAAATCCCAGCACTCTGGGAGGCTGAGGCGGGTGGATCACCTGAGGTCAGGAGTTTGCGACCAGCCTGGCCAACATGATGAAACCCCGTCTCTACTAAAAATACAAAAAATTAGCCGGGCCTGGGGGTGGATGCCTGTAATTCCAGCTACTTGGGAGGCTGAGGCAGGAGAATCTCTTGAACCCGGGAGGCGGAGGTTACGATGAGCCGAGATTGTGCCATTGCACTCCGGCCTGGGCAACAAGAGCGAAACTCCGTCTGAAACAAACAAATGAACAAACAAAAACAAAAAAACAACGAAAAACACGAAGTGGCTGAGGTCACAGCAACATTTCAGGAGATTCTTTTTCTTTAATTTTAATATTTAGTTTTCTGTGGATATATTAAGATGACTCAGAAAAAAACAATATATTAATCATCTGGCAGTTTCAAATAGACCCTTAACAATAATAAATATGAAATCATTTAAGTGAATATTTTACTTATTTTTAGGTTTCAATTAAGATTCTTTTTCATCTTCCTGGAAAATGGAAAGAAACTACAGAAAGCATCCTTGAGAATCTAAATATAAATTAAGAAAGGCTTTGTCTTCAAGGAGGACAAATAATTCAGAGAGAAAAGCAGGAACCAGTGCTTTAGCCTTAGTTAAATTTCATAAACTATTTTACCCAGCATACTGGGTTTGGCAGAAAACAAAATGCTTTTGCCAAACTCTTTTCTTTTTTTCCTCATTATTTAAAGCCACATGTTCTATGAAGGGAATTTAATGCATGTGTTGCAAATGTTTTTAAAAGTGTGTTTTACTAGCAGAGATCACTGAGTTAAGGTAACCAAGCCTGAACATAGCCCATTATAACAGAAGCCATGGGATTGTTTTAATGAATCAGTGACTTTCCTAAGGTACGATGGAATGGAATTTACCTACAGAGGAAATGGATTTTACTTGAACCACTAGGAATTGAGGTTGAATATATTCATCACCAGTGAGATTTATTAAACCTTGTAATGTATGGAGGGCTTAGGAATGTGGCATAGATTGACTAGACAAATAAAAATTCAGAGTTGGATGGGGATTTTGAAAAGTTGCAACCTCATTTGGCCTCAGTTTCTGCTTCTCTGAAATTTAAAGGTTGGGGCATTTTGTCAAATCCCAATCAATTCATATTAAAGAGCATTTTTATTATTCACTCACCATGGGTCCTATATTTTAAAAATTTTGCTAACCAAATTGCATCTAATGACTAATAAAGCCTTTCTCAGATTTTAGTTAATGAAACATATTAATCATTACCTCTGATCAGAGTAAGATATCTTGGAGTACCACACCTGGTGCATATACTGTTGGCCAAAGCCAAAGAAATTTGATACTTTAGTTCACCTGTGGAGATTGACTGTGGTTAAATTTATTATTTCCATCAGGCATTTTAAAATATAGGCAGTGCTGATTATGTGAGGATAATTGGTTCCAGAAAAGGGCCACTTAAAGTGAGTTAATGCAAAACAAGGGTCACTGCCTTGAAAGCTTAAAATTATGAAAATAAGTTTACTTGGTTAGGCTTGCAGCTAAGGGTATATCTGTACCTAAAGGCTACATAGAACTATAACAAGAGTAACAAGAATGTCGTTTTGTTTTATTTTGGTGTAATTTTTCCCACAAACCTTCTCCTCACATTTAACTTTCTCTGCAAATTCACAGAGGAGGATTACTTAGCAGGTAGGGGGAGCAGCACAAAATAGGCAGGATTCAAAGGTTCCCTTAATCCAATTATGTAGGCCTATCATTGTTGCCCAGGATCCTTGATTTCAATTTGCAGTTGATTTTTGTGCTGTATTTGCATTATGTAGTTGAAAGACTGAAAGCATCAGGTGACTGCCAAAAAGAACAAAGACACTGAAACCAAAAAGTCTGAATCTAGTGTGAATCTGGAAATGGGGTGGGGTTGTTTTTTGGTAAGTGGTTAGTTTGTGAGTGATTTTTTTTGCTTTCATATTAAGATTCCTTTCTTCCCTCGGCAACCTGGTACCTTTTGCAAGGGGGCCACTGGAGAAACCCCTGTAGGGAAAATAGCTCATTGTTATCCATTGAAAAAGCATCATTAACTTGGCTGACCCAAGAACTCCAAGTTGGGAACCACTAGATTTTTATTACAGTCTTCCTGTCCCTAATATTCTGTACATTTAATTATATGCTCTTTGTTTTCTATTGTGGAAATTGAAAGCCTGAGGGATTGTTATCTGCTGGAGGTCACATGGCCAATTACTGACTGAAGCAGGTATAGAATCTGGATTTCTGACTTTTTTTTTGGACACTTTAAAATAATATTTAGTTGAGGCCAGGTGCGGTGGCTCACGCCTGTAATCCCAGCACTCTGGGAGGCCGAGGTGGGTGAATCACCTGAGGTCAGGAGTTCAAAACCAGCCTGGCCAACATAGTGAAACCCCGTCTGCACTAATAAAAATTGGCAGGGCATGATGGCAGGTGACTGTAATCCCAGCTGAGATGGGAGAATCACTTGAACCCGGGAGGTGGAGGTTTCAGTGAGCCGAGATCGTGCCATTGGACTTCAGCCTGGGCAATAAGAGTGAAACTCCATCTCAAAAATAAATAAATAAAATAAAATAATATTTTGTTGAACTTACTCTGTGGAGAAAAAAACAGAAATAAAATAAAATAATATTTTGTTATTGAAACTATTTATGATTTTATTAATTTAATTCATGCCTTGTCTTTAAGCTCTGAGATATTTTAATTTGGCTAAATAGAAATATACGTATTAAAACAACAACTGTTTCGTTCCCAGGAATCCTAATGGGTTTTACAGGGTTATACACGGTTGTATTAGCATATCTTGTTTATTCTTTTTTTTTTTTTTTTTTGGAGACGGAGTCTTTCTGTCACCTAGGCTGTAGTGCAGTGGCGTGATCTCGGTTCACTGCAACTTTGCCTCCTGGGTTCAAGCGATTCTTGTGCGTCAGCTTCTAGAGTAGCTGGGACTACAGTCATGTGCCACCATGCCTGGCTAATTTCTGTATTTTTAGTAGACACGGGGTTTCACCATGTTGGCCAGGCTGGCCTCAAACTCCTGACCTCAAGTGATCCACCCATCTTGACCTCCCAAAGTGCTGAGATTACAGGTGTGAACCACCACACCCGGTTTATCTTGTTTATTCTAACAAAATCATTTTAGCCGGGAGATTCAAATTAAGTTGAAACTGGAGATTCAAATTAAATTGAAACTTCAGAAACTGGCAATTCAGCACAATTTGGTACAACCCAGGCAGTGAATTTCATTTGTTAAAATGTTGCAAAGTCTTGGCAGCACATGGCCTTAGTCATTAGAAGGCCATATGATTTAATTGTCAAGGTGGGTTCCTTGGGTGTTGGGGAAGGGAGACAGTCCTTAGGCTGTCACACTGGAGCCAAGGGAGAAGGGATGCATTTGAGTGTTCAGCTTTGAAGTGAATGAACTTCAGTGTTACTGGTCTTCAAACATTTTAATGTATACAGTTTGGATTCTCTTTAAATTATGGGTCATTTCCCCTATAAATCTATTGATTCTATTTTACAATTAGAGACAGAGAAATCACCAATAGTATGTAAAAAACAAGAGTTCATCTGTAGCTTTGCATCAGCAGAATCTGGTGTAGAGAGATATATATGCATAGCTACACATTTCTTTATTTTTTAATTTTATTTATTTATTTTTTGAGATGGAGTCTCACTCTTTCACCCAGGCTGGAGTGCAGTGGCTCACTCATCTCAGCTCACTGCAACCTTCACCTCCTGGGTTCAAGTGATTCTCATGCTTCAGCTTCCCGAGTAGCTGAGATTACAGGTGCGCGCCAACAGTCCTGGCTAATTTTTGTGTTTTTAGTAGAGATGGGGTTTCATCATGTTGGCCAGGCTTGTCTTGAACTCTTGACCTCACGTGATCCACTCACCTTGGCCTGCCAAAGTGCTGGGATTACAGGCATGAGCCACTATACCCAGTTGTTTTTTTAGTAAGTAAGGAAAATGTCGTAAGTGGGAGTTGAACAATGAGAACACATGGACACAGGGAGGGGAACATCACACACCAGGGCCTGTTGGGGAGTCGGGGGCTGGGGGAGGGATAGCATTAGGAGAAATACCTAATGTAAATGACGAGTTGATGGGTGCAGAAAACCAACATGGCATATGTATACTTATGTAACAAACCTGCACGTTGGGCACATGTACCCCAGAACTTAAAGTATAATTTCAAAAAATAAGTAAGGAAAAGAAAGTGTTCTGATTACAGTAATATTATCAGATTTTTATGTATAAAGCGACAGTTGAAATTAACGGCTTTCCATGTATGTATGCAGTAATCCTTAGCACAGTTTATACTTCTGTGATGTGACAGCAAATCACATGGAAAATATGTATTTTACCTTCAATCTGGTGATAAGAAAAATAGAAAATAGTTCCTCTAATCAAAAGGAGATTTTATTGTTTTTAGTGATGAATGTGAACTTTTAAAGGCTAAGAGAATGAGAGTACTGGGGAAAAACCAACTTTAGACTTACTTGAGTCACTGGGCTAGGATCCTGGAGAAATGCTAAACTCACAGCCTTTCAGAGAGAAAAAATTGGCATTCAAATGCGTGGGTTCTCAGAAGTGCACAGCTGATGTCCAGATGGTGACACTTTGGGGAGAAGCAGGGCTGTCAGCACCAGGAACATTCAGGTTGCATACAGATGTTCTGTGTGGGCAGGGACAGAGGGAAGCCTTGCCTAACCAAGAGAGAACCTTGGTTAAGGAACTATTTAGGAACGATTCACCTGAATAATGGGAAAGATAGAAAAATGTTGCATTCCATTTAATGTATTAGTCAGTAGCTATAAAATACAGGAAAACATGCCTGAGATCTTTGAGGTTACACTTTTTGAAGTTCTAGTAAATGCAATAAGGAAAATGTTCTTTTGTCATCTCTAGGATGTAACAGTATACCTTGAGAATCTTACAGGTTCAAAAAGAGCAGATCTGTAAGCTGTATTACCAGCTTCACTGGATTCTAGCCTATAAGATTGCCAGCTAGTGATACAATCACTGTGAGGAACAGGTACACTGGGACAATGCCAGTTTTCAGAGTCAGCAGTATCCATGTACTTGATGCTACACGGTTAACTTTGCTGTTGTACCTTGCTCTTTACATAGAGGCTGAAAAATTCTACTCTACAAGTGCAGTGTACTAAAGAAAGGAAGAAGGATGGGAGAGAGAAAGGGCAGTGAGAACAGTGTAGGGTAGTGGTAAGTGAATCATAGAAATACAAATCTAGAAGGAAGCAACAGCTGGAAGGAAATCCCAGAAAAGGCCAGGCGCAGTGGCTCACGCCTGTAATCCCAGCACTTTGGGGAGGCCGAGGCGGGTGGATCACCTGAGGTCAGGAGTTTGAGACCAGCCTGTCCAACATGGTGAAATCTTGTCTCTACTGAAAATACAAAAATTAGCCAGGTGTAGTACCGCACGCCTGTAATCCCAGCTACTTGGGAGGTTGAGGCATGAGAATCACAAATCTCAGGAAAATCTTTATTCAGTTTGGCTTGTTTTGGCTCAAAGCATCCTTTGAATAATGTTATCTTTAGATGGTTATATTAGTAGAAATCTGCAGGTCTAAAATGGTCATCAGTTCCATTACAAAGTATAAATGTGGATGTTAACTTTCACTAAACTACATAGCAGATTAATGTCTTGGACTGTACAGACTATGCTGAGAGTCATGATTACGTGTATTAAGCTTCAAAATAGCGTATGGCTTTCAGTCTTCCTCGAGGTAGTCTCAGGGATCTGGTCTTTGTAATTCTATTGCCATTGGGAAAATAACTTCATTCATTCACAGGATCAACTGTGATCTCTATCTGGTATTTCTCTCAATTCAGAGGGATATGAGATTGGGGAGATTGTGGGGCATGCACTCTAGCTAGGAATCCCCCTGCTCCTCCTCGACATGCCTGAGGATGGTGAGAAGCAGTGAGAGGGAAAACGTTTCCATGTGTCCCTTGTTTTAGGACACAACCTACAGATAAAGAACACTAAATCTAGATCTATGTCGATTTATGGCCATCAATTAAAAAATTGATGGAGTGATACTACAGGTGAGCAAACAGAGGCCAAGCAGTTGTTTATTGACAAGCTTCAGGGAGAAAAGCAAAGGCTTCTGATTTACTGTTTGTACTATATTGCTTTCCATGGTTAGGCATTCCTGGGACTTTGGAGTTTGGAGGGTGTATAGGGATTTGATTTTAGCTCTCCACTAGCCTTACCCTTGATCCAGAACTGATACACAGCTAGTTTTCAGTATTTTCATCCCTGGAGGCAGGAGTGGGACTATTCCCACCCAAGCCACAGAATGAGGGTAGGGGGAAGGAAATCAAGGCATTCATATTCAAAGAAAGGATATTGGTGCTAAGCAAACAGCAGGAAACTACAGGTGTTAGGTGATTTCTTTCAATGCAGTTTCAGATCTAAAAGGCTTTGTTAATTATACTATTAAAAGTTTAATTTAAAAGGCTTTATTAATTATACTTTTTATTTTTGTATGCTTAAGCTTTTCAAAACTCTTTCCATCTATTATCTACTTTTTACCCCACTGTTAGCCCTCTATTTAAAGAGGTAGTATAGAGTACTCATTACAAGCACAGATGCTGTGGCTGGTGTTCAAAGCTTGTTGAGATGTATGTCCTTTGGTGAATTTCACCTATCTGTGCCACAGTCTTTTCATCTGTAAAATGAGGATAATATTAGCAGCCTCTTTATAGGTTGGTTATGAGAGCCGTATAAGTTAATACACATAAAACTTGTAATGGTACCACTGTCATACTAAACTATCAAAAAGTGTTAGCTAGTTTGAGCAAACTGGGGTTGTGAGAAGTTAAATCATTTAGAGAAGCTAAATTCCACCAAAATCCTAAAGTCACAAGACCAGTAAGTGATGAAGTCAGGACTTGAATGCTAGTTTAATTATGTCAATTCTAGAATTCATTTTCAGCAATAGGATATTCTATGCCTAAATACATATACATGCGCACATACATGCATGCATATGTATATCTATCTATCTATCTATCTATCTATCATCTATCTATCTATCATCTCTCTATCTAGAAAGAGAAAGTCTGAGAGAGAAGAAAGGCCCAACATTTGTACAAATTTATAACATATATCATAGTATTGTAATTATGTATGAATATTTATGTGATTATGAGCTTCTTGGGGACAGGGACTCTCTCTTCTTTTTTGAAAGAAACTGGAACCAAGTACATAAACTGTCTACCCATATGCATAGATGCTGTGGAATGAAAGAATGGCAGAACAATTGGATGAAGTAATGAATGAATGAATGAATGAACATATGAACATTCAGGATGGAGTTTCACTCTTGTCACCCAGGCTGGAGTTCAATGGCACGGTCAAGGCTCACTGCAACCTCTGCCTCCCGGGTTCCAGCGATTCTCCTGCCTCAGCCTCCCAAGTAGCTGGGATTACAGGTGCCCACCACCATGCTTGGCTAATTTTTGTATTTTTAGTAGAGACGGGGTTTCACCATGTTGGCCAGGCTGGTCTCAAACTCCTGACCTCAGGTGATCCGTCCACGTCTGCCTCCCAAAGTGCTGGTATTACAGGTGTCAGCCACTGTGCCCGGCCATGGTTAGCTGTTAAAGAAACACTCTAAATCTCATAAATTAAAGCAAATAGTTTGGAGAGGTTAGTGTCATAATAAATCCCAGTGGTACTGGCATAATAGAAAAGTACTTGATGCAAAAAATGTCTACTGTTGGCCAGATATGGTGGCTCATGCCTGTAATCCTAGCACTTTGGGAGGCTGAGGTGGGAGGAGGTGGGAGGATCACTTGAGGCCAGGAGTTTGAGACCAGCCTGGGCAACATCATTAGACCCCATTTCTACAAAAAAATTAAAAATTAGCCAGGCGTGGTGGCACACACCTGTATTCCCAACAACTCAGGAGGCTGAAGTGGAAGAATCACTTGAGCCCAGGAGGTCAAGACTGCAGTGAACCATGATTGCTCCACTGCACTTCAGCTTGGGTGACAGAATAAGACCTGTCTTTAAACAAACAAACAAACAAAAACCAACCAAACAAACAAAAAACACAGCTTCAAGTGGTCTAACTACACTTATTCTTGGGGACTAAAATTATTAAAATGTCTAATAACTTTGGAATTCAGTGTTTCCTCAGTGTAGCACAGACCACTTTCACAGTTTTAAAGAGCCGGTCTTCCTTTTCTCTGTTAAGATTTTCTTTGTTTACCTGAAATCTTCAGTGGGAGAATGAAAAGCTGTAAAAATTATGCTTTAACAATCATCTAACTTTTTCATCCAGTTCTCTGACCCCCTCATCACCCAGATCCCAGTTTCTGCCTACTAATAGACAATAAAGGCTTTTGTGAACCTACCCCACCGCCCCCCTCTCAAGGAAATCACTGTTTCCTACTATTCTATGGCTGGCTACTTGGTGAGCTAATCACTAGCGACAAATAAAGATATGAGCTGTATGCAAATGAACAATCTAATAATAAAAGTCTGTATGCACCCTACAGAATTCTCTAAGCCATTCATCCTTTTAATTCAATTTTCTTTGAAATTATACCCTATCCTAAACAACATTTCAATACCAAAGATATGGCATGGAGCCCTGCAGCATCCCACTTATTATGTATGTTGCTTTACTGTGATTTGTAGATATGATTGTTTGATTTCTCCTAATTTTAGGTTTCCAAATTAATTTTATTAGTTCTCCACATAAAACCACGATAACTAAATTTCTGCAACAATCTGCCTCAGGGATGCACATAGTACATTTTCCCTCCCTTCTCCCCTCCTGCCCTAACTACTCTGGGGCTTAATTTTTGCTCTTTCCTTCAACACTTAACACTTGAGAAAATCAGATTTTAAGTTATTATCAGGATCTTCATTTTCACGTGAATATTTAAATAGCTTATTCTGTAGAGCACATTTGCAAGATTTAGGATAATGAATATTAGCCAGCTTTCAAACTTAATTTTAAGTTCAAGGTTACAAATGCAGGTTTGTTACATAGGTAAACTTGTGTCATGGGGGTTTGTTGTACAGATTATTTCATCATCCACATATTACACCTAGAACCTATGAGTTATTTTTCTTGATCCTTTTCCTCCTCCCCCACTTCACTCTCCAAAAGGCCCCAGTGTGTGCTGTTCCCCTCTGTATGCCCATGTGTTCTCATCATTTAGCTCCCACTTATAAGTGAGCACATATGGTGTTTGGTTTCCTGTTCCTATGTTAGTTTACTAAGGATAATGGCCTCTAGCTCCATCCATGTCCCTGCAAAGGGCATGATCTCGTTCTTTTTAAGGCTGCATACTATTCTATAGTGTATGTACACTGCATTTTCTTTGTCCAGTCTATCATTGATGGGCATTTAGGTTGATTCCATGTCTTTGCTATTGTGAATAGTGCTGCGATGAACATACACATGCATGTGTCTTTATAATAGAATAATTCATGTCCCTTTGGGTATATACTCAGTAATGGGATTGCTGGGTCAAATGGAATTTCTGTCTTTAGATCTTCGAGGAACTGCCACATTGTCTTCCACAATTAGCCAGCTTTTTAATACTAAATTAAAAAGTTGGGTTAAAAATATGCACCTGTAGAGGCCAAGGGAAACTTGCCCTTCGCCCTCTGAAGGTTCATTGAAAAATCAGTTGCAAAGGGCAGATTGTTTGGAGGAAAAGCATGTAAATGTATTTAACCTGTACTTGGAGAGAACCACAGAATGATTACCCACCCCCCACAATGTGGTCCAGAGGCTTACAAACCATCCTACCAATACAGATTATTGGTGGGTGGCGGGGAGAAGAAGAATTCTGTTGGGGGGATTACTAGAGAGAATGAGTGGGCCAGAAAACAGATTAATTTGTACATTATCTTGTGAAAGGGTCTGTTTGGTGTGGTTACATTCTTGGTCTTAAACAGAGGTGAAAAAATAACAATTATTCCTTCTGACGGGTCTGGATCTTATGCAAATGCTATGGGGAGGTTGTCAGAAAGCCACAATATTTTGGGGTATCGGTTTCTAACCCCAACACAGCCAATAGTTGTCTGGAATACCAGCTGTTTATTATAGATATAACTCTAGCACAGACCTATTGAAAACTTAGGATTTCCACAATTCAATCTGCTTTTCCCATTGCTAATTATGAAAGAGACTGCCTGAATTAGTCTTTTTCTTTTTATTTTTTTGAGACAGGATCCCACTCTGTTACCCAGGCTGGAGTGCAGTGGCATGTTCACAGCTCACTGCAGCCTCGACATCTCCCCACAACCCCTTGAGCTCAAAGATGATCCTCCTACTTCAGCCTCCTGAGTTGCTAGGACTACAGGCAAGCATCACCACGCCTGACTAATTTTTTATTTTTTGTAGGGTGGGGTTCTCATCATGTTGCCCAGGTTGGTCTCAAACTAGACACAAGTGATCCTCCCACCTCAGGCTCCCAAAGTGCTGGGATTATAGGCGTGAGCCATCCAGACCAGCATTGAATTAGTCTTGATGGTAAGAACTCAGAATAAATTGGGAGACATAAATTTAATTTTTGGTTTTATTGTTGACTCATGTTTAGCTTAAGGCAGCAAGGCCAGCCATATTCATAAAGAGAAGGTGGACATTCACAAAGTATTATTTTGGGCCTGGCACAGTGGCTCATGCCTGTAACCCCAGCACTTTGGGAGACTGAGATGGGTGGATCATTTGAGCTCAGGAGTTCAAGACCAACCTGAGCAACATGGCGAAATCCTGTTCCTATTTATTAAAATTATTTTTTTAAGGTGTCATATTTTGGGGGTGGGTACTAGTATCGTTCTCCTACAAGTGCCTGGTGTTTTATTATTGAAGCTTAATTTATTTGTCTTGCCTTTCTCTTTTAGAGAGCAAAGGGAAGTAATGCATTAAAACTAATAACATGCTATAACTTAATATGCTATATTACTGGGCTCTTTGCTATATGACCGCAATGTATATGTGTGTGTGTGCGTGTGTGTTTGTTTGTGTGTGTGTGTGTGTGAGAATGATGGTTACAGGTAAAGTGAATAAGGCAAAGTGAGAGGGCAAAAGAGCAGAAAAGGTTATTTGGGGACACTGAAGACAAATTGCCTTTTTGTGCGTGTGTGGGTTTTTTTGTTTGTTTGTTTGTTTTAGCAGAGTCGCTCTGTCACCCAAGCTGGAATGCAGTGGCACAATCTCAGTTCACTGCAGCCTCCACCTCCAGGGTTCAAGTGATTCTCCAGACTCAGCCTCCGGAGTAGCTGGGATTACAGGCACATACCACCACGCCTGGCTAATTTTTTATTTTTTGTAGAGACGGGTTTTCACCATATTGGCCAGGCTGGTCTTGAACTCCTGACCTCAAGTGATCCACCCATCTCGGCCTCCCAAAGTGCTGGGATTACAGGCATGAGTCACCATGTCTGGCCAACAAATTGCCTTTTTGTGGTTTTAATGTTTTGTTGGTTTGTTTGTAGAGATGAGGTCTCCCTATATTGACCAGGCTGCTCTCAAACCCCTGTCTTCAAGTGATTCTTCTGCTTCAACCTCCCAAAGTGTTGAGATTACAGGTGTTAGCCACCACACCTGGCCTTGTCCATTTCTTAAACTATGAAATATGAGATAAGCTGTGAATCTATACAGTTATTTGAAGATATGTCAGCTCTTGGTTGATAATGTGCTTAGAAAACAATGCTAGACAAATAAATGGCATCAGTCATCTAAATGAGAACATTAGACATCCCCAGTGATGTGCTATTCTTGACCTTTAATACCTGACAGTGAATAGAGCTGTTAGGAAATACACATGCACACACACCTTTAATTCTGTCATATAATACATTTCATATTGAGCCATCTAAGCTACCCATAACCATGGCAGTTACGTAACACATTTTTTTTAAACCGGAAGTTGTTTCTCCTTCTTAGGGCTTATACTTTATAAAATGCTATTCTGTTTTTCAATTCTTCCAATATGATTTGTAGAAGGCAATGACAGGTTGCATTTTTAAATCCACTTAGCTTTCCTTCCTCTGAATAATCCTATTTGACAGGCTCCCTTCCACGCCTTTTTCTTATCATTAAGAACAGCTTCAGCTTGGTCTGTCTAAGCAAAAAGTAGATTAATTGTATAGTTCTAGGAAATCAACTGCCATGTCCTAAGAGGTAAAGATGAGAATTTCAAAAATGAATTTGTCTTTATCAGGAATGAATGGACTTAAGAACACTTCTGAGTTGTAAGTTAGTAGTTATCCATCTATATTGAATTAATGGAATGTAACATTTGATGACTTCTCTTGTAGTTGGAAATATGAAGAGACATTGTTTAAATCTTTTGCCCAGGATCTCAGAAGTTCATCAGAATTCTATTTTGCCTTATCTTTTGGGAAGCTACAGGAGCAGTAAATGTTTATCATTTTGAAAAGTTGCCATTTTTTAAAAAAAATCTTTAATTTGGAACTGATATTTTAATACTTTACACAATTGTGCTATGTTCATTTTCAACAGATATCATAGAAGACTATTTCTCTTAGGAAAAATATATTTTCTCCATTTCAAAAGAAAATTTAAAAACATAATTTTGGGCCGGGCGCGGTGGCTCACGCCTGTAATCCCAGCACTTTGGGAGGCCAAGGTGGGTAGATCACGAGGTCAGGATATCGAGACCGTCCTGGCTAACACGGTGAAACCCCATCTCTACTAAAAATACAAAAAATTAGCCGGGCGTGGTTGCAGGCACCTGTAGACCCAGTTACTCGGGAGGCTGAGGCAGGAGAATGGCTTGAACCCAGGAGGCGGAGCTTGCAGTGAGCTGAGACTGCACCACTGCACTCCAGCCTGGGAAACAGAGCGAGACTCCGTCTGAAAAAAACAAGAAAACAAAAAAACAATTTTGAGGCCAGGCATGGTGGCTCACGCCTGTAATCCCAGCACTTTGGGAGGCCAAGGTGGGCGGATCACCTGAGGTCGGGAGTTCGAGACTAGCCTGACCAACATGGAAAAACCCCGTCTCTACTAAAAATACAAAAAAATCAGCCAGGTGTGGTGGTGCATGCCTGTAATCCCAGCTACTCGGGAGGCTGAGGCAAGAGAATCGCTTGAACCCAGGAGGTGGAGGTTGTGGTGAGCCGAGATCGTGTTATTGCACTCCAGCCTGGGCAACAAGAGTGAAACTCTGTCTAAAAACAAAACAAAACAAAAACAAAAACAAAAAGAAAACATAATTTTGAGATGAATTAGTTGATTACAACAGTTATATACATATTAACTATTTCCTCCAAAAAGCTTCAATTGAGTTCATCCAGCATTTCAGGAAATTAGAAAGAGGCATGCATTACTCTTGGTGGGAAAAAAAGCTATTATGGCATCTAGAGGTTAAGCAGCTTGCCAGGTTCACTAAGTCAAGCAGTGGGATTGAGGATAAAGCTATAGGTTTCCTTGTCTTCCAGATGGTAGCAGAGTGAGATAAGACCTACACACCAGGTGTTTCTAAACAGAAGCAGAGTAGAGACAGACACCTAGAACAAGGGCCCTACTCTCTTTCCACAGGCCTTACCTGTGTTCAAGAATGTACAAGGTAGTTTTCTGAATTAAACAATAAGACTATCTGTGGGAAAATGGCTTGCGATTCACATCTCGAATAGTGTTGCCCACAGCAGTTTCTAGTGCCTCCGCAGGTGCTGTCTGCAAAGCTTTAGTGCCCAGGGAACAGGTGGTAAAACAGGCAGCCCTTTTGCTGGTCTCCCCCACCCTTGAGGGTTGAACACACTTGCACCTCTCTCCAAAATTTTCCTTTTATAATAATGTCGCTCTACGTTGCAATAAAGTTGATCACAAATGCACAGAAAGAGTCAATTCCCCCTAGGCAGCGCTGGAGGGGTTAAGGAGCAAGTGGACTCCATTTCTCATGATCTCTTCTACAAGGCAGGTAAGGGCCGAATGAGTCAGGGGTGGTCTCTACGTCACTATCTGTGTGAAGCTTGTGGTTATCAACCACCTGGGGCAAGTGTTTGTTCTGCTGGAGAACTGCAATAGAGAATGTGGGAAGCCAAAGAGCATGCTAAAATGGGCAAACAATTGTGTAGGTAATCCCATTTTCCCATTTTCCCACTTTAGAAGTTGCATATCTAAATAGAAATGCAGGGCGGGTGGGGTGGCTCACGCCTGTAATCCCAGCACTTTGGGAGGCCGAGGCAGCCGGATCACGAGGTCAGGAGATCGAGACCATCCTGGCTAACATGGTGAAACCCCATCTCTACTAAAAATACAAAAAATTAGCCAGGCGTGGTGGCAGGTGCCTGTAGTCCCAGCTACTCGGGAGGCTGAGGCAGGAGAATGGCATGAACCCGGGAGGCGGAGCTTGCAGTGAGCCGAGATGGTGCCACTGCACTCCAGCCTGGGCAACAGAGCAAGACTCCGTCTCAAATAAATAAATAAATAAATAAATAGAAATGCAATGAGGGAATCCAGTGGACCACACTGTGGTTTCCAAAGATTATGGAGGCAATTTATGAGATCTAAGATGTCTTTCTAGGGTTTGCTGGAAAATACAATTCTAGTTATGGAACTTTCATTCAGTGGCTTCCTGTTAACTCACATTGTAAGATATTGTTTATTGGAGGAAGCCATCCAGAGAAAGTTTAAAGGCTTTAATGCAGTATATAAGGTTCATCCTTCTCACTCCTGATTTATTTCCCTAATCAACTTTATACCCTCCACCAGTCCCACCCCTCACCCTGTGCACACTCAAATACATTCTCCACTCTAAGTTATTAACAGTTTCCCAGTAACATCAGGCTCTTTGACTCACACATGTCTCTTCCTGGGGTTATCCACTCTAACCCCTCCTTGTCTGCCTGCAAAGCTCAAGCTTCACCTTCTGTATGAACCTAAACTGGCTACCACCCCACCCCACAATAAAATTGACCCTTTTACTTTCATACCCCCATATAGCCCACTTCATTATCATACTTACTTGTTTACAAGTTTACCTTCCTGGACTAGACAGACTGTAAGCTCCTTGTGGTGGGACCTGTGTTTTATCTTTAAAGTCTTCTGAAACTAACATGGTGTCCCAGGACTTAAATACATTTGTTGAATGAATAATGATCGATGTTCTTTACTGTGTTCTATCTATCCCCTGATAGAACAACCTACAGTTGCAGGATTTTTTTGTTTGTTTGTTTGTTTTTTGAGACGGAGTCTGTTTGTCACCCAGGCTGGAGTGCAGTGGCACAATCTCAGCTCACTGCAACCTCTGCATCCTGGGTTCAAGGGATTCTCCTGCCTCAGCCTCCCAAGTAGCTGGGATTCCAGGCATGCACCACCATGCCTAGCTAATTTTTGTATTTTATTCTATTCTTTTTTTGAGATGAAGTTTCACTCTTGTCGCCCAGGCTGGAGTGCAGTGGCGTGATCTCGGCTCACTGTAACCTCTGCCTCCTGGGTTCAAGCAATTCTTCTGCCTCAGCCTCCGGAGTACCTGGGATTACAGGTGCATGCCACCATGCCTGTTTTGTTTGTTTTGTTTTGTTTTTTTTAGTAGAGACAGGGTTTCATCATGTTGACCAGGATGGTCTCAAACTCCCAACCTCAGGTGATCCGCCCGCCTTGGCCTCCCAAAGTGTTGGGATTACAGGCAGAGCCACTGCTCCTGGCCTAATTTTTGTATCTTTAGGGGAGACAAGGTTTCACTATGTTGGCCAGGCTGATCTTGAACTCTGTACTTCAGGTGATCCACCTGCCTCTGCTTCCCAAAGTGCTGAGATTACAGACTTGAGCCACCGTGCCCGGCCCAGTTGCAGTTTTTTAAGCCGTGAGGAATTTGGGAGAATGGAGAGGAAAGATTCTGGAAACTCGAAGTCCAATTCTATTTAAGTCCTGACTGTGCTGAATACTCTTTGGAAACAATTAATTCCTCTTTTTTTTTTTTTAACTACTTAAATTCCCAGATAAGTATAACCCAGGACATTTGTTTGTTTGTTTGTTTGTTTGTTTTTGAGACAGTGTCTTGCTCTGTCACCCAAGCTGGAATGCCATGGTGCGATCCAGGCTCACTGCAACCTCTGCCTTCCAGGGTCAAGTGATTCTCGTGCCTCAGCCTCCTGAGTAGCTGGTATTACAGCATGTGCCACCGCTCCCAGCTAATTTTTGTATTTTTAGTAGAGACAGGGTTTCACCATGTTGGCTAAGCTGGTCTCAAACTACTGACCTCAAGTAATTTGCCCACCTCGGCCTCCCAAAGTGCTGGGATTACAGGCGTGAGCCACCATGCCGGTCAGGAAAATTTTTAAACAATACTGATGACTGGGTAACCACTCTAGAAATTCTACATAAATTGGCCTAGAACAAGTGCTGGCTTTGGGAGTCTTAGGCACACCAGGTAATTTTAATATGCAGTCGAGGTTGGAAAACCACTGCTTTAAGTGTACTTACCTAGGACCAGGATTTACATATCCCCTGTATATTGAAAACTACCAACTTTACAGGTCCAACTTTAACCTAATGCCTGACCTGCACACTGCAGAACATAAGTGCCTCATTAATAATGTCTAATAGGCATCTCCAGTTTAGCATCTTCAAAAGCAAACACGCCCCAGGAACCAAGTAAAGGGCGACTTCATCCTCCCAATAGAAACCATCCTTCCAGTGGCTCACTCCAAAAATCCTTGGAGTCATCTGCAACTGAGGAGATAGAGTAAATTGAACGGTGGAGGGGAAAGCCAGATAAAGTGAGTTGGGAAGTAAATGAGAAATATAAGGGAGGAGAAGACTTTGACTGCAAAAGAAGGAACATAGAGAACCAGCTATAAGTAGAGTTAAAGTGAAGGGGCTTGCTTATAGTTTGTTTTATAAATTTGGAGATAACTGACTTCATTTAAATGGCAATGAGATGGACCCATTTACTATGTACATTGATATTACCAGGGCATGGTGGCGCGTGCCTATAATCCGAACTACTCAGGAGGCTGAGGCAGGAGAACCTCTTGAACCCGAGAGGCAGAGGTTGCAGTGAGCAGAGACTGCCATTTTACTCCAGCTTGGGTGATAAAGTGAGACCCTGTCTCAAAATAGATAAATAAATAAACAGTACATTGAGCACATTGCTTACTTTCTCTGAGTGTTTTTATTTGGACATATGTTTCTCAAGTGTGCACAGGTGATATGGCCTATAAAATAGGTGAACTGGAGAAATATTTGAATTGTAGAGACATTTAGAAGATATATTCACATAATTTGTATTTGTTGTTGTTTGTTTGTTTGTTTTTGAGATGGAGTCTCGCTCTGTCTCCCAGGCCTGGAGTGCAGTGGCACAATCTCGGCTCACTGCAACCTCCACCTCTTGGGTTCAAGGAATTCTGCCTCAGCCTCCCTAGTAGCTGGGATTACAGGCATGTGCCACCATGCCTGGCTAATTTTTGTAATTTTAGTAGAGATGAGATTTCACCATGTTGGCCAGGCTGGTCTCGAACTCCTGGCCTCAGGTGATCTGCCTGCCTTGGCCTCCCAAAATGCTGGGATTACAGGCATTACAGGTGTGAGCCACTGTGTCCAGCCTAGAATTTGCATTTGGATGTGGGATGAGGTAAAGGGAAGAGTCAAGAATGTCATTGAGAGTTGCTGGCTCATGGGTGGCTGGTGGTACCTTCAATGAGCTAGGGAAGAGGGAAGGAAGAGGAGATTTCAAAAAGAAAGAGAGAACTTCTGTTTTAGACAGCATATTCTAGGTGGTATTTATTATTCAACACTACAAATTTTTATTGAGGCATTTAATCCCTGTTGGGGGATACAAGGATATATTACTAATGAATAAACCCTAGTTCCTGTCTGCAAGAAGCTTGTAAAGTTTTATTTTATTTTTTTTGAAATAGAGTCTCACTCTGTTGCCCAGGCTGGAGTGCAGTGGCATGATCTAGGCTCACTGCAACCTCCACCTCCTAGGTTCAAGCAATTCTCCTGCCTCAGCCTCTTGAGTAGCTGGGATTACAGTCATGTACCACCACACTTGGCTAATTTTTGTATTTTTAATAGAGACGGGGTTTCATCACGTTGGCCAGGCTGGTCTCCAACTTCTGGCCCCAAGTGATCCGCCTGCCTCAGCCTCCCAATGTGCTGGGATTATGGGTGTGAGCCACAGAGCCCAGCCTTGCAGTTTTAAAGCGGTTATGAAAAGAACTACAATAAAAGAAGAGTCAGGTAAGTGCCATAAGAATTATGCAAAGATGTGGCCGGGCGCGGTGGCTCACGCCTATAATCCTAGCACTTTGGGAGGCCGAGGTGGGCGAATCACGAGGCAGTTCAAGACCAGCCTGGCCAACACAGTGAAACCCCGTCTCTACTAAAAATACAAAAACTAGCCAGGCATGGTGGTGCACACCTGTAGTCCCAGCTACCCAGGAGGCTGAGGCAGGAGAATTGCTTGAATCTGGGAAGCGGAGGTTGCAGTGAGCCGAGATCATGCCACTGCACTCCAGCCTGGGCGACAGAATGAGGCTCTGTCTCAAAAAACAAACAAACAAAAACCAAAAAACAAAAAAACAAAAAACAAACAAAAACAAAAGAATTATGCAAAGATATAAAGGTGTTCAAAAACAGGTACTTTTTTTTTCATATTTGGGAAGTTGCTGGAGATTAGATTCAGGAGTGACTTCAAGGAGAAGATGATGTGGGAGATGAATCCAGAAAAACGATTTTTTTTTTTTTTGAGATGGAGTCTAGCTCTGTCGCCCAGGCTGGAGTGCAGTGGTGCCATCTCCACTCACTGCAAGCTCCGCCTCCTGGGTTCACGCCATTCTGTCTCAGCCTCCCGAGTAGCTGGGACTACAGGCGCCTGCCACCATGCCCGGGTAATTTTTTTGTATTTTTAGTAGAGACGGGGTTTCACCGTGTTAGCCAGGATGGTCTCCATCTCCTGACCTCGTGATCCGCCTGCCTTGGCCTCCCAAAGTGCTGGGATTACAGGCGTGAGCTACAGCTCCCAGCCGAAAAACTAACGTTTTTATAAGCAGTAGCATTAGGGAGAACAATTAAGGTAGAAAAATTGGCTCCATAACAGACTAGAACTGTGATGGGGCTAGCAATGTTTATGAGACTAGCGCTGTACACTGAAGGTACTGTGGGCTATGTATATCCTGATAATCAGAAATAAATCTAGAAAGACAGGCTGGACTTTAGAGTTGTTAGACAGGTCTGGGTTGGGACATGGTTTCACCACGTGCTAAATACCTAACCTAGGGAATATTACTTAACCTCTATCAGCCTCAGTTTTCTCATTTCTAAAATTGACATAGTCATACATATTCCTTTTTTTTTTTTTTTTTTTTTGAGGCAGAGTCTCACTCTGTCACCCAGGCTGGAGTGCAATGGCGTGATCTTGGCTCACTGCAACCTCTGCCTCCTGGGTAGGAGCAATTCTCCTGCCTCAGCCTCCCAAGTACCTGGGATTACAGGCGCGTGCCACCATGCCTGGCTAATTTTTGTATTTTGAGTAGAGGCGGGGTTCCACCATGTTGGCCAGGATGATCTCCATCTCTTGGCCTTGTGATCCGCCTACCTCGGCCTCCCAAAGTGCTGGGATTAAGGTGTGAGCCACCGAGCCTGGCCAGTTAACACATTTAAAAAATTTTTTGCAGAGACGCCACAGTGTGTTGCCCAGGCTAGTCTCAAATTCCTGGGCTCAAGTGATTTTCAAATCTTGGACACCCAAAGTGTTGGGATTACAGCTGTGAGCCACCATGCCTGGCCCCATGTTTCCTGGATTGTTAAAAGTGTTTTGAGATATACATATGTAGGTTTTTGTCCATGGTTCTTGGCTGATAACTCCCATAGCCCTTGTTAGTCTTTTGTTACAATGTTGAGTGTTTTAGCCTCAGGGGCAGGCCTCAGGAAACAAAATCTCTCAGACCTTCTCCTGCCCTTCTTTTACCTGCCCCAAGGCAGGACCCTAATCTTCCCGATCTTTCTGATTGTGGGCCTTAAGACTCTACCCAGATTGTGTCCTACCCTATACCCCGAGGGAAGGAATGTGGCATCGTGAAGCTTCCAACAAACCCCAAGACTCCGTTCAGAGAGCTCCCGAATAGTGGAATGTGTGGTGCTTCCTGGAGGTTGGTGTGCCCAGAGAGGGTGTGGAAACTCTGTTCCTTTTCCTCCATACCTCACCCTATGCATCCCTTCATCTGTATTCTTTAAAATAAACCAGTAAACATGTTTCCCTGAGTTGTGTGAGATGCTCCAGCAAATTAATTGAACCTGAAGAGGGGTCATGGGAACCCCAATTTGAAGCCAGTCAGTCAGAAGTTCTGGAGGCCTGGACTTGCAGCTGGTGTCTGGGGTTGGGAGGCACTCCAGGCCTGAGCCTTCAGCCTGTGGGACCTGATACCATCTCAAGGAAGATAGTGTCAGAATTGAACTGGAGGAGACCCAGCTGGTGTCCACTGCTTGGTGTGTGGGGAAAACCTCCCCCACGTTTGGTCACAGAAGTCTTCTGTGTTGATGATTATTGTGGAGGTGCAAGAATAGAGGAAAAATACGGTTTGAGAGTTTTTTGGAAGCAGGTTTACAGTGGTTGTTTAATAGATGGTAGGGACTATTATTTTGCAGAGGTCTTGAATTCCAGAGTGAAAAGTTTATATTTTCTTTGCTAGTTTATGGAAGGTCTCGCACATGGTAACTACGTTGAAATAATCTTCCAGCAAAATATAGGATGGAGGGAAGAGGGAGAGAGAGGAGGTAGGAAGACAAGTCAGGAGGCTATTTTATAGTCATCTACTAAGTCAATAACCTCCTCAGGCTGATATTATTTCATGATTAATCAATGAATATCAGAGTCCTATTTTTGACTTTTCAGAATATAAAAATCTATTTTATTCCTTCTATTTTAATTCTGCTGTTCTACTGTTGGCTTTCTCTGGCAGCAAGAGAAAGAAAAATTAGTGAAACTTTAATGAATCAACCATTAAAAAGGAGGAATTTAAATATCTGTAGTTAATATGTGAAAGTAAGAATCTTTGAAAGATTTGGATGCAGCAGGCTGAAGTTAATGACCTGAATTTAATCTTTTTTCTTTTTAAATTTTTAATTAATTTATTTATATCATTAGAGACAGTGTGTCTTGCTAAATTGCCAGGCTGGTCTCGAACTTTTAGGCTCAAACAGTTCTCTCACCTTGGCCTGCTGAGTAGCCGGGATTACAGGCGTGAGCCCCCGAGCCCAGTCTGAATTTAATCTTTTATGTAGAGTGTCTGTTTAAATAATTTCTAACTTTCTTTTGTTCCAGCAACACAACTGAGTCACTATAGCATTCTTAGAATTTGTATCTAAGTAATTTTCTGGCAGTTACTTTTAAAAAGGCCGTAGTAGGCTGGGCACAGTGGCTCACGCCTGTAATCCCAGCACTTTGGGAGGCTGAGGCAGGCACATCTCCTGAGGTCAGGAGTTCGAGACCAGCCTGACCAACATGGAAAAACCCTGTCTCTACTAAAAATACAAAATTAGCCAGGTGTGGTGGCGCATGTCTGTAATTTCAGCTACTCAGGAGGCTGAGGCAGGAGAATCACTTGAAACCGGGAGGCGGAGGTTGCAGTGAGCCAACATCGCTCCATTGCACTCCAGCCTGGGCAACGAGAGTGAAACTCCTTCTCAAACAAAAACAAAAACAAAAAAAAAACTAGGCCGGGCGCAGTGGCTCATGCCTGTAATCCTAGCACTTTGGGAGGTCGACGCGGGCGGATAGCCTGAGTTCAGGGGTCTGAGAACAGCCTGGGCAACATGTTGAAACCCCATCTCTGCTAAAATACAAAAAATTAGCTGGGCGTGGTGGCGTGTGCCTGTAGTCCCAGCTACTCGGGAGGCTGAGGCAGGAGAATTGCTTGAACCCAGGAAATGGAGGTTGCAGTGAGCCGAGATCGTGCCACTGCACTCCACCCTGGGCCACAGAGAGAGACTTCATCTCCAAATAAATAAGTAAATAAATAAATAAATAAATACAAAAACAAAACAAGGCACTAGTAGGGCAGGGCTCATTCAGAGTCAGGAGTTTTGCCACTGACCAGCCACATGAGACCTTGGACAAGTCATTTCACACTCCTGAACCTCAGATTCCACATCTGTAATTTTAGGGGGTAATTTATTCTGTCTTATTCTCAGGATTGTTGTAAGGATCAAATGAGGTAATGGATATAAAAATGTTATGTTTTATAAGCCACAAGTGCAAAGGATTATTATTTAGACAAATCTATATCCACATAAATAAGGTACAACCATTAACACTGTATCTGAAACTTTCTCACTTACTTTGTTTCCTCCCCCGCCCTCTGAAGTTCTGCTCACTTTTTTTTTTTTTTTTTCAGTTGGCAAGAATTTCACTCCCATATGTCAACCACAATTAACCTCCCATTTTTGGTGAAATTTTCAAAGCATAATTTCTAACTAAGCAATTTTGTCATTTTGACTTTCTGTTTGCTCTCTGCAATGTTTTGGGATAAGTATGGGAGAATTTGGTCTCATATTTAAGTTATTTCACTAAGGACAATTTTGTGCAAGGAAAAGTTATTTTTCATTCATTTAATAAAACAACTTTTTGTACAGCAAACTGTCTTATTAAGGGCTGTGCCACAGACTCCAGGGATGACTTAATAGACTGAGTCAGCATCTTTATCTTGTGATGCATTGGAAGATGTGTTAGTTCCCCTAAGGAGAAAGAAGGGACAGACATTGAAAATAAAATCTCATTGCTTCCCTCTTTTTTTAGTTAATTTTCTGTTCTTGCCAACAAAAGGAAGCAGTTACTTGTGAAATATAGACACATGGATGAGAAAATATGTGTAATTACTTAATAAGGGGGGAAGGACTTACATAATTAAACTGAAATTCGGTGCATTTTATGGAAAGGAAAACCATTCCAACTAAGTTTCTGGCAGAAAATAATGAAGGAAAAATATTGAAAACATTTGCGGCTCTGAAGTCACACTTCTGTTGATACATATGGCACTAATGGATTTTGTGCTCCTTTGCCTCCTGGTAAACAGATGGTTTTATATTTGTGCTTAAGCTTGGTTAGATGGCTTGGTGGAAAAAAAGCAATGACCTTTCATCTCAAGTTTAGTTTTGGGTCTAATGATTTGTGGATTTTGTTCTGTCAAATACAAAGAAGACAAACTTTTCACATGAATATGTCACGTTTAATACCCTTTAAGATACTCAAACAATGACTGGGCTTAGTGAATAAATCACCGTTGATCCTCAGAGGGAGTTCTTTTTTTTTTTTTTCTCACTGAAACCAAGAAGAGTTAACTACAGTTTTATAACAGTTACTTATCTTATCTTGGGCAAAAAGTTAAATTAGGGAACTGTTTGTCTCATCGCATTGCCTGGTGAAGTATGCAAGTATACCAAATTTAAACATTAATAACATTAAAAATATACACTCATTTTTGATAGGTTAACTAGAAAGTTATATTCTTGTAAATATGTTGCTGTGGAGCTACAGTAATGAGCTCTTTTCTCCACTCCCCCACCCTCACATCGTATTAGAAAAATACTAGACCTATTCCAAATCCTAACAATGTATTTTTATTTATTTATTTTTTTGAGACAGGGTCTCGCTCTGTTGCCCAGGCTGGAGTGTGGTGGTGCAATCTTGGATCACTGCAACCTCCACCTTCTGGGTTGAAGTGATTCTCGTGCCTCAGACTCCCAAGAAGCTGGGATTACAGGCACCCACCACCACACCTGGCTAATTTTTTTTTTTTTTTTTTGTATATTTAGTAGAGACGGGGTTTCACCATGTTGGCCAGGCTGGTTTTGTTTGTTTTTTTTTAGACGGAGTCTCACTCTGTCGCCCAGGCTGGAGTGCAGTGGCGTGATCTCGGCTCACTGCAAGCTCTCCCTTCCCAGCTCAGGCCATTCTCCTGCTGCAGCCTACCAAGTAGCTGGGACTATAGGCACCCGCCACCACGCCCGGCTAATTATTTAGTATATTTAGTAGAGACAGGGTTTCACCATATTAGCCAGGCTGGTCTCAATCTCCTGACCTCGTGATCCGCCCGCCTCTGCCTCCCAAAGTTCTGGGATTACAGGCTTGAGCCACCGCGTCCAGCCAGCCAGGCTGGTTTCCAACTCCTGACCTCAAGTGATCCACCCACTGTGGCCTCCCAAAGTGCTGGGATTGCAGGCGTGAGCCACCGCGCCCGGCCCTCAAATCCTAACAATTTAAAACTGTACGTCCTATACAGTGATTACATATCTTTTTAGTGAGCTAACTATTGTACCATCGGCTCATACAATTAATGAATGGAAACAGCACTTCTAATTGATAAGCATGGCATGCATGACTGTAAGTGAAATTTAAACAACAGTGACACTCAGGGGAAACAAATGTAGCTACCTGACTGTTTCTCAGAAGTAGCCTGTTTAGAAAATGATGGAAGAAAATTGTAGACCTCTGCATTCAAAATTCCTGGCTGGAAACAGAAATGTACAGGAAAGACAAGAAGGAGGAGTTGATACTTTCCTTTTGGTAGGACAGAGGTACTAGGAGAAAAATAAAAGAAGGGGATGGGCTAGAGTCAAGAGAAGTTACATCAATAAACACATTCTCACCTGGCCTCCCTGGATGCCAGGACTCTTTCTTTCTTTTTTTTTTTTTTTTCCAAGCCAAACTGTATCCAGCTTTATTAGAGATACTTTCCATAAACAATCATGGTATTTCAGGCGGACATGGGCAGACAATCGTTAACAGTATACAGCAATTTTCAAACTCTCTTCTTCAATGGACTACCAAAAATCAGAAAGCCACCATAAAACCCAATGAAGTCTTCATCTGATGCTCTGAACAGGGAAAGTTTAACGTGAGGGTTGACATTTCACATTTAGCATGTTGTTTAACAACTTTTCACAAGCTGACCCTGACTTTCAGGAAGTGAAATGAAAATGGCAGAATGTATCTGAAGATCCACAATCTAGAAATGGAACCACTGCTCTTTTGACAGGTGCCATCTAAGTGGCATCACTGGAAAGTCCAGATTGCCTGACACACTGGTAACCAATAACTGGGAGTCAGGTCCCAACAGATGTCTGGGCTTAAGGAAATTAAGTCTATGATGAAAGATGGAAAGGGAGAAGGGGACATAAATATGAATTTGTTTTTCCATACCACAAGGCTTTTGTGCCAAGAGGCCATGTGTGTCAAAGTCAGGGAATCTCTCCTCCTGGGAGCCAAGAGGAAGTCTCTCAAAACTAGAAGGGAAAGGTGTTTTCCCCACATCAATCCAGCTTCGGAGGCATTCTATTAGGGACATAAGCCCCTTCCCCCAAAAACAACAATGAAGTGTTCTGTGTGCTAACAACATAGCTTTAAAAAAAGTAAAATAAAATTCTGCATTTTTATAAAACTTGATAAATAGTATTTCACACTGTACAGTCACCAGAAGTACACAGTTATCAAAAATACACACACTTCACTTGGCATCTGCAGCACCTTCAGCTTTCTGTGCCTATTCTCTTTGGCATCTCCATTCTCTGCAAGTTTATTCCCCTCCTTGCCAGCATCAGCTTTTCCCTTTTTCCCTTTGAGTACCTTCTCTCCCTTATTTGCAGGGGCCTTTTCAGGCTTGGGCTCTGGCTTTGGAGGAGCAGGTTTAGCAGACAACCTCGCGGATCTTCTCTATGGTTTGTCCTTCACCTTTTGGCTTTATTTGTTTTAGCATCCCCTTCAGCATTTCTCTTAGGCATGGTGGCGGGGATGACAGCCGTGGGACATAGGCACTGGGCGCGAGGTGCAGCGGCGTGCAGCCTTTGGTCGGTCCGGGGGTGGTTCTCGCCTCTTCTTCTTCACACTGCTTGCCACGACTCTTTCAACACTACACATAATTGTGACATAATTTCATAATTCCACAAGGAAAAGGAACTCTCACCTATTTTTATAGTTTGGTGTGTGTATGTGGATGTATGTGTGTGTAGACAGATAGATAGATATACATACATATAACCACTCTGGAGAGACTGTGTATAGGTATAGACACACTAATTGATTGAGTAAAGTTGTTTGGATCAAGAGGTGATTAGATGGAAAACTGTCTATAACATGTTAAGAGAAAAAAAGCAGGTTATAAAACATCATATGTAAAGCTTTTTTTTTTTTGCTCGTGTGTGAAAAATAGCTATATAAATGTATATCAGAAAGACTACAATAAGGCCAGGTGTCTGTGGTCCCAGCACTTTGGGAGGCCGAGGGAGGAGGATCACTTGAGGCCAGGAGTTGGAGACCAGTCTGGGCAGAATAGCAAAACCTTGTCTCTAAAAAATAAAAAAATTAGCCAGATGTGGTGGTGCATGCTTGTAGTCCCAGCTACTTGGGAGGCTGAGGTGGGAGGATCCCTTGAGCCCAGAAGATGGAAGCTGCAGTGAGCCATGATTGTACCACTACACTCCAGCCTGGGTGAAAAAGTGACTCTGTCTCATTAAAAAAAAAAAAAAAAGAAGCCAGAGCGAGAGAGAGAGAGAAGGAACAAATGAACAAACAGACTACACTGAGATAGCAAAAACCTCTCAAACAAGCAGGGAATATAGATGATTTTTTTCTTCTTACTTATTTGTATTTTCAAACAATCAAACAATCATGTCATCTTTAGAATAAGATAAAGTTCTTTAAAAAAGACTTATGGAAAGAAAAAATTCAAGTTATGAAAACATGGGGTAGTAATTATTAATTACACTAGTAAATCTCTATACTTAAGGGACTAGAAAGTGACTTAAATATAGGCATAAATAACATAGTATGTATGTAGGTATATATTTATTTTGAGATGGAGTCTCGCTCTGTCACCCAGGTTGGAGTGCAGTGGCGCAATCTCGGCTCACTGCAACCTCCGCCTCCCGGGTTCGAGTGATTCTCTTGCCTCAGCCTCCTGAGTAGACCACACCCGGCCAAGAACATCGTATTTATATTTCATTTCAGACCCTGGAACAGTAAACGTTTGAGAAGTAAACTATTTAGGTAGATCAGTCTGTACATACTGAAGGAATCCTGTATCATGATGTCTGCTATTACTTAAGAAAAGTTATTAACTGAGGAGTAATATATTAAACAAAATCCAGTGCATACAACTCTCATATAAAAATAAACTTACTTTAAAAAAATAAAAACTGGTCCTTCTCTCTCTGAAATAATTCAAGATTTGAATTGAGTAAATTACTATTAATAGCTATAATATGTTCTGACTAGAAACCACCAGCAACCATAAGGAGTAAGGAAAATTGTAATATGTGTTGATGGAGAAGATACTAGGAAAACAGCCACTCACACTCACATGCTACTGGTGTAAATATATTTTCACCACTCTGAGGAGTAATCTGGTAATACTCATCAAAAGCTTTAACATGGCAGGGTGAGGTGGCTCACACCTGTAATCCTAGCACTCTTGGGAGGCCAAGGTGGGAGGATTGCTTGAGTCCAGAAATTCAAGATCAGCCTGGGCAACATGGTGAAACCCCGTCTCTACTAAAAAAAAATACAAAAAAATTAGCTCAGCATGATGGCACAGACCTGTATTCCTAGCTACTCTGAGGGCTGAGGCAGGAGGATCACTTGAGCCTGGGAGGTTGAGGCTGCAGTGAGCACTGATTGTGCCACTGTACTCCAGCCTGCGTGACAGAGTGAGGCCCTGTCAAAAAAAAAAAAAAAGAAAAAGAAAAGAAAAGAAAAAAAGGAGCTTTAACTGTCGTTACAACCAACATTTCAATTTCTGTGAACTTATCCTACGGAATATACAAGAATGTGAACAAAACAATAAGGATATTTATAGCATTGTTTATGATAATGAACAATGCAAAATAGCTTAAATGTTCCATAAAAGAGAACTTTTTCCTTTTGAGCTTGATTTAATTGTACTAACTATATAGTAGACTATGCAGCCATTAATAAGAATTTGTGCATGAATGAACCTAATAAACTCAAATGTTGAACAAAATAAGCCACGCACAAAAGAGTATATACTACATGTCATTTGTATAGGGCTCAAAACCAGGCAAAAATAAGTAGTGGTTAACTTTGGGAGGGCCTCCTGACGGGAGGTAGGCAAAGAGGGCTTCTGGAGTTCTGCGGGTATTCCATTTCTTGGTCTCAGGCTGATACATGGGGATGTTCACTTTGTGAGTGTTTGTCAAGCTCTACACTAATGATTGTTTACTTTTCTGCATGTCTGCTATACTTCAATAACATTTACCAGAAGAAAGGTTGTAAGGCATGTTAATAACATGGAAAGATGTTCAGCACATATTAGTGAAGTAAAACATATAAAATGAGGCTGGGCATGGTGGCTCATGCCTGTAATCCCAGCACTTTGGGAGGAGGCGGGAGAATCACTTGAGCCTGGGAGTTCAAGACTAGTCTGGGCAGCATAGTGAGACCCTGTCTCTACAAAAAATTTTAAAAAATTATCCAGGTGTGGTGGGGCACACCTATAGTACCAGCTACTCAGGAGGCTGAGGCAGGAGGACTGCTGAGCCCAGGATGTCAAGGCTGCAGGGAGCTATGATTGTGCCACTACACTCCAGTCTGGGGGATGGAGCAAGACCCTGTTTCTAAAACAAAACAAAAAATTTCTCTCTCTCTCTCTAAATATATATATATATATGTGTATATATATACACATATATATACACACACACACACACATATACATATATACACATATATGTATACATATATGTATATATACTATGTAGAAAAATAAACGGATAGATGTTGGATGTTTACGAAGTGTCACCGGTAGACATCTCTGAGTGATGGGATAATAGGTGATTTTTATTTTTAATATTTTTCTAAAATTGTTACAATAAATAGATATTCACTTTGTTTTATTATTTTATTTTTATTTATTCATTTATTTTTGATACAGAGTTTCACTCTTGTCATCCAGGCTAGAGTGCAATGGCACGTTCTCGGCTCACTGCAACCTCTGCCTCCTGGGTTCAAGCCATTCTCCTGCCTCAGCCCCCCGAGCAGCTGGGGTTATAGGCACCTGCCACTATGCTCGGCTAATTTTTTTTGTATTTTTAGTAGAGACAGGGTTTCATCACGTTGGCCATGCTGGTCTTGAACTCCTGACCTCAGGTGATCCACCCACCGTGGCCTCCCAAAGTGCTGGGATTACAGGTGTGAGCCACTGCGCCTGGCCCTACACACTCATTTTAAAAGAGACAAGCATTATAGTATCATCGTGAAAATAAAAGTATATATACATTTGCTAAAATAGAGAGCAGAGTTAATTAGAATATGCAAATAGTGAGGACCTAAAGAAAGAGCTGACTGAGATCAATTAGGATTAAACAACCTGACATTTTACAAAGCCTTGATTCAAAAATAGAACACTTTTAATTCTAGAGGTACATGACATGTGGCTTCACAATGAACGTAGGATGTGAAAATTCTATGACCCTACTAGTTCACTATGTGATACAAAGCAGTCTGGATCTTAGTTGTCCTGTCTGTAGAATGGGTGTAATAACAGCTTGTCTGCATTCTCCCAGAGGTTTTTTGGGGATAAAGATGTAATGATATAGGAATAGCTTTGAAGTTTTCAGAGATGCTGGTTCGAGGTATCATTATAAGGGCAGTTTATAAAAAAATGTGAGATTACATGCTACTTGAAATCATTTTGTGAGTTTTGTGAAACTATACTTTACCCTTAAGAAGCACCTATTCATTAAGAAGATTTTAGTTCAGGGCACAGTGGCTTGTGTCTGTATTCCTAGTTACTCAGGAGGCCTAAGTGGAAGGATTGCTTGAGCCCGGAAGTTGAAGAAGAAAGAAGAAAGAAAAAAGAAGCAGCAGAGGGAGAGGGGAAGTGGGAGGCAGAGTGAGGAGAAGGAGAGGGAGAAGATTTTAAGATAAGACTGTTCATTTTTCTAACTTTTATACAAGAACATTAACTTAAAAAAAATTTTTTTTTTATAGAGACAGGGTTTTACATGTTGCCCAGGCTGGTCTCAAACTCCTGGGCTCAAATAATCCTCCCACCTTGGCCTCCCAAAGTGATGGGATTACAGGCACGAGCCACTGTACCAGGCCACAAAACATTTTTATAAAGAAAGGACGAACAGAAAATAATTTTTTATTTTCAACTTGGGAAAAATAGAACCATTTTACAGATCTAAATTATTACTATTATTATTATTGTTATTTTTTGAGACAGAGTCTCTGTCACCCAGGCTGGAGTGCAGTGGCACAATCTGCGCTCACTGCAACCTCTGCCTTTTGGGTTCAAGCCATTCCTCTTGCCTCAGCCTCTCAAATAGCTGGGATTACAGGAGTGCACCACCACGCCTGGCTAATTTTTGTATTTTTAGTAGAGACAGGGTTTCACCATGTTGGCCAGGCTGGACTCGAACTCCTGAGCTCAAGTGATCCGCCCGCCTCTGCCTCCCAAAGTGCTGGGAGTACAGGCCTAAGCCACTGCACGCAGCCACAGATATAAATTATTTTAAAAAATTGAATGATAGCACTAATTTTTTAATTCTTATGATCCACTGAATGTTTCCTACTGGGAAGATAAATAAAGATGGGCCCTTCACTCTGTAGAAGTCATTTGCTTCAGCTGGTGTTAAGAGTCCTGCATATCTCCTTGTTGTCAATTGTCTTTGAGACACACAGTCAAGGATTGGTTAGATAAGTGCTAAAGAACTGACAGTTAAAAACAAAACAAGGCTGGGCGCAGTGGCTCACGTCTGTAACCCCAGCACTGTGGGAGGCCGAGGTCGGGGGGGATCACTTGATGTCAGGGGTTCCAGACCAGCCTGGCCAACATGGTGAAACTCTGTCTCTACTAAAAAAAAAAAAAAAAAATTTAGCTGGGTGTGGTGGAGTGCACTTGTAATCCCAGCTACTTGGGAGCTTAAACCCAGGAGGCAGAGGTTGCAGTGAGCCTGGGAGACAGAGCAAGGCTTTGTCTCAAAAAAAAAAAAACAAAAAAAAAACCCAAAAAACAAAACAAAACCTAGAACTTTTCCTCTTTCCTATTTCCTTATCTTAGGGACTTGGTATTGATATGTATTTAATATTGTACAATGACTTCTGCTTAAAACTACTACTTTTGTTTTGCCATATAGTGTATCTGAGGATTGTTTGTCCAAAATTTAACCTACTAGTTAATTGTATATAATGGTTTTAATGCACTAGAGGCTCCCCACCCCCAATAAGTTAGATTTGGTTATCTAAATCTTATTTTAATGAAACTGTGTAAATTGAGTAACAAGGGAGGCTTTCTAAAAGGATTAAACAACAGCTATGAGTTTGCAAACTACTCTTGAACAAAATTGCCATCTTGGTCTGGGATAAGAATAGGAATGATAATTGTCTTCCTGACAAAAATATACATAGCTAATAGTTTTAAATTTTCAACAGTGAATTAATCCCAGAAAAAAATGTAAATATAGTAGTAAGACTTTGATTGCTTAATTGCTCTGAGCTTCAGTTTTCTTTTCTGTAAAACAGGAATAACAGCATGGTTGTGAGGATGAATGAATTAATTCATATAAATTATTCATAACAGTGCCCAATACTTACTAACTACCCCATACAATGTTAGCTACAGTTGCTACTTTTGTAAATATAAATGTTACTCTGTTTTCAGAGGAAGTTAATTACAGAATGCTGAAGTCAATACAAATAGATGAACTAAGAACAGTTTAGTAATAGAAACATTATGGATATTGTTGCCTCATCCAAAGGTACTACCATTTATCCAAGGAATTCAGATAATAAAATGCTTTGTCTCTTAATCATCATAATTTGAAAACATCCAACCTGGCTAAGCTTCTGATAGATAGTATCTCACTGGAACTTGGCTTACATATTATAGAAACAGTTAACAAACACACAATATTCTTTGGCTTAGGCCCTTATTCACAAAATTTATAAATCAGAGACACATATAGGTCATATTTAAAACAGAAAAGCTGAAAAAGTATTACTCCGTAGGGTAGGCAAGTGTTGAGCCATTTGGCCCCTGATATAAAGAGCTGTTCCTTGGTCTAGGAGACACATGGCAGGTGGACAATGGTCCAGGGCAGAGTTGGGTCAAAATCATTTTTTCCTAGTTCAGTATAATTCTGTAATAAGGTTCCTGTTGCCAAAACAATACACAGACATTTCAGTTTGAATAGTCTTAAAATGTACACATCAAAAAACAAAACAAGGAAAGAGACCTTTTTAAAAAT
Source organism: Homo sapiens (assembly GCF_000001405.40). NCBI lineage: Eukaryota > Metazoa > Chordata > Mammalia > Primates > Hominidae > Homo > Homo sapiens. The sequence goes on along the minus strand of NC_000003.12, from coordinate 153,060,791 downwards.
AGGTTGTCTCAGTTATTTCCTATAGTAATATTGAAATGTGTTACACGTGTGTGTGTCTGTGTGTATGCACACACATGCATACATCTAATTTTGTAGATAAGGAAACTAGGGTTCCTAGTCTGAGAGGCAGAAAAAGGGAATAAACCGTTTTCACAACTCAGGATTTCACTAAAAGTCTTGAAAACAAGATCAAGCTTTTTAGAATGCAAGGTGCGTGGTGCTTAGAAAAATTTTATTTTACAGGCAACGAAGAGTCCACCCTTCCTTCCCTCCCTCCCTCCCTCCCTCCCTTCCTTCCTAGAACCAGCCTGCCCTCCCTTCCTCCCTCTCTTTCTTCTTTCCTCCCTCCCTCCCTCCCTCCTTCCCTCCCTCCTTCCCTCCCTTCCTGATAAATAAAATTTTAAAACCGGATATTCAGAGGTCGATGCCAGCAGATCACAAGTTGGTCTTCAGGCTTAACTTTACTGATCTTCAATTCTAGAAAGACCTTAAAGCACTGTACATTTCTGAGCTTTGAGGACTCAGGATAAACAACTTGGCCTAGGCTTATTTTAAACTGGTACTTGGGTGTCCACATTTATTTACTTGGCTCCAACTCTTGACTTTCTTTCTTCCTGAATAGGCACTGAAAAATTTGTGCCTATCTCAGAGCATTAGTGTGAAACTCAAATAATTAGCTGCATAGGAAGACTCTAAATTAGAAAGTGCTGCATAAATGCTAGCCTTTGTTATTATATTTTACAACCTTAAATACTTAACAAGTAATGTCAGTTAACTTCCCAAAAAAGAACCTTGAAAAGTTGCTGCTATGTAGACCATTGGTATGTCAGATGTTATACAATTTTAGTTATCTCCATTTATTTATTTATTTATTTGTTTTATTTTGAGGTGGAGTTTCACTCTTGTTGCCCAGGCTGGAGTACAATGGCACGATCTTGGTTCACCACAACCTCTGCCTCCCAGGTTCAAGTGATTCTCCTGCCTCAGCCTCCCGAGTAGCTGGGATTACAGGCATGCGCCACCACACCTGGCTAATTTTGTATTTTTAGTAGAGATGGAGTTTCTCCATGTTGGTCAGGCTGGTCTGGAACTCCCGATCTCAGGTGATCTGCTCGCCTCGGCCTCCCAAAGTGCTGGGATTACAGGCATGAGCTAACAGGCCTGGCAGTTATCTCTATTTATTAAACAATGTACATTGAATAAAAATACCACGTGGCTGGTGTACATCCTAAAGTATAATTACCAAGCAAATATGTATTCAGCCTGTCAGAAGCCTAATAGAGAGTCTCAGCCTTGGTTATAGACTAAAACTAATAGTGGTAACTATAAACAGTGACAGATTGGATGGCAATCCCTGTCCAGTCTCAATTTGCAGTTTTGTTTTTGGCAGAACATGTTGGTTTTATGACCAACAATATATTGCAATCCAAGGACAAAATGGAACCATTATGAGCCATTTTCAAGGGCTGTTCCCCCATATGCACAATGTAATCACTGAACTGGGAGGAACAATTCCTTCCTGATGTCACATGGTGGGAGCTGTTGTTTATATTATTGCTATTACCATTTTTAAAGACAGGGAGTATGTATAATACTTCATCTTCCAAAAGGGAGCGGCATGAAAGCTGAGTGCTTATGTGCAGCCAAAAGTTTGCCTTAAGAAGAAATAATGGAAAACCCCCAAAAGAAATTTAATTTCAGGGTGTATTCCAAGTGTCAAAAAGAAATTCAATTTCAGGGAGTATTCCAAGTGTCAGATGTTTAACAAAGGTTCAGTTTTAATTCATAAAAATGGGTTGAGGAAACACATATAAAACAACTGAAGATAAGAGACATCACAGAGATCTTAATTTTAATTGAACTGAGAAAATGTGCAAATTTACTCTTCCTTATTTTAATTATATGAGCCATAAGTTCCTGAGTTATTAAAAAAAATGAAACATCAGCCAGCCATGGGTGGCTCACATCTGTAACCCCAGCACTTTGGGAGGCCGAGGCAGGCGGATCACGTGAGGTCAGGAGTTGAAGACCAGCCTGGGCAACATGACAAAAACCCACCTCTACCAAAAATACAAAAATTAGCGTGGCATAGTTGTGCCCACCTGTAATCCCAGCAGGAGGATCACTTGAGCCTGGAAGGCAGAGGTTGCAGTGAGCTGAGATCACACCACTGTACTCCAGCCTGGGTAGCTTTGCAGATGAGGAAACTTAAGCACAAAGAGATTGTATAACTTCCATGCCTGGCTAATTTTTGTATTTTTAGTAGAGACAGGATTTCACCATGTTGGCCTGGCTGGTCTCCAGCTTCTGACCTCAAATGATTCACCCACCTCGGCCTCCCAAAGTGCTGGGATTATAGGCGTGAGCCACTGCACTCGGCCTGCAAATAGAAGCAGTATCTATGCAAAGATACTCATCCTTTTGTTTTGCTTCCATCCATTTGTTTTCCATTTAATTATTTTTAGATCTTCAGTTAGATCGATAAAATTGGGAATACTACTATTCAGAAGCATTTCCATGAAAACTTCACAAACTGATAGAAAACATCTCAGAGATAAAATTTACTTCATTTAGAGGAAAAATATTGGTCTGATTGACATTCTTATTCAAAATTACAGCATATATGCCAGGCGCGCTGGCTCATGCCTATAATCCTAGCACTTTGGGAGGCTGAGGTGGGTGAATCATTTGAGGTCAGAAGCTGGAGACCAGCCAGGCCAACATGGTGAAACCCTGTCTCTACTAAAAATACAAAAATTAGCCAGGCATGGAAGTTATACAGTCTCTTTGTGCTTAAGTTTCCTCATCTGTAAAGCTACCTAGGAGGCTGAGGCAGGAGAACTGCTTGAACCCAGGAAGGGAAGGTTGTAGTGAGCTGAGATCAAGTCACTGTACTCCAGCCTGGGCAATAGAGTGAGGCTTCACTTTGTCTCAAAAAACAAACAAACAAACAAAAAACAAACAAAAAAAGTGTAGCATATTAAAAACAAAAAGAGACTTCAAAGTTTGGTGAAAAAGTTTTAGGTTGAGTGTGATGTCACATGCCCATAATCCCAGCACTTTGGGAGGCTGAGGCAGGAGGATTGCTTGAGCCCAAGGGTTCAAGACCAGCCTGGGCAATACAGTGAGACTCCATCTCTACAGATAAATTGATTAATAAAATAAATTAATTAATAAAATACAATAAATTAGCTATGTTACTTTGGGGAAGTTATACAATCTCTTTGTGCTTAAGTTTCCTCACCTGTAAAGTGGGGATAATAATAGCATCTTCTTTTTAGTGTTGTGAGGAATAAATACATTATTAATACATTGCAAGTATTTGGAACAGAACATGGCACATAGAGGGTGTTCAATAAAAGAACTTTATTATTATTTACTTCAAGATAAATATGTCCAAAATGATATCATTAATACAAAATTAACCATCCTAACTCTTTTTTAAACTTAAACCCAGATGTGATAGTAACACCTATTGATTTGTTTTTTTAGAGAGACTTCTGAACAAATGTGGTTGGGAGTATATGCCCCTAACACACCTTACATGTTTAGAGCTGTAGGCCTGCAGGCCCAAGTTCCACAGACTGAGATAAAACCTATTTACTCATTCGGTCACTTAAATAATTTTTATGAAGGAACAGACGATAGTATTTCTAACTTCCTTTAGATGCTAGGAAAAAGAAATGGTATCCTCCAAAACTAAGTTGTAGAAGAATAATCTAAAAGAGAAGAGTTTGAATACCGAACCAAACTTTAATTTCCTCCTCCAGCTACTGACTATTGCCTTCCTAGATAGGTGGAATGATATGGTTTGGTTGTGTCCCCACCCAAATCTCATCTTGAATTCCCATGTGTGGTGGGAGGGACCCGGTGGGAGGTAAATGAATCGTGGGGGCAAGTCTTTCCTGTGCTGTTCTCGTGATGTGAATAAGTCTCTGATAGTTTTATAAAGAGGAGTTCCTCTGCACAAGCTCTCTCTCTTTGCGTGCTGCCATCCAGGTAAGATGTGACTTGCTCCTCTTTGCCTTCAGCCGTGATTGTGAGGCCTCCCCAGCTACATGGAACTGTAAGTCCATTAAACCTCTTTCTTTTTTAAAAAATTTTTTTGAGAAGGAGCCTTGCTCTGTCACCCAGGCTGGAGTGCAGTGGCGGGATCTTGGCTCACTGCAGCCTCCGCCTCCTGGGTTCAAGCAATTCTCCTGCCTCAGCCTCCTGAGTAGCTGGGATTACAGGAGCCTGCCACCATGCACGGGTGATTTTTGTATTTTTAGTAGAGATGGGGTTTCACCAACTTGGCCAGGCTGGTCTTGAACTCCTGACCTCGTGATCTACCCTCCTCGGCCTCCCAAAGTGCTGGGATTAGAGGCATGAGCCACCGTGCCCGGCCAAAGCTCTTTCTTTTGTTAATAGACATACTCAGTCTTGGGTATGTCTTTATCAGCAGTGTGAAACAGACTAATAAATGGGATCCTGGCAAACATCCTGCTCAACCTATCATCAAATAAAAAAATTCTCAAGTTGAATAATCTTAACTCCAGATGCTCCTCGATTATAATGTGATTACATGCTGATAAACCCAGGGTAAGTTCGAAAAATCTCCACTATAACCATTGTAAGTCAAGGACTATCTGTATTTTTAAGAGCTTCCTGGGTGACTGTAACATGCAGGGCAGTAACTATTGAGGCTGGACCAGGCAGAGGTCTGGGCCTGCATGGCTTTGACCAATAGGGTTACCTTGAAGGGTAGGTGAGATATAGTGGAGTGGAGAGACCACTTAAGAGACTAATGCAATAATCTGGATTACTGCCTATGACTTTCCTGGCTCGCTCTTCCCTCCCTCCCTCCCTCCCTCACTCCCTCCCTACCTTCCTTTCTCTCTCCCTTTCCCTTTCCCTTTCCCTTCCCTTCCCCTCCCCTCCCTTCCCTTCCCTTCCCTTCTTTTTCTTTCTTGATTACTGCCTATGACTTTCCTGGCTTCCTTCCCTTCCTTCCCTTCCTTCCTTCCTTCGATGGAGTCTCACTCTGTTGCCCAGGCTGGAGTGCAGTGGCGCAATCTCTGCTCATTGCAGCCTCCACCTCGAGGTTCAAGTGATTCTCCTGCCTCAGCATCCCAACTAGCTGGGATTACAGGTGCGTACCATCACGCCCGGCTAATTTTTGTATTTTTTGTAGAGACAGGGTTTCTTCATGTTGGTCAGGCTGGTCCCGAACTCCTGACCTCAGGTGATCCGCCCACCTCGGCCTCCCAAAGTACTGGGATTATAGGTGTGAGCCACCGCTCCCAGCCGCCTGGCTGTTTCTTATACCTGGTCTCTTAATTCTAGTAACATCCTTTCAGAAAACACACAAGCTATCTTTAGGTGCTAAACCTTCAGGAGAATTGCTGACTATGAATTCTTACAAACCACAGGGGCAATCATTCAAATAGGGGTTTTTCTCCCTAGATGGGTTTCAGCAATTTATGGACACTCTAAAATTGTACACAAAAATTTTACCTGTATATGTGTATTTTTCCAGAGTGATTATCCACAGTTTTAATCAGATCAGCAAAGAGCTATATGATCCCCAAAAAGTCAGCAACACATGGAGCAGGAGCACATATGGCTTTGCTGTGGATAAAATGGGTACATTGAGAGATATGGTCACTTTGAATACAGTTCTTTTTTTTTTTTTTTTTGAGACAGAGTCTCATTGTCATCCAGGCTGGAGTGCAGTGGCATGATCTCCACAACCTCCCTCCGCCTCCTGGGTTCAAGCGATTCTCCTGTCTCAGGCTTCCAAGTAGCTGGGATTACAGGTGCCCACAACCACGCCTAGCTCATTTTTGTATTTTTAGTAGAGATGGGGTTTCACCATATTGGCCAGGCTGGTCTTGAACTCCTGACTTCAGGTGATCCACTCACCTTGGCCTCCTAAAGTGGTCCCAAGCCCGACCACTTCGAATATAGTTCTAATATAATGTGTGGGTATTTAAAAAAACTGTCACTTAACTTGAATTCTTGAGTAGCTTCTAATCCCAATAAAACATCAGAATTACCTAAGGATATTAAAAAAGGACTTGGTTTCAAACCTCATCTCAGAATTACTGAATTAGGAGCTACAGGAGAGTACTAAATTGATTTAATTGTGGTCACGTTTGGGAACTATTGAGATACTCTTTTACTTATAAATAATTAGAATAAAAGTACTTAAATTCTCTACTATCTTGCTCTTATTAGTATAAATAATTATTTATGCAGAAAAATGTAATCTGGAGTTTTCTTTTAAAAAAATCCTTAATCTGACAACTCTGCAAGTGTGAGAGCATCTTTATAATCTAATCTGTAATTCCAGATAATTTTTTGAGATGAGAGTTTGTTTGTTTCTTTGTTTCTCTGCTCTCCTCTCTCCCTACCAAGAATTGCCACTCAATACTTTTTTAATAGTGCTGTTTCTACCCAAGATTTCTGGGCCAAGGTGAAAATCATTCTAAATTACCATATCTCAGCACTTGAATGGATATACTTTTTAAAGAAAGAGGTTTCCTGGTTTGGCAAAATTATTTTCACTCTCATATGAATCTGGCCCTCCTATGAATAGCCTTCTTATTTTCCTCTTCTTATGTTATCTGCTCCACATCTGGTACCCAATAAGAGGCAGAAACAGCATATTATCAACCACACTAAGAAAGAAACATAAAGCTCTTAGAAATCTTGGATCTCATTTATTGTACTATTGAAGGCGTACTTTGGAATATCTGAAAAGCTTTAGATGATTAAAAATGAAATATAAGAATGTGTTGTCCTAGACAATCATGAAGGAAAAAAAGAAACCTTTTGTATACTGTGGGGCTGCAATATCTCCAAGGACAGCTTGGAATAGCAGCAGGAACATTATGATATTCAGAAGGACTGATTATGTAGGATTGATGCAGTATTTGGTATTATTTCTTGTTCTGTCAGATTTAATAATGTAAATTTGACATAGTGAAGTATTCTAAATAATAGAAAAGAAATTGCTGTTTTGCTGCAAACTTTCTAAAAAAGAAACATTTTAAGTAAGTTCCACAAAAATAATCCATGCTGAGAAAAATTTAATTTTTTAAAAATATTTTTTTCCAGGGTCATGACTATAGTTCTCTAGCAGGTTTTACTTTACACCTACCTTCCTCTCATTTGTATTTTCTTCTTCCACTTCTTCTCATGTTTCTCTTTTCCATATTTCTGCATCCTTTGGTTGTACTTTTCTTCTGACACTAATCTCAGCTTCTGCATTGGAACTGTGAGTCCACAGCATTGTAGAGCTCAGCAGAGACTCTTGGGAGTGAAAACATGGGCTCTGGCTTGGCACGGTGGCTCACGCCTGTAATCCCAGCACTTTGGGAGGCCGAGGTGGGAGGATCACGAGGTCAGGAGTTCAAGACCAGCCTGACCAAAATGGTGAAACCCCATCATTACTAAAAATAAAAAATTAGCCTGGCATGGTGGCACACGCCTGTAATCCCAGCTACTCAGGAGGCTGAGGTAGGAGAATTGCTTGAACCCGGGAGGTGGAGGTTGCAGTGAGCTGAGATCGAGCCATTGCACTCCAGCCTGGGCAACACAGTGAGACTCCATCTCAAAAAAAAAAAAAAAAGAAAAGAAAGAAAGAAAGAAAACATGTGCTCCTTCAGTAAGGATGTCCAATGACCAGGAATTTGAAGGGTGTATAGTCTGCGCAGTTTTCAATCTCTCCCTTTCCATGGAATCCGTGTTGTTGTTCCTTTGAATTATTGGGGTTGTCTTCCAATGTTAAGTTTTTTTCTTATTTAATGTATACTTCATTACTGCTGTGGTAATTAACAAAGTATCAGGCCCTTCTAGGTGTAGTCGTTGCTATCAACCTAAAATACCATCAGGGAAAGAAATTAAGACTGTCTGCTCTTCTAACATACTTAGGAGTTTAAAGAAAATTTAACAATGACAGATTTTCAGGCAGAAGAAGTATTTACTGATGGAAATGGAAAATATTGGAGTCAAATAAAAATGTAGTATAATTTGCATGAAAAAATGTACCAGATCCCAAGCTGACTTGACATCTTCTGTGATATTTTTCTTCTCCTTACATTTAGCACTGCAGTGTGGGAGAAAGTAGTTTAAGGGTTATCCATTGAAAACATACTTTTCTCTAAAGCAATGGTTCTCAAAGGGCTGATTTTGCTCTCCTCCTCTAGGATATCTGGAGACATTTTTAGTTGTCAAAACTGGAAAGCTGCTGCTGGTATCTAGTGGGTCAAAGCCAGGGATACCGCTAAACATTTTATAATGCACCCTGTTTTCCCTCCACTTTGCCCTCTGCTGTGGAATAATTGTTTCACCAAAATTTCAAGAGTGCTGAGGTCGTAAAACCCTGTTCTACATGGCAGCTGTGCCCTGTTACATGACTTGCTGGGCTGGGAACCTGTGCACCATAAGGAAATGTGTCCATGGGGCCTAATGCTGACTCACAGATGACAACTGTGCTACCTTTGGGAAAACTGGCTATGCTTGTTAGACTTGATGGGTGTTTATGTGTCTGTCAGACACTTGGTTTGTAATGGAAAGTGAAATGGAGTCTGTTAAGCAGAGGCTGGGATGGAGCACAATCTATTTAAAGAACACTAGACTGTGAGTCAGCAGCCCTGGCTCTGCCTCGGCTGGCGGAGGGGTTTGAACAAGCCACATCACCCTTCCGGGCCTTGGTCTACTCGTCTATTATATAAGGGTTTGAACAAGCTCCTCTTCCAAAATTGTATGACCAAATAACAACAACAACAAACATACCTCACAGTTAAATGGAACAGTTTATCGTAGTTTAGGTTGAACATCTTCTTGATTTGTAATTCCTTAAAATTTTTCTCATCAAAAACAAGACTCATCTTTAAATATCTGCACTCAAGATTTATTGTATTGCATAAGCTTTATATCTAGGAAAACAGAATATCTATTCGTGTTTAAAGGTTGCCCCTCTGCAGTGCGCTTATTAGAAAAATCTAGTCTGTTTAGCCAGTGGTTTGACCACTTACCCTGAAGAACTGTCTGGGTTTTTCTGCCAGATAACATAACAACATGACTGAAGGCTAAAGCCCCTTGGAAAAAGGACTAGGTTCCAGTCAGGTCTCAGGAGAGTCACTGGGGACTGTGGCTCTCCTGCAGGATCATGGCCTCAGCTCTTATCGTACACCACTCCCTTCTCTGAAAACTTCCTGGATAGATGGAGCATTGGTCTGACTCATCACTACACAGAAGTTTGTAAGAGGATATGAGGAAAAGAAAAGGAAGCAGGATTAAATAGTTGCTCATTGCTCTGCACATACCGTGCACTTTACAAATGTTATCTGACTTAATCAGTGAAAATACCTGATGAGGTGGGTAATATTAACAACCCTTTACAAATGAAAACTGAGGCTCAGAAAAGTTGAGTTATTCTTAAGTGATAGGAAACCTGAATCAAGGGGACTTAAATAATAAATGGGTTTATTCGGTCACATAATTTAGGAGTCCAGAGGTAGAGGCAGAAGTAGAGCTTGGTCCCAGACCTCGATAAATATGACCATTGTTCACATTTCTCTCTAGTTCTCTCTCAAGTTTTCTGAAGCGTTGGCTTTGGACCACATGGTGCCTCCTAGAGGCTCTACCCTTCAGGAACTTCCACCTCACGGCTCTTGAGTAGACTGTGATTCCCACATAAGCGCTGGGATATACTCGTTCTCACCAGCTCTTTTTGAGTCACATGCTTCTCCCTGGACTAGTCACTCTGTTGAGAGGGGGGTAAATTGGTGCTGGGAAATGTTCATCAGGCAGGGCCCATTCCAGCATGTATTGGGTCAAAGGTACAAATTAGAAGTGGATTGAATTCCTTTGGATATTGTTAGAAAAAAAAAAATTGAAAAACTGGATGTTGAGGTGGTAACTCAAAAGCCACCCACCAGCAGGGGTTAGGAAATGACCAAAGGCCTGGAGTATCTAGTACAAAAATGCTTTTTTTTTGAGGTGGAGCTTTGCTCTTGACGCCCAGGCTGGAGTGCAGTGGTGCCATCTCAACTCACTGCAACTTCCACCTCCCAGGTTCAAGCGATTCTCTTGCCTCAGCCTCCCGAGTAGCTGGGATTACAGGTGCCTGTTACCTCGCCCGGCTAATTTTTTTTTTGTATTTTTAGTAGAAACTGGGTTTCATCACGTTGACAAGGGTGGTCTCGAACTCCTGACCTCAAGTGATCCGGCCGCCTTGTCCTCCCAAAGTGCTGGGATTACAGGCGTGAGCCACCGCACCAGACCCAAAAATGCATTTTAAATAAATTGAAAACAAATTTTAAATTCAAACATCAGATAAAAAGAAAACTTGCCAGAATCTGAGCCACTGATCCTTAATTCCCAATTAAGTTCTAGAAACTCTGGAGTTTTTATGTTAGTAATTTTTTTTATATATTAGTAATTTAGAGAGTTTTTATTTAGTGATATTAGATGAGATATTAGATATTACTTAGATAAAGATATGGAGACACTCCCACTAAGTATGTTTTCTTCACTGTTCATATTACTGGACATATTCTTCTCATTGTTTGGTGGCAGTCCTCATGAAAAGGTAATCGGGGCAGATTGGTTCTGTACATCCAACCCTTCTGATTATCTTGAAATGGGATCATGTCACGGTATCTTCCCCCACTCAATATCTCACCAGTTTCTCAAAATGACTTCATTTGTGTTTAGCGATGAACTGTTTCTTCATGATTAATAACATGAATATTAAAGCAATTTGAGGCAATTTCATATAATTTTAAAATAATGAAGCTAATACTTTCTTTTCTTTTCTTTTCTTTCTTTCTTTTTTATTTTTATTTTTTTTGAGATGGAGCTTCTCTCCTGTTGCCCGGGCTGGAGTGCAGTGGCGCGATCTTGGCTCACTGCAACCTCCACCTCCCAGGCTCAAGCGATTCTCCTGCCTCAGCCTCTCCAGTAGCTGGGATTACAGGCGACTGCCACCATGTCCGGCTGATTTTTTGTATTTTTAGTAGAGATGGGGGTTTCATCACGTTGACCACGGCTGGTCTCCAACTCCTGACCTCAGGTGATCCGCCTGCCTTGGCCTCCCAAAGTGCTGTGATTATAGGGGGTGAAGCCACCGCTCCCGGCTGAAGCTAATACTTTCAAAAGAAAGACTACATTATTATGTCTGATAAAGATATTTTTTCTTCTATAATATAAAATACAAATCTTTTTTCTTTTTAATTTATCTTTCATTAGTCAGAACATATAAAATACAATTTTTTTTTTTTTGAGACGGAGTCTCTCTCTGTCGCCCAGGCTGGAGTGCAGTGGTGCGATCTCGGCTCATTGCAAGCTCTGCCTCCTGGGTTCCCACCATTCTCCTGCCTCAGCCTCCCGAGTAGCTGGGCCTACAGGCATCCGCCCGGCTAATTTTTTGTATTTTTAGTACAGACGGGGTTTCACCGTGTTAGCCAGGATGCTCTCGATATCCTGACCTCATGATCTGCCCGCCTCGGCCTCCCAAAGTGCTGGGATTACAGGTGTGAGCCACCACGCTGGGCCAAAATACAAACATTTTTAATTAAGAGAATTCACAAGAACAGAGGGAAATTGCCTGGACAGCAATTTACCACTTAAAAATAAAAACCATGGAATGTGGACATTAATGAATTTATCTTCGAGAAATAAAGAGAACTCAATAAAATTTAACATGAAATAATAGAATTTATATTAGTTGGCTATTCTGGCATTTTTCTGTACAGATGGATATCAGAATAAAACCAGGTTTCTAATCTATCACATAACTACCAATATACCAAAATATTCCTTATCGACAACCCATCTGGGTGAAATATGTATTCTCCTTTTAAAGAAATTAGTTGTTTTGCTAGTTCAAACATTTAAGGTTGAACTAAATACTGCTTGTGAAGAAGTGAGCACAAACACTTTAAATATTAATTTTTTTTTTTTGAGACAGAGTCTCACTCTGTCACCCAGGCTGAAGTGCAGTGGTGCAATCTTGGCTCACTGCAACCTCCGCCGCCTGGGTTCAAGTGATTCTCTTGCCTCAGCCTCCAGAGTATCTGGGATTACAGGCATGTGCCACCATGCCCTGATAATTTTTTTGTTTTTGTTTTTGTTTTGTTTTTGTTTTTTTGAGATGGAGTTTCGCTCTTGTTGCCCAGGCTGGAGTGCAATGGCAAGATCTTGGCTCACTGCAACTTCTGCCTCCCGGGTTCAAGCGATTCTCCTGCCTCAGCCTCCCCAGTAGCTGGGATTACAGGCATGTGCCACCACGTCTGGTTAATTTTGTATTTTTAACAGAGACGGGGTTTCTCCATGTTGGTCAGGCTGGTCTTGAACTCCTGACCTTGTGATCTGCCCACCTCGGCTTCCCAAAGTGTTGGGATTACAGGTGTGAGCCACCATGCCCAGCCCTAATTTTTGTATCTTTAAAGTAGAGACGATTTCACCATGTTGACCAGGCTGGTTTTGACTCGAACTCCTGACCTCAGGTGATCCGCCAGCTTCAGCCTTCCAAAGTTCTGGGATTATGGGTGTGAGCCACCACACCCAGTCCAAATATTAATTCTTGATTTACTTCAGTCTACCTTTAGACTACAAAGGTAGAAGTAATTAAAAGCAAAACAAAACAACTCTTTTATCATATTACTTTTTTTTTTTTTTGGAGACAGAGTCTTGCTCTGTCACCCAGGCTGGAGTGCAGTGGCACCATCTCGGCTCACTGCTACCTCCGCCTCCTGGGTTCAAGTGATTCTCCTGCCTCAGCCTCCTGAGTAGCTGGGATTACAGGTGCCTGCCACCACGCCTGGCTACTTTTTGTATTTTTAGAAGAGATGGGGTCTCTCTATGTTGGCCAGGCTGGCCTCGAACTCCTGACCTCAGGTGATCTACCCGCCTCAGCCTCCCAAAGTGCTGGGATTATAGGCCTGAGCCACTGTGCCTGGCTGTTTTGTTTTTTTTGAGACAGGGTCTCCTTTTGTCACCCAGGCTGTAGTACACTGGCAATCATAGCTCACTGCAGCTTCAAATTCCTTGGCTCAGGGATCCTCCCAGGTAGCTGGGACTACAGGTGTAAGCCACTGTGCTCAGCTAATTTTTTTTTTTTTTTTTTTTTTTTTTTGTGAGACAGGGTCTCACTCTTTTGCCCAGACTGGAGTTCAGTGGCATGATCTTGGCTCACTGCAGCCTCTGCCTCCCAGGTTCAAGCAATTTCCATGCCTCAGCCTCCCGAGTAGTTGGGATTACAGGTGTGCGCCACCACGCCCAGCTAATTTTTGTATTTTTAGTAGAGATGGGGTTTCACCATGTTGCTCAGGCTGGTCTCAAACTCCTGGGCTCAAGCAATCCACCCGCCTTGGCCTCCCAAAGTGCTGGGATTAAAGGTGTGAGCCACCGAGCCCTGCCTGTCAGCTAAGTTTTTAATTTTAATTTTTGTAGAGACAGGGTCTCACTATGTTGCCCAGGCTGGTCTCAAACTCCTGGCCTCAAATGATCCTCCCACCTTGGGCTCCCCAAGTGTTGATATTACAGGCATAAGACACTGTACCCAGCCCAATATTACCTTTTAAAACAGAAAACAGGCCAGGCCCATGCTTGCAATTTCAGCATTTTGGGAGGCTGAGGCAAGGTCAATCGCTTGAGGCCAGGAGTTTGAGACCAAGTTGGGCAACATAGCAAGATACCATCTCTATTTGAAAAAAAAAAAGAAAAGAAAAGAAAAGAAAAGAAAAGAAAAGAAAAGAAAAGAAAAGAAGACAGGAAACAGATCACAGCCCTAAAATGATGAATTCTCTTTGTCAACCTATTTAGAAACACTTCTTGCCTATGGGCTAGAGTCACAGTTGGCCTATTGCTGCTTCTAACCTTGGGCAGTCTGGTCCAGTTCAAGAGATCACAATTCGAATGACCAAGGTGTCAACCGGCACAATGGGAGAAAAGCACTGCTGTCATGGAAGGCCTCCAAACGAGGCCATATGAGAGGGGATGGGGACACAACCAACCGTCTGGATTTGTTGAAGGAACTTGGATGTTAATCTGCAAATGATCAGACTTTATTTCTTTTCCCAAATAACCAAAAAGTTAACCTGACATAGAGAACTAAGTTTTCTATTCTGTAGCACCTTAAGAAAAACCAAAAGCAGGTCGGGCGCGGTGGCTCAGCCTGTAATCCCAGCACTTTGGGAGGCCGAGGCGGGCAGATCACGAGGTCAGGAGGTCGAGACCATCCTGGCTAACAAGGTGAAACCCCATCTCTACTAAAAATACAAAAAATTAGCCGGGTGTGGTGGCGGGCGCCGGCAGTCCCAGCTACTCAGGAGGCTGAGGCAGGAGAATGGCGTGAACCCGGGAGGCGGAGCTTGCAGTGAGCCGAGATCGTGCCACTGCACTCCAGCCTGGGCGACAGAGCCAGACTCCGTTTCAAAAAAAAAAAAAAAAAAAAGAAAGAAAAGAAAAACCAAAAGCAGTGGACAAAGGCTACGGTAATATAGGCTTTGGGTCGCTGTTGGGCAGTTTTCAAACGAGTGGCAGCTCAAGACAGTGGTTAACAGACAAATTATAGAGTCAGAAAGTCGTGGGTTTAAATATTTTCTCCCTCATGTACTAATTGTATAAGCTTGGCAAGATGTTTAACCACTCTGAACCTCAATTTCCCTGTCTGTTAAGTAAGGAAAATAATATGTAACTTGCAGTGTTATTATAGTGATCAAATGAGTCAATGTATGCTAAGTGCTAAGTGTAGCAGCTGGCCTTGATAAGGATTCAACAAATGGGGGCTCACTAGTTGTTTCATCATCATCACACTGTTACTATTATTTATCAGAAGTATCCCATGATAAAAATTCCTGGCTTTGAAAACAGTCATTTCAGCCATCACTTGAGGTATTCAAGTAGCTTCTTAAGGTGCATGGGCTTGAAGTAATATGGTCTGGACTTGAATTTTAGTTCTAACACTTACCAGCTCTGTTACCTTGAATAAGATATTTGATTTGTATAATCTTCAGTTTCTTATCTTAAATTAGAGTAATAATATCTTTCAAAATAAACAAATTTTTTTTCCTGTGTAATAAATAACAATCAAAACAAGAACAAACTTTCTTGAGCATATATTAGTACCAGCACTATGCTAAATGCTGGGGAGTTAAAACGAACAAACGTATAAACAAACAAACAAACACCTCATTCCTTCCTCCATTCCCTGAAAGACCACTTAGCCAAGAATGGTGGCAATTAAACAAAAATTCAAACTTGCCATGGGTAGTAATTTAAAAGCCTGGATTTGTCTTTTTCAAATGCCAGTCCATGAATGAGGGTCAGATTGCCTGCAGTTAAATGAAAGATTGCTTTGAAAAGTCCAAATTCCTGGGCTCATCTTTGGGAATTATGGGTCAGTAATCTAGGGTGGAACCTAGAAATTTGTAACTCTCTAGGGATCCTGTTGCATAACTGAGGTTGAAAACCAATGCTATATATTACTCTACATGTCTTCCAACTAGGAGTTTCTACAATTCTAGAGAATTTTCTAAATGAAAACAGGTTCTTGACTGATAAGTTTTCCAGTTTGTAGTCATGGAGACATCCTCCTTCTAATTGATTACAGAAAGAGACATAAGATCAGTGGATCTGTTGTAGTTGCGCTACAGAAAATCTTCACCTATGCTTTCTAAAGGGTTTGTCTTAATTGAGCATTACAGTCACCTCCCTAGTTCCTTAATCTCTTCTCTAATAAATGGAGAAGAGAGATGAAGAAACCAAGTGAACAAGTTCAAAACCTGAATGCAAGCCAATCCCTCAGTCTCCACGAGATATAATGGGTAACACGAATAAATAAAAAGGTGCAAAAATGTCAAGTTTATTGAGTTTGTCAAATAAATGAGTGTGGAAACTCTACCTCCACCTCAGTCATGCAGGGCTGCGCTATTGACAAGGCACAGGAGAAGCAACATCTGTATCCAAGGAAGATTTTGTCTGTGAGAAACATCCTTAATTACAGTCCATATACAATAGAAAAAGGATGAATTTCCAGTTCAGAGCATAATCTTTAGGAAAGAAAAACAACTGGTTTAAGAAAGTGGATCAAAGACCCTGATTCAAGTTCTGCAAAGCCAGGTATCACAAAGAGCTCAGTTCCTAAATTGAGTGGCAGTGACTTAGGGTGTAGGTGACAAAGGGAAAGGTAACATGTGTGTTTTACATATATGTTTGTGTGTTTACTCACATTTATTTATTTATTTATTTATTTTTGAGACAGGGTCTTGCTCTGTTTGCCCTGGCTGGAGTGCAGTGGCGCTATCATGGCTCACTGCAGCCTCAGTCTCCCTAGGACTGAGGTGCGCACCTAGGACTACAGGTGCGTACCACCACGCCTGGCTAATTTTTAAATTTCTCACTATGTTTCTCAGGCTGGGTTTACTCACATATAAGTACACATGCACTCACTCTCTTACACACACATAGATAAATACATATATATTTCAAGACAATACCTACATAAATAATTTTAATAAATCATCAGTATGTTATTCCTTGACTAATTATATGGACAGAAGAGTTTTTCTTAAGTTTTAGTGCAGAATATAGAGGGAAAAATATTACAAAATAAGAATTTCATAATTCTTAGTTGGGATTTGACTCATAGTCAAAATAATTTCCTGTATTGTGGGCTTTTCTCTCTCTCTCTCTGAAAACAGAGTCTGGGAGATGAGAAATCCTTTTTCATGAAAGCAAACATACATATTTTGGTTCCCTAGATTTTTATTATGGCATAAACACCTAAAGGAGATATAAATGTTGTGAAACGCCAAAATAGCTGGAAGGCAGAAGCGCACTGGGGCATTTCTCAGGATACACTTTGAAAGCAATGGTGGCAGAATGTTGAACAGGGAATGCAGGAATGACGCTTGGTAACTAATTCTCAGGAGAAGGGAATGAGTCAAATGTTTCTAAAGAAGCAGAGCAGTGTAAGTATCAGAATAAGAAAATAACTATTGTTGTATAAGATAAAGGAATGGAAAACTGACTTACTGAGAAGGAAAGGGCTTTACAAAATTGTAGTGGACTTAAAAAGACTAAAAAATGCATTATAAATGCCAAGTGATAATAAAAAATATCTGTGCATTTTTCCCCAAATAACACATAAAAAAATAGAAATTGAACAGAGAACAGAAACCTTGGGCTTTTGGCTGGGCGCGGTGGCTCACGCCTGTAATCCCAACACTTTGGGAGGCCGAGGCAGGCGGATCACAAGGTCAAGAGATCCAGACCATCCTGGCCAACATGGTGAAACCCCGTCTCTATTAAAAGTATAAAAATTTGCTGGGCGTGGTGGCGGGTGCCTGTAGTCCCAGCTACTCAGGAGGCTGAGGCAGGAGACTTGCTTGAACCCAGGAGGCGGAGGTTGCAGTGAGCTGAGATCACGCCATTGCACTCCAACCTGGGCGACAGAGCGAGACGCCGTCTCAAAAAAAAAGAAACCTTGGGCTTTTTACACAATGAAGAGCTGCCTTTTCAGCTATGCTCGATCTCCAGTCAATGGGAGGGAAATAGATTCTTTGGGCGCCATCTAGTGATTAAGTGGAGGAAGGCAACTGAAAGAGTGAATTTCCTTAGAGTTTAGGTATTTCCTATATAGGAAAAAATAGTATAATGAAACATTTGAGTTTCAGGGTTAAGACACTAATTTGAAACTTATTAAGGAAATTAACATTCACTGGTATAAACAACGTGACTTGGAGAAGGAAGGGACTTTCGCCTCTCAGTTTTTGCTCAACGTTCAGCATCTAGAATGCCATCTAGCATACTGCATGAACTTTATGTGAACCTATTTAAAACAAAATGAATAGGCCGGGCGCAGTGACTCATGCCTATAATCCTAGCACTTTGAGAGGCCGAGGCAAGCAGATCACTTGAGGTCAGGAGTTCGAGACCAGCCTGGCCAACATGATGAAACCCTGTCTCTACTACAAAAATTAGCCAGGCGTGGTGGCATGCATCTGTAATCTCAGCTACTCAGGAGGCTGAGGCATGAGACTTGCTTGAATCCAGGAAGAGGAGGTTGCTGTGAGCTAAGATCATGCCACTGCACTCCAGCCTGGATGACAGAGCAAGACTACATTTTAAATAAATAAATATAAATGGAGGCAAAAATATAGGATTTGAGAGATTTTATATATATATATATAGAGAGAGAGAGAGAGAGAGCATATGTCTACATTTTTTGAAAGGATAGCACAACTTTTACACATCATTTTAAATAATGAAATTAGAATGCATTACGCTAAGGCATTGTCACTGTTGTAGGTTCCTCAAAATCATGTTAGGGGTTCTTTGCAGAACCCCTGCAAAGGGGTTTGGAATGGGATATCAGACAACCCAGGAGTTTCTCATCCTGGATACAAAGGAACATAAGGAAGAAATGCTCCCTTTTCTGCCTGTTGACATTGGTTTCTGACAACACGATGCCTGGAACCACTACAGTCATCTTGTGACCATGGGGTGAATGAATTCACACACTGAGAATGACAAAGTGAACATATGGGAAGATGGGCATATATAAGATTGTTGAGTCATTAACTAACCAGAGGCCTTCCTACCTTGAACTTTTTATTTTATGGATAATAAAGTTTCTCTTTTTAAAAGTGATTTAGAGATAATTTTTCTTTTGCTTGCAACTGAAAACATCTCAGCTAAAACATGCAAAGGGAAAATAAAAAATAAATAGTAAGAAATATTTGTTTAAACACTAATGGAAAAGAGAATTAATGTAAAAAGAATATTTATTTTATGTAAATAATTTATTTTTTGAAATTAGTTTCTTTTTTTTTTTTTCTTTTTTGACACAGAGACTTGCTCTGTCACCCAGGCTGGAGTGCAGTGGCATGATCTCGGCTCACTGCAACCTCCGCCTCCCATGTTCAAGTGATTCTTGTGCCTCAGCCTCCCAAGTGGCTGGGACTACAGGCGTGCGCTGCCATGCCTGGCTAATTTTTTTGTATTTTTAGTAGAGACTGGGTTTCACCATGTTGGCCAGGCTAGTCTGGAACTCCTGGCCTCAAGTGATCTGCCCACCTCAGCCTCCCAAAGTGCTGGGATTAAAGGTGTGAGCCCCCACGCCTGGCCAGAATATTTATTTTAAATAAATAAGAGATAATTCTGCATGTTATAAAATCAACAGAGGGAAAAATTGAAGACAAATCTAACAAAATGTATTTGGTGAACTTTGAATTGAGACGAGGAGGAGGTGAATACCATAGAAAGAACAATTTAAAAAGGCACAAAAACAAAAACTCTGCTTACCATTTCAGGGGTGCTATAATTTAATAAACTCTTAAAAACTAAGCTACAAGAACTTTCTTGAATGCTCTATCATGCAAACAAAAAAACAGGGAAGCAAAACTTCCGCATACAGCATCTATGTTGTGCTAAGCTTTCTGGCTACTAAAAGTGGCACTCTGGTGTTTTTATACACTGATGTAAGATGTTGATTCAAATTTACTTTGATTTTCCTACCTCAAGTTAGGGTAGTTCCTGCCAAAGGTAAATTTTCCATACTGAGTCACAAATGTCATTTACAAAGTGTGTTTCTCCCATAAAATATATAAATTTACCTTTTAGCACTCTACCTTAAATTTCTGGAAACTAAATCAGAATGAGTAAAAAGAAAACTCTAAATTGAACGAAAAATTAAAAATGAAAATAGCTTATTGTTTTGTTTTAAATTCAAGGAAAAGACAAAGAGACTAGAAACTTTTTTTTTTTTTTTTTTTTTTTTTTTTTGAGACAGAGTCTCACTCCATTGCTCAGGCCGAAAAGCAGCGGCGCGATCTTGGCTCACTGCAACCTCCGCCTCCCAGGTTCAGGCGATTCTCCTGTCTCAGCCTCCCGAGTAGCTAGGATTACAGGTGCCCGCCACCATGCTTGGCTAATTTTTCTATTTTTAGTAGAGATGGGTTTCACTATGTTGGCTAGGCTGGCCTCAAACTCCTGACCTCAGGTAATCCACCTGCCTTGGCCTCCCAAAGTGCTGGGATTACAGGCATGAGCCACCGCACCTGGCCTGAAACATTTTAAAAGTTAATTGTGATTTTAGTAAGTATAAATTTTGCTGGGTGCTCTACTAAAAATACAAAAATTAGCTGAGTGTAGTGGCCAGTGCCTGTAATCCTAGCTACTCTGGAAGCTGAGGCAGGAGAATCTCTTGAACCCGGGAGGCGGAGGTTGCAGTGAGCCAAGATCATGCCACTGCACTCCAGCCTGGGCAACAGAGCGAGACTCCGTCTCAAAAAAAAAAAGTTTAATTTTTTTGGATTAAATTTGTATATCAAGACTTGGAAGTTAATAGCTATTTGCATTTATTCTTTCTCAGCAAACACACACACAGGCACATACACAAAAAACACACAGAAATGGAAGCTCCTTTTAGAACAATTATCTGTTCACTATCATTTCCTCTGAAATAATTTTTTGGATAAGAGAATTTTAAAAAAGTACCCAGTTTATTCTTTTTTTCACCTTTCTTTAGAAGTAGTAACTGAGGCCAGACACTGTGGCTTACGCCTGTAATCCTAGCACTTTGGGAGGCTGAAGTGAGAGGATTGCTTGAGTTCAGGAGTTTGAAACCAGCCTGGGCAACATGACTAAACCCCATCTCTACAAAAAAATACAAAAATTAGCCGGCTGTGGTGGCACGTGCCTATAATCCCAGCTACTCAGGAAGCTAAAGCAGGAGGATTGCTTGAGCCAGAGAGGTCAAAGCTGCAATGATCTGTCATTGTGCCACTGCACTCCAGCCTGGGCAACAGAGAGAGAGAGAGACCCTGTCTCAAAAAAAAAAAAAAAAGCAACTGATAACAGGGAGGAACTGATCAACTGATACTACTATCAGTCATCTTGCCATATTTTAGTATTTCCACTTCATTATTAAAATGATTTTGTTTCCCATCCAATCAACTTTCAATAAAATTGAACTTCTCCATTCCTTGGGTTTGTGAAAGTATGCTTTACCATTTGGTAAACTTTAGAGAGGTAGCCCTGTTACTTCCCTATCATTTCAAAACTATAGTTATTTCTGACACTATTTCACTATGATCAATAATGTAGTAAATTTCAAGTATGAAAGGATTTAGATGTGAAAATCATTTTTGTATCACAGCTAAGAAACATTCCCAGAATCTTTTTCTTATACAGAAATTGTCAGAGTATGGTAAAGTATGTGGTGTTTTTCACTAACCTCATAGGTATCTCTTTTACCTCTTTATAATTATGTCATAAATAATAATAAACCAAGCAATTATTATACCTTTACAATACATCTGTGAGATAAGTATAGCATTATTCCTATTCTACAAATGGAGAAACTGAGGCTACAGTTGAATAACTTTTCAGAGGTCACATAGCTATCAAATAACAAGATTGGGACTTGAACCCAGACCAA
Organism: Homo sapiens; assembly: GCF_000001405.40. NCBI lineage: Eukaryota > Metazoa > Chordata > Mammalia > Primates > Hominidae > Homo > Homo sapiens. The sequence continues at coordinate 153,039,352 of NC_000003.12, read as the reverse complement.
CTGAGAATAAAAACCTCTAGCAAATAAGCAAATCATCTTAATTTCTTTGTTCTGATGAGGTAATAGTTATTTTAATTTGCTTTTTAAAAATCATGTCAGAAAGGATCACTCATACATTGCCGGTGGGCAACTCTGGCAATTTGGCAATTTCTTGTAAAACTAAACATGCAATTACCATATGGCCAGGCAAACTGAACCCTTGGGGATTTAGTCCAGGAAAAGGAAACTTGAGTTCCTGCAAAAACCTGTGCAAAAATGATCACAGTGGCTTTATAATAGCCCCCAGTTGGAAACAACCCACATGTTCCTTAGCAGGTGAATGGTTAAACAAACTGTGGTACAGCCGGGCGCCGTGACTCATGCCTGTAATCCCAGCACTTTGGGAGGCGGAGGCGGACATGGGCGGATCACCTGAGGTCAGGAGTTCAAGACCAACCCGGCCAACTTGATGAAACCCTGTCTCTACTAAAAATGCAAAAATTAGCCAGGCATTGTGGCGTGCTCTTGTAATCCCAGCAACTCGGGAGGCTGAGGCAGGGAGAATTGCTTGAACCCAAGAGGCAGAGGATGCAGTGAGCCAAGATTGCGCCACAGCACTCCAGCCTGGGTGACAGAGCGAGACTCTGTCTCAAACAAACAAACAAACAAACAAACTTTTGTTTTTTTTTTTAGGTACTGCTTTCAGTTGTACGACATTTTTGAAATGACAAAAATTACAGAAACAGAACAGATTAGTGGTTATTCAGTGGTTAGGCATCGGGTAACTGGGCAGGAAATCAGTAGATATGGTTATAACAGGGCAGTACCAGGGATCCTTGTGGTGACAGAACTGTTCTGTATCATTATTGTAGCAGTAGATACACAAACTTACCCATGATAAATAGCATAGAACTAAACATACACACATACACACAACTGGAAAAATCTGGGTAAGATCCATAGATTAAGGCTGGGCGTGGTGGCTCAGTCCTGTAACTCCAGCACTTTGGGAGGCCGAGGCGGGCAGATCATGAGGTCAGGAAATCGAGACCATCTTGGCTAACACAGTAAAACCCCATCTCTACTAAAAATAAAAAAAATTAGCTGGGCGTGGTGGCGGGCACCTGTAGTCCCAGCTACTCAGGAAGCTGAGGCAGGAGAGTGGCTTGAACCCAGGAGGTGCAGGTTGCAGTGGGCCGAGATGGAGCCATTGAGAATGAGACTCTGTCTCAAAAAAAAAAAAAAAAAAAAAGAAATCCATGGATTGCATCAATGTCAATATCCTGCTGTAATTTTGTAGTATATTTTATGTTTTATTATTTTATTTATTATATTTATTAATTTTAGAGTATATTCTATGTTATTATTGGGGGAAAACTGCATAAAGAGTACATGGGGCCTATGTTATTTCTTACATCTGTGTATTTATTTAATTGAAAATTAATTTACATTTATTTAAATGTAAATTTAAGTATTTAAATAAAATAATTTAAATTAATTGTAAATTGTAAATTTACAGTTAATTTACAATTAAATAAATACACAGATGTAAGAAATAACATGGAGGGGTCGCATGTACTCTTTATGCAGTTGAAATTACAATCTCAAAATGAAAAGTTTGATTAGAAATTGTCATAAATAATCCTGTTATGCTGATTGATTATAATTGGAATTATTTCCCCATATATCTAGGAAAAGTAAACCAAAATTTATATACATATTTTTAGCCACGAAGTGGATAGAAAAATAGTTCCATTCCGAAAAAAGTGATTCACCACCCATTGGTGCGTTTTTGAATTCTTAGTAGTGCATCTACTAACAAGTGATTCAGTAATACTGTGTCTTTGTGCTATATGGACATGCATTATACAGTGTTTTTTTTGAAGTGTGAAAAGAAATTCCTCAACGGTACAGCTTTCCTCTTGCATTAATTCATTATCTGAGCCTGTGCATATATATCTGGTTTTCATTTTCTTTGTGTGGCTCTTGTCAAAGACATTGATTTTTAAAATATCCCCTTATCTGTCAAAGCCCACTGATTTTTAAAATATATCTAATTCAAATCATTTACTTTTCTTTTAAAAAATAGCATAATAGTTTTTACCATCTTTGATTTGAACAGGATGGAGGGGAAGTACCTTTGAAAAAAAGGTTCGAAACTCTGATTTCTTTGAATGCAGTACTAATGAATCAAGGCATAAGTTACACAGCTTCTGGTTTGGGTTGTCATTTTCTTTATTCACTCTCTCTCCAAATTCCCCCACCTTCTTCTCCCCAGCCATTTTTGTTCAACCTGTTCCAGCTGTTCATGTTGATGTAATACTCACAAAGCAAGATTTGCCTTTATGGTTACCATGGAGACCCTGCTTATTTTTTTAAAAAATCTTTCTTCTGAAAAGAATTATCACATTTTGCATTCACGAAGGTCTGTAAGCAAGTTGTCTATGTTCTGAACCTAGATATATATTTTTCTTTTTTCTTTTTAGAGATGGGGTCTCACATAAAGTGAGACTTTGTCACACAGGCTGGAGTGCAGTGGCTCGATCATAGTTCACTGCAGCCTCCAACTCCCAGGCTCAAGCCATCTTTCCACCTCAGCCTCTTGAGTGGCTGAGACAACAGGTACACATCATCACAACTGGCTACTTAAAAAATTTTTTTTTGGTAGAGACAGAGTCTTGGTATGTCATCCAGGCTGGTCTCAAACTTCTGGCTTGAAAGGATCCTTTCACCTTAGTCCTCCCAAAGTGTTGGAATTAAAGGCCTGAGACACCAATCCCAGCCTGAACTTATATATTTAATAAAGAAATGGCACTGCACAATTAACCTCTGACATTTACTGTCAATGTGGTGACCTTGCACTATTTCCCAAGATACGCACTATTTTTTCCAAAGCTGTGACCGCATCCTTCTGGCCAAAGGGAACTAAATACAATAAATGGAATAGCTAATGACTCTCCCCTTCCCTATACCGCACCTACCCAATTTAAATATATGTAGCAATAATTTACATTTCCCCCTGCTCTTTCCTTTATTCAAATTTATGGCTGGATACAGTTTGTAAATTTATCAAATGCCATAGCACTTGTAATTGGCATGATCAAGTTGAGAAATTTATTACATATTGTCTTAACTGTGTGTTGTGTGGTGTATATTAGTGTTGTCACTTCTACTAGACTATGATCAAATCAAAGGCAACATCACACTATGCTGTGTAATTTTTTATCTCTCTCTTTCTACCCTCTTCCTTGCCCCACTAACTCAGGGATGAACAGCAAATCATTCACTTAACAAATCTTTTCCTTTATTTTTTATTTATTTTTAATTTTTTTTTTTATTTTTTGAGATGGAGTCTCGCTCTGTCACCCAGGCTGGAGTGCAGTGGCGCGATCTCGGCTCACTGCAACCTCCGCCTCCCGGGTTCAAGCAATTCTCCTGCCTCAGCCTCCCTAGTAGCTGGGACTACAGGCATTTGCCACCATGCCTGGCTAATTTTTCTTTTTTCTTTTTGTATTTTTAGTAGAGACGGGGTTTCACTGTGTTAGCCAAGATGGTCTCGATCTCCTGACCTCGTGATCTGCCCGCCTCAGCCTCCCAAAGTGCTGGGATTACGGGCGTAAACCACCATGCCCAGCCTAACAAATCCTTTCTTAAACTCCTATAGTATTCTTAGTACATTCTAAAAGCTGGAGATACAGCAGAAAATAAGACAAGTCCCTGGATTTTAACTATATTTGAAGAAAAGTTGATTTTTTTTTATGTAAAAGTAACCTCCTACTTTTTGGTTAAAAGCAAATGCTGGCTGGGCGCAGTGGCCCACGCCTGTAATCCCAGCACTTTAGGAGGCCGAGGCGGGCAGATCACCTGAGGTCAGGAGTTCGAGACCAGCCTGACGAACATGGTGAAACCCCGTCTCTACTAAAAATACAAAAATTAGCCAGGCTTGGTGGCGGGCGCCTGTAATCCCAGCTACTCAAAAGGCTGAGGCAGGAGAATCGCTTGAACCTAGGAGGCGGAGGTTGCAGTAAGCCGAGATCGCGCCACTGCACTCCAGCCTGGGCGACAAGAGCGAGACTCTATTTCAAAAACAAACAAACAAACAAACAAAAAACAAATGCCACCAAAACTTTTCTGTTGGTATTGTTCAACATTGAGATTCTTTTGCCCCTCACATTGCTAATACATAAAATAAGAGTTATAATATAAAGAGAAAATTTAAAAGATACAGCATTGCTCAGAAACGATGTCAGTAACTGTGATGGAAACGTGGCGGGAGGGAAGTGGGCTTGCTGTGTTTTGTGTCCGGCAGCTGGGAGAGGTAGATGTAAACTTAGCTTCTGCAATCTGTGAAGAATACGGGACAAGAACCCAGCCTATTGCTTGAAATAAAGCCTGCGATAGAGACTTCCCAGCTTATGGAAGGAAGAAAAAAAAGCCTTTGACCAACAACTGGAGTTACAGCTCATATAGAGCTATTTAAGCAGGAGGAGGGAGAAAGTAAAAGCTGCCTTCCAACCAGGGCTTGTGCCAGCCCACTGATGCCATGCCTGGACCAACATTTGCTCCAGTATTGCCCATCAGTGCAAAGTCACCTATGCATGACCTGGTTCTGGATTGGGGTCCCCAGTGGTCTAGGTGGTGCAGCACTGGGAGAGAGAAGTATGAAGAAAGGGCATAAAAGAAAACCAAGCAAAGAACATGGAGAAAAAAATAATCTCCCATCAAAGCAAGCTTGAAAACCAAAATTTCATAGTTCCCTGCTGCTTATTTGATTGGTTAATAAATAAATACATACAATTTCATAGTACATCGAAATATTATAGCTGCAAAGATAATCAAAAAAATTAAAGGCTGGGAAATATAAACGCTGTATCAAATGAAAATAATAGAGCTACCTGAAAAAAATACAACAAATGTGTTTAAGACTTTTACCAGATTTAGCAAAGAGATAAGGAATAACAACCTTGGCCAGGTGCGGCTGCTCACGCCTGTAATCTTAGCACTTTGGGAGGCCAAGGTGGGCGGATTGCTTGAGCCCAGGGGTTTGAGACCAGCCTGGGCAACATGGAGGAACCCTGTCTCTACAAAAAGTACAAAAATTAGCCAGACATGGTGGTGGGCACCTGTAGTCCCAGCTACTTGGTAGGCTGAGGTGGAAGGATCATCAGAGCCTGGGGAGATTGAGGCTGCAGTGAGCCAAGATCATGCCATGGTACTCTAGCCTCGGTGAAAGAGTGAGGCCCTGTCTTAAAACAACAACAGCTACACCCAAAACTTAAGAATAAAATAATAATAATAATATTGGAAACAAAAACAGTAGCACATGAAAAAGAATCAAGTAAAAACTTTGGAACTAAAAAATATTATTATAGAAAAAATAATAAACAGGATTAACTCAGGACTAAATGCAATTGAAGAGAAAAATTAAAAATATTAAGAAAAAAGGCCCAGCTTGGTGGCTTATGCCTGTAATCCTAGCACTTTGGAAGGCCAAGGTGGGAGGATGGCTTGAATCCAGGAGTTTGAGACCAGCCTGGGCAACATAGTGAGACCTCGTCTCTACAAAAAATCAAAAAAATTGCTGGACATGGTGGCATGTGCCTGTAATTCCAACTACTTAGGAAGCTAAGGCAGGAGGATCTCTTGAGCCTGGGAGGTCGAGGCTGCAGTGAGCCATGATTGTGCCACCGCATTCCAGCTTGGATGACAGAAGGAGACTCTGTCTCAAAAAAAAAAAGTTAGGAAAAAGATACTGAGAAATATAGGGAATCCAGCACAAAGAGATAAAAGATTTAAAAATCTGTATGAAATAGCAGCTAACAGACATAGATATGCTATACAGACGCTCCAGAACTCTATTATGAGTTTTTGAAAAAGAGAATAAGAAGAAATAGCTGAGAAACAATAGTTAAATATCTAATGGTTTAGCATCATACAGAACTGAAAAAAATTTCATATTGAAATACCACAATTAATATACAACAAGATAGATTAAAAAAATAAACTTACTGTTTATTACCAAGCAAAAATTCCTCCAAATAAGACTTTTGTCTATGCAAAAATGTAAACTTCAAAGGATGTGGATGAAACAGTGCATTATTCACTTATATATTTAATTTATTGCTTTAGTTATATATATTTTTAATTATATATTATCTACATATAGTCATTTAGAAATATTGCTTTCTTTCCCCAGCCACACTTAAATTATTCAGCCTTTTCAAATCTTTGACATCAGTGTCTTTGTCATCAGCAGAGCTATTTTTACATTATCAGAGCGGCATCACTTGTGTCTCAGTGAGATACAGCACTTTGTGATTGCATGTGTAATGTTGACACTGGAGGTTCCCATTCACATGTATTAGTACAGTTTTATTTTCATTTTTATTCTTCCTGTAGGTTTATTTTTCTAATCCTTTTAATGCAATAACCATTATTACTTTTAAAATAATCTTTAAAGCCCTATTTATAATGGCCTCCAACACTTGCAAACATGGTATCAAAACCCAGAATAAATACTGAGATTGCTAACCTTTGCCTTCTTTTATACTAACTTTAACAGATGATCTTTGTAAACACCGCACCTAGCATTAATTGTAGAGAAATGATTGCAGGGTAGTTTCTGGTTAATGTTATCCTAAGCAGTATTTTATGGCTTACGAAATTGATCCATAGCATGAGAGACTTTGGAGGAACTTGAATGTACGTAGCTATTTTCTTTTCTAGGAATTTTGGGGGAAAATTCACCTTACATTTAGGTTATATTTATGTAGTAAGAGGCTTTTATTAACTTCTTACTACATGTCAGGTGCTGGTCTTGGATATTCCAGTGAACAAGAAAAGATTATCTGGCGTCTACATTCTAGTTGGGTGGTATAGACAATAAGTGAATAAGGAAAAAAATATCAGGTAGTGATGAATGATATACAGAACATTACAAATAATTTCAAGAAGTTGAATAATGTTTATCAGGGATCTAGAGTGTTTCTAAAGAATCTGAGTATCAGACCGGAGGTTCTGTGAGACCAAGCCTCATTTATAGACTGACCCAAGTCTAGAATCCCACATTCTGAATCTAAATCCAGTAATTTACCTTTATACTGTTCACCTGTTTAAAAACATTTTTGACCTCACATAAAAAATGTAATATGGAAAGGCATTACAAATCTAAAAGAAGTAGGAACAAGAAAATTATAGAAGATCAAATGTAAAAATAAATAAAAAAATAAAACCCCCAAACAAGCAAACCTTCCCTAAAACCAGAAAACCCTCTGACATAGGCAGAAAGGCATAATTATCCATGCATGGATAGGCATGAGTCTTAGTTATTTTTAGAATGTTTAGACCATTGCAAATCTGTCCAGTAGAAATATATCTACTTTTGCTGGTCTTTCTTTCCTTCTCTCCCTTCCTTCCTTTCTTCCTTCCTTTACTCCCTTTCTTTCTTTTCTCCTCCCTCTCTTTTCCTTTCTCTTTCATTCCTTTCTTAATTACTATATTTTCTAAAATAAGCATGTATTGCTTACGTAGTCAGGAAAAAACCTACATTATTTTAAATTTGAAGCATTTGCTTTTCCTTAATTTTTCAGCCATTTTTTTCTTTATCAGTTGGAGAGATTGAAGGGATATTTTTAAAGCTTAAATCTGAAGATTCATATAAATACATCATAACAGGTATGTTGCTTTGTTGATTTTATCTCAGTATGTAACAACATGAGAATATACTCAATATAATTTTGAAAATACTAACTGTAAAGGGTCTCATAGTTTTCTAAGAGAAAAATGAGTTGTCTATTGGCAAACTTCCTAAGAAGGTAATGTATATTCTATTCATTGCTTTTAAATGAGTGAAACCCTAGCCATTTACCACCAGCTACTATTTCATGGTATATTTTATTTTATTTATTTATTTACCTGAGACTGAGACTCCCTCTGTCACCCAGGCTGGAGTGCAGTTGCCTGATCTCAGCTCACTGCAACCTCCAGCTTCTGGGCTCAAGCGGTTCTTCTGCCTTAGCCTCCCAAGTAGCTGGGATTATAGGCATGTGTCGTCACGCCTGGCTAATTTTTGTGTTTTTACTTTTATTTTTTAATTTTTAATTTTTTTTTTTTTGAGACTGAGTCTTGCTCTGTCGCCCAGGCTGGAGTGCAGTGGCATGATCCTGGCTCACTGCAACCTCTGCCTCCCTGGTTCAAGCAATTCTCCTGCCTCAGCCTCCCAAGTTAGCTGGGATTACAGGCACGCACCACCACGCCCAGCTAATTTCTGTATTTTTAGTAGAGACGGGGTTTCACCATGTTGGTCAGGCTGGTCTTCAACTCCAGACCTCAGGCAATCTGCCCGCCTTGGCCTCCCAAAGTGTTGGGATTACAGGCATGAGCCACTGCACCCAGCCCAATTTTTGTATTTTTAGTAGAGATGGGGTTTCATCATGTTGGCCAGACTGGTCTGGAACTGCTGAACTCATGTGATTCGCCCGCCTCAGCCTCCCAAAGTGCTAGGATTACAAGCCTGAGCCACTGCGCCCGGTCTCATGGTATGTTTTATATTATCAGGTTCACTTAACTATGTTGAATTCTAATGTTATGAGCTGATTCTTGGGTCCTAGAAAGAGATACTGACTCTTTCTTGGAACTCATTTAACATAGAACACGTATAATATCCTCCTAACTTTACTACTTTTGTGTATCTGAAAGCATACAATTTAAAATCCTGTTAGATAATAGACTCATAATCATCCCAGATAAAAACCTTCACCTTACTTGCCTATGCCTACGTTATCTTATTTCAGATAATCAAGATACTCATGGTAATTTCCGTTCATTATGGGATCAGAGTGTTTTTCTTTGGGCAATTTTTCTGACTTAACTCATATCAATTCATTAACTTCTCCATTTCTCCTTTACAGTCAAGTCACATTAGGTCTCAGAATTATTTCTTTTTTTTCCCCCTACACTATGACTCTGAAAAGACACATGTGTATCCTTTAACTCTTGTTTCACGTGTCTTGGTTCCACGTAGATGCTCACATATTTACATTAAAATTTTTCTCTCATGGTGGCTCACGCCTGTAATCCCAGCACTTTGGGAGGCTGAGGTGGGTGGATCACTTCAGGTCAGGAGTTTGAGACCAGCCTGGTCAACATGACGAAACCCTCTCTCTACTAAAAATACAAAAATTAGCTGAGCATGGTGGCACATCCCTGTAATCCCAGTTACTCAGGAGGCTGAGGCAGAAGAATTGCTTGAACCTGGGAGGTGATGGTTGCAGTGAGTGGAGATAGTGCCACTGCACTCCAGCCTGGGCAACAGAGCAAGACTCCTTAAAAAAAAATCAAAAATAAATAAATGAATAAAATAAATAATAAAAAATAAAAATTTTAAAAACTAAAATTGTTCTTACAATACTTCTGGCAAATTCCATTTTGTCACCAAATGCATCTTTTGAAAAGTATATAAAATTATAAAGGTGAAATTAAAATTTGCTAAGTTTTCTCTCAGCTCTACAAGTATACAATTCAATAAAAATAATCTTTTTAGGTCTTCAAAAAAAATGTTTTCAAAACTGGGCCATTAGATTCCATCAACATCAAACAACTGATAGATTTTTAAAATTGCTCTTGAAAAGCATAAGCGTTATATTATCCAAGTATATCAAGATGCATTATAAAGAGATTTTGTGGAAAAATATCTAAAGAACAGCTTAAGTCATGACAAGTCTTGTAAGCATTTCTGTAGGCCCTCCACACCCCCGCCACCATACACACATTCCTGTTGTATACTGCCTGGAGTAGGTCCAAGCAGCTGCTGGGGTGGGTGGAATGAGACAGCTGAAGCTGTCTTTCTATCTCACCGAACAGCCGGTGGAGGAAGGAGACATTTTGGCAATGATGCAGGTGAGGAATTCAGTTTCTCCTGCCAGGCTTTCTCCTGAAAATAGTGGCAACATCAACTATGTCCCACTTGAACTTTACGAAAATGGCAAATACAGGGAGAGAACCCACGGAGCTTGGACCAGGTCTAAGGCAAGTTGAGCTACCCAGGATGCAAAATGTTAGGTGGCACTCATTATCAGGTGCTGACATGCACTTGCGTGGCCTTGAGAGTGAGTGCCACCTTAAGTTTTGTGCCTCACTTGTCTCACCCTCATCCCGACAACCTTTTCCTGCAATTTTTAGTGTCTCTATGATATAATCCACCTATGAACAGGTATAAATCAGGTGACAAGGAAATCCCATTTGGGTAGAAAGTGTAGTTTTCTTCTATTTGATGAATCTGGGAGATATTTGATAATGGACTTAGCACAGGATAGAGTTGAGAGTTCTGAATATTAGGGCTCTTCTGGGTAAATTAACATAAGCATGCTTTAAAATACATTTTGCCTATATACAAGCTCATCCCCATGAACAAAAAAGATATGTCTAATATGATAAAACTGTATATTCTACCCTCTTGTTTTCTCTTTATCCTGGATTTATATTCTCAACTGATCCCACCTAGCCTACTGTTTAATATCATTAACTTAATCACTAGTCGAAGAGAATTCTCTCCATCTGCAGTTACTCAGAGTTAGTCTCTAAGTAATGCATGTCTATGTCTACAACTACTTGTGTTTAGAATTAGACAAAGCTTAATTACTTTCTTTCTGCTCCTAGTATTCTTTTGAAAATGCTTGCCCTGGTGACTTACTCCCCTGAAATGATGTCTGTGTTTGTGCAGTATGCCAGGTCCCTCACTGAGAATGTATTATTCTGTTCTGGATTTTGGCAGAACAACTTCCAGATCATTTGTAATCTGAACAACTCCTCCGCTGCATAAAAATAATTGCACTCCCTCTTCCTTCCTGCGTTGAACTGTGGAAAGCCCTTGCTACCCGTCCCTTAGTTGGGCTTTAGTATTTCGCCATTTCATGTTTATTATCACGTAGATCTTTCATGTTACGCACACACATCTTCCTGGTCTAAATTCTGTGAGAAATGGGTGAGACAGTAACAGAAATACAAGGAGGTAGAATCTTTTCTCCCATTTATGCTTCTGACTGTGGAATTCTAAAGTCCTGTTTAATGCTCTTAGACTCTAGTCCCCAACCTATGAATTAATTATTCTTTATTTGTTCATGAGGCAAACTGTTTCCCACCTCCCTTTCCCCACTCAACCCTCCCCCCAACTTTTTTTTTCTGAGATAGGGTGTCACTACCATCATCCGTGGAGTGCAGTGGCATGACCCTGGCTGGGTAATGGGAGTGAGACCCTGTCTCAAATGCATTGAGTCCCGTCAGAATGTACAAGTGAATGAAGCTGAAAGGTGAATGAGGGTAGACCTGTGGTAAACTGAGAGCGTGGGTCCTCTCTAGAGATCCTGCATGAACCCCAAGTTCAAATTCAGATAAGATGGCACAATTCATAGATAGAAAATTAAAATGCCATTTAAATAATGTGTGCACGTGTGTATATATGTACAGGCTTATGTTCTGACTGTTCTACTTGGAAGATGGCTTTTTGTAATGTTAAAGTATTATATATTACAAAATGTTCATGCGTAACATAAATTTCTTAATAGAGGCAAGTAAATGAAAATTTGGGGCCAGAAAAACATTTTCGCAGTCAATCTAGAAGTCCATGCAGGAGGTAAACTAAGTATAAGCCGGCAGGTTTCCCAGGGAAAGAGATGCAGCAGAATTCCCAATTTCTAGGAGAAACAAAATACTAAAAATAAACTCCCAGCAGTAAGCCCAGGAGGAGGCTTTAATAGCAGTGTCAGAGTCTCATTTCTGCTTTCACGGGAGATCAGTGGACAAACATCTTTTTCCACAATTAATAATTGTAGAATTTCAAACTGCCAAAAATTTCAGACCAAACAAAGGCAACACTGAGGCAGTTCTTAGACCAAAGAAATTGATGGTTCTGCTGTACCGGTCCCTTTCCACATTCTTTTTTGTTTTTTTTGTTTTTTTTGAGATGGAGTCTTGCTCTGTCGCCCAGGCTGGAGTACAGTGGCACAATCTCAGCTCACTGCAACCTCCACCTCCCAGGTTCATGTGATTCTCCTGCCTTGGCCTCCCGAATAGCCAAGATTACAGGTAAGCGCCACCACACCTGGCTAATTTTTTTATATTTTTAGTAGACACGGGGTTTCACCATTTTGGCCAGGCTGGTCTTGAACTCCTGACCTCAAGTGATCCTCCTGCCTTGGCCTCCCACTGGGATTACAGGTGTGAGTCACCGCACCCAGCCCTTTCCACATTACTTATTTTTTATTGTATTGTATTCATTTATTTATTTGAGACGGAGTCTCGCTCTGTTGCCCAGGCTGGAGTGCAGTGGCATGATCTCGGCTCACTGCAGCTTCTGCTCCCCTGGTTCAAGCAATTCTCCTGCCTCAGCCTCAGGAGTAGCTAGGATTACAGGCACCTGCCACCACGCCCAGCTAATTTTTGTATTTTTAGTAGAGACAGGGTTTCACCATGTTGGCCAGGCTGGTCTTGAACTCCTGACCTCAGGTGATCCACCCACCTTGGCCTCCCAAAGTGCTAGGATTACAGGTGTGAGCCACCGCACCTGGCCCCTCCACATTAATTCTTAAATAAATTTATCTGAATCATTTAGGATCTTGAACCATGAAAGCAAACACCATAAAAAGCATTATTGAAAGCCTCATACATTTATTTTGAAAAGTAAAGCATTTTGAAATCAATTTCCTAAATGCAAACTTAAAGAAAAGTCCCCCCCAAAATGAAAATAATAAGAGAGAAAAAAAAAACAACAAAAAAACAAAAAAAACAGTCCTTCATTCTATTTCCCAATAACTAGATTTTTGGTTTTACTTATAAAAATACTAGATAGTATATGAACGTAAATGACCAAGGCCCAAAAGTTTAATTTCAGATATTAATATCGATACAGAAAAATGATATGATTGAGCAAATATCAGCCACAATTAATTTATCTTTAGAGCTACGTTGTGAATATGTATTTTTCAATTAAAACTGTGCTTACCTTTCAAAAGGACACAGGAAGAAAAATAGAAACTAATGAAGAAGAATTTGTTTTATAGTACCATATATCTTTGTAAAACAAACAAAAACACAGTTGTTCTCAAAATATTGCTTGGGAAACAACTCTTTCTCTGAAATGTGACATACTTAGTAATAATAGTAATGGTCTGGAGCCACCTTGTGGTAATCACTTGTAATTGGATGTCATTTTTAAAACAATGGTCTAAACTATATTTTAGGATAAATGAAAGATGCCTTGTAACAGTGAAATGATCGTATTTATTTCAGAAAGCTAATCTTCCGCACACAAACAACATATATAAGTGGCAGAAGTAGCATGAGATTTGAAAACCACATCTAAATCCAGAAGCTTAGTAACTACTATACTTTTAAAAAATATATTTGTAATGAAAAGTAATAATAACAATGATGGAAATGATAATTTATTCAGTGCTTCCTGTGTTCCAGGCACTGGGCTGTGAGTCTTGTGTGCGTTCACTTACTAGATAAGGAGACTCTGGTGGAAACTGAAGTAAACTAATTCGGTTTATTTCCCAAGGCTACACAGATTTATTAAGGGATGGTGTGGGATTTGAAAACCATATCTAAATCCAGAAACTGAGTAACTACTATACTTTAAAAAATGCTTACTATCTACCAGGCATCATGTTAAGTGCCTTATATTATCTAATCAGGATACTATTCTTATGAGATAAATATTGCTACATTCATCATACAAATGGAGAGGTCCAGAACGCATTTATAACCTGCCCAAAGTTACCTAGCCACAACTGACAAAGTTGGAATTTGAACCTAGAAATGTTTAATCCTAATATTTATACTATGTACAAATGCTAATATATACTATGCATAAATGCTAAAATATATAGCATTTATACTATGCTAAGTCCCACCATATCAACTACATTTTATGCTTTAATGTATGCATCTATTCATTCATTCACAGGCTCATGACAACACACATACACACGCATATGCACACACACCAACACAGAGGGGGTTGGGAAAGAGAGGGTGATATTAGGCATTGTTAGGTTTGAAGCTCGAGTGTCCATCTGACAGCATCTAGGGAAAATTTGTTTTCTTTGAGACTGGAAAATCTGTTTAATATGACTTTAAACTAATTATGAAGGAAGGCAGAAAAAACACTCCAGATAGATATACACATCTGGTTATTATGGTTATTATGGAGGATAATCTGAGTATCACTTTTTCACTCGCTTGCACGTGTGCACAAACACACAACACACACACGCACTCTCACACTCTGGGCCTTAGTGACTTATTTTTTATTTTATTTTATTTTTTTTGAGACGGAATCTCACTCTGTTGCCAGGCTGGAGTGCAGTAGCGCGATCTCAGCTCACTGCAAACCTCCGCCTCCCGCGTTCAAGCGATTCTCCTGCCTCAGCCTCCCTAGCAGCTGTGACTAGAGGCACAAGACACCACGCCCAGTAAATTTTTGTATTTTTAGTAGAGATGGGGTTTCACCATGTTGGCTAGGATGGTCTTGATCTCTTGACCTCGCAATCCACCCTCCTCAGTCTCCCGAAGTGCTGGGATTACAGGCATGAGCCACCGCGCCCAGCCCTTAGTGAATTTTTTCCTTTAGCTGGAGTATGCTCTCTTCTTCCCTTGGGTACTTCTTACTCCTTTTCCAAGAATCAACTTAGATATCAGTTTTACTTAGAAGCTTCCCTGGTCCCCATGACAGTCCAAATATCTCCAACCCCCGCCATGGCCTGCAGAACACCCTTTCTGCTGCCTTTCATTGCATGCAGCACACTTCATTGTAATAGGGCTTTCCTGTGGCCTTATTAGACTCTAAGCTCCATGGGTCTCCACGCTGGTTCTTCCATCAGTGGATCTTCAGCATTCAATAAAAGCTTGTTGCCAAATGAATGAAGATCTCCAAAGAAATCACAGTCTAGGTCACAAAAATAAGAGCAATAAGTGCCATAGTTCTGAACAGGGAAAAGTGGATGCACAGAAGGGGCAAAGGGCAATTTTATCTGGAGAAGGAAAGGAATAAAAAGATTTTCTAGAGGAGATGATATTTGATCTGTTGAGGGCAGATGGGACAGATGGCTCATCATAAGGAATGGGATATGACCCTGAAATACTAATGCACAGCAAAAATAAATCTCTTGGAGAATTCGTTAAAATGAAGATTCCTCGGCCAAATACCCAGGCAGTTGATTTCAGCGGAACCCTGAGTCACCATTTCTAAGAAGTCCCTCTGCTGACTCCAATGCAGATGGTCTTCAGGCCATGTTTTGAAGAAACAGGAAGGCATGAAAACACATGGCGTGTTTGAGGCCAGGCAAGAAGTTCTCTGTGGCTGGAGGTTTGTGATGCAGGGGAAGGATGTTGGATGGGATGATTTGGAAGCCCGTTGAGGCCAGATTATGAAGAGTCTTGTGGGTCATACCAAGGAATTTAAATTTTGTTCTGTAACACCGTGGGACTATTACTGATTTATAATGAGGGAAGTGATATGATCAGATATGATTTGATTGCACTGCAGACTATGACATTCACTGGTCAGAGACTGAAGATGGCATGTCCATCAAACATCTCCCCCTTGCATGGCCTCAGTGAACACGAGCAGTGTTTTTCAAACTTCTCCAAACTCCCAGACGTATTCTTGGGCTTCATAACTTTCCTATTTTTAAAAAAGATACACAACAGGGAGCCTGTACCCATAAATTTTCTATGATGATCTCTTCAGCTTGTGTTTTCATGTCAGCGTTAATGTTAGTTAGACAAATGTAATCTTTCCCCAAC
The DNA here is from genome assembly GCF_000001405.40 of Homo sapiens. Taxonomy (NCBI): domain Eukaryota; kingdom Metazoa; phylum Chordata; class Mammalia; order Primates; family Hominidae; genus Homo; species Homo sapiens. Next base: position 153,023,569 of record NC_000003.12, on the reverse strand, counting down.
TCATCTCGTTGATTGCTTTATAACCAGTACTACTAGGGATTCTAGTGACTGTTTGCATTTGTGCTTCTTTCCATATGCTTGGTGAAGTGCCCTTAGGTAAGTCATATACCTCTTGTGCCTCACTCTGTTTCCTTATGTATAAAATGGGGAAATAGTGTGCCTAGGCTTTAGGGGCATTCTGAGAATTAAACATATTAGTACTGCAAATGTGAAGTGTTAGATGAGTGCATGGCACAGAGTAAGGACCATATGAGTTTTAACTGTTTTTATTGTTGCTTTATGTTAGAAGCCTCTCCTAAGCTGTGGAGCTTTGTTTTACTGCCATAGTTGCACTTCAGCAACTGCCTGATACAGCCACCAACCACTTCTAAAGTATGAGAGATATGGCCTGCTGACTGGGGCTTACTCAAGGGTTTACTTTATTACCACATCACTGCAAGGGGAGGGGGCTCTCAAAGGTATCCTAGACTTTGTAGCTCAGATTGCCAGCATAGATTTCCCTCCCTCCCTCCCTCCCTTCTTTCCTTCCTTCCTTTTCTTCTTTTCTTTTTCTTTTCCTTCTTTCTTTCCTTTCTTTCTTTTCTTTTCTTTCTTTCTTTCTTTCTTTCTTTCTTTCTTCCTTCCTTCCTTCCTTCCTTCCTTCCTTCCTTCCTTTCTTTCTTTCTTTCTTTCTTTCTTTCTTTCTTTCTTTCTTTCTTTCTTTCTTTCTTTCTTTCTCTCTCTTTCTTCCTGTGTCTCTCTCTCTCTGTTTCTCTGTTTCTTTCCTTTCTTTTTTTTCTTTATTTTTTTCTTTGAGACGGAGTCTTGCTCTGTCTCCCAGGCTGGAGTGCAGTGGCATGTTCTCGGCTTACTGGAAGCTCCACCTCCCGGGTTCACGCCATTCTCATGCCTCAGCCTCCCAAGTAGCTGGGACTACAGGTGCCCGCCACCACACCTGGCTAATTTTTGTACTTTTAGTAGAGACAGGGTTTCACCATGTTAGCCAGGGAAGTCTCGATCTCCTGACCTCGTGATCCACCTGCCTCAGCCTCCCAAAGTGCTGGGATTACAAGCATGAGCCACTGTGCCTGGCCTCTTTTCTTTTTTGAGACAGGGTCTCTTCTCTGTCACCCAGGCTGGAGTGCAGTGATGCAATCTTGGCTCACTGCAGCCTCGACCTCCTGGGCTCAAGTGATCCTCCCACCTCAGCCTCCTGAGTATCTGAGGCCACAGGTGCACATCACCATGCCTGGCTAATTTTTAATTGTTTGCAGAGACATGGTCTCGCTATATTGCCCAGGCTGGTCTTGAACTCCTGGGCTCAGGCGATCCTCCTACCTCAGCGACCCAAAGTGCTGGGATTACAGGTGTGAGCCACTGCACCTAGATAGTGTTTATACATTTCTATCTTCACCTTGCTCATATAACTAATTCCCTGGTGTCACTGCTCCAACGGGGGAGAGCAGAGAGCTTATTAGGACACCAAATTTATTACCCTCTTTGCTGTATCTGAAAACTTCAAGTGAATACTGTAAGTATCCTTTATTGCTTCTCCTTCTGTATCCCGATACAGAAGGAGTTTGTTAGCATAATCCATTTGGGAATTTGTGGTTCTGTGAGGTTGAGCATGTAGAGTTTAAGTATCATGGATTTGAGATTCTTCTCTAAAAGCATTCCTTATCTCGTATGTCCACTCTGTCTAGCCCAGTCCCTTAATGGTCATGGACTAATTAGAAGGGAACAGAAGCAGATGTATTATGTGCAACTTTTGCACCAATGTGGAAGGATAAGAAAAAGATCTTAATATTTGATAAGTCAAACACATACACAAAACCCTGGAGAATATTCTAGTCGTGTGCTACTTTAGGACCAAGATATATGTGGAGATCTCCTGGTGGCAAAAAGTCAAGACTGGCTTCTTTGTTCTATTCAACTTGCCCTGGACATGTGACTTTAGCCCTGAATTCTTGGCACTTCCCTCATGGACTACTCTCCACCTTCAGGTCAGCAGGAGCATCTCTCCTAGACCCCTTTCTTTGTTTTCCTTCACCCTGCTTTGCCTCCTCCCACACCTTGGTTTTGTTTTGTTTTGAGACAGATCTCACTCTTGTCACCCAGGCTGGAGTGCAATGATGTAATCTCGGCTCACTGCAACCTCTGCCTCCCAGGTTCAAATGATTCTCCTGCCTCAGCCTCCTGAGTAGCTGGGATTACAGGTGCCCCCACCATGCCCAGCTAATTTTTGTATTTTTAGTAGAGATGGGGTTTCACCATGTTGGCCAGGCTGGTCTCGAATTCCTGACCTCAGGTGATCCACCTGCCTCGACCTCCCAAAGTGCTGGGATTACAGGGGTGAGTCACTGCATCTGGCCCACACCTTGGTTTTGTTAATAACTTCCCGTATACCCAGAGTTGTATTTCCCGATTCTTCTGGGTAGGGCAGGACTCACTGGGGCCCTAGCTGGAGGGCTATTTTCTTGCCTGTGTGTGTTGATGTCAGTGCCCCGGCGTTGGGTACACCCTCTTCACATCACACAAGCAATACTTATTTTCAGTCACACATTGTCAGCTGGCTGAAATCTTTCCCAGTCTACCACCAAAGGCTGGATTTTTGTCACATTTCTCTTATATCCTTCTAAAATGCCCACGTTCCATAGCAAGACCTGATGGCTGGTCTACAGATACTCATTCTACATGCATAAGAACATCACTGTTTTTCTACCTCAAAGTATTATGTCAAAGGCATACAACAATCAGAGGGGAAACTCATTCTTTTTTTTTTCAATTGAGTTTTATATGAAGAGAGGTGGCTATTTTAGCCCCCTTGTAACCAAAACAGAAAATAATCAGCTGAGACTCCCATCTAAATGTCAATAAATGGGAGTCAGGAGGGGGTCACTAATGGAAAGGTCTAGGAGATCTGTCTTGTCTTTTGGCTCCACTGTCTTTTCAGCTCTGGGAGTAGAGTCTCTAGCAAGTTCTACTAAATCCCTTGGTAGCAAATTTCCCTGAAAAGGATATTTTGTTCCCCAACTGAAATGTGCTTCAGTGAAACTAGGTCCCAAGATTCCTCCCTTGATGGGAATAGGTTTCAGCTGGGAGCCCCAGGCTCGCTGGTTAACATGGGCCATAGAATTTGAAGTAGCATCTAAAAGGATCCATCGCCATAGACAGTCTGTTTAGAGCTAGACTTAGTTCTATTCCGATTCCAGAAGCTTGCTAGTTTCTATCAAATTCTGTCAGGCTGCCATTATAGGAAAGCTTTCCCTTTGAATGTCCTTATTATAGGTAGATAATGTGGAAGAAATGAGGATGGGGTTTAGGGAAGTTCCCACTCCTTAAATTTAACCCTAAGGCTGCTAATTTGACCTTAGCAGCTGAAGGTATCCTATTCTAACTTTGAATCACACAGCTCATTCCGTGTGAATAGTTTACATACCACTTATTTTTCAAGGTTTCTTTTCTACTACCATAAGTTGTGTGAAACAAATATATTGCCAATGACAAAAACAAATTCTTTTTTTAAAATTTCATTTTTAAGAAACAGAGTCTTGCTCTGTCACCCAGGCTGGAGTGCAGTGGTGAGATCATAGCTCATTGGAGCCTCAAACTCCTGGGCTCAAGTGATCCTCCTGCCTCAGCTTCCTGAGTAGCCAGGACTATAGGCACGCACCACTGTGCCCAGCTAATTAATTTTTATTTTTCTGAAATGGGGTATTGCTATGTTGCCAGGCTGGTCTCAAACTCCTGGGCTCAAGCAATCCTCCTCCCTTAGCCTCCCAAAGTGTTGGGATTACAAGCATGAGCCACTGCACCCCGTCGAAAAAAATTCTTAATATGGTCTATTTAATCCTCATGTTCTCTGAAAGAGAACATTCTTCTAAAATGCTCTGTAAAGTTTAGTGTTCTTAAAACCCTATTCAGTGCTTTTTTTCTTTTGTCCAGCCCTTATCCTTTCTTGTGGAAGGAAGAACAGACACTTTCTCCTAGCTAGCAGCATTTGGTTTTCTCTTTCCTTCCACCCTCCACATGATTCAGTTGAGGTGAATCAGCCACACCTTCTTTCCATTCCTGGTTCTCTCGATGGAGACTACTTGCCATGATGAGACCCATCTTGGGAGCCTGTGATGGATAATGCTTACAAGTGACTGAGATGATACTAATTCATATCACCGCTCCAACTGGACACTTGGCAGGATGAACTGAACAGTGCCCATGATCTATCTACCCCACAACCTTCTCCAGAAATGTCAGACTTAACAACAATGCATTGCACCTGCAGGGTGTTCTCAGCACTCAATATCAGGAGGCTTAAGCTCTCAGGCCGAATGAGGGCACATGGCCACGTACCTTTCAGAGATCTGAAAGGAAGTGACCCTCCACCACCACCTGGCATGGCCCTCCATCTGCCTGTACTTACATCTCTGTCTGTGGAACCATCATCTTCCGAGGAGGTGGCCTGGTGCTCAAGAGTGGTCATTCTTGAAGGAGGAAATGGGAGGCATCAAGGAGGGTTGAGCCTAACAACAGACAAGATTCTGCTGGCCCAGGTCTATGGCCAGAGGACTTTCTTTCTCTGGACATTTTGTCCTACATTAAGAATAGTAATAGCAGGCTGGATACAGTGGTTCACGCCTGTAATCCCAGAACTTTGGGAGTCCGAGGCGGGTGGATCACCTGAGGTCAGGAGTTTGAGACCAACATGGACAACGTGGTGAAACCCCGTCTCTACTAAAAATACAAAAATTAGCCAGGTGTGGTGGTGCATGCCTGTAATCACAGCTACTCAGGAATCTGAGACAGGAGAATCGCTTGAACTTGGGAGGCAGAGGTTGCAGTGAGCCGAGATCGTGCCACTGCATTCCAGCCTGGGCAACAGAGTAAGACCCCGTCTCAAAAAAAAAAAAAAAAGAATAGTAATAGCTAACATGGATAGTGCCTACACTGAACCAGGCCATGTTCTAAGTTCTCCACATACCTAGTAAACTCAAACCTCTTAACTCCAACACTAAAGAGAGATTTATGAGAGAGAGAAACCTCAAGTCTATAATCTCACCCAGGAATCACTTGAAAAACAATCCACCCGTTTTTTTTAAAAATTTAAATTTAAATTTTATATTTATTGATTTATTTATTTTCTGAGATGAAGTCTAGCTCTGTAGCCCAGGCTGGAGTGCAGTGGCGCGATCTCGGCTCACTGCAACCTCTGCCTCCTGTGTTCAAGCGATTCTCTTGCCTCAGCCTCCAGAGTAGCTGGGATTACAGGCGCATGCCACTGCACCCAGCTAATTTTTTTGTATTTTTAGTAGAGACGGGGTTTCACCATGTTGGCCAGGTTGGTCTTGAACTCCTGATCTCAGGTAATCCACCCACCTCGACCTCCCAAAATGCTAGGATTACAGGAGTGAGCCATCGCCCCGGCCCCATTTTTGTTTTTTAAATTTCAAATAAAAGTATGCAGGCTCTCTGGGTTGTTTTCCTTGGCATTTCTACAGGAGACTCATGTCCAAACCAGCCAAACAGTTAGCACAGTCCTGATTGGCTGAATGTGGACTCAGCGCAGCCCTAGATACCTCCCCACACCTCTCTTTCCTTAGAGTGCCCTGTGCACCTTTACCATTCCCATGTACCTACCTACATTCAGCTCTGTTTGCCACTATAGTGGAACATCTGTTACCTCTGATTTATATGGTGATATAATTTATTTTTTAAACATGAAAAAAATTATTTATGTATGTATTTATTTATTTTGTTCACCCAGCCTGGAGTGCAGTGGCGTGATCTCAGCTCACTGCAACCTCCACATCCGGTGTTCAAGTGATTCTCCTGCCTCAGCCTCCCGAGTAGCTGGGATTACAGGTGCCACCACCATGTCTGGCTAATTTTTGTATTTTTAGTAGAGATGGGGTTTCACCACAGTGGCCAGGCTGGCCTTGAACTCCTGACCTCAGGTGATCTGCCCGCCTTGGCCTCCCAAAGTGCTGGGATTACAGGTGTGAGCCACTGTCCCTGGCCATGGTGATGTAATTTAGATAAAGCAGAATATTATCAAAAACAGCTCAACAATCCCAGACAGTAACTTTTCAAAATGTAACCACAGCATGCATGTTCAATACTTCACTGCTTAAAAAAAATTCTCTTCTTCCCCATCCTTGGATGATATTACAAAAGCCCTCCTCTAATGCTTTAGAATGCTTCCTTAAAGCCCTTCTTCATACAATTCAAATAAAGACATGACAGTATACTCCAGGAAGTCATCTGTCCCTCATAGCCAGCAGTCTTGATGTCATTTTCAGCTCAGCTGGTGTTCTTCATCTACAGGACTGTTTGGCATTTGGCTGAATGAAAACAGTAATATGTTTGAGAAATGAAGCATCCATTTTCTTCCTCTGACTGGGTGGCATATAGCTTACTTCTAACAAGTCCCTTCTGTTCTGTCCCCCTTTGTCCTTATCAGCATGAGTTTCTCTGCTCGTGTGCTTCTTCATGCATACAATCTTAGATTTGTGGATGTCTATGCACACAGATACATTCCTCTTTGGTAAACAATACTAATTTGCCTGCTTCTTTTCAAGAGGCAATACTATTCCATCATTGTATCAGTTAAGATACGTTTGATACCAATTAATGGAAAATCTAACTCAAACTAGGGTAAGCAATAAAAATGATCTACTTGTTCATATAAAATAAAATCAGGAATTAGTCTGAGCCCTAGATAAGGCTTGATCTAGCAGCTCAGCAATAAAACCTGTAATTTAGCTGCTTTTTTGTTTTATCCTAAAGTGTTAAAAATGTCTTTTGACTGCTTCCACTGGCTGTGTTCACAACTAGCAGTACGATAGAATTCCTCTGTGGATTTATGGTAAAAGTAAAGAAGTTCTTTCCCTAAAGGCTTCAACACACATTTTCTTCTGTCTCAATGTCCAGGTGGGTCACACGCCCATCTCTAGGCAATCAGTTTTGGCTAGTAGATGGTGTATGCTGATTAACTTTGTCAAAAGACAAAATTACCACAAATGTAGTTTAAAGATCTATTTATGATTCTAGAGTCAGGCAAGATGTCATTCAGATCTCATTCTATAAAATAGAATGAGTGCTCTGATGGGCTGTGCAGAGGGAGTTGGCATTGTAGGAAGAAAAGGGCTGAAGAAAGCAGAAAAAGAGAACAAAAAGTGGATTGATAGAGTTAAAAGAGAAGGGGCTTCTTTATTATGTGCAGTTAAACTAGGCCCCTTCTATAAATTTTTGTTGTAAATCTTCTGTTTTCGGAGAACTGTCTTGTTTCAGGGTTCAGATTGATTACGTTGCACGTAGCACAAGTGGCTCCATTTTGGTTTGGTCTGGTCTTTCAGGGCCTTCTGAAGGAGCTCCATCTAAAATAATAACCTCCCCTAAAATTTGTTTAACAGCTTAAACTAATCAGGGCCCACCTCCGTAAATGGGAGTGAGATCAGCTTTTGCCAATCACAGAGGCTATATTGAGGAAGATACTTTCACCAGGAGGAAAAAGGGCTCGGATTCATCAAACAGTCCTACAGTGACTATATTCCTGTCATAAATCTAATCCCACTAGTACTCAGGAAAGCCTGTGAAGTCTTATTTACCAAATTTTGGAAGCTCCTGTTTCAAATGCACTTTGTATATTTCTTGTTTTATTGGCATTGGTGTGCACCGATATCTGAGGCCTTACGCACTCTTACTGGATCGCTTCTAAACTCTTGTGTGAATGACTGGGTCCTGAACCAAGTGCTTTATGTGTTTATGCATTAGAATTTCACAAAAAGCTTAGGTGCCATCAACTTCTTTTTTGCAGAGGAAAACAAAAGTTAACTAATTTGCCCAGTGTCATACACTTAGTAAGTGAACTCAAAATTTAAGCTGAGGCAGTCTCTCTTTAAAACCTGAAGTATTATGGGCCACACCATAACACCTATCATCTCTCTGATGTGCCAAGGCTTACCAAACATGCTAGGACACCAACATGCACTATTTTAGTTATACTAAAAAAGAAATGAAGAGATGGTGGTGTGCACCTGTAATCCCAGCTACTCGGGAGGCTGAGGCAGGAGAATCACTTGAACCCGGGAGGCAGACGTTGCAGTGAGCTGAGATCTTACCATTGCACTCCAGCCTGGGCAACAGAGCAAGGCTCTGTCTCAAAAAAAGAAAAAGACAGTTATAACTTATCAATTGGAACTAATAATTAAGTGTTAGGAAATGACAGAGAAAATGGAACTCTTTTATCCCTGAATTCCTTTTCATCTTTTCTGTCAAGGAAGGAGATCTTTGGCCTAAAAGAGTCGTTCAAATGCTGGCAATAGAGAATAGATTTTGAAAATAGGTGAAGATATTATGGGAGAAAACCCAGCCACTTCCATGAATTTATGTCCTTTTGCTCAGATGAATTAAATGTTGGAAACTGAGAGAAGCTGTGACTGATTCAGCCTGCTGAAGCAACTACAGGGATCTATAACAACGGGAACTGCTCCTGGAGGCTAGGTACTGGCAAGAGCAGTTGAAAAAAAAAAAAAGCACTTCTAAAGATAAATAAATAAATATACCAACTGAAGAGGTTGCTGTTGATTGTGGGCAAGCTCTAAAGCAGCTCATCAAAAGCAAATTTATTAGTACTTAGAAAAAGAAACAGGATTTTCACATAAAAATAGCAGACAGCGCCCAGCACCTTGTTGCCATTTTTATACAAAAGGTAACATTCTCTACCTGATGATCTGCATTTTGCTTTGTTGTTGTTGCTTTGTTTACTGTTGCAATACTATATTTTGGAGATATTTCCCTCTGGTGTGTAGACAGTGTCTTCATTTTTTCCCTCAGCCACCTGAATTCCCTTGTATGCATATACATATTTTATTTAATCAATCCCCTATTGACTGATACTTTTATATACTCTCGACTTTACAAACCGAGCCACAATGAATACCTTTGCATATATGTGATTTTACAAATATTCAAGTACTTCTTTAGAAATACTTAGAAATTATACTTTAGAAGTATAACTTCCCAGAAATGGTAAGATGTATCAAAAGGATATATATATCTGTAATTTTAAAACTTAATGCCAAATAAACTTCCATAGACATGGTACTAATTTATAATTTCACCACAAATGTATGATATTCCTTATATACCCATATCCTTATCATACAGATTCTTACCAAACTAGGGGACTTTTGAAAAAATAATAGGTAAACATAGTCTTTCAGTGAGTTTTAATGTGCATTTATTTATTTATTTTTGTGAGACAGGGTATCACTTTGTTGCCCGTGCTGGAGTATGGTGATGCAAGCACAGCTCACTGCAGCCTCGACCTCCTGGGCTCAAGCAATCCTCCCATCTCAGCCTCCTGAGTAGCTGGGACTATAGGCATGTGCCACCATGCCTAGCTGATTTTTTAATTTTTTTTTTCTTTTTTGGTGAGATGGAGTCTTGCTCTTGTTGTCCAGGCTTGAGTGCAGTGGTGTGATCTCAGCTCACTGCAACCTCCGCCTCTTGGGTTCAAGCAATTCTCCTGCCTCAGCCTCCCAAGTAGCTGGGATTACAGGAGCCCACCACCACACGCGGCTAATTTTTGTATTTTTAGTAGAGACAGGGTTTCACCATGTTGACCAGGCTGGTCTCAAACTTCTGACCTCAGGTGATCCACCCGACTTGGCCTCCCAATGTGCTGGGATTACAGGCGTAAGCTACCACGCCTGGCCTGATTTTTAAATTTTCTATAGAGACGGGTCTCACTGTGTTGTCCAGGCTGGTCTTGAACTCCTGAACTCAAGGGATCCTCTTAGCCTCAGCCTCCTAAAGTGTTGGGATTAAAGACATAAGCCACCACAATCAGCCTTACTTTGCATTTATTTTATCATCTTTGAGTTTAAGAACCAGTAGAATTTTCTTTCCAATGGACTGTCTGTTCATATCCCTTCTCCATTTATTTTTCTGTTGGGTTATCAATCTTTGCAGCTTGATTTTATTTATCAGAGCAATTAACTTTTTAATAGTGACATTTATTTTTCTTCAATTTCTTGTGTGTATTTTGATTTTGATTATGGTATCTCTTATGCAGAAATTATTTTTTAATGAAATAAGATATATCAACATTTTGTTTTTGGCTTCTGGATTTTTGAGTTATGTTTGGAAAAGCAATTGTTTTTGAAATTATGAAAGAAATCCAATATTTCGTTCTATTACTTTTATAGTTTAATTTTCACATTTAATATTTTGATTTATATAGATTTATTTCCTGATGGATGGAGTGATAAATGAATCTAACTTTTTCCCTGCGTAGAAGTGTACCCATTTTTTTTAACATCATTTATTGGAAGGTCTGCCTTTTTCTGAGTCATTTGAGAGACTATCCTTATCATATACTTAATTTCTCTTTTGCAGGTTCTATTTTTGTGCATTCTATTTGTTTAATTTGCCTTTCTGTTTATTCATGCACAATTGCTATATTGTTTTATTTATGAAGGCAATATAACATGTTTTATTAATAACACGTGGTAAATCTATTTCTCCCTCATTTTTTTTATTTTTCAGAATTTTTCTTTTATAGCTGCCTAGAATTTCCTTGTATGGATATACTTAATTTGTTTAACAAATCCCTTATTGATGCACACTTGCTTATAGTCTTTGAATTTTACAAACAATGCTGCATATATGTGATTTTACAAATTCAAATATTTAAGTAAATAATAATGAAATAAACAAATACAATGCTTTGTGGTTTTTTTCTTGTGGAATTTAGATTCACCTTGAAGAGTTAAAAAATATTGGTGTTTCATTGAGATTTCTCTAAGTTTATAAATGAACTTATGGAGAACTGACATTTGTGATGTTGACCCTTTGTTAAAGAAAAATCTGAGGCACAGTGATTTTATTTTATTTTATTTATTTATTTTATTGAAACAGGTTCTTGCCCTGTCACCGAATAATGCAGTGGTTATCAAAGCTCATAACAGCCTCAAACTCCTGGGCTCAAGCAATCCTCCACCACATCCTCCTGAGTATCTGGGACTACAGGTGTGTACCACAAAGACCAGCTAAAATATTTTAAAGAGTTTATTTGAGTTAGAAGCCATTTATGAATTAGAGAACACCAGACCAAAAAAGGTTTAGCGTTCTGATAACAAATTGTCAGGGGCAACTATTTGCAGGATAAATGTGGAAGCAAAATAAGTTATTTGATTGGTTTCAGTTATACGATTGCCTGATTTGTTTTATCACCTTGGAAGGTCCTCAGTTATATAATTATTACTTTTTGGCTACTTCTCATAGATTGAGCTTAAATTCTGTTTTTGCTTAACATAGACATTTATAAGAAATAGCTCAATTTAAATTTTGCATAGGTTTGCAAATCAAGCTAAGTTGATGTCACTTAGAGGCCTAATTGGTTTTGTCTGCTCAGGAATTCTTCTGGTTTGGTCTCCCTTTTAATTTAATGCTTTTTAATCCCAAAGCAGGGAATACCTTTCCATTTATTTTTGTCTCTGTCTTTCATAAGTGTTTTCTTCTTATGAGACATACACATTTTTAATCAAGCTTATTCCTAAGTATTTTATTATTCTTGTTGCTATTTTAGTAGGGTGTTTCTTTCATTGTATCCTCTAAGTGGTAGTTGTTTATATATGAAAAGTGCCTGATTTTTACATTTTACTTATGTACTCAGCTTCCTTGTTAAATTATTTTATTGTTTTTAGTTTTCCAATCTATTCTCTTGGGATTCCTAATAATTCAATCATATCATCAGCAAGCAGTGATAGTTCCCTCTCCTCTGCAATGTTTATACCTCTCATTTCTTTAATTGCACTGGGGGGTACTTCCAGAACAATATTAAATAGTAGTGGTTAAGGACAACCTAACAAGTGGGATAGATGGGATATTCCCATCTATTCATAGTATTCACATATCTTATTCATATAGATAATAGATAGGATATTCCCATCTATTTATATTATTCACATATCTTATTCATATAGATAATAGATAGGATATTCCCATCTATTTATATTATTCACATATCTTATTTATATAGATAATAGATGGGATATTCCCATCTCTTCATATTATTCATATTATCTTATTCCTATTTTAGTATGTTTTATCAAGAATGAGTGTGAAATTTTATAAAAATGTATTTTAATGACTGTAGAGATATTTATATAAGTTTTGTCCTTAGGTCTAATTACATAGATAATTATATTAATAAATTTCATAATATTAAAATACTCTTGCATTTGTATAATAAACTTCTTTTCGAGACTTTTTTCTTTGCTGATGGGATGAATTCCAGTTTTTAACATTTTACTTTAGATTTTTACATTACTATTCGTTAGTGGGATGAATTTGTAGTCCCTCCCTCCCTTTCTTTGTTCTTTCCTTTTAAAATCTTTTCTAGTTCTGATTTCAATTTTGCTTTCTCAAAAATAATCGGAAAGTTTTCCTTCTTATTCTATGTAATACCACATATTCATTCATTCTTTAAAATTTTGGTGGAACCATCTGAGTCTTATGCTTTTTGTGGGGGAGTTAGTGTTTTTTTTTGAGACGGAGTTTTGCTCTTGTTGACCAGGCTGGAGTGCAATGGCATGATCTCAGCTTACTGCAATCTCTGCTTCCCTGGTTCAAGCGATTCTCCTGCTTCAGCCTCCTGAGTAGCTGGGAATACAGGCATGTGCCACCATGCCCTGCTAATTTTGTATTTTTAGTAGAGACGGGGTTTCCCCATGTTGGTCAGGCTGGTCTTGAACTCCCGACCTCAGGTGATCTGCCCGCCTCGGCCTCTCAAAGTGCTGGGATTACAGGTGTGAGCCACCGTGCCCAGCCGGGAGTTAGTTTAACTTTATTTCCTTCTGAAATAATTTTTACTTTCTGAAATTTATTGATTTTTTTTTTTGAGGACAATATTTAGTCAATTTTCCTGAAAGTTTCATGAGCTCTGTAAAGGAAGATGCATTCTCTATTTTCAGCAGTGTTCAAATATAATATTTATATATACCTTATTAATTATGTTATTTAGACCTGTGTACTTCTGTCTGTCCATTTGATCTCTTACGTACTGAGAGAGTAAAATTAAAATTTACTAATAGTTATTTCTATTTCCCCTGCATCTTCTATGCTTTTTGCTATGTATATATTGATACCATGTTATTTGGTTCATATTGGTTTTTAACTTTTAAAATTATATACTCTCTATATGTTTTAAATATATATGTTATATATATATGCACACAGTGAGAAAGAGAAATGCACTAATCATATGTGTACAGTTTGATGAATTATTTCATCAAATGCACACACCTGAGTAACCACCATCAAAATAAATAATAGAATATTACCAGACAGTGCTTGGCTTTCCAAAGTATTCCTTTTTTTTTACATCAAGGTTTAGTAACTTTACTGGGTAGGATATGTCTCAGTGTTTTGGGCCAATATTCTTTGGCACATGGTGAACTCTTCAAATGTTATATCAGGGATGTTTACTTGAAACATATCTTTTATATTGGCTCCATTTTCTTTCTTTTTTTTATTTTTATTTTTATTTTTTGAGAGGGAGTCTCACGCTGTCGCCCATGCTGGAGTGCAGTGGCGCCATCTCGGCTCCTCGGCTCACTGCAAGCTCTACCTCCCAGTTTCACACCATTTTCCTACCTCAGCCTCCAGAGTAGCTGGGACTACAGGCTCCTGCCACCACGCCTGGCTAATTTTTTGTATTTTTAGTAGAGACGGGGTTTCACCGTGTTAACCAGGATGGTCTCAATCTCCTGACCTCGTGATCCGCCCACCTTGGCCTCCCAAAGTCCTGGGATTACAGGTGTGAGCCACTGTGCCTGGCCTATTGGCTCCATTTTCTTATTCTGTTCTTTTACTTTTGGAAATACAATTATGTATGGGTTGGATCTCTTACTGCCTTCTTTTTCTGTTTCTTAATTTATTTTTTTTTAATAGAGACAGCGTCTTACTATGTTGCCCAGGCTGGTCTCGAACTCCTGGGCTTAAGCAATCCTCCTGCCTCTGCCTCCCAAAGTGCTGGATTACAGGCGTCAGCCACCTCACCCAGCTCTTGCTTTTCTAATAAATTAGAAAAAAATATTATTTTTTTCTAATTTATTTTAGCTCTTTGTTTCCATCTTATTCTGCTCATTTTTTCCATTTCTATCTTCTTTGCCTCTTGTTGTGTTTTCTATATATATACACAATTGTGTGTGTGTATATATATACACACATATATATTTATATATACAATTGTGTGTGTGTGTGTGTGTGTGTGTATATATATATATATATATATTTTTTTTTTTTTTTTTTTTTTTTTTTTTTTTGAGATGCAGTCTTGTTCTGTTGCCCAGGCTGGAGTGCAGTGGCACGATCTCAGCTCACTGCAGCCTTCTGTGTATATATATATATATATATTATATGGCGATTCTCCTGCCTCAGCCTCCTGGGTAGCTGGGATTACAGGCATATGACACCACACCTGGCTAATTTTTGTATTTTTTGTATTTTTGTATTTTTAGTAGAGATGGGGCTTCACCATGTTGGCCAGGCTGGTCTCGAACTCCTGACCTCAGGTGATCCGCCCGCCTTGGCCTCCCAAAGTGCTGGGATTACAGGCGTGAGCCACCGTGCCTAGACTTTTCTGTATATTCTTCAACCCTCTGCTTTTCTTTTGATTTTGCCTTCACTTCCATTATATTTTTTCCTTCTACTTATTTCCTGACATTTCTCAGGTTTCTTTTCCTTCTGTTGTTTTTGTCATTTCTTTTTTCAAGTTTTTCATTTTTTCCTTAAGACCTTCTTTCATTAAGGAATTGACTCGTTAAGCTTTTGGTACAATTCATAGTGAAATATATGATCATAACTTTCATCTGCAGTTGATTTTTTGTTGTAAATGCTCTCTTAGTTTCTAAGTTTTGCTGCCGTTTTCCTCCTCTATATCTTAACAGTATCTTCATATCATTCCTTTGCTAGTTTGTTTTTAATTCATACATTATTGACTCACTGCGGTTTTCCCTGGATCTGCCGTGTATATTAGAGTATGTGAGAAGGGGCATGCATATTGTTCCAGGCCAGCTGGTTATCACAGCCCAAAGATTCTGTGATGCACCATTGCTGCGACTTTTGGTGACAACTGAATTTCAGAATTCAATGCTAGGACAGGAAATTATGTTACATTTTGATAGGGGCAGAAAACTGAAAAGGCTTTTGTTCTTCTTTCCTCTGCTTTCTTAGCACACTGTCTTGAGGTATGGAAAAACATGTTTGGTCTCTGTGGGCTGCACATACAGATGTCTGTGTGTGCATGTGCTTTTCACCATGTAATAGCAGGACAGAAAAGGCAGTAGAACTATGCCAGTATTTGGCTGGTTATTTCCTTTTTACCAATTTTAAAGAAGCACATAGACTTTTGGTTATGCTTAAAAGGTCATGGAGACAAAGTCAATAACAGACAAATCTTAATTTCCCCTCCCCTCTCAGTTTATATCTCAATGGTTACAAAACCTAAGATGGGCACACTGAACTTTGAAGTTTTTGAAGTAACATATAGTCCTCACACGTAAATAATCATATGTGGCTAGAAGTGAATAAAAATACAGAATAGATGGCTGTATTGATTTTTGCCCTAAATAGTGATAAAATGACTGTATTTGATTTTTATGGAATATACTATTTGAGTGATCCAATTTAAATTCAGTGCCTTTAGTTATGATGCGTTTATGCTGTAATCACAGAATTCAGGGTTCCAATTCAATTTTTTTCTCATTAAATTTCACAAGGGGCCAGGCGCAGTGGCTCAGGCCTGTAATCCCAACACTTTTGGAGGCCAAGGCTGGTGGATCACCTGAGGTCAGGAGTTCAAGACCAGCCTGGCCAACATGGTGAAACCCTGTCTCTACCAAAAATACAAAAAATTAGTTAGGCATCGTGGCCGGCACCTGTAATCCCAGCTACTTGGGAGTCTGAGGCAGTAGAATTACTTGAACCCAGGAGATGGAGGTTGCAGTGAGCTGAGGTCATGCCATTGCACTCTAGCCTGGGCAACAAGCACAAGACTCCATCAAAAAAAAAAAAATCACATAGAAGCCAAAACAAAATTATCTGCTTACTTAAAACAATAGCTTTTCAAATTTAAGAAATATTTTTCGACTAATACATTATATAAGTCAAGTATTTTTATGTGAGATTGCATTAATTATAAAACATTATACTAAATGGCTTAGGACCACAAATACAAAAAAGTAGTGTCTCTTCCTTCCTTTTTTTTTTTTTTCGAGATGGAGTCTTGCTCTGTTGCCCAGGCTGGAGTGCAGTGGCATGATCTCGGCTCACTGCAAGCTCCACCTCCCGGATTCACACCATTCTCCTGCCTCAGCCTCCCAAGTAGCTGGGACTACAGGTGCCCGCCACCACGTCCAGCTAATTTTTTTGTATTTTTAGTGGAGACGGGGTTTCACCGTGTTAGCCAGGATGGTCTCGATCTCCTGACCTTGTGATCCGCCTGCCTCAGCCTCCCAAAGTGCTGGGATTACAGGTGTGAGCCACCGCGCCCAGCGTCTCTTCCTTCTTGAGCTCATAATTTACTAGGGATGATAAATACATCTAAAAATAATTTGGATAAAGTGTAGGTATGAATAAATGAGAAATTAATTCTGACTAGAGAATCAGAGAAGACTTTTGTTTTCTGGGGGAATGTGGATGGGGAAGGGTAGGTATTGGGTATTGCAAAGTAGACTTGAGGAAAAAGTTCTCTAAAATTGTTTTTGGGTTTGGGGTCTGCCACAGGTCTGGTGAGTATGTCCAGAAAGACTTGAGACAGAGCTTTATAGCATGTCAGACATTCTGATAAGTAGACTCAGAATTTTTGAACTTTAAAGGATCATAGTGCTCATTAAGATCATTTTGTATGAAGAAACTGAAGGCAAGAGGAGTTAATTAATTCCCCTAATGTCCCAGAGTTATTGGAGACTATGCTGAGACTCAAACCATGGACTCCTGTTTCTTGGTTCAGTGCTTTACCCAGTCCATGCACTCCCTCTAGAAGACAAGGATCAAACTGAAGAAGTCTTTGAATGCCAGGATGGTCTGGGAAGATTAATTTGAATATGTCAGAGAAAAGAAGAGGTGGAGGCCGGGTGTGGTGGCTCACGCTTGTAATCCCAGCACTTTGGGAGGCCAAGGTGGGCAGATCACGAGGTCAAGAGATGGAGACCATCCTGGCCAACATGGTGAAACCGCATCTCTACTAAAAATACAAAAATGAGCTCGGCGTGGTGGTATGCGCCTGTAGTCCCAGCTACTCGGGAGGCTGAGGCAGGAGAATCACTTGAACCCGGAAGGTGGAAGTTGCAGTGAGCCGAGATCATGCCACTGCACTCCAGTCTGGTGACAGAGTGAGACTCTGTACCCTATCTCTAAAAAGAAAAAAAAGTTATGACTAGGCAGTTAACAGTAAAAGACAAGCAAAGGCTTTAAAGTTTAATAATATAAGGTGTTGGGGAAGATGTGGAGAAACATACATTCCTGGAAGCATAAATCTGTATCAACTTCTGCAGAGGGGAGTTGAGCTATACATATAAAAATTATAAACCAACATATCTCTCTTTTTTTTTTTTTTGAGACAGGGTCTCACTCTGTCGCCCAGGCTAGAGCACAGTGGCGTGATCTCGGCTCGCTGCAACCTCCGCCGCCTGAATTCAGGCAATTCTCATGCCTTGGCCCCCCCAGTAGCTGGGATTGCAGGCGCACGCCACCACGCACAGCTAATTTTTATATTTTTAGTGGAGATGGGGTTTTGCCATGTTGGCCATGCTGGTCTCGAACTGCTGGCCTCAAGTCATCTGCCCATCTCGGCCTTCCAGAGTGCTAGGATTATAGGTGTAAGCCAGACCTGACTAGCAATTCTATTACCAGGAATTTATCCTAGAGATCCAGTTACACATGGGTAAAATGACATATATATTCATTTTCATTGTTTTTATTATCAAAGGGTTAGAAACAACCTAATGTATATCAGTAGGGACTGGTTTAATAAGATAAATGTATATAATGCACCTATAAAAAAACAAAAAAGACTTTTGTGTATGGACATGGAATCAACTCCAAGATATATTGATTGTTTTTTTTTTTCTTTTTTTTTTTGAGACTGAGTCTCCCTCTGTCTCCCAGGCTGGAGTGCAGTGGCGCGATCTCGGCTCACTGCAAGCTCCGCCTCCCGGGTTCATGCCATTCTCCTGCCTCAGCCTCCCGAGTAGCTGAGACTACAGGCGCCCACCACCATGCCCGGCTAATTTTTTGTATTTTTAGTAGAGACGGGGTTTCACCGTGTTAGCCAAGATGGTCTCGATCTCCTGATCTCGTGATCCGCCCGCCTTGGCCTCCCACAGTGCTGAGATTACAGGTGTGAGCCACTGCGCCCGGCCTAAATGGATTGCTAAAAAGGAAAAAAATTAAAGTAACAAATAGAATATAGATTGCCATCATATTCCTCAAAAGAGAGGAGAAAAAGATAAATTCAACTTATAATGTTGATTGACTCTAGAGAGAGGAACTGGGTGACTGGAAGACAGAGATAAAACAGGTATTTTTCATTGTGTGAATATGAGTAATTCAAAAAAAGAAAATTTAAAGAAAACCAAATGAGTATCCCAACAATGACTGATGAACACAAGCTTATGATGAGAGTTCATAACTTTGATACAGGTATTACTGAAAATTTCAGGAAATCACCAGCAATTTCCCACTTTGGACTCAGTAAGTCAGTAAGTGGAGAAGCTCAAAATGGACAAAGAAAAGCAACTGAAGGGCCGGGCACGATGGCTCAAGTCTGTAATCCCAGCACTTTGGGAGGCTGAAGTGGGCGGATCAAGAGGTCAGGAGTTCCAGACCAGCCTGGCCAACATGGTGAAACTCCATCTCTACTAAAAATACAAAAATTAGCTGGGCATGGTGGCGGGCACCTGTAATCCCTGGAGGCTGAGACAGAAGAATTGCTTGAACCCAGAAGGTGGAGGTTGCCATGAGCCAAGATTGTGCCACTGCACTTCAGCCTGGGCAACAGAGCAAAGCTCCGTCTTGAAAAAAATAAAAAAGAAAAGAAAAGCAACTGAAATGCTTTGGAATCCTTTGATAATCTCACCTAGCCTTCCTTCTCCACATTTGATTTGTTAATAATAAATATAGTGGTCATATCAACAACAACAACAAAAAAACCAAAACAACAACAAAAAACAAACAAACAAAAAAAGGAAACAGGAGGTGGACGCAAGGAGATCAGTTAGGTAAAATCTGGGTTATTATAAGAAATCCACCTCAATTCCATTTTCAGGTCTCACAATGCCCTGGGTAGCTAGAATGTTTTGTGGAATGTTTATCCACCCTTCTATTTTAAGGAAATATGTAGACGTGTAGGAAAATAGAAGTGTTTATGGCTATGTTTGCTCTGTGGGAGCACTGGCATGAATAACAGAATCAAGACCTGCATATCTAATGTGAAGGTGTAGCTTTGCCCTCTTGTCACCCTGGCCATATACTATATTTATTGCTTCTACTCTTTGGGCACTTGTATAAAAGGTCACTCCTCCCAAGGTCACTCTTCTGAAAGGAAACAGGATTCTAAAGCAAATTAGTACCTTATGCAGACATAAAATCAACACATGTAATCTAATGATCAGATTGAAATTCATTGCTATGGGTTTCATTCAATATCAGCACATAAGTACAGCCTTTCATATTTTATCACTTTTTCTCCCCTTTAAAAGCTGAATATATTTCAAGTTCATCTTTTGTCTAAGCAATCAATTCTCAGGAAAACTGGCTGTCAAGCCTGCAGCTTGAAGAAAATAAAAAGAGAAGAATATCAATAAGCTTCCTGCTGCTTTGTCCTTTACAAATGGTCAAATTTATGCCTGTATGCCTGTTACCTATTTTCTGAAGCTAAGCAGTTGGCCTCCAGAGGGAAAAAAAGCCTATGAACCAGCCACTTTAGAGATCTTGGCATTTACCTCCGGGACCAGTTAATTAGCTTCTTGGGTTTGCTCATTTGAATTAAAGACAAATTAGAATAAAGAATTATTACATTAATGGCATTATATTTCTGATTTTAAGTCTTACTTGATATGATCGACTTCAAGTCTAGCAGCCAGAAAGCAGGATGCACAATTAAGACAATAGAGCGATTATGAGAAGTATAACTACTTCATAATTGGGTTTTTATATTCACTACAAATTACCATGTACCACAATGGTTACAGTTCAAAAGTAATGAAAATAATGTCCATAGTTATGAGCTTTTCAATTTAATGCATATGTAATTTTCTGCTGGTTATAGCTCTGTGGTGATTCCAGCCATAGTGAGTTTAGTGATAATTAAAATAACTTTGCATTACAATCAAACAATTACCTTTGGGAATTGATGCAAGCCCATAATCCACTTGATATTTTGTCCTGCTCTAAGTAAAAGCTTTTCAAGTGCTTTGAAACCTAGAAATGTAGTTTTATTGAGAGATCAAAATTTTGAAGCTTCAGAGAGCATATGGTTTGCTAATCTGAAAGTAAACAAAATCCTTTTGAATTTTGAAGTTTGATAAGCCTGAAAATGTGAATTCGACTAAGTGATTGATTTCCCAGTTAACTGAATAAAAGAAAATAGATGTTATGACTACATTATCTTCATCCAGACAGTTTAAGACATTCAGTATGTAAATCAGATTGTTCCATAGCAGCTGCTTTCCATAGTAGATCAATCATTGAAGAAAGTTATGGAAATGTGCATGATAAAAATTGAGAGAGTTCAAGAAAATGTTATCTTTGAAGTCTTTAGAAAATTCCAATACACCTTTGACAAATATTCATGTGTACTAAGAAAATAATATTCTACTTTCAGAAGATAAGTTCTCAATAGAAAGAATAAGGAAAGTCATATGGGGCGGGGTGTGGTGGCACACACCTGTAATCCCAGCATTTTGGGAGGCCAAGGTGGGTGGATCACCTGTGGTCAGGAGTTCGAGACCAGCCTGGCCAATATGGCAAAACCCCATCTGTACTAAAAATACAAAAACTAGCCAGGCTTAGTGGTGTGCGCCTGTAATCCCACCTACTCAGGAGGCTGAGACAGGAGAATCACTTGAATCCAGGAGGCAGAGGTTGCAGTAAGCTGAGATTGCACCACTGTACTCCAGCCTGGGCAACAAGAGTGAAAATCTGTCTCAAAAAAAAAAATCACATGATTATTTCTATCTAGTTTTCTGTTATGCCCTCCATTTACTTAAAATCTATGTCACCTTGAATAAGTATTTTAATTTTTCACATCTGAGTCTATTTTTATATATAATAGGAGAATCATACTACTTATTTCCAGGAGTAAACCCCCCAAATAGTAGACAGTTCAGAAGACTGCTGTGTTTGCACTAGAATATAAATGAAAGATTACAGTATTGGGTCCCTGACAATGCAGAAGCAAGTGTTAATCACTATCCTCAATGTCAATCTTATGGTTCATAGTTTAGTAGCACCACTTTGGGATTAGGTCAAGGGCGTTAACTTTCTTCTTAGTGGCCAGGAAGTTTGTTTTTTGTGGTTGCTTTGAATACAAGAATAATTATTTCTCTTGCAGAAATTGGCAAACTACAAAGAATAATATCTGTCCTGGGCTTGTTTTACATTTTAAAAGGATTTCAAACAAACAAAACAAAACAAAGGATATGTGAGCAAGACTGTACAGGCCTACACACCCTAAAATGTTTATCTTCCCTTTTTACATGAAGTTTGCTGATCCTGGCTATATAGGCTTATAAAACTTTCTAGGACCCTTGGACGAGAAATACTAAATTATGTATCTTTATTATTCATTATTCAAGTCTATACAATAAAGCGCTTTTGTGTCCTCCAACCTGTTGATATTTGTAACCAGGGTTATAGCTACTTATGACTCAAGGATGGCATGTTTGTTACATTATAAAAGAAGCTCATTGCACAGCAAATGTTTTGAGACTTAGGACACTCATCCCATTGTATCATGTAGTTTAAAGCTATTGGATTTGTTCATGTACTTTTTTTTAGATGCTTGCCATGGTTTGACTGTGTCCCCCAAAAAGAATGTGTTGAAAACTTAATTCCCAGTGCAATAGTGTATTGGGAGGTGGGGCTTAATAAGGGGGGCTCCACCCTCATGAATAGAATAATACATTATTGAGGGAATGAGTCATTATAAACGGGCAAGTTTGGTCCATTTTTTTCCCTCTCCCTTACTTTCTGACCTTCCACCATGGGATGACACAGTAAGAAGGCTGTCACCAGATACTAGTACCTGGATTTTGGACTCCCCACCTTCCAGAACTGTGAAGAAATAAATTTCTGTTCTTAATAAATATCCAGTCTTAGGTATTAATATTTTATTATAGCAGCACAAAATAAGACAATGCTCAGACTAAGACAAGGCTCAACATTTGAGTTAGTCAAGTACTGGAGTGTCAGTTTGGCCAAGGGTTAATAAAAGTGCATAATGTCAGAGGGTCTAATTTAAATGTGAGCTTTACTACTTATCCATGTGTGACCTCAGCCAACATAGCCAACTTCTCTTAGCTATAGTTTCTACACTAGCTATACAGTCTAGTATCACATTCCAGAAATTTGTGACATTTAAACAAGAAATAGTTCCAACATCTTGCTCAGTTTCTAGTATGTAGACTCTCAAAAAATGTTAATAAGAGTGACCTCTGATTCTGAGGTGAGAACAATGAATGAACGTTCACAGATTTAACTCCATGTTGGACCATAAAACAGTAATATCCATCATGTATTACACAGTAAGGAATTGATTCCTTTTTTCATTCAGGTTAATCTTTACCATTTTTCTTACATCCTTATTATTGACTAAACTTTTTAGATATGCCAAATTTTATATGTGGTTTATATGTGATTTATATGTGGTTGCCTACGTTCTGTACTAGACGAATCTTTATCTTAAAATGTTAATTATTATGTAAATGAGCTTTCTTATCAGGCATATCAGTTTTTTTTTTAAGGACAATAAACATTTATTATCTCAGTTTCTGTAGGTCAGGGATCTGGGAGCAGCTTAGCTGGGTGGGTCAGGCTTGGTGTCTCTCATTAAAGGCACATTATCTTTAACTGAGGAAAAACTTTATGAATTCACTTTACAAAATAAGTATTTAAGCAGACATATCAGTGGATATTTGGGCAAATATAATATGTGATACAGGGTAACTGAATGTCTGCAGGAGAATCTATTCTAGATTTTTTTTTTTTTTGAGACAGAGTCTTGATCCGTCACCCAGGCTGGAGTGCAATGCCGTGATCTTGGCTCACTGCAACCTCCACCTCCCGGGTTCAAGCAATTCTCCTGCCTCAGCCTCCCAAGTAGCTGGGATAACGGGCACTCGCCACCATACCTGGCTAATTTTTGTGTTTTTAGTAGAGATGTGGTGTTGCCATGTTGGCCAGGCTGGTCTCGAACTCCTGACCTCAGGTGATCCACCCGCCTCGGCTTCCCAAAGTGCTGGGATTACAGGTGTGAACCACTGCTCCCAGCCTAGAGTGTTTATGTATCATTCATTACACACAAGTTTTATGTATCATTCATACACGTGCACACACACATACATATATATACACATACACATATACATATTTACATCGCAATCTATTTAGTGTTATAATGATATATTTGAAGACAATTCCAATTGCAAATTTAAATTATTTTAATGATCTCTGCTACAGAATCAATGTGCTCCATTTAAAAAAATAAACAGGTTATTTATTTATTTATTTATTTATTTTTAAAACAGAGTCTTGCTCTCTTGCCCAGGCTGGAGTGCAGTGGTACGATCATGGCTCACTATAGCCTTAGACCTCCAGGGCTCAGTTGATCCTCCCACCTCAGCCTCCTTAGTAGCTAGGACCACAGGTTCACACCACCATGCCCAGCTAATTTTTGTATAGATACCTAGGCTCAGAAACCTAGGCTCCCTGCATTTCTCTGGTGTCCCTTCTCTGTGATATGACACTCATCCTCATGTTTGCATATGACTGCTAGAGCTCCAGCTACCTGTATCTCCATTCTAAGCAGTAAGAAAAATAAAAGAAAGAATGCAGTCATTCTCTTATGGGAGATTACCCAGAAGTCTCCACATATTTCTGCAACTATCTTATTGATTAGAACTTAGTCACACAGCCATATCTAGGTGCAACTGAAGTGGGGAATGGTAGTCTTTTCCTAGATATAAACATGCCAAGATAAAAATAAGAGTTTCGTTACCAAAGAGAAAAGGAGATAATAAACATTAAGAAGCAACTAGCAATTACTGTTACAGTGCATTATATTGTAGAATAATGCTCAGCAAAATTTTAAAAAATTTGTAAATAAAATAATGGACCGAAGGATGAAATGCAAATTACTTATAATAACATTAAAGTAACCAATCACCTTACAAGTAACTCAGAGTGTAAGCATTAGTCTCATTAAAATAATAAGCAACTCTTTTTTTTTTAAGTGTCAGGAAACTGAAGCACAAAAGATTTAAATGTCACGTTAAATAAATGCTAGAGGTGGGATGGGAATTCACATTTTTTTCATTTCCAAACTGATGTTCGCTTAGATATGCTCAAAGGATTTTTAGAAATGATGAATTATTGATGGATGTCACACTATTGTTGACTTTTCTGATCAAGAGATTTAAAATTCAATTCTAGCTTGTACAAAAGCTTTGAAATTAATTGCAGACACCTGTCAATGTCTTTGCTCTGTCCCTTACCCGAGGAGATTATTGCTAAACCTCTGTTATTTGTGTTGCTATCACATTCTGCCCCCAGCTGGGTTCTGGTGCTTGCTCATCAGAGCAGACCTATAATCCTCCTACAGCCCAGCAGCAGAAAATGATATGGAATCAAATCACGCTCAGGGAAATAGGAACGCTAAAGTTTTAATGATACAACTGGTTTTGGAATTTTAAATTCCCTGGTTCATTAGTGAAAACCCTGCACTTGCTGCTACTATTCTAAAGTCTATAAATATTGGAAGAGATCAAATGCTTCACAGAAATTCAGTATTACCTACTAGGTAAATTATTTACAAAGTAATCAATGACATTAAGCCACAGAAAATGGAAAGAGAAAGAGGCTACTGAACAACAACAACAAAGTCACAGTGGAAGTATTTTGCCAGTTGTTTTGGGGCAAATGCAGAGAAAAGCACTTAGTGGGTAATTTTATGATGAGGACTGATGATCTGGACAATTCTTAGATGTTTGTTTCTACCAGTAAAACCTTCTACAATGAAGTCTCATAATAGATGGGTATTTAGTTGGGGACATAGCTACAGAGAGAGAGGGGCAGAAGGCCGAGTTCAGTTCTGTCTTACAGCATTCACCCTTCATCCCCCCATTCAACTCCATGACAGCCTTCAGCTCCTTCTTGACTCTGTTTCATTGTCACTATTTCTGTGTCTTTAGGTAATATATTTCAGTTTTTCAGTGAGAAAATCTGTATTACTGCTTTGTTAGCAGATGGACAATGTTGTTAACCATTTGTGTTTCTATATACTGAGTGCCTAAGTTGAAGAGGTTGTCTCAGTTATTGATTAGTGAAAGATAAAATAAGCTAGTTGTATGATATTTGGGAAATCTGCCAGAAGCCAATGCCATGGAGTGGCATAAAAAGCCAAAAGCTGGGAAAAGTTCATGAGTAAACAGAAGTCCATGAATAATAATTTGACATACATGACATCAATGGATGGAAAAAAGGCAAAAGGCCTGACCTAAGAGGAAAAACAATTTGACCGTTGTGTATTTATCATGAACAGATACTTCATTTAGGAAGATCCGTACCATAGAACACTTATGTAATCCATGGTTATTATCAGTGTGTCTTTGTGCATTCATATGAATCTCAGGAAGAGATGATGAGCCAACCATCAGAGAGTGAATATGAGCCAAATTTTGTGACTGACTTCCAGAGAGGGGAATTTGTTCATGCCTTCTGGGAAGATTGAGAGGGTTCAGAATGGAGAAAGGAGAACTCAGAAAGGAATTAAGTAGTAACTCCACTTCCTTGGTCTACAGAAATTACTTGTAGCTGCTGACCTCAGAGTAGCAGAGGAAGCAAACTTTAGACTTATTGCTGGGAGAAGCAAGTGTAAGGTTCAGAATGTTTAGATGGAAGATTGCTGGCCAAAGAGTTTGGAGAGGGGACAACGAATATAGTGGTATTGAGAGCACTTCACAGAAAGTAAAGTCCTGGCCCCAACATTTACACATGTGAGAGTTGAGAGGATTTCTGTGTCATTCATATGATGAATGTTGTTGCGTAGTTAGTCTAGATTCCTCCAGTTATGTATTCTTACATGTCGATGTGGCAACTGCTCCATGTAACACCACTCTTTGGCAATTGCCTGGCAGAGCCCAAATTCAATGAAGCACTGGATTTAACAGCATATAACTCATACTCATGAGTAACATCAATACAATGATTACCATGATTAAATATGAATAATTCTGAGTCTATAAACTCAGGTATATAAAAATATAATATTCTTTCTTTTTCTGTAGCTTCGCTTCCTTTCTATCAGAAAGATTTTAATTGCCCCTTCTTTATGTCTAGCCATGGGAAAAGAGGGTGTAAAAAATCAAACAATAACCTCTTTGTTGCAAGGGAACCTTCCTCATTTCTCTACCTATCTGTTTTATTTGCAATGTTTAGGTGAGTTGGGCTGAGGGTGCCCATCCGGCCCTTGGTTATCTATGGTTCTTTTGTTTTTTGTTTTGTTTTTTTTGAGACAGAGTTTCGCTCTTGTTGCCCAGGCTGGAGTGCAGTGGCATGATCTCGGCTCACTGCAACCTCCATCTCCCGGATTCAAGCGATTCTCCTGCCTCAGCCTCCCGAGTAGCTGGGATTACAGGCACGCACCACAATGCCCGGCTAATTTTTTGTATTTTTAGTAGAGATTGGATTTCACCATGTTGGTCAGGCTGGTCTCAAACTCCTGACCTCAGGTGATCCGCCCGCCTTGGCCTCCCAAAGTGCTGGGATTACAGGCGTGAGCCACTGCGCCCGGCCGTTATCTATGGTTCTTGATTCCCTGGGCCATTGTTGTCATTCATCCCATCCATGGTTGCCCTGCCTTATCTTTGGACTCACTCTCATATACCTTCGGGTCCTTCAGTCCCCTGCTGTATCTGTGCCACTCTTTGGGCATAGGCATGTTTTCCAAGGCTGCCTATGTGCTTATGTCCTCCCTGACCTAGCACATCCACAACTATTCCTCTCTCAACTTATGTTACTTTCTGTTGGCATTGCACCAAAGGCTCTGTGCATGTTTGGCTGAAGACACATCAGACTCCTGTATCTCTCTCTCTCTCTCCCTCCCTCCCTCCCTTCCTTCCTTCCTTCCTTCCTTCCTTCCTTCCTTCCTTCCTTCCTTCCTTCCTTTCTTTTGACAGAGTCTTGCTCTGTCACCAGGCTGGCATGCAGTGGCACGATCTCAGCTCACTGCAACCTCTGCCTCCCGGGTTCAAGTGATTCTTCTGACTCAGCCTCCAGAGTAGCTGGGACTGCAGGCGTGCGCCACCACACCCAGCTAATTTTTGTATTTTTAGTAGAGATGGGGTTTCACCATGTTGTCCAGGATGGTCTTGATCTCTTGACCTCATGATCCACCTGCCTCAGCCACCCAAAGTGCTGGGATTACAGGCGTGAGCCACCGTGCACAGCCATATCTCATTCCTTTCTTATCTACTTCAACTCTGCCATATTTTTTTCAGATAGCTACTAATTCTCTTAAAAGTTGTGGCTGGGCATGGTGGCTAACACCTGTAATCCCAGCACATTGGGAGGCCGAGGTGGGCAGATCACTTGAGGTCAGGAGTTTGAAACCAGCTTGGCCATCATGGTGAAACCCTGTCTCTACTAAAAATAAAAAAAATTAGCTGGGCATGGTGGTGCACACCTGTAATCCCATCTACATGGGAGGCTGAGGCAGGAGAATTGCTTGAACCTGGGAGGCGGTGGTTGCAGTGAGCTGAGATCATGCCACCGTACTCCAACCTGGGTGACAGAGTGAGACTCCATCTCAAAAAAAAAAAAAAGTTGTTCTAGGGAGCAGCAAATAACATAATTTCCTCAGTGGGTTTGGTTGTGCTCCAAGTTCAAAGAAGACAGGAGTTGACAAACTGCTTGAAATGGGGTGGGGAGAGATATAAGAAGAAAAAGCAATTAATATCATGAAACGTTATTTAGCTTTATATTTGTTATTTGCATAGCAGATAATCCAATAGGAAGCATAATTAATGTTTTGTATAAATTATCATAGTTACTTAAGCATCACTAGGCTGATAGCTCAATGACTTCCTTTCGTTTCAGAGGCCAATCCTAAAGATATTTTAAAACATTTGAGTAGGTGGTTGTCACTGATCACAATAAGCATTGCTTTAAAACTGTTGTACACGGAAATATGTAATATGAGATCTAAAAGAGAAGAAAGGACAAACTTTTTCTAGGGTTCCTCCAGGACTTACTGTTTTTCATTCAACTTAAAAGTCTTGGTAGGTGAGGAACTTAAACTATTGGCTCATGTTACATACTTTTACATAAATTGGAACTCCCTAAATATATTCAATCTCAAACACCTTTCTTCTTGGTTATATGATAGTCAAAAATTTCAAAATATTTCTGTTGTGTTTACATCTTGTGCTTCAAGATGATTTTGCTGGTTACTTAATTTTTGAGAATTTTTTTTCTGTGAACCAGCAGGTTTCATTTTAAAGTGAAAAATGAATTAAGAGGCTGGGTATGGTGGCTCATGCCTGTAATCCCAGTACTTTGGGAGGCTGAGGCAGGAGGTTAGGAGTTCAAGACCAGCCTGGCCAACATAGTGAAACCCTGTCTCTACAAAAATACAAAAATTAACTGGGCACAGTGGTGGGTGCCTGTAATCTCAGCTACTCTGGAGGCTGAGGCGGGAGAATCACTTGATGAACCCTGGAGGTAGAGGTTGCAGTGAGCCGAGATTGCGCCATTGTACCCCAGCCTGGGCGACAGAGTGAAATTCAGTCTCAAAAAAAAAAAAAAGACTGAAGAATGCTATTCTTCCTCACCTAGAATATACCAGAATGGGAGTTGACTCATTTTCTTTGTTAACTTTACATTATTTCTTTGAACATTCTTTTTAGTGAAAGCTGTACTCCAGTTAAGGGCTTCATATCTTTTGAGAATGTAAAATCTTACTCAGATATGCAAAACGACATGCTAAAGGACATGTACCAAAATTCTTTTTTTTACAAAATTCTTTATAATAATAGAGAATTAAAAATAACTTAAATGTTGTTTTTAGTAAAATGTTATAAAATTCATTATAATAATAATTAAAAATAACTTAAATGCTCATTAATTGAAGAAGAGATAAATAAAATATATGCAAATGATATAATTTGCATATGAAAACACAGCAGTTTACATAATTAGCTAAATCCATGTATCATCAAGGAAAAATCTCAAAAACATAAGTTTGTGTTATAAATTAAGCAAAATGAGATGTAGCACAAAACCATTTATGCAATTAAAAACATACTGTTCATGAGTATTTATGTATATATGTGTATGTGTATATATAAATGTATATATATGTGTGTATGCGTATTTAGAAAATGTATATACTTATATGTGCGTATGTATGCATATATATATATACATGCATATATATTTAGAACACACATTAAATACCTAAGAGTGTTTACCTGTGGGAAAAAAGAATAGAAATTGGATTAAGCATGCAGGCCTAGGGAAAATTAATAAAATAACAAATTAAATTAAATAGGGGCAATGTATGGACTTCCTCAGGTCTTTGCTCAAATGTTCCCTTTCTCAATGCGGCTTACTCTGACCATTTTGACTCCTGATCCCCTTGTCTTGCATTTATTCTTTTTCCCATCGATGTAACATAATAATCAATTAGAATCTTGGCAGAAAACAAAATACCTCAGATAACTAAAAAAAAAAAAAAAAAAGAGTATAACTCAACAAGATTTAATGAAGAAACTAGTTGCAGAGTTGTGGTCAAGGTTAAGGGCACTGACAAGGAATACAGAGACACTTAGAGACCTAAGGAAGGAGCAAGGGGAGGAAATGGTGAAGAAGGGGCCTGGAGAGACCTAGAGCCTTGGGAGAGGAAGACCCTCAGCAGGACACAGGGACACAGCCTCTGCCAGAAACATAGACCCCAGCAGGAGGGAAATGAGAAAGAAGTAACCCAACTTCTACCTCGCATTGGCCCAACTTCATGAGAACCCAAATAACAAGGATGCCTGGGTGCTGTTCGTAGGGCACTGACAGAACAGGGAATTAATTTATGAATTTGAGGAAGGGGATGTGATGATTATGTTGTGTGTCAACCTGACTTGGTTAAAAGATACCCAGATAGCTGCTACAACGTTACTTCTGGGTGTCTGTGAGGGTGTTTCTGGAAGAGATTAGCATTTGAATCAGTGGACTGAGTAAAGAAGATCTGCCCTTAGCCATGTAGCGGGGAACTGTCCAATCTGCTGAGGGTCTAGATGTAAGAAAAAGGCAGAGGAATAGTGAATTCACTCTCTTCTGGAGCTGGGACTTCCAGCTTCTCCCATCCTCAGACATCAGAGCTCCAGATTCTCAGGCCTTCAGATTCCAGGATGTAGGGACCTGCCCCACAGGGTCGGTGAGTTTCTCCCCGTGTGCGGCGACGAGAGTGTAGAAATAAAGACACAAGACAAAGAGATAAAAGAAAAGACAGCTGGGCCCGGGAGACCACTACCACCAACGCGCGGAGACCAGTAGTGGCCCCGAATGTCTGGCTGCGCTGTTATTTACTGGATACAAAGCAAAAGGGGCAGGGTAAAGAGTGTGAGTCACCTCCAATGATAGGTAAGGTCACGTGGGTCACGTGTCCACTGGACAGGGGGCCCTTCCCTGCCTGGCAGCCCAGGCAGAGAGAGGGGACAAAAAGAAAGACAGCTTATGCCATTATTTCTGCATATCAGAGACTTTTAGTACTTTCACTAATTTACTACTGCTATCTAGAAGGCAGAGCCAGGTGTACAGGATGGAACATGAAGGCAGACTAGGAGTGTCACCACTGAAGCACAGCATCACAGGGAGACTGTTAGGCCTCCGGATAATTGCGGGCAAGCCTGACTAATGTCAGGCCCTCCACAAGAGGTGGAGGAGCAGAGTCTTCTCTAAACTCCCCCAGGGAAAGGGAGACTCCCTTTCCTGGTCTGCTAAGTAGCGGGTGTTGTTCCTTGACACTTTTCGCTACCACTAGACCACGGTCCGCCTGGCAACGGGCATCTTCGCAGACGCTGGCATCACCGCTAGACCAAGGAGCCCTTCTGGTGGCCCTGTCTGGGCATAACAGAAGGCTCGCACTCTTGTCTTCTGGTCACTTCTCACTGTGTCCCCTCAGCTCTTATCTCTGTATGGCCTGGTTTTTCCTAGGTTATGATTATAGAGCGAGGATTATGATAATATTGGAATAAAGAGTAATTGCTACAAACTAATGATTAATGATATTCATATATAATCATGTCTATGCTCGAGATCTAGTATAACTCTTGTTGTTTTATATATTTTATTATACTGGAACAGCTCGTGCCCTCAGTCTCTTGCCTCGGCACCTGGGTGTCTTGCCGCCCACACTGGGACGTACACGAGTGCTTCATTTCTACCTCCCAGTTCTTGGGCCTTTGGTTTTAAACTGAGAGTTACGCCATTGCTCCCCTACTTCTCAGGCCTTTCATGCCTTCAGATTCAGACTGAATTATAGCACCAGGAAAATCAAACATTATATGTTCTCACTCATAAGCTATGAGGACACAAAGGCAAAAGAATGAAACAATGGACTTTGGGGACTCAGGGGACAGAGTGGGAGGGGGTGAGGGATAAAAAACTGCAAGTTGCATACAGTGTACACTGCTCAGGTGACGGGTGTACCAAAATCTCAGAAATCACTACTGAAGAACTTATTCATGTAACCAAACATCACCTGTTCCCCCAAAACCAATTGAAATAAATAAATAAATAAATAAATTACAGCACCAGTTTTCCTGATTCTCCAGATCACAGAGAGCATATTGTAGGACTTCATGGCCTCCATAATCTCACGAGCCAATTTTCGTAAAAAATTCCTTCTTATATATCTCTCCATATATCCTATTGGGTCTGTTTTTCTGGAGAACCTTGATTAATAGAGAAGGCAAACAAATATTAATTTGTAACTCTAATTAATAGGATACATAAATTTATAATAAAAATGTTTGTATTATACACTTATTAAATTATTTATTATCTGTTTTCTTCTGCTAGAATGTAAGTTCCAAGAGGCCAGGATCTTTGTTTGGTTCATGTCTTCCCCAAGTGCCTAGGAGACTGCCAGATATAAAGTAGGTAATCAGTCAATAATTGTTTAATGAGTGCTATATCACTAATCAAGACTTATGCTCAACACAATTCTTTGAACCTGAGATGTATAAAAAAAAGACAACTAGGGTATAAGTTTTGAGTCAATTAGGGTACAAGAGCATCCCGTGATATCAGAAGAGTCACTTTATTTATTTATTTATTTATTTATTTATTTATTTTATTTATTTATTTTTTTTGAGATGGAGTCTCACTGTGTCGCCCAGGGTAGAGTGTAGTGGTGCAATCTCGGCTCACTGCTATTTCTGCCTCCCCAGTTCAAGTCATTCTCCTGTCTCAGCCTCCCAAGTAGCTGGGATTACAGGCACCTGCCACCACACCTGGCTAATTTTTGTATTTTTAGTAGAGACGGGGTTTCACTACATTGGCTAAGCTGGTCTCGAACTCCTGACTTCAAGTCATCCACCTGCCTTGGCTTCCCAAAGTGCTGGGATTACAGGCATGAGCCACCGCGCCCAGCCAATAGTCAGTTTTATAGTTCTGAGGAGAATTTTCTGGGTTGAATCAATTAATTTGTATTTCTATTCAGATATAGTACAAATAGAACAAATTAGTCTAAGATTCCAGATTAATACATTACCTAAATCTTACTACTACAAATACACAAATGACTCAGCTTCCCTCATATTTAGTTCTTATTTCTGATGGACAACCATACATAAAGAAGTCATCAGAAAAACCCTTGCCAATGACTCCAGTAATCACAGTGACTCAATCCAAATGATTCTCTGCCTTCTCTGAAAGCATACAAAGGATAGAGCTGCAGTTAAACACTTCATAGTGCATCTTCCATGTCTTCAGGTCAGCTAATGATATCTCAACAGTTCACTGGCCACCCCTCAGTTCTCCTCCTCTTTCAGGTAGTCAACATGTATCCCCAGAAATTTTCCAAATTCTGAGGAAGTGGGTCCCACCAAGAATTATTTTAGGGTGTGGTCTCTTATAAAAGATGGCTCTGATGGGAATTTCCATCCTAAGGATATATATATCCAAACACATTACAATCTAACCTTTTTGGTTACTATTGTAAATGCTTAGCTATCATAACAATCAGAATATGCTACTTGAAGCACGGGTTTATTTAATTATTATTACAATGAAGCCTTTTGCCTAGCACCTTAATAAATCGAACTGCATTAGGAAGTCCCCAGTAATGGGAAGTGTGTCCAGTGACTTCCAATTCTGGTCTGGAAATTATTTAAGCATTAAAGTAAGTTGCATATTTTTTCATCAGCCTAAATCTGAATAATTTATTGAGTAACCTTAAGGGATAATTTCAGATCCTTTGAGGAAAATGTCAACTTAATCCCGGAAACTGAAACAGGATTGCTATCTACAGTGGATTTTAAAATGGACTTATAGACCGTGTACTGTGGCTCACGCCTGTAATCCCATCGCTTTGGGAGGCTGTGGCGGGTGGATCACTTGAGGTCAGGAGTTCCAGACCAGCCTGGCCAACATGGCGAAACCCCATCTCTACTAAAAACACAAATATTACCCGGGCGTGGTGGCATGTGCCTGTAATCTCAGCCACTCAGAGGCTAAGGCAGTAGAACCTGGGAGGCAGAGGTGGCAGTGAGCCAAGATGGCACCACTGCACTCCAGCCTGGGCAACAGACTCCATCTCATTAAAAAAAAAAAAAAAAAAAAGGACTTGTAATTCTTTGATACCCCGCCCATTCAGAGGCAAAGCGCCTTTGATCCTAGGCTCTATGACTGCTTGACTAATACAATACAATACAAGTGACACTGTGCCAGTTTCTGGCTCCGAACCTTAAGAAAATGGCAACTCCCACAACCTGTAGCTCTTGGAATAGTGGTTCTTCACACCCAGCTGTGAGGAAGCCAAGCAGCACAGGAGAGAGGCTATGTGAACAGATTCCAGCTAACAAACCCAGCTGAGGCCCCTGCCAACAGCCAGCATCAACACCCAGACATATGGGCAAATGAGACTTCAGATGATTTCAATCCCCTTCCAGCCATCACAGCTGGCCACACGTGAGCTCTGTCCAAACTGCAGACCGTGAACAGCATAAATAATTGTTATTTAATCCAGTAAATTGGGGTGGCTTGTTCTACAGCAATAGAACACTACCCGAGATTCCTGGTGGCTACAGAAATCTTTCCAGGTATATTTCCTACTTGTGGATACTGGATTTCTCCGAATGAGAAAAGCTCTGCCCTGTGGCTCAGTATACAAGCTGGGAGATGTAAATTTCTTTTTAGAATATTTAAGTTCAGACTTGGTTAATGAAAGTTTTTTTGTGAATTAACACACTTACAATAAAATGATACCAAAGTAATCTAAAGTGCTTTTCTGGAGCATTGGGCAGGTCTGAGGGGAATCTCGGGGATTTCTAATGGTCTGTGTCTGTCTTATTTCACTTAGAATAATGTTCTTCAGGCCCATCCATCCATGTTGTAACAAATGGCAGGATATTCTCCTCTTCAAGGCTGAATGGTATTCCATTACTTATATATACACATCATAGTTTCTTTATTCATCCCTTGATGGACACCTAGGTTGTTTCTATATCTTGGCTACTGTGAATAATGCTGCAGTCAACATGGGAGTGCTGATATCTTTACAGGGTAAATATTTCATTTCGTTGGATACATACCTAGAAGAGGGATTGCTGGGTCATATGGTAGTTCTGTATTTAATCTCTTTAGGAACCTCTATACTGTTTTCCATAATGGCTGTACCAATCTACACTCTCAGTAACAGTGTATAAGGGTTCTCTCTTCTCCATAGCCTCGCCAACACTGGTGATCTCTTATCTTTTTAATAATAGCCATCCTAACAGATGTGAGGTGGTATATCATAGTGATATCATAGTGGTTTTGCTTTGCATTTCCCTGATTAGTGATGTTGAGTATCTTTTCATGTATCTGTTCACCATTTTTATGTTGTCTTTGGAGAAATGTCTATTCAAGTTCTTTGGCCATTTTATTTATTTATTTATTTGTTTGTTTGTTTGTTTGTTTGTTTTTTAGAGATGGAGTCTCATTATGTTACCCAGGTTGGTAACTCAAACTTCTGAGCTCAAGAGATTATCCCTCCTCAGCCTCTCAAAGTGCTGGGATTACAAACGTGAGCCACCACATGCAGACCTTTGTCCATTTTAAAATCAGGTTATATATTTTCTTGCTATTGAGTTGTATGAGTTCATTATAAATCTAGTGTATTAACTCCCTATTGGATACATGGTTTGCAAATTTTTCCCAATTTGTTTTTTTTTTTTTTTTTTTTTGCCTTTTGTTGATTGTTTTCTTTGCTGTGTGGAAGCTTGCTAGATTGATGTAGTACTATTTGCTTTTGCTTTTGTAGCCTGAGCTTTTGATGTGATATCCAATAAATTATTGCCATGGCCAATGTCCCGGACCTTTTTCTCTATGTATTTTCATTCTTTCGCATTTATATTTTAGACGTTTGTAACATTACTTAATTTAGGAATATTTATTTAAATAAATCAAATAATTTTCATGCTGTATTCTTTTTTAAAATCTTGCTTGCTTTTTAAGAAAAATTACAGAATAAATATTTTAGAAAGTCCAAATAATAAATAAAAGTATAATTTTAACAGAGAGGTTTTCTGTCCATTAATCACTCCCCATGCAATGAATTTTTTCCAATTTGTTATTCCTTATTCCCACTTGCTCCCCAGGAAACCACTGCCAAGTGAGGTCTTCACCGTGGGAAAATTTATTAATCGCTTTACATTACCCTTTATAATTCCATAATAAACATGACACACAGAGTCAATTTGAAGAAGTTTATTTTGTTTTATTTTTGCAAACTTTATAACCCATAAGATTAACTGTCATCTCTGGAACTAAAGTGGAATCTTATCTTTATCCTAATGTAAATGTCAACAGAATGAACTTTTTCAATGTGTTTTGCAGTAAGTGTGAGACTATTTTAAATATAAATTATGCTTTTATATTTATTATCTTACATTTTCTAAGTAATTTATTTTTTAAAAAATGAGTGCTTCTATTTTACATATAATAAATAGGGGCCTGAAACCTTGATAAACTCTTCCACATATATATGTTGAAAGCAAAAATGACAGAACCTAGAGCTTCACTCTTCTCCCAAGTCAGCATTGCTGAGCCGACAGCCAAGTGGAAGGTACCACTGGAGAATTCGGGTGGCTGCATTGTAAATAACTTTGCTCCCATTCTGTCTATTGTAATTAAATGCTGCTTGTTATTCATAGAGTAAAACCTGTCTCCTATTGAACTTTTTTGCCAAAGAGATAAGAGAAAAAGGAAAATTTGAATTCACATTTTGTCACAAATAGCTTCTGCTTTAATTTAACCCATGAGCTTGTATTTCAGAATTTCTCTTAGGTGATATAAAAAATAAGAGAGCACTACCAGAATGACATTTTTAGCAACACTGAAGCTTGATGGGATGTGCCATAAACTTATTAGATATTAGAGCACCCCTTAAAGGTGCAGTGGCCTGTTTCCTAATTAAGAGTGCGTTCCGTCTCACAGGGGAAATCACTTAACTGCAGTATATTGTATTATACTTGTTCATTCAGCAAGCCTTATTGAGTACTTGTTATGTGCCACTGTTATAGGCACTGAGGACACAGCAGGGAACACATTAATATTCCTTCCAGTTGTAAAGATTACTTTCTTTTTAATCACATAAGTTTTATACAAAATATTGATAAAAGTAAAATGGGAAAGATTGTTTTTGTTTTTGTTTTTTATTTATTATACTTTAAGTTCTAGGGTACATGTGTACAACGTGCAGGTTTGTTACATATGTATACATGTGCCATGTTAGTGTGCTGCACCCACTAATTTGTCATTTACATTAGGTATATCTCCCAATGCTATGCCTCCCGCCTGTCCCCACCCCACAACAGGCCCCGGTGTGTGATGTTCCCCTTCCTGTGTCCATGTGTTCTCATTGTTCAATTCCCACCTATAAGTGAGAACATCCGGTGTTTGGTTTTCCGTCCTTGCGATAGTTTCAGAATGATGGTTTCCAGCTTCATCCATGTCCCCTACAAAGGACATGAACTCATCCTTTTTTATGGCTGCATAGTATTCCATGGTGTATATGTGCCACATTTTCTTAATCCAGTCTATCATTGATGGACATTTGGGTTGGTTCCAAATCTTTGCTATTGTGAATAGTGCCACAATAAACATACGTATGCATGTGTCTTTATAGCAGCATGATTTATAATCCTTTGGGTATATACCTGCCTTCAAACTATACTACAAGGCTACAGTAACCAAAACAGCTGGTTTGGTTTTGGCTGGGTCAAATGGTATTTCTAGTTCTAGATCCTTGAGGAATTGCCACACTGTCTTCCACAATGGTTGAACTAGTTTACATTCCCACCAACAGTGTAAAAGTGTTCCTATTTCTCCACATCCTCTCCAGCACCTGTTGTTTCCTGACTTTGTAATGATGGCCATTCTAACTGGTGTGAGATGGTATTTCATTGTGGTTTTGATTTGCATTTTTCTGATGGCCAGTGATGATGAGCATTTTGTGATGTGTCTGTTGGCTGCATAAATGTCTTCTTTTGAGAAGTGTCTGTTCATATCCTTTGCCCACTTTTTGATGGGATTGTTTGATTTTTTTCTTGTAAATTTTTTTAAGTTCTTTGTAGATTCTGGATATTAGCCCTTTGTCAGATGGGTAGATTGTAAAAATTTTCTCCCATTCTGTAGGTTTCCTGTTCACTCTGATGGTAATTTCTTTTGCTATGCAGAAGCTCTTTAGTTTAATTAGATCCCATTTGTCAGTTTTGGCTTTTGTTGCCAATGCTTTTGGTGTTTTAGTCATGAAGTCCTTGCCCATGCCTATATCCTGAATGGTATTGCCTAGGTTTTCTTCTAGGGTTTTTATGGTTTTAGGTCTAACATTTAAGTCTTTAATCCATCTTGAATTAATTTTTGTATAAGGTGTAAGGAAGGGATCCAGTTTCAGCTTTCTACATATGGCTAGCCAGTTTTCCCAGCACCATTTATTAAATAGGGAATCCTTTCCCCATGGCTTGTTTTTGTCAGGTTTGTCAAAGATCAGATGGTTGTAGATGTGTGGTATTAATTCTGAGGGCTCTGTTCTGTTCCATTGATCTGTATCTCTGTTTTAATACCAGTACCATGCTGTTATGGTTACCGTAGCCTTGTAGTATAGTTTGAAGTCAGGTAGCGTGATGCCTCCAGCTTTGTTCTTTTGGCTTAGGATTGTCTTGGCAATGAGGGCTCTTTTTTGGTTCAAGTAGTTTTTTCCAATTCTGTGAAGAAAGTCATTGGTAGCTTGATGGGGATGGCATTGAATTAAATTACCTTGGGTGGTATGGCCATTTTCACGATATTGATTCTTCCTATCCATGAGCATGGAATGTTCTTCCATTTGTTTGTGTCCTCTTTTATTTCATTGAGCAATGGTTTGTAGTTCTCCTTGAAGAGGTCCTTCACATCCCTTGTAAGTTGGATTCCTAGGTATTTTATTCTCTTTGAAGCAATTGTGAATGGGAGTTCACTCCTGATTTGGCTGTCTGTCTGTTTTGGTGTATAGGAATGCTTGTGATTTTTACACATTGATTTTGTACCCTGAGACTTTGCTGAAGTTGCTTATCAGCTTAAGGAGATTTTGGGCTGAGACGATGGGGTTTTCTAAATATACAATCATGTCATCTGCAAACACGGACAATTTGACTTCCTCTTTTCCTAATTGAATACCCTTTATTTCTTTCTCTTGCTTGACTGCCCTGGCCAGAACTTCCAACACTATGTTGAATAGCAGTGGTGAGATAGGGCATCCTGTCTTGTGCCAGTCTTCAAAGGGAATGCTTCCAGTTTTTGCCCATTCAGTATGATATTGGCTGTGGGTTTGTCATAAATAGCTCTTATTATTTTGAGATATGTCCCATCAATACTTAATTTATTGAGAGTTTTTAGCATGAAGCGCTGTTGAATTTTGTCGAAGGCCTTTTCTGCATCTATTGAGATAATCATGTGGTTTTTGTTTTTGGTTCTGGTTATATGATGGATTACATTTACTGATTTGTGTATGTTGAACCAGCCGTGCATCCCAGGGATGAAGCCAACTTGATTGTGGTGGATAAGCTTTTTGATGTGCTGCTGGATTTGGTTTGCCAGTATTTTATTGAGGATTTTTGCATTGATGTTCATCAGGGATATTGGTCTAAAATTCTCTTTTTTCGTTGTGTCTCTGCCAGGCTTTGGTATCAGGGTGATGCTGGCCTCTTAAAATGAGTTAGGGAGGATTCCCTCTTTTTCTATTGATTGGAATAGTTTCAGAAGGAATGGTACCAGCTCCTCTTTGTACCTCTGCTAGAATTCGGCTGTGAATCCGTCTGGTTCTGGACTTTTTTTGGTTGTTAAGCTATTAATTATTGTCTCAATTTCAGAGCCTATTATTGGTCTATTCAGGGATTCAACTTCTTCCTGGTTTAGTCTTGGGAGGGTGTAGGTGTCTAGGAATTTATCAATTTCTTCTAGATTTTCTAGTTTATTTGCATAGAGGTGTTTATAGTATTCTCTGATGGTAGTTTGTATTTCTGTGGGATCGGTGGTGATATCCCCTTTATCATTTTTTATTGTGTCTATTTGATTATTCTCTCTTTTCTTCTTTATTAGTCTTGCTAGCAGTCTGTCAATTTTGCAGATCCTTTCAAAAAACCAGCTCCTAGATTCATTGATTTTTTGAAGGGTTTTTTGTGACTCTATCTCCTTCAGTTCTTCTCTGATCTTAATTATTTCTTGCCTTCTGCTAGCTTTTGAATGAGTTTGATCTTGGTTCTCTAGTTCTTTAAATTGTGATGTTAGGGTGTCAATTTTAGATCTTTCCTGCTTTCTCTTGTGGGCATTTAGTGCTATAAATTTCCCTCTACACACTGCTTTAAATGTGTCCCAGAGATTCTCGTATGTTGTGTCTTTGTTCTCATTGGTTTCAAAGAACGTCTTTATTTGTGCCTTCATTTCTTTATGTATCCAGTAGTAATTCAGGAGCAGGTTGTTAAGTTTCATGTAGTTGAGTGGTTTTGAGTGAGTTTCTTAATCCTGAGTTCTAGTTTGACTGCACTGTGGTCTGAAAGACAGTTTATTATAATTTCTGTTCTTTTACATTTGCTGAGCAGTGCTTTACTTCCAACTATGTTGTCAATTTTGGAATAAGTGCAATATACTGCTGAGAAGAATGTATATTCTGTTGATTTGGGGTGGAGAGTTCTGTAGATGTCTATTAGGTCCGCTTGGTGCAGAACTGAGTTCAATTCCTGGATATCCTTGATAACTTTCTGTCCTGTTGATCTGTCTAATGTTGATAGTGGGGTGTTAAAGTTTCCCATTATTATTGTGTGGGAATCTAAGTCTCTTTGTAGGTCTCTAAGTACTTGCTTTATGAATCTGGGTGCTCCTGTATTGGGTGCATATATATTTAGGATAGTTAGTTCTTCTTGTTGAATTGATCCCTTTACCATTATGTAATGGCCTTCCTTTTCTCTTTTGATCTTTGTTTGTTTAAAGTCTGTTTTATCAGAGACTAGGATTGCAACCCCTGCCTTTTTTTGTTTTCCATTCACTTGGTAGATCTTTCTCCATCCCTTTATTTTGAGCCTATGTGTGTCTCTGCACGTGAGATGGATCTCCTGAATATAGCACAATGATGGGTCTCCTGAATATAGCACAATGATGGGTCTTGACTCTTTATCCAATTTGCCAGTCTCTGTCTTTTAATTGGAGCATTTAG
The DNA here is from genome assembly GCF_000001405.40 of Homo sapiens. NCBI lineage: Eukaryota > Metazoa > Chordata > Mammalia > Primates > Hominidae > Homo > Homo sapiens. The sequence continues at coordinate 152,982,366 of NC_000003.12, read as the reverse complement.
CCAATTTACATTTAAGGCTAATATTGTTATGTGTGAATTTGATCCTGTCATTATGATGTTAACTGGTTATTTTGCTCGTTAGTTGATGCAGTTTCTTCCTAGCATCAATGGTCTTTACAATTTGGCATGTTTTTGCAGTGACTGGTACCAGTTGTTCCTTTCCATGTTTAGTGCTTCCTTCAGGAGCTCTTGTAAGGCAAGCCTGGAGGTGACAAAATCCCTCAGCATTTGTCCGTAAAGGATTTTATTTCTCCTTCACTTATGAAGCTTAGTTTGGCTGGATATGAAATTCTGGGTTGAAAATTCTTTTCTTTCAGAATGTTGAATATTGGCCCCCACTCTCTTCTAGCTTGTAGAGTTTCTGCCGAGAGATCCGCTGTTAGTCTGATGGGCTTCCCTTTGTGGGTAACTCGACCTTTCTCTCTGGCTGCCCTTAACATCTTTTCCTTCATTTCAACTTTGGTGAATCTGACAATTATGTGTCTTGGAGTTGCTCTTCTCAAGGAGTATCTTTGTGGCGTTCTCTGTATTTCCTGAATTTGAATGTTGACCTGCCTGGCTAGGTTGGGGAAGTTCTCCTGGATAGTGTCCTGAAGAGTGTTTTCCAACTTGGTTCCATTCTCCCCATCACTTTCAGGTACACCAATCAGACGTATATTTGGTCTTTTCACATAGTCCCATATTTCTTGGAGGCTTTGCTCATTTCTTTTTATTCTTTTTTCTCTAAACTTCTCTTCTCACTTCATTTCATTCATTTGATCTTCCATCTCTGACACCCTTTCTTCCACTTGATCAAATCGGCTACTGAAGCTTGTGCTTGCATTGTGTAGTTCTTGTGCCATGGTTTTCAGCTCCATCAGGTCATTTAAATTCCTCTCTACCCTGTTTATTCTACTTAGCCACTCGTCTAATCTTTTTTCAAGGTTTTTAGCTTCTTTGCAATGGGTTCGAACATCCTCCTTTAGCTTGGAGAAGTTTATTACTGATCCTCTGAAGCCTTCTTCTCGCTACTCATCAAAGTCATTCTCCATCCAGCTTTATCCCATTGCTGGTGAGTTGCTGCGTTCCTTTGGAGGAGAAGAGGTGCTCTGATTTTTAGAATTTTCAGCTTTTCTGCTCTGGTTTCTCCCCATCTTTGTGGTTTTATCTACCTTTGGTCTTTGATGATGGTGACATACAGATGGGGTTTTGGTGTTTGCCCTTTCTGTTTGTTAGTTTTCCTTCTAACAGTCAGGACCCTCAGCTGCAGGTCTGTTGGAGTTTGCTGGAGGTCCACTCCAGACCCTGTTTGCCTGGGTATCAGCAGCGGAGGCTGCAGAACAGCAAATATTGCAGAACAACAAATGTTGCTGCCTGATCCTTCCTCTGGAAGCTTCATCTCAGAGGGGCACCTGGCTGTATCAGGTGTCAGTCGGCCCCTACTGGGAAGTGTCTCCCAGTTAGGCTACTCAGGTGTCAGGGACCCACTTGAGGAGGCCGTCTGTCGGTTCTCAGATATCAAACTCTGTGCTGGGAGAACCACTACTCTCTTCAAAGCTGTCAGACAGGGATGTTTAAGTCTGCAGAAGTTTCTGCTGTCTTTTGTTAGGCTATGCCCTGCCCCCATAGGTGGAGTCTACAGAGGCAGGTAGGCCTCCTTGAGCTGCAGTGGGCTCCACCCACTTCTTGAAAGATTTTTAAATATTGAGTTTGAATATAAACTTTGACAAGAACCAATTTTACTAAAGTAAAATAGAATGCATCACCTGCTTTTTCTCTAAGTTGAATAATATTTCTAGGAGGAATTTGAACCTAACTGCCTCTTAAAGTGTACATATTACAAAATTACCAGGAATATAAAATTTAGGAGTGTATTTTAAATTTTTAATGATTTTATTTTATTATACATATTTTTAAAAATAAGTTATGTTGGCATATTAGTTCTCTCACACTGCTATAAAGATACTACCTGAGACTTTTACAAAGAAACAAGGTTTAATTGACTCATACTTCCACATGGCCGGGGAGGCCTCAGGAAACTTACAATCATGGTGGAAGGTGAAGGAGAGGCAAGCACCTTGTTCACAGGTGGCAGGAGAGAGAGCCCAGGGGAAACTGTCAATTTTAAACCATCAGATCTCATAAGAACTCCCTCACTATCAAGAGCATAGCGTGGGGGAAACTGCCTTCATGATCCAATCAACTCCCACCAGGTCCCTCCCTCACCATGTGGGGATTGCAACTCAAGATGAGATTTGGGTGGGGAAACAGAGCCAAACCATATTAGGTGGGGAGTAAATGAACAAGCCATCATAAGCTTTATTGATAGTCAATGCTCTTCCAAAGGAATATTCATACTAATAAATAAATTAATGAATTGCAAGTTAATTCTAGACTTTAAGCTATATTCACTTTGTGCTAGAAATCCTTCAATATAGGAGATATTCTGGTTTACAAGACAGGTAAAATTTCTGTTTTCATGGAACTTATTTTCTATTTGAAGTATGTGTGCATTTATTCATAAGTAAATAAATAACCAAAGGCTGTGGACTGAATTGTGTTTTTCTTAAATGTACAGGTGGAAGTTCTAACCCCTAGTATTTCAGAATGTGATTCTATTTGAAGATAGGGTCTTTAAAAAGGTAATTAGGTTAAAATGAGTTCATTAGGGTAGCTAAAATCCAATATGACTGGTGTCATAAGAATAGAAGATTAGGACGCAGACACACACAGAGAAAAGACCATGTGAAGGCACAGGGAAAAGACAGCTATCTACAAGCCAAAGAGAGAGACCTCAAAAGAAACCAACCCTGCTATACCTCGATCTCAGAAATCTAGCCTCCAGAATTGTGAGAAAATACATTTCTGCTGTGTAAACCACTCAGTCTGTGATACTTCGTTATGGCAGACCTAACAAATTTATACTAAGCAAGTACTATAAGATCAAATTAAATGTAATGGGATAGAGAATGATGGAGGGTTTACCTTGGAATGGATGTCCAGAGAACATTTCTCCAAGGAGCAGATATTTAAACTGAGATCTAAGTGGTAGCTATGTAATGCTGAGAAGAGAGCATGCTGGCAGAGGGAATAAGTAGAGCAAAGTTTCTATGGTTCAGCAAACCAAAAGAAAGCAGGTGTCAATTAGGTTTAATGGAAAATGGGGTTGCATTTCTGAGCTAAGTTTAGAATACAGTTTAGAAGCCAGGGAGAAGAGTTTGATTTTTTTTTGAGACGGAGTTTCACTCTTGTTGCCTAGGCTGAAATGCAGTGACATAATCTCGGCTCACTGCAAACTCTGCTTCCAGGGTTCAAGTCATTCTCCTGCCTCAGCCTCCCAAATAGCTGGGATTACAGGTGCTCACCACCACACCTGGCTAATTTTTGTATTTTTAGTAGAGATGGGGTTTCACAATATTGGCCAGGCTGGTCTTGAGCTCCTGACCTCAAGTGATCCACTTGCCTTGGCCTCCTAAAGTGCTGGGATTACAGGAGTGAGCCACCGTGCCTGGCCAAGAGGAGTTTGATTTGAAGTGCAATGGATGGTCACTGGAGGGTATGAGTTACAGAAGTGATATTGTTGAATACACGTTTTAAAAAGATAACACTGACTGCTAGGTGGGGAATGGATGTAAAGGGAAAGAGGAAACAAAAAGAGGCCACCATGGTTGTTCAAGCAAGAGATGTGTTGACTTGGGCAGGCTGATTGTTGTGTAGATGGAAAGGACTGGTTAGATCCAAAGTGTGTTTTGAAGGGAGAAACCACAGTTCTTATTGCCAGATTGTGATTGTGGTAGGAAAAGAAAGGGATCAATAATTTTTAGGTTTAGGAACTAGGTGAGACAAGGAAGGCACCAGAAGGAGCAGGTTTGGGGGAAAATTAAGAGTTCTGTTTTGCCTGTGTTATTTTGAAGATCCAAAGTAGGCAGCTGAAAGTATAGGCCTGATTTCTGGAGTGCATCTGGACTTGTGATATGAAGTCACTGGTATAGAGATAGAATATAACGTGGGGATTGGAGAAATGTCTTGTTTCACCAGGGGGCAGTCATCTGGGATGGTCACTGTGGACAGGACTCAGCATAGGTCTTACTTTATTTTTCAAAATAAATGATGCTTTTGAGGTTTGTGCAGATGTTAAGTCTGATCTAGGTAGAAAAGGTGTGTTTTGCACATAGTAATCTGTTCCCAGACCCTCAGGATGCAGTAAAACATCCATTTAAAAAATCAAACAACTTAGGATATCTCTCTGTTCCTTCTCATGTGTACCTTTATTTCAAACCCTCTGAATACACTAGAACTCTCTTCTTAATGTTCTCCTGCTGCCTCTTGTGTATTTTACTCAAACAAAATTTTACAAGACTTTAGAGAAAAATGAAAATCAGACTTAGTAAGTTAACAAATTACATCCTGCATCCTCCTTTTTTTTTTTTTTTTTTTTTGAGACAGAGTCTCACTACTGCCCAGGCTGGAGTGCAGTGATGTGATCCTGGCTCACAACAACCTCTACCTCCCAGGCTTAAGCAATCCTCCCACCTCAGCCTCGTGAGTAGCTGGGACTACAGGTGCATGCCACCATGCCTGGCGAATTTTTTTATTTTTTATTGTTTTGCAGAGACAGAGTTTCCCCATGTTGCCTAAGGTGCTCTTGAACTCCTGGGCTCAAGCCTCGGCCTTCCAAAGTGCTGGGATTACAGGTGTGAACCACTGTGCCCAGCCTGCCCCCTCATAATATCATCCAGCTTCCCCTTTTGGAGGGGAATAAACAAGGGCTGAAATAAAATGGAGTTAGTTATAATGACTCACTGAATTGCAGACAGAAAAAAATAATCTATGACTCATTAGCCCTTTGAAGGTGTCAGAAAATAAAATAAAATTCAGCATATGGTCTTGACATATAGAAGTGCCTCGAACAAAAGATATTTTATAATTAGAAACTCAACAAATTCATTCACTCATTCATTCAATGGTTGAGAATCAACTACGTTTTAAGCACTTCCTTGCCAGCCAAAGTGGTATGGTATATGGTATATGACAAAGCCTCTGTTAAGTGGATGCTTCTTCCTGGGGCATTAAATCTGGATCAAATGAAGCTGGTGGCTTTCTCTTCCAGTAGTTCCTGCAAAAAAAACAGTTATTTTGTTTGCTCCTGTTGATCCTATGCTATTATCCTGATTCTTATTCAGTTTCCAAATCTTGTTTTCTAGGCTGCATTGACTCCATGAACCTTTGCTGTACTTCTTATACATTCCTTTTCTGCTACAGAAAGCCAGGGACATTATCTCTTCTGGTTACTATATGTTGTACTTGCAGAACTACTAAAACTTAAATCAGACTTTCAAAGTCTAAATGTACATACATCTCAAATGACTAAATACCAGAAATTTCTATCCAACTGTCATACGTTAGAGAATGAAGGCCAATTTTCTCCATGAAACCCTGTACTGATTCAAGAATAGGCGGAAGACAAACTCTGCTTATCCAATTACTTCTTAGGTTAGCTCTATTTTGCTGAATCCTAAAATAGCATATTATTTCTTGCTGCCCATCTTGTCACAGTTGAAGAATGAAAATTTGGGTTAAAGGATGGGGACAAGTAGAACTAATTGCTAGGTCAAGCAAAGTAAATTAGATGCAATGTCTAAGTCTATTAATAGAAACTGTCCCCAGAACCCTGTGCTATAGAGCTAAGTGCCAAAGAGAATAAAACATCGAATTGGTCCAATCATTTCCAATTTGATGACCAAGAAATGAAAACACTTGGGGGAGTCTATTCACAAGCTCAGAATATTTCTAGTTCTCTTTCTTTGTCAGATCTTCAGGGTAGGCTTTGGACTTTCAAAGCCAGAAGTGATAGCAAGTCATTCTAAAGTGTGCAGAAATGGAAGCATGATGAAGCATAAGCACTCAGTCTTCTCGTTAGCCTTCTGGGTGGAAAAGATAAAGAAAACCAGTTTAAAAAATGCCAGTATCTTCTTTCCGGCAGCCATAGGCACCTTAGCTTTTTGTTTTTAAAGAAATGCCACAAGAAGGCATTTGGTTAAGAGAGGGAAAAGAAGTGTGCTTTGTAACTTTCACTAGAAGTTAGAAATAAGAGAAAAGAGTTCTGCTTTGCAACTGGCCCTGCATATTAGAAATCACTCTGACTATTGCATACATTTAGACCAATGAAAGTCACATATTAATGTATCATTTTACTGCCTTTAACACTCTTGCATCCACAGTCAAATCTGAAATATGAAGTAACTCTCAAGGGATTCTGTGAAGTTAATATTGTCTCTGTTTTGCAGATGAAGGTTTTCTACTCAGAAAAATAAACTTGCCCTTAATCACACAGCTAAGAAATTCCAGAACACAGATCAGAAGCTGAATCTTCATGATCGTAATAATTTCATAAAATAATGATAAGTTCACATTATAATAACTCTAGAAGAGAAAGCATGCAACACTGTCAGCATTAAATCCCCATTTCTGGGCTAAATGACTACATGGATTAATACTTATGCGTGACATAGAGTCATGATAAAAAGCGATGCCACAGTCAAAATTGTTTTGATGATCCCAAAAACAATTCCTCAAAGACCTATTGTTTGGAGATAATTATAGTCAGATTGAAAATTATAGAAAGAGAGATTTGGGGAAATTGGGTGGTAGCCTTGGCAGGCCAAGTATCAAATTGTTTGTTTTCAAAAGAATCAAATTGTTGAAGCTTGTTCCTTAAGGAAGAAATGGTTTCAAAAATGATTAAGTGGGCTGAGTGTGGTGGCTCCTGACTGTTATCTCATTGCCTTGGGAAGCTGAGGTGAAAGGATCACTTGAGGCCAGGAGTTCAAGACCAGCCTGGACAACATGGTGAGACACCATGTGTAAAAAATAGTTTTGTTTTTAGTTATCTGGTGTGGTGGCATGCATCTGTAGTCCTAGCTACTTGGGAAACTGAGTTGGGAAGATCACTTTAGCCCAGGAGTTCAAGGTTACAGTGAGCTATGATCACACCACTGAACCCATGCCTGGGTGACAGAGTGAGACCCTGTATCTAAATTTTTTTTTTTTTTTAGTGGGATATACCTCATTTCTGCTAGAAGGGCTCTAATTTTCTAGCTCAGGTTTCCCCATTGACTTCCTACTTTATTCTTTTCTCTTTTTCTTTCTTTTTTTTTTTTTTTGAGATGGAGTTTCACTCTTGTTGCCCAGGCTGGAGTGCAATGGTGCGATCTTGGCTCACTGCAACCTCTGCCTCCCGGGTTCAAGCAGTTCTCCTGCCTCAGCCTCCCAGGTAGCTGGGATTACAGGCATGCACCACCACACCTGGCTATAAAAAAATTTTTAAAGGGATTTGTATATTATTATTGTATTGAATTATATATCATAGGTTGATATACATCTATTAAAATATCAATAGACTCCAAGTTCTTCACATGTGTTGGGCCTGAATTTACCAGGAGAAGCATATATTTATTGCTAAATTTTAAAGAAAGTTTATATGAGTGATGCTACCAGCTATTGTAATAATAATAAATAACAAAACAGCTAGAGTTTATTGAGTGTTTACTATGAATCATATCATTTAATTCTTAAAGCAATCTATTAGAATGGTGCTATTATTATTCCCATTTTGTAGTTCAGATAAAATGTGTACCACCATGTGCTACTGTAATGAATCATCTTATGTTGCCATTTTAGAAGGCTTGGATTTTATTTCTCAACCCTCCACTTAGGTGGGTGGCCAAAGGCAGTCACATGAGTTGCTGCTTTGTAAAATAGATATAGTAATTAATCACCATTATTGCCACCCATATTTCTTAAGAGATCATATATGAGGAAATTTTTTTAAACTATAAAATACTATATTATGATTTTAAATTAATATTTTATTATTATTGTTAAGAAAAGAAAGTCCAAGAAAGACATTGTGTAAGGAAATATGGCTGAACACGAGGACCATATTCTTAAGATTATTTGTTTTCAAATATTTTAACTTTCCCCTTGACAATGTTATTTTCTCACTGTCAGTAAGATTTACAAGATTTATTTACAGTAGAAATGACATTCATTGAACCATTTGTTATCTGTGCCCTGTAGCCAGCCAAAAAACAACAGTTGGGGATGGTTCTTCTGCTTATGTCAGTGAGATCTTTAGATCTTTAGAGAATGGTTGCCCAGTTGCAATTTCAGGTAACCCGTGTCTCTAAGATAATGAACTGCCATTTTTGTTTTTTAATATTTATGTGTTTGATAAAAGGATGGGGTAATTGGAGGTAAAGGAAAAAGAGATGGAAGACATGAGAAGTGATTTTGTAGAAATGAGGAGTTGGGAGCCTAGAAGGAAGGTTGATGAACCAGATAGAAAAGGAACTCCATGTTGCTAAGAAGGGGGAAGATCAGACCGCAGGTTGAGAAAAGTGAAAGGTGAAGTTGGTATGTAAATCAGAAAACTTAAATGGAAATTGCATGATTAGTAAAGAGGTTGAATGTGGTGTAGCATTATAAATGGTATGAGTGGTGCTTCAGCAGCAAGGACTTCCCATTAGACTGGGTGGGTATTGAGCTGGGGTAAATGTCAGCTGTAAGATTTGAGAGATTTTGAGGGATGGAATGTTGAGCGGAGAAAATAATGACTCAGTAATTTTCTAGTTAGCATGGTAAACCCCTCAGGGAATATTTTCTGCACATGAGGAACATACAGCCCATTTCTCCTCTCCCACTTCATTCTAAAATGTGATTTCAGCTTCAAAAAGTGTATGATACATGCATACATATATACACAGGTGTGTGTACAAACACACACCCATCTAAGGTTTCAGAGGGCTCATTTGGTTACATCTCCACCTAGGATTGTATTTTGTACAATGGAGAATGTGAGCTCTGTGAAAACAGAAACTGATTGTGTATTTTGTTCACTGCTTTATGCCAAATGTCAGGCAAATAACTCTGTCAATAAAAGATCACTAACAGATATTGGGTGAGTGAGTGAGTGAATATCATTCATTCTTGGTTTTATAGCAAATCCTCTAATTTTCTGAGGTGGAGATCAAAATCTCATTTTCACCATAGAAGGCTTCGTTTATTCATCATCACCATAGAAGGCTTTATTTTGACCTGTAAACTTATTTGAAAACAATGGACAAAATGCACACTTCATGAAGAAAAAATCTCAATACTTAATAATACTCTTATATAAGTAGGTTTTCGTGTTACTATGCTCTATATGAAGAAAAGTCTGGGCATTCAACTATTGGGAAAATGTTTACATATATAGGGATGATGATAAATTTTCAAACAAATTTATTTGGGAACTAAAAGATTACTGAAAGCCACTGTCTTTTACAAATGCACAAGATGCAAAGCTCAGTTAAATAAAGATATAAATAAAAACCAACTTTTGTTTTTTTTTTTGAGACGGAGTCTTGCTCTGTCACCCAGGCTGGAGTGCAGTGGCGCGATCTCGGCTCAGTGCAAGCTCTGCCTCCCGGGTTCACACCATTCTCCTGCCTCAGCCTCCCACGAGTAGCTGGGACTACAGGTGCCCACCACCACGCCTGGCTATTTTTTTGCATTTTTAGTAGAGACAGGGTTTCACCGTGATAGCCAGGATGGTCTCGATCTCCTGACCTCATGATCCGCCCGTCTCAGCCTCCCAAAGTGCTGGGATTATAGGTGTGAGCCACCGCGCCCGGCCACCAACTTTTTTTTTTTAATTGTACTTTAAGCTCTGGGATACATGTGCAGAACGTGCAGGTTTGTTACATAGGTATACACATGTCATGGTGGTTTGCTGCACCCGTCAGCTTGTCATCTACATTAGGTATTTCTCTTAATGCTATCCCTCCCCTAGCCCCTGACCCCCTGACAGGCCCCAGTGTGTGATGTTCCCCTCCATGTGTCCATTTATTCTCATTGTTCAACTCTCACTTACAAGTGAGAACATGTGGTGTTTGGGAAAGCCAACTTTTAAAAACGAATATTGAAATGTCATTGATGTCAGGTTAGCACTGGTGGAAGATTTTAAAAGCTTCTCAAAACTGACATTTTTAATCAAAGTAATATTTTTAATAATAGTTCCTCTGTGATCATGGCAATCACTCGTGTTATTCAGAATCTATTTTTTGATACACGTACATAGGTACAGCTCTAAATGTGGGTGGTGTAGGCAGCACATAGACAGTGCGATCCGAAGGTCACAAAAAGGGCTACATTTCCCTAAATCCATCCACATAGTCAATAATATAATGTTGGGTTTGTTGAGAATGCTATAATATTATTTGAACATATTATTCTGTGATCTTATCTCTACCACATCAAATAGGGAGAGTATGTAGCAACAGATGTTTGAGGAATTTAAGTGACTTACTTAAGACCATATAGCTAATAAATAATAGAGCTGAGACTCAAGCCAAAGTCTTCTTACTCATAATCTAATGTTCTTTTTTCACTATAACAGTGTCGTTTTAGGTGCCTCAATTCCCTGCACTAGGGATCTTCCTTTGTTAGAACAGTCATATCTCAAGATGTAATACATTAAACCAAAAAGAATAATTGACTCTTGGAAAGAAAAATCATAGGTCTAAGGAGATGAAATGCAGAATAGGTAAATTTTGAAGATTAAAAATTAAAAGTTCCATGGACAGATCACTGTTGTTGATGAAGACATCTGGACAAGCCAGGTAACATCACACTGACAGAATTATTTGCCTGACATCTGGCACATTAAGGAGGCCCTTAATAGCTGGCACATAGAAAGCACACAAGCTTTGCGGATTATCACTGGAAGCTGAAGTAACTGGAGTAGGGATTGAATCTGAAGATGGGTTGAGACCAGAGCCCAAGACTAACCTCTTTTTGATTAGAAACTATCATATATATATATATTTTTTACCAAAACACATAATTTTCTTTGAAAAGTGACATTTTCTTTTTGGGCAGTAAAATAAGTTATTTCAAAGTTCTAATGTTCAAATACTAGACTTTTTTTAAAACAAATTATTATTATTATTTTCTAGACAATTGAACACTTCCAACAAAGTTATGCAATAGGAAATAAAGAAGAAAGACCATTTTAAATATGCATGACTCCCATCTCCCCACTCTTTAAGACACACATAGATCTGGACATTAAAGGTGAATATTTTTCTGTGTAGAGAAAAGCATGGATTGGGAAACACCGAGACCTGCCCTCCTTTCATCCCTTAGGATTTAAGTGTCCCAACGAGGGCTCCATGCTAGAGAGTTACGTTTACTGGACATGAGTGAAAAGTACTGTAGTCCATGTGCAGGGAGGACTAATAAAGATATTTGAGTCCAAAGTAGACACTTGAAGGCTTCAGACCCAGTCACCACAGGCAAGTAAGTGCTTGTTCAGAAAAGTCAGATGAGGAGCTGACATTAAGTACCTTCTAACTGCATAGTCATTTTACCTTCATTTTATGGCTTGCTATCAAAACCTCTTTTATTTAAGATTCTAACAGTTGATAAAAAGCCCAGATTAGATTTTGCTAGAAAGAAAAAAATTTAAGTTAGCGTCAAGTCCTCCTCTTTTTAAAGAACAATTTTTCAGAGATGGAGTCTCAGTCTACACCCAGGCTACAGTGCAGTGGCATGATCATGGCTCACTACTGCCTTGAACTCCTCAGTTCAAGAGAGAGCTTCCCACCTCAGCCTCCGAAATTGCTGGGACTGCAGGTGTGCACGACCATACGTGGCTAATTAAAAAAAATTATTTAGAGATGAGATTTCACTATGCTGTTGAGGCTGGTCTCCAAATCCTAGGCTTAAGCAATCCTCCTGCCTCAGCTTCCTGAGAACCTCTTGATTCTTTGTGTCATTAGTTTTAGAAAACTCTCCTGAGACAAAGTGTAAGGCCACAAAGAAGCTACTCAGTAAAGAGTGCTCTGCCTATTAAACAAAATAGCTTTATGTATGTAAAATATTTTGAAGACTGCTTGATTTTAAAAAACAAGGTTTGTGTCTTAATTCCAGTTGATTTTTATTTTTATTTCTTTTTAAAACCAATTTTCAACTCAGCTCACCATATTTCCAGCCCTAAACTTGACATTTTGTATGATACTAAGACCAATTTATTTGAGAACAGAGACTTTTAGTTTTGTTTTTTTATTTGTATCTTTTTTTTTTAAAAAAAACCATTTTCTTGAGCAATTAATAGAGAGGAAAATTTGTTTAATAAAGAAGAGGATGAGATAGAGGACTCTCTGTAACATGGCATCAGCATTCATTTAGCAAATATTTACTAAGCAACTGTGGTATGTAAGGCATTGTCCTAGATGGCAGGGACACATCAGCAAAAAATGCAAACAAACCAGAAGTCTCCACCCTTGTAGATCTTATTTTCTTGCTGGGGAGATGGAGAGTTAAGGAATAAATAAGTAAATTTTACAGAATGCTAGAAGATGGTAAATGCTATGGAGAAAAATAAAACATGAAAGGAGATAAGAGTGTCAAGTGTGGGTGGGTTGCAATAATAAACAGGACCATCAGGGAAAGCTATCCAGAGATAGGAATGTTTGAGCAAAGATTTAAAAGAGGTAAGAAAACAATTTACCTAAATATTTAGGGGAGGAGGTTTCCAAAGAGAGGAAACAGCAAGTGCAAAGCAATAAGGCAACAGAAGGCCAGGCAATGTGGCTCATGCCTGTAATCTCACCACTTTGGGAGGCTGAGGTGGAGGCTGACTTGAGCTCCCGAGTTCAAGACCAGCCTGGGCAACATAGTGAGACCCTGTCTCTACCAAAAAAAAAAAAAAAAGAAAGAAATGAGGCAAAGGAATTCCTGCAAGGCAGCCTGCATAGCTGAAGTAGTGATCCAGCAGCAGGGAATAGTAAGAGCCTGTCAAAGAGGGGATGGATGGGCCAGACCACATTGGCTCTGAATGCTTTTGTAACGTTTTTATGCTGAATAAAATGGGAAGCCATTACAGGATTTTGAAAAGAGAACTGATATGCTTTGACTTAACAGTGTAAGTACTTCACTCTGGCTGCTATCTTAAGAATTTTCTGTTTGGGAATAAGGATAGGAGGAGAGAGACTGATTAGAAAGTCATTATAATAATCCAGGGGTGCAAGGCTGCTTGTTTGAAAATAGTGAGAAGTGGTCAGATTCTGGATATATTCTGAACAGAGAGGCAACAAGATTTGCTCAGGGGTTGAATGTGATCTCTTAAGTAAAGAAAGCAATCCAGGATGACTCTGAGGTTTTTGACCTGAGCAACTGGAAGTATGTTGTTGCTATTTACCAGTGTGAGAAAGACAGTTTGAGGGAAAGATCAAGAGCTCCATTTGGACATGTCAAGTTGTGACATCCATCCTAGAGTACATGGCCAGTTGAGGGTTATGAGCCTAAAGGTCCAGGGAGAGATCTCTGCTGAAGATTTGGGATACATTTGAAGATTGTTGGCCTACCAGAGAGTATTTAAAATAACACAACTGGGTTAACAGAGAGTGCATGATAGGGAAGATACAGGACCAAGAACTGAGCCCCAGGACACTCTGATGTTAAGAAGCTGGGGCAAGAACAGAAGCCAGGACTTCAGACTGAGAACAACAGTGACCAGTCAGGGAGAAAAAAAAACCAGAGACACTTGTGATGGACTCCAAGTGAAGGAAGTGCTTCAGGAGGAAGGAGTGATCAGCTTTGGAAATGTTTCTGATAGGGTAACATGGGCACTGACTATTGGATTTAGATCTGTGAATTTATTTTTTGGATTAGAGTCAAAGTTTCTTTCCCTCTGGCTTCTGCTCATTGTATTTTTCAGTCGATCGTCCTGCTTTCTGAAGCCGGGTCTGAGTCATCCTGGAAATAGATGCTTATAAGTTCTGGCCTAGTGTCAGGTCATGTGTCTGTTTTCCCTGCCTCTTCAAATTCTAAAGCAACCAATTTCCTGATAGGGTTAGGTCAAAACCTCTTGTATGTATAGTGGGTGGTAACAGAGAAGAGGCCAAGAAGAATTGAATCTCATTCTCCCAGTGCATTTCCAATGTGATTTAGTGTACAGACTGTCAAAGAATATTATGCTTCAAGAGTAACAAGATAGGTGGCCCTTTGGTTCTTTTTTCAGGGAATATGAAAAACTGAAAAAGATGAAGAAATAAGGTATCACAGATTTGGAATTTAAATTATAAATTTGCACATCACGTCTTATGGCATTGGTATTTCAATACTCTATCTAGTCTTCTAGTTCATAAATCAAGAATTACAACACATTCCCAGAACAATGAAAATAGGTAAACTATGGCTAAAAAGCACTTTAAAGATTTGTAGCAACTTAGCAGTTCTCTAAAAATAAAATTTCCTCGGGAGAATAAAATGTTATTTCTATCACAGTGCAAACACCAGATAACTGAAATGTAATAAATCATTTATAAGCTGACTTAAAGAAAGCTTTTATATATTTTGATTAGAAAACAAGTTAAAGAGATGCAGTTCACAAGTTTATTGTATTTTTCTTTGTATACCAATTTTTCTAATTAAGACTTTACTTTGCATAGGTTTTTCATAAGAAAAAATAAATACATATTTCAGGAAGTATCTTTGAATTTTACAAATCTATTCTATACTGAAGATCCAATATCAGAATAAAAATTCCTGTTTTATTTACCTATTGCTACATAATAAATCACTTAAAATCTTAACAGCCTCAAACTACAATTTTATTATCTGTGTGATTTTGTTGGTTAAGTGGGCTCAGCTGGGTGTTTGAATGTATGCAGCAAAGTGGTTTTTCTGTTCCATGTGCTGTTGGCTAAGACTGTGGTCATCAGGATACTGGCTATGCTACAGTACAAGTCGGCTCACTCACATAGCTGGCAGTTGGTGCTGGCTCTTGCTGGGAACTCAGCTGAGGCGTTAGGGTGTCTTGGTTCCTCTGCATGGCCTCTCTATATGTTTTAGGATTCCTGTAGCAAGGGAGCTAAATTCTAAAAGGTTCAAAGTGGAAACTGTCAGTGTTCTTAAGGCCTGGGCTTGGAAGCATAGGAATGTCATTTCTGCTGTATTCTGTTGGTCAAAACCAGGCACCAGTTTAGCACAGATTCAAGAAAAGGAAATAATTTAGGAAATGGCCTAAGCACCCAAGAAGAAAAAAAATATTGAAGGCTATCTTTGGAGATTAGCTACCAGAATTTGTCCCCTGGCTTCAACAGTTAATGTTTCTACAATATGCAAAATATCCTCACCATTCCCTAAAATCCCAAAAGCCTTATTCCATCATGACAGAGCTCAAAGTCTAGCCATTGTCATTAAATCAGGTACAGTATAGATGGGGCTCCTCAGGTGCAGTTCCTTGGGTACCAAGAACCATAAACTAACAGATAAATTATCTGTCATCCATGTTCCTAACTTAAAATGTTAATATAGGATGGTACAACTATAATTGTTTAAAAAGGGATAAAGTAGGAAGTCCATAGAAGTCACCATTTCATAGCAACTCTGAAATCCAGCTATGCATAAGTTGTCATTTATTCTGATTTCAGGGATTGGGGAATATTCTTTGATTAGGGCAGTTCTACTCCCTGGGAGTGAATTCTGTGGTTCTTGGATGTACTTAGTCTTTGGACTCTTTATTTTGCCCTCTGAATCATATCTCCTTTTCCATAGAAATAACTACCATTTAGAGTTGTGTAGCTTTTTCAGCCTGCTTTCTACCCATAGGAGCTTGGGGGCCCAGATGCTTTTTAATTTTAAATTGTCTTTGTACTATTTGGTCCAAGCTTTTACAATTCTTTAAAAAATGATGTGGGTTTTCCATGTATCAAATTACAATCTCTATTAGAAAAAAACACCTACAAATTTCAAGCAGGCCTATCTCTACCTTGGGCTATGGGACATCTTAAAAATTCTTAGAAGCTCTTTTTTGTGTATGTGATAAACAGAGTATAAGAATAATGCCTTTATGGGGCTGGGCGTGGTGTCTCATGCCTGTAACCCTAGCACTTTGGGAGGCCAAAGCAGGCAGACCACTTGAGGCCAGGAGTTTGAGACTAGCCTGGCCAATATGATGAAACTCTGTCTCTACCAAAAATACAAAAATTAGTCAGGTGTGCTGGTGCATGCCTATAGTCCCGACTACTGGGGAGGCTGAGGCACGAGAATCACTTGACACTGGGAGGTGGAGGTTGAAGTGAGCTGAGATAGCACCATTGCACTCCAGCCTGGGTGAGAGAGTGAGATCCTGTCTCAAAAAAATTTAAAAAATAATAATAAAATAAATAAAAGATTCTTGGAGGCCCACTTTTTTAACTGAGAGAGTCTATGAGACTTGATCTTAAGATTCTTAGAAGTTCTTTTGTCTGGCTGGGAGCATCTAAAAGGTACTCCATTACATTTTTCTGAGATCTCAACACAGAATCTTACAACCACACCCCTGCACTAATCTTGGCTGTGAGGTGGTGTTTTCCTGGCAGTGCCCTGGCATTGCCTCTAGGTTTCAATTTACTTTGAGTATATTTTGTGACCTGGGAGTTTGAGAATGACAAAAAAATTTATTTTCCAAACCAGTGATTCTGGGATTGGAAATGTTTCCTCTATATGCTACTTGAAAACAGAACAACTTTTTCTTCAGTTCATCTATTTTTTTTCTTATCACACACAATTAAAAAACAACACTTGGCACTTTCAAAAAATGCCATCTGAAAATGTTCTTAGTTATATCTACAAGCCATCTTCCATACTATTGCAAGCAAAAATGTTGCCAAATGTTTTACGACTACATAACATGGGTAATCTTTTCTTCAGTCTTCAATAACAATGTCCTTACAGTCTGTCCAGCCTCCATTTATAATTTTTGAGGGCTTTCTGCCCTATGCTAGCTACTAGTCCTAAAGCCAATTACATATATTTTAGGTTTTTTTTTTAATAGAAACACTTTACCTCCAGGTATCAATTTTAATTTCAGTTCTAAAACCACCTTTGCAAAATTATGACAGTAAGAGAAATCTGACATAGTTGACTCCATCTTGCTTCTGACCTCCACACTATCCTTGATCCTTCCTGGGTGTAGACCACACTAACTTTGGGAAGAATTCAGTTTATAGTTTAACTTTGAAGCAAGGATCATAATAGTTTCTCCCTACAACTAATCCCTTCCCTGTTCGTGGGCTGTTTTTAAGACTAATGAAAGGTCACAAGATTAGTACTATAGGAGAGGCCAGAGTTCTGCTAAAATGAAGGCACAGTTTCTATAATCCCTGACTTCTCAGGAAGTCACAAGATTTGTAACTTCCCCAATTGCTACTATATATAACATCATTATTGTAGAATCTAAGTGTTTTTTAAAAGATGTTTTTCAGACTGACCCCACCTGGACTTATGACTCATGACTCAACTGGTCCTGTAGCCCCACCCAGAGATAAGCTCAGTGCACAGGGACCATTTTCCACACCCCTATAATTTTATCTTCAACCAGTCAGCAGCACCCTTCCCCTAGCCCCCTGCCTACCAAATTGTCCATAAAACCCCTAGCCTTTGAGCCTCTGGGGAGACTGAAGACAAGACTGAAGACTGGGAGAAGAACTCCAGTTCTTCTGTGTGGCCAGGCTGGAGTCAATAAAACTCTTTCTCTACTCCAATTGCATGATCTCAGTGAACTGGTTTTATCTGTGCTATGGGCAGGAGGGACTCTCCAGGTGATTATAGTTCTAACGGTACCACTAACAAAAATGCAGAACATTTAACAAATACACTTATCCTTAAATATAGTAGCACCAAGAAACCAAGATTCACAGATTTACTAGTGGTTCTTCATGGCTATCTCTATCATCTTTTAATAATAACATACTCATGAGTTATATAGCCCAGATGTAAATTTTTTTTCTGGTGATAAATTATGAAAATTAGTAGACCAAAACCAGGGCATCAAAAATTTGTTCTTAAGAGATTGTTTTAAATATTGTTTTCTATTACAGACTCCGCATTCTCCTCTATTCTCCCAGTCACCTAGACTCAAAAATGTAAAACTATCTTGAGTTTTTTCTCTTTCCTACCCTCCTGCTAGTCACTCATTATATTCTATAGATTCGGCCTTTGCAGAATCTTTCATATCAATCCCATCTTCTCCATGGCTTTTACTGAGTTCAATCGTCTCCTGCAGGATAATTTGAAATACTGTATATTGTTTTTTTGCCCTTGTAATAGAGCTCCTAAAACCCCTGGAATTTCCTGAGTGATAGGAGTATTTATTTTTTGATAGTCACAATAAGCCCCTTTGATAACACTTGAATTCATGCTAATGAGGTTACATGGGGTGGGACCTAATAGCCCCAGAATAGGGCTGGTCACGAGAAAGACCAAGTAATTAGACAACTAGAGAGTACTTTCAGCTTCACTCACCAACCTCTAGGAAAGGTGGGGCAAGGGGGCTAAAGAGCATGCTCTATAAAAATTCTTAAACAATGGCCAGGTGCTGTGACTCACTCCTGTAATCCCAGCACTTTGGGAGGCCAAGGCAGGCGGATCTCCTGAGGTCAGGAGCTTGAGACCAGCCTGGCCAACATGGCGAAACCCCATCTCTACTAAAAATACAAAAATTAGCCGGGCATGGTGGCAGGTGCCTGTAATCCCAGCTATTCAGGAGGCTGAGGCAGGAGAATCACTTGAACCCAGGATGTGGAGGTTGCAGTGAGCCAAGATCATGCCATTGCACTCCAGCCTATCAGGGGTTTTTGCTTTTGTGTCTCTCTCATTTTCTCTTGGTACCACCATGTAAGAAGTGCCTTTCGTCTCCCACCATGATTCTGAGGCCTCCCCAGCCATGTGGAACTGTAAGTCCAATTAAACCTTTTTCTTCCTAGTCTCAGGTATGTCTTTATTGGGTATGAAAACGGACTAATACAGTCAACTGGTATCAGTAGAACGGGTGTTGCTGAAAAGATACCTGAAAATGTGGAAGTGATTTTGGAACTGGGTAACAGGCAGAGGTTGGAATAGTTTGGAGGGCTCAGAAGAAGACAGGAAAATGTGGGAAAGTTTGGAACTTCCTAGAGACTTGTTGAATGGCTTTGACCAAAAGCCTGATAGTGACATATATAATAAGGTGTAGGCTGAGGTGGTCTCAGATGGAGATGAGGAACTTGTTGGGAACTGGAGCAAAGGTGACTCTTGTGATGCTTTAGCAAAGGGACTAGCAGCATTTTGCCCTGCCCTAGAGACTTGTGAAACTTTGAACTTGAGAGATGATTTAGGGTATCTGGCAGAAGACATTTCTAAGCAGCAAAGCATTCAAGAGGTGACTTTGGTACTGTTAAAAGCATTCCATTTTAAAAGGGAAACAGAGCATAAAATTTTGGAAAATTTAAGGCCTGATGATGCAGTAGAAAAGAAAAACCCATTTTTCTGAGGGAAAATGTAAGCCGGCTGCAGAAATTTGCATAAGAAACAAAGAGCTGAATGTTAATCCCCAAGACAATGGGGAAAATGTCTCCAGAGAATGTCATAGGTCTTCATGCAGCCCCTCCCATCACAGACCCAGAGGCCTAGGAGGAAAAAGTGGTTTTGTAGGCCTGGCCCAGGGTCCCCATGCTGTGTGCAGCCTAGGGACTTGGTGCCCTGTGTCCCAGCTGCTCCAGCCATTGTTAAAAGGGGCCAAGGTACTGCTCAGCCCATGGTTTCACAGGTTGCAAGCCCCAAACTTTGGTGGCTTCCATGTAGTGTTGAGCCTGTGGGTGCACAGAAGTCAAGAACTGGGGTTTGGGAACCTCTGCCTAGATTTCAGAAGATGTATGGAAATGCCTGGATGCCCAAGCAAAAGTTTGCTGCAGGGGTGGGGCCCTAATGGAGAACCTCTGCTAGGGCAGTGTGGAAGGGGAATGTGGGGTCAAAGCCCCCACACAAAGTCCCTACTGGGGCACTGCCTAGTGGAGCTGTAACAAGAGGGCCACCGTCCTCCAGACCCCAGAATGATAGATCCACCGACAGCGTGCACTGTGTGCCTGGAAAAGCTGCAGACAACACCGGCCTGTGAAAGCAGCCGGGAGGGAGGCTGTACCCTGCAAAGCCACAGGGGTGGAGCTTCCTATGACCATGGGAGCCCACTTCTTCCATCAGTGTGACTGGATGTGAGATATGGAGTCAAAGGAGATCATTTTGGGGCTTTAAAATTTGACTGTCCCGCTGGATTTTGGACTTGCCTGGGCCCGGTAACCCCTTTGTTTTGGTCAATTTCTCTCATTTGGAATGGCTGTATTTACCTAATACCTGTATCCCCATTGTATCTAGGAAGTAACTAGCTTGCTTTTGATTTTACAAGCTCATAGACAGAAGGGACTTGCCTATGTACATGTATGTATACACACAAACACATATAGTTATGTACCACTGAACAACATTTCAGTCAGTGGCAGATCACATATTTAACAGTGGTACCAAAAGATTGTGTGTTTACGATACCTTTTCTGTTTAGATACACAAATACTTACCATTGTGTTACAATTGCCTGCAGTCTTCAGTACAATAACTATATAAATGACTGTAGTACTAAGTGTTACATAGTATGAGGATGGATGTTACAATGAATTGCTTTAGGAGATAACAGAAGAGAAAGGAGTATGTCCCTCTGGGCAAAGTGAAAAGATTTCGTGGAGAAGATGGCATTAGACTATTTGGTTTGTAGGCATACACATGGTCATAAGAGACGACATGACAAGCTGGGGAGAGGAGTACAGGCAATGTGTAAGAAGCAGTGAGCAGATAATTTTGCTGGAGTGTGTGTGGCCTCAATGGAAATAATAGGAAATAAGGCTGGAATGGTACTATAGCGAAAGCATCAACACTACTTCCATTTGGTAATGATTTACTCTGTGAAGGAAAGCAAATGAAGCATCTGGACAGATGCCTAAAAATGTGGAAATGTACTCCCCGGACTGGTTTGAGTTTGGCAACATGCTTTAGATTTGTAGACTGAGAGTTGTATTGATCAAGGTATTCAAGCACACAAGAAAGTGTAACCAGAATTTGGGTAAACTACCACCAGGTGGTAGCAGATATGCTGATTTCATGATCCAGATGACTGGATTTAAGCTGAGCCAGTTCAGAATTCTGTTTCCAGTCTCTTATGCATGTATATGTTTGTTTGCATAGCATATAATCATATCGAGACCCATATTTGTGTAAAATAATTTGCTTCAAACAATATAACAGCATCCATATTGACAGAAACAATACAACGTGTTTCTCTGTCAAACATTTTATTCTTACCTGCAGAATGTACAGGGATATAATCTAATCCAATGAGGAGGTTGGAAACTACTATTCCAGATATCATTTCAAATAAATAAGAAAATATACATCTTTATTTGGAAATCTTCTGCTTGAAAATTGAGGTTGGAAGCTGAGTTAAAACTGAGAGAGATTGGGGAGAGGTCAAGATTTGGCTTATTCACAGAGAGTGGGTGGAATATAAGGGCTTCAGATGGCAGGCAAATCTACTAGAGACATTGCTAGAGTCTTCTTAGATCATCTAACAATCCTTCCAACAGCCCTGTGAAGTAGAAAGTATTATCTCCGTTGAAACATAAGGAGACTGTAGTTCGAAGGGCTTAAGCAATTATCTAACTTATTTGTACAAATGAGTAACAGATCTGGAATTTGAACTCACCTCTGGCTTCCACTTCATGTCTTTGTTTTAATTTAGTTCTCACTGAGATTTAGCATTTCCTTCAGTTATGCATGTAGGTAACAAACAACGAATATAATTTATAGATATTTTCATATCAAATTAGTTATTTTATATATATATATAAAATTTTTGAGACAGAGTCTCATTCTGTTGCTCAGGCTGGAGTGCAATGGTGCAATCTCGGCTAACCACAACCTCCGCCTCCCGAGTTCAAGCAATTCTCCTGCCTCAGCCCCTGAGTAGCTGGGATCTATCCGCCACCACACCCAGCTAATTTGTTTGTAGTTTTAGGAGAGACGGGGTTTCACCATATTGGTCAGGCTTGTCTCGAACTCCTGACCTCAGGTGATCCACCCACCTTGGCCTCCCAAAGTACTGGGATTACAGGTGTGAGCCACCCCACCTGGCCATATATTGATATCTTGTATATTCCCATGACTACTTCCAAATCATTGTAGTGACTGGACTCACCACTACAGCTATTATTTATGCATTTACATTCTTGAGGCAGCTTTATGCTGCATTTTTATTTTAGAAGATTATACTATATGACATTTCAATGAATTGAGGCTCAAGAAGGTAAAGTATTGTGTATTATTTTCTTTTTTTCTTTTCCTGGGCTTTAACAGTGCAGAATTGTAGAATCACGATTTTTCATTCATTGTAAATTTAATTGACTTCATGAATCCAGCAGTTGCAGTTTGAAGATTTGTTATCAATATGACATTTATTCATTTGTAAGTGTTTTGTTCTTTCCCTCTGGAAGCTTTTAGAATTTTTTTCTTTTTTATGCTACTCTGAAATTTCACTATAAATGCCTCCTTATCTAATCTCTTTGGTATTCCTTGTGTCCTTTCAATCTGAACATATACATACACACACACATACTGTGTGTGTACGTGTGTGTGTGTGTGTATGCTGATCCAAGTGCTGAGTATTCATGTATATAGTCACATGGGTATATAGGCAACTACCACAAAGATGAAGGTATGGAATATTATCAGCAGACAAAAAGCTTTCTCATACCCTCTCACAGTCAATAGCCATTTGAAGGTAGTCATTGTTCTGATCTCTATCATTCTGGTTTAGTTTTGTTTTAAAAATTAATTTAAATGAATCACATAATATATACTTTTTTGTGTCTGGTTTCTTTTGTTCAAACTTATGTATGAGCAATTCATGCATTATTTATTCATCAGATGTTGGGTTCTCTAAAAACACATACTGGGCGGGGAAGAGAGTTGAACTGTGATGCAGGCTTGATAAAACCTCTGTTGAGTATTGCCCATCACAGCGTCCTACGCTGAGTTGAAATGGCTAAGCATTTACACCCTTCCCTACATATTCAGTACCTAGGTGTGAACTGCCCTGCAAAGGGCAGACCACAAACAAGGCAATTTGCAATTGAGGCAGTCCATGGAAGAGGTGGACAGGTGTAAGGTATCTGCTGATTGTTGTGACTGGTCAGTCAATTCTAGGGTAGG
The DNA here is from genome assembly GCF_000001405.40 of Homo sapiens. Taxonomy (NCBI): domain Eukaryota; kingdom Metazoa; phylum Chordata; class Mammalia; order Primates; family Hominidae; genus Homo; species Homo sapiens. Next base: position 152,959,287 of record NC_000003.12, on the reverse strand, counting down.
ATTTTTAAAAAAGGAAAGAAATGGGCTGAAAATAAGTAATATGAATGTGAGATTAATATCCTACTGCTTTGAAATAAGTGAAAGCTTCTTTTTAAAATCCTTATAAAAGAAATATTTTTTTTGGAAGCTGCATCTGGGTAACACATTATCACTTTTTTTTTAGATGGAGTCTCACTCTGTCGCCCAGGCTGTAGTGCAATGGTGCTATCTCAGCTCACTGCAACCTCTGCCTCCTGGGTTCAAGCCATTCTCCTGCCTGAGCCTCCCGAGTAGCTGGGACTACAGGCGTGCACCTCATGCCCGGCTAATTTTTTTATATTTTTAGTAGAGATGGGGTTTCACCATGTTGACCAGGCTGGTCTCAATCTCCTGACCTCAAGTGATCTGCCCACCTCAGCCTCTCAAAGTACTGGGATTATAGGCATGAACCACCGCACTGGCCACATGATCACATTTTTGCTGTGTGATATTATATCATATGAATATAGCTTTACAATAGGTCTTGATTTCTGATAGTTTAAGTCTATAGTTTTATACTTCTTCAAAATTGCCTTGGCTATTTCTAACTTTTTGAATCTTCATATGAATTTTAGAATTACCACGTTAATTTTGACACATACAGCAAAATATACTGTCTGGGAGAAGTTAGTGCCTAAAAGGGGCTAATTCATCAGGGAAAATGTGTGGAAGCTGATGGAGACAATGAGCTGGATCCCATATAGCTGAGGTATGACTGCAGTGCACTCTAACTTCTCTCACTGAACTCTAGCACAGTTTAAACATTTTCACTGATTTGCATTAGTGGGTTTATTACAGCAGGGTTTGGTCTGCACAGTAAATATTTTGCAAGTTGTTATAGTTTTGTGTAGTGTTGTTATAACGGATAGAAATATTCAGATAGTCAGAATTTGTATGCTAAAGAAAACATGTATTCTATGATTACACACACATTTCTATCTCTTAATTTATACTTTGTGAACTATGTTTATTGGGAATGTATGGTGGAATTTTGTAATACATTTTATTCTGTTAATGCAGCTTTGGTGGACATTGTGAGCAGAAGCCTACAGAACCTAGTAATGAATGTAGCTAGCCATTTCATACTCCAGTGCCTACAGCTGAACACGGAGTAAGGAAAGTAAATGGTAGTTTAGTCTTCCTGGCTACTGTGTCATTTCCAGTTGGGGAATGTAATATGTTAAATTGAGTTGAGACACATTATTACACTGATGCATGCCTCCCTTGATTGTAAATAATAAATCTGTGGTATTTTAAAACAGTGGGACAATGCTTTCAATCTGGATAGAGTAAAATTTAGTATGGCAGCCAATATATGTTTAGTTCCAATTAAATACAAATAGAATCTTTGGTATTGTTAGAAGGCGCTTCTGACAATGAATTAAAGTGTAGATTAGGTAAATAAAAATGTATGTAATATAAACATAAATCTGTGTAGACAGATGTATGAGGGGACATGTGAAATGGTGAAAAGATGGAATTCAAAGATACTGAAGACTTGAATCTCAGTTCTAGAATCATGACTCACTAGTTATATTTGAAGAAGGTACTCAGTTACTTCATTAGCAAAGTGAAAGCTGTTTATGTAATCGCTTCACTTTGCTCAGGTCTTTGATAGGCACATATTTAGCAATGCTCCCTCACCTCCCATTTGCAGCTAATAATTGTATAGCTGTGAGCTGACCTTTGGTTCCAATTCTAATTTTTGGAGTAACTGGCTTTAAGGCTATGTTGAAAAGAATTCTGAGGTCTCCTCTGGGCTTGGTAAGAATGAGCGACATAATGGATAAATGATGTTTGCTTTAGACATGGGAGGAGGACATGACCATACATGAGCCACAGGTTGGCTTTCCCTGCTACATTTACTACTTCAGAACTACAGTAAGAGTAATGGTTTTTGAACTGGAAAACTTAATTACATAAACCAGAGGAAGATAAATTATCATTTGTTGGATACATTATGTATGATAGAAATTATAGTAATAATCTTTGGACCCTCCCCTTTCCTTTCTGCCACCAAGCTGGACTGGGACAAAGGTTTATAGTGATGTTAACACTATGTCTACCACTCTCTCATATGGGAGAGTCCTGAATGCATTAACTTAGTAATGTGACATTGGGGTAAACATTTTTCACCTGATGCAATTCAAACATTCCATTTTCTTCTTAACAGGGCTGATGTCCCAAAAGTCTTATTCTTTTCCATGCACCAAAAATCAAACCAAACAAAACCAAGAAAAAACACCCACAAAATTTTAAATAGCATTTAGCATTTCTTTAATGTCTCTCTAAGCACCAATTGTTCCCTTAGTGCTCCAAATGATGTTTCAAAAGCAAAGTTGCCAAAATACACAGGTGCTAAAGAGGTACAAGTCTCACTGCTCAAGTAAAAGATCCAATTTTATAAGGTTGAGTAAATACACACATGCTCTGAGACATAAAATCTACATTTTCAAGCCTCTCATTCCATAAATTGAAGATTTTAGCTATTTCTAATAGCTAAAGTAGAACATATCAAGGGACTAATTTTCCTCAAGAATAAAGAAGATTGGAAGAAAGTACTAAGAAAGCACACCAACATTCAAGCAAGTCACAATGATAATAAAAAGGAAAATGTGGGCCGGGCGCGGTGGCTCACGCCTGTAATCCCAGCACTTTGGGAGGCCGAGGTGGGCGGATCACGAGGTCAGGAGATCGAGACCATCCTGGCTAACACGGTGAAACCCCGTCTCTACTAAAAATACAAAAAATTAGCCGGGCGTGGTAGCGGGCGCCTGTAGTCCCAGCTACTCGGGAGGCTGAGGCAGGAGAATGGCGTGAACCCGGGAGACGGAGCTTGCAGTGAGCCGAGATCGCGCCACTGCACTCCAGCCTGGGCGACAGAGCGAGACTCCGTCTCAAAAAAAAAAAAAAAAAAAAAGGAAAATGTGAGGAGATTCAACAGCATGTCCTATCTAATGACTTACTTTGAGACTACTGTGAATTATATAAAAGACTCATCAAATCCTCAAGGTATTTATGGCTTTATTGGGTATATAAAATGTATGGCCTGGATTACTGAAGAATAATTAAATTACAAACAAGTAAAGGAAGATGTCCCACAGCTAATATTTTACATAGAAATCAAAGTTTTAATGATGTGTTAAACATTTAAGGGAGTTTTCACAGATCTACTGATGAAGACCTTGCCACATATTTAGTGATACCACATAACATGGAAGTTAAAAGTACATGTAAAGCCTGTATTCAAAGCATGGCTCCACAAACTAACAGTTCTCTGACCTGGATTAAGTTAAGTTTCTGAGCCTATTTCTTCACTTCTTAAATAGGCATAATAATAGTATCCAATATTCTAGAGTTTATGTATATTAAATGACATTTACTACAAGTAACATTTAATAAGTGTCTGCTGTATGCAAGACACTCCTCTGAGAGCCATGTAAAATAGCAATAACGAAAAGGCAGAACTCCTGCCCTCATGGACGGAATATTCTAGTGGGAACTTCATTAACTTAACCATTCATTCAACAAACATTCATTAGATGTGTATCTTGTTTCAAGAAGTCTGTCTCTACTTTTATGATGTTTACTTGAGAGGGCACACAATACACAAAGAGCACAAATGCTTGCAGATAAGTGCGAAGAAGGAAGAGAACAGGATGTTATGGGAGAAAAACAAGGGGGTTATTTTAATTTGAGTGGTAAGGAAGAGCTTTTCTGATAAGGTAATGTTCAGACCAATTTATTTTTTAAAAATCAGAAGGATCAAGACATGAAAAAGCAGAAGGAAAAGATTTCCAGCAGAAGGAAGGACATGGCAAATAGGTCCTTAAATGAGAAAGACTATGGTGCATTTCAGCTAAAGGAAAGTCAGTGCATCTGAGATAGAGCCAGTGAGTGCATGACTGAGTGAAAGGGAAAATGTTTGCATAGGCAGTGGCCAGATCCTTTCTATGCCATGTTTAGAGGTTTGGCTTTCCTTCTAAGTGCCATGGAAGGCATTTAGAAGTTTCAGGCAGGGGAGTAATATGATCCAATTTACCTTTTAACAAGACCACTCTGGCTGCTGTATGGAGAGTGGATTTAGGAGACAAGCCATATTTGGTTACTGAGAATAAGAGGCTGTTACAGAAGTCTAGGTAAACAGTCATGATTTATATGTTGTCGTTGTTGGTAGGTTCTGAAAAAAAAAGGATGAGTTTGAAATATGTTTTGGAAATAAAATTGAAATAGTGGGTTGTACTTTAGACTTGTTGGATGATCTAGAGTCTGGTCTAACCAATGGTACCAAGGTTTCTGGCTTGAACAGGGTAGATGACAGTTTCATTTGAAGTGATACGAAATACTTGGTACAATATGTGACATATGTTACCTGCTCAATAAATGGTCACTTTGAAAAGGTCACTGATAATGCACCTTAAGAAATCAATTCTTTTTACAAACCTTGCTTTACCCAGCAGTGTAGCACAGTGGCCTACAAACTTGCTACTCAAAATGAGGTCCCTGAACAGCAGAATCAGCATCACCTTGGAGTGTGTAAGAAATTTAGATGGTCAGGTTCTTTCCCAGATGTAATGAATTAGATTCCTTACTTTTATAAGATCCTCAGGTGATTCTTATGACATTCATGTTTGAGAAGTACTGGTCTAGTGTAGGGAATAGGAAACTATGGTCCGCAGGCTAAATCTGGCCCACTGCCTGTTTTTGTAAATAAAGTATTATTGGAACACATGCCTATTCCTTCACCTATTGTCTATGCCTACTTTTGCACTATAATGGCAGAGTTGAGTAGTCATGACAGAGGGTAGATGGCCTATAAAAACAAAAATATAGAAAAAGTTTGCCAACCCTTGGTCTAGTGCATTGCTTCTAAAGTAACATGAATTTTAATTCTGGCTCTTCCATTTACTAGGCTTATGACATTAAACACATTATGTAACTATTCTGTGCCTTAGTTTCATCTCTAAAATGAGGATAATAATGGTACTTACTTTGTAAAATGGCTATGGTGAAGAATAAATAATATAACAAGTAAATTGGCATATAGAAAACTCAACAAATATTAGCTATTTTTATTTTTATTTGGTATATAATTTAGCTTACTCATAAAAATGTGCTATAATATTATGATGAAAGAGGCCCTAAGGAAACATTAAGTTGAAAAGCCAATTGGTGTTTGTCATACTGACAATGCCTTCAGGAGAATTGCTGTGCTTTTAAACGTAGCTGTTGGGTGGAGACAGAAAATGGAGCAAAACATTAGCTCAAAATTTTCATGTCTTATTAATATCTGAACAAGAAATTTTTCTAGACTAGGGGTTGGCAAACTGTGGCCTGCAAGTGAACATAGCTTGCTGTCTGTTTTTGTACACCTATGGAGCTAAAATGGTTTGTACATTTGCAAAAGGTTATAGAACAAAACAAAGTAGCAAATAGTAGGTGACAGACTGTGGACCACAAGTTCTCATATGTTTACTATCTGGCCCTTTACAGAAAGAGTTTGCCAACACCTGTTCTAGACAAAAGAAGGTTCTTTATCTTTTATGTTTTCTTTTCTTTTCTTTTCTTTTTTTTTTTTTTTTTTTGAGACAGAGTCTCACTGTGTTACCCAGGTTGGAGTGCAGTGGTGCAATCTCGGTTCACTGCAACTTCCGCCTCCTGGGTTCAAGTGATTCTCCTGCCTCAGCCTCCCGAGTAGCTGGGACTACAGGTGCCTGCCACCACTCCCGGCTAATTTTTTGTATTTTTAGTAGGGACGGGGTTTCACCATGTTGGCCAGGATGGTCTCGATCTCCTGACCTTGTGATCCGCCCGCCTCGGCCTCCCAAAGTGCTGGGATTACAGGCGTGAGTCACTAAGTCCGGCCTATCATTTATGTTTTGAAATAAGCTCAGAGTTAAAAACTCATGTTTATTTTGTGTAAGTACCTTTTCCTCTTTTGGGTTGTTACATTGAGAGAATTAGTTTTGTTTTCTTTCCTTACATATGACACAGTCTGAACATCAGTGCCTTTTTAAAGGTTCATTCTCCTCTTCTTTTTTGATAATATCTCACTTGCCAAAAACCTGTATCTTTGTCACAAACTGTACCATTTCTTTTAATCACTACTGTAAAGATGAAATGCATGTCTAGTTGGTCATTATCTATTATGCAAATTGGTTGCATCTGAGTGAAGCTAGAGCGTTTTTAAATAAATGGCACTCTACTCAGTTTTCATTGTCTAATTGATCCCACCTTGGAATTTACCAAACCTAGCAAGGTAGTTAGAGTTCCCAAAGCTGCTTTTCAATAGACTAAAAGAGAAGACAAGCAGGCAGGCAGGCAGGAAAAAAGAAAGGAAAGAAGGAAGGAGAAAGCAGTGGACACTTTAGGATTGCTTCATTATTGCTTCAGCTGCATCTGCCAAAGCCCACCTGCTTCCACACTGATCTCTTTTTCAGTCTCTCAAGGTTCTGAGTTCAATTCATGTAAGAATCACATAAGGACAGTTTGCATGAATCTCAGAGACTGGCAAAAGCTGTTATGACAATAAATGAATCCACAATCTTTTCCAAGATACCCACAGACATTTCAACTATGGTTCTACCGTAATTTACATCAGGTCAGGTGTTGTCTTTTTTTCTTAAGGCTTGTGATTTTGTAGCTTATTTAGGGACTCTCTATCGGTAGAGATCTGCATAATTAATTTCCTAAATTTGCTAGTTAAAAAGTATGTGCATATTTAGAAAGAATGACTTGTAAAGAAACATATTTATTGAGAATAACTTTTGATAAATGCCATGTAAATTACCTGGGGTTCTTGAACAGTATTCTAAATAATTCAGTAATTGACAACATTTGGTCTAAGCTTTTAATGGTATTCTCATTAAACTTATAGTGAGCTTCTTTAAAAGTATTTCTCCTTTGTTCTTTACAAATTGCCTGATAATAGATATAAGTTGGAGATGCAGTTTTTGTCCCAGAGTACAACAGTAGAAATAATGAGTTAAATACAGGTGGAGGAAGATTCTGGCTTATGAGAAAAACTTCTAGAACTGCATTGTCTAGTATGGTAGCTGCTAGCCACATGTGGTTATTGAACACTTGAATATGGCTAGTTAGACTGAGAAATTAATTAATTTTTTTTTTTTTTTGTGACAAGATCTTGCTCTGTCACCCAGTCTGGAGTACAGTGGCACCATCATAGCTCACTGTAGCCTCGAATTCCTGGGCTCAAGTGATTCTCCCTCCTTAGCCCCTGAGTAGCTTGGACTACAGGCATGCACTACCACACCTGGCTAATTTTTAAGTTTTTCGTCGAGAGAAGGTCTCACTATGTTGCCCAAGCTGGTCTCTAACTCCTGGCCTCAAGTGATCCTCCTGCCTTGGCCTCCCAAAGTGTTGGAATTACAGGTATGAGCCACCATACCTGGCCTAAATTTGTAATACTATTTAATTTTCCTTCATTTAAATTTATTTATTTATTTATTGAGACAGAGTCTCGCTCTGTCACCCAGGCTGGAGTGCGGTGGCATGATCTCTGCTCAATGCTACCTCGACCTCCCAGGTTCAAGTGATTCTCCTGCCTCAGCCTCCCGAATAGCTGGGATTATGGGTGCGTGCCACCACGGCCAGCTAATTCTTGTATTTTTAGCAGAGACAGGGTTTTGGCATGTTGGTCAGGCTGGTCTCACAATCCTGACCTCAGGTGATCCACCCGCCTCAGCCTCCCAAAGTGCTGAAATTACAGGTGTGAGCCAGCACGCCCGGCCACTTAATTTAAATTTAAATTTAAACTTAAACTTAAACTTCAATAGATACTCAATTAAGTATTGGAATTTTTTTTTTTTTTTTTTTGAGACAGGGTCTCTCTCTGTCACCCAAGCTGGAGTGCAGCGGCCCAGTCTCAGCTCACTGCAGCCTGGACCTCTCAGGCTCAAGCAATCCTTCCACCTCAGTCTCCTGAGTAGCTGGAACTACAGGTGCATGCCACCATGCCTGGCTAATTTTTTTGTATTTTTGTAGAGGTGGGATCTCGCAATGTTGCCCATGCTGGTCTTAAACTCCTGGGCTCAAGCGATCCACACCCCCTTGCCTCCCAAAGTGCTGGGATTACAGGCATGAGCCACTGCACCTGGCCTGAAAAGCTTTTAAGCAGGTTTGAAACAATTAGGTATGGGAATATACCTTTTTAACTACATTTTTCAACAAAATACAGATCAAATATTTTAAACAAATTTAGCTGTTCAAATTGAAATAAACTGGAAGTTAAAATACACACTGGAATTCAAAGTCTTAGTATGAAAAATGCAAAATATCCTATTAATATTTTTAAATATTGATTTACATTTTGAAATATTATTTTGAGTATGTTGAATTAAATAAAATATATTATTAAAATTAATTTCACCTGTGTCTTTTTACCTTTATAAACATGGTTATTAGATAATTAAAAATGACTTATTTTACTTTATATTTCTATAAGACAGCACTTATCTATGACAATTCAAAATCCAAGAGTGGCTTCCAAAAGCAGTGAGTTTAACATTGCCGAATACATTCAAACTATTCACTGAGAAGCTGAGCCCAGCTGAATTCTCAGCTTCTTCTCAAGTCTACTTCATTCATTCATTCTCTTAGCATGCATTTATTGATTATCTACTATGTGCCATGCACTTTGCTAAGCATTGGTCCCTTACATCAAGATAGAGGTACAAGTTAATTTAATAAAAGGCAATAAATATTATAATAGCGATATATATACACTATGGTGTTAAGAATGTCAGAGAAGAAGCATCAAGATCTTTCTGAGGAGCTGTCATTTGATTCACACTTGCAGGATAAGTAGGAATTTTACAGGTTTAGAGAGGGAAGGAGGAAATTCTTGAAAGAAAGAAAAGCAAAAATGTAGGAGAGGATTTGGAAAGTTTGTGGAATTGCAAGGTCAGTGTTGTTACTTAGACGACAGAAGGGCAGAAGATGAAGTTGGATGGAGAGAAAGGAACTGTGTCATGAAGGGTCTTATTCACCTTTTAAAGGACCTTAGATTTTACTTTGTAGGGAATGAAGAGTCACTGACAATTCTAAACCCGTTTATTTGATTCTAAGAATTATGTTTCAGAAATATCATTTTATTGGTTTTGAGGACAATAAACAGGAAACATTTCAGAGTAGAGGTAGAGAGTTCGGTAAGCTTTTGCAATGGTCCTGGCAAGAAATGACAAGGGCCCAAACAAGAGCACCAAGAAAGGGCAGATAACTATTAGGAAAACCAGGGCGGGCTGCATGAGCCAGGTCCAGCTTGGGAAGTCAGATAAATGAAGATGCCATTTACCAGGGCACACAAGGTAGGAAGAGATTTGGAAGAATGCTATTTCAGTTTTGGGCATCTGAGACTGAAATATCTTTGGGACATCCAAGTAGAGAAATCTGCTAGGTCATTCTCTGTATATTTTCAAATAAGCCAAATAAAAATGCAGGGGAAACATGAACAATTTTTAAAGTTTAACCACTGGAAGAAAGAAAAAGCAATCTATGATTTCATCTTGAAATAAATGGGTTTAAAAGTATATTGCATACTTTGTCTTACTTTTCAGTCAAGTAAATTTAGGTAAATATTTCATCTAATTAATGTTTTGTACAGGCAAATGCAGATACATTTAGTCATATAATAGGAAAGCATTGGCAGAACTGTAAATGTGCAGTATTAAGGCAATGGCTATATAAACAGCAACATGTACCTACTCTGGAACATTATGTGTCAGCAATGAACAGTATATTTTGGAGAATAGTTAATCAGTGAAATAGTCATGATATGATGACAAATGAAAAAGAGCAAAATGCAAAACTGTATAAATAGTACAATCCCAATTTTGCCAAAAAGATATGTATCTAGTTATACAGAAAAATGGCAAACTATCCTCTCTAGAAAGTGGGATTACAGATAATTTTGATATTCCCCTTGTTTTGCTTTTATTAAATGTTTTACACTGAAAAATTGTCAAGGACACCAGAGAATATGTGGTTTATGTAAAAAGAAATGTTCAACTTCGATAAATTTTAGAATTATTATTCAGTTGTAGATAAAAATAAAAATTCATCAACCTTATTTTGAATATAACTATGACATACTCTCACTTCCGGTCATTATCCTCTTGGAATAGAAAACTTCATTTCTTTTCTTTTTGGAGGGGACAGAGCCTCACTTTCACCAATGCTGGAGTGCAGTGGTGCAATCATAGCTCACTGCAGCCTCAAATTCTTGGACTCAAGTCATCCTCTGGCCTCAGCCTCCCGAAAGCTTGGACTACTAGTGTATGCCACCACACCCAGCTAATTTGTAAGTTTCTTGTAGAGATGGGGTCTCCCTATGTTTCCCAGGCTTGTCTCGAACTCCTGGGCTCAAGTGATCCTCCCACCTTAGCCTCCCAAAGTGCTGGGATTATAGGTGAGCCACCATACTCAGCCAAAAGTTCATATCCTTATACCAATTAATATACATGCTATTTGTAATTAGGCTCATTACCAAAAATTAAGGTGACTTTTAAATCTATCATTAAACCTAGGACAATTTGGAAGACAAAAAGGCCACTAATCATAATTACTCTGGGACAACAGGTACAAATCTGGACATATGGTCATCCTCTCTAGAATAGGCACATACATTTACCTGGATTAAGATTTAAGGCTTTATATTGTGAATAAAAAGTTAACCTTTAGCACTACTTTATTTCCTTTTTCATAAGAGTAAACATTTTGGGGATAGCATGAATGAATGAGCTGAACTCCACAATGGCATGCACAGGCAGCTCTTTTTGCCAATAATTTGCTCGATCACTAGATTGCAGAGTTCAGGGTTAAAAATACTTCAAACATCCTTGATGGGCTGATACAGTGAGAGGAAAAATAAAACAGGAAAATAATCTGTTTCAAAAATGATTTATGCCATGTAGGCTTTTCTGGAGTTTTTAAAGTTCCATTTGAAAAGTAAAGACAGTTGTACATTATGTTCTGACTTTCTGACTTTTTGTCTTCTGGTTGATCTTCTAAATGCTAGAATGGAAAGCTTGGGAAATGTTTTCAAAATTTTTATTGATAATTATTTACAAATCTGATGCCTTGGAATTATCTGATATCTGTAATAGATGATACAAAGTTTCATGAAGATTTATGTGACTAAACAGAAATTCATAAAGTCATTTAGACAATTAAGATTTGCACAAACTTCTATAATTATTTAAAAAAGAAAATGGAAAGGGGAAACCATTTTTATAAACAGATGAGTATAGTAAATGCTGGAGAATGCATAAAAAAGATCATATCTCTTTTTATTAATTAACACTGTTGTAAAGAAGCGACAATGGAAAGGAAAATCCATGAACCCATAAAATCATACACTTAAATTTATGCACAGCACTTTTGATCCTTGAATAGAATTAAAATCAAAAGCTTCTTAGCAGCATTCATAGTTAAATGCAGCTATAACATACAAGTATATTTTATAATTTGCTTTTACCAAAGTATCTTGAACATTACAGCAAATGTGCTTATTAAAAATTTCTTTGAATTTTAGAATAAAGTTTTGCTGATGATGGGATTAATGGATGGCAGGAAACTATCGTTTATTCATTTTCTACGCTGTACCATGAAGGGGTCCGGGTACTCAAAAACCTTGTTTTTGTTAAGCTTCAAAACAAAAACAAAAGCAAAAACAAAAACCCTGAGAGATGGCTTTACATACGAGAAACCTGAGAGATAAAGTATTTAAGAATTATTACTAAGGACTAAAATTAAATATTTCACACCTAGGTACTCATGTCCTTAAATAAATCAATAGATTATCAATCATATTAAAGTATGCATATATAGATTTTTAGAATACAAATAGCTCCTCTTTTAAATGTCTTTTGAGTCCATGTATTTCTAATCTCTATAAAGTTCAAAAGGTGGTTAAAATTAAGTTAAAATAATTTTCTTATTTGAACAGTAGAAATAAGTTTTAGGATGGCTTTGGAAATAACAATATTCTATTCAACTTGATAATTACTTTCAAAACAGGATATCCATTAAAAAACCCCTGTGAAGAATTAAACAGATTTAAACACCATCTCAAGGCATGAAAGACAATTTTGCAGTGGTTTTATCATTCACACTATAGTTTAATTTTTAAAGGTACACTGGGATGCTAGCAGAGGGAAGCCTCACATGGCAGGGGCATCATGGTGGGACGAGAAAGAAGGGGCAGCTTGGTAGAGAGCAGATAGTAGTGAAATAGAGAGAGGGCACCGGGATTCCAGTCCACCATTTATCTTAACCAGTTTTCTTACTTAGAATAAACAGTTCAATCTCAGTGGCCTCATTCCTTCCTGTAGATTATTTCTCCTTTCTTATTCCCCTCAAAGTCTAAACTGTAAGGAGGGCAGTTAAAAATTAAAATAACCAGGCCCACTGTAAAGTCCCTTAAGGAGATAATGACAGCAGTGATGATATTATAATGCTTTCTAAGGTTCACTCCAGCTTTGAAAGTATATTATTGGATAGTTTGTTCTGGGATTTGTTATGAGAAGATAACTAGTATCTTATTAGCTGATCTTTGAATCTACTCACTAGAGGACAGTATATTGGATGTGCGCAAACACACTAAAGATGTGTGGCTCACTGAAATAAAAACCTATTTTGGGCCAGGCACAGTGGCTCATGCCTGTTATCCCAGCACTTTGGGAGGCCAAGGTGGGCGGATCACCTGAGATCAGGAGTTCTAGACCAGCCTGGCCAACATGGTGAAACCCCATCTAAAAATACAAAATAAATAAATAAACAAACAAACAAATGAATAAATAATTTAGCCAGGCGTGGTGGCACGTGCCTGTAATCCCAGCTACTCAGGAGGCTGAGGCAGGAGAATTGAACCTGGGAGGTGGAGGTTGCAGTGAGCCGAGATCACACCACTGCACTCCAGCCTGGGTGACAGAGCAGGACTCCATCCAAAAAAAAAAAAAAAAAGAAAGAAAAGAAAACTATTTTGAAGAAAGATGCTAGCCAAAGAAACACATGAACAAGATAAATTCAGGCTCAATATTCTGAATAAAATTACAAGCTTTAGAGGGCTATTGAAATGTTTTTATTGGTAAACATTTAAACACAGTAGTGCATAAATGGTAAATGCTCTGGGACTGGCAACTCTAAGAAGTTAGCTGTTTTGAGATTAAAAGGTCTCAAATTCATCAAATGTGTGGCTCTGTATTGGCAGCTAGGTGATACAGGAACAGCACAGGGCAGCTCCCAGCCCAAGGGAAGGCCCAAATCTCCTCGGGTGTATTGTATGTTTTTATGTCTCTGCAGCCTAGCACACTGCTTTGCATGCAGTAAGTGCTTAATCAAAGCTTGTTAATCAACCCTAGGTTGATTAACCTAGGGTCTTTGTTTCTTAAGTTGTCACTTCTTAACCATAACCCTTGTGGTCTTTGTTTCTTAACTTGTCACTTCTCAGTTTTTTATTTTTGGCAAATCACTTAACTTCTGTCAGACACAGCTGTTGTTGGACTTGCGGATTCCACAATTTTTGAGGCCCCCTTAACATTCTAAATTATGTATTTGGCAAGCCTACCTTTCAAGACACTTTTTCTATTTCCTCACCATCCTTCCCTCTGCCTGAGAACAAGTTAGGCCTTGTTGCTTTTTTTTTTTTTTTTTTTTAACACATTTTCATCCTCGATTAGTTCTTTTTCATATATGAAGTTTCTACAAAGATAAAGTAACTACAGAGGCAGATATACTGCTTAAATGTGTAACTTTGAGTAAATTTTTTAACCATTCCGAGATTCGCTTTCTTAAAGAGCAAATGAGGATACTATCAGTCTTACAATGTTGCCAAAAATAAAATGAGATATAATTTTTAAAGCGTTTAGCCCAAGAGTAGACACTTGGTTGACTTCTAACAAACATTGATTCTGTACTTTTATCTCTGTCAGGTTAATATTCTGTGGCTATATTATCTCCTTTCATTTATCAGCAGGAATTTATTTGGAACCCTGTTAAAATAGGCCATTTTTAGTACAGGGGTGGATAATATTATGTCCTTTATAATATAACTACTAAATATAGATATGTCTTAATATCAGTAGGATACAATGTAAGCAACAGTGCCCTGTCTCAAAACAATTACAATAGGATTATAAAATTTCTAAAATAACTGGAATAAATAAACATGTACCCTGTGTATTGACCGGATTTGATAAAAATATTTTTATTGAAGAATTTGTAATAAAATCAGAGAAATGTTCTGAGTTTTTATTATATGTGGTGGAAATGAACTCTTTTCTTTATAAAGTACTCAGTCACCCTGTAATTTCCTGCACATTTAAATGTTCATTGTGTTAGAATTAGCATGTATTGTCATTCTTACTCCCAAGGTGAAGAGATGAAAACAACTGCAGTGTCTGAATCATTCATCCTATTAGTGACAGTGAAATAAACTCATAGCTGAAATAGAATTAATAAATTAAGTGTTTCAGTTCTAACAAAGGCAAAATGACACACTGATTTTGGAATAGCTGTTGACAAGGCATTGATATAATGCCTGTGACAAATACAGAGATGACATTTTAATATTTTCTGACTTTCTAAGTAAGTGGAATATATAAAAAATCCCAATTCTTTTTGCTCTGTTAATAAGGATGGAAGAGATGACTGGACAACTGGGGTTTCTATTCCCTGCTAAGTGTCTCGTTTCAATGGGAAGAATCCAGCAGTGCCAAGAAGCCTGAAAGGCCCACAAAAGAGAGGATCCACTCAAAGTGCTGAACCACAGAGATTTTTTCATTTATCAAAAAGGTGCCTTGTGTTCCTAGACAATCTTTCCCTCTCACTTTTACGGAATTTGCTCTCAAGAATATATCTCAGAAACTTCTTCTTGGACATAAATGGCTATAAAGCATTTTTCAAGGAAATGTCTTTTTGGGTAATGCAGTCATATCATGTTAGGAGACTTAGACTTAAGCCAAAGAAATGAGCTTCCCTAAGTCCTCTCAAGCAAGCCAGGTGGATAAAAGAAGCATTCTACAAAAAATGTAGACATTTTTGAGGGGTTCATCATACAAACTAGTTGCTGAAAAATGAAGATGAGAAAATGCTAAAATGAAGAATAGTATCTTTTCCATCAGCAGAGGTCTAGCACCAAGAATCTCTAAAATAGGAGACCTGGTTCCTCTTTTGATAATTCTCTGACAACCTCCAGGTCCAAATACTTTGCAGCCTGGTCTACTGGCACTTCATGATTATGCTCTACTCGACATTTACAGCTTCAGCCCTGCCACGACTAGTGCCCCTCCACACCCTACATTCCATTCCCACCACCCACTCACCATTCCCAGCACTTCCTTCCTGGATCTCTTATGTGACTGCTTCCTTTGCTAGGAATATCCTCGTTTCACTTCTGGTGAACTGTGACTCAACCCTCAAAGCCAGTACAAATGTTAATTGTGAAAATCAATATCTTTCTAGAAATCTCCTCTATCTACCTCAGGTAGTATTAAGTTTTTTCTCCCCTTGTATTTTCATGACCCTTGTACTTGCCTATATAAGGCAATTGACACATGGTTTGTATAAAATATTTATAGTATTGCAGGTGCCATCTGTATTACACTTTCTTGCATGTGTCTATCTCCTCTACTGGCCGGTGAGTTCTTTGTTGTCCCACCCTCACAACAGAGGGCCTGGAATATAGTAGCCATTAAGTAAAAACATGTATAATTGAACATTCTCAACACATTTATGAAAATCCATACCACCAATATGCACAAAAGTCTAAAGCCTTCCCATGCAAATAAAATGGTTTCTGCCAATCTATGCATTTTTTAAAGGAGGGAGGACTGTGTCACCTGTGCAGATACTTGTTCTCTGAGTACTTGTTTATTTACTTATGAAGCATTATAGTGGTTTAATCATATCAAAATTGAGTTAACTGAACTTAACTCTACGTGTTAAATTTGTTTATTTCCTTCCATTTTCCAAACTAATTATTGTGTTTGTTTTATTTTTAAACTCTGTGTTTAAAGGAGTAAACATTTAAATACATACAGAGTTTGTTGAATATCAAGTGTTCCTTGAATTTAGACACACAGCTGTGAGGAATTATTGGAGATAAACAGTGCAAGTGCTCAAGAGTCCCAGGGAAGCATATAAATTAACTTTAAAGTGGCTCGACAGTCTTCATTTTACTGGTATATCATGAATTCCTATCAGTTGTGAAGTGATATAATTTAATGTAAGAAAGTTAATATAATTTTTGTCTTTATAATTAGAATGACTTGGAAATGAAGTGTGTTGGGGAATAATCAAAACAGAAGAGATACGAAAGATTGTTGAAAGTCAGCTTGGCCAGATGGCTATATGTGGGAATTAGAATCAGACAGAGGAGATTCCCAGCCAACAAATACAGATAGACATCAGCAATGACATCCCGGAAATAGTAAGTGTGAAAGATATTAAAAAGCACAAAAGTGGTTAAGATTTTGACACTATCTTTGGGGAAGACACTCTGTTCTCACAAAAGAGATGTTCATCTTTTATAGGAGAGGTTGGGTCCAATGGACATTCTTGCCGTGATTGGAAAGCGGCTCTTCCAGTCATTCATTATTTCAGGAACAGGAGTTAACCATGAGAAGGGCTAAACTGGAGCTGAGGAGAGTGGAAATTTCAGCCTGAAGGGACAGCATGAGCAATGCTTGTTGTGATGAGCAATAGTTAAGTGTTGCTGGAGGGTGGTGCTGGAAGAAGGGCTTGGTTGAAATGAGGCTGGAAAGGCAGACAGGGCCAGGCCCCAGGTGCTTTTTATGCCACATAAAGCAAAAAAGGAGAATTCAGGGTAATACCTGTAGATTTGGCTCCGCAATATTGTCCACTATGAGGAGAGATGGAATAGTTGTGAACATGTACTTTCTTTTTGAACAAAAGAGAGTGTCATTTTTCTGGGTTTCTGTAGGTGTCAAAAGTTGACAAAGAGATAATTTTCTAGGAGCATTATACCTCTGCTTTCATAAAATGTTTATTAATGTGCATTTAGCAGAGTGTTTTATATCTCCCAGTGTGAGGTCACCACAGGGATCTTTCTGGCAATTGTAAGAAGCTGTGCTATATATGCAATAAGGAGGGAGTGGTTTGTAAGACAAGCAGAGCTATTTCCAAGAAATAAAATTCTGCCCAACAGGTTTAGACACAGTCTTAGCTGTGCAAATGGATAATTACACTTGGTTATAACAGGTACAAAGAGCCATGCCAACCAAGCAAAGTCTGCCAAGTTCAGTACCAGAAAGGCCATGGGTCAGGCCTAACCAATGGCAGTCATGTTTACGAGATACTCCTCAGTCTGTATATAGAACGGTCGTGTTCCCTTGCTCTAATGTCACTTAAGTAACCTGAGAAAATGTGGGCTACCATTTCTTCCACTGTGGTTCCAATGAAGGCTTTTTGTAATGATAGTGTTCTACTGAAATTATGAGCTTAACCACATTTATTCACCAAAGCCCCCTTTACCACAAACTTTTCGAGTATTAAAACTATAAATGGTACAAACAACAAAAATAAGATACTTTTTTAATCCATAAGTCCATTATCTGGATGCAGTTTCCATTGTACTTCATGCAGTTCTTAAAATGGTAAGAACTATTACTGTTCTTACTGTATTCTATATCTAGGTTAGATATAGACTCACAATTCCTTTCTTCCCTGTGTACCTCCTACTATACACAAACACACACACAGACACACAGACACACAGACACACACACAAAACCACAGACACATACACACACATACATGCACACATAAAGTTAGGGAAAAATAGTCCTCCCAGAAAAATTTCTGATGGCACATTAAAAAGGGAGTGCCTTTGGCTTTTAGACTAACATACCTCTTTCGGGTAATAGATTCTCCCCAGACAGGTTTAGACACAAAAACTCAGCCACTCAACTCATTACAGTAGGGAAAACTAGTTTATGAATGTGTAAAATTAACTAATCAACTGTTATCTTGGTGTTTTAAAATCTTAACTTAGATGTAATTTTTAAATAATTTATTTGGCAGTGTGACTGACATTTCAACACAAAAAAGATTGTGGAGAAGCACTAAATAGTCATAGAGCAAAATACTTTATAAGAATAATAGTAATTATTGAGGTGTGTTTCACACATTTAGTGTCTACACATACACAAAGACAAAAGCTTGGTGTGGGCCATTATTAAATCCTAAGATGGTTCATATACCCTTAGTTGCTTTTATAAAAGTGAGTCTTTGTAACCGTGGAAATGATCTTGGTTCTCCAGGCAAAGGTATAGCATGAAGATGACTCAGATAACTATAAAGAACTTTTTTAAAACCTCAATTCATTGGTAGTCTTCACTCTCTGTCATGCTTAATTATTGCCAGTAGTAAATGTTGTTGGGGCATCAGTTGACCCCATATTTCTCTGCTTATTTGTTTATTTTTTATTTTTTGAGACAGAGTCTTGCTCTGTCACCCAGGCTGGAGTGCAGTGGCACGATCTCAGCTCAATGCAACCTCCGCTTCCTGGGTTCAAGCAATTCTCCTATCTCAGCCTCCTGAGTAGCTGGGACTACAGGTGCATGCCACCACACCTGGCTAATTTTTGTGTTTTTAGTAGAGATGGGGTTTCACCATATTGGTCAGGCTGGTCTTGAATTCCTGACCTCAGGTGGTCCACCCACCTTGGCCTCCCAAAGTGCTGGGATTACAGGTGTGAGCCACCATGCCCGGCCTTCTCTGCTCACTTTATTGCTCTATTCTTGCTTGTAATAGATGATGTGTTGGACTGACGACTGACTAAATGGTCCATTGACATATTAAGGAAGAACTTACCAACTCTATAGAAATTACAAACCTGAAACAAGAAAAGAAACTGTAGCAGTTACTGGATCCAGGGCCCTAGTAAAGTACCCAGTCATCTCTTGGTACCCCACACTTTGGGGAAACACCCATTCTACATTTCAGGCTTTGTGCTTTAGGTGTTTTTCTTTCTCTCACCTTCAGGGTTGGGTCTTAGGTTGGCCAAAGTCAAGCAGCATAAAACATCCTTTTGATCAGAGTGATTGATTTGGGGATTTACTTACAACTAAGTTTGGGCAATGAGCAGGCCTGGTATTTTTTGTATGTGATAGCAGAGAAAAGTTCTATTTAGGGACTCAAAGCTGAGAAAGTATACATTCTGGAGCTGCAGTAGCCAACTAGAAATCAAGAGTGGAAAGCTTAGCTGAGAATGAAGAAAATGCATAGACAGCCAAGTTCAGAGATGTAGAGAATTAGGCCTTAGTAACATCATTGGAGCCCCTGAGTTAAGACCCATCTGAAGCCAGCCTTACTCCTGGACTTGTAATCACAGTATACAAAAATTTAGTTTGTGCTTATGTCATTTTGGTTGGGTTTTAGGTTACCTGTCATAGAAAAAGTCCTGTTTAGATGCTTGGAGGCAGCATGCTCGTTAAGAGTCATCACCACTCCCTAATCTCAAGTACCCAGGGACACAAACACTGTGGACTAGGAAAACCAGAGACCTTTGTTCACTTGTTTATCTGCTGACCTTCCCTCCACTATTTTCCTATGACCCTGCCAAATCCCCCTCTGCGAGAAACACCCAAGAATGATCAATAAAAATAAATAAATAAATTTTTAAAAAAAAGAAGAAAAAAAAAGAAAAAGTCCTGTTTAATATAGCACATTTCCTCATCATCAAAGCACTACTTAGACTTTTACCTTCTCGATTGTGACTCCATTAGAAGGATGATGGCAAGTAATACCACATCCTGACAGCTGTCAATGACATCAAAGATTGGGATCTCATTTCTGCTGATTTGATTACATATATGTGTGTGTGTGTCTACCACATATTGAAACAAGTTTCTTTTTAATGCATTAGTAAATGTCTTATTATTTAAGCAACAGGAGGTTGAGGTTGCTATTTTTCCTTCTAGCAATCTACAAAGCATGAAATATAACCATGTGGCTTGAATGGGGAAAATAAGCCATAGGAAGATCTGGATCTAATATTTTAAGGATTAAATAGATGTCAGGAGAAGAAGGCTGTGCTGATTAATAGAGACCCCTCTAGTGGCCATAAATTGGGGCACAGAGGGAATCAAAATAATATTTTTTTAATCTGAACTGCTCAAGTATTTTGCTTTCCATCCCCTGCAGCTGAAGTTGTCTTATTGTATACAAATGATTTCAGATAAAATTGGATAATGAAAAAATTGTAGCCCATAGGCAAACAGCAGTGTTTTGCATTGGATTGTAGTTTAGCAGTTGACAGGCTTAAAGTGGCTCATAACATACCAGAAAAGAGATGGGGTCAGCTCTTTACTGTGTAATATTCAGTGGCATTATGAAAAATTTGCTAAAGGAAATGTGATACCTCGTAAAGTCCCAGTAGCAGAGGCTAGGAGAAACAGTGTCAGCTATGCAATATTTTACTGCATAAATATGAAGTTTATTTCAAAGATCCTCTCAGTACCTATTAAACAGTATTGAGGGTGCAAGTGTTATACAAGCTGCTCAAAGATATTCTACATTTTGTATTTGTGCAAAATGTTCTAATATATCTGGAATTAAAATGTAACAACTAAACCCAGATAGTGAATGCAATAATAAAGATAATAATAACAAATAGATAGTGTATTTTACTTTCTTCCCTTTGTCATATTCTGTGAGGTAAAATGTCAGAAGTCATCTAAGAGTATTCTGGTATTCCTGAAAAAGTGTTAGCAATTACTTACAATAGTTTGAACTTACAAGAATGGAAACTGGATTGTAGTGAAAGAAAATAAGAAATAAATAGTAACAAATGTCCTCACATATATTTTAAAGAAAACTGTGAGTTTCTAAGAGTAAACTAAAAATAAACTTAAGAAACAAAATAACTTAAGGCTGACTCAAGGCAATCCAAATGTAATAATATGAAATGTTTTGTTCAATGGATATCTTTCAGGGTGAATTTGGCTACTTAATGTGGTTCTGATAACCTGGCAGCAGACTTGGTCTGTGAAGTGCCTAGGCTAATGGATAGAAGATAAAGGTAAGTCTGACTTGCAGAATCTTCAAAGGGTTTCAATAATATATCCCATAACCTAATGGGAGCTACCCTGCAGTTTTACTAAATCAAAGGATGTATACTCTGTCAAAGAATGTATGCTTTGACAGTGACTTATGTAAATCATTCCAGATACCCACTTCATTACAACATTTCACCACAATCTATTCACAGTTTAACACCTCACTTTCACCAAAAGCATTAGGGAGTAAGATGTCAGCTGGTCTTCTAACCTGGGAATACTTGCACCTGAAGGTCTCCTCCTGTCTTCTTGCTACGAGCTTCTGGCATATTATGACATTTAACGTCTGCCCATAAAAACTGGTGCTCCAGCTTTACTAGACAGATTGGTACCAATAATATCATTTAGGTATTTCCAAGTTTAAACATCAATAGATAAAAAATACTAACATTGCATAATTCTGCAAGCAGGTCATTGGAAGTATGAACAAATATTAACCAAAGAAATCCAGGTTGTCTCTGGCAATTCCTAACAAAGAATTCAAAGGATTACAGTATTGCCTAAGGATGGGAGTAATCAGAACAAAAACCACTGCTTAAATGGAGGGTCCAAATTAGCCCCCCAGTTTTGATGTTTATAACTAAGAAATTTGAGAATTAGGGGTTAAAGGAGCTGACACAAGTCATATAGATAAGAAATGGAGGAGTCAGGATTTCAAGGGAGTCTGATTCTCGAGACCTTCCATTTAGCTACTATTCCTGAGAACAGCAATACAAGTACCACAGTTACGTCTTAAGGTGACACTCTAACTCAAGAAATGCATTGTAGCATGGAGAAAACAGTCCATTTGGAAAATCATTGACAAAAATTTAAAAGTAATTAGATTTGAATCATCTGGATAGAATTCAATATGAGTTTCCATTTCAGAATCATTCTGTTCTCTAATGATGTCAAATTCTTTTTAGAAGATTTTCCATAATGCTATTTAAATTTGCACAGCAAAAAAGAATCCATGTGTTACCATATTTTCTTTACGATACCTTTCATTCATGCATTCATTCAACTAATGTTTATGGAGTGCCTTCAAAGTGGTCAGGCATTCTTTTAGGTTCTGTGTATACATCAGAGAACAAAACAATAAGGACAGTATCTTGACCTCATAAAGCTTATATTCTAATATGGAAAGACAGAAAATAAATGTAAGAAATAACTATATTACACAGTATATAGTATAGTGAAAAGATATTTAGTACTATAAAAAATAAAGCATGGTAAGTAGACTTGAACTGCTGGAGTAGGGGATTCATTTAAATAGGGTGAACAGTGTAGGCTTCATAGAGAAGGTGACATTTCAGCAAAGACTTAAAGAGGTAAGAGAAGGAGCCATACAGATAGATATCTGGAAGAAGAGCATTACAGACAGATAGAGAAAACAGCCACTGCAAAGATTCTGAAGTGGAAATAGCTCAGCGTTTTTGAAGAATAGGAAGGTGTATATGTCTGAGTCAGAGCAAACAAGGGGTATGGTAGTAGGTGATAGGATCAGACAGATGCAGTCCTTCAGGTCCTTGTACTGATTTAGGTCTTCAGTATGCATGAAATAAGCCACCAGGAGGGTTTGACAGAAGAGTGACATGATCTAACTTAGTATTTCAACAGTGTCACTCTGCTTGTGTTGAGACAAGGCTGCAGGAAGGAAAAGTTAGAAGTGTAGTACCTGTTATTAGAATAATCCAGGTGAGAGTTGGTGCTGATTTGGATTGTGGTGGGATTGGTTGAGATGGTAACAAATAATATTATTCTAGATATGTTTTGAAGGCAGAGCTAACAAGGATTCTGGTGCATGAGATTAAGGGTGGGAGAGAAAGAAAGAAGAATTACTATCAGGCTTTCAGCTTGGGCAATGAAAGTTTGAAGTTGCCATTTACTGAGATGTTAAGAGTATAGGTGTAGCTGGTTTGGGGGTAACTAGATGAGTCTGGAGTTCAGGGAAATCTTGACAAAAACATCCACTTTATGCCTGTATATGGGAGATATTTACTTAAAGCTATGAATTAGGATGCACAATGGCAAATAGATAAACACATTTTATATTTTAATCAATTTGCCAGATTAAATATACAGAGAAATCCCTCATGGTGTGGAACACCTGAAATGCTAGATAAAATATGACAAGCTTTAAATAAATAAGCCTGAGCTCTAGTAATAGAAAGAATTGGAGGCCAAAGAATGAAGAGTGATTCAACAGCAGCAAGCTCCATCTAGAGTTTGTTTTTAATCTGAGGGCGTCTGTCAATTCCTGATGGCTCAGGGCTTGGATTTTTACTGGGCACATATTTTTGGCTCTGGAAACAAAGCTTCAAGCCCTAAAAGTATGGTGGTCAGATCAGAAGTACTTTAGTAAAGCGGAAAAATTCAAAGTACAACTCTCATAGAAAGTATATTAGGGTAGGCTAGGCGTGGTGGCTCACGCCTATAATCCTAGCACTTTGGGAGGCTGAGGCGGGCGATCACCTGAGATCAGCAGTTCGAGACCAGCCTGGCCAACATAGTGAAACCCCATCTCTACTAAAAATACAAAAATTAGCCAGGCATGGTGGCGGGCGCCTATAATCCCAGCTACTCAGGAGGCTGAGGCAGGAGAATTGCTTGAAACCCGGGGGGTGGAGGTTGCAGTGAGCCAACATCACACCACTGCACTCCAGCCTGGGTGACAGAGGGAAACTCCACCTAAAAAAAAAAAAAAAAGAATATATTAGGGCAAATCAACCCACCACTATCACCAAGGTTATTATAGACTTGGGACTAGCTGGAGGCATGTACTTTTGTGGGTTAGGGGACAGTATTAACAATACCTGTGTGGTCCACGAAAACTCTCAGCCTGAAAATTAAGTTTCTGACATTGGCCTGGGTTGTTGGTGACATCAGGAATAAAGCTAAAGCAAAAACAATTCCTCTCTGAAGGAGATGACTTAGTTACTTACACATTTAAGATATTTCCTTCTGTCTGTCTCTGTTCTCCTGTCCCACTTTTATCAAGACGTTCTTTCCATGGTTTCTATTGCCTTTTATCCTGTTCCATTTTAATCCCATCCTCTGCAGTTTTCCTCTGTGTGGAGCTCCATTTTGGAAGAGAACTTAGTGGGCCAATTTTCAGAGTTCACAGAAACTAGACGACTTCAGTCCTTTTCAACCTACTGTAAGCTCTTGAATTCACTTGCCACTGGAGTGGGTAAAACCCCTTGTAGTTTTAGCTGCTGCCTCAAACTGCCCCACGGCACTTTCGAGTGAATGGCTGTTGGCTGTTTTATGGTTCTTCTCTTCTTAGATGCCAGGTTGCTTCCCATTGCTTCCTCCTGCATAGCTGCTGCTAGCATGCATGTCTTGTGGTTGTTGGTGAATGGTCCTCACTTGCTTGCATTCTTGGCTTCATGGGGATACCCTGTCTTCTAGTTATTCTAAATATTGTCTTTGGGGATTTTGGTTTTGTTATGTTGTTTCTCTTTTTTTTTATTTTTATTTTTTTGAGACTGAGCTTCTCTCTTGTTGCCCAGGCTGGGGTGCAGTGGCACGATATCGGCTCACTGCAACCTTCGTCTCCTGGGTCTGAGCGATTCTCCTGCCTCAGCCTCCTGAGTAGCTGGGATTACAGGCGCCCACCAACATGCCCGGCTAATTTTTCGTATTTTTAGTAGAGACAGAGTTTCACGAAGTTGGTCAGGCTGGTCTTGAGCTCCTGACCTCAGGTGATCCACCCACCTTGGCCTCCCAAAGTGCTGGGATTACATGTGTGAGCCACCGTGCCCGGCTGTTTCTCTGTTTTTAAATGGGGATTATGGAAGTATCAGAAAATAATGCCCCCTGTTGCTGCCATCTTCTAGACTGCCCATAATACATTTATTTTAAAAGGAAATACATAAAAGACCCAGCTTTTATATATATAATAAGCTTTTTATATAATATATAGATACATAAGCTAGGTCTTTTGTGTATATATATTTATGTGTGTGTATAAGTATACACAAAAATTAGTACATACAGTTCCCAGAATAATGGTACATGAAGAAAGAGCGAGCAGAAGTGGTTAGATAGTAAAATGAATTATTGGAAATAATTATAACATGTAATAAGTAGGCCAGCTTCAGGAAAAATTGTTGATAGACCCTTCTTTGGTGCTGAGTGCCTCCTGGTTCCATGGTCAGTCCTATTCCTCCAGCTTGGCACACCTAGCATCCCAGCAGTCTTCGGTGTTTGTGTCCACTTATGGTCTATCAAAGCTTTCTCTTTGATGCCGAGTTCCCACTCAAATATAATTCAATAATAAAAATGTTAACAAGAACTTTTGGAAAGGACACTAGACTAAGTGGAAATATCGGTTAGCCATTAATTGGCTGGATTGGCCTTGGCAAATCAATTTATCTCTCTGTTTTATAGACATATGTGTAATTATAAATAAATTACAATAAAAATAAAAAATAAATCCAAACCCAATAATACATAAATAGAAAGATGAGTGACACACATACATACAGTGTAGAAGCATGGGAGTCATGAGGTCTGCTGCACATCTTTTTTGATCTGGTCGCAAAACTTGACTCCGAACTTTTAGAAATCTTGGTGCAATAGCATATGTGTGTCTCTCATGAATAACAAGAATTATCTGGAAGCCAAACATTTTCTGAGCCCTTAAGTGTGGCTTCCTGACCTGGGTCAGTGCCTATAACAGGATGCTCCAGGATCTCGGACAAGTAATCCTATAGAGGCCTCCTTTAACCTGTGGCTTTGTCTTGGTTCCCTGGTTTCTGTCCTGAAGTCTCAGACTGCACATGCTCTCATTTTGCAGATATTTTGTTCAGTTCTTAGTTCTCACCTTTACCCCCAGGCTTGACTTTGGCACAGGTCCAGCATTCTTTGTTCCAACTTGCCCCAGGAAGAGTTATCCAACAGGGAGGGCAATGTGTGGCTTGAAACCTTTTAGAAGTTCCACTAAACCACTTACTGACATGTATCCTAGATAGACAGGATGCTAAAAAATCCAACACTCAAACACGACTATACCTTATAAAGGAAGTAAAGCTTATTTCAACATGTTAAGTTATTTAACAAGGTTGTTCCATGGTAGCAAAGATGTTGTGGCAGATAAGCAACAAGTCCCTTCCAATTCTGCAAACATATAGTTCTAGTATTTCTCACAAGGATACTTGCTTTACCACAGGGATCACATGAGGCAGGCTAATTTATTGAGATACTTATTTTTGGTTCTCACTGTGGAAGAAAACATGGAAGGATAAAAGTTATTTTCCCAGAAGTTGTCCAAGCCCCTTCTCTTCTGGGTCTGGGCAGCTCCCCTGCTCCAGGAGGTCATACAGCAACTTTGTGCTTCAGCACTGGGACCTGGAGCTACAGTAGACAAGACTAGAACCAGACCTCTAACCTATTTGGTATACTACAGGAACCCCAGATTCTTATAGCTCACTGCTCTATTTCCCAACATGCTTACAAGGGTTCATTCAGCTCCTAGTATTTACCAAGTGCTCTCTTACCCCAGTCCTTTGCATGTGTGAGTCCCTCTGCCTGTAATGCTCTTACATAGCTAGATTCTTCTCCCACATGAGACAGGCTCTCTGACCACCCTATATGGTCTCTGTCCCTCTCTTTTACCATATTTCCTTGGCTACTTGCTTGTTCCTTTTAGAAAATGTATCATACTTTCTAATTGTTTTGTATATCAGTGTATTTGCTTTTGGTCTGCCCTCTTCACTGGAACATAAGGTCTGTGATGGAAGAGATTGTATCTGTCATTTTCGCTAATGTATGTCCAGTGTCCAGCACAGTCTGGAGCTCAGTAGACTCACATGTATTTGATATGTATTCATATTAATGTAAAATGAATAGGTAAATGAATGGAAAATTAGGTAAATCTTTGCAAAGGACTGAGCTGTGGTATTTGAAAGTGAGTACAAGAGCTAGAAAACAAGTGTTGTTTATCAAGAACATTGCTTCTAAATTCAACCCAAAGAATGGAAGGAGTCATCAAGAAAGCATAAAGCAGATTAGAGCTAGCTAGAAAGTCAAACTATATGTTCAGAGGGAACCTGAGAACATTACTAAGTAGGAAAACAGAGAGCTTTCAAACAAATGACCTAATCAAGCTACCTGATAGGTAAAAACAAGTTGATAAAAATTACATTAGTTAAAGTAAATTTTGCTATTTAAAATGTTAATGGCAGCGTGAACCAAGCTAAACTGGAAAAATAAGTTGGAGTCAGAAATCACTGGGATGTGTCAAAATAAAAGGGGCACCGAAGGAAGGGTACAAAGATTCATTTTTGGTGAAGAATTTGAAAGGTGCTATATGGAATGTTACTAAAAATAACATGGCTGCCAGCACTAAAAGACTGATTATAATGAGTAAAGGAAATGTCACCTAAGATAATCTGAAAAGTTGTTACTCAAGTGATAAATTTGAGTAGAAATTAGAAGCTAATGACTTCTTGCATAATTATCTAGTTCTAATATCCACAAAAATCACTGAAAAGTATTTCATAACCATAGCACAGATGTCAGATAATATACCTAATGGTATATGTTTTAGTAAAATTTAAGAAACTGCTATCCAAGTTCAGGGAGAATGGATTAACAATGTGGGTGGTATGAGGCCCGAGGACTAGAGAACTGAGAGGAAAATGGAAGTGGTAGATGGAATGTCAGAAGATTTAGGGATGGACACATTAGTTAATTCTTCCCCCTAAGAGCATATTAGGTTCTGGAAACAAACTAAGAAGACAGGGCAACCAAAGGGCAACTAAAATTCTTAGAGATGGGAGTTGATCTGGTTCCCCCTTGATGCATCAGCTCCCTGACTTCCAGCTGCTTTCCTGTGTCATGGAGAAACAAAAATACAAGCACAGCAGTTTCTCACAAGGATGCAAAATGCATGCCACCTTAGCCTTTTTAAGGTTTGATATGGTGATTAAAGAGTAATTAAACTGTATCTAAGCTATCCTCACTATTTGAAAAAGACACTCTGAGTCCAACCACTCTGAGCTGCTGAAGATTATTAGTGTTTACCAGATAAAGTTTTTCGAAAGTCAGGTTCCTGCACACACCTGAGAAAATGGCATGCACTGATCCATTTTACAGCTTTGGGCAAAGTTGATCTCAAGGGCTATTCTTTAAACCTGAGCAATGTTTTGGGGGAGATTCCATTAAGGTTTCTTCTGTGAAATCTTCCAAGCCTAAAATTAAAACAGTAGCAATCGTAAAACTCAGAGAAGATGTAAGATTGGGTACCTACTTATGAGCCATTTATTCTAAATGGATAACTTGCAGGGTTTTGCAAAATCTGTATAGCTCTTCAACAGTTATATTTCATGACGCTTCATTTATTCAGCACTGCCAGGAAACTGGCTCATATAGATGAATTTTCCAGATAACTGAAGCATACCCTTATTGCATCAGAAGTATTTTCTGAAATATAGGACACACTACAATGCTTTGCCAGTAGAGGATGCTGAACATAATCACTCCTCTCTTCTCTCTCTTAGAGGATGACTCAAGACCATCATAGATGTTGTCCTTGGTAATGACGTAGGACTTTATTGAGGTGCAAAGCACTAAAAAATTTGTTCCTAGACT
Source organism: Homo sapiens (assembly GCF_000001405.40). NCBI lineage: Eukaryota > Metazoa > Chordata > Mammalia > Primates > Hominidae > Homo > Homo sapiens. The sequence continues at coordinate 152,930,593 of NC_000003.12, read as the reverse complement.
AAATGGACCCAGCCTACTCTGCTTCTGTAGTTGTGTCAGACTTTCAGAATGTTGTGGTCTTACTCTCCATTGGCATTTGTTTCTCTTCTCACGTGTCAGTGTTTCTAATTTTTTGACTTCTTACATCTGAGATTTTCCACTCTGAAATCTTCATCTCTTCTTCAGAGTAAAGTGCTTTTTTTGGTTTTATGAGAAGTGTTTGCTTCACAGTGGCATTCAACACTCAATGGCATTTTATTTTTTCTAATTCCATGTTTGTTAGATTCTAAATGGTTAAAAGTATGTAAAATTTCACAAATTAGTCACAAAGGAATATATTATTCTTTTAAGGTGAATAATTTTTAAAACAGGATAATCTTCAGTATTATTTGAAGTTCAACATGTAGAAATTCAAGTCCAAGAATAAAAACATGATAATTATTTGGAAATAATGGGTTAGAGTATTCTATAAACAAATAAATATAATTCCTTACTTCCATACTACTGGGCACAGTCTAAAGCTACAGTGGGTGCCTACTTTACACACCCCTTTCATATACATTTTATTACTTATTTTATTTATTCATTTACGGACAGGGTCTCACTCTCTCACCCAGGGTGAGGTACAATGGCACAATCATGGCTTACCTCAGCCTTGACCTCTTGGGCTCAGGCGATCCTCCCACTTCAGTCTCCCTCATGAGTAGCTAGGACGACAGGCACCCACCACCACCACATCAGCTAATTTTTGTATTTTTGGTAGAGATGGGGTTTCACCATGTTGCCCAGTCATGTCTCAAACCTCTGGGCTCAAGCCATCCACCCACCTTGGCCTCCCAAAATGCTAGGATTACAGGCATGAGCCACTGTACCCGGCCTTCTATATACATTTCTTTTCCCTAAAGCTTTGCCTGTTAATCTGAAGCTAGTATTATAAATATCACATTATAATCAGAGAGGCTTAATATCCATGGGAAGTTATAAAAAATGCACTTGATTGAATTCTAGGATGTTAAGAAGGATTCTAAACAGATTAATCTAAACAATAAATTAAATTTTAAAAAATCATAACTTGGGTTTTATGATTTATTTCTTTAGATAGTTTTTGGTTCTTGTTTCTCTCTCACTCATATAACCCCAATCTGAAATCTGTTCTCTCAAGGAATATGGAAAGAAAAGCAACAGACCTAAATATCCTAATACTTGAGGTTTCCAAATTGCCTCCGTAGAGTAAACCCTCTGTTCTGAGAAATGTGGACTGCGTGAAGCAAAACAACTGTAATCCAAATCCTGAGCTATCAGCAGTGCCCTGGTGTTAGCCTGGAGAATTATGCAAGAATGGGAGAGCCAGTCCCTTATATTTCTAGTTGACCCTTTCTAATGAGCCTGTCCTCCTTTTATCCTATGTGTTCATTACTTTATTTATGCTTTTCACTTTTACCCCCCTTTCAACCTTATTATATCATCACATCTTCTAAGTATGCCCTTCTCTCTCATTCATAATTATTGCTCCAGGTAGAACAGAAGCTCTAGAAAGATTTAAGAGAAAGGATATCCAGAAAGGTACTTATAACTATATCATTAATCTTCCCCAAGTCTCTGTGGATTAAATATTAGTCATGTAGGAACTGAAGCAAAAAGAGTGCCATTTCCTTTCTTCTTGTCTCCTGTCATCAGTGAACATAGGTGTCCAGAAGAGGAAGTCATTCCCTATCTTTAATTTTACATGCTTTTCAAAAGGTACCCATAGTCACTTTGCTTTAGATAAAGCCACTTAAAACATAGAAATAAAAACTAACAGCAAAGATATATCAGTACCTACTATAGCAGTTTACCTATCTATAAAATCAGATACTTGGCAAAACACAAATTGAGAAGATAGTAGAAAATCATGTAGTATATAAGAAAGGTTTCTGAGGTGGGTTTTATTTATGCCAATGTGTTTAAAGTAGCAGAGACCTCAGCTTTCAATCTGTTTTCATTTTTTTCTATTGATTAAATTGCCCGTTTTATATAGTAAAACTACAAACAAATGCTTTTTATGGATGGCATGCATTTTCTTCTGTTTGTTGTTTAATTGTTTTGAAGTTTTGGTTAATAACAGAAATTTTGTATATTTTTACATTTTCAGATTATCCATTATTTACTTGGTTTTCTGCCTTCAGAATGGCTAATCCTTCACTAATTTTACATAAATGTTCTAAATGCATTCTTTCTTTTATTTATGGACTTATTTTTTACATTTAACTTGGTGCATAGTATGATATAGAGGTCTACGTTAATTTAACAAAATAGTCAAACGGGCCTGCATCATTTATCAAGTAGCTCGTTCTTTCTTTTCTTTTCTTTTCTTTCTTTTTTTTTTTTTTTCTGAGATGGAGTCTCACTCTGTTGCCCAGGCTGGAGTGCAGTGGCATGATCTCGGCTCACTGCAAGCTCTGCCTCCTGAGTTCACGCCATTCTCCTGCCTCAGCCTCCCGAGTAGCTGGGACTACAGGCACCCGCCACCACGCCCAGCTAATTTTTTGTATTTTTTAGTAGAGACGGGGTTTCACCATGTTAGCCAGGATGGTCTCAATCTCCTGACCTCGTGATCCGCCCACCTCGGCCTCCCAAAGTGCTGGGAAAGTAGCTTATTCTTTCTAATTTGAAAAGCCATCTTTCTCATTTATCGACAGCATACAAATGCAATCACACACACCACAAAGAAATGTTTTTAAAGCATGTTGCATCCTTTTGGTTGGAGTCTTAGAATTAATTCTTGTAGAGTGAATCTGGAGGTTAAAAAGCTTTTGGTAGATCAATAATCTTTCTTTTAAAGTTAGGAAACCTTTCTCCAATATGATCTCATTATTTATGTGAATTTTGGCATTCATTTTTTAAAATTCTGATTTAGTGTCAATTGTGACCAGGAGCTAAGTATTAAGGATAACTGGACTGCAAAACTGCCATCTCTACCCTCAAGCTCCTGGTCTAGTTGGGAGTCCTGTATAAAAGCCAACCCCTCCAGAGCACTATGGTAAAGGCTATACCATTTGGCTCTGCCTAAGTTACTTTTCTAGCATCAAGAGTTCCAGGAATAGGGGACACTTGAGCCGTGTCTTGGAGGATAAATAGAGATTCACCAGGATCAAAGAAACTGAAGGCATTCCAGGATTAGGGAGCAGCAATTGGCAAGATGCACATGTGAAGCATGCCAGCATATTGAAAAAATTATGAGAAGTTTGCTGTAAATCAAGCTAGTGTGCCAGAAAAGACATTGTGCTTTAAAAGATTAATCTTGTGGCTATCTAGAGGAAGTACTCGAAGAGAGGAAAAAGTGGAGGTTGTGGATTGAGGGTTATTTAATATCCCATGTAGGTAACTGTATTATTCCGTTCCCAACTGCTAATAAAGACATACCCAAGACTGGGTAATTTATAAAGGAAAGAGGTTTAATTGATTCACAGTTAAGCATGGCTGTGGAGGCCTCAGGAAATTTAAAATCATGGTGGAAGGGGAAGCAAACACATTCTTCTTCACATGGTGGCAGCAAGGAGAAGTGCAGAGTGAAGTGGGGGAAAAGCCCCTTATAATGCCATCAGATCTGACGAGAACTCACTATCAGGAGAACAGCATGGAGGTAACCACCCCCATGATTCAGTTACCTCCTACCGGGTCCCTCCCACAACACGTGGGGACTCTGGGAACTACAATTAATTCAAGAGGAGATTTGCTGCGGGGGCGGGGGGGTGGGATGCAGCCAAACCATATTAGTAACATATGATGAATGTCTAAAGAAATGGAGATGAAAGAGGGAATTGAATAGAAAATAAGTATTTGGAAAGTATACTCACAGGTGTTTTGTTAGTAAACAGGGTGAATGGAGGTACTAAAGCCAGGATCTACACTGTGGGAGCACAGCAAATTATTTAGGAGATCATTTACTTCTGTAGATACTGAGTTTTGATCACCTAAAGACCATCCAATCAACCGTTGGTTACTGATATCTGGAGTACAAGAAAGATATTGGAGCTGAAATTAAAACTTTGGGAGTCACAGATTTGCTTTTTAAGAATTATGAAGTCAAATGTTTACAGGGTACAGTTGCTGGACAAAGTAAATGAGTGAAATGGATAATAAAGAATGGTGGGGGCTGGGACGAGCAGAAGGGAGCACGCCCTTCTAAGAGGACAGCTGCTGCTCAGGTGCAATGGACTATTGATGTGGGACTGTGGGTCCAGTGCTGCCAGTGTTCTTAGTTTTTAAGAGAAACCAGAAACCCGGATCTTAATTTGAGCTCTCCTAATCTCTAACTCATTTAAGATTTTTACAAAACACTTTTTAAGCCAAAACAGATAAGTGGGCATTAGTGACATCAAGTCAATGGACACCTCTGTTGTAGAAGGTAATGCAAATTATACACCTGACTGAAATTCCTAGGAAAAGTGTACTCTAAAGTGAGAACAGGAGAACCTCAGGATGAAACTCCTAAAAACTTGAGGCTGAAGAGAGAGCCTTGAACCAGGTACTGCACAATAGAACTCATATATTTTTAGTGGTGGGAGGATAAAAATAACATTTTATTTCACAACATGAAGATGTGGCCTGTTAGAAATCCATGAGTGCCGACTTCAAACAAGTCTTCAATTATGGGCAATCCTACTATGTTTCTTTTATTAACTCGCTCTCATCCATCCAGCCATCATTTCAAATCTTCTCCACTATCTTCAAACCTCCAATAATCACCATAACCCTAATCATCCCTTCTCTTAGCTGGTAACCCTATCTCATGCTTTACATAGTGAATAGAAACCATAAGATAGGAATTTCTTATTCCTGACCCTAAATACATGACTATCTGCTCCAGCTTGTTTTCCTCCCTCCACTTTTAATATAAACAAGACCATCCTCTCCCAGCTTCCCATTACATGCTTGGTGCCTACTCTCTATTCTATATTCAGGCACTCCACCTTGATCTCTCTGTAGGCCTTTAAACAATTTCAAGCTTCTTCCATGAACAAGAATCAAAAAACAAAACAACCACTCCCAGCCCCATGAGTTTCTCTAATTTACCTACTTTTCTTCCCTTTTAGAGTCAAACTTTGTGAAAGGATTGGATACACGCCCTGTCTCTAGTTCCTTTCCTCCACTTACGCCTCAGACTATCTGATCTGGCTTCTGTTTTAATACGCTACCAGGTTCTTTCTTGTTAAAGTTACCATAATACTAAATCCATTGAACATTTTCGGTCTTCACTTTTCTTGTCCTCTTAGCATCATTTGACTCTGCTGCCCATTCTCTTCATGACCTGCTATCTCCTATGGCTTCTGTGATACCCGGCTCTCCTTGGCTTCCTCCTACTCCTTCTTTAGATCACATCTCAGTATTTACATCCCCTGGAAACCCTGCCTTTACTGGTTCAAATCTCACTATTATATACACTCTCAGAGGGCCATGAAACTCTCCTTTGTAATGTTTTTTACTATAAACATTTATATTTGTGTGTTGTCCCCACTTGTAAGCTGAAGAAAGGCAAGGGGCATGTTAGTTTTTCTCATCATCATATGCACTGTCCCAAGTACTTAATCCAAGGCCTGGAGGTTCAAGAACTATTTGCTAGATAAATAGCAAAATAATTGATAATGAATGAATTTTATGCCTGGAACTGCCGAGAAGAGAGTCTACCTCGCTTGCCTAGAACATGAAGAAATAATTAGAAACAGTTTTATTTCAAATTATCTCATACTTGGGTCATTTTCATTTTTAATTTTATTAATTAAACACACATCAAATATATTTCAAGATTTTTTCTAAGCAGGGTTGCTTCAATCTATTTCATTTTTGAGTCATTTTTATTTTACATTCTTCAATCCAAACTTACTTAAAGTTTAATATAACAAGTAGAGTGGCATAGAAATGAATAAGACTTTACTCTTAATAAGATTTTTTCTCCTTTTCTATACTAAAATTTAAATTGGCAACAAAATTTAAATATCTGTTTATTTAAACTGCTGCAAATGCAGACAGAGAAGCTATAAGAACAAGAGGAAGAAGTTTTTAAAAGCCACTTTAAATTATTTTTAAAAACTTTTTTTAACCAAAATATTTTACCATCAAATATGTCAATGTAAATAATCTATATGCAGAGAGATATAGAAGGGATCTATGTTTAGAGACTGGTATCAGTGAACATTTTCAGTATGAGAAATGGACCACATATTATTTCTTATGATTATTGGCTATTCATTCAACAAGCATTTATTGAGCACTTGCTATTAGCCAAGATAATCTAGGCTAACTCCTCATGACCAATTCCATGTGGAATTGATCATAGGGGGCCTATATGCTTCTTCATAGCCTTCCATTTGAGCCTCACCTCACCTTGAGGCATAAACCCCAGCTTGCTCTTCTCCACACCCCGGTCCTACTGAACTATGCAACTCCTAGACCTTCTGAGGTCTTTGTTCTAATGCCTTCCCTGTCTGAAATTCTAGCCTCAGTGCAGTTTTCTTAAGCAACAATCTTTTACCCTTTACAACTTCCTTCAGGAACATGTCCTCTGACAGATCTTCCAGGAACTTCCCCAGGCTGCGCTGGTTGCCTGTCGAGACCCATTCCCAAGCACCCTTGCTTCCATGTATCATAGCATTTTTTTTTTTTTTTTGTGGCAGCATCACACTGATTTCCTTGTCAGTTTTCCTCATTCATTCATGAATTCATTCAAGCATTCCACAAACATTTATTGAACATCCAATACATGACAATCAGTGTTCCAGGCACAGGATGTAAAGTTCCCAGGCACAGTGAGGATACAACAATAAACAAAACAAAGTCCCAATTATCATGAAGCTTAGCTTTTAGTAGGGCACAAAATCAGCACGTAACGTGTAATAAAATGCCAGGCAATCTTAAATCCTGTGAAGAAAAGTAAAACAGAATAAGGTAAACGGAATAAGTTAGCTCTGGTGGTGAAGTGGTTGCTATTTTTAGAAAGGTGGTCCTGGGGAATCCTATAATAAAGTGACAATTTTTTTTTTGCTTTTGTTTTTGTTTTTATACAGATCTTAAGTAAGCAAGAGAGCAAGCGATACTGTTATTTAAGTGAAGTTGTGTTCTAGTGAGAGGGAACAATAATTGTAAAGGTTGTGAAACTCAAATATTCCTGGCACATTTGGGCAATAGCAAGCAGGGCAGAGTGGCCGCTGTATATCGTGTGAGGGAGAGAGTAGTGGATTATTAGAGAAATAGTGAAGAGATACTAGAGAAGCTGTATTGGGAACGTTCAAGCAGGACGATGGTTTTCAAGCAAGCTGTACATTAAAAACAGTTGATGAGCATTCACAAAGATTCAAATTTAAATGACTTAGAGTGGAGCCCAGAAATTGATGTTTGTTGTTGTTTTTGTTTTTTTCTATCAGCTTTTTAAAAGGCTTAATAAATTTTAATTTTAGAATAGCTTTATATTTATAGTAATGTTGCAAAGAAAGTACAGAGTTCCTACATATCCTCAGCCAGTTTCTCTTACTGTTAACATCCTGCATTTTCACACTACATTTGTTACAATCAAGAAACCAACAATGGTACATGAATATTAACTAAACTCCACATGCTGTTAGGATTTCACACTTTTTAAAGTGATATCCTGTTTTATTCCAAGGCCACACCCAGGATACCACATTACATTTAGTCATCGTGTCTTCATAGTCTCCTTTGGTCTGTGACAGTTTCTTCAACTTTCCTTGTTTTTCATGACCATGACAATTTTGAGGAGTACTAGTAAAGTGCTTTGTAGATTGTCTTTCCATTGAGTTTGTCTGATGTTTTTCCTCATGTTCAGACTAGAGTTATGGGTTTGAGGAGAAGAATGATTCAGTGTTAAAGTACTCTTCTCATCACATCATATCAAGGGTATGTGCTATCAACATGACTTATCACTAGTGATGTGTACCTTGATCCCTCGGCCAAGAGAGTTCTATGCAGTTCTAAAGTTTCTTTTCCATTCCTGAATTAATTCACTAAGCACAGCCCACATACAAGTGGGGGTGGTAGGTGTAGTTAAGGTCCACCTCTTACAGAGGGGGAGGTGTTGGTATTTCTCTTGTTTTTTTCTTTTTTAATGTTGGCTGTTTTTATTATTTATTTACATGTATATGCAAGGCAGAGTAATACCCCCAAAGATGTCTGTGCTTTAATCTCTGGAACTGTTACAGAATATACTGGAATGTATCCCATTACATGGCAAAAAGGACTTTGTAGACGTGATTAAATTAAGGGCCATTAGATGTGGGGACTATCTAGATAGTCTCAAATTCATCACATGAATCCTTGCAAGGGGAGAGTTTTTCTTGGCTGTGGTTAAGAGAAAGATGTGACAATAGAAGCCGAGTTGGAGAGAGGCTATGATGCTTGCTTTGTAGATGAAGGAAGGGCCCACTGGCCAGGGGAAGCAGGTCCCTTCAAAACTGGAAAACACAAGGAAACAGATTCTTTCCCAAGGTCTCCAGAAACAAAAGTGGCCCTGACACCATGTTGATTTTTAGCCTAGTGAGACCTATGTTGGACTTCTAACCTAGAGAACTTTAAGATAATAAATTTATGTTGTTTTAAGCCACTGTATGGTAATTTGCTATGGCAGTGACAGGAAACTAATAAATGTCTGTCTCTTCTATTCTTTGATAAGTAACTTGAGGGTAATCCTGCCCTCTTCATTCCTCTATCCCTAGTGCCTAGTCAGAATCTGGCACGTAGTAAATGCTCAAAAATATTTAGTGATTTGTTCAACAAATGTATATATGAGGCATGACAAATGACTGTGTCTAGGCTAACAGAGAGACCAATATGGAAAATACTGAGGTAAATAGAGGACCAATGTTTTATAAATCTTTACCAGGGTGTTAGTCTAATAATATTAACAACAACATTATTTAAAAGTGAACTGGATAATAATAGTAATAAAAACATGAAAATAACAAGCATGATAGAGATGTAGAGAAATTGGAGCCCTCATACATTGCTGGTGGAAATGTAAAATGCTACACTCACTGTGGAAAAAATACTGGGTAGTTTCTCAACAATTCAAGTAATTCAAGTAATTCCACATGCCTGGAACAAAGGGTATGAGAAATTACCCTTAACTGCTAAATCTGTAGGCAGCAGGTAGCTAATAGAATACCTTAAACATGGTGCTAAGGAATTGTGACTTTATCCAATTGGTGATGAGGAGCCAGAGAGGAGTTGCAATGGGGATTAATAATTAGATCTTTATGTTTAAGTATAGATATGGAGAGGATAATACTGGAGTCAAGAAGATAAATTACTTTGTTACAACACTCTGGGTAAGAGATGATGAGGTCTAAAATTGAGAATAGAGCAATGGGAATGTAGAAAGAAAAATATGATAATTTAGGACTACCACACGCAATTTTGTATAACCAAGAATTCTACTCTAGGTATAAACCCAAAAGAATTGAAAATGAGTACCCGAATAAAAACTTGTACAAAAATATTTATAGCAGTACTGTTCAGAATAACCAAAAGATGAAAATGATCCAACTGTCTATCAACTAATGAGTAAACAAACAAAATGTGATATATTCAGAGAATTATAGATTATTGGGCTATAAAAGGAATGAAATTCTTTTTTCTCAGTTAAGTCTTTTATTTATATTAAAAAATTTTTATTTTTATAGATTTAGAGGTACAAGTGCATTTGTGTTACATGGATATATTGTGTAGTGGTGAAATGTGGGCTTTTAGTGTACCTATCACCTGAATAGTATACATTGCACCCAATAGTTGTTGGTTCATCCCTCAGCCTGCCTCCCATTCTCCCACCATTTGAAGTCACCAGTGTCTTTTTTTCCACTCTGTATGACCCTGTGTACCCATTGTTTAGCTTCTACTTATAATTGAGAACATGAAGTTTTTAATTTTCTGTTCCTGAATCATTTCACTACGGATAATGGCCTCCAGTTCCACTTATGTTGCTGCAAAAGACATAATTTCATTCTTTTTTATGGCTGAGTAGTATTTTGTGGTGTGTGTGTGTGTGTGTGTGTGTGTGTATACACACACTACATTTTAAAATCCAATTATCTTTTGATGGACACAGGTTAATTCCATGACTTTACTATTGTGAATACTGCTGCGATAAATATATGAGTGCAGGTGTCTTTTTTTATATAGTGACTTCTTTTTTTTTTTTTTTTTTTTTTGAGATAGAATCTTGCTCTGTCACCCAGGCTGGAGTGCAGAGTGCAGTGGCGTGATCTCGGCTCACTGCAACCTCCACCTCCCAAGTTCAAGCGATTCTCCTGCCTCAGCCTCTAAAGTAGCTGGGACTACAGGCATGCACCACCACACCCAGCTAATTTTTGTATTTTTAGTAGAGACGGGGTTTCACCATGTTGGCCAGGCTGGTCTTGAACTCCTAACCTTGTGATCTGCCCACCTTGGCCTCCCAAAGGGCTGGGATTACAAGTGTGAGCCACTGCACCTGGCCTATATAGTGACTTCTTTTCCTTTGGGTAGATATCCAGTAGTGGGATTGTTATACTGAAGGAGAATTTTATTTTTAGTTCTTTGAGAAATCTCCATACTGTTTTCCATAGAGATTATACTAATTTACACCCCCACTAACAGTGTATAAGTGTTCCCTTTCCTCTTTATTCCCACCAATATTTGTTGTTTTTTTCTTCTTAGTAATAGCCATTCTGACCACACTAAGATAGTATCTCATTGTGGTTTTAATTGGCATCTTTATTTTTGCTAGATTGGTGGAATTCAAATCCATGAAAATTTAGTTAACAGCTAAACATCCTAATCAACTGGCTTCAATCTACTTCTCCCACTGATGCGGGGAGAAAGGCGGGAGAAGCCCCGCCTTTTGATTGAAGCTGCTCCTTTGAATTTGCAATTCAACATGAGAAATCACTTCAGAAATCACCTCAACTGAGAAATCACCTATACTCAACTGAGAAATCATCTCATACTCAACTGAGAAATCACCTCATACTCAACTGAGAAATCACCTCATACTCAACTGAGAAATCACCTCATACTCAACTGAGAAATCACCTCATTCTCAACTGAGAAATCACCTCATTCTCAACTGAGAAATCACCTCATACTCAACTCAGAGATCACCTCATACTCAACTGAGAGATCACCTCATTCTCAACTGAGAGATCACCTCATTCTCAACTGAGAGATCACCTCATACTCAACTGAGAGATCACCTCATTCTCAACCAGAAATCACCTCATACTCAACTGAAAAATCACCTCATACTCAACTGAGAAATCACCTCATACTCAACTGATCAATCACCTCAGTTGAGTATTTTTTCATGTAGTTGTTGGCAGCTTGCATGTCTTACTTGAAAAATGTCCATCTACTCATCCACTTTTTTTTTTTTTTTTTTTTTTTTTGAGACAGAGTCTTGCTCTGTCATCCAGGCTGGAGTGCAGTGGCATGATCTCTGCTCACTGCAAGCTCTGCCGCCCTGGTTCAAGTGATTCTCCTGCCTCAGGCTACTGAGTAGCTGGGATTACAGGCACGCGCCACCACACCCGGCTAATTTTTGTATTTTTAGTAAAGACGGGGTTTCACCATGTTGGTCAGGTTGGTCTCAAACTCCTGACTTTGTGATCCGCCCTCCTAGGCCTCCCAAATGCTGGGATTACAAGCGTGAGCCACTGCGCCTGGCCGTTCATCTACTTTTTAATGGGCATGAGGCAATCACAGAGGATCACAGGTTGAGAGGGGAGTGATGGTAATATCAATCCTTCCAGCTGTTTTTTTCCTATGGAATGTTTCAGCTCCTGGCCAGAAATACTCTTTACAATTATCTTTCTATTTCCAGTAATCTTTTTCCTTTCCTTTCCCTTTAAGGTCAAGGGTAGAAGGGCTCTTCCTTATTGGTAGCACAGGGTTCTGTTCCTTTTCCCATATGCCTGCTCACACTCTGATAAATAGTTCCTTTATTAGAATCTCCAATTGCCTAGTTTGAGTGTACTTATTTCCTGTTGGAATCCTGAAGAATACACCTAGAAATAGGCCTCATTCCCCTTCTGTGGGTGATAATACTGAGGCTTTCAAAGACTACCCAGTGTAATACAAAACAGCAGGAATTTCAAGCTGGATAGCCATGGGTTCAAATGCTGTGTATGTTTGAGCCAATTACTTAAATGCCTTTCTAGCTGTAGGAGTCATGTAAACTCATTTTTAGCTGTGTAAGTTTAAGTAAGTTATTTAAACTGTCTAAGGTTCAAGTAAGTTTAAGTAAGTTATTTAAACACTAAGGCTCAGTGTTCCCTCCTAAAACAAAGCCCCAACCTTATGGGATTTATGAATTATAAATGATAATGCATTTATAGTAATCATCAGAGTACCAGGCACTGAGTGGTTAATAAAAAAATGTTAGAGTCATGATTAAAAAATTCCTATAGGTTATAGTCTTTGGCAAAACTTTGGATGTAGTTTGGCAATTTCTGATTACGTGTCAGTGGTCTCTTTGAAGGCCAAACTTTCTTATTTTTATTGTTTTGCAAGTGAATTTTTGTATTAAAAGATAAGATTCTGATAAGTAAGTGCATTAAAATATAAAATTCTGATAGATTTTTGTTTGTTGTTGTTTTAGTCTTTGTTTTTTTTCTGAAAATTTAGTTACGGAATTACGTTTTAACTTTCAAGAGATATCTCTATTTTTCACAGTACAAAACTTAAACAAACATTATGAAAACAAAATCTTTCTATTAGTCTTCGAATTTAAATAGTTTCTTGGCAGGTTGGTCTGGTGTGTGTGTATGTATATATAGATATATATATATATATTTTTTTTTTCTTGAGGCAGAGTCTTGCTCTGTTGCCCAGGCTGGTGTGCAGTGGTGTGATCTTGGCTCACTGCAACCTCTGCCTCCCGGGTTCAAGAAATTCTCATGCCTCAGCCTCCCAAGTAGCTGGGACCACAGGTGTGTGCCACCATGACCAGCTAATTTTTGTATTTTTAGTAGAGACGGGGTTTCGCTATGTTGGCCAGGCTGGTCTCAAACTTGTGACCTCAAGTGATCTGCCCACCTCGGCCCCCCAAAGGGCTGGGATTACAGGCGTGAGCCACCACACTTGGCCTGGTGTAGAAATTTTTAATCAAAATGATTTTTATGAGGATTACAGCAATCATTGTTACTACATCTTCCTTTCTGGTGGACAGTGGAGGGGATAGGGTCTCACTCTGTCACCCAGGCTGGTGTGCAGATCATGGCTTACTGCAGCCTCAAACTCCCAGGCCCAGGTAATTCTCCCACCTCAGCCTCCTGAGTAGCTGGGACTACAGGCATGCATCACCACGCTTGGCTAATTTTCTTTATTTTTTGCAGACAGGGTGCCTTGCTATGTTGCCCAGGCTGGTCTCAAACTTCTGGGCTCAAGCAATCCTCCTGCCTCAGCCTTCCAGAGTGCTGGTATTACAGACTTGGACCACCATGCTGAGCTCTACCTCTTTCTTTCCTTCCTTCCTTCCTTCCCTCCCTCCCTCTTTCTTTCTCTCTCTCTCTTTCTTTCTTTCCTTTCTTCTTTCTTTCTTCTTTCTTTCTCTTTCTTTTTCTTTCTTCCCTTTCCTTTCTTTCTCTTCTTTCTTTCTTTTTCTCTCTTTCTTCCTCTCTCCCTCTCTCTTTCTCTCTCTCTCTCTCCCTTTCTCCCCTCCCTCCATTCGTTCGTTCCTTCCTTCCTTCCTTCCTTCCTTCCTGAGTTTCACTCTTGTTGCCTCAGCTGGAGTGCAATGGCACGATCTCAGCTAACCACAACCTCCACCTCCTGGGTTCAAGCGATTCTCCTGCCTCAGCCTAACGAGTAGCTGGGATTACAGGCATGCACCACCAAGCCCAGCTAATTTTGTATTTTTAGTAGAGACGGGGTTTCTCCATGTTGGTCAGGCTGGTCTCAAACTCCAGACCTCAGGTGATCCGCCCGCCTCAGCCTCCCAAAATGTTGGGATTACAGGCTTGAGCCACCACACCCAGCCTACATCTTTCTTTTTGGTTGTCTCTGTCTATTAATGTATTTGATAATTGCTTATCTTACATAAAGGGGCAGATTTGATTCAAAATTATTATTATTTCCCTAGACTCTCTGAACATCCCAATTAAAATTGTTTCTGAAAGATTCTCAGAAGTGGGAGAACAACTTTCTGCACAGCATTTGCCTAGAAATAATTATATCCGCTTTGGAGATTTTCAGTTACTATCAGAAACTCAGTCAGCAATGGGAGTGGCATTGGAATGCTTTATTGAATCTGATGTCTTAAACAATAAGTACATTGATCAGAATACGTCAACTCCAGACACACTACAGTTCTGTTGCATTTAACATATCTGTTACTTGAAAAATTTATTAGAGTGGTACACTAGGCCTAATCCTGTCAGAAAATAAAGTGATTGCTTATTTTAAAATGTATATTGTAGACTCCCAGTCTGCCAATTTAAAAAAAGTCTTTTTTTTTTTATATTAAAGGATTTACTGTCATGTATTTTAAAGTTGGAAAAGAGGGCAGAAAGGTAGCTAATGTTAATTGGCTGCCCACGTGTGCTAGGCATTTTTTATACTTTATTTAAGTAATCCAATAATCTTGCAAGGCAGGAATTACCTCCAGTTCACTAAGGGGTGAGTTAAGTAAAGTATCTGGCTGTGAGTCACTCACCTTGGAGGTGATGGATTTGGGTCTCAAGTCCAGGCTTCTCTGATTTCAAAGTCCAAAGTCATCCCGCCCTATCTGATCTCCAGCTCTGTGTTGCCAGCGCAGCAATTTGTTAGAAAATTACTTTTTAAGAAAAGGAAAGCTCATTTGAAATTTACTCAATTTTATCACCCCTAAATTATCTCAGATTTCTTTCTACATTCCCATTGCTCTATTCTCAATTTTAGACCTCATCACCTCTTATCCAGACTGTTGTAACAACATATTAACTTATCTTCTTGACTCCAGTATTATCCTCTCCATATCTATATTTACACATAAAGATCTAATTATTAATCTTCATTGAAACTCTTCTCTGGTTCCTCATCACCAATTGGATAAAGTCACAATTCCTTAGCACCATGTTTAAGGTATTCTATTAGCTATCTGCTGCCTACAGATTTCGCAGTTAAGGATAGTTTCTCATACCCTTTGTTCTAGCCATGTGGAATTGAATTTCTCAGATAACAACACACTTTTATCATGACTCACTCCCATCTACCTGGAGAATGTTTACTTACCTTTTAAGACCCTGGTCAAAAGTTATCTTTTTGATGAAGTTTTCCCTGCTCTTTCTGAATGATTTTGTGCCCAAATCATTCTATTTTGAAAGAATAATACTGTACTAAAGTTATTTATTTTTATTCTTTCTCTTCCTAGCAGATTTTGGGTTCCTTGCAAGCAGAGGCTGTGTTTTGATGATGAATAACTCTTTTTGAATAAATACATTTATTAAAACTGTGTTTTCAATTAAATATCTTTAAAAATAGCAACTTCATGGTTGGGCATGGAGGTTTATGCCTGTAATCCCAGCCTTTGGGAGGCCGAGGCAGGAGGGTCACTTGAGGCCAGGAATTTGAGACTAGCCTGGAAACATAATGAGACCCCATCTCTACAAAAAGAACTGAGGTATCAGGAAAATAAAATTAAAATAGCAACGTCAGGGATCTATCTAATTATGCTGATGCTTCAGAAAAAATTCTGTCTGGGCCAGGCACGGTGGCTCAAGCCTGTAATCCCAGCACTTTGGGAGGCCGAGGTGGGCGGATCATGAGGTCAGGAGATCGAGACCATCCTAGCTAACATGGTGAAACCCTGTCTCTATTAAAAACACAAAAAATTAGCTGGGCTTGGTGGCGGGCGCCTGTAGTCCCAGCTACTCGCGAGGCTGAGGCAGGAAAATGGCGTGAACCGGGGAGGTGGAACTTGCAGCGAGCTGAGATCGCAGTGAACCTGGGCGACAGAGCAAGACTCCGTCTCAAAAAAAAAAAAAAAAAACAAAAAAAAACCAAAAAAAAATTCCATCTGATCTTACTCTTAAAGTCTTCGCACCTGGCCAGAGCCTGCCTAGAAAGTGAGAATGTCTCTCCACGCTAATAAAAACTGGGGAGAGGGTTCAAGAAGAAAGGAGTCAGTAAACTGATGACTAATAATGAAGAAGGAAGACATAAGACGTGGAAAGTAAAAAGAGAAAGAAGCACTCAGAGAATAAGCTCAGGTGTCCCAGAGTTGTAAGAGGTAGAATTTGAATACGAAGTACATATAAAGCTTCAAAGAGGCTCAGAGATGTGTTTTGATTTCCAGAGCATGGAGTAGGTGAGAGGCATGGATTAAGGTCATGGATTAAGAGGGAGGTAAACAGAGTTGGTTAAAGACAGAGCAAGATGTATAGCCTGCTGGGGCTCACAGCCATGTGTTCTTCCATTCTCAATCCTGTATTGGATGCGACACAAACACCACTAATAATAATCAAGGGCATGTCACTCACATCTTTTCTGTCACTCTGTCCCTAAATAAATTATTCGTGAAGGAAAAAGACAATGACTTTGGGGAGCACCAGACATTTGAAATTGACTGAACAAACCCAAACAAAAATTTCAGGTAAATAATGGTGTCTCTTTTCTTTACCAATTAGATCCCTTTCAGTTTGTGTTTGTCTCTATTGACCTTTCGGAAAGTGATATTATTGACAAGACAGGCAATGCAAATAACAAAAATGGAAATGAAAGAAAAATCAGCAATAAGCACAAGCCACTACATAAGCACTAGACAGGATAATTCGATCCTTTATAATTGAAAGTTGATTGGAGGCAAAAGTAAACAATCATTAATTCATGTGTTCATTTATTCATTCAGCAGAAAATTGGATTGCCTATGCTTTTCTGGGCACACGTAAAAATAATGGTGTGAGAAGTAACATTTGATAGCATGCAACAATGTCATCCCCACAGGTGCGATTGGAGCACCCTCTGACCACCACAGTCTTTATGTCTGTAGCCTCTGAGTCTGTGCTGTCCAATACAGTAACCACTAACCACATGTGACTAGTTAAATGTCATTTTAACTTAATTAAGATAAAATAAAACGTTTCATTTCTCCATCACACTAGCGACATCACAAGTGCTCAATAGCCACATGTGGTTGGCAGCTACTGTACTGAACAGCACAGATGTAGGACAGTTCCATCATTACAGAAATTTTTGCTGGAAAGCACTGTGAGCATTCCATTTTGCTCTAAAATATCCCCACTGAGCTAAGTTTGCCATTCCATAATTTTATCATATCACTTTGTCGCTCAGGAACTTCCTGCAGGTTTCTTACTGCTACTGGAGCAGTGCTTCTCAAATTTTAATGTACACTCAAATCACCTGGGGATCTTGATAAAACCCAGTGTCTGATTCAGTAGAGCTATGGAAGACCCAGGATTCTGGATTTCTACTAAACTCCCAGACAATGCTGATGCTGTTTCTTCAGTTGTATTTTGTCACTCTGGCTTTCAGAGTTCTCTATACTCTCTCACAAGCCCTGCCTGACATCCACCAGCTTCCAGAAAGGAGCCCCCTTTGCCCCAGCCGCCGTTTCTCAACAGTTTCTACTGCTGCCATTGCTCAGGTGTGTTCTCTCCCTACATTCATTCAGTTTTCTCATCTTCAGAAAGACCCTCCCCAGTGGCTCAAACCTGCTAGATCATCCCTATACAGTTGGCTTTCAAACTTTAGTATGCATAAGGGTCACCTTAAGGGAGCTTGATAACTTGTGCTTACTCAGGCCTCAGCCCATGAGATTCTGGTCATTAGGTTTGAGATGGACCCCAGCAACCCACTTTATTAGTGGACTGCAGGTGATTCTAATACCAGTGTTTTTCTAACTAAACTCTGAGAAATACTGACAGTATACTTCTTATCTGTATTACTGATTTTGATGCTCATGAAACTTATGGATAATTTTACACTGATATTCCACTCTTTGTAGTGTTTTTGACTTATTGGAAAATAAAGTATAGTCTATTTATGTTTAAAAATATCCAGAGCTGTGGATCTAAATCCTGACCTTGAGGGAGACTTTAAAATTCCCATGTAGAGATCCCTCCCCCAGAGATTCTGATTTAATTGTTTGGTGAGGAGGCATTGTGTGGGTGTGTGGGTGTGTGTGTGTGTGTGTGTGTGTGTGTGGTTTTTTTTTTTTTTTTTTTTTTTCAAAGCTCTGTATTAGTTTCCTGGACTACCATGACAAAGTACCACAAACGTGGTGGTTTAAACTGCAGACATTTATTCTTTTACAGTTCTGGAGGTGAGAATTCTGAAATCAAGGTTTTGGTAGGAACATGTTCCCTCTGAATGCTGTAGAAAATAATCTGTTTCATGCTTCTTTTTTAGCTTCTGGTGGTTGCCAGCAATCCTTGGAATTATCTGGCCTATAGCTGCACTGTTCCAATTTTTGCCTTTTTGTCATGTGGCATTCTTCCCTGTGTCTACGTGCCTCCAATCTCACTCTTCTTAAAAGGACACCAGTCATTGGCTATGGGGCTCATCCTTACCCAGTATGACCTCATCTTAAACTGATTAGATCTACAAAATCTCTATTTTCAAATAAGGTCACATTCATAGGTATCAGGGATTTGGACTTCAACACATCTTTTTGCAGAACACGACTTAACCCATGAGCTCTCCAAGTGATTCTAATGTGTAGCCAGGTTTTGGGAGCTATAGGTCTAGACTCAGTGGTTCTGAAACTTGAGCAAGCATCACAATCACCTGTAGGACTTGGTAATATGTGGATTATTGGATCCCACTCCAAGATTCAGTAGGTCTGGGTTGGGCCCAAGAGTTTGCATTTTTCTAACAAGTTTGAAAACCACTGATCTAAGAAAAAGGAAAATGAAGTATATTTCTCATTCCCTTGGAGGAGCAGCATCTGCATCACCTGAGAACTTAGTGGAAATGCAGAATGTGAACAAGAAACTGCATTTCAACAAGATTTCCTGGTAATTTGAATGTTTGTTAAATTTTTAGAAGGACTCTTGCATAATTTTCAAAATAAAATTTTTCTTAAATGGCTTACCAAATGAGTTACTGGGGGAATAGATGAATAAAGGAATAAGAGAATGAATAATGAAATAGAGGCCCCAAGTGGGCCTTCCAAATCTATTGGTCAAGTTTTCTCAGCGACTGTGAAGACAGTGGCTTGTCATCATAGTGGTGGAATGGAAGTACCTTCCACAGCCAAGTGTTTTCCGCATGATTGGTCTGTTCCAGGCTCTAAAAAGTTCCATATTTTCCCTCTCCCTGCCCCATCCCAAATAATCTCATCTTAATATTTTGTGGCTTCACTATTAGCACTCTGTTGTTTGTGCCAAAGATTGAAATAGGAGGCAGGCTGGAATACAGAAAGAAACACAGTGCTCTGTAGATTTAGTGACGAACTGGCTCTGGGCCAAAGAGTAACAGGTAAGTTTCACAGTTGCAGCTGAAAAAGAAATGAAAGCTTTGAGAAAGCCTAGAGCCAAGTCAAAACATGCCATATATGATTTTCTTTTGGCAGATATACTGTAAAATAAGAGTAGACCAAATTCCCCAGGTAATAGTAATTGACCTATAAATGTCATTATTGATAGATTGTGTTTCTGGAAACATTGTTCTAGAGCTAAAGTGCTCATATGAACCTCCGAAAGGAATTTAGAATTAGGCTTTGAAAGTCTCTTTCTCTCTTTACTAATGATTTCAAGTTTCCTTTTGGAGGGTTGCACCTTTTCTTTTTTTCTAATTATTTATCTAAAAAAGTCACATACCCAAGCAGCCACAAACAGTAAGCCAAAGTTTTCTTGGAAAAAAAAATGTTGGTTTGGAAAAGGTTATTTGCTGTCATTTCTTCACGGGGCCATTCACTCCCACATCTAATTATTTGATAGGAAGATTGATAGAGTTCACATTAAGGTTAGCTTTTTTAAACCTGCCAATCTGAGGAAGAGTTGATACTACATTTTCATAAAACATTATTGTTGAGTGAGGCATTGCTATGGTTTCAATGTTTGTGTCCCCAAATTCATGTTGAAACTTAACTGAATTAAGAGGTTGGGCCTTTATGGAGGTGATTAGGCCATGACAGCTCTGCCTTCTGGATGGGATTAGTACCATTATAAAAGGGATTGAGGGAGTGAGTTCAGCCCCGTTTTGCCCTTCTACCTTCTGCTTCCTGCCACATGAGGACAGTATTCATCCGCTCCAGAGGACACAGCAACAAGGAGCCATCTTGGAAGCAGAAAGCAGCCCTTACCAGACACCAAACTTGTTAGCTCCTCGATCTTGGATTTCCTGGTGTCTAGAACTGTGAGGAATAAATATCTATTGTTTATAAATTACGCAGTCTGTGGTATTTCATTATTGCAGTGCAAATGGACTGAGGTGGGCATAGGCTGATTTTGGGGGCAATGCCATTCAGATGTTGCATCCTGCTATGTAGCTTGAGAAACAATCCTTTAATGTTCTGTTGCCTCCCCTTCCTCTTTTGTAAAATAAGATTAATAAAATGTTCAATCTCTCTCTCCTAGATGTCTATTCAATTTAAGTAGAACACGTCTCATAACTAGAAAAAAACTTCCCATATCTTTAGCCATGTAATACAGATACATTTCTGTAAACATCATTTTATTTTATTTTTATTTTATCCTATTTCTGTTACAAGCTTCAAAATCAGTTTCCACGTTCTAAATGCTCATTAGGCAAATAGCATTTTTGGTCATAAACCAGCCAGTTATACAAATTATTTGAGTTTTATAATAACTAACAAAATTAACAACTCTAGATCTCTCCTTATTTGTGCACAACAAAATATGTGCCTTATCCAAACCCAATATGAAAAATCCTCCTTCTCTCTCTCTCACATTCTCTGTTGTTAAATTGCTGAATCACTGTGTGTGGCAGCCAAGTTCAACTCTACTGGGCATGCCTGTTTGAGAATAGTCAGGGGCACCCAAGGTCCCTCTGCTATTTCTAGATAACAAGAACAGAAGAGCAGCCTGATGCCATACTCTAAACAGCTCTGTGTGTGTGTGTGTGTGTGTGTGTGTTTGTGTGTGTGTATTATTTCCCTACGTCTTATTAAAGCTGGCAGATACTCTGTATGTTTATACAAGTAATAGATTGTACAATTTGGGCATGATGGGGGGACCTTGAGAAATCATGTATTTCAACTTCAAATTATAGCATGACAAAATGTAGATAATCCTGGGCACGGTCAGAAGAGCTGGGTGCTGGCTCAGTGGCTCACTGAGGTGTACTCTAAATCACTTTCCAAGATTAATGTGAGGAATATTTTGATAATTAAGGTTTCTCTTTCTCTCACATTTAAAGATAAACTCACAGACTGCAGGATTAACTCTACTTTCTTTAGTTCTTATTGAGAACAGAAGTAATATTCTTTGAATAATGTTTTATTGATTTCCAGTGCTATTACTTAGCACCATTTTTCCCTTCCCTAAATTAAAAACAAATCACTTTCATCTATACTTGAAAACTTACTTTTATAATTCCTTAATTATTACTCATTAGAACTAGATGTTATTACATAGTAAAGGGTTGATGAACACTCAATAAAATTGTAGATTATTTTACAAATCAAGAGTGTTAGCTCTTCCAAGAGATGAATAAGTTTATGCTCTGGAAATGGCCTGTCTGCTTTTGATTGATTACTTTAGTAACAATGTGATTCCGAGCATGTCATGCAAATTCTCTGAGCATCAGTTTCTTCTGTTGTAATAAAAGAATAAGAAGGCTGGGCGTGGTGGCTCACGCCTGTAATCCCAGCACTTTAGGAGGCCGAGGCAGGCGGATCACAAGGTCAGGAGTTTGAGACCAGCCTGGCCAACATGGTGAAACCCCGTCTCTACTAAAAAAAATATACAAAAATTAGCTGGGCATGGTGGTGTGCGCCTGTAATCCCAGCTACTTGGGAACCTGAGGCGGGAGAATTGCTTGAACTCGGGAGGCAGAGGTTGCAGTAAGCTGAGATCGCGCCACTGCACTCCAGCCTGGGAGACAGAGCAAGACTCCATCTCAAAAAAAAAAAAAATAAAATAAGAAAAGTACCTACACTATAGCACTGTTGTGAGAATAAAGTGATATAAAATATATAAAGTTTTAATCATGGTGCCCTATATTTAGTAAGTGTGTGAATTTGAACTGGAAAACAGAGGCTATATGGTTTGTACAGTTTATTTGTATTGAAATACAGTGTAGTTAAATGCTTCTTAAAACACTTTTCAGCTGGGTTTTAAAGTCTGTTGATTATATAAAAGTTAAAAAAACATTTTATTTGTTATCATGGACTTTCAATCACACCTATTTAGGCCTACAATATTGGGTTTTATTTTAGTTGGTATTTGTTACTGACCAATCTTTTAAAATTATCTGTTACCATCTTCGAACCTTTTCAGTTTCACTAATATATAGTCAACCTTTCTCTAGACCTTGCAATTCTTAGTTTGCAAATATGATTACTTAAAAAAATTCCAGAAGATACTATCTGTAACAATGGAGTCCTTTCTTCTATTAATCCCCCCATTAACTTATATATGGAAAATGAACTTTTAACAGAGAAAGATAAAAAAAAGTGTTATAAGAATTTTAAAAATAATTTCAACTGTTATTATAGATTAAAAGGTAAATGTACAGGTTTGTTACATGGGTAAATTGCATGTCACTGAGGCTTGAAGTCCCACTGATCACACCACCCAGGCAGTAAGTATAGTACAGAACAGGTGGTTCTTTAACCCACATTCGCCTCCTTCCCTCCCCTGTCTAGGAGTCCCCAGTGTCTATTGCTCTCATCTTTATGTTCAAGCGTATTCAATGCTTAGCTTCCACTTACAAGTGAAAACATGTAGTTTTTGGTTTTCTCTTCTTGTGTTAGTTTACTTAGGATAATGGCCTCCAGCTGCATCCATGTTGCTGCAAAGGACATGATTTCATTCTTTTCATGGCTGTGTAGTATTCCATTGTGTATATGTGCCACATTTTCTTATGTAATCCACTGTTAATGGGCACCTAGATTGATTCCATGTTTTTACGATTGTGAATAGTGCTGCACGAACATATGAGTGCATGTATCTCTTTGACAGAATGAATTATTTTCCTTTGGGTCTATACCCAGTAATGGGATTGCTAGGTCAATCCGTAGTTCTATTTTAAGTTCTTTGAGAAATATCCAAACTGCTTTCCACAGTGGCTGAACTAGTTTTCATGCCTACCAATAGCATGTAAGTATTCCATTTTCTCTGCAGCCTCACTAGTATCTATTGTTTTCTGATTTGTTAATAATTGCCATTCTAACTTGTGTGAGATGGTATTTCATTGTGATTTGCATTTCTCTGATGATTAGTGATGAGCATTTTTTCAAATGTTTGTTGGCTGCTTTGTTTTCTTCTTTTGAGAAGTGTCTGTCGTTTTCTTTGCCCATTTTTAATTTGGTGTTTTGGTTTTTTGCTTATTAATTCATTAAGTTCCTTATAGATTCTGGATATTATTAGCCCTCTGTCAGATGCATAGTTTGCAGATATTTTCTCCCATTCTGTAGGCTCTCTATTTACTATGTTGGGGATTTCCTCTGCTGTGCAGAAGCTCTTTAGTTTAATTAGGTCCCATTTGTCCATTTTTGTTTTTGTTGCAATTGCTTTTAGAGATTTAGCTATAAATTCTTTGCCAAAACCTACGGCAAGAAGGGCATTTCCTAAGTTTTCTTATAGGATTTTTATGTTTGAGTTCTTACATCTAAATCTTTACTCCACCTTGAGTTAATTTGGGTATATGGTTAGAGGTAGGGGTCTAGTTTCATTCTTTTGCATATGACTAGCCAGTTATCCCAGCACTATTTATTGAGAAAATGTTTATAACTAAGAAACAAGGCAATTTCCTGTATTATTTAGGGAAAAAATCAACTTTTTATTAAATTACTTGAAGACTCCAAGTTAAAATATTCCTTCACCTAATCCCTTTGAAAACTCACTTTAATTATAGCAATTTAAAAAATTCCTTGGTTTTAGAAAGATTTTTCACATATTAGAACAATCTTTTGCACATATTTGAACAATCAAATTACATATTCTCACTACCTTCTGGTTTCTTCAACTATCCTTAAAGGGTACAAGTCTGAAAATACTATTGTTGATTTATTTAGAATATTTATTAAATCTCTTAAAAATCCCCAGAAGCCACTGTAGACAACAGGTTGATCATGTGTTGTGAAAACTAGCTGGTTTCATACCTTTGAAAATGGTCATATTATTTATTTTTATCTGAACCTTAGGTTATATCCAAAACACATATTCAGTTATTTGGTACCTATACTCTAAGGCAGAATGAAAACTTATTACTTTTCTTATAAAAGTTAATTATTAATCTCAAGGACAATAGATATAAAAAATAAGGTTTTGGCTATGGCGTTTCAGAGCATTTGTTGAAATAAGAAAGATATACCTAATGCTAGATGACGAGTTAGTGGGTGCAGCGCACCAGCATGGCACATGTATACATATGTAACTAACCTGCACAATGTGCACATGTACCCTAAAACTTAAAGTATAATAAAAAACATTAAAAAATTAAAAAAAAAAAGAAAGAGAAGAACTTTTATATCTAGGAATTTAACCAAAGAAATCATCTTGTCTCTGATTCAAGATATAGTCATAATGATGTTCAGGATAGTGTGATGGTTATAAAAACAACAAAAACAAAAACTGGAAAGAACTAAAATGTTCATAATAAGAAGCTAGCTAAATATTAGTCTTCATTAAATAAATATTACATCATCATAAATCTGTTATGGAGGAATGCCTAGGCCTAATAACATAGAAAACTATTCATATCATATTTTAAAGGAGAAAAAGTAGCTCATAAAATAGCATAAATAGCATAGAAACTTCCACAGACATAAACATTTCAATTAACAGATAAACAAAAATACATACACACAAAAAATTCAGAAGAATAAATTTCCAAAGCAATTATATTTAGGGATTGGAGCTAAGTGATTTTTATATACTAATCCACATTTTTGGAAATTATCTGTAAAGTACCTATGATGGATTTTAAAATAAAGTTACCATGTAGTTACCCAGCTGGATAAACATGACATCTGGATTTCAATCTTGACAAATTTTTGTTTTAATCTCTCACTGTTCTTTGAATCTGTTTCAACTGAATACAAAATTTGCCAGCCTAGAACTTTGTTGCTCACTCTGTGAACATAAGCCTAGAAGTCATTTTAAATCATAAACGTATTTTACTCTAGAGGATAGATACTTGAGTTGTCTGGATAGCTTTCTTCTTTTTTAAAGTAAGGATTTAATGCTATATATTTCCCTCTCAGCACTGATTTAGCTGCATCCAGCAAATTTTGATATTTTCTACACTCATTTTCATTCAGGTCTATTTTTTTTTTTTTTTTTTTTTTTTTGAGACGGAGTCTCATTCTGTCACCCAGGCTGGAGTGCAGTGGCACAATCTCGGCTCACTACAACCTCTGCCTCCCAGGCTCAAGCAATTCTCCTGCCTCAGCCTCCTGAGTAGCTGGGATTACAGGCGTGAGCCACCACGCCTGGCTAATTTTTTGTATCTTTAGTAGAGATGGGGTTTCACCATTTTGGCCAGGCTGGTCTCGAACTCCTGACCTCATGATCCGCCCGCTTCAGCCTCCCAAAGTGCTGGTATTACAGACATGAGCCACCGCGCCCGGCCAGGTCTATGTATTTTTAAATTTACTTTGGGACTTTCTCTTTGATCTATGGATTGTGTAGAAGCACATTGTTTAATTTCCAAGTGTTTGAAGATTTTTCCATTGTCTTTCTGTTATTCATGTCTAGTTTGATTCTATTATTGTCAGATAATGTGCTCCTTATGATTTTATTTATTTAAATTGGTTGAGGTTTGGTTTATGACCCAGAATATGGTCTATGTTGATTAATGCTCCACGGGCAAGCTCTGTTTAGTGCTATGTTTCCTGGCGGATTGATCCTACAGTTGATCTCCTTCTTTCACTCTGTGTAATTTTTTTCACTCTGAGATCTACTTTGTTTGGTGTTAATATAGTCTCTATTTTTTATTAATGGTGGCATAATATCTTTTTCATTCTTTTAGTTTCAACCAGCTTACCTTGTTATGTTTGAAATGAGTTTTTGTAGATATTGTATAGTTGGGTTATTTTTTTAAATTCAGTCTTCCAATCTCTTCCAATTAGTTTCTATCAATTTAGTCAATTTACACTTAATTATTGATATTATAGGGCTTAAATCTGGCATTTTATTATTTGTTTTCTGTTTCCTCTGGTTTGTGTTCCTTTGTTTCTCTCTTCTTGTCTTACCATGGATTATTTTTAAAAGTTTTAGAATTCTTTCTTGTTTTATTTATGTTTTTCAGAATATCACTTGTAGAGTTTTCTCAGTGGTTCATGAACATATTACAGTATACATACATAGCTTATCATGATGTACTGGTATCAAAATTTTACCACTTCTAGTGAAGCATCAAAAGTTTACTCTCATTTAAACACTTTACCCTCTCCATTTATTAAATACAGTCATGTGTCACTTAATAACAGAGAAAAATTATAAGAAATGAATCACTAGGTGATTTCATCTTGTGTGAACATTATAGAGTGTACTTACACAAACCTAGATGGCACAGCCTACTACACACCTAGGATATATGGTATAGCCCATTGCTCCTGGGCTACAACCCTGTACAGTGTGTTAATGTACTGAATACTGATGACAATTTTAACATAGTGGTATTTGTATATCTAACCATACTTAAGCATAGGAAAGGTACAGTAAAAATATAGCATAAAAGATTTTTAAGTGGCACACGTGTATATGGCATTTACCACGAATGGAACTTCCAGGATTGAAAGTTGCTATAGGCGAGTCAGTGAGTGAGTGATGATTGAATGTGAAGGCCTAGGACATTCTTTAAACTACTGTAAGACTTTATCAACACTGTACATTTAGGCTACACTAAATTTATAACAATTATTTTTTCTTCAATAATAAATTAACCTTAGCTTACTGTAACATTTTACCTTATAAACTGTATAAACTTTAAAATTTTTAAACTTTTTGACTTTTTAAATAATAGACTTCGCTTAAAATACACATTGTACAGCTATGCAAAAATATTTTTTCTTTATATCATTCGGTAAGCTTTTTCTTTTCCTTTCTTTTCTTTTTTTTTTACTTTTTAAAATTTATGTTAAAAGCTAATTTGGGAGGCTGAGGCAGGAGGATTACTTGAGACTAGGAGTTCAAGACCAGCCTGGGTACCTTAGTGAGGCCCCATCTCTACAAAAAAGAAAAACTTAAATTTAAAAGCTAAGACACAAACACACATGTTTTTCCTAGGTCTACACAAGGTCAAGGTAATCAATATCAATGTCTTCCAACTCCATATCTTGTGCCACAGGAAGGTCTTCAGAGACAATGACAAGCATGGAGCCGCCTTCTTCTTCTTTTTCTTCTTCTTTTGCTTCTACTTCTGCTTCTGCTTCTGCTTCTTCTTTCTTCTTTCTTCTTTCTTCTTTCTTCTTCTTCTTCCTCTTCTTCCACTTCTTCTTCTTCTTCTTTTTTTTTTGAGACAGAGTTTTGCTCCTGTTGCCCAGGCTGGAGTCCAAGCAACCTCTGCCTCCCAGGCTCAAGAGATTCTCCTGCCTCAGCCTCCCAAGTAGCTGGGATTACAGGCATGTGCCACAACACCCGGGTAATTTTTGTATTTTTAGTCGAGATGGGGTTTCACCATGTTAATCAGGCTGGTCTCGAGCTCCTGACCTCAGGTGATCCACCCGCCTCAGTCTCCAAAATATGCCTGGCCTGGAGCTGTCATGATAATAATG
Organism: Homo sapiens; assembly: GCF_000001405.40. Lineage (NCBI taxonomy): Eukaryota > Metazoa > Chordata > Mammalia > Primates > Hominidae > Homo > Homo sapiens. The sequence goes on along the minus strand of NC_000003.12, from coordinate 152,902,746 downwards.
CCTTCTTCTGGAATACCTCCTGAAAGAACTACCTGAGGCTGTTTTACAGTTAACTATTGTTTTTTAATAAGTAGAGGAACTACACTCTAAAAATAAAGATAAAATGTATAGTATATTAAATACAGAAAGTGGTAACACAGTCATATATTATCATTATCAAGTATTATGTATCGTACATAATTGTATGGGCTCTACTTTCATATAACTGGCAGTGCAGCAGGTTTGTCAATACCAGCATCACCACAAACTCATGAGTAATGTGTTGCACTATGATGTTACAACAGCTGCAGTGTCAGTAGGTCATAGGAAGTTTCCAGCTGTATTATAATCTTATGGGACCACTGTTATATATCTGGTTCATCATTGGCCAAAATGTTGTTATGCAGTGCATCACTGTATAATTTTCAAGCATTTATATGCACAGTGAACACTGTGACAAATGGCATTAAAATTTTTGCTCCAGGCAACAAATATAATTTAAGAAATTCATGAGGAGAAAGAAGAATACAGTCACGTCTTATGAATTCTTTATCTTCTTTGAGAATGTCTTTATTTCTGAAAGATAGATTAAAAAAAACCCTCCAGGTTGTGAGTTCTTTTCATTCAGCACAAAAATTTGGGCCACTTTCTTCTGACTCCATGGGTTCTGACGAGAAATTTACTGTCATTTAAGTTGGTGCTTCCCTATATCTAATGCATTACTTGTCTATGGTTGATTTTAAGACTGCTTTGTCCTAGTTTTCAAAAGTTTAATTATGATGTGTCTTTACATGGATTTCTTTTTCTTTTTGTATTTTTTTTTTTTTTGAGACAGAGTCTTGCTCTGCCACCCAGGCTGGAGTGCAGTGGCTCAATCTCGGCTCACTGCAACCTCTGCCTCCTGGGTTCAAGCAATTCTCCTGCCTCAGCTTCCAGAGTAGCTGGGATTACAGGTGTGCACCACCACACCTGGCTAATTTTGTATTTTTAGTAGAGATGGGGTTTCACCATGTTGGCCAGACTGGTCTCAAACTCCTAACCTGAGGTAATCCACCTGCCTTGGCCTCCCAAAGCGCTGGGATTACAGGTGTGAGCCACTGCACCTGGCCCGCATGCATTTCTTTCATTTCATCCTATTTAAGATTAGCTCAGCTCATTGAATCTTTAAGTTCATGTCTTCTATCAAATTTGGTAAGTTTTCAGTTATTATTTCATCAATTACTTTTTCAACCCTACTTTTTCTGTCTTCTCCCTCAGACTCAGATAATAACAATTTAGATTTTTTTATTATTGTCCCCTATTATCTGAGGCTCTGTTAATATGTTTTTTCAAATCTATTTGTTCTCTGTTGTTCAAATTGAAAATGTTTTATTGATTTGTCCTAAAGTTAACTGATTCTTTCTACTGTCATCTCCATTCTACTATGGAGCCTATCCAGTGAGATTTTTGTTTTTGTTTTTTTGTATTTTTCAGTTATATAATTTCCATTTGAGTCTTTTTTATATATTTAATTTGATTTCTTTGCAAGATTTTTTATTTTTCATTTGTTTCCAGGGAGTTTTGATTTCTCATTGAAACAATTTTATGGTGGCTGCTTTAAAATAGTTTTCATCAATCTCCAAAATCTGATTCCTTTCCATATTGGCCTCAGAGATGGAGAGCAATACTCCTGGCCCATCCTGTAGCCATCCAGTTCTGGCAGGCTTTCTACTCTATCTCAACAGTGCCACTGGGAGACAAAAGCACCTGTCTAGGATGCCTTCTATCACTGGGTGCAGGGCCAGGAGTACCTGGAGCTGTGGGTTCTGGGTTGCCTTTTGCTGTTGAGTGGAAGGCTATCCTAGATCATTTTCTGTTGCCAGGTGGAGGGCAAGAAAACACAGGATTTGATTGCCTTCTGTCATTGGGTAGAGAGCCAGGAAATGCCTGGCCTAGGTTTTATTCTGCTGTTGGGTGGAGAGCTGGAAATCACTGAGTCTGGATGGCTCTCTGTATTGGATGGTGGGCCTGAAGATAGTGGCCCTGAGTTACCTTCTGCCACTGGATGGAGGGCCAAGGGACACCAGACCTCCTAAGTGCCACCAGTGCAAGTGGAAGGGCCTGTTGCTGCCAGCAAGAATGGGACATGGATTGGACAGATATATTTTAGTACCACTGATTAAACTATATTTTTCCCAGTCACTTAATCCTAGACTCTTTTCTCAGTGCTATTCTTCCTAGATTTACTTCCTATTTATTAAGGTGACATTCTATTTATTAAGGTAATTTCTATTGAGTCTCATCTACTCCATTTTCTATTTATTCTACTAGTTAGTGTCATTTTGATGCTATTTCATGTAGTCTTCATCGCCCATTAACAATATTGGCATTATAAGAAATGAGGAAATACTGAAGGAAAGCACAACCAATACTAGATATTAAATTAGCAAATTAATATTAAAGAGAAAAGTGTGTACTTTGAATATATTATAAGAACAATAAATTTAGTGACTAGACTTTTTGTTATGACAGAAAGCAGAAAACTAATTGTTCCAATAAGACAGCTCTACCAACTCTAGCTTTTTCATCCCTCAAACTAGTTTAATTATTAAAGCCATTATTGGTTCCAGAAACTTAAAACTTGACCAAAGGTTTAATAATTTATTTAATATATTAATTCAACAAATATTAATATATTACCTGTCATTTGCTTAGGTGATAATCTGCTTTAAGAAAGATATGGGGCTGGGTGCAGTGGCTTACACCTGTAATCCCAGCACTTTGGGAGGCCGAGGCGGGTGAATCACCTGAGGTCAGGAGTTCGAGACCAACCTAGCCAACATGGTGAAACCCCATCTATATTAAAAATGCAAAAAATTAGCTGGGCATGGTGGTACTTGCCTGTAGTCCCAGCTACTTGGGAGGCTGAGGTAGGAGAATCACCTGAACCTGGGAGGCGGAGGTTGCAGTGAGCTGAGATTGCACCACTGCACTCCAGCCTGTGTGACAGAGTGAGGCTCCATCTCAAAAAAAAAAAAAAAAAAAAAGAAAAGAAAAAGAAAAAGAAAGAAAGAAAGAAAAATTTTCCTTTTTATGGAATAAGTCTGACTATTCATTCTGTTTTCCTATATTATCCTCTCATGTGTTCCCTTGATAGAGTAAACCACCTGCTTAGCCTTAATAAATCCTCTATAAAACTATGGCATCTCAGTTTCTTTCCTAACAAAAAAACCGATGTCTAGTGCTTCAGCATTGGTGCCAAAGTGGCAGGTGTCTTGGAAGTGCCCAGGGAGACTTGCTGACAGCTGGAGGGCTATGGGTAATAAACACAGCCAAGCCTGCTTTCTCAAGATCTTTGAATTAGGGAAGCAGGAGGGCGTATTACAGCAATTACCTAGCCATGCCAACATTTGCACACTACTATTAATATTTCATTACCACTCCCCTTGATATTTTGACTTTACCTGTAGCAACTGTTGTTTAATCTGAATTATTACTTATAAAATTGATAAGACTTTATTATTAATAAGTAGCACTCACACTTATACTTCAGAGAAAGTTCTGAGGTATCTTTAAAATATCACACATTTCTTAACCCTGGAGGACCTCTGTTCAATTGAAATACTGTAACATTTAATGTATTTAATAACAGCCCAGATTTTCACATCAAACGATTCTGGATATATGATATTTGCTATATAATAGGTCATTGTGCAGTATTTATTTATATGTTTTAAAAATGGTAATTGACTGGGACGAAATCACTGATCAGTCAAGATACAGAGTTTGTAGCTTCCATGAATTTCTTGGACTACCCAGGACTGGGTGTTCCTGGAATATTAACATATCATATTTTCTGTTCTTTTTGAGGCTCATAAGCCAAGGCTGGCATCTTTTGTGGCAGGTCTTGGAGCACTGTGCAGTCAGACCAACACCAACAGCAACAACATACTGAGCTGCAATCTATGGCAGCCTCAGCACCATAGTCCCTGGGTCCTCTCTCTTCAAGCTGATTCTTCAGACTCAGATTTTGAAGGAAAATTTTCGAAGGAAAACCAATTAATTGCATCTGTGTCTCTCGTTTTTTTCTTTCTCACTGCCACCAGACTCAACCAGTCCAGATATATATAAGTAGATTCCAACCACAATAGGGAAACCAAGGCTAAGTGTCTAACTAGGTCCACTCACAAGAAACCAAGGAATCAAAGTAAGCTATTATTGAGCTTGGGCCTTAGAGCACAAAGAATGCATGGGATAGAAGCTGACAAACTTTGTGGTTGGCCTATGAGTGTTCACCTTCTATAAGCATTCACCTATGTGGATTTCTTTTTTTTTTCTGTGTTCCCCTAAGATTCTTTAAGTAGGTCAGTCACTTCCATGCTGGTGGGTATTGCCTTGGAGTGGGAGGACTAAATTAGTTGTTAATAAGCCCCTCAAGTGATAGGCCAAAATCTAGAAAACTCAGAGACCCACAAGGGCTAGCCAGATAATTAATGCTGGCTTGGTGGCAATTCTGGTGAACCCCAAAGCACAATGTGTCAATCTAAAAAGAGTACCTGCTCCTAAGATGTCCAACCATCCTGGTTTGCCTATAACTGAGGGGTTTTTCAGGAAGTAGGACTCTCAGTGCTAAAACTGGAAAACTCCCAGGAAAAAATGAGATGAAAATTGGCCACCCTAGCTCCTACTCAACATAGCCAATTTTTGCTATATTTGAACTTCTTTCCTTCTTTCTATCCTTCTTTTCTTTCACATGCAAAAGCCCCTGTTTCTTAAGTTTGAGAATTAATTCAAATAAAAAATAGTTTACAGATTAAAACACAACCCATATTTGGCTCATGGGCTCCAAGTTTGTAATACATTTTTAAAGAGAAGACAGTGTATGCCTAAGGGAAAGACTTAAGTAGATGGCCTTGGTTTCCTTTTAGTCTGGGTTTTAAACCTTAGTCAAAAATGAGCCATTATGGCTCATTTATTCATCCTGTTTCACAAATAGTAGTGGTTGCACATAAGCTTTAGTAATTTACTGATGAAACCTAAGTTAGTTATAAATGATGTCATTTTAGTTATTTTCTTGGTCCTTGTTATCTACATATACTCTCCTTGGGAGTACTCCAGTGGCGTTTGTGAGAAAATAGGATTCCTCTATTTGGCCATGGAAAACCCTTTCCATGGTGAAGTGCTCAGGACAACTAATATTGCAATTATCACAATGCTCTCTTGTTTCTCTTGCCTTCCATTGCTAACCTTGTCATTCTTTCCATTATACCTTCTGGAGTTGACTTAATTCATCAGAGACAATCGCTTTACATTCTCAGCTTCTTCAAAGACCACGTTCTCTGCCTGCTTGCCATAAATAAGTTAATAAATATAAAAATGCTCCAAGTATTTTTATACTAAGTTAGTTGTAAATGATATCATTTTAGTTATTTTCTTGGTCCTTGTTTTATATATATATATATATATATATATATATATATATATATATATATATATATATATATACTCTCCTTGGGAGTACACCAGTGGTGTTTGTGAGAAAATAGGATTCCCCTATTTGGCCATGGAAAACCCTTTCCATGGTGAAGTGCTCAAGACAACTAATACTGTAATTATCACAATGCTCTCTTGTTTCTCTTGCCTTCCCTTGCTAACCTTGTCATTCTTTCCATTATACCTTCTGGAGTTTACTTAATTCATCAGAGACAACCCCTTTACATTCTCAGCTTCTTCACAGACCCTCTTCTCTGCCTGCTTGCCATAAATAAGTTAATAAATATAAAAATGCTCCAAGTATTTTTATATGGATGAATTAAGTAAACTGCAGAAGGTATAATGGAAAGCAAGGTGGCACATGTCTGTAGTCCCAGCTGTTTGTGAGGCTGAGGCAGGAGACTTGCTTGAACCCAGGAGGCGGAGGTTGCAGTGACGCGAGATCGCACCACTGCACTCCAGCCTGGGCGACACAGCAAGACTCCATCTCATAAATGAACAAACAAAAAAAACTTGGAGCAGTACCTAGAAAGTAAGTGTCAAAAAACATTGTTATTATTATCATAATCATTATTAACTGAAACCTGGCTCTGCCTAAAAAGCACAACTTTCTTTGCAATCCTCTCAAGGAAGCTTTGCCATTTCTTCTTAATGTCTGAATTTTCCAAAGTATGCAGAAGAGGATTGTACTCTCCCAGCTACCCACTGCTGTTGGCAGGCAATTATTTGCTTATCCTCCAGCAGAAACTTATGTTTGAGACTCCTACCATCAGTTTGAGCCCTGTCTTACTCTTCTTCTTCAGCTTGGTCACAATCTCACAATCACTGAGGGCTTTAGGTCTGCCTCAAGGTTTTCCTCCATGCTGATTCCTCCATGCTGATTTCAGAATCTTAAAGAGGCTTCGTGGCCATGTGAACAAGCCATTAATGAATGCCTCCTGCTTTCTTTATCTACTGACTTACTGTGTGCTCTTCCATTTTCATCATTAGGAAACTCTGAAATCCTAAACTTCAATTTTCCATTCTCGGACCACATCTCCATTTTAAATCTCCTCCTTTTCAAAAAGCATTTGAGCCCTTTCTATTTCAGTACCACCTCCCTCCCAGCCTTATCCTTCATAGAGGAAATTGAAACTGCCATATAGAATCAGCCTTACTTTTCCCTTCTTACCTAAAAACTTAGGTATCTGTCTCCACTACCGCCTGGCTCAGAGGAAGGGAAGCCATGACCTCACTCACTGGTGGTAAACCCTACCACTTGTGTTCTTAGTCTAATCTCTTCCTATCTCTTCAGAAAAATTCCAGACCATCTATCTCCATCTCTCATTCTAAGTCCTGGCTCCTTGTTGCTTGCCTATGAACCCACTCAAGTCTCTTCCATCTCAAAAAGAAAAAGAAACACTTCTTTAGAATCTCCAGCTAGCACCTTTCTCTTCTCATACCTCCAGACCATAGTTCTTCAAATAATCTGCTCTCAATGTCTAGCTTCCTCACTTTCCATCCCCTCTTAAACATTTTGTACTTGGGTATAGTCCACAACTACTTTACTTAAACAACCCTTACTTGGCCTACCAAACATACTTGATGCCCAAAGAATTATTTTATTTCCTAACATACTGGCTCTCAGGAGTACTGGCCTGGTCTTTACTAACACCTTTCCCTTCATTGTCCTATGAAGGGAATTATATGTGTTTTGCATGTGTATTTCCCCCATATTTCCAGCCATTTCTCAGCCTCTTTAATTGTATCCTCTATAATTTTCCCAGTTTTATACTTGAAGCACTCCTCTAGGGTTTTGTTTTTTGTGTTTTGTTTTTGTTTTTTTGACGGAGTCTCACTCTGTTGCCCAGGCTGGAGTGCAGTGGCATGATCTCAGCTCACTGCAACCTCCACCTCCCGGTTTCAGGTGATTCTTTTGCCTCAGCCTCCCGAGCAGCTGGGATTACAGGCATGTGCTACCACGCTTGGCTAATTTTTGTATTTTTTTTAGAGATGGGGTTTCACCATGTTGGCCAGGCTGGTCTCAAGCTGCTGACCTCAGGTGATCCTCCCGCCTCTGCCTCCCAAAGTGCTGGGATTACAGGTGTGAGCCACTATGCCCCACCCTCTGAAGCACTCCTCACAGCAACCAATATCCTTGATGTCTCACTCATGGCCTCAGCACAAACTACCACTTCTATATGCTGTTTCTCAAATTTATACCTGTATCTCTGAACTCTCGTATAAATTCTGTATTCATAATATGCAATTCCCTATTGGAATCTGTACCAGAATGCCTAAGAATCCTAAAAAGATGATATATACAAAGGTGACCTTGTCTTTCGCAGCCTTTCATCGTACTTCTTGTAATTGTCATGAGAATTCATGAATGTTCCCCACAACAACCTAAGAGTTCTCTTAGAATCTTTTTTTTCTCCTAGAATTTTTCTTGTCCTTATTTCCTAAACCTAATTAGTACTATGTTAGTTTGGATCCTTTAACAAGCAGACATTGACACTAGGATGGGTGGAGATGTAAAAGAAATTATTCAAGGGAAACACCTGTGAAGGATGAAGGGAAAGGAAGAAGAGTATATAGGAAGAGGCTTTAGCCTGTCATGCACCTCTGGCAACTGAAGGTAAGGGGGAAGTGTCTTAGTCTGTCTGGGCTGCTATAACAGAATAAGACTAGGTGACTTATACACAATATACATTTATTTCTTATAGTTCTGAAGACTGAAGAGTTCAAGAACAAGGAATCAGCAGATTGGTTCTTCCTGGTTCATAGATAGATGGCTGTCTTCTCACTGCATCCTCGTATGACAGAAGGGGCAAGGGATCTCTCTGGGGTTCTCTTTTATAAGGACACTGATCCTATTTATGAGGGCTCTGTCTTCATGACCAAATCACCTCCTCCAAACCCCACTTCCAAATACCTATTATATTGTAGAATAGGACATCAACATATACATTTTGCAGTTGGGGGCAAAAACATTCAGTCTATGGCAGGAAAGAAGAAAGACTGGGTAGGAAGAATTAGGCCACTGGGGAGTACTCAAGCCAAAGTCTTTAGTTACAGGAGTCTTGTATTCCAGGGGAGTCTTGTATCCTGCAAGAATGGCCTGCACTAGCTCTCTCAGCCATGCTCATTCATTGGCTGGAAGCAGCCCATGGGAATCATGGCCTCATTATGAACGAAGTGGTGGAACTAGTGGAATAGATGCTGGATCCACTGATTAATTTACTTACAGTGCAGGAGATCTGAGAGATACATTTCACAGTCGCCACTTTCCAAATCCTATCAATTTAATCTTCTTAATAGCTATCAGGCCCCTTTGTGATCCATTCCCTAGGGATGGCCTTATTATCTTTTATCTAGAATGCTAACTGTCCTCCCTGCCATCAGTCTTGTCTGCCTTTCTCTCCAGTTCATTTTCCAAGCTGCTGCCAAAATGCACCTTTTCATATGTAAATCTAATTTGGTAACTTCCCAGTAACCAGATTATTATCTTTGAATGGACACTCAGGGATAAAAGCCAAGCTTCTTAGCATAGCGACAAGGACATACCAAATATTCTGCTAAGCCTGACTAGCTACATCTCCAACACTTCCCCCTACTTCTCCAGAAACGTACAGTACACTCCACTGACTGAATTTACAGTCCCTCAAACACATCTTCTTTAGCCTTATACCTCATCCTTTGCACAATTTCATCTTCCTGGAGTGACCACACTACCACTGCCTCCTTCTGACCCATAGCCTGATTATTAACTGCCACATAGCTCAGTATATTTTCCGTGTTAGCCAGGATGGTCTCGATCTCTTGACCTCATGATCCGCCTGCCTTGGCCTCCCAAAGTGCTGAGATTACAGGTGTGAGCCACCATGCCTGGCCTCAAGTATGTCTTTTTAGCATGTAAGAATGGCTGAACACAGAAAATTGGTACCAGTAGTGGGGTATTGCTATAAAGATACCTAAAAATGTAGAAACGATTTTGGAACTGGGTAATGGGCAGAAGTCAGAAGAGTTTGGAGGGTTCAGAAGACAGGAAGATGAAGGAAAGTTTGGAACTTTTGAGAGACTGGTTAAATGGTTGTGATCAAAATGCTGATAGTGATATGAACAGTGAATTTGAGGCTGACAAGGTCTCTAATGCAAATGAGAAATTTATGGGAAACTGGAACAAAGGTCACTCTTGTTATGCCTTAGCAAAGAGCTTGACTGCATTCTGTTTATGACCTTGGGATCTATGGAAGTTTAGAGTGATGACTTAGGGTATCTGGTGGAAGACATTTCTAAGCAACAAAGTGTTCAAGATGTGACATGGTTGCTTCTAACAACCTACACTCAGATATGGGAGTAAATAAATGACTTAAAGTTGGAAGTTATATTTAAAGGGGGAGCAAAGTGTAAAAGTTCAGAAAAATTGCAACCTAGCCATTTGGCAAAGAAAGAAAAAGCATTATTGAGATAAAAATTCAAGGGGGCTATGGAGCAACTACTTGCTAGAGATATTAGTATGGCTGAAAGGAGGCAAGTGCTAAAACCAAGACAATGGGCAAAGGGCCTCCAAGGCATTTCAGAGATCTCCAAGACAGCCCCTCCCATCACAGGTCCAAAGGCCTAGGGGGAAAGAATGGTTTAGTAGGTCAGGTCCAGGCCTCCACTCCCCTGTGCAACCTTTGGACTCTGCTCCCTGCATCTAGGCCACTCCAGCTCCAGCCTCAGTTCAGTGGATCCCAGATACAGTTCAGGCCACTGCTTCAGAGGGTGCAAGCTATAAGCCTTGGTGACTTCCATATAGTGTTAAGTAGTTGCACAGAGTGAAAAAGTGAAGGAGGCTTGGCAAGCAATCTCTGCCTATATTTCACAGAATGTATGAGAAAGCCTGGGTGCCCAGGCAGAAGCCTGCTGCAGGGGCAGAGCCCTCACACAGAACCTCTACTAGGGCAGTACAGATGGGAAATGTAGGGCTGGAGGTCCCACAGAGTCCCCACTGGGGCACTGCCTAGTGAACCTGTGAGAAAGGGGCCACTGTCCTCTAGACCCCAGAATGGTAGATCCACTGGAAGCTTGCACCCTGTTCCTAGAAAAGCCACAGGCACTCAACTCCAACCTGTGAGAGCAGCTGTGGGGGCTAAAACCTGTAAAGCCACAGGGGTGGGGCTTCCCAAGGCCTTGGGAGACCACCCCTTGCACCAGTGTGCCCAGGATATGGGACATGGAATCAAGGATTATTTTGGAGCTTTAAGATTTAATGGCTGCCCTTCTGGGTTTTAGACTTGCATGGAGCCTATAGCTCCTTTCATTTGGCCAATTTTTCCCTTCTGGAATGGGAATATACCTAATGCCTGTAATACCATTGTATCTTGGGAGTAAATAACTTGTTTTGATTTTACAGGCTCATGGGTGGAAGGAACTCAGCTCCATATGAGACTTTGGACTTGGACTTGGGACTTGGGAATTTCGAGTTAGTGCTGGAATGAATAAAGTCTTTAGGGGACTGTCTGGAAGAGATTATTATATTTTGCAATGGAAGAAAAAAATGAGATTTGGAGGCCCAGGAGTGGAATTATATGGTTGGGACATTTCTCCTCCCCAAATCTCATGTTGAATGTAATCCCCAATGTTGGGGGTGGGGCCTGGTGAAAGGTGTTTGGGTCATAGGGGTGGATCCCTCATGGCTTGGTGCTATCCTCATGATAGTGAATTCTCATGAGATCTCGTTGTTTGAAAGTGTGTGGCACTTCCTCCCTCCCTTTTCTCTTGCTCCTGCTCTCACCATGTGATGTACCTGCTCCTGCTTCACCTTCTGCCATGAGTAAAATCTCCCTGAGGCCTCCCCAGAAGCTGAGCAGATGGTAGTGCCATGCTTGTACAGCCTGCAGAAACACAAGCCAATTAAACCTCTCTTCTTGATAAATTACTCAGTCTCAGGTATTTCTTTATAGAAATGAAATAACAACCTAACACATCTACAAATTTACAGTTTGGGGCCCTGGTACATAAAAGCTGGTAAAGGTAAATAGAACATAACTGCTTTACTTTGTTCTATACTTGAAGTAGGGAGCAAAATTACCTTTCAATCTTTTAGGAATGAGAAACTAGACAGAAATTAATATTACAATAAATTATCCTACCACATTTGTATTATACTATTTAATAATTTGGTTAGTTTGCATGTCTTCTTTCCCACCAGAATGAGGAACATGAAGGCAGGAAATCCATGCTGTTATATACTATATGCCCCTACTATACCAACCCCAGCAAATGGCATATAATAGGACTCAGTAAATTGGTTACTGTCTCTTATTTCCCACTTATCATTTTCCTTGCAGTCAACTAACTTTTATTTTCTTTACACTACTAAATAAATTTTATTCTCTTTTTTTTCTTTTTTTTTGAGATGGAGTCCAGCTCTGTCGCCCAGGCTGGAGTGAAGTGGTGTGATCTCGGCTCACTGCAACCTCTGCCTCCAGGGTTCAAGCAATTCTCCTGCCTCAGCCTCCCGAGGAGCTGGGATTACAGGCACTTGCCACCATGCCCAGCTAATTTTTGTATTTTTAGTAGAGACGGCATTTCATTGTGTTGGCCAGGCTGGTCTCGAACTCCTGACCTTGTAATCCACCCACCTCGGCCTCCCAAAGTGCTGGGATTATAAGCATGAGCCACTGTGCCTGGCCATAAATTTTATTCTTAATCAATTATCTTATCATCTTTGCTATTCAAAAATAATTGCAAAAACTATAAATCCTATTACAAAATACTAAATTGAATAGCTATGCAATAGTAATGCTTATGAAAAAGCTGGACAGCCAAGTGCTCATCAAATAACTGAGCCAGAAATCACTGACAAGCAAAGAAGATTGAAAATTAAACACCACTCCTTCATTCTTTCCCTACCATGAGTATTTGGATTAACAGTTTATTTTCCTAGTGAGAAGTCTCTACATTATTTTCTTCATAGTGTTTTCACTATTGAATAAAATTTGTATATATATTTTAAATTTTGTTTATATATATATATACATCTTTCTTCATAAACCAGAATGAAAACTCCATGAATAAAATGACTTCATCTATTTTACTGCTATTTTCTCAGCATCTCAGAAAGTGCATAGTAAACAATAGATGTTTAACATTTGTTGAAAACAAGAGTCATTCTTTATGTAATAAGATATATTAATAACTAATATGGAATATATGGAAAGTAATCACTTCAATGGAAATTAGGATTCTAAATACTGAACTTTAAAAAAATTACTTATATATGATAAATAAAATAAATCAAATGATTTTCATTTATAATTTTAGAAAACTCAGTGTTAAAAATACTGATATGTGGTATTATGACTGCAGAATTTTGGCAAGAAACTTAAAACTTTAAATTATTAGTATAGATGGAGCTCATTTAGTCACATGCAGAGGTACTCATAAATACACATACACACAAGCTGTGTATGTAACCATGCTAAAGTTGAGTATAACTAAAATACTAGCTTTATGTAAAGCATCATTGACTGACTAAAATAACATCTTTAACAATAGGAATCTGAAGCTATAAGTTCAAGTTATGAAAGAACAGAAACAAATTAATCTTTAATTCTGCATCAGTGGTACCTAAAGAGACACAGTTTGAATAATTAGTAAGAATATCTACCATTGAGTTAGTTTCTAGAGTTCTTTTGCTTATGACTCTACATTTAAAGCAATTTGAAAATTAAACATTGATAAATAAAATCAACAAAACCTCTAGCCAAAAAAAGACAAATAAATAAAATCAGAAACGAAAGAGGAGACTGTAGTACAACTTTTGCCACAGAAATACAAAGGATCATAAAAGAATGCTATGAACCATTATATGCCAACAAATTAGATCATCTAGAATAGATGGATACATTTCTAAACACATAAAACCTACCAAGACTGAATAACAAAGAAATAGAAAATCTGAACAGGCCAATAACAAATAAAAGGGATTAAATCAAGGCCGAGTGTGGTGGCTCATGCCTGTAATCCCAGCACTTTGGGAGGCCAAGGCAGTTGGACCGCTTGAGCCCAGGAGTTGGAGACCGGCATAGGCAACATGGCAAAACCCCATCTCTACTAAAAATACAAACATTAGCTGGGTGTGGTGGCATGTGCTTGTAGTCCCAGCTACTTGGGAGGCTGAAGTGGGAGGATCGCTTGAGCCTTGAAGGTGGAGATTATCGTGAGCAGAGATTGTGCCACTGCACTCCAGCCTCGGCAACAGAGCAAGACTCTGTTCCCGCCTCCAGCCCCCTCCCTGCCCCACACACAAAAAGAGACTGAATCAATAATAAAAAGTCTCCCAAAGCCCAAGACCTGATAGCTTCACTATTAAATTCTACCAGACACATGAAGATCTAATACCCACCCTTCTCAAACTCTTCCAAAAAGTTGAAGAAAAGGGGGTACTTTCAAGCTCATTTTATGAGGCCAGCAAAAAAAGCCAGACAAGGATACTACCAGATAATATCCCTGATGAACATAGATGCAAAAATCCTCAACAGAATACTAGTGAATCAAATTCAACAGCACACTAAAAGGATCATTCACCATGAGCAAGTGGGATTTACCCCAAGGATACTACAATGGTTCAATATATGCAAATCTCTGAATGTGATATACTACATTAACAGAATGAAGGACAAAAACCATATGATCATCTCAGAAAAGAAAATTAAATGTGGATGGGTCATTTGACATACCAGGTTAGCAACTGTTTAGTAAGTAGGTAAAATTGGTTGTTTGAATTCATCTGATTGTTTTTTAAACAACTGATTATCTTTCTGAATTAATTTTTCAAAACAGTTTGAGCATTTTTGTGGAAAGATATCATGTACATGTGACAACTAAAAGCTACTTATCCTATTTACCTCACAAAGAAAAAGAACATCTATTTGGGAAATGTGGCTCTTAGAAGTGTTTGAATTCTTGTCCTGGATAAGAAAGATCGTAGGTGGTAGACTTGGCTTTGGGCACTGGAACCAAGAGTAAGATGGTAGACAAGGTAGACCCCCAACAGAATGTGGAGCCACCTGCCTCCCTGAAGCATAGGTCACCAAGCCTAAAAGCAGAGAAGCAGAACCCAGGTACAAATGTGTAGGAAGAGTGGCCAGAGCAAGAGGTCTCAAAGTGGAGGAGGGGAGAGGGCCCTGGGGTGCGGCTACAGGCTCTTTATAAACAGCTCCAGTCTTGACTGTCAAATGTGTTGCAAGTTGCCAAAAGCTTTAATCTGTTTTATTTATTCCTGAGGAAGGAATCCAAACAACTGAAACAGTAGTAACAATGAAAAACATGACTAAATAATACTTTCTGGAATGGAGCAACAGGACTGTTCATATCTCAAATAATTAATAAATTATTAGAAAAATTTTTGAAAAAACAAGAAGAAACTGTCTTGAAAGCACCTAGTCAGAAAAAGCAAGTTTCCTCTAAAAGAAAAGACATTAGCTTCGCCCCAGTCTTATCTATTAAAAAATTAATCCCAGCAGGAAATGGAGTAACATCTACATCGTGATGAAGGAAGGTGGTTGTCCCTGGCCAAGTTATTGTTTATGCAGGGTACTCGAAGATATGTTCAAATATGCAAAGCTTCCAAAAACAATTCACTCATTTGCACTACTTAAAGAAAAAGCAAAACTACTTGAAGATATGTGTAGCCAATTGAAAGATGACTAAAATTTGAGAATTTAACAGTGAGAAAGTTAGAGTATAAAAGATTGGTGGTAAGCATCAGTATCAGTTAAATATAGAAGTAGGTCAACACATGTCGTATGCCACACAGAAAAAGATAATATATACAGGTTATACTCCATTTCTATAGTGCAACAAAACCAAACAGTTAAACACTGATAAAGAGATCCCCTGAAAAGTGTCAAATGCTTTATAAGAATTTATATGTTGTCATCTAATAATACTTTTTCTAGGCTAGCCTAAAAAAAGTATTATTATCTGAGAAATAGATAATATATACAAGGATGTTCTTTGCATCTTTATTTATTATAGTGAAAATCTGAACCTAGATATCTAACTGGTAAAATGAGTACCCAATTGGCTTGAGGAATAAGAACCTTAGTAGGAGATGGGTGGGAGGAAGAAGATAGATGTAGGGTATTTATTCCCCTCATTTCATTATTGAGGGATCTCCTTGGACCAACTACTCCCTCTAGTAAAAGTCACAACTGTCCTTCTGGGTTTCATTAATTGTTTCCTCTCATCACCCTTTTAAGCCTATAGGTGACAACATGTTATTACCTTTGGCATATTGCACTATCCTCCATGGTTTCCCTGTACCCCATTCATACCTTTGAAGTAATCTTTTTTTAAAAAAAATTCTCCTCAAATTTACTCAATTTGAGTGTGCCAATGCCCTGGTGACTGACAGGCTTCTGCTGCTTTGACTTTAGATGCTAGAGATGGCTCACTCATGGGTGACTTGTTTATAGAAACAAAGCCATAGATGCGATTTTTTTAAATGCACTACTTTGATGGCTAGACAAATAGATTAACAAAATGCCTCAAAATTATACAACAAGAAGGACGCTTCAAAGATTACACTAAGATTTTTCAAACATGGATGATAGTTGGCAATAAATATTTAAACTTTATTCACACAGAATTAAGAAGTAATGATAAACTCTGTAGTATTGTGTGTATTTAGGGTTGGGTTGAAGAGAGTGGGAACTGGCATTGTACCTCACTAGTGGGTGTGTGTGTGTGTCCAATAATACATATATTTTAGGACACAAAAATGCATCTTGCAATGTTTTCAAGTTTTTGACCTTGCTTTTTAGCTGTCTTTATCACTTTATCTCTTTCCAGAATGGATTCCTGGTTCTAGATCTGCCTGGGATTATTAATCAGGGGTTGCTTCCTGATTTCTTTCTTTCTTTCTTTCTTTTTTTTTTTTTTTTTTGGTCATTTGCTTGTTATATTTTTTAGATGGGAATGATCTACTCCACCTTCTCTCCTCCAACACAGTGCATTGGCCTCTCATTCATAAATACCAACCTGGAATAAAATTAAAATTTCCCAATCACAGATTCTGGAACTCAAAGTTAATCTAAATAAGTGAATATATAGAGGTTAAATTACTTAAGTAAAAGTGTCTGATCTAAGTGAAGAAAATGGCTGACAGGGGAACTTCTGGAACACCAAAGTTTTAATCTGAGGTCTGGCTGTACCTTTCTATAAAGTCTGCTACACTGACACACTGAACTTCACATCAAGACAATGGATAGTAATAATTCTAAAGGAAAGGTCGCCTCAGGGAATAGAGGAGGTAATATATAGCATATAGAAAAGGGGGAAAAGGATGCAGAATTTTCTCCAGATTTAGATATAAATATATAGGTATAGATAGATGAAAGATAGAAAGAAAGAAAGATAGACAGACAGACAGATATCCATCTCTGTACCAAGCATGGATAGTTCTGGCCAATGATGTTTGAAGATAATGCTGTCTAGGCTCCACAAAACTGACTCATGTTAGCCAAAGTTCACAAGAGACTAATGTGTACAACCTCAGCCTGGAAATACCAGGGAAATCTTTCTGTAGGAGACGACACCAGAAGTGAATGCTAAAGAATAAATAGGAGTTAACTAATCAGAAGAAGGGGAAGGAGCAGAGGAGAAATTCATTCCTTCATCCGTTTAGTAAACGTCTATATCCCATATGCCAGGCTATAGATAATAATCTTGTCCTTATGGACAAATAAATAGATTATGTTGTACATCAGATGTCAGTAAATACTACCAAAAAACTAAAATAAGCAAGAAAGGGAGATATTAGAAATACAAATAGAAAATACTGGAGTAAAGGATGTTGGCTCATTGACCACTGTATATCACTGATTTTAAAATCTAGAGATGAATGGTTATCCAGGAATCCAGGTATTTTTGTGTTTGAAGATATAAACAGAGACAAAAACATAATGAGATTAGTCTTAGTAGAAGGGAAGAGAAGAGATCCTGCCAGAAGCATGCCAAGTCCTGAGGCCTCCTTTTACTTCTGCTTTTTACTTCTCCAAATGTGGAGGCCAAGGAAGGGGTGACCTGCTTAGGACCATCCAGGGCTCCAGGGCTCCAGGGCTCCCTCTTAACTTTCTGCCATTAGAGATCCTCAGGCTAAAAACAATGTGGGCAAAGCAAGGAGTTCTGAAACAGCAGTTATGCTCTGAGAACCACATGCATTGGAAACACGTGGAAAAAAAAGTGTAAGGCAGGTCATGATGTTAGATACGCAGGCATCAAATCATGTAACTCACCACAGCCTCCAACTTCTGGGCTCAAATGATCTTCCTACTTCAGCCTCCCAAGTAGCTGGGACTACAGGAACGACAGCACACACCACCACATCCGGCTAATTAAATTTCTTTCTTTCTTTTTTTTTTTAAGTAGAGAATGTTTTCAGGTGGGAGTTCTTGCTATGCTACCCAGGTTCATCTGGAACTCCTGACCTCAAGCAATCCTTCAGTCTCAGCCTCCCAAAGCACTAGGATTACAGGTAGGAACAGCTGCACCTAGTCTGATTCTTAATAATTATTAGCTTCCAATCAAGGTAAAGTCTTTCACGAACTGAGAAGCTTCAAGCTTTAAACAATTTGTCCTACATCTTAGTCTAAAAATAGCAACAGTAATAATAATGCTTATAACAACCAAGCTAATATTTATTGTAATTATCTACAAAGGATTATGTTAAGAGATTTATATAAATTAAGTTATTAATCTTCATTACAAAATTAAGGTAGGTACTATTATAACTATGATGTTTATAATGAGAAAACTGAGACACAGATTGGTTAAAGTACTTGCTCAAGAGTAATTGACACAGCCAGGACTTGAACCCAGGCAGCCTGGATCCAGAATACATAGTTTGGCCCTATTTATAGTACCATTCTGAATCAAATTAGGATGACCATAAGGTCTTGATGTGCAATATTTCAGCATAAGTTTAAAGTAAAGTGGTATAGGTGGACCTTAACATAAAGTATGTTTCAGCTGCACTTGGAGTCTTACAGAAAAGATACGTGGAAAAGACCTAACCAATTTGTGTACTTTTAGTAAGAACATAACAGACAGAATAAAACTTAAAATAGAAGAAGAAGAAAGGAAATTAAGTTAATACTTAAATCACAAGCAAGTTTGTTTCATGAATTTTGAGGGATTTTACTGCTATGCAAAGAAAAACAATTATAGATATTGAAAGGCAAAAGATTAGCTAAAAATTGACCTCCCACCCATGAAAAACCAATTTAAATGTGGGAAGAGTGTTCTTAAAACAAGGGATTGAATAGTGTTGGCACCCAGTTAATGTTCAGTAAGTATTTATTGAAAATTATTTGAATACATCTGATGAAGAGACTATTATATCAGTATAGTTTGCAGTAGTTCTAAAACTTGTTTACAGATGAAATTATTATTCAGCAAATGTTCACTCACTGCCCAATGGCCTCACCTCTTTGAGAGGAATATCTTCCCTGCCTTGTCGATGATGGGTTTGGGTATGTCACTTGTTTTGGCCAGTGAAATGTTGGTGACATGAAGCCAGCAGAGGCTTTAAATGTGCTCGGGAAATAAGATGCAGTCTTTTGCCTTAGGCCATGAAAATAACATGCTCATGTAACTAGTCCAAGAGGAATGAGAGACCCATAGGGTAGACCTGTAGTCCCAACCTGCAGTGTGGCATCAATAGCAGCCGTCCTAGATCAACCAAACTTCACCAAATCGCAAATGTGTGAACAAGAAACAAATGCCTATTGCTGTGAGCCACTGAGTTTTTGGAATATAGTGGAATTCAAATCTAAGAGATAACAGGTTTGGTTGTAAACTTGGAGACAAGGCAGTTAATTCTTAAAATATTAGTATTTGCCACAGTTGAATGGAAGAAATAGAAGAATCTAATGTTATTCAGAGGGAAAAAATTCAAGAGTAGATAGCCAAGGATATTCAGATGATAGCTATGAGCTAAGGAAAATAGAGGTAGAAAACAAAGAAATATTCAGATCTCTAGACCCATCAGCCACTGAGGGTCTAAAAGCTTGTAACAAAACCCTCCAAAAGTGGGAAGGGAGTGGGAAGTAACACATATAAGGTCTATATTTCCATCACGTTGCTCAATCTGTATAGGTCTTCATTTTATTCTCTGTAAAAGAGGGGACCAGGGCAGATAAGCTCTTTCAGTGTGGAAGTTAAGTCTTTTAAGTAATTTTAAGTTTATCCAGAAAAATGAGTTTTAAAAAGAATGCAGAAATAAATGGTGACACCAAAGACAAAGCAGCAGAGATTTCAAGGAAATCAAATTTCCATTATCTTTAGTAACCCTGACTTCTTATTGTCATTCCATATTTAATATGAAAAAAGGGGCATTAATATTATTCAACAACAAATTGATTCAGTAAAGAGATCAGATTCTAGCTAGCAATATAAGAACTGATTTGAACAGATTAATACTTTTTTTTAAGTTAGGTATATTTTATGAAATTCCACTCATTTCCTTTTTAACTCACTTCCCTGCTAACGCCAATGTAATATTTTAAGATATCCTTTATATGTTTCTAGTTTCCCATGTCAAAGAAGCAGTTTATCTTTCAGCATTTCCTAAGTGAAAATGTGCCCTTTAAAACATTTTTATTCCAAAATAAAAGTGATAAAAACAGTTTTTATTTAAATAATCACTTGATGACTTTTTTTTTTGTTAATTTTGTGCTATTACACGACTGAGGGTTTAGGGGTTATAGAAATTCTAATAGATTCTGGAAGGTCACCTAGTTAATAATAAGGAAATAATCTACTCTGTTGAAGAATATTATAAATATAAGCTTGAGAATCTATAAAACAAATCACATGTTTCTATATGATTTTCCAGCAAATTCCAGCAAATATGACAAAAGTGCCTCACCTCTTAATAGTAATTTGCTTTCAGAAGTCCACCTGATTTATTGCAAAGCTTTCTCAGTGTGTAATTATCTTCTCTGAAGAGTGTGTATGGAATGTGCAAAGCCTCAGTCAGACAGGATCATGTAATACTAGTTGAATTTCACAAAACACCAATGATTTAACCTAACATTTATTAAATTATACCCAGTTTAAAGCTTACTTAGCAGTGGTAAATAATTTCAAGAGCATAAGTATTGCCCAAACCTCAAGCTAAAATTTTTATTTAGTGTTTAGATGTATTTTTCGTATGCTTCTAATTAGTAGGATATATTAGAAAAGACAGTGAGCTCATGCAGTTACACTTTATAACTTTAGTCAAATTCATAGTCTTTCTTTTTTAATTTTATTGTTTAAATTGTAAATTATTTGTAATAGTTATATTTTGCTGGCTTTAGGCTAAAAATGACTTCTGATTTTTATTTTTATAAGCATAATTTTCACTTTTAAAAACTTTTAATTAATATCATTTTTCTTTTATATTTAAAGAGACATTTATTACTTGCAAACTATTTGGTGGTGGTTGTATTTTACAACTTACAGTTCTGAGATGGAAAGTCAAGGATAACTTTTAATCATAAATTTAAAAAACTCTTTGCCTTAACAGAGTGTCATGATTCAGAAGCAATTGGTGTTTTAGAGTAATAAAGATGGCTTTACTGTAGCTAGTAAAGATGACCTATACATTCAAATAATAGGAATTATAATTGTAAAATAAGATTTAGAGAGTAAAAATGAAACAAGATTAGGCAAATCACTCCATATCACCAAAAATCTTTCCACAAGTGAGTATTATAATCGGTGTACACTAGACAGGTATTATTGTATAGAAAATTATATAAAGATCACATAAAGTATACTCTATTCTTAATTCTTAGGGACACAAAGTTGCAGCTACAATGTGGGAGCATTGCTATCCATAGGAATCTAAAATATTGTGCCATGTGTTAACAATGTTCAGAACGTTATTTAAAAAAAGAAAAAAAACCTAAAAAACTAAACATTTGTTTTATACTGCACAATCCAGGGCATAGTCTACTTCATAGAGAAATATCTGAAAGTAAGCATGGGAAAAGAACTGGTAAAGTCAAAATCCTGTTTAACCTTCCCACAGGATACATGTGCAGAGAACAATAGAAATTCCTGTTTTCATTTCTTGATACCTCAGTTTAGCTTTAAATTCCATTTATTTACTAGAAAAGGAAAAGGGAGGAAAGCACTTACTGAATTCCTGAGGAACACAATGACTATATAATATAAACATCAAAAGCAATGAGGTAGACACTGTTCTCAAATATATATTGATTAGGTAGTGTTTGAGAGGTAGGGAGAGGATGGATTAAATGCACAAACAAGTAACTGCAATACAAGATAGAGTAAAATAGATGTCATTGGAGAAGTACAAACAAAGCCTACCTATGTTTTAAAAAGGGTGGAGGAGGAGATTAACACTCTTTTAGCAAATATTTATTGATAGTATCTTATGTACCTAATATCGTTCAAAGCTCTTAGCAGGCCCTAAAGATAAAGCAAGCACAATTTCTGCTCTTCAGGACTCAAAATGCAGAAGGACACTTAAGATAAGAATCACTGCCACATCAGTCTATGAGTTAAAGGATGGCAGGGGACTGTATTTTACTTATTTTGGCATGCAAAGTGATGAGTGAATGCTCAACAGATACTGAATTCATAATTGTAAAGAATTTATCAATGATTTGCACACAAATACTTACCATAAAACCAAACTAAGCATTTTACTTGTTTTTTTTTTTCTTATTTAATCCTCACACCTTGTGAGGTATGATGAAATGATCAATGATGGAACTGATGCTTGGAGAAACGAGAAAAATTGCCCAAAGTTACACAGCTAGTGTATGGCAATGTGCATCTAGAATCTAGGCCTGTCATCACTGCTTTTTTTCATATTATCTTATTGAGTAATACAAGCTGTGAAAAAGACACAGTTAAATTATTATAAGGGTAAAAAAAAATTATCCCAACCAGGGAAATCAGTGATGGCATCAGAGTAGATGGTTGACCTCTAGAGAATGGAGAAAATTCTATGAAATGAAAACAGCATCTAGGCTTGCACTGTCCAGTAGCCACCAGCCACATGTGAAAGTTTAAATTAATTAGAATCAAATACAATTAAGAAGTTAACTCTCCAGTTGCACCAGCCAAATGTCCAAGAGTTAACTATTACATGTTGCTTCCAGCTACTGTATTCATCAGCACAAAATTGTAGATCATTTCCATTCTCACAGAAAGTTCTATTGGAAAGTGTTGTTCTGGACAGAAGGGACTAGGATGATTCTTAGTGGGGGTGTGGCGGGGGAAGACAGCAAGGGAACAAAGTTCAGGTCTGTTCAGAGAAGATTGGGCTATTGAGCATGGTGAGAGTTTAAGGTCCAAATCAGGGTGTAAGGTGTAGAGCAAGATAAGTGCCAGATATATTTTAGATGATCTTGAATGCCAGAGAGAGAATTTACGTTAAGTTGGTAGGCAATGAGAAACATTGAGGACTTCTTGTCAAGGAAGTAATATTATTGGATCTGTTATTAAAATAATTATTTGAGAGGTGGTTCACAGGCCTGATTGAAATGGTAAGAGCTGGTGGCTGGGAAACGGGTTAAGAGGTTACTGAGCTTGGAATAGAAAAGCTAAAAGGGATGTGAGAATTTTGAGGTGGAGCCTATATGGCTTGACATTATGAGGAGAAAGGGGAAAAGAAGTTTGGGTAACTGAAAGAATGCTGGTGGTGTGGTCTGATATATAGAAGTCAAAAGAAGGATGTGGCTTGTTTGGATGACAGTAGATTCAGTTTTGAACATGTCAAATTCAAGTTTCTTTCTGAAGATGTCTGTGAAGCACAAGGGAAACTTTGCAAATCCTCTATTTTTACAGAAAATTCAATTACTGGCCTTTGAGGATAGGAGAGACAGTGAGGTTAAAGGAGTCATCACGGGCAGGCGAACTGTATTAGTTCATTCTCACACTGCTATAAAAAACTACCTGAGACTGAGTAATTTATGAAGAAAAGAGGTTTCGTTGACTCACAGTTCCACAGGCTGTACAGGAAGCGTTGCGGGGAGACCTCAGGAAACTTACAGTCATGGCGGAAAGTGGAGGGCAAGCAAGCACCTTCTTCATATGGCGGAGCAGGAGCAGGAGAGTGAAGGGAGAGGTTCTACCCACTTTTTTTTTTTTTTTTTTTTTTTTTTTTTGAGACAGAGTCTTGCTCTGTCGCTAGGCTGGAGTGTAGTGGTGCGATCTTGGCTCACTGCAACCTCCACCTCCCGGGTTCAAACAATTTTCCTGCCTCAGCCTCCCGAGTAGCTGGGACTACAGGCACGTGCCACCATGCCCAGCTAATTTTTGTATTTTTAGTAGAGATGGAATTTCACCATGTTGGCCAGGATGGTCTCGATCTGTTAACCTCGTGATCCGCCTACCTCAGTTTCCCAAAGTGCTGGGATTACAGGCGTGAGCCACTGTGCCCAGCCGGTTCTACCCACTTTTAAACAACCAGATCTCATGAGGACTCACTCACTGTCACAAGAACAGCAAGAGGGACGTCCACCCCTGTGATTCAATCACCTCCTACCAAGCCCCTCCTTCAACACATGGGGATTACAATTCAACATGAGATTTGGAAGGCGACACAGAGCCAAACCATATCAGGAACCAATATACACAATGGCAGGAGAAGAGTCTAAAAATGTGCCAAATTCAAGAGTTACAGAGGCAGGTATAACAGAGGAAGTAAAAAGCCAAGAGTTTGGAGCCAGGAATGAAACAATTTTGTTTATCTCTTATAGCTTTGGGATACTGCACATTTTTAAAAGAAGTCTTGTTGGTTTAATATTATTTCTCAAGTAGGCTACTACTAAAAACATATCTAATCATATTCATTTCAGATTATTTCATAATGTTTTCAATGTTTATGATAGTAAGATAGTGTGTATGAAGAGTTAGAAATTCATGTAGGATTCTCTCAAGTTCCACTGTGGACTTTTATATGTGATACAAACTATTGGTATAAGGGCTTTAAATTATCAGTCCTGTAATTTCAGATATCACAGAGAATGAGTTTCCTTTCACCTTGATAACCAATAAAATTCCAAGATCCCTGGAGTGATTCTTTCACAGGAATTTTACTGTTCTCTTCTTTTATTTCTTCAGTATAATTGGTAGAGGAGGTAAAGAACCAGAACGTAAAGTAAAAGTTAAAATGAAACCCAGATGGTCAGATAGAGTTCTACGTATTTGTCCAACTTTTTGCGTGGAGATAGGAAAAGGCAAATATGTCCATCTTTGTTAGAAACTAAGACAGGGTACTTTTGACAACCAGGCTTCCAGAGATCAAAATAATGTAAGATAAAAAGATTGATGCTAACTCAGAATTCTAAGGTTTTACACAGTGGTTTCCTAAATGTAAGAAAATTTTTCTACCAGACCGTATCCTGTATTGCTGAACTTATAAATGCTGTTTTTGTTTAGTGATTTAGTTGTTTTAAAGGTTAAATGCTTGTAATTTATACACTTACCAAGCCCATATTACACACACACACACAAAACCCAAAAAACCTCTTGAAACTCATTCAGTTAAAGAATTCCTAATAAGTTGATACATCATCCTCCTTTGAGACATCTTGAAATGCAAAGGAAAGCAAGCAGGTGCAAAAAACACAAGACAGCCCAGCTGAACAATCTATAATAGAATCAGGATTGAAATTCATACCTGCCTAATTTCAGCAGCAGTTTACATTACCCAGAAAAGTTAAGGTTGACTTGACATCAAATTGAAGGGAATTACTTTAAAAAAGAATTAATGCATTTGTTGACTTCTCACTGTGAAAGTTGAGAAACTGAACACACTTGCACTTCCAAAAATACATACTAATAAGATATTTTGATGTTTTTGAGAAAGTAGTCATTAGCTTTAGCAATTAGCCACAATTGCCAATACTTATAAAAGGTAAGATATTTTCACAAGCAACTATTACTCAATAAAAGGTGACTTTCTCTAGTGATTATGGTTGTGTGACAGGCAAAGCCACAGATTAGGTTAGATAAAGTGAAAATGGGTAATTGTCTTGGCAGCTGTGTTTCAAAATACATACCTTCTACCACAGTCTTTAGCTAATGTTGACAGCATCTATCCAATCCCTAACATCCAAAGGAACACTGAACGTGTTATACTTTCATCCCAATATGTTGTCAACACAATGTCAAATATAGAGGTGCCTGAAATAATTGTTTACTTTTCATTTAGATGATGGAAAGACTAGAATTTCTTCTCTTTTAATATTTTGGTCTGAGGATTGATTTTGCAGTTCTTTTAACTCTGGCAACACAATTGAGTGAAGGCTAGAAACTAGAATTGAGAGAATTACTGTAGAGTGAATTGTATTTTGCCATTGGCATAATGCTGTAATTGAAGGTGTGCGTTCTCAACTGTAAATTCAGCATTATATCAGTCATAAATAACTGAATATGCCATAAAAGTAAAGAAAAACAACTATAACAAAGTGAATTTGGTTCAGGTTGAGATTTCATTTACAGTATTATAATAGTAGTTATTTTGCACATTATATGCAATATAGTCTAAGAATTTTCTTTAAAAATTAGAAATAATTTTAAATTTTTATAAACTATTTTACTAACTTTATTTATTTATTTATTTATTTATTTTGAGATGGAGTCTTGCTCTGTCACCCAGGCTGGGGTGCAGTGTTACCATCTTGGCTCACTGCAGCCTCTGCCTCCTGGGTTCAAGTGATTCTCCTGCCTCAGCCTCCTAAGTGGCTGAGGTTACAAGTGTGTGCCACCATGCCCAATTTTTTTGTGTATTTTTAGTAGAGACAGGGTTTCACCATGTTGGTCAGGCTAGTCTTGAACTCCTGACCTCAAATGATCCTCCTGCCTCAGTCTCCCAAAGTGCTGGGATTACAGGCATGTGCCACCACACTTGGCTCTATTGTACTAACTTTAAGTAAATGAATTATGTATCAGTTGACATACCTTGAAATATTTGGTATATTTTTCCAGTTCTTTTAAAGGTAGTCAGATAAATCACCTCTGAGTTTCTCCAATTTATGACTTTAGCTATGTTTACAAATTAAAATTCATTAGAATATGGATCACTTGAATATTGTAAAATCAGATTTACCTATCTATATATAAGCTATTATATTAATAAGCTTCATCTTATAAAAGGGTTTTTGTATGTAGTGGTTGAGAGAGCATTCTTCAGAAGACTGCCTGGGTTTGAATCTCTTCTGAAATCTTGGTCTAATATACTTAACTAGGCCTCTTTTTTTCCATCTGTAAAATGAGGGTGGTAAAACTACCTTACTTGTAGGAATGTTGCAGTAAAGTATTTAATATATGTAAAGCTCTTGGAATAGTGTCTATCACATGGTAAGAACTATAAAAGTCTTACTTTTTATAGATTTGTCTTATGTCACATGTAACTAGAGGCCAACATGTGGGCAACAAATGCAGGAGAAAAGGTTGTAATAGGTTGAAGTTTTACAGTAATATAACAAAAATCTTACATGGTATAAGTTTTAAAATATTAATATTTCAAGAAAGCTCTTCTCTCTCAAAAGGAGCACCATAGCTAATCATTCAATTAACTTATTAAGATACCAACTTTTTTCCATAACTGCTTATTCACTAAAAAGTTTTTCTTTATGTTTTTAACATTTTCACTCTTAAAAGTGGTGATGACTAAGTTAAGCTAACTTACTTGGTAGTTTCTATGACACTATAAAGCCAGTCAGATGAAGAATGTTAAAGACTGCTGTAAATAAAGTGTTGGATAATATCCAAATTTTTAGTTAGCTTTGACAACTGAACTATACCCTGGATAATTAATGTTTACAGAAAACTTTAAAAGCTTGTTTTATATAAGTCATCTCTGTTTCCAAGTTCTTACTTTATTTTTGGTCATAACTGTAAACTATAAAGATACAACTACTTCTCTGTTTTGTGCTTTTCTACCATATCCTTTACTAGTGATCATAGAAATGGCCAAAATCAGGAAGTAAATGATATGGTTTAGCTCTGTGTCCCCACCCAAACCTCACCTTCAATTGTAATAATTCCCATGTGTCATGGGAGGGACCTGGTGGGAGGTAATTGAATCATGGGGACTGGTTTTTCCTGTGCTGTTCTCATGATAGTGAATAAGTCTCAAAAGATCTGATGCTTTTATAAGAGGGCAGTTCCCCTGCACAGGCCCTCTTGCCTGTTGCCATGTAAGACATGCCTTTGCTCTTCCTTCATCTTCTGCTGTGATCATGAGGCCTCCTCAGCCATGTGAGGTAATTGGGAGATGTATTAAACTTCTTTCCTTTATAAATTACCCAGTCTTGGGTATGTCCTTATTAGCAGCATGAGAATGGACTAATACAGTAAATTTGTACTGAAAGAGTGGGGTGCTGCTGTAAAGATACCAGAAAATGTGGAAGTGTCTTTGGAACTGGGTAACAGACAGAGATTGGAACAGTTTGGAGGTCTCAAAGGAGGACAGGAAGATGTGGGAAAGTTTGGAACTTCCTAGAAACTTGTTGAACGGTCAAAATGATGATAGTGATATCGACAATGAAGTCCAGGCTGAGATGGTCTCAGATGGAGATGAGGAACTTGTTGGAAACTGGAGTAAAGGTCACTCTTGCTATACAAAGAGACTGACAGCATTTTGCCCCTGCCCTAGAGATCTGTGGAACTTTGAACTTGAGGGAGATGATTTGGGGTATCTGGTGGAAGAAATTTCTTAGTGGCATAGCATTCAAGAGGTGACAGAGCACAAAAGTTTGAAAAATTTGCAGCCTGACAACGCAGTAGAAAAGAAAAACCCATTTTCTGGGCAGACATTCAAGCTGGCTGCAGAAATTTGCAGTAAATAACAAGGAACCAAATGCTCATCTCCAAGACAATGGGGAAAATGTCTCCAGGGCATGTCAGATACCTTCATGGCAGCCCCTCCCATCACAAGCCTGGAGGTCTAGGAAGGAAAAATGGTTTCATGGGCCGGGCCCAGGTTCCCCCTGCTCTATGCAGCCTCTGAACATGGTACCCTGCATCCCAGCTGTTTCAGCTCCAGCCATGACTAAGAAGGTCCAACATACAGCTCAGGCCATTGTTTCAGAGGGTGCAAACCCCAAGCCTTGGTGACTTACACAGGGTGTTGGGCCTGTGGGTGCACAGAAGTCAAGAATTCAGGTCTGGGAACCTCCACCTAGATTTTAGAGGCTATATGGGAATGCCTGGGTGTTCAGGCAGAAGTCGGCTCTGGGGACAGTGCCCTCGTGGAAAACCTCTACAAGAGCAGTGTGGAAGGGAAATGTGGGATTGGAGCCCCCACACACAGTCTCCACTGGGGCTCTGCCTAGTGGAGCTGTGAGAAGAGGTCCACCGTTCTCCAGACCCCAAAATAGAAGAGCCACTGACGGCTTGCACCATGCACCTGGAAAAGCCACAGACACTCAGCACCAGCCCATGAAAGCACCCAGGAAGGGAGGTGTACCCTGCAAAGCCAGAGGGGTGGAGCTGCCCAAGACCATGGGAACCCACCTCTTGCATCAGCGTGACCTGGATGTGAGACATGGAGTCAAAGGAGATCACTTTGGAACTTTAAGGTTTAACAACTACTGTATTGGATTGTGGACTTACATGGGGCCTAGAGCCCCTTTGTTTTGGCCATTTCTCCCATTTGGAATAGGAATATTTACCCAATGCCTGTACCCCCATTGTATCTAGAAAGTAACTAACTTGTTTACAGGCTCATAGGCAGAAGGGACTTGCCTTATCTCAGATAAGACTTTGGACTGTGGACTTTTGAGTTAATGCTGAAAGGAGTTAAGACTTTGGGGGACTGTTGGGAAGGAAAGATTGTGTTTTGAAATGTGAAAGGGACATGAGATTTGGGAGGGGCCAGGGGCAGAATGATATAGTTTGGCTCTGTGTCTCCACCCAAATCTCACCTTGAATTATAATAATCCCCATGTGTCATGGGAGGGACTCAGTGGGAGGTAATTGAATCAAGGGGGTTGGGTCTTTCCCATGCTGTTCTTGTCTCAAGAGATCTGATGGTTTTATAAAAGGGCAGTTCCCCTGCACACAATCTCTCTCCTGCCACCATGTAAATGTGCCTTTGCTCTTCCTTTGCCTTCCACCATGATTGTGAGGCCTCCCCAGCCATGTGAAACTGTGAGTTTATCAAACCTCTTTCCTTTATAAATTACCCAGTCTCAGGTATGTCTTTATCAGCATCATGAGAATGGACTAGTACAGTAAAACTATGTGAGGTTTCATTGGTCTGTTACAATGAATGATCTCTGAAATTATTTTGAGTTGGTTTCTAAGATCATAAAGTTTGGGCTGATACAAAGCTTAGTCTGCATCTCAGCTATGCCAGTTATCAGTTATTTCTTTTTGCACAGGCTACTTAAACAATTTAAGCTTTAGTTTCCTTCTATGTCGAATAAGCATAATAGTATTTACTTCTTATGATATTTGAAATTTAAATTAGATAATTTATAAAATATATGGTATATTCCTTGGCAGGTAATAATTGTGAAGTAAATGTGCGCTGTCATGATGATGATGGCTATTAGTTCTGCACCACTAACACTTTTGTCTTTTATCCTTGATAAGTTAACCTATGCCAATGTGTCTCCTACTTCCATAATTCTTCTGTCTCTTTTATAGAATCCTTCTTTATTGACCTTTTTAAAGTAAATATCTCTTAAGAAATCTCTCTGGTTTCTATTCCATTTCTCATAATGCAATCTCTCCCGATCTCAAAGTCAATCTTTCTCAATCTAAAATTCTTTACATCTTTAGTCATTTCTTTAGAGATAGGATAAAGGTCCTATCTTTATCCCTGTCTTGTTTCCTAAGTCCCTGATCCAATTGACAAACGTCATAGAGGTGTTCCACCATCACTCCAACCAGTGATGTTCTGTAGCATTTGCCAATTTATATAGTGTAAATACTCTCATCATGGCCTGTTTCAAGCTGCTAACTTAACATCACTGAAGGCAGAGTTGGGGGAGACATTCATGCTGGCTCCAATATACTACTGAAATTTCCCCAACTCATAATCCCTCAAACAAAAATTCATCATTTGTCCCAATCCTAGTGAATAGCACATTATTGTCTCTATTTATCCAGACTAGAAACATCAGAGTCAGCCTTAATGGCATTTGGGGTATTCCTCAATTGGTCCTTTTCATACCCTGGGCCTTAGCTGGTGCTGCCACCTCAGCCTGGACTGTCCTTCCCACATCCTCACCATCCTCACTGTGGAAATTCTTCAAGCCTGAGATCAAACTTTGAATCCCTTAAAAAGCCTTCCTTACTCTACTCTTCAATTACAAGTAATCACTTCTTCCTCTGTACTCACACTAGGCATTTTTCTAAAAACAGAAATATCTGTAGTTGCTTCATTAAAAGCGAATACAGCTTCCTCAAGATGAGGAAAGTTCCACTGGAGGGTGTAAACATGGATTGGAGCGTTCTCAGGTCTGGTCTTCGTTCATTCATTCACCTTTCTCTCAAGTGTCTCCTACAGATACAGCCAACAGTGTGGGGATGTCAAAGGAATCCTCTCCTTTTAATATTGTGGGCTGAGGATAGATTTTTCAATACTTCCCTTAATTCTGGCAACACAGTCAAGTGAAGACTGGAATTTTAAAACAAAGCATTCAAACAAACTCAAGAGAAACACAAAGAAAACAGACGCCATGCATTGTGTGCCATCAGATGGTGTGGCTTATTCCAGCATGGAGGATTGAGTTTATTAATAAAGCTGATCTTTGAAGTCGCATTTTAAAATTTATTTTTATTTATTTTTTCCTTTTTTTCCTTTCCTCTTCCTTTCCTGGTATGTTTTAGTTTTACTAATAAATTTATATAGTATAAAACTCAAAAAGTAAAAAGGGTGTACAGCCTACTTCCACATACATACATACCCCATATCAAGCAAATAGGCATGTATTCATAATATCTTCCTTTTCTTCAGACTTTACTTTTTGGAGCAGTTTTAGGTTCACCACTGAATTGAGAAGGTACAGAGATTTTCCACATGCCTCTTGCCCCCACATATATGTAGCATCTCCCATCATTAACATCTCCCACCAAACTGGTGCATTTGTTATCACTGATAAATCTACATTGGCACATCATAATTACCCAAAGTCCATTGTTTACATTAGGGTTCACTCTTGGTGTTGTACACTCTGTTGGTTTAGACAAATGTATAATGACGTGTATCCATAGTATCACACAGAGTATTTTCAATACTCTAAAAATTCACTGTGCTGTACCTATTCATCCTTCCCCCAACAACCCTGGTCAATCTCAAATAGCATTGAATTATTTTGATTTTTTGTTATGCTAATTATATTTTTCACCAAATAGATTATAAACCTTTTGTTTGCAAGGATAGCATTTTACCCATCTCTAAATTGCCCATACTGATCAGCACTGTGTTATGTACACAATACATAATTCAACAATTTGCAAAAAGAATTTATGACATGAGAACTTTAAAGTTTAGCTTTAGAAGACTGTGATAGGCAGCAAAATATAAAAAGACATAATATGCCACATGTGGTACCTTTCCCTATATGAACTCTTGTGGCTTCGTTTGACCTTGAATATCATATAATAAAAATGATTTCATTTTTCTTTTTACTTCTCTTTTTTAAAAAAAACATGAAAGTATACTAAAACAGACAATAGTTCATTAGTTGGAGATATTTTAATGTTTTGCTTTTCTTTATCCTTCAAAAATACTAACCTTGAACTGTGATTTTGTTCTCATCCTAAATTTGCAGGCAATCACTTCTGAAGAGTCCAGCCTTGGAATGATACTAGAATTCTGGAAGAAGAATCTTGTCTCAAGGCATCTGAAAGTTTCAGTGGTGTATTTTTCTTCTTAACTGCAGAGCTTTGACTTTCTGGAACAAAAGAGGAAGAGGAGTTGTGGCAAAGACTGGAACTAACCCTTAACCTAGAAGAGAAACTGGTCAGACATGGATGGATGGATTTGGTTCAGCCCTGTTCAGACTTGCTACTCATTGCATCAATGTTCCCGTTCAATCCGTCAGACGCACCCATGTCCCTTCTGTAGAAATCAGTGAATCATATTGAATCCTGAGTAAGCGATCGTGAGCTTTACCATTTTAAGCTCTATCTATTGCTTCTGTCTCTTACTGCCTTTTCTGTCTTGCCTGCCTGTTTGCTGTCACCCTCACATCAATGTCTGTCAAGCATTTGAATAGGGAAGTAGGTTGAGAAGGGGATTTGGAATGAGGAGTTACTTTGAAAATAATTGGGCTAAAATTAAGGAGACCTTATTTGGTTCTGGTCCTCGTTGCTTTTATTAATCTAAATAATAAGCA
This sequence comes from Homo sapiens, assembly GCF_000001405.40. Taxonomy (NCBI): domain Eukaryota; kingdom Metazoa; phylum Chordata; class Mammalia; order Primates; family Hominidae; genus Homo; species Homo sapiens. Next base: position 152,869,936 of record NC_000003.12, on the reverse strand, counting down.
CTCTGAAAGAAAATGATATTTATTTAGCATGGGTACTGCAATGGGAATACACATACCGTAGTAAACTATGTGCTTATTCAGGAGGGTAAAGAAAGGCAATGGTTTTTAAAGAAAAATGAAGAGGAGTACACAATTATTTCGAGATAATTATTCCTGGTTACAAGGATCAATAATAAGGATGGCACCAGTTTGAAGTCAGATAGGCAGTTGCTGGGCAGATATCCTTGCAGAAGTATTTTTTTTTGTGCAAGGTTGCAATGGCCTTTGTGCAAGGTTGTGGTTTTGCAGTCTTTTCTGACAATTCCTGTTGTCAGGCATTCGTGAATGGGAACCCTTTCTTCATTGCTTTCCCGAGCTCCATCTGTCAGGATTTTTAACACAATTGCCTCCATTTTAATTCTGACAATTTTCACGTTTTTAACTAGCTCCTTGACCTTGAATGAATTCCATTATGTTTCTGGATATAATTTATAAAATTATTAAATTGCAATAAATAGTGTTATTGAGTTTTTATCAGTCTCATACTTTATGATTTTTACATAAATTGGTTATTTTTTGGAAAACAGACTTTTCTGATATATACAATGTACTGTCTAGGCAGAAAATTAGATGGGATAGTACAATGATGTGACAGTGTAATTCCAAAAGATTAACAGCATCAAAACAATTGTTAGGGAAAGAGAAGGAACTAGGGGAGAGGATACCGACCTGAGGATAATAGTGAATGGCATGGACCTCCAGACTCATCATGTAAAATTGACATTGTCAAGGGAAACGGCTTGCAACTTAGTACTCCCAACTTAGTGCTGCTTAGGTGTAGAAATTGGTTATTATTTTACACTAACAATGTTTGTTTCAATGTTTTACTTTAGTTTATATCTTTTGCTTCACTTTTTATTTATGAATTTTTTCTTTATAATAGAAAAATGTAAAACCCTAAAGTGAACAAAAAGCATAAAATAATCATATTAATTGCTCAAAATTGTTTTGACAAACTTTCAAAATTTTAGTGTTTATTATTTTCATTACTATATTGTATTATTTTTATATGATGTATATATTAATTTTTCTAAAAGCATATTCCAAGACAAGGACTTGAATGCAAATAATTTGAAATGATCAGGGGACATAAGCATGGTGGTGGGCCCATGAAACTGGGGGTGGGTAACTGGAGTTAATCTCATGGAGAAACTTCCCACCTGAAGTTCAAGGCAGGTGGATTTAAGGCTGCTGGGGTGGGTGTTAACCTTCCAGCATTTCTGGACCATTGTCAGTGTGTAGTGGGGTACAGCAGATTTCCAAGAGTGGGGCGGGTTGCCAGGGAGCCTGAGCAGAGAAATGAGAACCTTGGGGTTGAGAGTCAGCTGGAGCCCACAGAAGGGCTGGAGGGATGTGGGTGGGGCACTAACAATGTCTGCTATAATATACCACCTAATTTTTTAGGTAAATCAGTCTTTTACTTGTAAAACTTAAACATGTTTACCACAAACCATTTAAATATTAGAAAAGTGAAGATGATATAAATATTTAAAAATCATCTCAAATTTTACCATTAAGTAGCCAGTCACCATTTCCTTTAGGTGAAAACCATTCCCTATTGTGTGTATGTGTGTCAATTTTTAGTGAAGTCTATTTTCTACTTTACCTTTTTATTTCTGTGATGATGTTTATAGCCTTCTTTTGTTTTTTTAAATCTATAACTGCCCTGATTTTTATTGTTCATCATGTTAGCTTGGAGTTCTTGAATTCAAGTTCTTATTATTCTCTAAGGTGACATTGTGATGAATTTTCTTATGCTTTGAAGTATGTTTTCGTCTATATTGGGATATTTATCCTTCTTTTGAAATTTATATTTTTTTCTTAATTTCTTCTTCTTTCTTGCACATTTTATTTTATTTTACTGTGATATGTTTGTATATTTGTGCGGTATTTCCATTCACATTGCTCATAATTGAGCAGTTCCATTCAGGCTTTTTTGTTGTTGATATCATGTGAGTACACACATGATTCTTCCTAGCATAGCTGAACCAAGTTTCTTTTGCCCTTCTAGTTACTGTTTGAAAGATACTTTGTTTTCTATCCATTTTAGGTAAATATATAGAATGGCAAGGGTTGGGCAAGACCTCAGCTGAAGGGGTAATGCAGTCTTTATAATAATACTGTAGCTCTGCTCTCTCTTTGGAGATATTGTTAAATATCCTATACTGGAAGTAAGACCATTTATTTTTATGAGTCACATTTCTACGGGAGATATACTTGGGTTTCATACCATATCCTTAGTTCAGTGCATTGGTCTTACTTTTGTAGCATACTAATAAATAATTCAGCTTCTTGGCTTTAGGATACAGGGAAAAAGGTAGTCTTTCACTTTATCATCCCTTAAAACCAAAAATGCTTAGCCACTGCTATTTTCCAAGCCACATTTTCAGATGGCAGAATACCCAAGAGTCTACTATGATCGTTACTTATAATAAAATGAGATTATTAAGATATATGAGATCTCATATATCTATAGATAGTGATATATGAGATTATAGTTATATGCCATTGATAACAGTGCCAACAATTATGAGTGAACCAGTTCTTTAAAAACAAAACAAACAAAACAAAACTTCATGACAGGGCAAAAGATTTTGCTATACATCCATTTCAAGGCTTTGCCTGTGTTTCTGGAATTCTGATTTAGAATTGATCTTTAGTTAGTATCCAGCCCCACTCTTGAGTGGTACTAATAAATTATATAACTATAATTTAAAAAACCTCTTACAATACACAGAATTTACGTATTGGAGCAGAGGTTAAACAATCTGGACATTATGATAATTTCCAGTTTATTTTTAAAAATGATTCTAAATAGGTATATTATGATCTAAAATATGTAACTTAAAAACAGTACAATTTAAGGTGAGTTAAGGTGAGCCTTAACAGTACTAACAAAGTAGAAAAAAAAATAAGTAAACTAAAGGCATCTGGATCAGTCAGAACCCATAAAAGAAAAAAAAAATCATTGAATAGAGTTTAATAAAAAGACAAGGGATCTGACAAGAGATCATGAAGCACCCTTCCTCAGGCACTAGGAACAGCTAGATGGTTTTAACAGCTCTAAATTAAAAGAGGAAAGGAGAAAGGTTTATGGAACAAAGTAAGAGCCTTGGCCTTTTGAAGGGGCTATCCCTTCCATGGAGGAATACATTCACAGCCAACGCTTGAACTGGGAGGGAGGGAATGAGCAGAAAAAAAACTTTGATCCTTTTAGCCTCCTACTCTACCATCTCCTAGCAGTGTTTCCCATTGGACAAACCCAACAGAAACAAGAGGGCAAGGAAGACTTGGGGCTGGATAAAGTAGAAGTCAACCTTCTACAGCATAACAAGGCACAGCACAGAAGCGAATGGATCTGGAGGAGCAAATGGAGACCAGCCAGTCCAGCAGCTTCGTCATTTTATTTTTAAAGATCAAATTATTTTTCCATCTATGGAGGCAAAATGCAGGAATGAGCTCATCATAGAAATAAAAAGCATAATTTCCTGCATTTGCATAAACTTATAAAAGTCAGTTATGAAATCTTTTGTTAAAAAATAGTTGTTTTATATATATTACAAATATATAAGCACCCACACGCAGAATTGTTCATACTGTTTTCATAGCTTTTATTGAGTCCTACATGCAAAGGGCCTTTCTAAGGGCTTTACATGAATTTACTCATATAATGTTTAGTAGTAGGTACTATTATCCTCTCCATTTTGCAGTTAAGTGAACTAAAGCTTGGAAAGGTTGGACTGGGTTAATAATAAGAAGTGGCAGAGCTGGGATTCTAACCCAGGCATCTGGCTCCAGAGCACCTACCCCAAGCAAGTACTATCCTTACAGTAATTCTATGCTATTAGCACTCAGATGCTGTCAATTGCTTAATTTTGGAGTCTCATGAATTTTTAGTGTCATTTTTTATTATACTTGAGTAATAATTACCCAATTGGCAAACTAAGTTGGGCTGAAAGAGGTGACCCACTTCCCAAATTCTGCACAACATCTGAGAATCATATTCTGTGTTGGAATATAGCCAACTCTCTCTTTACTTGTGACTGGGCCAGTCACATCTCTCTAACCTCATTAGCATCTTGCTGATTCACTTACCAGATCAGATGTAACTCATGTTTTGTAAGCTCTAAAACCATCCTTCTGAAATACTGCACATCTTCTTAATTTAACTATGGCACTATGAAAATATTTTGCATCAGATATAATTCTAACAGAAGTTTGTGTCACCTCTTTCAGGGGGAAAAATCTAAGTTTCCTTTTATGTAACAGAATAAAAAGTATTTAGATTCTATAAGATAATTATTTCTGTACAATTTAAGAGTAAAACTAGGAACTAAATACAATCTCATGGAATTTATTTCTTTTAATTGAAGATAATTTGGGAAAATACTTCCCCCGCCCCGATTAGATTAGCAAAGCAGAACTATTCTGGATTTTTTTTTTTTTTAATTTGTAGAGACAGTCTCTCTATGTTGCCTGGGCTAGTCTCAAACTCCTGGGCTCATGCAACCCTCCCACCTCAGGCTCTCAAAGTGCTGAAATTATAGGCGTGAGCCACCAGGCCCTGCCCATTCTGGACTTCAATCTACCTAACAATAATTTTATCGTAACAATTTACTATCTAAAATAGGAATAACCCAAGAAATTTTACTTTAAAAAGTAAACAATATATAAATTTAAAAATATGGGACTTAACATCTATTACCATTCTTAGCTTAATTTAGGTTAAATTGATATCCTATAGTTTCTAAGACAGATCAGAAGAGATACCAAGAATAATCAATGTTTTTCTTAACTGCTGCCCCCTTTCACGATTGAAGTGAATGCATATTGCTATGGTTATTGATGTGGGTAAGGGAAGGTAAAGATTATCTTGGGTCCCTTGCTTCAGGGCCACTGTACTGTTGGCCTAGGGCAGTGAATCAGAAAGGTGATTAAGAAAAATGAAATGTGTGTGCCTTCATTTTGCCAAAAAGATTTAAGATTCAGATAAATTCAGTCAACCCATAATTCCCACCACCACTTAGATGAGGTATTTCATATCCTCACTTATAAAAAAGCTTGTCACTGTCCTTGTGTCACTTCTTTCAACTCTGAGTTTCTTTAGATATGGTTTTTAACCATATTTCTTAGAAACACTAGTGCTTAGGAGGGGTAAGGTACAGTGTTGCAGGGCATAATTGCTCTGGGCCCAGTGACATTCTAAAGACAGCCTTACCTACCTCAGAAAGCTGGTTAGTAAAGAGATGCATGAGCATGGACACTCCGGGTATACTTTCACTTAACAATGTGTACCTTTCACTTAATAACTTGTATGACTTTCTGCAACCTATTAGACTTCAGTTTACTTATTTGTAAAATGGGCATTATGATAATAGTATCTAACAGATGATGTTTTGAACATTACATTATTATGAAACATGTATATATGCATGTAGGCATGTAGGTATGTATCGCTCTAGCTACAGAAAAAGACTCACACGTAAGCACTTTATAAATGTTAGTTAATATTGCCTCTGATTTGGGGGCTAAAATTCCGATTCAAATATATTTGGGTAGGAACTTTCATCAAGGGTCTAATTTAATTAAATTTCTATGTTTTCTTAAATAACCAAGAATACGTTTGAAGTTACAGCAGAAATTGCATAATTTTGCAATTTGTAACATTGGATTGAGCAGTAAATTAGTCAAAGTTACACTATGTGTCTCTTATCTCCTCTGCTTTCTGTAATGAGTAAATCTTACTATTTTTGAATAATGAGAGTGCATCTATTATTCTGCTGCTATCTGAAAAAAATCACGTTTTAGACTTCAATACTGAAAATAAATTTAAATACTAAATAAATTATCCTGTTTGCTATTTAACAAAGCACTTGATCACCAAGTCATTTTTCCCTTTCATAAAATGGAGAAAGTATGTGAAAAATGATTATCTGAATACAAATGAAACCCCAATATAAGTTTGTACTGTCATCATTTGTCAGGTGATCAGACAAAATGCTTTATAATGGTACTTGGATCATCTAATTTGATTATATAAATATCAATATATTTAGAGTAACAATTTGCATAGTCAAAACTGCAGGATTGTCATTGGTTATAAAAGCAAATTCAAAATTATAATTTTTAAAATAATCACAAATAGAAAACTCAGAAGTAACTGTATAATAAACTTCTGTTTTCCTGAGCCATTTGAGAACAAGTTACCAACCTGCTACCCCATTACCCTTGGATAGTATGGGGTGTATTTCTTACCAACAAGGATATTTTTCTAAACAGCCACACTACGATCATTAAAATCAAGAAATTACAAAAAAGGTAATAAATTATCACAAATACATCAGTACCATTTACTCCTCAGAACTCCATTTAAATTTCACCAATTGTGCCAATAATGACCTTTCTAACAAAAAGATCCAGCTTAGAATCACATTATACGTTTGTCAGGTTTCTTTAGTTTCCTTCGATGATAACAGCCTCCTCAGTCTTTCTTTGACTATCATGACCTTGGCATTTTTGCAATATAAAGGCCAGCTGTTTTGTAGAACGTTTTCAATTTGCATTTGTCCAATGTTCCTTCATAATTAGATTTGAGCTGTGCATCTTTGGCAGGAATATCACAGGAGTGATGCTGTGTTGTTGATCCTCAGGTATCACATAATTTTGATTAATTCCATTACTAAAGCTCACTTTGATCACTGAAATAAGGGAGAGTCTGCAAAACTCTTCCACTGTAAAGTCAGTTTTCCCTTTTGTAATCAATTGTGTGGCTGGTACATTGAAACTATGTTTCTATCTCATTCTTTATCAACTTTCAATTTATTCATTTTTCTGTATCTGAATGGATTTCCTATAGTGTTCAGTGGGTTATAGTTCTTCACTACCATCATTATTTATTTGTATGTTTATATTGTCCTTGATTGGGCCATGCAGAGACAACCATCTCTATGGACGCCTCCTCCCCCTCCTTAGGCTCTGACACCTCATGCCAGGCTGCCCACCTAAACCTACCAGATGCCCCTCAACCCACCAGGGCTCAGGCACCCTGTACTAGGCCACTCCACCTCCCTCAGGCTGCAGGAATGCCGACCTCGCTCTGTTCCACCAAATGGCTTTAGGACTAAATTATTCAGAAAGAAGAAGCAGGGGAAGGGAAAAGGGAAAGGAGAAATGAAAAAAGAAGAGAAAAAAAGCCCAAATTACAATGTTACAATAAATTTATAGTTAACAAAATTCTGCATCTTAGAATTAATTTTCTCTTATATTTTCTCAATTACTTATAAGGAAACCATCAAGACAATCTTAGGCAATTCATACCTCTATATGAGCATAGTGGTCAGAAATTGCTTTCAAAATTCTTTTAAATAAATTTTAATCCTTGCCTATGAGTGCTTCCTGAGTCTGTAGCAAAGAACATTGAGGGAGGATGTAGTCATGCTAAGGAGAGAAAACTAATGATGGATTTCTGAAAGGATTCTTTCAGAAGCTTTACAAGTATGCAATTTAAAATGTCTTTTTCACTAAAGATAAAATAATAGGGCATGGAATAAATCAAAGTTCTTTTTGATTAGGAGGAAAAACATTTCCTTTTAAGGTTATAAAACTGTTATGGTGAAACTTACTTGGGACCGCTGTATTTTCTGCTCTTCAGATGTAAACTTTAACCCTAATCTGACTTCAGTGAAGTATATACTGTTGAAGAAACCTGTCTGCACACTTTTTGAAAATGTCCAGACTGGAGGGAGCCCAACCAAATGAACTCGGCCTTCTTAAGCCTCCCCCTAACCCGAATGATCTGTAGTGCTGTCTGGCATTCAGACACTTGTACAGCCTTGTGGTATCTCTTCTGCTGCTATCTTATATTAATTTTCATGCTTGAAAACAGTGTATGTTTCTGCTTTGCTTCATTAACTAGACTGTAAACAATTTGATTATACACACCATCCATTTAATGATCATTTTGTTGTTTTCTTCTGGATATCATCCAAAACAATAGTAGATGTGTAATTGTAAAGTGAATAAACAAATGAATGAATGAATCAATCAATCAATCAATGAGTCAATCAATTAATTAACTCAACTATGTGGCATTACCCTCAAAAAGTCTTTCAACTTGAACAGCTCTTAGGTTTGTGTTTTTCAAGAGAGAAAAAACTCTTGCTTTTAATGATCTCATTTTCACTTGCTAAATAATGAAACTATAACTTGTAAATAAAAAAACCAATTTTCCTTATATTTACAATTTAATGTAACAAAATCATCCTGAAATTCTTAGGCAATTCATACTTCTATTTGCATACATTGGTCAGAAATTGCTAAGGCAAATGATAGATTTCTCCTTATTTGTAAAAGTCAAGGAACAATTTTAAGATTTAATATTCCTACTCTGCCCCAAATAAAGTACTTCAACATCATCAGAAATTTGGTACCATTAATGGAAAAGCATTAACTGATGTCTTGAGGCAAATACATAGCTTCATTAATTAGAGTTTGTTTTTCTATCTTATTTTAACTATTCTAGTTATCTTTAATTAGGAGTTCACCAAATCTGGAGTATTATTAACATGGAGATGACAAGCAGAGCATCTCTTCAGAACATAAAATACAGCATTCAGTGTTAGCAAATGCCATTTTGAGAGAATATTTTTTCTTCCAAAGACCACTAGCTCTTTCCCCACATTTTGAAGGTGCTAATGATGTCCAGTAACGTGGCATCTCTGACAGATACAGTCTGAAGAAGGTGAATATATACATAAAAACATTCAAAGTATAACAACAAATATTTTTCCCTTTTCTTTTTAAATGTACTATTTTTTTATAAGTGACTATTACTAATAGCAATTGTACCAGATGATGATGTAATACATAAAACAGAACCTTTCCCCTCTCCCACTCCTTCAGTTTCCTGTTTAAGGCCCCTTAAGGGGATCCTGTTTAAGATCCCTTTACTATGGTCTACCAGGCTGGGCATGAGGTGGTTCCCCTCTCTTTTTGAGATCATCTCTTACTACTTCTCTGTTTCTTCACTGTGTTCTAGCCCTTCTGGCCTTATGCTTGCCCCTGAGACAGCCAAGACAGTCCCTGCCTTGTGCCTTTACCTGTGCTGTTCTCTCTGCTTGGAACTACTGGTAGTCCAAAGCGTGACTTCATGGATGTGAAGGGAGTACACTCAGCTACCTGCTATTTTACATCATCTTCTCCCACCTCAAATAAATACACACTGTAAATCAATGGAGTGTGTTTTCTCTGCAAATGTTACCTTATAAAAAAGTCCCCTTAAACTTCTTCCAACCAGATTGCTGCTGTATAGAAAATCTGGAGTCTACTGTCTGGAAGGACAGGTCTCCCAGATCTCCAAACAGCTTGCTCCCCATCATGCAAGGCTCAGGGCAAATGCCAACCCTTTAGAGAGGCATAATGTCACATTTTCTTCACCATGCAGGTCATTTTCTCCTTACTATGTTCCTTATTATCTTTTATTTTCTTCACAGCACTATCACTATCTGATATTAATTTGTTTTCATAATTTAAATTCTAATAATCACTTTTATTCCTCCAGCAGAGTGTAAACATTTTGAGAACAGGAATTGTGTCTGCATCAAACCCTCCTCTATCTCCAGTTCTTAGAATAGTGCCCAATACATAACCATCACACAAAAGCTATCTGTTGCATGCATAAAATACTACTTCTTTGCTTGACAAAATTGAATATGTGGAACAATTCTGAACAAGATAACTCCAGCAATTATATTGAGCAATTGTATGACAATTTCTATTGCCCTCTAAACAATATTTCTTCAGCATAGTTAAATGTTGCTCTATTTATATCCAGGTACTTTTAAGTAAAGGCAAATGAGTAAGCTGAAAAATGCAAAATTATATTTATTAGAGTTTCAGTGTTGGGCCCAATTAGTCAAAAGAGAAAGTCATCAATTTTCCATCTTTTTTCCCAGACCTCGTGAATGGCCTTGAAATTCACCCCATTTATTGTTCAAGCAAGACATTTGGAAGTTGTGAGGCCTAGACTTCTCCCTCATCCCCTGCACATTCAATAAATCCTATTAATTCTGCTACCTAAATATATTTTCTTGATATTTACAATGGTGCCCACTCTCATCCCATCATGTCTGAACTAACATGTACTCAATATGTATTTTGGGATTTGGAATATAGTACTTCATATTCTGATTTTGAAAACAAAATTTTTCTTTCTTTATAATGTAGATTAAATTATTCATTCATTTTCAATTATTAAAAGGAGAATCATTCTGAAAAATAAAGAAAATTCTAGATATCATTGTTAAAAATGTACAGATCTTTAGGCAAATAGATGTCTAGTATAATTTTCAATTTTTAAGAAAACATGTTTTATTCCCTCAAAAGGTCAAAGAATTCCTCAGATACATTAGTGTTCAGAGAATTTGACAGATTTTTCTAAATGACATAAAAAATAATTGCAAGAAATTAAAAAATAAAATTTAAGCTTTTCTTATTGGTTAGAGATTTGGAAACTGCAGTTGTTTCGCTTTAATAATACAATTTGTACTGAACAAAACGTTCTGCTGTTGTTGGGTTGCAATGAAGTGTTTTGAGAGTCATAGTCAAATATTCCTTAAAAAACAATTGAAAAGAGAAAATTACTGGAGGGCACTTTTCATGACAAAGGCAGACTAAATTTTATGTAATATTGAAAAGTATAATAATAATATGAAGTTAAATGTATTGTGGGAAATTGACATTGTTCAAATGGTATAATCAGGTAGTTTTACAGTACATATAATTATGATCAACTATCATTTTACTCCAAATGTTTTGTTATTGTGCAAAGAAAGCAATTTTGAGATTTCTAGATATTTGTGGTATTTAAAATTATCATTATTTTTATTTATTTGCTCTTCTGGCAGATACAAAGAGATGGTTGAAAATTTCTGATATGAAGTGAATATAGAAGACAATGAGCTAGCTGAAATACTTTGTAAATTTATATGCAAATAAGTGGAGAAACCTACTAATGTTATTTCAAATGTTTGTGAAATATGCAATGAGGATTTTTTAAACTGCTGAACATCCAATAAAGTGATAATTGTCTTATTATGGAGAAAGACGTTACTATAAGCGCACAAAAAGATTAATAATCTTCTTAGCAGTTGATTTTAAAACTGAGTTGATGTACAAAGAAACACTACAATCTACAAGTTAAGATTTGTTGTGCCATATAATGGAATCTGACAAGGCTGAAAAGATTTCAATCCTAATGAGTGCTGTATGAATGCTAACAGGAATACCATGGGGAATGACTGTGCTTGCCAGAATTGGATTTGGAAGTAGCAGGAGTAATACATCCTGGCAACCAGGGGCTGCTTGTTCTTTTAGGGTTTGAGACATGAACAGCAATGACAATATAAACAGACACTCAACAACATCATACTTTTAGAATCAATACATTTTGCCATTTGGCCTTTCAGGGCAACTGGTTCTTTTACTCTGTCCCTGAGAACACAGTGTTCTTTAATACTTCCTTCTTGAACCTCTGCCCTCTGGCTTCCTTCCCCTCCAGTCTAATCATCTTATTATGAGGTCCACCACCCTGCTCTCCCTCTATGCATATTCTCATTCCTCATTTAACGCTGCTGACCACTACTTCCTTCTGGGTTGCTTAGGCACCACATTTTCCCCTTCCCTTCTTTGTTTCTCTGGGCATTCGGTCCTGGTTTCCTCAGCTGAGTCTTTTCAGTTTTACTACAAACCTCCCGAGTTTGCCTATAACTGCAGCTGATTCCACTGACCTCTTCAGGCAACCTCTACCCAACGGCATTTCTTAGGTTCCCATCCTCACATTCCGGTATTCACCATTAACGACCATTCATTGAGTGCTTAGTAAGTGCCAGGCAGTTTTACAAAGAGCTTTACACAAATAATCTCATTTATAGCCGCACAAGAACTCAATGAGATAGGTATGATCAATGCCTTTTTTTTTTTTAATTTTTGGGGGGTTGAGAAAACCAAGGCTCAGAAAGGTTAAGTATCTTACTCAATTTCTCATAGTTAGTAACTGTTTGGATTTGAATTTAATTGGGCCTGAGTCTTAAACACTATAGAATATAGGCCCCCAATTTGTTAAGCATTCATATGACAAGACTTACCTGACCTTATGGTATGACTGCTTGTTTCTGCTTCATTCATACACTTAGTTTCCATTTTGAACTACCCATCTGGTAACTGGGTTCCTCTGTATCTAAATTTCTGCATTGTTATCCAATTACTTCTCTTCCTGTTGGCTTGGGAATGAGGGACCAGGGAAAATCAGGCAGAAGAAGGACACAAAAAGTCTAGCCTTTCTTTGCACCTTCCAGGCATTTGATGTGCAGAGTCCTATCCCATAATGAAAGTCCAGGGTCTGGAGACCCAGTTATAAACTGACAGATAGCAGCTTGCAAAACAACCCAGTAAAGTGGGCAGACTACCTACCTGCTATAAGACTGACTGGTCAAGCTGGGGAGAGGTTGATGCTGGACTCATAAAAGGAACCAGTCCAATCTCAGCCAAAGTGTCACCACTGAGCTGTGACAGATATGGTGCCATGGATTGTGTCACAACACCCTCTTTTCTGACCTTCCTGAGCTTTCTCATGATCTAGTCTGATTGTGTCTCATGAGTCAGCTTTCTCCTTTGGTGTGCTCCCTTGGCCTTGGCCTTAGTCACCCTACTGGCTAGTTCCCTCTGTCTGGCTTCCTCTTGACCCATCACTCTGGGTTAGCTGCACCCTTGACTTTGCTTTTCCAGCTCCGCTCCTGACTGTCTATCTTCACAAGTACCATGAGTTAATTTGCTTGCACTTGTGAACATCCATATCACTGGGCCTTGTGCTTGCCCTGCCCTCCCTGCATCTTCCTTACCTGTGGACAACTGCTTTAGCCCTCAGCCTCTCTCAGACTATTCTCCACTCTGAGGTCCTAGAAAAACACAGGACTTCTTCACTAGCCCTTGAAACTGGTGTATTTGCAAAGATCTTACCTTTCACTCTTGACCTTTGAACAAATCTCCTTAGGGACTCATCACTTCTCATGCTTTTCTCATTCCTTTCTCATCACTTTCGAATATATCCTGTCTTGAGTGTCTCTCTTGCTCTGAGTCTTGCCACTTTACTCAAAAGGGATTCCTGGGCACATTTCTCTCTCACTATAGCTTCTGACCAAAGGAAAAAAAAATCACAATATCAGCTCTAAATTCTCAATTGTACTCATTATTTTCTTTCTTTAAAATCAACTTTATTGAGGGTTAATGTAGATACAATAAAATGCAGTCACATTAAATATACAGTTTGATGAGCACTGACAAATGTAGATAGACACCTGTAACAGTCACTGCAGCCATAATACGAAATGTGTCCATCACCCCAGGAATTCCCTTATGCAGTTTTGCAGTCAGTCCATCATCTCCCCTGCCCCCACAGTTTATTAATCTATTCTCTTCATCTATTTTCTATCAGTATCTTTTAGTTTTTCTGTCTAGAATTTGTTTTATAATAATGGTAATATACAATATACTCATTTGTGTTTGGCTTCTTTTTCTAGCGTAGATTCATCCATGTTGTGTGTGTCAGTAGATTGCTCCTTTTTGTTGCAAATAGCATTCCATTGTAAAGATCTATACAATTTGTTTTTTCACTCATCTGTTGATGGATATTTGAGTTATTTCCAGTTTTGGCTATTCTGATTCTCTTTTTAATATTTTAGTTTAACTTTTTAATAAAAACAAACTTTTAAAGGGTTTTTGAGACAACTGTAGATTCACATGCTGTTGAAAAGAATAATACAGAGAGATATTATGTACCTTTTACACAGTTTCCCCTAAAGTTAACATCTTGCTAAACTATAATAAAATATCACAAACAGGATACTGACATTGATAAAGTCAAGATACATTTCTCTCACCCCAAGAATCCCTCATACTGTCATTGTATCGTTACATCTACTTTCCACCTTCTCCCCCTCCTTTAATACCTAGAAACCACTAATCTGTTCTCCATATCTACAACTTTCTCAAGAATATTATATGAATAGAATATAGGCTGAGCATCCCAAATCTGAAAATAAAAACTCTGAAATTCTCCCAAATCTGAACTTTTAGAGCACTAACATGATGTTGAATAAAAGATCGCATTAGAACATTTCAGATTTCAAATTTTTGGATTTGGGATGTTCAATCAGTAAGTAAATGCAACTATTTCAAAATGTGAAAAAATCTGAAATTGGAAACACTTTAGTTGCCAAACATTTCAGATAAAGAATACTCAACTTGTAATACAATATGCATTCTTCTGAGATTTTTTTTCCCATTCAGATTAATTATCTGGAGATTCATCCAGGTCATTGGCTAGTATCAATAGTTCATTTCTTTTAAGTGAAGTGGTTTATGCTTGTAATCCCAGCAATTTGGGAGATTGAGGCAGATGGATTGCTTGAGTTCAGGGGTTTGGGACAGCCAGGGCAATATAGTGAGACCCCATCTCTAAAAAGTAAATTTAAAAAAATTATTAAAAAATTATGTATTAAAAATAAGTAAAATAGTTCATTTCTTTTTATTGTTGAATAGAATCCCATGATACAGTTGTACCACACTTTATTTAACCAATCACCCACTGAAAGATACCTGTGTTATTTCCAGTTTTTGGCTATTACAAATAAAGCTTATATAAACATTTTTGTACAGGTGTTTGTGTGAATATAGGTTTTCATTTCTCTGGAATAAATGTCTAGAGACAATTTATAGGTCATATGGTGACTTCACATTTAGTTAAAAAAACTTTTTCAGAGTGGCTGTACCATTTTACATGTCCATCATCAATGCATGAGTGATCTAGTTTCACCACATCCTCGCTAGTATTTGGTGTTGTCACTGTTTTTTATTTCAGTCCTTTTGATAGATGTGTAGTGCTATCTCATTGCAATTTTAATTTGTAGGTAATGATAAATCTTATTTATTGTGTTCATTTGCCATCTGTATATCCGTAAGTCTTTTTCTTACTTTCTACTTGAGTTGTGTTCCTAACTATTGATTTTTGAGAGTTTTAGAAATATTCTGGATACCATTCCTTTGTCAGATAAGAGGTTTGCAAATATTTTCTTCCAAGCTGTAGTGTGTCTTTTTATCCTCTTAAACAAGGTCTTTCATGGAGAAAACATTTTAAGATTGGTGACATTCAATTTCTCATTTTTTTTCTTTTTTTTGTATCATGCTTTTGGTGTCACCTAGAACTGTATCCTAGCCCTAGGCTCTGCAGATCTTCTGTGATTTTTCCAGAGTTTTATAGTTGTATATTTTACATTTAAGCCCATGCCTCATTTTCAGTTAATTTTTCTATAAGATATAAAATTTTAGATCAATGGTTTAGGGATCTATTTTTGTTTTGTTTTGTTTTGTGTTTTTGGCAATAGATGTCCAATTGCTTCGGCATCATTTATTATAAAAGGTTATCTTTCTCCCATTTAATTGCTTTTGTCTCTTTGTCAAAAATCAGTTGGGCATTTTTGTGTGGGTCTATTTCAGAGATCTCTAACCTGCTCCATTTATTTGTTGATCCCTCTGTCAATACCACACAGTCTTAATTACTATAGCTATATTGCTGTGTTGTCTTGATTCTTCTCACTTTATTCTTCTTTCTCAAAATTGTTCAGCTATTCTAGTTCTTTTGCCATTCTGTATAAATTTTTAATTAATTGTGTTTATATCTATAAAAAGCTTTCCTGGGATTTTGATAGATTGTATTAAACATGTGTATCAATTTGGAGGGTACTGACATCTTTACTTAATTGAGTCTTCCAATCCATTAACATAGTATGTCTCCATTTATTTAGCACTTTGATTGCTTTCATCAGTTTTGTGTAGTTTAAACATGTAAGTCCTGTACATGTTTTGATAAACTTACAACTAGTATTTCATTTTTGAGCTAATGTAAATGTACTGTATTTTAAATTTCAGCATCCATTTGTTCATTGTTAATATATAGAAATGCAATTGATATTTGTATGTTTATCTTGTATTCTGTGACCTTGCTGAACTCAGTAGTTCCCAGACTTTCATTCTGAAGATTCCTTGGGAATTTCTACATGAGCAATCATGTCATCTACAAATAGAGAGACAGTTTTGTCACTTCCTTTCCAATATTTGTGTTTTTTATTTGCTTTTCTTATCTTTATATTGGCCAGAACTTTCAGAATTATGTTGAATAAGAGTGGTAAGAGAGGACGTTTTTGCCTTGTTCCCAGTCTTAAAGGAAAATCATTTAGTCTTTCACCAATGAGTATAATTTAAGTTATAAGTTTTTAATAGATGCTTTTTATCAAGTTGAGAAAGTTACCCTTTGTTCTTATTTTTTCTAAGTGTTTTTATCATGAATGCATATTGTATTTTCTCAAATGGTTTTACTGAATCAATAGTATAATCATGTGATTTTCTTTTTTTAGACTGTTAACATCATCATTACATAAGTGGATTTTTGAACATTGAATCAGCCTGAGTCCCAGTAACAAACCCCATGTGGCCACGGTAACTCTTCTTATATATAGCTGAATTTTATTGGCTAATATTTTGTTAAGAGGTTTTGTGTTACAGATATTTTATATAGTTTACTTTTTTCTTCGTTTTATACTCTTTGTCTAGTTTTGGTATCAGAGTAATACTAGTTTTATATAATGAATTGGGAGTTGTTCTCTCCTCTTCTGTTTTTTGGAAGAAGTTACATAGTATTGATGTGATTTTTTTCTTTAAACATTTGGTTGATTTCTTCAGTGAAACCTACTAGGTTTGGAGATTTATTTTTAAGGGATTTTTAAGTTACACAATCACTTTTCTTAATAATTACAGGGCTATTCAAATTATTTCATATTGGATGAGTTGTATTAAGTTTACATTTTCAGAGGAATTCATTTATAAAATTTTATTTCATAAGGAATTTCACCTCTTATATACATAACTTATCAAATGTTTGTGTGTAAAGTTGTTTGTTGTATTCCCATATTGTCTATTTGATGTCAGGAGGGTCTATACTATATCACTTGCTTCATTCTTGATATTGTCATTGTCTTCAATTTTTCTTTTTCAGTCTTGACAGAAGTTTCTCAATTTTAGTGGTTTTTAAAAGAGCTATCTCTTTGTTTCATTGATTTTTTTCTGTTGATTATGTGTTTTCATTTTTATTGATTGCTGCTTATACCTTTATTATTTTTTTCCTTTTGATTGTTTTGGATTTTGCTATTTTTCTAAATTGTTGAGAGATTAAATTGTTGATTTGAGTCTTTTCCTCTTCTCTAATTAAGAATTTAGTTTTATAAATTCCCCTCTCAGCACAGGTTTAGCACTGCTTTTGCCACTGAATGTAGGATTCTGGGTTAGTGGTTTTATTATTCTTTCAGCACTTGAAAAATGTTGTGCCACTTCCCTCTGGCCTCCATGGTTTTTAATGACCAATAGACCATCTTTCAAATTGCTTTCACCTATAGTTTAGGTGGTGCTTCTCTTTTGCTGCTTTCCACATTTTTTTAATCTTTAGTTTTCAAAAGATGATTTTAATGAGTCTTGGTTTAGATTTCCTTGGGTTTCTGAATCCACAGATTTATGTCTTTTCCTGAATTTGTGAAGTTTTTGGCCATTATTTCTTCAAGTACTTTTTTAGCCCTACCCTCTCTCTTCTTCTGGAACCCCAACAACACGCATGTTAGTTCCTTTGTTAGAATCCCACAGGTCCTTGAGGCTTTGTTCATTTCTTTTTCGAACTTGTTGTTTCCATATTGGGTAGTTTCATTGTCCTACTTTCATGTTCACTGAGTCTTTCCTTTGTCCTGCCACTCTGCTGTTGAGTCCATCTACTGAGAAGTTAGACTTTTTTTTTTTTTTGATGGAGTCTTGCTCTGTTGCCAGGCTGGAATGCAGTGGCATGATCTCGGCCTACTGCAACCTCTGACTCCCTGGTTCAAGTGATTCTCCTGCCTCAGCCTCCCAAGTAGCTGGGATTACAGGCACATGCCACCATGCCCAGCTAATTTTTGTATTTTTAGTAGAGATGGGGTTTCATCATGTTGGCCAGGATGGTCTCAATCTCCTGACCTAGTGATATGCCTACCTCAGTCTCTCAAAGTGCTGGGATTACAGGCATGAGCCACCATGCCCAGCCAAGTTTGACTTTTAAAAAATTTTGGTTATTGTATTTTTCACTTCTAAAATTTCCATTTATTTCTTCTTTATATGTATGTATTTTTTACTGAGATTTTCTACTTCTTTGCTGAAACTGTTTTTTCATCTGTTTCAAGTGTGTTTGTAATTGTTCATTGAAATATTTTTATGATAGATGCATTAAAATCTTTGTCAGATAATTCTAACACCCCTGTCATCTCAGTGTTGGCATCTGTTGTCTTTTTTTCACTTAGTTTGAAATCTTCCTGGTTTTTGGTATGATGCATGATTTTCTATTGAATCCTAAACATTTTGGATATTATGTTTTAAGAATCTGAGTCTTATTTAAACTCTGTTTTAGCCAACTTCCTTTGACACTGCTCTAGCAGAAAAAAAAGAGAGGGTGACACCTCAATACTCCTAGGTGGGAGCCATAGTTTAAGTTCTCTACTCAGCCTCTTTGACACCCACTAGGAGGGCTCCTCATTACTGGTGGTAGGGATGAAAGTTCCAGCTCCCTAGCAGGCCTCCACTGATTCCTCACTGGCTGAAATGGATTGGAGTGTCTTGTTACTATTCCCCCCAGGCCGTCTACTGACATCACAGGAGTGGCCTCTTTCCCACCAAGGGGTAGGAGAAGTCACAACTCTCTGCTCGCTTTCCACTGATGCTGAAAAGGAAGGTGGGGGTGGGCGGTTAGGCTTTCACAGCCCAACAGGCATTAAAATCCAAAGGTTTCTACTTGTCCTTTTCTGATACTACCCTGGCAGCTGTGTTAGGCACCTCATTATAGCCTGGTGAGGATGGAAATCTAGGATCTCCACTTGACCTCTGGGAACATGGGGTAACGTTTCTTTCTGAGTTGTTTGGCTGGAGTAGAGCAGTTATTGAAAAGTTTCCTGTTTGATATGCTGCTCCTTCCCGGTTCCTTTCGTTCAAAAGCAGGGTTTGTTGGGGCTTTTTCTGTCTGTGCCCATTGGCATGTTCAGGTTGCTGGTTTCTTCAGTTCCAAATCTGAGATTTATGAGGCAAAAAGAAAACTCAAGGAACTTACCATCATGTCATTCCTTAGTTCTTGAGATCCATAATTGATTTGCTTTCTTCTTTCCATCAGCCAGAATCTTCCTGTGTTTATTTCATATAAAGTGTTGAGGGTTTTCAGTTGTACTTAGAAGCAGATATGGGGAAAAGTATATCTAATCCATCTTCCCAGAAGTAGAAGTTTATCTTTCATTCTTCTCTGACTTGTCCTTAGGACATTTCCTTTTTGGAAATGGGCCCCATCATCTCTTCAAACTTAACTTGCCCATTTATGGAAATACAAAGAGGCCCATGCCTTGACCCTGACCTGAGCCACACCCTGGGCTATGGGGAGATAACAAGAATAATATGTTTGGGTACTCTGAGCCCTTTCTCCTATGTGTGATCCAGGGAGACATAAAACCTCCAAAATAGAAATGACTGTGTGGGATCTAAGGGGACGTTCTAGGAGAACTCACAGGGTACCCCATGCCCATCTCATGCCCCAACAGTAAAATCCTGTTAGCCTAAGAGGGGCATAGAGTCCACCCAGCAGAAATGAAGGGATTTCTGTGAGTAGTGACAGGGGTGACTAAGCAGTACACTGCACAGAGATAGTCCACCTCACATGCTGCCAGCACTGAGAAATGACAATGTGGACCAGCTTCCCTCATTTCAACAACTTCACCGTTATGGACTCCAGTCACAACTTCAAGGAGAAGGGCCGGGGAATTGAATAAAGTGAAATTAAATTTCTGCTAGTTTAGCAAAAAAGAGGCTCAAAATAATTAAGTTGAGCTATAAAAAATAGAGTGATATTTCTTACACAGGGGCTGGAGAGGCTCATACACTATTTTCATGCTTTTTAAATATTCTCCTGCTCCCCTTTCCAGCACCCTATTTCTTGAAGAGTCACCACAATTATTCTTGATTCTCCAGGTGGAACCTCAGTTATTCTTGAATTTTCCTTTCCTGCTCTCCATTGTGTGTAGACACCACTGCTGATTATTCCTTCTTCAAAATATTTTATGGTTCTGCCTCTTACTTTACCACCACCATCATGCTTTGAATGTCATGCTTAGAGCATCAGTGTCTTAGCAGGTCTCCTTGTTCCCCTTGCCAGATCTCCAAACTGTCATTCCTCTGATGTAAAATTTTCATGGCTTTTTATTGCCTACTGCAATGAATGCAAACCTCTCTGTTTATTCCTTTACAGTGTGGTTTTATTCTGCCTCGTTATACTTACTTTCTTTCATCCACTAAACCACAGTGAGCCTGCTTTCTCCCGTTCTTCCTCCCAAGTCCATCCTCATTCCACTAGATTTGCTCTTTTTTTCCTTCTCTCTCCCACTTCCCAAAAAACCAAACCTGGAGTTTCTTCCTTTCTTATCCTTAAATATTAAATCCTCTTCCACCTTTACATCCAAAGTAGTAACAATTTTCTCCATGAATATACCTTCTTAGTGTACCCTAGTTCAAGCAGCACTTAATTTGACACAAAACAATTCACAAATGGAGAATAGTAGAGAGTAAATTTTATCAAGAAGAAGCTATGAACATGGCTTCTCTCTCTCTCTCTCACACACACGCACACACACACACATATATATACACACTTCTTTTCATGGCCTTACCAAATAATTCATCTCTCCATGTTGTTTTTCCAGCATACAGTTTCAAGGTAGTCAGCTTCTTATGTGGTTGCTCAGAGGTCCAAAAGACAATGTCTCAACCAACAAGGCTATATGGTCCTTGTTGTATGTGGCTATGATCTAGTATCAGAAATCACAACACATCACTTCTGCCATATGCTGTTGGCCAAAACAGTCACAAGCCCTCTCAGATTCAATGGGATGGACTGTAGACCCTAACACTTAATGGGGAGAATGACAATGAATTTACAGCCATGTTTTAAAACTATTGCCAAAGCTCTAAATCACTACCTGAAGCCAACCTATTTCCCTATCCCTGACTCCATCTAAGGACAGACAATCTACCTGAATTATAGAAAAATTTATTGCCAAAGTTCCTATTAAAATGCCAATTATTTCCACCCTGGGATCTTTCTAAAACTTGCCTTTTTAATTTCCATAACAGTATAACATCTTTGGTACAAATTTGCTTGTAAGCAAACTCAGATCTTTTCTTCTGCACTCAGTTCATTCAGCTCCCCTCCTACTTCTAAACTTATCTTTTGACCCTACATCTTACCCTTTCTTTGTATGCATTCTGAAGACACAATTCTTTCCCAAGGAAACTTCTGTAACCCCAACCTTTCTTTACAAAAATCTGCTGACAACTCCCCAGTAAATATTTATCTCAGAACTTGAAACAAAGCTATCATTCGACCCAGCAATCCCATTACTGGGTATCTACCCAAAGGAAAATAAGTCATTCTACCAAAAAGACATCTACACTCATATCTTCATCACGACAATATACACAATAAAGATATGGAATCAATGTAGGTGCCCATCAATGGTAGACTGAATAAAGAAAGTGTGATACACATACACCATGGAATACTACACAGCCATAAAAGAGAATGAAATCATGCCCTTTGCAGTAACATGGATGCAGCTGGAGGCCATAATCCTAAGCAAATTAATGCAGGAACAGAAAACCAAATGCTGCGTGTTCTTACTTATATGCAGGAGCTAAACATTGAGCACACATAGACATAAATATGAGAATAATAGATGCTGTGAACTATGTATTTGTCAGTTTTCACACTGCTGATAAAGACATACCTGGGACTGGGTAAATTGTAAAGAAAAAGAGGTTTAAGGACTTAAAGTTCCACATGGCTGGGGAGGCGTCACAATCATGGCAGAAGTCAAGGAGGAGCAAGTCATGTCTTACATGGATGACAGCAGGCAAAGGGAAAGTTTGTGCAGGGAACTCCCATTTTTAAAACCACCAGATCTCATGAGACATATTCACTATCACAAGAACAGCATGGGAAAGACCCACACCCATGATTCCATTATCTCCCACCAGGTTCCTCCCACACCATGTGGGAATTCAAGATGAGATTTGGGTGGGGACACAGCCAAACCATATCATTCTGCCCCTGGCCCCTCCCAAATCTCATGTCCTCACATCTCAAAACTAATCATGCCTTCCCAACAGTCCCCCAAAGTCTTAACCCATTTCAGCATTAACTCAAATGTCCACAGTCCAAAGTCTCGTCCAAGACAAGACAAGTCCCTTCTGCCTATGAGCCTGTAAAATCAAAAGCAAGTTAGTTACTTCCTAGATACAATGGGGGTATAGGCATTGGGTAAATACAGCCATTCCAAATGGGAGAAATTGGCCAAAACAAAGGGGCTACAGGCCCCATACAAGTCTGAAATCCAGCAGAGCAGTTAAATCTAAAAGCTCCAAAATTCTCTCCTTTGACTTCGTGTCCCACATCCAGGTCACACTGATGCAAAAGCAAAAGGTGAATTCTCACAGTCTTGGGCAGCTCCGTCCCTGTGGCTTTGCAGGGTACAGCTTCCCTCCTGGCTGCTTTCGTGGGCTGGTGTTGAGTGTCTGCAGCCTTTCCAGGTGCACAGTGGAAGCTGTCAGTGGATCTACCATTCTGGGGTCTGGAGGACAGTGGCCCTCTTCTGACAGCTCCACTAGGTGGTGCCCCAGTAGGCACTCTGTGTGGGGGATCTGACCCCACATTTCCCTTCCACACTGCCCTAGCAGAGGTTTTCCATGAGGGCCCCACCCCTGCAGCAACCTTCTGCCTGGACATCCAGGTGTTTCCACACATCTTCTGAAATCTAGGCAGAGGTTCCCAAACCCCAGTTGTTGACTTCTGTGCACTCGCAGGCTAAACACCACATGGAAGCTGCCAAGGCTTGGGCCTTGCACCCTCTGAAGCCATGGCCCAAGCTCTGCATTGGGCCCTTTCAGCCATGGCTGGAGTGGCTGGGACACAGGGTAACAAGTCCCTAGGTTGCACATGGCAGAGAGACCCTGGGCCCGGCCCATGAAACCACTTTTTCCTCCTAGGCCTCTGAGCCTGTGATGGGAGGGGCTGCTGTGAAGACCTCTGACATGCCCTGGAGACATTTTCCCCATTGTCTTGGGGATTAACATTTGGCTAATTGTTTCTTATGCAAATTGCTACAGCTGGCTTGCATTTCTCCTCAGAAAATGGGATTTTCTTTTCTATTGCATTGTGAGGTTGCAAATTCTCCAAACTTATATGCCCTGCTTCCCTTATAAAACTGAATGCCGTTAACAGCACAAAATAGCCTCTTGAATGCTTTGCTGCTTAGACATTTCTTCTGCCAGATACCCTAAATCATCTCTCTCAAGTTCAAAATTCCACAGATCTCTAGAGCAGGGGTAAAATGCCACCAGTCTCTTTGCTAAAACTTAACAAGAGTCACCTTTGCTCCAGTTCCCAACAAGTTTCTCATCTCCCTGTGAGACCCACCTCAACCTGGAGTTCGTTGTCCATATCATTATCAACATTTTGATCAAAGCCATTCAACAAGTCTCTAGGGAGTTCCAAACTTTCTCACATTTTCCTGTCTTCTTCTGAGTCCTCCAAACTGTTCCAACCTCTGCCTGTTACCCAGTTCCAAAGTCGCTTCCACATTTTCAGGTATCTTTTCAGCAATATCTCACTCTACTGGTACAAATTTACTCTATTAGTCTGTTTGCACACCGCTGATAAAGACATACCAGAGACTGGGCAATTTACAAAAAAAAAAAAGAGGATTATTGGACTTACAGTACCATGTGGCTGGGGAGACCTCACAATCATGGCAGAAGGTGAGAGCCACAGCTCACATGGTGGCAGACAAGAGAGCTTGTACAGGAGAACTCCCATTTTTAAAACCATCAGATCTTGTGAGACTTATTCAATATCAGGAGAACAACATAGGAAACACTCACCCCCATGATTCAATTACCTTTCACCAGGTCTCTCCCACAACATGTGGAAATTCAAGATGAGATTTGGGTGGGGACACAGCCAAACCATATCAGACTACTAGAGAGGAGAGGAAGGGAAGGGGGCATGGGTTGAAAAACTACCTATTGGGTACCATGCTTACTACCTAGGTGAAGGGATCCATACCCCAAATCTCAGCATCACACAATATTCCCATGTAACAAATCTGCACATGTATGCTCTGTATCTAAAATAAAAGTCAAAATTAAAATATATTCCCCTCACTCCTTCTTTCAATAGACACCATGTTTGCTATTTTGCTATTCTTGCACACCAGAAAAGGAACATTCTTCCAACTCCCCACTGTTTCTTGACATTCGTCTTCCACTGCCATGTAAATCTTTTTTTTTTTTTGACACTAATGCCAACTAGTTCTTGCTAGCTTCCCCCTTACTCAGTGCTCTCATTCACCAAACTTCAAATTAATTTCCTCTACAAAACCAGTCTTTCTGCCACTCCGTGATCCAAACAATGTCTCAGCCTCACAATTACAGCTCTCCTCTACTCTGATGGCCTTTGCCACCACTTAACTTCAATACCCACAGCTACCCTTTTCCTCGTCTACCCCTTCTCCTTTGTCCTTTTGACATCATCATATACACCAATTTTCAAGTGGAGCTTTTTTGCTTTGAGCAATTCCTCTTTATCCCTTTTTCTATTTCTAATCTCTCTGCCTCTAGCGACTAACCTATAATCCTCCTACTAAAACACTTCTTCAGTGATCAGTAACAATTACTATTTTTATTAAATATGCCCTCCAAAACACCAATGCTTTCTAATGTATAAATCCAGCAGACTCTTTTTTGTCCTCTTTGTAACAGGTGACACAGAATTACCTCTTCCTAAATTCTCTTCTGAGACTGATTTCCTCAGTCTCAGTCCTGGATCATCTACGACAATCCCATCCTGTCTGTCCATCGCATCCTTGTTGGTGGTGTTGCTTATAGCACACTGCTCCCTCCTCCCTTGCTGCCCCTTTTTTCTTCTCTGTCTACATGGACTCCCCACATAATTGCTTCTATTTCCTTGGTTAATAGCTATTGTTTGCCTGTGGATGATTTTCAAACTTTAATCTCATGCTACAACTCTGCCCTGAATGCTGGAATGTCATTTGCAATGACTTACTGCACTTTTCCAATTGGATATCTTTTAAGTGTCTCTCTCTCTACCCTAGCACACATTGCAGCCCTCTTTACCACCATACTCCTTCCATACTCTCAGGTGGGAGATATTATTAAAACATCATTTGCATGCAAAGAAGAATGGTAGTGACTAGTTTTAAAAGAAAGTAAACAAAATGTGGAAATTTTAATCCATGTGCTGCTAAACTGTTCCGGGCAGGCAGAGTATAGGGTAGATGCTTATTATCAAGGCCAGTATCTCCTGGGATAGGCAATTCTTTCAGCTGCTCTATCTTACTGGAATTTCTCTTCAAGAATATCACCTTTTTATTCTAATTGTAAGTTATGATCCATAATTATATCCTCCTTGAACAAACAGATGTTATTGGGACTGAGATATAGTCATTGTATACTCATAAATTGGCAATCTAGTTGGTAAATGATTCTCTTGTCAGTTTGCTTGGTATGAGTCAGTCCTCTGGAGTTGGTGAACTGTAGGTGAACAGCTAAGATCAAGTTTCTGAATCTGCAAAAGTGAAGACCAGACTCTGGACTGCAGTAACTGAAAATAAACCATGAACTAGAGAGGTAAGGCCCAGATGAAGAGGTCAGAAGACCTTCTTGTAATATATTTTTAATTACACATACTTTGTCTTCTGTGTCTTTGTCCCATAGAGTGCATATCACAGTGCAAAGCATCAAAAAGTTGAATACTTGCCTGTTATTCGGACCTCAGACATTCAATGGAGTATCCAAAAGAACAATATTAAATGCACTCAATCTCTCAATCCCACAAAGCCTCCATGGTGTGGAAGAAGACAATAGAAATTATAGAACAACAATAAGAATAACAATAAAATAGCTAATGGAGTGGCAAAATCCTTAGCAGCCTCAAGAATGGCATACTTTGTATGCTTTGCCTATTCTTCCAATATCCTATGAACTGCATCTTATAATGCCCACTTTATGGTTGAGGAACACACAACAAACAAGGTTTAAATAACTTGCCCAGGGTACACAAGTAGTAAGTGGCAGAGGTGGGCTCAAGGCTAAGGTTTTTTTGACTGCAAAGCTGATGCTGTCAAACAGTGAAGGTTTGCTCTTTTGCTGTTAACTCTTCAAACCAGAGGAAACAGTACGAAGGTTAAGCTATCAAAGTTTACATAAAGCTGGGGTTCAATTATATTAACTACAAATAGTCATTCTTAGATGTAGGCTAAAAGGATGCTTTAATTTCTTTGGGACTTCAGAAAGGGATATTCAGAAGAAAATAACATTAAAAGAAAAAAGAATAAGTGCAAGTAACATAATTATCTCTGCATTTATGTTAAAATAATTTTGAAAAACAACCTCTTATCCTCTATTCCTTTAACTCTATGCCACTTTTTTACTGAGTAGCAGTGAATTTTCAAACTTTTCTGATGATGTCAACAATAGAAAATGAAATGTCCACTGCGACCCATGCCACGAATACAGGTAAATGTATGTATATGCATTGTGTTGTGTTAGTATGTGTGTCTGAAATTAAAACCACAATTACTTACTGAGTTATGGCCTCTGATCTATTCTATTTCGTTAGTGTCAATCATAACCCATCATATTTATTCCATGACACTTTCATGAGTCAAGACCTACAGTTTGAAAGGTCTTGGGATACGAGAGGAATGTTTTAGAAATGAGAACGCCACATTCTTTACTAGCTCCACTTTTGAATGTGAATATTTTAGTCTCACCTATAAACCAAGGTGATGGATGTGGATCATTTCCAAGGTCTCTATCTTTTTTAGTCTGTCTTCTTCATGAATTTTCCAACTTTGCACAGTTGTGATTTCTCCCTATCAGGTAATCAGGAAAGACAGTGCATTTTTCCCCCTCTTTGAAGTACCAACAGCCTCCACTTGCCTCCCATCCCCTGTCCCCTACCCACTTCCATTCCCAAAGAGTTGCAGTTCTGTCAGCTGCTCAGCCCAGGGGCCTGACTCCATCCACAGCTGCTGTTAGAACTGTCAGTCCCAGCAGCCATGCTGACTGGGGATGTCAGTCCCCAGGGTCCAGCCCAAGGCAATATAACCTTGCAGGATTAACCAAGTATGCACAGTGTTAACATTAACATGGATTTCTAGTGACATCTGCTTTGTCTGTAATGCCCCATCCTATCAGACTTCTAAGCCATAATAGATCTACTTTGAATTTAGGACAAGCTTTTTGTATTTGATCTGACCATATTTTGGGGAAAAATTCTAAAATCTCCTGAAGAAAGAAAATAAACTTTTCAGATCATTAAAATAGGAGAGGGAATCAAAATGGATATTAACTTGTAGAGAGAAAAGGGTCTCTGACTTTAATCCCTCAGTGATTTCAAAAATCAAAAGGTGCTCAAAGCTTTAGGGTAAATTATTAAGTCAGAAAGATAATTATCTCCTATATAATTTCTATGTATGTACTAAGACACATACACACACACATACATACATATATGCCCACAGAAAACTCTACTCAAGCTGATGTTAATAAATGAGGATTCCCAAAAGGCAAAGTCTGCATAGTACATCTAATTAAGGAGTTAATACTGACTGACACACGTCTTAAAGGCTGCAAGAAATCTGTATTTTCTACCCACAGGTTTCCCTTATAGAGCACCTATCTCAGCACACAACCAGAAAACCCAAACACAGGACCATTGTGCACTTACCTTCTCAACTGAGGTAAAAAAAAAGGTAATGCTTTAAGCATGCTCCCATTTCATTGTACACCATTTTCACTGTGGCACAATACATTTTTTAACAAACCTGGAAAAAGCAGGTGATGTATGCTAATAAATAGAATCCACAAAGAATTATTAGCGTGGTTACCCTGATTAAAAATTAGATGAGAAAAAATTACAGCCAACATTTTAAACACAGAACACCAGTATGAGAAGCACACATTAAGGTAGCATGAAGTATTTTACAATAAAAAATTAGCTCACATTCCTATTGGCAATTGAATATCAAATATTGATAATTTTACCTATCTTGCACCAGGATTCTACCTTTAACACCGTAGTTTTTAGAGCCCAGTCTTCACCTTAAAAAACAACTGAATTAGTTCAATGTGTTTTACAGTACTTCTCAGTCTGTACATTATTTGTTAAAGTTTGGCAAAACTTGTGAGTATTAACACTGTAATAACATAGAAGCCATCAAACCATGTTTCATAGTTTTATTGAGTCTTTTTCAGTTTTAACTGTCCATGGTAAGTACAGTTCTAGTGACCACAATTATGAAGCTCTGCTCGTACTAAAAATAGCAGATACAAAGTTGGCTGCCATGCCTTACACACACTAAGACACACACACACACACACACACACACACACACACAAGGTTTTGCATACTCTTACATGCAAACAGTACTATGCTATTATAGGAAATGTACTTTCCTTTTATTAAAAATACAATTACACACAATTAGTCTGGGTTTTGTTAAGCTACCACTGATTTAGATAAACCTGAGAAAGCTCAAAATATCAAGTAACACTGTTTCCATACTGCTCATTCAATGGCACTATCACTCAAAAAGAAATCTAGTTCAATCATCTATATTAAAATCACAGATAATATAAAAATAAACATTTTTTGCAATAGCACTAAAACATACTATAATTCAAATTCACAAATTTTGATATGTAACATATATTCACCTTCATATTAATTTGTGATTATGTGTATAATACAATGTACAACAGAATAAAAAACTCTAACAGAATTCAGCAGCCAAATAATATACAATTATCACTATGAAACTTGGAATTTAAGTTATCAACTAAACAAAAAAAAACAGATTAAAATCAATAGCAGTGTTGAACTCGCTGGTAGTGTGTTACTTTAAAATTCCATCTCAAAACAGTTAAGATTATGCTATCTCACCTTAAGAAGAAGCAACACAAAAAATTAAGTAGAACTAAGCAGCAGTAACCGATTATACCAGCTGCCTTTTTCTCTCCCCATCTCCTTAAAGATTTTCCTTACATTGTAACGTTGTTTATATAATGCCCATCCCACTTGACTGCTAAAACATGACAGATCAACTTTAAATGTAGGACAAGACTTTTGCATTTGGAAAGGGAAGCTTTGATCATATTTAGTGACAATACTCTAAACCTCCTGAAAAGACAACAAAAACTTTTATTTAATATATAAAATGTAGACAATACAGACCCCATTTGGCTAAGATATTTTATATTCACTATCGATCTTATGATAGTCTGACACCAAATTGTGTCTATATAGAAAAAAACTTAAATAAAAAGGCAAACATGCAAAAGCACTACTAGGGAAAATTAATCACTTGTATCATGAAACATTTTCATATTTTAGACCAAAAAATGTGAAGACTTAAATATTCCAAGACACTGATATTTGAAAAGCACTGTAATATACAACTCTTATTTATGTATGCATTATATATTTTGTAAAATACACCAGTTTGACACATTAATATCATACATTGTAATAAATATAATTTACATTAGTATGTTGGATCTTTCATGAAAGTTTTTCAGTCTGTACAACTGAAGGACTGTGAGCTTCTTCAATAAATACTTTTACAATAGCTACAACCTGACCAGCAAAGTTTAAGCTTCAATAGATACTAACTAGTATTACATCTTTAAACATTGTCACTAGCCAAATTCCAGCTGCTATAAGCACTGACATCTATAGTATCCAAAGACAGTTTAGTGTCTTGTCTGAGTAGATTGAGACAATTTACAGGTGACAGGTCCACATCATAATCTGTGAAACTTCCAAGATTTTTTTAGCCAAGGAGTGGAATGAAGTCCTGGAAAATACAGTAGCAGATTTCACAGGCTCCTGGCTGTTTAGTTTTCATGCTTTACCATATCCCCCAAGGCCCCAACAATGGATGTCATCCAACTTTTAAATCCATGTGTGTTCTTGAAAGGGTCAACAGTCACATAGCTGGCTGAGCGGCAACATCATGGTTTTAACTCTGAATTCCAACTTGCATGCTGTATTTCTTCTTAGTTTGTCTTTTTGTCATTTCAATGTAAACACAAATTGATGTTCAAAGAGTCAAAGATGCTGATTTGTAAGCAATAAAACACCTTGAATTTGCCATTAAAATATTTTTTGTGGTGTGAAATTTTGTTAGGTAATAAGTTCTATAATGTTAGCAGTTTTTTATCCAAATGCCAACACATTTCTGCCCTTACAATAAACATACTTCAATCATCATATGACCTGATCAGTTTTTCAGCCAATAGAGATCACTGCTTCACCCTGACCCTCTGTACGTTTTCACCATTGGCACACCTTCCCAGAGGCTTCTTTTGGCTTGGAAGGAGTTGGCAAGATCATTCTTGTTACTATGTGGCATGCATTCACATGTCATCAGTGTCCATATGTGATGTATGAAGCTAAAGAAGAAACACTTTGGAAAAAACATGCCAAGTAGTAAACAAGCATTTCTAGTTACTGTTCACCTCCTCACTGGATCCACACTCACAAAATTCTCTGGACGCTGAAACAATGTACTTAACACATACTCTAAATTAAGCTGAGCATCCTGAGACCTAAAAGAAAGAAAACTAAATGGTGAAGAAATATTGTAAAAATGTGTATCATTAGGCTACAAGTTCAAGTCTGGTACAAGTCCTGTAATTTCCATCTTGGTCAGTTTAATGATATTGATCTTGTTTAACAAGGTCAATAAAGTAATGACATATTTTAGATTTTGTCTTGTAGGAATCTAAAACGGATGTTATTTGAGCCTGATGAAGTGAGAACTTTGCTAACCCTCTCTTTCCTCAAAATAAGGAGGTGTAGTAGGTTTCTTCTTGATTTGGTTTCTATAATCCTATGCATTAAAACTGAACATGTAAAAAGAATCACTGCTTTGGAAGGTTAAATACAGCTTTTCTTCATTGATCTTAGTGGCCAGAGATTGGGTAAAGTGAAGCTACTCTGAAGGTCTCACAAATCCTCAATCTACATAGGCATTGCAAGAACTGAAATCAAGACCTGAAAATTTCCTGTCATTATGGTCCACGGGGCACTAAGGTTCTTTCTTGCCTTAACATACAGCCCCATGTTGCTCTACTTGTAAAGTGCTTTCAAACAAGTTATGCCACCATCAGTTGCAAACTCTGATGTTGACTTTATGAGGGATAGCTTCCAAAACTAAAAATTCCTTTGACACTGGATTTGTTTGGGATTGTCAATTGCATTATCTCACCTTGTTATTCTCATTATATAGAATTTGACCATTTCAAGGACTAGACATGCAGCAATTCAATATTCATTAAAATTATTAACACTGTTGAAGCATTTTACAAATTTTTCATTAACACCTGGCAGAGAACAAATATAATAGAAAACACTGACCAATAGTCTTCTATTAGTAGTTTGAGTAGTACTTTACTTTTCAGTGCTATGGCATCTAGGTACTTTAATTCTCTATATTTCCCTCCATATATATGTTTTTTCTTTAAATATTGAGATGTAAGGTTTATTCAAAGATTATAGCTTCCCATTCTATCAATGCAACCTATACAAATTCTATTTCTTCTTTTCATATCGCATTTTGTGTTTTCAAACACTTGGAGGAAGCAAGAGTCTTCTCCACCATGACTTTAATTTAAACTAAAGCCCTCATTCTAAAATGTCTTCTGCCCACCCCAGTTGCTTCATACATTTGAGAGTATACTTGGAGGCTATGCCTTGTGGATGACTGTCAACCTCTCCTTTTCTGAAATACTGTCCTCCTGTCCAATATCCTTCAACTTACTAACAGTTATTTGACTTTACTCAATCTTTGGTCTGTAATTTATTTGCAATTCTTAAAATTGTTTTTACAGATGTGAGTGAACACTTGTCCTGGAACACAAACAAAGTCCTAAGGCATTGCACAGCAGTGGGGCAAGTAAATGCTCTTTATCACAAGATGTCTAAGAGAGCTCATGGTGTTTACAAGGAAAATACATGCACTTTAATTATTTTGAATGCATTTTACCAGTACGATAATATATGCAGGCTTTCCCCATCAAACATTTAGCACCCAATATATAATGAGACCTTTTCCAGAAATAACTGGAAAACAATCACTTTTCAGGCTTTTAAATTCATTAGCTTTACTTGTCTATTCAATGCCCTAAAGAAACTCAGTCAACTATCATCTATGCTTATAAGACACTGAAAAAAACACCCCGCTCAGAGATCCATTGATCTGATGCCGGATGAACTGATGAGTTTAGTGTTTTGTTATATACCATGCTAGATATTTCTGAGAATATAGATTTTTTATTCCTACTGTGGATTTTAAAAAAACAATAAAGGCTAGATAAACCACAAACTCAAGTTGCAGGGGGCTAGTTTTCTTAGAGAAATTACTAATATCAAAAACAGCCCCAGTACTCATGTGCACACACACTTTAAACAGAAAAGCCTGCACATTTTAAAGGCAAAAGAGAAAGTAAATGTTTAACTAGGTAGTATTGTTTTATTATACATACTTCTAGTCAGAAGGAAGAGAGACTGTGAAAGCAAACCCAAACAAGCTAAGTGTGGAT
The DNA here is from genome assembly GCF_000001405.40 of Homo sapiens. Lineage (NCBI taxonomy): Eukaryota > Metazoa > Chordata > Mammalia > Primates > Hominidae > Homo > Homo sapiens. Next base: position 152,837,056 of record NC_000003.12, on the reverse strand, counting down.
GTGGGCATTTCTACTTCTATTATTTTTTTAACTCACTATTTTCTTGGTTTGATTTTTTTCTAAACTAGAAAGTTAAAGAGGGGAAAAGTACTTGATTCTGTTAAGCATCCTACCATATTACAACAGAGAGGTGTTTGGAGATTCTTGTGCCTTCACAGGCTTGTATCTCCATTCTGCTTGAACTCAGGTAAAATATTGAGGGTCATGTCTTCACTCTTGGATTGCAAATTTGCCTCACTTCTTCTAGAAGCTTTCCTTGTGGCTCGGGAGAGTCTCCTTCTGAAAGTATCTCCCGCCAAGAAATAGAGAATGGGGTCCACACAACTGTTGAGACTTGCTAGACCTCTTGTCACCTGATACGTGGCATAAACCCTGTCATTGAAAGCACACATTGCTGGGGTCTGAAAATCAAGCCGGGCCCTCAAGTTCATCGTTTTCATCACATGGAAAGGGATGTAAGACACAGCAAAAACAGTCAGTACAATGATTACCAGGTAAATCGATTTTCTCCTCAGAGGAGAGTTGTCCAGATCTTTGTAAATCAAAGCTCTCACAATTAATCCGTAACAGCCCAGAATCAGCACCAAGGGGACACAGAACATGGCCACGGTCGTGCACATGCTGTAGATGAAATAACTTCGCAGGTACTCGTCTGAGGTGGTGTCGTAACAGGTGATGGTTTTGTTTTTGCGGACCCCGGTACCTGAGTAGAAGAGGATGGGGGAGATCGCCACCACCACAATGAGCCACACCAGCACGCTGATACAGATCGCATTCTTCTTTTTGAGCCGGCCCAGGGACTTGAGGGGGTACACCACACCGCTGTACCGGTGGGCACTGATGCATGTCAGAAACAAGATGCTGCCATAGAGGTTCACATGAAAGATGAACCTCTGCAGTTTACACATGGCATCCCCGAAGATCCAGTCTGTTTTATTGAAGTAGTAGAAGATCAGGGCTGGCAGAGTCAGCACGTACAAGAAGTCGGCCAGAGCCAAATTGAACATGTACACGGAGATGCCGCTCCAGGGCTTCATGTGGAAGACGAACATCCAGATGGCCACGCTGTTGCCCAGGAAGCCGATGATGAATACCAAGATGTAGACAGCCGGCAGGTAGTAAAACTGGAAGCCCGTCTTGGTCAAGGCGCATTTGAACGACGAGGAGACGGCGGCAGTGGAGGCGACCGTGCTGTTCCCCCAGGACGAACCCGGACCGGCCAGGAAGGCAGCGTCCGTCCCGTTGGGGACAGCCGGCCACAGCACCTCGGTCATTCTCTCCTCCTCGACTTAGGCGGCGGCTCCGAGGGGTAGGAGGCGGCGAGAGGGCAGCGGCGGCCAGGGGCGCAGCAAGCATCGGAAAAGCCAGCGAGCGGAAGGGAGCAGGCGAACTGGATCCCCGCGGGAGGGGGCGCGCAGGGGCTCGCCCACGCCAGCTCTGGCCCCGCGTTCGCCGCGGGCCATGAAATCCGCCCCGGGCCGCCACCGAACTGGGCTATCGGGCAAGCCAGCAACTTCTCCGTCCGCTGGCAACGCCGAGCTTACACAACAGGGCGCGCAGGGAACCGCCGCGGATAACTTTCCGACTGCGCTTTCCCGAGGGGCCGCGGGTCCGCGCTGCAGAGCGCGCCAGAGGCGCAGCGAGGTCAAGGGAAACTCGCTCTGCAGGGCTCTAGCTTGGGGAGGCTGCTCCCCAGCCTCCTTGGCTCAAAGATCAACTTAATTGGGGGCATCTTCCTCCTCCCTACCTTAGAAACGTGCAGCTCAGTTTCGGGGCGTCTAACCGCTTCCTCCGCCCACCCTGAGCTCAGCTCCTGGCAGCCATCGGAGCGCGCGTGGCCGCAGACTCGTGCGCTTCTGCAGCGCGTCCCGTTCGGCGTCCGCGTAGTTCAGGAACCCCTTCCCCAGGCCCAGCTCTGTCCGGAGTGCCGGGGTTAGGCGGGAGAGCGGAGCTCCCTAGAGGGTGGGCGGAGTTTGGGCACCGGGGCGAGTCCGCACTCCGCGGGGAGGCGAGGGGCGTGCCTCCGCCGAGCTCGCCCAGCAGCCAGCCCGCGTCCTCCAGGGCGCAGTGGGAAGCAGGAGGCGTCTTCTGGGGAGCAGGTCTCCGCCGAGGCCGAGTGTGTTCAGCCTCTGCCGGCACGCTGCTACCGGAGTCGGCGGCGAGGGAGAGGGGTGCGCTCCAAGGTGGCTGCTGGCAGGCGATTGGCCCGCGAGCGCTCCTTCCCTCTTCCGCCAGCTATCTCGGCAAAGTGAAGTTGCTGACACACAGGAAACCCTTCCGACCGCTTAGAGCCTTCTGCCTACAACCCCAGAGCCGACCAGTCCGTAGCAGGAGCCTCTAGGGCCCTCGAGAACCACGCCAGGTGTTTTCAAGCTCCAAGCAGCCAGGAGTCCCTAGCTGGGAACGCCTGTCATTGCAGAGCGTCTAGCTTTGCCGGGACCGGATTTCTGGCACATGCAGGAACCTGCTATTCCAAGAGGGCGCGAGCCTCCAAAGGAATGAGGGTTGGGAGAGGAGTGGAGAACTCTGTTTCGCCCTTCTTACCTTTTTTTTTCTTTTTTTTAAATTCTAGTACTGTTTTTTCTTAATTACCCAAATGCTAATAAACCCACGTCATTAATAACATCAACGTGAGAATTTCCAAAATAGTCTTGTGAAGATATTACTAGTCCATATTGCACATTGCTTCAGCTCAAATTTGTCGTCATAGATACTTAACACCTATCAGACAAGACAAGCTCCCCAAATCCTCCTGTTCAGTACATTTAAAGATCAGAAGCTACAATGAAAAAAAAAAATTCGAAATTTATCCCTTTGAAAGTAATTTGAATGCCAAATGCAATACATTTATATTGATAGACGTAAAAGACGGTTATAATTCCAAAGTGACTAAGGTATGGTTTTGGTAGGGGGTGGCGGGGGGAGGGGGGTATTTCCAATTCTATTTCTTTAAGTTAAAGTGATTAGTTACAATTACCTCTAGTATCTTAAAAATACAGACTTGGGACTTCCTTAATTACTACATTTACTGACAAACTCGTTTTCTTGCCTTGAATGTAAATTTTAAGCAATGCACTTCAAAAATGTATTTGAGCAAGTTTAATTGGAAACTAAATGAAATATTAGCTGTTCAGGAACATATATAAATGGACCCGCACAAGAATGGAATCTAGCACTTCTTGACAAGTTACTAGTTAATGTATTTTTACATGACACATTAACAAAAGCTTTTCTCTTAGAGGAAAAAAAATCCAAAAAGAAAATATCTGTAAAATATATAACATCAAGATTTCTTTCTGGTCCCAGATGCTACATGATAGTGTTCCCTTAAAAAATAAAGGAAAACCACGAGCTCCTGGCTTTGATACCACAAAGGAAAATATCCCCCACAAGATCCAGATGGTTCTTTAGAGGAACACATATAGGAAGGAGCATATCTTAGCACATGGTATGAATACACTGGGTTTTGAATTGTAGTCAATTGAACAGCATAAAAATTAATAATAAAACAAGAGTAAATAATTCAAGTAAACAGTGTGAATGAGGTTGTCTTGAAAAGTCTTACTTTTTGTGTTTCCTTCCAATCTCCTGATTATATGAGTCTATGATTCTGAGCCTTAACATGAAACATTTGTGTATTGTTTGATTAGTATGGTCCTAGGTGGGATGATTGTCTATTAAGAGAGAAAAGGAAGCAAAGAAAACCATTAAGGGTTCCAGGGGTACTCAATAGGTCTTAAGTCCTCACTCCTTTGCATTTTTTATTTGCAACCTAGGCAATATCTGACTTCACTCAGAAGTTTGTTGCAAATGCATTAACTCATAATGTGAGTGTTTTGAAATGTACACTTAGTCCAGATACCATTAAGTACTTGCAGAAAACTGACACCTTACTAGGAATTGGGGGATAGTTGTTTTAAGTGCACCACAGACTTTTTAAAAAATGATGTTAAAAAATAAATTTTGGGCTGGGCGCTGTGGCTCACGCCTGTAATCCCAACACTTTAGGAGGCCGAGGTGGGCAGATCACGAGGTCAGGAGATGGAGACCATCCTGGCTAACACGGTGAAACCCCCTCTGTACTAAAAATACAAAAAATTAGCCGGGTGTGGTGGCGGGCACCTGTAGTCCCAGCTACTCGGGAGGCTGAGGCAGAAGAATGGTGTGAACACAGAAGGCGGAGCTTGCAGTGAGCTGAGATCGAGCCACTGCACTCCAGCCTGGGCGACAGAGTGAGACTCCGTCTCAAAATAAATAAATAAATAAATAAATAAATAAACAAACTTTGTAAGCATTGCTTTTGCATTCAACATATTTAACTACACAGTTATGTTTCAGTTATGCTTTAAATCAAAATTTTGCCTTGTGGGAATAAGTTACATATATTCAGTAATTACTATAACTTTCTATTTGTAAAACATTCAACTATTATTAATGAAGAAAAAATCTAAGAATCATTATTCACATTTGAACATCAATTATAGATGGCTTAAAGACATGATAAAAAATTCTTACATATTTAAGTGACATCCCTAAGCATTCCATGTTAATTTTTTTTTTTTTTTTTTTGAGACGGGGTCTCACTCTGTCGCCCAGGCTGGAGTGCAGTGGCGCAATCTCGGCTCACTGCAAGCTCCACATCCCGAGTTCATGCCATTCTCCTGCCTGGCGTGGGACTACAGGCGCCCGCCATCATGCCCGACTAATTTTTTTGTATTTTCAGTAGAGACGGGGTTTTCACAGTGTTAGTTAGCCAGGATGGTCTTGATCTCCTGACCTCATGATCCGCCCGCCTCAGCCTCCCAAAGTCCTGGGATTACAGGCATGCATGAGCCACCGCGCCCGGCCTGCCATTACTTTTAATGGCAGTCTTGGACTCATAAACAAAAAGGTTGCCCTTCTTATGCCCTTATATTTAAGTAGCAGTGTAAGAACCTGACTTCAAGAGATTTACAATTTAGTTGGAAATGCAAATAATATATATAGCTAACCATAATAGTAAATATAACAATAGCAATAAAAATAGGCCTTTGCTGTACACTCAAGTACTGTGTACATGTAAAAAGGATTATCTCTTTTCACCCTTAAAATATGCATGATGATATTTGGCCATTGTATTCCCATTTTATAAGTGATGAAACTAAGGTACAGGGAGGTTAAGTAATTCACCCATAGTCACACAGTAGATACTGGGATTTAAATGTAGGCTGTTTGTCACTGAAGTCTATGCATTCAGCCACTATCCCATGATGAAAAAAAGCAAATACGGGGCACTGAGAGAAACGTTAACTTTTAGTGGCCAGCACAGATTGCGTTTAGAAAGCGTTACTCCCAGAAGCCTTCCCTCAGGAGAGAAAATTCTAAGCCAGATATTGAAGTTATTGATAGTCAAAGAGTATTTCAGAAGCTTCTAAATATTCCACTTCTCTACATAGGCTTCTTAAAAACAGCCAGCGATTTACCTATAATCTGAGAGAGAAAATCACTGGGACATCAGATCTGTTGAGTTTTAGACTCATAAACAAAAAGGTTGCCCTTATTATGTTTACAAAGATTTTTATCACCATATTTAGAAAATCTCTATTTTCTTTTTCTTTAAGCCACAGAAAATCCAACAATCATTAAGAATGGGAAAATCATTGGAAAAATTCCAATTGAGGGCCACAGGCAGAAAAGGGAAAAAGAAACTTCTCATAAACATAAAATATGAAATCTCCCATCTGAGTAGAGACCAAAAAACCATCAGATTTGACTAAATAAATATCATACCACAAATGCTAAACCTAATTCTGGTAGCAATATGAAGGAAGTTGGGAGCTGATAGGTAAGACAGCTGTTAGGATTTACGGAGGAGAGACGATGAGACCCTGATTTATGAGATAAAGGTTCATCTCATATCCTTTAGAAGGATATCATTAGGATATCCTTCTAAATTGAACTTCTGAGATTCACTTTAGGAAAGGGAGGAGACCCTTTCCTTCCCCAAGAAGAAAATAAGAGAAAGAAATAGGAGAAGTGTAAGGAATTCCCAGCTGATGTCCACCAATGAAGTAGGAGAAGGAGAAGGCTAAGATGGAGCAGAATTGGAAAGAGAGTATACAGAGAAAAAATTAGGATTGTCCTGTGCCAAGGAGGGCCCAGCTGCTCCTATAAATTATACACTTGTCATGGATCCAATCAGTAGGCTTCCTGAAATTTATTTCATTAAGAATCACAGCAGGGGTATAGGACACAGAATATACCCAGCAGGATTGATCTGAAGTTGAGTGAGGAAAAAGGGAGAAGAGAGCAAGAGAGCAAGAAACAGGAGGCCAGCGGGGAGAGGGGAGAGGAAATAATAATAATAATAATAATAATAATAATAATAAAAAGCAGACAGTGAAATGAAGAAGAAGAGGAAGAAGTGGGAGAGGGAGGAGGAAGAGGGAAGTACAGGAGGAGAAATAGTGCCTGAACAGTATTTGGGGGACAGAGGAAGAGAAAGCAAGATACTTGCACAGGCATAGGAAGAAGGTTTTGGAAATATCACTGAGCATAGCTTTTCTATTATTTAGGTTTAAATCTGGGTGTGTTGGGAGGTGCCTGGAAGGTGGTGAGATGATGCAAGCTATGCAGTCATGTGGCCAATGTCCCTATTGAATCATATGTCATTGAGCTAAGTTCTCTATATGTGCCTTTTCACTTACAAGTACCTGTCAGATCCCAGGCCACCTAAACCTTCTTCCATCCTTAGAAAGTTTCTTGCTTCCAAAGTTAAGAATAAGTATTCAAGGGAACTCCTTTCTTATACTTCTTTTTAAAATATTTACTTCTTTTATCTCATCTACATGAAGCCCTAGTCCCTAGTCCTGAGCACTTTACAATACTTTCAAAAAGCATTTTTGTTAAAATACAGAGTAAAAAACTTTAGTCCATCCTGTCTTGTAGAACTTTCTTTAATCATCCTTTTCTGATAAAAATTTCCTTTGCTGTCTTTGTCTTTGACATCTCTGTTTTATTAAAGGTGTGTCTTAGAACATTTACTGATAACAGACTAGAAATCCTGTATTACATGCCAGCTGTTCTACAATTTCCTTATATACTTAGCATTTTAAGAAAACAGAGAAATAAATATTTATAAAGCCTGGGGGTACACAAGTATCTTTAGAGCCAGTTGCTTAAATCTTTGGTCTTATACCATAATTATGAAACCATACGGAGTTCCTATGATACCACCAAGAATAAAAATATGACATTATTTGAGAGTTATTTGTCATTATTACATCTATCATATGTCAATTACTGATGTTTGGTACATCTGTATTTTGAATACATAAGCTTAATTCCAAGTAAGCAAATGAAAATCATGTGTAAGAATAAAGAAATACCCCTGTGTTTCTTATGTAAGTCACATCTTCCATCAGTTTACTCCTGGGATGTTGATCTCAATTATGTCCTGAATGTTTCACACTTTTCAAGATTAAAGTTAATTGCAGTTGGTGTCACCTTTCAGATTTTGGAATTTGTTTGTCCAAAGAGTTGGTGACAAATTTTCACCAGTAGCACTGAAAATATAAACTAACTTTAAAAAGATGAGCATTAATTGTATCCGTCTTTATAAATTATTCTGGTGCTACTTTTAGTTGAAATTCTTTTGGAAAAGCTGGCAAAATAAGTTAATTCCAGACAGTCTTCTTATAACAAGCCAAAATTTAGACATTCTTATGGAAAGATATCTGGGTAGCCAAAGACAGCACCAAATGAGTCAACCTAGTAAGAAGAAATAGTCCCATACATTGTTTATAAAATAAAATCAATATATAAACAGTTATTTGTAGTTAGAAAAGAACCAACATAGAGACTAGGTAATGCTTCAGGCAAACAATAATCAGTTACTTCTGGATATACTTATGTTTTCGATGATAGAGTTTAGCAGAACCTCAGTATCTCAAATTAGTTTTGTTTTTCTTCATTTTTCAGCCTTAGTTCTAGACAGCTGATACCGCAGCTAAATATTTATCTTACAGATCCTCATAGTGATAATAACTACCTAAGTAAAATACTAATTTCCTCACTGGAAACATCTACTTTGAGTCTCACTCAAGTGAACGCACTTGAATGTGCATTCAGATCACCCAGGGGATTTTCCTAAAACACAGTTTTAAGTATGAGATGGGGCCAAAGCGTTTGCATTTCTAACAAGTTCCCTTTGACATCCAAGCTCCTCATCCAGCCACTACATTCTGAGTAGCAAGGTTTTATGTGATCCTGTCTGACATTGCTTTGTATGCCAATTTAAAAATGCTATAGCTGCTTCTGTCCAGGACTAACATGCCTGAAGGGTTTAGGAAACTTGAATTGTGACATACATGTGCCAGGCACTGTTTAGAGTGCTTTTTATGGATTAGTTCATGGCACATGGTTAAACCCACAGGCTTGGAGAAGAGACAGAACTGGGTTCAAAGGTCAGCTAGGGCCACTTACAAGCTGTATAACTAAGATACATTGCCAAACTTGTCTTGCGTTAATGTTTCTATCAAATAATCCTTATATGACAATATAGCTGTGAGAATGTGTTCTTGTATGTAAAGTGTTTAGGACTGTGCCTAGCAAATAGTAAGTGCAAAATAAATGGTAGCTATAATTATTATGGTTATCATCATTATTATTTATAATAGACTCGTTGTTTTTACATTAACGGGTGTATCTTGATAAGGAGGCATTTGGATACAAGAAATCAAATCCATCAAAACCAGCATCAGCAAATATAGTGACTTTACTGGGTAAATAAAAGAGTACGAGCTCACAAGGAAGTGGGCACAGGAAATTGAAAATCAAGAATTTTGCCTACTCTCTCTACTTCACAGACAAAGGATCCCTGTTCTCTGCCTTTCTCTGTTCAACTACTCACTTTTCTTTCCTTACCTCCTTTTCTTTTTCCTCCCCTCTCTTTCCTTTTCTCTGTTGACCAGTTCTCTCTCTTTCTGTATGGACATGACTCAATGTGGATACTCAAAACCTGGCCTTATATTCAATGATAGATTCCTGAGGAAAATCTCAATAGTATGGTTCAGTTCACTTTGGCCTGGAGGAGAAGGGGATGGGCCACGTGATCAGAGCCTTCCTGCCTTCCTCCAGGGTCTGAGTGACAGACCTCAAGGGGGGAAAAAAAAAAAAAAAAAAAAGAATGGCAAGCTACTAGCTACTTAGGTGATATTGGAGCAGAGAGGATCAACTAATGAGATAATTACTATCTCTGGTGTAGAAAGCAATGTGACCATGGATGTGATTGGTGGGTTGGAGGGGAGAGGAGAAAAAGAAGAGTTTCAAGAAATGCAACTGTGGCAGGCAAATCTCCAGGCAAATTCCAGGAGAGGTGTACCTGTGACCAATGCAGGGACTGGTGGGAAAAACAGCGCTCCCAGAGAGATGAACACAGGCCCTGGGAGCCTGCTGCATTCTTCCGCCTTGCTCTAGTGGAGAGATTGGTGAAAATTAACTGCCAAGGAGTACACTCAAGTAGAGGTCTCCAGAGAAAATGAAGAAACTGGGCAGAATGAATGAACTAAGGAGGGAGAAGGCCAAAAAATACTATTGCATCATCCATTTTTCCTTAGCCGAAGGTGTAAGGAGAAAAGTATGATAGAAAGAAAGAAAATAACCTTGGCATTTCTGCTGGGAAAGTGGAAGGCTTTCTTCAATGAAAGATAAGTTATGAGGTTCTGCTTCCATCACAAAAACCAGCCCCAGGGCATGTAATTGCTACTGGGACTCTATTAATTCAGTTGAGAGTAACCAAAGGGACATATTTACAGTAATTCGAGTCCCTGGAAATGAGGAGTTTGACATGAGCTTCAGAACAGCAGAGAAATCGCATTTGGTTTACAGAATGAGTGCCTCAGGAGAAAGAGGAAAGCAAGGCTGGAAAAAGTTTGTGGTGATTGTGTTAACCAGTCCTGGGTAAAGGCTATGTTTATTCTCTTCAGGCATGAAATATTGGCTGTCAGAGACATTAGTAAGATACCATGCAAAGTTAGCATCACCCAACAACATGGCAGATTGATGAGGGTTTGGTTTTGAAAATGTATGTGTGAAGGACAGTAGTGGCAAGGGGGAGCTGAGCTTAACTACTGACTGAATTCTTTTCATTAGAGACAGGCAAAGATTGTCACCAGAGTGGGGCCACTCGGAGGTATACCCAACATAGACTTTACAAAGTCATAAACTGAGTGTGCAGGAAGTAAGGGAAGGTAGTTTAGGAATGAAGGATAAGGTTGGTGTTCTTAGTTAACAAAAAGGAAAGGAAAAATTATGTATAGTTTTACTGGGGAGGAAGGTCACCTTTATAGTATTCACCCAAGAGCATGTTATAATCAATGAAAGGCGAAATGAAAGAACGGGTGACATCTGCTCCTGGTAACATCTGCTCAAAATAAATGCAGGAAAAGGATGTGGGGCTCTAAGAGAAGGGAAGGCCATGGAATAGGCATCTCAAGAGCAGATGGGGAAATAAAACAGTTGCCACTCAGGCCATGGTGGGAAAAGGAAAAGGGAAACCGACACAGCAGGTAGGATAAATAAGAGGCAGGTCTGTAAATCAGCTGGGACTTTTTTTCCTTTTGAAGGAAAGAAGACAAACTCTCCCTACCTCAGAAAAGACCATTTTGATTAGAAGTACTTAGAGTTAGAATATGAGAGAGAGAAGGGAACCCATTCCATTTTCCTTGTAGAAGGAAAGACTGTAGAAGAAATATATCATTATGAAGATGTAAATATACAACATTAAATATATTATGTGTAAAAAGGTTCTATGAGGAAATTGTTGTATGAGGAATATGGTATATGGTGATATATAAGGAGATGTATTAAGGAAATGAGCTGTAAATTTTTGGGCAATGAGGGGAGGCCAAAAAAAAAAGGAGTAAGTGGTAAAAGAAAAGTTGGGCCTTAAAGAAACCTTTAAGAACTGATAAACTTCCTACAAGTCTGGATAAAGCAGAACCTAAAGATAAAACATGCAATAACTTAAGGCCTCAAAAGACTGATTATATGACTATAGCACCCTGAAATGAAAAGCACACATGTATGCGTACACGTGTGTGTGTATGTATGTGTGTGTGTGACAGAAAGAAGCAGGATTGAAAATGAAGGAAGGGAGACTTGTGTGGTTCTTTGGTAAGGGAAGCTGGAGGACTATTGATTATCATGTGGAACATCTCAAATTTGATTGGGAAAGCTGTGGCTTACTGCCAGGGTCACAGCACCAAAGAAAGAAAGAATTTAATTGTTATCAGACTTCCTCATTCTGGAAAGGAATGATGTGATGGCATTTTTAGAGAGGAAAGTGTTTCTAATTTAATGGCATCAGCTACATTCCTTTTGTAGACTGCTTGAACAAACTGTTTCTTACATTTTTGGCTTATGTGAGCCTGTTAGAATGACAAGTATGATGAAATAAAGAGACTTACCAATCACTTTTAAAGTGTATTTCATTTCTAACAAAAATGACTCAACTAATTACCCAGGAATAGGATTTTTGTAAATACTGCAGAGATGTCAAACACACATGTGCACACATGCACGCACATACACACATACAGAAAAACAGTTGCAAGCTTCCATACCCTAGAGCAATCAGTGTTAACACCTACTCAAGTTGTTAACTCAAGGTGCTCTAGGGTATAGTCCAAGAGATTTTTCCCCTTTAATTATATTCATGTGAATATATATTTATGTGTATATCATAAATCGGGTTACATATATGGTTGCATTCTGCCTTCCTGTCAGTATAGATACATATCTTACCTTTTTCTAAAGGATGACAGGATACAAATAATATTAAGAAGGTAAACGAATGAAAACTAGAGTGTACTGGCAATCCTAAACAGGAAAGACTGACACAACAGCGGAAAGCTTGATACCCAAAACACAGGGAAGCAGTGTAAAGGGAGGAAGAGAGCTAGATTTCCTTAAGAGATATCATGGTGCAGCAGTTAAGTTTAGATCAAGAATCTGAATTAGGTAAACCATCATTTTCTTTCCAGTAACAAAGATAAAGCTCTTAACCCTTAAGTGACTGCAAAATCTTTATATCCCAACATTCTCTGCTCAGAAGTTATTGGATGGAAAGGAATTGAAATGGTAGATGGCATAAATATGTAGCATTTTTACATAGTTCTAAATGAAACTTTAAAAAATCAAACATAAAAGACAGCATGTAAGATACAAAAATGAAAGAGAGATTATAGTGTGAATCCATTAAAAGAACAAAGATGAAAACATAAAGACAGTAAATAACACAAGGAACAAGTATTCAAAAATACATCAGTAAGAAGTTGTAATAAGAGTCATTAAGCACAACAACGAGACCAAAAAAATTCTTTATTGGAAAATATAAGGAAGATCCAAAGAGAAACTGAAAATCGGAAACAGGAAAGTAGACATAATGAAAAATAAAAAATAGGTGTTTTTGAAAATAGGGTGAGCTAAGCTAAGTGGTTTAGGGTATAGTGGTTATTCACAGCCATTGCCAAGATGATTATAAAAATAACAGCAAATATTTAGTGAGCACTTACTGTGCCAAGTCCACAGCACTTTACATTTTTTTCCAATTTAATCTTCACAGATAATGAAAAGGCAGTTATCTGCTGAAGAGTTAGGGTTTTATAGAAATGGAAAACAGAAAAAAAAGGAAACATAGGAGAAAATAAAGGCATTGAGACAAAGGCAAGGATCATAAACTTAAAAAGGAATATATGGCAAGTGAAATACGAATAAATGTCAAAGTAAATCAATAAAATTAAAAGCTGCTGAATTTGACAATGAGGGTATAAAAAAACTCATTAGCTATAGGAAATAAAACTAGGGCAAAGCAGAGATACCATGTAGAAAGTTTTGTAAAAAAAATAATAACTCAAACTCCTAATTAAAACCAATATATGAAAACATGGCAGTTCTCCAAAAGAAGCATGTAAGGATAAAGTACCTCCTAATACCGAAACAGATTACAGAAAAAGATTTGGGAGCCAGATGGCTGAGATTATTAACTAGAGGAGTCACAGGAAGGGAGCTGGGAGGAGCAGGCAAGATGGAGGTTTAAATAAAAATTTACTGGGTATTATTAGAAGGAAAAGAAAGGATCAGAAGGTCCTAATCATGGGGATAAAGTCCTTCTGGGAGAGCAGAAATGTAGAAGCCTATAAATGAGTAAGGGAGACAGGAGGACGTGCCAAGTGGGAAAAACCACATTGTAGAAAGGATGAGTACACCACATCACAGTAAACAGAAAGAAAGAATTGAAGGGAAAAGAAAACGTAAGAAATTGATTTTCAGAGCCATGCAAATTGTTGGTTGAGGGTAGAGTAATAAATGCAAATACAACTAGTACTTTTAAATGCGCTTGTGACCCTAAATATGTAAGATACAATATTACATGTGGAAAATAAACATTAAAATTCAAACACTATTTCATTTGCTAAATTCTGGATTATGAGTAAATGGGATCCATTAGGCTCAAGGTATTGAAAATATTAGGGTTACTCCAATGGCTTTCTTGTGATAGTACTAAGTTAAGAATACTAGAAGGGGCCTCAAGAAGGGGCTCTCTCTGGTGTATTTCCCTTAGGAGCACAAAGGCATCTAAGATGAATGACTGTTTCCTAGTCTAGCTAGTGTAAGCAACTCAGTGCTTTCCATGTGATGTGTGCTTTTACTCAGTAATGAAATCTCAGTGCTGCATATTTTTGTGCTTTGCGGCAGTTAAAAACATCAGGACTTGATAGTTACTGTAAACCTCTGTGAAAATGATTGAAGTTTTCCTTTTATCTTCAGTGGAGTGTGCCAACAATGATCTAATAATTCTGCATTCTTACCCAGTAACCCTTACATTTTGCTTTTCCAAACTCGGCAACTTGAGCTTCTAATACAGTTCTTAACACCTGCCTTTTCTCCTACTAAATTATTTTTTAAGTAGAGACAGCTAACTTAACTAACAGCTAAGATAAGGTATTCTCTATGTAAATTTAGATTACTTTGCAGGAATGATACAACAAATATTATCTAGAACTCAAAACCCTTGGTACACAAATATCACAAGGCTGTAAAAAGTAGAATCAGGCAGGGCGCGGTGGCTCACCCACGCCTGTAATCCCAGCACTTTGGGAGGCCAGGACGGGCGGATCACGAGGTCAGGAGATGGAGACCATCCTGGCTAACACGGTGAAACCCCGTCTCTACTAAAAAAAAGAAAAAACAAAAAAACAAAAAAATTAGCCGGGCATGGTGGCGGGCACCTGTAGTCCCAGCTGCTGGGGAGGCTGAGGCAGGAGATTGGCGTGAACCCATGAGGCGGAGCTTGCAGTGAGCCGAGATCGCACCACTGCACTCCAGCCTGGGCAACAGAGCAAGACTCCGTCTCGAAAAAAAAGAAAAAAGTAGAATCAATCCTGGATTCTAGCCTTTGCTCCCCCACAGCCTGATAATGAGCACTTAGCCTTTCTATGCAGTTTCTTTCTCTGCAAATTGGGAGTATTAATTTCTCTATCTACCCATCTCTTGGGATCTTTTGAGAACTGGGTAATGGACTCGTACTTTGAGCTACTTGGAAAAACATACGCTATATAAATTTAAGGAAGTGTTGTTTTAAAACCTTGTACTTTGCAAGGAAACTACTTAGATATTTGAGATTCTATACCCAGTCAATTATATACTCTTTATATAATATCTATGATAAAAGTGTTCTTTAAGTACTTGTTTTTACCATTTACTATAAAAATACTTAATACCATGAAATCTGGATTATAATTTTATTATAGGCTACTTAGAATAGCCTTTGAAACACTATTATAAGGAAGTAGATAATATGGGTCTGCAGGCAGCACAGCAAAAATATTTTGTATTCTCTTTCTTTTTTCTAAATTGAAACTTTTATCATGTTTTTTTAGTGCTCAAAAAACTTACATTTTCTCCCCATTTTATTTACACTAAGATTGTTTGAGGCTCTTTATAATAGTCCAATACTTCCTTTCCAAACCCTATTCTTCTGTCGAGGCAATAGACTTTTATTTCCACATATTCTGTAATATTGTAGCCTCTCAATCTTTCTTCTTGACATTTATTCTCTTCACTGTCCTCTCTATCTTTTCAATTTTATTTGTCCTTCAAACTGAAGACCTAATGCAGTGGGAGTGTGTGTGTGTGTGTGTGTGTGTGTGTGTGTGTATACTTATATGTGATGCTTTATATTCAAGGATAAAAATAAACTGTTTATACATATATATTTTAAAACTTTCCTATAGTATTTCAAGATTTTATTTTCATGAGATTTTTTTAAAGTGCTTAAACTGTCTCTTCTCCCACCTTAACTAACGCGACGTCCCCTACCTTATAAACAGGAGAACCTCTGAAGTAAGGAAGAAGAGTAGGAAAATAACAGTTTTAATATTTACTAGCTTGTATTACTCTGTATGCTAAATGATAACTCCTCCATTTTTTCCCCTCAACATCCTAGTAGAATGAAAATGAATTTCTGATGGTGGAATTGTTATTTATTTATTTATTTATTTATTTATTTTGCCATGTACTTCCTATTATCCATGGAGATTTGAAAACTCTATTCTTCAGTGGATGTTAATTTTTTTTTTAAAAAAGAAGAAATTATACCAATTTTTTACAATCTTTTCCAGAAGACAGAAGCAAAAGGAGTACTTATTTTCTAGCTCATTCTCTGAGGCCAGCATTACTCAAATACTAAAACCAAAGACATTATAAGAAAGAAAACCACAGGCTGGGCATGGTGGCTCTTGCCTGTAATTCCAGCACTTTAGGAGGTCGAGGTGGGCTGATCACCTCAGGTCAGGAGTTTGAGATCAGCCTGGCCAACATGGTGAAATCCCGTCTCTACTAAACATACAAAAACTAGCCAGGCGTGGTGGCCTGTGCCTGTAATCCCAGCTACTCGGGAGGCTGAGGCAGGAGAACTGCTTGAACCCGGGAGGTGGAGGTTGCAGTGAGCTGAGATCGCACCACTGCACTCTAACCTGGGAGACACAGTGAGACTTCATCTCAAAAAAGAAAGAAAACCACAGACAAGTATCTCTCATGAACATAAATGCAAATATCCTCAACAAAACATTAGTAAATAAAATCCAACAATCCCACCACAACTAAGTGGGATTTATCCCAGGATTTGAACCAGGTATGAAAGGCTGGTTCTATATATAAAATTAGTTAATGTAATCCTGAACATGAATAGGTTAAAGAAGAAAAAATCTCATGATCATATCAATAGATGCAGAAAGAGCATTTGACAAAATCCAACACTGATTCTTGATTAAAAAAAAAACCTCTCAGCAAACTAGAAATAGAGGAGAATTTCCTTAAATTAATAAAGAACATCTACAAAATATTTACAGTTAACATCATACTTAGCAGTAAGAAACTTGAAGCTTTTACACTAAGATCAGAAACAAGGCAAAGCTGTCCATCTCGCCGATCATTTTCAACATTATACTGGAAGTCCTAGCAAATGCAATAAACCAAGAAAAAAAGGTGGCGGTGAGGAGGGTGGGGGTGGTAATACATATTGGGCAGCAAAAAATAAAAGTCTTTGTTCGCAGGTAACACGATCATCTGGGTAGAAAATCCGAAAGAATCAACAAAAAATTCCTTGAACTAAAGCAAGGTTGCAGGATACAAAGTTAACATACAAAAATTAATTGCTTTCCTGTATAAAGAAGAAGTAAAGTTTGAAATTAAAACCACAAGACCTTTTACCTTAGCACTACCCAAAAACAAAATACTTAAGTATAAATCTAACAAAAAACGTGCAAGATCTCTATGAGGAAAACTATAAAACTGATAAAAACAATTTTTTAAAAAGAACTAAATAAATGGAGAGATATTCCTTGCCCATAAATAGACAGGTAAGTGTTGTCAAGATGTCAGTTCTTACTAACTTGATCTATAAATTCAATGCAATCACAATCAAAACCTCAGCAAGTAATTTTGAGGATATTAACAAACTAATTCTAAAGTTTATATGGAGAAGTAAATGATCTAGAATAGCTGACTCAATATTGTAAGATGAAAACAAAGTCAGAAGTATGACACTACCCAACATTAGCACTTACTATAAAGCTATAGTGCTATATTAATTAAGATAGTGTAGTATTGGTAAATAAATGGACAAATCAATGGAATAGAATAGAGAGCCCAGGGCCAGTTGCAGGGGCTCAACATCCATAATCCTGGCACTTTGGGAGGCCAAGGTAGATGGATTCCTTGAACTCAGGAGTTTAAGACCAGCCTGGGAAAACTTACAAAACCATAGCTCTGCAAAAACTACAAAAATTAGCTTGGTGTGGTGGTGCATGCCTGTGGTCCCAGCTACTTGGGAGGCTGAGGTGTGAGGATTACTTGAGCCCAGTAGGTCAAGGCTGCAGTGAGCCATAATTGCACTACTGCATGTCTGAAAAAAGAGAGAGAGCGAGAGCCCAGAAATAGACTCACATAAATGTAACCAACTGATCTCTGACAAAGGAGCCAAGGCAATACAATAGAGAAAAGACAGTCTTTTCAACAAATGCTGATGAAACAACTGGATACCCATATGCAAAAAAATGAATCTAGACATGGATCTTACACCCTTCATAAAAATTAACTCTAAATGGATCATAGACCTAAATGTAAAATGCAAAACAATAAAACTTTTAAAAGATAACATTAGAGAAAATTTAGACAACTTTGGGCATAGTAATAACTTCTTACAAAGGCACAATCCATGATATGATGACTTTATTAAAATATAATTGATATGGACTTTATTAAAATATAAAATTTCAGTTATGCAAAAGACTCAGTCAAAAGAATAAGAAGACAGGGTGAATCTGGGAGAAAGTATTTGCAAAAGGCATATTTGATTAAAAACTGTTACCCAAAATATAAAAATAACTCTTAAAACTCAACAATAGGAAAGCAAACAACCCAATTACAAAATGGGCAAAATATCTGAATGGATTTCTTATCAAAAAAGATATTCAGATGGCAAATAAGCATATAAAAAGATGTTCAACATCATATATCCTTAGGGAATTGCATGTTAAAACAATGAGATACCACTACACATCTAGTACAATGGCCAATACCCAAATCACTGGCAACACCAATGCTAGAGAGGACATGGAACAACAGAAGTCTTATTCCTTGCTGGTGGGAATGCAAAATAGTACAGCCACTTTAGAAAACAGCTTAGCAGTTTCTTATACAACTAAACATACTCTTACTGTAAGATCCAGTGATTGCATTCCTTGGTATTTACCCCAATGAGTTGAAAACTTATGTCCATGCAAAATATTGCACATGATTGTTTATGACAACTTTATTCATAATTGACAAAACTTGGAAGCACCAAGATGTCCTTCATTCGGTGAATGGATAAACTCTGGTACATTTAGACAATGAAATATTATTTGACTCTAAAAATAAGTGAGTTATCAAGCTATAAAAAGACATAGAGGATCATTAAATGAATATCAATAAGTAAAAGAAGCCAATCTGAAAAGACTACACACTGTTTAACTCCAACTAAATGCCAGTCTGGAAAAGGAAAACTTACGGATCCAGTAAAAAAGATCAGTGCTTACCAGGGGTTAGTGGGGAGGGAGGGATGAATAGGCAGAGTGCAGGGGACTTTTAGGACAGTGAATATATCTGGTATGATACTATAATGTAGATATGTGTCATTATAAATTTTTCCAAATCTATAGAAAGTACTACACCACGAGTAATCTCTAATGTAAATTATGGGCTTAAAGTGATAACGATGTGTCAGTGTAGGTTCGTCAAAGATAGCAAATGTACCGTTTTGGTGCAGGATGTTGATAGTGGAGGAAGTTGTGTGTATGTGGGGGACAGGGAGTAAATGAGAGCTATCTGTATTTTACGTTCACTATTGCTGTAAAGGTAAAACTACTCTAAAAATAAAGTCTATTGAAAAAATTTGAGGACAGTTAACCCAAAATTGTTTTTCAGTATTCCCTTTACATATTATGGAGACCACCTTAGTTTCCAATATACTGTTAAAATAGTAATAAGGCCAAAAAATAATATTAACCCATAAGGGGTGAAAAGAAGCAGGGGATGAGACATTAAGGTATGAAAGATTTAAGCAAATTTTGGAGAGTGGTGTTAATTGATGTGTCAGAAAAAAAGAGAGCTATATCTTGAAGTTGAGAACTTCCACAGAAAGTGAATGAATTTGCATTTAAAAGGGTCATCATTTGGAAATGCCAGGTGCCAAAAGAGGGTGTGAGAACAGGAAGATTGGTTGAAAGACTATATACATGGTGAAGGAAGAGAAACCTAGGTTTGGTTTGGAACTCCAGGTCTCTACCTTCACTCTTCACAGGAAGGAAATTATTTCTCTAGACCACTCCTCCTCTCTCTACTTACTCTCTACTTACCCAGCTCTGAAACTCTGAACCAGGAGACCTGAGGTTAAATAAAAGACTGTGGTGACATCAGGTCTGAAACCATGAAGATTTGGTAAGAAACTAATATGAGCTGACGGACATTTGGCCTCTTTGTAAGCACACTAGCAGGCAGCACATATACCCTCCACCCCTTCCCTCACATCTCCAACTCCCACCCTAAGCAGATGATTCACTGATTCTTCTCTAGTGATCCAAAGGGCTCTCCTTTCAACCCCATTCTTTACTCAAAAGATGCCTTTCCAGATACTGGCATTCCTCAGTTTCAAATCTAAATACATAGCCAAGAGTCTCCAGTCATTTGAGGAAGGCCTTCATTCTGAAAGGGTAAATTGAAACAGATGAACCCCCAAAAACAAACATAAAAAACTGAAAGGGACAAAGGGAAGTAATCAAAGAAAAGCATAACAGAAAAATAAAACTATAATAGCTTCAGTGAGTAAGAAGACATTATGACAACAAAAGAAATATGATATCATAAAAAGTGATATAATAAAAATCTACTGGTTATCTTATGTATAATAGTATACAGTTAAAATTTTTCCATAGGCATATTGGAATATTTATTAAAAGAAATATCATCTAGGTAGAAAAAAAAGACACAGTGTTATGAAGTAGCATGTAAAAGAGAAGAATTTGAATTCAAACCAGGAGTTCCAACATTCAAATGATAAGTGCTCAAGAGTCAACAGAGAAAATAGAGGGGAGGAAATTTAAAAACGTGAACTCTCAGAGTACAAAAGACTAAGAAATGATTGGCACAGGACATTAAAAAAAATCAAGTCACATCCTTGCAAAAGTTCAGAAAACAAGGTTCGAAGAGGATTTCCTAAGAGTTTCCAAAGATGGGGAAAAATATACATGCAGAGAAATAAAATTAAGTGTCATTGGCATTGTCAGTAGCAGCACTGATTGTTAGAAGAAAGAGAAGCAATGCCTTAAAGTTCTGAAGGAAAATGCTTTTTGAACCTAAAATTCTATGCCCAGCTAAGCTATCATTCAAATGTAAGGAGAGAAGCTGGGCACTATGGCTCATTCCTGTAATCCCAGCACTTTGGGAGGCCAAGACAGGTGGATCACCTGAGGTCAGGAGTTCTACACCAGCCTGACCAACATGGTGAAATCCCATTTCTACTAAAAATACAAAAATTAGCCGGGCTTGGTAGCATGCTCCTGTAACCCCAGCTACTTGGGAGGCTGAGGCAGGAGAATCGCTTGAACCTGGAAGGTAGAGGTAGCAATGAGCCAAGATCGCACCATTGTACTCTAGCCTGAGCGACAAGAGTGAAACTCCTTCTCAAAAACAAAACAAACAAACAAACAAACAAAAGCCCCCCAAAAAACCCACCACCACCACCAACAACAACAAAAATGAAAACAAAATGTAATGAGAGAATATTTTCAAAAATACAATGTCTCAAAAATAAATCTTTCATGAGTTTTTCCTTAGAAGCTACCAAAAGATGTAATTACAGCAAAATTAGAGAATAAGCTGAGACAGAGGAAGACATGGGATCCAGGAAATAGGTGATCCCAAGAGACTGGTAAAAAAGGTTAGAATTACCAGAAACTACCAGACCCAGTAAGAAATCAGTCTAATTTAGACCAAGAAGGATAGATGAATGCAGAGGATGGTCTAGACGAAAAGCCAGTAAAACTAACATATTATCTGATAAGCAAATTTTTGAAAAAATTACTACTAAATATTTGGAGGTTAGGGAAAATAATTTGCCATAAATACATAGTAAGTTAAGCCTTTTAAAAAAAAAGTCTGTTATTAATTCCTAGTTGAAAACTTGTACATGATAGGGTTGGAAATACAGTGAACAATAATTGCATACATATAATGAAGTAAAGCTAGACTGAGAATTTAAAATATGGTTTATTTAGTTTGTGAAGATAGGGAAAAGGACATGATTTGGGGTGGTGCAAAAGAGGTAAATTCTCAATACCTAAAAGAAGCCAATAAATAAGGCATGTAATTAAAAACAAAAACAAACAAACAACCCTAGGAGCATTACTGAAT
Organism: Homo sapiens; assembly: GCF_000001405.40. Taxonomy (NCBI): domain Eukaryota; kingdom Metazoa; phylum Chordata; class Mammalia; order Primates; family Hominidae; genus Homo; species Homo sapiens. The sequence continues at coordinate 152,815,564 of NC_000003.12, read as the reverse complement.
ATTACAAGAAAGCAAACCTGAAGAAAGAACTTAAAACATTGAAAGTGTTTTTTTGTTTTGTTTTGTTTCTGGGAAGAAGAATGAAAAGTTCGATGGACTTGATCAAGGAATTGCTTTTTTGACTATGTCTTTTAGCACTGTGTGTTTGTTGTACTTGCTTGCATGAGTGGCTCTTTTAAAAAATAATAATAATAAAGTATAGATTGCATTTTTAAAATCGAAGACTTTAGTGAATTTTTAAGAACAACATTAGTATGCTGTGTAAAGAAAATAATTTTATTTCTGATTATTCAATACTCAACAGTGATTCAGGGTCAGTCATCATGAATGTCAACTTTGGTCATATAAATAGAAACTATGTAAGAGACTGTAATGGATATGTATTTAATCTAGGGCATAGGTTTTAGAAAACTTATTTTTTCTCTTGATAAGTGATTTATCTATTTTTTTACTTTATTGTAGAAAATTAAATTAGTGAAATAAGGTTTTGAATTAATTTAGCTATAAAAATTTAAATTAGAAGCGACTCATTTGGATATTTCTTAAGGATGAAGTCCATTTTGTTATTATGAATCATTGTAGTGCTACGGATTCTTTATCAGTTCTGCATAAAGTATTTCTAAGGTTGTGTCTATAACTGAAAAATACAGTCAGCCCTCTAAATCCGTGGGTGCTGCATTAATGGATTCAACCAACCAAGAATTGAAACTGTTTGGAAAAACATACCACAAAACTTTAAAAAGCAAAACTTGAATTTGCCACACCGAGTATGCTACATTGAATCCACACTAATGAAGTGATGTGTGGGCATTATAGTAGGTATTATAAGTAACCGAGAGATGATTTAAAGTATACAGGACAATGTGCATGAGTTACATGCAAATACTACACCATAAGGGACTTGAGCATCAGTGGATGTTGGTATAGGGGGTGGGTCCTGCAACCAATCCCTCATAAATCCCAAGCAATAAGTATATATGCCATTGGAATGTGGTTCACTGCTATTTTAATCACATACCATGTTTTCTTAACTCATCTACTTACTTAATGCATAAAACATGTTTTGTGTGTGTGTGTGTTTGTTTGTTTTGTTTTTTTTAGACAGTCTCACTCTATTGCCCAGGCTGCAGTGCAGTGTTGCGATCTTGGATCACTGTAACCTTGGCCTCCCGGGTTCAAGGGATTCTCATGCCTCAGCTTCCCAAGTATCTGGGATTACAGGCGTGCACCACCATGCCCAGCTAATTTTTATATTTTTAGTAGAGATGGGGTTTCACCATGTTGGCCAGGCTGGTCTCTATCTCCTGATCTCAAGTGATCCTTCCTCCTCAGCCTCTCAAAGTGCTGGGATTACAGGCGTGAGCCACCGTGCCTAGCCAATACATGAAAAGTTTTGTACTTTGTTGTATCTGGGTCATGTGGGAATTAGATTTTACAGACTGTGTCTTTATAAAAATTTCTTTGGTGATTCAGAGATTCTCCATTTATCATTTAAAGTTTGTATTTATAACATAAACTTTTATTAGAGAGAAAGGAATAATGAAACTGCACTTATAAGTCCCAAGTGAAAGAAATCACGAAATTTAGACAAGGTCTCCAGGTACTGACAAGTTAACATCTCAGGAAGAAGCTGGTAATGAAGCTAGTAAATTATAGTTCTGGTATTTGATAGTCTAGTGGTCACCGTTAGGTAGATATGAGAAACAGCATATTATTTTTCTGTGTTCAGTGGAAGCATTGACATCTATAGGCTAATGAGAGAGAGAGAACAAGTCACTTAAGCATGTGGTGTCAAAAACAAGCTAGGTTTAATATTTTCACGGTATAAATTAGTCCTAATTGATAAGCCGCTCCTAACTACTCCTAACCATCTTTTCTGCCAGAATGACTGTACTTCAGTAAAAATATATTCTTCTACATTTACAAAGGCATTGAAACTGGTAAAATTATAGTGACCATCCTTGACTGAATCTCTGATTGGCCATTGGTCTGTTTTCAACAGCTTCCTCCCTTTCTTCAGAAGATGGCTCCAAGTAGTCATCAGTCATGGATTATATATCTAGATATTATATCAAATCAATATGGAGTTATATTTAACAACAAAATATATAGATTGTCACATTATTAACTTTTTACCAATAGAAATAGCCTCAAATGGAAGACTTAGAACAGAGCACTTAATTGAACTTTTTATGGGAGGAATTGGTGTTGTTATTTACTAATACTAGGTATCATACATTCTGCAAATCAGCTACTACATCAGAAAATCAAATCATCTGAGAAAATTAAGGGCTGTCTATGAGTGATCGATTTATCTGATACTCATATTTTCAGGCAAAACTTTAAGATAATCATATTTATATCCTGGACATTTCTATTATGCCATTATTACTATTTTTACTTAGAACAATTGTCTCTTGAAGATAATAAAGAAAGTCCTAACAAGACTATGTCCTACAAAAACGGCAAGTACAATCTGCAAATTGTCTGTCCTATCTTTTAGCTAATGTGGAACTTATCCAATACTTTCACTCAAGTAATTTACCTCACCATAGTAACTTTACAGATACCAAAGTCTATTTCAAACTATGGACTTTTAATTTTTTAATGCAATATTGGTTCTTTTCACAGAAAACAAATGTTCTATGCTGGTGGCAAGTGAAAGGTGTTGGTGGTGGGGAGACAATCTTCTCTATTTACTCTGGGATTGAAACATAGTGGTAACTAAACAGCACCAAAAGAAATGTCTAAACAGCTGTTTAATATTTAAAAAGACAAAGATCAGTTAAAGCAATATTTTATTCATAATATAAAGTAGTTTAGGATTGGATAATGTGTCCTGATACATTAGGTATGAGGACCCCTACTAGAATTTGGCAAAAGAGTCCCTAAGTAAATAGGACTGGAATCCTGCCCAAGTAAATTAACCTCCTCCCTTAGGGTTTGTCTTCCCAGTCTACTCCCTGATGATTATGTGGCCAGCTCTAATATTTATTGCTTATAATCTTATCTTTTAAATATTTGAAGTGTGCCTGTTCATACAGTCTCCAATGATGTTTACATAGTAAAGTATACATGCTATCAGTCATACAATTGTACTGACCTTTGTTACTTAAAAAAAAAAAAATTAAAACTCAAACCTAAAGATGGGTTCACATGTAGCCCTTTCACTTGCAAATGACAGAAAAGGCAGCCAACCTGGTTTATGAAAATAGGAAGCTGATTCGTTCACTTAACAGAAGTGCAGGGGGCAGGGTGGTTTAAGATATATCTTGAGGTACTTGAGATATCAAATACTGTCAGCACTTAGCAAATCCTCCTCCTTTGCACTCCTCTACTCTTTTTGCTTTCTGTCTTTTGCTCTCTGCACTCACATCTCCTCCAGGTCTCCATTTGGCTTTACACTTATGCAGGTTTTCCCCTGTGAACAGTAGATGGCTTCAGCTTTCCAGCTTTCACATCCTCTAAGATTCAGCCTAATGGGACAACTCCCTTATCTCTTTTCAGCATTCCTGCTTTTACCTCTGATTGGGTAACTTAAGCCATTTTGAACTGTCTGATTGTGGGTAGAAAAATGGGATATATTGATTAGCTTAGAAATAGGTCACTGGTGGGCCGGGCATGGTGGCTCACGCCTGTAATCCCAGCTACTTGGGAGGCTGAGGCAGAAGAATCGCTTGAACCAGGAGGCAGGGGATGCAGTGAGCCGAGATCGCACCATTGCACTCCAGCCCGAGTGACAGTGAAAGACTTGTTCTCAAAATAAATAAATAAATAAATAAATAAATAAATAGAAAAAAGAAAAAAAAAAGAAAAACAGAAATAGGTCACTGGTTCCACCCCTGAACCCCATCTGTATTAATTTCCTATGGCTGCTCTAAAACATCACCACAAACTTTGTGGGCTAATAAAACATACATTTATTCTCTTACATTTCTGGAAGTCAGAAGTCTGAAACCAGTCTTACCAGGTCAAAATTAAGGTGTCAAGGCTGTGCTCTCCCTGGAGGCTCTGGGCGAGAATCCGTTTACTTGCCTTTCTAACTTCTATAGATACATTCTTTGGCTCTTGGCCCCTTTGTCTGTCTTTAAAGCCAACAGTGTAACATCTTGCTTTAGTGGTCACATTGCCTTCTTCTACAATTATCCTCCCTCATATAAGGAACCTTGAAATTTACATGTCAAAACTGTCCAGGTAATGCAGGATTATCTCCCTATGTCAAGATCCTTAGCTTAATCACACTTGAAAAATTACTTATGCCATATAAAATAGCAGTCACAAGTTCCAGAGAGTGGGATCTGGGTTTCTTTTGGGGATCATTATTCTAGCCTATCATACACCATTCAAGCGTCAAAGCTGAAAGAAGGAGAAATAGAGACCCAACAAACGTTGGGAAGACAAATAACAAATATACATTACTATTGCATCTTAGAGGCTGTTTTTGCTTTTGGTTGCTTGTCTTTTGTAATTATATTTCCAAAGCAAGAGTCCACTTTGTGCTTCTAGTTATAATTTAATGTCAATGGCCAAATTATCAAGAATTATATAGAAAATACAAGTGAATAATAAAAAGATAGCGATCCAATTATGACTTAAACTTTGTGTGGCATAAAATTATCTATTCTAAGGACAGATTGGACATTAGATGTCACTTTAAATTATAGTATTGTTATCTTTTTTGTTGCTTGAAGACATAATTGTGCTTCATTTACCTCTTTAAAAAGTGAATCAAACAAGATTGTTGGTCATGTACAATAACATAGCTGTAAAATAAGTCAGTGGATAATGAGCATGTTTTGTATTCTAAAACATACCTGAAAGACTAAATTAGCTTCAATTACGGCCTCATATTAAATAACAGGTATTTCATAAAATATATTGCCCAACTGCTATGCTTTTAAGCCTTCAACGTTATGAAAAAACTCTTCTTAAATTGTTTGCTCAGTGCACCTCCTTTTTATGATTGGATTAATTGCTTTCCCTTTCACTCCCAATATGCAGTCAAACTATAATATTCTTTCCTAGTTTTCAAACTCTCAGAAAAAACATGGGACAGGTTTCTGGGGCTTGGAATTAAAGCATCTACCCTATCCTTCCACCATCTTTTACTGATATGTTTAAACAGAGGAATTTAATAAATTATGAGAGAGAAAGGACTATACTGTGAGTGAGAATAAAAAAACGTGGGTTTAAATCTTGACTTTGACTAGTATCGGCTGTGAGACCCTGACAACATTCTATATCTATCTAATCTTCAGTTTCCTTATCCATAAAATGGGAGATAATGGCTATTATCCAGGGTTACTGTCACGATTAAATGTGTGAAGAACAGTGTGCAGCACCAAAAACTGTGGGCACTTTTAACATTATGTTCATTCCATCACCTGGAAATTTTTTCATAAGCAATTTTAGTCAAGTGCTTTGAAGGAACTGGCATGCCAGTTAATAACAGTGAACTATTCAGGGAATAGTCACTCTGTATGCTGCCTTCAGGGAGGCTTCAGTTGGCTATATACAGTTTCTAGTAAAACAGAGTACTACAAACCCAATAAAAGTTGTTTAATATCACCTAACCCAGCACATATAAATATGTTTAAAATAAATTTAGTCATTATTTTAAATAATTTAATGTATTTTAAGAGATTTATTGCAAACATTTAGTGACTGCAAAAACCTGCAAGTTTTGAACATGATTCAGGATTTTAAGTATAAAGTAAGAAACTAGATAATAAAATTTATCTTAATAAATGGTGCCAGAGATGAATTCTGCAATCCAGGCCAGATGCTAATACTGGTAACACGTTGAAGACTTCTGCATCCTTGTGATTTATATATTTGCATATTCCTATCTGCCTTATGTACAGGCATGAAGAAATTATATGAAAATCGTTGCAGTGAGCAGTTTTTAAAAGAAATTGAGCCATGGCTTTGCTGTCTTGTTAACAGTAGTCTATGTCTATTTATGTTGGCATGTGTTACTAATCATAAAATTAAAGTTAGTATGTACCATGTTTAAAAAGTTAACTTTAAAAGTATAAATCCCTATATTTTTCCCTTTCTCATCTTTGATGCTTATGTAAAAAAAAAGGAAAACTGAAACTTTGAATACTGGTAATCAAAATAATTACAATTATCAAATAAATAGTGAAAAAATATCTTTCTGTGCCACTAACATATACATTTCAAAACTTTAAGGAGTTCACAAGAAAAATTTATATGGTTAATTTTTTAGGTTTTTGGAGGGGGTCCTTTATTGGAAACACTGTGAGGAGGCCAATTTTGTTTAGCAGCCCTAAAATATACTAAAGCTACATAAATTTCCAAACCTGAAACTTAAAAATGAGGTAATATGGCATTCAGAGATCCATCTATTATAGACCCAAAATAGTGCTCCTTCTATTATTTCATAAGGTGCCCTAAGCCTTTAATGAATAAAGATGTTATTTTCTAAAATAACTAACACCATTCATTTAAAAATAAAAATGAAAACAACTTACTAGCGTTTTCTCATAAAAGAGTACAATGTTCCAAAATTATATAAAGAGAAGCTCAAATTAAGTTATTAGTCTTTGGTGAAAATTTAATGAAACCTACATAGGAAACATTTATTTAAGGAGCATAATTTTTGACTTAATAGTTTCTTATTCCTAAGGTCTCTAATCATTTGAGCAGTTTTTGTAAAAGAGCTGCTTGTATGGAAAAATGCTGAGACTTTCACAAGAGATTAACTGTTTTTATCAGCAGGAGTGAGAGATACTTATATTACCCAACAGAGAGGGAAACAGGTCAGCAAAATCATTCATCTTTTATAATAATGTCCTTCTCATTATTAACAGCTATGGGGAAGGTTTGACCATCAGTCCGTATTTTGTCGTGAATTTTGTCTACTTTGTGGAATAAAAAAGGGTGGATCTGAAATCTTATTTTGTTAACTTAAGCCTATTACATTTTTTAAAGCAACTCAGCAACAGCAAAGCTACACAACTGGGTATTGATTTTTCCCACCCAACCTGGGGTGGATAAATCATATGCCAGACCAAAGTTCTTCCTGAAGATGTCAACACTCTTCCTATAAGGCCATCTGTGATTCAATATTTTTATCATGTAGGTGAAAAAATAGATGTCAGAATCAACTGAGAAAGGGGTGAGAGGGGTACGTATTTTCCAGTGGAAATATAGGACCATTCGAATAGATCCCTTTTATACTGCTGGGTCAGGTAGTATGTCTTAGGCTGTGTCCATTATGCCACCCAACACACAGCCACTATCCCAACTAAACAGATGCATGAACTCTGAGGGTTAGGAAATGGATATTCCAGTGTAAGAAAACAGATTTAAATAAAAATAAAACACGTTGGTAAGTGCTTTGAAAACACATGATCTCATTTGGATAAATCTGTATGTTTTGCACCAAATATTCTTCTCTAATTTTGGTCTAATCACTTTACTTTTCCTGCAGTCATGCAACAATGGTTTTGACTACCTTTGTTGGGTCAGGGATTATTTTACTTGGGTCAGGCATTATTTTATGTATACATCCTGAGTATACTCCTCTGAGTATACAGAGGAGGTCCTTGTCCACTCAAAGAAAGATAATAAACATATGAACAAATTAATGAACTAATTCAGGTTGTGATCATTTCTATAAAGGAAATAATTAGAGTACTTAAATAGAGAGTAGTTTGGGAATACTCTTTTAGAAGTGATGGTCTGAAAAGTTCTCCAAAGCTGTAGGTCTAGCATCTGAGCGAAAACTTTAAAAAGGTTGGATTTATCTGAAAAACTGGTTAATCATCATTCCTGGATAAGAGAGTAAGAATGTCCTGATATGGAAACATCTTGGCAAAGATGAAGAATTAAAAAGAGGTTAGTGTGTCTGGAAAGTTGTGAGGGTGAGGGAAAATGGCATTGAGTATTGGAGAGTTATTCAGAAATCGAAACCTCAAAACCTAAAGGGCCTTATAATCCAAGTTGGAGGTTTGAGCTTTATTACAGAAGCATTTATTATGGAGTCATTGTGATTTTATGACAATACTCTGTTTAAGCAAATGGATAATATAAAATTTGAAAACATGCTTCAGAAGTTACCATTTCTTAAGTAGTTGCAAAACAAAGTTGCTTGATCTAAATTTGTTTTGTTTTTAATAACTTTAAAAATAAAGTTACTATGTAAACCTCAGTATTTGTTAGTAGTGTAAAGATAATTCAGCGGGACTTTGGAATTCCTGGATCATGTGGTGATTCTCCTAGAAAAACATGGTAAGTGGTGGAAAAGGAGAAAAAGGGAGATGGTTGTTAGAGCTGCAGGATCCTGGCAAACAGTGGGACATATGCTTTCCCATCATCTTCTGCTTCCATTTCCTTCTCTGTCCTTTCACACATTTCACAGTCAAGATTCACAGATAGGTGATTGGCTTAGCCTAGCTTGATGTAGAGCTTTTTTTCTTTTTTCTTTTTTTTTTTTTTTTAGATAGAGTCTCACACTATTGCCCGGGCTGGAGTGCCGTGGCGCAATCTTGGCTCACCGCAACCTCTGCCTCCTGGGTTCAAGCGACAATCTTGCTGCAGCCTCCCTAGTAGCTGGGATTACAGGTGCCCGCCACCATATCCAGTTATTTTTTTGTATTTTTAGTAGAGACAGAGTTTCACCATGTTGGCCAGGCTGGTCTGTAACTCCTGACCTCGTGATTTGCCTGCGTCAGCCTCCCAAGGTGTAGAGCTTTTAAAACAGTGGGCATCAGGTTTTGAAAGATTCTTATAGGTCCTCTCAGGAATATTTGTAATAAATAGGAACTTGTTACTACTCAAGTAGACTATGTAACACCTTCCACAGCACATGTATACAAACACACACTTTCACACTTTTTCCACCAGGACATTATACAGTATATGTGAACTCAGAAAGTTTTTAGTAACATGCAGACATATGCCAACAAGCTATACATCACTGCAAGCAGTAATTCCCCCATAGGAATGAGGAAAGACACAATTATTACTGGGATTAGGGTGTGAAAGGTGTCTACTTGAGTGAGTTAACCCAGTAATATTTCAAAACAAGGAATTCAGACTTAGTGAATGTAGATATATATTTTTTCCTACAAGAAGCAAAGAGAAGGGAGTATGATTTAAGTTTGCTCATTGAAATTTTAAAATGGTTTTTAAGAGTTATAATGTATTATAATGCCTTCTTAGCTGGGGATATCAAAGTGCTTTTACACAGCTTCCACACTGGCTGGAGCATTTTTGTTTAAACTAAGGAAGTACTAGAGAACAAATGGTTGTCTATATTTAAGGTACCTTCAGTTTCTGTTTCTGCCTATTAGGAAATGTTTCTAATGTTTTGTTCTCCTAGAAAAGCATCACATTTTCTTCTATCTTTATTTCTTGAAGCCTGGTGAATATACTTAAGATAATATTTTCTACTTTTATAATTGTGCTAAAAGGTAATATTTAAAAATCAGTTGGATACTGGGGAAAGTATGCCATCTTTTCTATTAACAGGTTTCTGAAAAAAATGTTTATTTGATTTCAAGATAAAAAATAACTTCACATTGGTAGCATAACTTCCAGTGTGATTTGTTAGATAGTTTGGTCACCAGAAAATACAAATTTATTAGATTTGTATTTATGGAATGCTGTGCCAATATTTACAATAAAAATAAATAACCTTGATTATTTCCTTGACTCTACTGTTACTTTTCCACACTGTTTTTCTATCACTTTAAAGCAAAAGTTTTTCCCACCTCTAGAATAATCAAATTGGCATGATTGGCTTTGTGTTCTTATCTCAGTGGTGAGGAAAAAAAATGATTCAATGCAGTTGTCTTCGTCTGGACTATGCATAACTCTAGAGGCACAAAAACTTTCTCAGGTACTAAGCAAACCCACAGATATTTTGAGGAAAATCAAATTCCAAATTTTCAACTTCCATGTGAAACTTTGTTCTCAATTTGATCTGGCTGTGAACATTCCTGAAGTAGGAATGTTACTTTTTCCCTTTTTCCTTTACAATTGTCCTTCTCTCACTTCAATTGCCCTCCTTATCATTGTCCTTCTCATCTATCATGAATCTTAACATGGTGCATTGTTCCATGAAATAAAAAATCTCTGACACACCTAACAAAAGAATATTTTCATATATTGGTGTTGGGCTGAGAAAATAAATTACCTCAAAGAATGAGTTTTAAAAATCCACTTGTATCCCATTACTGGGTATACACCCAAAGGATTATAAATCATTCTACTATAAAGACACATACACACGTATTGCAGCACTGTTCACAATAGCAAAGACTTGGAACCAACCCAAATGTCCACCAATGATAGACTGGATAAAGAAATGATAGACTGGATAAAGAATGATAGACTGGATAGACTGGATAAAGACTGTATAAAGAAAATGTGGCACATATACAACATGTAGCCATAAAAAAGGATGAGCTCATGTCCTTTGCAGGGAAATGGATGAAACTTGAAATCATCATTCTCAGCAAACTAACACAAGAACAGAAAACCAAACACTGCATGTTCTCACTCATAAGTGGGAGTTGAACAGTGAGAACACAGACACAGGGAGGGAAACATCACACACTGGGGCCTGTCATGGGGTGGGGGGCCAAGAGAGGGATAGCATTAGGAGAAATACCTAACGTAGATGACGGGTTGATGAGTGTAGCAAACCATCATGGCACGTGTATACCTATGTAACAAACCTGCACATTCTGCACATGTACCCCAGAACTTGAAATATAATAATAAATAAATAAATAATCCATTTGCAATGTAATTTTTGCACCAAGTTTTTGCTTCCAACAAACTTGAAGTAGAATTCAAATAAATTGCCCACCGAAAGATCATAAAAATTATTTAATATGGCACAATGTGATTTTGGCATATAAGTCTGAAGGAATTCCAAGAGTTGAGGAACACTGCTCTAACAAAATCCTTTTATTCCCTTAATTTACATAAATAAAATTTTCACAATTTGCCTTCTTTATCAAAAAAAATTGAGAAGAAATAGGAATAAAATTTATGCTGAACCTGTCTCATTTTAAGAAGTACTCCAAATATCTCAAAATAATTTGCAATAAAACTATACTTTATGTTAACTATCACTGTATGAGAATTTATTTCTTATTTATGTTGCCTTGATTAATTATATATTATTACTATAATGAATGCAACTTAGTCCTGAAAACACATTTTAATAGTTGGGGCATTATGATCACAGGAATATTAATGAAGATCATAATAATAATAAAATCTTAAGTTTGAGCATTTATATATCTTTCTTGATATAGCAAAATATGCTAAGATGGTCAGTAAAATACTTTAAAGCATAAATGTATTCTATATAAAGATAAAATTCTCTGGGGGATGTGGCATGAAATAGCAATGCAAGGTTAAGAAGTCGTGTAACGTTTTCAACCATTAGAGAGTTATTCATGTATCATTTAAAGAGATGATAATAGTTACAAATTGCTAAGGCATTAAAAGTCCACTACATTTGAAAGAGTAACATAACAATTGATCTTAAATATTTTCAGTATACCAGAAGTCATATTCTTTGCAATTATTTAAAATACTTATGAAAATTTTGGAAGTCAACTTAAAAACATGTATAATGATACAGTTTTCAAAATTATCTTACAGAAAATGTGAGCAAACTTTTCTAAAACAGCAATAATCTAGTGAGCAACAACTTAAAAACCTTCTTTAGAATAATAATCATGCAAAAACAATTTTCATAGAAGACAGGTTTTTGCAACCCAGAAGCTGAAAGCCAGAATCCTCACAGTGGCCTAGAAAGTCCTATACTGTGTCCTTACCTGCTGTTCTTCCCCCATCACTCCACCTTAATGATGCTGTGCTCCTTGTTACTCTTCAGACTGGCTAGACAAGGTCCTCCTCTGACTTTGCATTGCCTACTCCTTCTACCTGAAACACTATCTCCAGATGTTTTTACGTCTTGCTCTGTTCCCTCCTTCAAGCCATTGTCAGCTACTCATTGAGCCTTACCTTTATCCTACATAAAATTGCAAACCCCTCACCACCAACTTTTCCTTTCCTTTCCTCTGCTTTATTTTTTCTCATGGTGCACAGTACCTCTAACATAAAATGTGATTGAGGTATTTATTATGCTTTTAGTCTCTATACCCTCTGGAATGCAGGCCCCATGAAAGCATAGACTTTGTTCTTTTTGTTCACTGCTGTAACTCCAGGACCCAGCAGCGTATACCTGCAACTTAAGGGGTATTCAATAAAAGATGTTCCATGGTTGAAAATGCAAGTTGTTTCTAAGATTCACGCCCTGTGTATCAAAGGCTTCTTTAGAAAGAAATTTAAACCCTCTTATAAATTCAATTTTCAAAAATATTTTCTTGTTACAGCAGTTATAGTGGAGGTCTGTCATAATGGATTTAGGAATCAAGGAAATAAGCCATCCTTATTCACTATAAATCATTTATTATAGATATAACTTAGCTCCACTATTAACAAGATCATAAAGAAGTTTATATTTATTACTTTATACATTCTTTCAATTAGTTAATCAAGGAACATTTATTCTGCATCTGCTGGTTATTGTGCTATTTGTATAAAAATAAATGATCTATCCCCTCCGCCAGAATGATAGCACAGACCAGTAAAATAGAGCACTTCTTGTTTTTCAAATATGTATTTATTCAAAAGGTTTTAAATTAAATAAATAATATAGTTATACCCACATTCGTATATAAATTCAATGTACTCTGCCCAGTAGGAATTTCATGAAATTTAATGAGATAATCACAGAGTGGCATGAAAATACAAAAGGCCAAGAATAACCAGTATATTTTGGAAGAGAAGGAAGAATTTGCAACAATAAGCCCTATATATAATATCAGAGCTTATCATAAAGTTATAATAATTACAAGCATGGTAGTGACAGAGGGATAAATAAAAAGAACAATGGAACATAATGGAGAGCCCTGCATATATGGAAGCTTGCCATGTGACAGAAATGGCATTATAATACATAGCCAGATTATTTTAAAATATTTAAACTTTTGTTCTTATTATGGAAAAAAAACTTACTCTTCAACTCACAAAGAAATTCCAGGTGGCTAAAGACCCAAACTTAAAAGCAAAAATTTAATAGTATGTAAAAGTGGCTGGGCACGGTGGCTTACACCTGTAATGCCAGCAGTTTGGGAGGCTGAGGCAGGCAAATTACCTAAGGTTAGGAGTTCAATACCACCCTGGCCAACATGGCAAAGCCTTGTCTCTACTAAAAATATAAAATTAGCTGGGTGTGGTGGCGCGCACCTCTAATCCCACCTACTCAGGAGGCTGAGGCAGGATAATCACTTGAGCTCAGGAGGCAGATGTTGCAGTGAGCTGAGATCACACCACTGCCCTCCAGCCTGGGTGACAGAATGAGACTCTATCGCAACAACAACAAAAAATATAGTATCTAAAAGAAAACTTAGGAGAATATATTTATGATCTTTTGTTATAGGAAAGATTTCTTAGGAAGGACTTTAAAAAACAGTAACATAAAACAAAAATTGATTTACTTTAACAAAGTTATAAAATAAAAGATAAGCACGGAATGGAAAGATATGTTTGCTTGATGTATAAGGAATGGGATTATTATATATAATATATAAAGAGTTTAGGTCAATCAATACGAAAAATACAAAGCACCAAATCAATAAATGGGCAAAGCATATAAAATTTAGAGACTAGGGTATCTAAGTGACCAACAAACAAAAGAAAAAAATGCTCAGAAATGAATGGAAACATTCAAGTTAAGACAATAATAACAGCATTTCATATTCATTAGACTGGCAAAAATGTGGAAGTCTGATAATGCCAAGTGTTGAAGAGAATGTGGAGTAAATCTCACATAATATTGATTGGAGGATAAGTTGGTTGAATAACTTAGGAAGGCAATTTAGACATACGTAATATGTTTTAAAAATTGTTTGACTTAGCAGCTGCTAAGTACAGTAGTCTCCTCTTACCCTTGGATTCACTTTCTACAGTTTCAGTTACCTCCAGTCAACTGCAGACCAAATATAGCCAAGCACAGTACAATGAGATATTTTGAGAGAGAGAGTATAAGTGTATAAAAATACACTTTTATTACAGTATATTGCTATGATTGTTCTATTATTAGTTATTATTGTTGATCTCTTACTGTGCCTAATTTATAAAAGAAATTTTATCCTAGGTATGTATACATAGGAAATACCGTAAGTAGTATATATAGAGTTAAATAGTATTCAAGGTTTCAGACATCCACTGGGGTTCTTGGAATGTATTACCCACAGATAAGAAGGGACTACTGTATATATTTTGGATAAACTCTTGCACAAGTGCACAAAGAACAAAATACAGGGATGCTCATTGTAGCTTCTTAATACAAACGGTATATTAGACATAATGTAAATGTCTATCAACAAGAGATTAAATGAGAGGTGTCTTATTTTTACATGGAATATCATAATGCAGGTAAATAAATGAATTAGATTCATGTGTGTTTAAGTGATTAAATCAGTGAGAAAAACCAAGGCACAGAGTAATAAGGACAGCATAATACCATTTATAAAATGTCTAAAACACACAATTTAATGTTGTATGTTGCTTTATTATACATGTATGTAATGAAGGTGGGTGAGTGGAAACTACCACCGATTCCTCCCACTTTCAGAAATACATAATACCCCATTTACAAAATATGTTTTGTATATTTATATTTTTTAGTAGCTTTTATCAAATTGTTGGAATACTTTGATCCAAAAGACAAACAGATTCAGCCAGCTGTTTAGGGCAACAGATTTTCTATCCCAATTTGTCTGTAACATTGTGGAGAAGGCCCTGGTGCTGGTGAACACTGATGTGACTTACTTGAAGCCTTGATTTGAAGCCCTTGATACTATGCCAGGGTGGAGCTTGTTCCTCCAACCTCTGCTGAGATCCCTAGAGCAATTCAGAGCCTGGAAAAAATAGGCAATAGTGCTCAAACTGGTAGCTCCAGACAGCTCAGTTAAAGAAGCTGCTCTGGTTTGGTAGCCACTGAGGTGTGGGTGTGGATTTACACTGGAGAGATCATAGGCAATCGTGGCATCACTGGCTATAATATTTGAAGACTAATCTTTAACATCTGACTATATTTGACTTACTATTTGAGTGTTCTTCAACCATGTGTGACATTTTATTTGATAAAGTAAGATTTGTCAAAAAAAAAAAAAGACAACCTTCTTCTCCTTGGAAAATTGTTTCTGTATCATGGTTTTAGCCAACATTCATAAATTTATCCCCTTTGTCTTACTCTATCTCCCTACCAGATTGTTCTTTTGGATGTTAGAACTGTGTATAACAATAGTTTCTTATGCATTTCTCCTTGGATGACCACCAACTCATCCACCTAAAACTTAACATGTGAAAGAATGAACTCATCTTTCCTCCCCATCCTTGCTCCTAGTCTCTGGTTCATATCTCTGGGAATGGCCAAGGACAAGTGGGAACTGTTGGAAGATGTTCAACACATTCTCATTGTTTTTTCTTTCCCGCTCAACACCCCAACTAAAGTGAACTTCTTTTAATTCTTTTGTAAGATATGTTTTCTCTGGCCTCTGGGTCTTTGCTCAACTGATTCTTATATACTCACCCTCCTCCACCTTCATACAGCCAATTTCTGCCAATATCTTTAGGTCTCACTATACAGTTAGCCCTCTGAATTCAAGGTTCCACACCCATGGATTCAACCAACTGCAGACTGAAAATATTCAGGAAGACAATAGAAAAATTACAACACAACAATAAAAAACAAATTTTTAAGCAACACAGTAAAACAACTATTTAAAAAAGCATTTACATTGAATTAGGTATTATAACGAATCTAGAGATGACTTAAGGTATACAGGAAGATATGCATAGGCTATATTTATGCAAATATTATGCCATTTTCTATAAAAGACTTGAGGATCTGCAGGAGTCTGGGAACCAATCCTGCCCCACCATCCCCCACTGTAGATACCAAGGGGCGACCATATATATTGTTTCTTTTAATTTCCAAGTCTGAATGGTCCACTTTTGTGCTTTTCTCAGGCTTTCCACATATAAGTGCTGAAATCATGCACTGAAACACTCAGGGGAGCATTATTTACATCATGGTCTATGGCAATGGTGCTGCTGGAGTTGTGCGATGTGGTAACCATGTCATAATGTCCCTATCACAGTGCTAACCGCACTGTATTGTAACTGCCTGCTGACTTATCCATCGTTCTCACTGAGTAGACAAGGGACATCACACTAGATACCAGAAGTCAACGTATGAAAACATCAAATCTTTACCTCCATCATGAGGCCATGTAGGCACATACCCTCTACTCATATACCATACCAGAAAGTAATTTTAGGGAAAGAAGCAGAGAAGGAGAAGTCATCTAAGAAACTGAGTATTTTATCTAAGACTTAATATTTCCTAAAAGGTGTAAGAATAAGTACCTGCCAAGGCAAGGTAGCTCACGCATATAATTCTAGCACTTTGGCAGGCCCAGGAGGGAGGATTGCTTGAACCCAGGGGTTAGAGCCCAGCCTGGACAACATAGGTAGACCTCATTTCTACAAAAAGTAAAAAAAAAAAATAGTTGGCATGATGGTGCACACCTGTGGTCCCAGCTACTCAGGAGGCTGAGGTGGGAGGATCACTTGAACCTGGGAGGTCAAGGCTGCAGTGAGCCGAGATCATGCCACTGCACTCCAGCCTGGGTGACAGAGGTGACAGAGGGAGACCCCGTCTCAAAAAACAACAACAACAACAACAAAAGTAACAAGCTGACCATCAGAAAATAAGCACCATGATAGCAGATTGCTCTTCATTGGTCCATTTTAAATTCCCTGCCCCTAGGAGAGTGTCTCACACATAGCAGTCCCTGAAGAAAGGTTTTACTGAATGAACAAAGAAGTCAAGTTGTCTTATGATTAATGTATTAGACTATATGTAAACTGAATTGAGGGCCCATGAGGAAGACGAGAACAGAGCTAGACAGGCATCCATGTTGCTGTATTGTGTTAAATTTGTGGTCCCCCACATGTTAGCATGTTAAGAATTCCTTAGGATCAGGAAGCTTTGTAAGGCTATTTA
The DNA here is from genome assembly GCF_000001405.40 of Homo sapiens. Classification (NCBI taxonomy): domain Eukaryota; kingdom Metazoa; phylum Chordata; class Mammalia; order Primates; family Hominidae; genus Homo; species Homo sapiens. Next base: position 152,798,430 of record NC_000003.12, on the reverse strand, counting down.
ATTTATTCAGGGACAATTCAGGAGAAAGAAGGAAAAAAACAGGAAAAGAATTCATGGAAACTAGAATCACAGGAAAGCTGAATATATTCTATAGATTTCCTGGCTCTTTAACAAGTAACATTTCTACAGCATTTTATAGACCCACAGAACTTTACATACCTTATCTCCTCAGCTACTCACCATGGAAGATAGAGACTACTATGTCATTTCCTTCCTGTCAAAGATAAAGATAATATCTCTCTACATTAAGTAGAGTTCTTTTAAAAAGTTTCTTTTACATCTTAAAGGTCATGAAAGTTGATCATCAAGAGCTGTTTGCTTTCTTTCCATTGTGTTTACTTTATTTTCAATAGAGTTCTGTTTGTTGAAAAGACAAGTACAAAAACAAATTTTAATGGAACTGGATTGTGTTGGGGATTAGAAAACAATGCCCCAAACGAAGGTCTCCGCAGGAGCCTCAGAAGCAAAAGTTTTTCTCTGATCTCCTGTCTCCCTGTCTCTCAATCCCATTCTCCCCCTCGCCGCCAGGTTAGCTAGAATCCCTCTTCCCAAAGGTAGGTGATAGAAACCAGAAGTCCTTTTCCCCAGAGCCAGCCATAAAACCTAAAAATATTATTCTGTCCCTCTGTTCAAGCTGTGTAAAAATGGGCTACAAAGAAATTACTCAACCTACCTTGTTTGACTGCAGGTCATAAGACCCCCATTCCAGAGAAGGCCCTGCCCCACACCCAGAAGGAAGGAATACATGCTCAGAGAGGCGAAGAAGAATCAAGAATGACAGGCCTTGCTGGATTTGCCCACTCAGTCTATTAATATTCGATCATATTCTTTTAGTTCAGTTATATTTCTTTTTTTTTTTTTTTTTTTTTTTTTTTTTTTTGAGACGGAGTCTCGCTCTGTGGCCCAGGCTGGAGTGCAGTGGCGGGATCTCGGCTCACTGCAAGCTCCGCCTCCCGGGTTCACGCCATTCTCCTGCCTCAGCCTCCCAAGTAGCTGGGACTACAGGCGCCCGCCACTACGCCCGGCTGATTTTTTTTTGTATTTTTAATAGAGACGGGGTTTCACCGTTTTAGCCGGGATGGTCTCGATCTGCTGACCTCGTGATCCGCCCGCCTCAGCCTCCCAAAGTGCTGGGATTACAGGCGTGAGCCACCGCGCCCGGCCTAGTTCAGTTATATTTCTACACAGCTATCCATACTGTGTTGAACCTAAGCATAAAAACGGACAATTTGGCAGATGAAAACCACAATGAGAGATCATCTCACAGCAGTCAGGATGGCTTTTTTTTTAAAGTAAAAAAAAAAAACAGATGTTGGTGAGCCTGCAGAGAAAAAGGAACACTTAGGCACTGTGGATGGGAATGTAAGTTAGCGCAGCCACTGTGGGAACCAGTTTGAAGATTTCTCAAAGAACTAAGAGTTGAACTATCATTCAACTCAGCAATCCCACTTTCAAAGGAAAATATGTCATTCTACTGAAAAGACACTTACCCTGTGTGTTCATCTCAGCTCTGTTCACAATAGCAAAGACATGGAATCAACCCAAGTGCCTATCAGTGGTGGACTGGATAAAGCAAATGTGGTACATATACACCACAGAATACTACACAGCCATAAAAAAGAATGAAATAATGTCCTCTGCAGCAGCATGGATGCAGCTGGAGGCCATTATACTAAGTGAATTAATGCAGAAACAGAAAACTGCATGTTTTCACTTACAAGTTGTAGCTGCATATTAGGTACACATGGACACAAAGATGGGAACAATAAACATTGGGTACTACTAGGCAGGGAGAGAGAGGGGAGCAAGGGCTGAAAAACTATTGGGAACTATGCTCACTACCTACGTGATGGATTCATTCATACTACAAGTCTCAACATCATGCAATATATGTTTGCAATAAACCTGCACATGTACCCCCAATCCTAAAATAAAAGCTGAAAAAAATGGACAATTTTTTCTGTATCTTTGGGTCTTTATGCTGAAGGCTCCCATGTATACATGTTAAGCAAATTTGTAAGTTTTTATTCTATTAATCAATGTGCCTCATATCAGTAATTTTTCAGCGAGTTTTAGGGGGTCAAGGGCATTGGCCCCCACAGTTACTAGGTTAAAGTTTCATTAACTGTTTTCCACACAGCCTAAGATTCCATAAAATGTGCTGAGGTGCATTGATGTATTAACTAAGAAGGGTTACCTGTAGACATTTTAGTGGCAATTATGATTCTTTCATATTTCCATTGAAAATACCACTGAATCTGATCTTTTTTTCTCAGCTATAAAGTACATATTTAAATGCACCCTATAGTGATGCATCTGTTCCTAAGTGCAACCAAAATCCACACTAAAAAGATACCAGAATAATGTAACTGCCTGGTTAAGTTTCTATATTTCAACATGTTTAAACTATGTGACTTTAAAATATTGGAAAACTTTTGGTTAGTTTTTTTTTCCTTTACAGCCACCCACTTTTGTGTGTATCAGTTACCATTAGAGTTCTTTTTAATGTATAGATCTTGGAGAATGTATCTCTTTTAAGTGTAGTGTACTGTACCAAATAGCTCAGTGATAGATTACATGTTTGGGGAAATATGATCTTATTTGTTATACCATAATTTAGTTCACATCCAGTAATACTTCACTCAGCTTATTTGATCCTGGCATAATTTGAAGAGACAAATGACATAAATATATGTTTCAAAATAAATTCTATAGATATTTGTTTGCTCCCTCTGATAAAATGTATCTCATGGCAGGATAATACGATGTCACAGTTTGAGATTAGTTTTTATTGGTTTTTAAACTGTGCTATTCCCAGACCAACTGGTGCCTTATGTTAAGAATTGTTTCTCAGAGCACCGACTGTAGCACTTTCATTATTGATGAGATTAAGCAATGCAGCCATTTACTGATTGGAGCAAGTATATGGATTCTTCACTATTGTCCATAATTGTGATAAATTAAAGTATGCTTATTTTTTCTAGCCTTCATTTAAAAATTGCATAATTTGCTTGAAGTAGACACTTTTTTTCTCAATTCATCTACTTCTATGATATGTCCTAATGAAGTAATTTCTAACGCATTTGCCTGGCTATAACTCCAGCTCTTTTCACTGACAGAGATGTTTACACTGAATCTGATATCTCATCTTCAATGTCTATATAGTACATCTCCTTGGAAGATTAATTTTGCTGTCAGCGTAACCAAAGCTTGAATTAACTATCTCCCAGATGAATGTTGTTAGAGTTACTGAAAGCAGAGTACAACTACTTACAGTGAGTTGCCATCACATGGAATCTACTCCTGATGACATTTGAAGGGGTGACTAAATTTCCTTCAAACTAAAAGCTGCTCTGGAACCTAAAGACTTTCATTCCAGCCTTCAACAGGATCCTCCTCTCACTTCCTCTTGGTTTATAAATGCCTTCAAAGAAGGATGCCCAGGATTTACCACCTGGTGTTGAAAATGAGAAACTTCAGGAGCCATGGAGATTCCACATGACTCCAGTGCTGGCAAGAAGCCAGGGAAGAGTAAAAGGAGGGATGCAACAGAAAGACTTAGGACTCTTCACAGTTCAACTGCTTCATGTTCCCAGAAAGTATTAAACACATGGAAGACATACTTCTGTTGTTATTGTTGATTGTTGCCCATTTTATGGATAGCTCCCACTCTGTTGGGGAAAAAAGATGAGAAATAGAGAGCTTAATAGATAAGCAATAAAGAAACTAGGTTTTTTTCATTTGCTTTCCATTCAAATCCATTGCTTTAAAAAGCAAAATTAGGCTGGGCATGGTAGCTCACACATGTAATCTTAGCACTTTGGGAGGCTGAGACAGGAGGATCACTTGGGGTCAGGAGTATGAGACCAACCTGAGCAGAATGTCTTTCATTAATTTGGCAATGGAGCTCCCACCCTCAATGATGAGACAAGAAAAGAAAATCCTTCAGTATGAGAGTTATCTTGAAATAAACGGTCCCCAACTCATACATGCCCTTAAACACCATGTTCTTTCTTGGGTTACCATCTTAGAATAAACACTCAGAATATGAATTGTCTTTTCTACAAATCACCACAGCTGTTGATTAGGTTTTGATTTCAATTGTTGGTTTGGGTTTTGATTCAAATGTTTCAAAGCAACATAATTCATTCTTGCATTCATTCCGTAAACATATTGTAAACTACCTATTGAATTTGTTCCAGGAACTATAAAAATGGTGGACATAAAAAGACAAACAAGAATGTTCCTGTTAAGTTGACAGATAAGGTAGGAAGGCTGACATATAAGCCAAAATTATCTTGCCAGATAGACAAAGATGTGAGCAAATATGCTGAACAAAGGAAAGCCTAAGCAAAAGGATTTATTATTGAGCATACAAATTCTAACAGTTATGAATCTTATCTTATGGTCGAGAAAAATATTTTGGTGAGAGTTAGGTTTTATGAGTCAAGGTTGTAAAGAAAGGGAAGGATCAGATGATATTTGTTTTTTAATGCAATGCTAAGGAGTTAGTACTTTATCCTATAAACCAGTGTTTCTCAAAGTGGGTTCATAGACCAGTAGTGATCCCCATCAAGTGACCAGGTGGTCTAGAGATACTTGGATTGTTTTAGAAAGTGAAGTAATAAGCAATTTAATTTATATGCATTTCAGAAATTTGGAATGTGAAATTATTTTCATAAGCTACTATTGTTATAACTATTTCATTCTTTAAAAGTATGCATATGTTACAGAGAATTAAAATTAAAATTCCTTCAAGGACGAGGCAGGTCATGTGTATGAATAAGCAGGTTGTCTATAATTTGTTTTTCAGTATCAGAGAGAAACAGGGAGGGAGGGAACTATGAAGACCTAGGGAGTACATTTTCTGTAAAGAGGGAAGATGTTAAGGAATCCAGCTAATTGTTGCCATGTAGGAATTCAAGATATATTATATCATATCATATATTTAATATAGAAAATATATATTTATAATATATCTACATATTATATAACATATATACATGTAATATTTTATGTATATATGTATTACATATTTGACCTTAATTTATTATATGTATAATATACATGCATGTGCAGGCGTGTGTGTGTGTATTTGTTTTCAAAGAGTAGCCATAAATCTGGATTTCTAGGCAACCTCTTTCAATACGTATGTTGGCAAATAATCCACATTTAAAACACATGTGGCCCAGTAGTATCAAGTCAAAGATCACACATTTGTGGGCCAGGTTTAAAGTCATTGTAACATTACATGGATAGCATTGGTTCATTCTACTCTTCTAGTGCTTGGTTAAAGTGGGGAGGAGCAAGGGAGTTTCACTAGCTAAAATATTTTCATGTCTCTAGGAACTATTGTTTAATGTTTTTAAAATATTTTATATTTTTAATGTATGTTAGATGTGCATTTTACTGTTACTGTGGCATTTCATCATATTTCATGACATATATCTTGTTTACCACAAAAGGTCAATGGCTCAAAAGTGATCCATTGAAGAATAAAACAAGGAATGAAAGTAGAAATATAAATTCTCCGAAGCAAAAATGCTATCTAACTCTGTGTGTGCTGGAAAAGCAAGTTGCCCAAAACTATATCATAAGAAAAAGACAATGGCATTTCTTCTAATTTCCTAATTTACATGATCATATTAACCAATATTTAAATACCTTAAAAGTCATTGATACTATCCTAATCATTTGATTATATTAAAGATTAAGCATTAAATATTCTTTTTACTATCAAAATTACTGTACTGACTTTTTAATTAACATAATTTTGGAAGGAATCCACATTTATCATGTGATAGGTGATCTCCATCATCAAACATGTGCATAGTAGAAGAAACATTGAAGAAGTTAACAAGGAAATGTATTTTCAAATATATGTCTTGTCATTGATTCTTGATAATAATGATGCAATATAAGAGCAACTATTAATTTAACATCAAGTACTCTGCTATATCTTTCCAATGTATGCATGATCTCTTATTGCTAGCAGGAGAATAACTCTTAAAGGAAATTATTGTTATCCCCCCATCACACAAATGAGGAGAGCAAATTCAGGTTATCATATCTATTCAGTTGGTGAAATTTTTAATAATTACTTAATATCACCATTGGTGCCATATAGAAGAGGCAAAGCCAAAATTTAATACAGGTTTTTTTGAATTCTAAACTCATGATCTTTCCATTTCACAATGCTACTCTTCTGCTTTAATCCATGTAAACTTGTACCTACAGCATATTGAGTAGCTCATAGTTAGTATAGTTGTTTTTAGCTTGGTATTTTGATGTTTTAAAAACTTTTAATTTCATATATTTTTCACACTTTTAAAATTTGATACTTACCCCTTTTAATTCCTCTCTAGTTTGTTAACCAAAATATTTAACAAAGAAATCCACCAAGCTTTAAGGAACTATAAACCCATAAACTTTTTTTTTCTTTCTTTTTTTTTTTTTTTAATTTACAGAGTCTCGCTCTGTTGCCCAGGCTGGAGTGCAGTGGTACAATCTCGGCTCACTGCAACTTCCACCTCCTGGGTTTAAGCAATCCTCCCGCTTCAGCCCCCCAGGGAGCTGGAACTATAGGCACAAGCCACCAAGCCTGGCTAATTCTAATATTTTTTGTAGAGAAATAGTTTTACCATGTAGCCCGGGCTGGCCTTGAGCTCCTGAAGTCAAGTGATCCACCTACCTCGGCCTCCCAAAGTGCTAGGATTACAGGCATGAGCCACTGCACCTGGCCAGTGACCATAAACTTTTAAAATGTAGGAGATAATATTTTCAAAATATCAGCCTTAATATTGATCATGTGTATCTCTAGTGATACATCATATAAACACTTTTCTTACTATCATTTCTCCCAGAAATAGCCATTATATTTAAACTCATTATGGATAGAATGTTATCAGGAAGGAAAACTTTTCCTCTATCCTTTTAAATTCTGTAAATGGTGACCTGTGAATTTAACTGACAATAGACACATTAACAGAAAAAAAAACCCTAAAATTTATTTATATGCATATGCTAATGCACAAAAGCAGCAGCTGACTAAATGGCTAGAGTTAGAGGTTTATATACCTAACTTAATAGGGGTGAGGGGTCAAGAGAAAAGGCTTCTATGGAAAGAACAAAAGATTCCTAAGTGAACAAACAGGAGAAAATAAACTTTGAGATGCTTGTTTATGCATGTGTGAGTGGTCTTTTCCATTTTTATCTTCATGGCTATAAAACTCCCTTTAGCGTCATTCCCAGAAGTTTCTGCTTTTAGTAAGATAAGGGAAGCTTGAAAAGACTTCCGTCTGCATCTGTTGAATCTCAGATGTCTTTAGTTTAAAATTCTCTTTATGCCAATTCGAGGGTCTGAGTCCTTAATGTTAAACTTTACCCACATAAGAAAATTTTTTTAGATATAAGAATTTTCCTATGATGCTTACTTATTGAAAACCTATCCTCCAATTACAAAAATACTCATTGAATCTGTTACCAGCCACAAGTTCTTAGGCTCCTACGCAGTAGAAACTGACACAAGGCCAAGCAAATTTCCCAGACAAAGCTTTTATTGGGGGCTTATGTTTGAGCACCAGAGAGACTGTACAGGAGGGAGAGTTCACCAGCTTGTGATCCTTTATTTGGCAAGGGAAAGGAGTCAATGTTAAAGGAAAGCTATGTCAGCATGATTAGGGAGGGGGTTTCAGCTGTGCAAACGTAGTGTAGAAACATACTTTTTCATACATCACATGACTAAAAAGTGGCAGAAAGCTCCTCCTTGAGTGGGGATTTTAGTATTATTGAGAGGTGAAGCCAGCTGGACTTCCTGGGTCAAGTGGGGAATGGGATAACTTTTCTGTCTAGTTAGAGGTTTGTAAAACGCACCAATCAGCTCTCTGTGGCTAGCTAGAGGTTTGTAAAATGGACCAATCAGCACACTGTAAAATGGACCAATAAGTGCTCTGTAAAATGGATCAATCAGCACTCTGTAAAGTGGACCAATCAGCACTCTGTAAAATGGACCAATCAGCAGGTTGTGTGTGGGAACAAATAAGGGAATAAAAGCTGGCCACCCCAAATGAAGATGGAAACCATCATTCTGAGCAAACTACCACAAGGACAGAAAACCAAACACTGCGTGTTCTCACTCATAGGTGGGAATTGAACAATGAGAACACTTGGACACAGGGTGGGGAACATCACACACCGGGACCTGTCATGGGGTCGGGGGAGGGGGGAGGGATAGCATTAGGAGAAATACCTAATGTAAATGATGAGTTAATGGGTGCAGCACACCAACATGGCACATGTAAATATATGTAACAAACCTGCACATTGTGCACATGTACCCTAGAACTTAAAGTATATATAAAAAAAAAAAAGCTGGCCACCCCAGCCAGCAGCGGCAACCCACTCGGGTCCCCTTCCACGCTGTGGAAGCTTTCTTCGTTCGCTCTTCACAGTAAATCTTGCTGCTGCTCACTCTTTGGGTCCGTGCCACCTTTAAGAGCTGTAACACTCACCTCAAAGTCCGCAGCTTCATTCTTGAAATCAGCGAGACCAAGAACCCACTGGAAGGAACCAACTCCAGACACATTACAATGAGGCAAAAGGTCAGGATCAGTCATTCTGCTGGTCTTGCCTGTAATAGGGTTAACTCCTCTGAATAAGATTTATGGTGGATTTATGGTGGCTGCCTATCTTAGTTTCTTCATATAGTTTGCAAGGTCTGGTGAGCAGGTATGGCACTAATGGAGGTGGTACAGCAAAGTCTGGTAGTCAGCAGATATGAAAAAAAAATGCATTAGTGGGTGTTGAGGCCCAAGTCTCATCCCTACTCTGTCGCATTCCCACCCCCGCCCCTCCACAACCAATCACCTGAGAGATTTTATCTTCCTTTTTCTTAAGGAGAAGGGGCTAGAGTTCTCATCTTCTGGAGCTATTTCCTGCTCATCGGGGTTGTCATCCCTGCCTAACTTTGGAGGCTGTAAAAATCTCTCACTGACTGGTCTAATGATGTACAGGGACTCAGATCCTCCTGGGATAGTATTGGTTGTTCCACCATTAGCTTGACTGGGGGATTTCAAGCCTGAGAGGCACAAAGTTTAATAGTCCTCACCCCTGTGGAATAACATAAATAATTATTTAAAAAAATAAAATAGCATCAGTGATAATTAGTAAACATCCTTAAGCCCAGTTTAACATGCCCATAAGAACAAATCAGATGCCATCTGGAATCCAAGTGAATAGGCTAGAAAACCAGTCTCCTGCCATCTGAAATATCAGAGTGTGTTGATCTAGAGTATGTTGCAACTAAGTAACTTTCTGTCTTATTTTTTTCTATTCTAATTTCAATTTGTGAAAATGCATTTATATATGCGCAGCAAGAGGAATTAGTTAGCATGCAACCCCCACCTTGTTCGGCAAACATGTAATGTAGAGCTATTCTATTATCTAAAACTACCTGGGCTAGTGAATTGAGTGATTCTTCAAAATCAGTTAAAGAATTGGCAGTTTCATTAGCTAATATGAATATGGTCTTTGAAATATTCCTCAATACCCATTGATGAGCTGCTACTCCCCACCAGGAAAGCAATGAATAGCCCCAAAAAGTTTGTCTTCATCTGGGATACCTCCTGGTAAATCTCTTGCTACCTCAGTGAATAATTTGAAGGAGCTCGTCCAATGATTGACTTTAGTGTTTTTGTGAACACAAAAACAGACCACTGAAGTTTCCATAAGATATGACCCCTTGTTAGTTTCATTGCTTAGACATGGGGACACCTATTCTTTGCCATCCCATGCACACACAAAAATGTAGCATGGGAGTGCACTCATCTTATGTGTGGCATTTTGGGATGATTGGGTAATATTAATATAAGGGTCTATTGCATGTCTCCAACCCCACACATTCTTACATATTGGTAACAGCCGTTCCTTTCTAGGGTCAAAGGCTTTGCATAAATTTAAAGGTAGGCTTAACTGTTGATCCTAGGTGGGTATTTCACATTTTAAAAAGCAGAGTAGGAGTTGGAGTTGTCCTGGAAGATGTACGAATTTGACCCAATATGTAACCTGAGATGTTGTGGTGGTGTGGGAATTGGAGGCTCTGGAGCCCCAAGGGGTTATAGACTAGAAAAATATAAAACATAAGTTAGGAGACTTTCAGCCCAGAAGGAATACAAGATTCAGTACAAATTGTAGAAAATAATAATCAAAAACCTCAAAACAGTGAACAAGACTAGAATCTAAAAATAGGTATACTATAGTTTTTTTGAATTTTTCTTGAAACATAATTTTTCTGTCTCCAGTCTCTCATTTTTACCAAAGACAAATCATGGTAGGACCAATTTATTTGCAAAATTAGTTTTAGTCTTATTATATTTGGCCTGATTATTTGTCTATAGTGCCACAATTTGTATATATAGTGCCACATTTGTATATAGTGCTCTTTTTTTTAAATTGGCTTTGCTGAAACTTTGTTCCATAAGGAATCTTGGACCTTTTTTTTCCCATAAGGAATCTCAGTTTGTTTGTTTGTTTGTTTGTTTGTTTGTTTGAGACAGAGTGTCGCTTTGTTATCCAGGCTAGAGTGCAGTGTGCGATCTTGGCTCACTGCAACCTCCGCCTCCTGGGTTCAAGTGATTCTCCTGCCTCAGCATCCTGGGATTACAGGTGTGAACCACCACACCCAGCTAATTTTTGTATTTTTAGTAGAGACAGGGTTTCACCATGTTGGCCAGGCTAGTCTTGAACTCCTGACCTCAAGTGATTCACTTGCCTCAGCCTCCCAAAGTGCTGAGATTACAAGCGTGATCCACCTTGCCTGGCCTCAGTTAGACTTTTTAAAAGCCATGAGCCCAGCCATGGATTTATCTGTGCCTGCATTTGCTGGATGAATTGGGTGATTCCTCTCCTCTCAAGGTCGTAAGATAACTTGGGGCTCTTGGAACTGTAAGAAAGTGACATTCTTTACTTACCACAGGAATCTTGTACAGGGACTGGATAGATAAGACATGAGGCCAGTTTCTCCAAGGGGTTTTTATTGGCTCTATAAGTCAACTCCAATTTTTGAAAACAGTCTGAAAACATGGCATTTCAGATAAAGCCTTGGTGAAACAATCAGTGTCTCCAATTGTGTCCTGTTACAAAAGAAAGGAGATTCTTATTGCACTTATGCAAATAACTATACTGCCATAAGTTAAGAATACTCACAAATAGTTTCCAGATTTTGGAGAAATCAGGTAGAGAGGAAAAAATATGCTCCAAGAAAACACTGTAATTCTGACACATGGGCCCATATTCTGGCCCTACATCAGTGTGTTTTTATGTTAATGTTTAATTACGGAAAAACTAAATAGTACCCTTTTAATTTGAGCCAACTTGCTCACACGCAGAATTTCTTTTACAAGGTTAATCTTTCACAAGCCTTCTATAACTTGCTTAAACCTTCAGCTTTATCTTATCTTTTTTTAACTTAAAACATCTTCAAACCTTCTAAACTGGATGAAATTACTTACTTTTTTTAAAAAAAACCACATTCCCTTGCCTTTTAATCAAAAACATATAACTTTTATTTCTCTAAAAGGGAAGCAATTAAATATTTTTTATTATATACCAGGTACAGAGTCTAGCACACAGGACACAACCACAGATAATGTCTGATGCTTTCCCACATTGCTAGGGGGCATGGCTAACTCCACATGTCCCCAGGCCTTGTGGAATCTAATAGCTCTAAAGCAGGCAAGTTGAACATTTATAAAAAGTCATAAAAGCAGTTCATGATCTTAAAGCATCTAATAAAGACAGTATCTGACCTGTCTAATTTAGACCAAATGTCTAAATTTTGACATAAAAAGTTTTTAACTTATTTTACTAATAATCTTTAAGCTGTCTTTATTTATTAAAGATTATTAAAGTAATATGAACTAAAAGGCATATTAGTTAAAGTTTTTATTTTTCTTATAAAATATTTTATTTAAGCACTTTTCTTTAAGCAAATTAATTAGAGCTCTTTCATATATTTTGGTAATGAAACATTACACACATGTCACATATAAATACACAGATAGAAACAGATCTCATTGTTATATAATTTTTCATTTACCAGTTTTTAAGTTTCTCTTTCTCATTTTAGACCATCAGTATCTTGATTACCTGTTCCCTTCCCTAAACAATTGTCAGCCAAGCTGTTCCAAATTTGCATTTTTAAAGAGATAATTCTTAGGTGAAACAAAATAGGGAATTCATATTTTATTTAAACAAAGGAAAAACGGTGTAAGTAAAAGTTCAGTCAAACTGCCAGGAAAAACAGACATTCTGAGACATGGAGGCTTCCTTAAAGGTGTAAATTTCTTGACTGAATTATTGGCTTTAGGGTGGAGCCTTTTAAGAGACAGCCTATACCTCCTATGTCCTTCCATTAAAGGGCCAGGGCTTGGATGCAGGCTCTGAGACCAAGTGATTGCAAAGAGAGATCACTCCAGGTCCCACACAGCACAGTGCTATAAGTCATGCAAGAAGGTCAAAGTGTCAAGGGAGGAGAGTGAGTCAATTCCCACTCAAAACTGAGTACAGGCTTGGATAGTCCTCTCTATCTCCTCAACTTCATACCTGGTCGAGGTCCTACTGAGTTGAAGCCCATAGTCTGCAGTAACCAAGTGACAATGAATAAAGTGATGCATTAGACAAACAAAAAGAGAAAGTGGGTCAGGACAGGGATTGCTCAGAAATTGAATCCAAGTACTATCTCTTCTTTTCTCACAAAGACTGCATGCAGAATGACAGAACTGCATGCTCCAACAAAGGACAAAAAAGGTCACATACCTCCTTTCCTCACCAAGTGCCACACAGGGAAGTGAAGTAGCAAGGGGCTTTAAACAGAGTTGCTGAATCAAGAGCCAGGATGCCTGAAAGAGTTTTTCCACCGCATGGAAGCCAGGGGAAGGGTGCAATGCACACTTGCAACCCACTGTATACTGGGTTGATCAGCCTTGGGAAACTGACCATTTCAATCTGTCCCTCATGGATGTCTGTTAAAGTGGCTCCAACCAGGAAAAACCAAGCTGACAATTTCAATCTCTCCCTCATGGATGTCTACTAAGGCCAAGCCAGTTAAAATAAGAGGAAGTGAGAAAGGGAAAAAGAGCACCAGAAAGAACAATGGAGATAGAAAAGAAAAGAGAACTGTGGGCAAGGGAGCCTGAAGAGTCCCGGGCAGGCTAGAGGGACTCCCCAGTTGCAGTGACACTGAATCAGAAATGCAGACGGTCACTACTCTGTCATGAAGAGTTCGCAGCCAGCAGTCCTGCTGGCTCTCAAGTCTCCTCCTCCAGGAGAGAAAATGCTACCCACATCCTGTGGTCCTGCTGCATTCACGAAGAAAGCTGTTACTGACCAAGGTTCTTGGGCTCCCACGCAACAGAAATTGACACAGGGCTAAGCAATTCCCTAGGCAAGGCTTTATTGAGGACTTATGCTCAAGTACAAGAGATACCGTACAGGAGCAAGAGTTCCCCATCTGACTCCCTGAGAGGAGTCACTCAGGATCTTTTATTTGGGGAGGGAAAAGGGCCCATGTTAAAGGAAAAGTATCTAAGCATGATTAGGGAGGGGTTTCTGTTGCACAAGTCAGTGTAGAAATGTTCTTTATATGTCACATGATTAAAAATGGTAGATAAACCCCTCCTTGGGTGGAGACTTTAGTATTATAAAGAGGTAAGGGGTCAGGATGAGTCATTCTCCTGGTCTTATATTTTACTGATGTGATCCAACAAATTATGTTTATAAATTATTCTGAATTATCTTCTATAATGGTGGTTCTCAAACATTTTCAGACCAGGGACCACTTCAGCAAGAGCAAATGACATTTTCAGACTAGCATCGTGGGTATACACCTTGTGTGCATGCAGGCAATAGGGTTAATTCCCTTGAGTAAGATTTATAGTGGAATGCTACTTGTCTTAGTTTCTTCATACAGTTTGCAAGGTCTGATCAGCTGGTATGGCACCAGGTCAGGGGTGGTCCTGCAAGGTCTTGTAGTTAGTGGTTATGAAAAAAATTCATTAGTGTGGGCGGGGGCCAAGTACCTTTCCAACTCTGTCTCATGTCTAATTGGGTTGTTCTTTAAATAATACAGACCTTAGATGACTTTCTTAACATGACACGTGAAGCCAAGCAAGATAACCTGGCCAAATGCATTCAGCCCCAAATAAGTAAATGGTAACTCAGAATGATGAACTGAAGAGGGAAAAAACAAGGAAGAGGCAGTGATCTAAAATAGAGTATAGGAAAGTAAATGAAGTTATCAAGTGCTCTCATTAAAAAGCAAAAGAACAAGGCTAATGGTCTCTTCAATCATTCCATTGTTTCACAGGCATTACAAGAGCTAACATAGAGCAAAAAAATCAATAGTCATTTCTGTCACTATGAGATACAGAGTGATAATGCCCATCATTTCATAGTACTGTTTGTAAAATAAACTCTTCCTATGGCCATGGCAAATATGTAAATTGTACAAAGTTTCTAAACATGACCTACAGATAATTAACAATTGAATTTCTTATTAAAATATAAAACACTCAATTTGTCTAATTACAAAATTCATCATCTTTCCTCCTCCAAAAGAAAAACTCTTCCCAAATTTCCCATTTTAGATAATGACACCATTGTTGGTGGAAACTTTCCTAGATCAGTGATGATTTATATGCTTCCTTCTAGTGTGAGAAAATACATTTCTAATTAGATTTTAATTTGATTTAATATTATAATAAAGAGTCTAAGAGTAATTTTACTTTTGTCTTCACATAGCTCAAAAATAGCAGTAGAATGGGGGAAGCAGTATATTACATAAGTGATTTTATTAGGATCTAAGACATTGGTAAGGAATATTTGAAAATGTTTCTCTCCCCAGGGGATATTCCAATGAATCCCTTCAGAGGAATCAAAATGTATCGAGAGAAAAGTGATTCTTTTAAAAATGTCTGCAATGGTTTGGCTCTGTGTCCCCACTCAAATCACTGAATTGTAATCCCCAGTGTTGGGAGAGGGACCTGGAGGGAAGTGATTGAATCATGGGGGTGGATTTTCCCCTTGCTATTCTTGTGATAGTAAATGAGTTCTCATGAGATCTGATTGTTTAAAAGTGTGTAGCACTTCCCCCTTTGCTCTCTCTCCTCCTGGCCATGTGAATGTGCGCTTGCTTCCCCTTCACCTTCAGCCACGATTGTAAGTTTCCTGAGCTTCTCCAGCCATGCCTCCTGTATAGCCTGTGGAACTGTGAGTCAGTTAAACCTCTGTTCTTTATAAATTACCCAGTCTCAGGCAGTTCTTTATAGCAATGTGAGAACAGACTAATACAATGTCATTTTGAGGGATTCACTAATTTAACATTTATATATTGATTGTCATATATATGCTGGGATTGTGCTAGGAAAAAACATATATGACATTGTTGCAACTCCCCAATGGCTTACAATGGGGAAGATAAGATGTGTACACAAATAAATGGAATACCCGTGTAATACAGACTCTTTCAAAGGAAAGTGTCCCAGGATCTCACTCAGAAAAATCACTTGCAGCTGGGGCAATTAGGAAGCTCCCTACTGGAGCTGAAGCCAACAAGGCAATGGGGCATTTTGATAAGTACATATTTAGGAAGAGAATTGCTGGCTGAGGAGATTGTGTAAACCAAAACAATAGATGTGCAGGAGATGGGAATATGTAAAACAATATTACCACCAAGTGGAATATCAGGACAAATCATTAGGTGTACTGGGTTTGATCAATTAGCAGAGAAAGAATCTAGAATTGAGGTTAGGGATTAATGAGACATCAAATGCACCTAGCTAAATATCAGAAATAATTACCATATTCTAAATGAGAAGTGAGCTGTATACCCCTGTTGCTAGGCAGAAAACATCATTTGCTCTTGCTGAAGTGGTCCCTGGTCTGAAAATGTTTGAGAACCATCATTATAGGAAAGAATTTAGAATCACATATAAATATAATTTGTTGGACCAAATCAGTAAAACATAAAATTTGTAACTTAGATTGGTTTTGCTCTTTATTACAATGGTGTGTGAGCATCACATTTCTTATTGGTTTCTATTTCCAGGAAAATAACAGATCTGAGTAGTCTCTCGCTAAGATGAAAATAACAGGATTCACCATAACCCAGTGGATTTGCTTGGAAATTTATAATATCATTAAGTGCAATTCAAAGATAATACACTGAAACACCAAGCCAGGTGTATAGAGTAGCATATGAGATGATAAACATTGTCTCCGTGGATAGAGTCCCAGCCACTTGCCAAGCCAACAGCAAACACCAAAAGCCCCAACCTTCTCTCACATGGAAACAGTATGCTAATATTGTTTAGCAAATACAAATAAATATTAGTCACTAAACTCTTCTTCACTTTGTTTTCATCTATTTGTTTTTAAAGATTCATTAATAAGTATATAAGAAAATTTTGGGGGAAAAATCATTAAGTCTAACCCTCATCTATTTCCTTTCCAACTGCAGAGATTGTTTCCATACTGAATTATTACATTTTAATGATGTTATAAAAATCTTACCTCATTCATAGAGATAAATAATAGAAATAACCATAAATATTAAAATGAAGCACTAATATTTAAAGCGTTTTTAAATCCAAGAGTGTAAAAATCTAAACAGATTTTTAATAATTTTTATAATTGCACATTTTCATTTTCATGAATTTATACATGTGTAATATT
Organism: Homo sapiens; assembly: GCF_000001405.40. Taxonomy (NCBI): domain Eukaryota; kingdom Metazoa; phylum Chordata; class Mammalia; order Primates; family Hominidae; genus Homo; species Homo sapiens. Next base: position 152,781,702 of record NC_000003.12, on the reverse strand, counting down.
TTGCTGACACCTACAAAGTGCATTTATTGAATGTCAAGCTAGTGCTTCACATGTACTATCACTAATGCTTGAAACAATGCTGCAAGCTAAATATCTTTAACTCATTCTACATATAAGAAATCTAAAGTCAAAGAGCTAAAGTAATTTCTCCTGGGTTATAATGTTGGTACAAGACCAAGCTGAGATTTTGAAGACCTCTAGCTGATGTGGGCTTTTTTCATTTTATTTTAAAGGCATTGTTAATTAAATTCTTTATATGTGTCAATTGTGAGACTTTCCGTGTCGATTTCGTCTAATCCTCATAAAAACCCTATATATTTCAACTAACTATGAAATTTGTTCTACAAAAATAAAAACTTAAGGCACAGAAAGAAGAAATAAGTTATCTGCATTCATACAGATCCTAAGAAGTGGGGTCCAGTATACAGTTCAATAGAGCAAAGTTACCAACTAATTGTTCCATATGAAATGTAGAACATTTGTTTACTGAATTACTCCATACCATTATCATTATTATAACATAATCTTTTAATGCTGTGGAATCTATGTATTATGCTCCCAGTAGGCCCTAGGCCTTTAGTGGATATTTTTCTTTGCATTTTATGCTATATGTATTTTAAAAAATTCTTTCAAAGTCTATGTTTCACTGGAATAGCCTCTAATAGAAAAAAAAGGCCCAGTAGAGGTCAATTGTAAATAAGGACAGAGTAAATGTAGCATAAGATTTGCCTACCATTTGCTAATCTGCCTGTGGTTTATAATTTCATGTATTATAAACATTGATTCTTTATTCATTTTAAAATATAAAAATATCTAACCTTCACTCATTGTATTTAAAGAAAACTGAATAGATTTATGAATGTAAAAATACCTTCTTTTGCTCAAGAACGATACAAAATTAGCAATTGCATAGCTCTTGATTAGTCATTACTTATAAGTCAAACACATTATTGTCTCCTTCCCCTCCAACTCTGACTCACTGAAAAGTGAGAAAAATATATGCTTGGGTGGTTTCTACTTTGTTCTTTTCAATAAAATGTTGAAATAAGATGTTTCAAGCTAGACACTAAGTTTTTGCTAGTTTTCTTACCTACACGCAAATAACCTGCTTATTTTGAAAAATTTAAAATATAATAATTGACTTGACCTTTGAGAGGTGGTTAGCCCAGCGCCTAGTAAAGAAGACACACAGTAGAAGTTCCATCTTTGTGTGGTGCCCTCTCTACCATCTGTAGTTTAACAGAAAGAGAATAGTCCTTGGCCATGTCTGAGTGTGGTCACTGCATTGTCCGAGTGTGGCCTTCTCAGGAACAATCTTTACTAATGGTGGCATACAACTCAATATCTTATCTATTAGATGACTTTATTTTTGCCATTCCTAAAAGTATTTCTCATCTCCCAGCTTGTTCCTAATCTTTACCCTTTACATACATCATGTAGATGATAGATTTTTCTTCAGGCCAATTGATAATGCACTGCCTCTTTCACTGCTTGAGAGAGAACCAGCTGAGCTTATTGTGTTCATAGATGCATCTCAGCCTTGCTGCAATTTTTCACAATATCATAAAGCTAGCCAAAGCACTCAAGAAATGAAATTTTCATCTACTGGTGATCAGAGAATCTCAGAAATTTAGAATCATGAGTAATCTTGTAGCTCATGAAGATCAACTCCTTCATTTTTCAGTGAAAGAAACTTCATTCTAAAGAGTGGAGGGGCTTCTCTGACACCATGCAGTGAGTGAGGAGCAGGGTTGGAGCTAGAGCTCACATTTTCTGACTTAAAGCATTCTTTCCTCTCAGTTCCAGCTGCCTCCCATTTTCTGCATGATGTCATTAGGCAAGAATGTTAAAAACTGGCAGTCACCACTTTCAACCACTTTCATCTCCTTCTCAATGCATTGTGACAGTTCTGAAAAATAGTGGGGATCATTGAGAGAGTGAGACATGCATGTATTCTGACTCCCTATTATTGAGTTATGTCAGTATAGGCCTCTCCCATCTTGGGGTGCCCCGTCTGCCTTCACGTTTGTCTTCACATATATATCATTGCTTTTTTCTGGTAAAGAATTGACTAAGCAATGACACAGGAAAGGGTTGGTATTTTTGTCTGTTTGTCCTTGCTCTAAAGTTGAGGCCATGTAGGGGTCATCATGAATTTGAGCAGATATTAGACTGAAATGTGAGAGCAGGAGAACACTTTTCCAGATGCATCTGTATTTAATTAGGCAGTCAAGCCAATCTAATTCTGACATTTGACAGCTTAACTCTCTGATATTGAAAGGCAATTTGTGAGGTAAAGCGTTTGTTAAAAGTAAGCATAAAGGCAAAACTAAGATGCTGACTTTTAAGGTGATGGTCAGCCATACTATAGTATCTATCCTCAATAGCATCATAATTATACTAATTGTACCAACTTTATCACCTTAACTTTTCTCAACACTTAGGACAGAGTACTATAAATAGAAAATTCCATGGATGATTTTCAAATAAGAGGAAATTATATAAAAAATCATTTTTTAAATTTTGACTAGAAAATTATATAGGAAAGATTTCAAATATAAGAATGAGTTTAAAGTAAAGAAAAATTCATATATAATAATATAATAATATTTATTCACTTCCTCATGGTTGTTTTAATGTGCATTTAATTTTGTCCTGTATTTTGCCTCTCTACATCAGAATTTCTATAGCAATATCTACGCTAAGTATAAAAGGAAACCACTATTAATTCACACAGTAGGAGATACTATTAGTTGCTTACTATGAATAGTTATCAAGTAAATGAAGATTAAAAGAGCAAAACATCATTTTATAGCTATGAAATTTATCAGAAGTATTCTTGTTAGTATACGTTAAAATTGTTACACTTCGAAATTGGTGGTTTAATTGTAAAGTCATTTACAGATGGCTTAAGCTGTAAAAAAACATTAGCACTCTTTAGCCCAGTAGTATCATCCTCTTTAGTTCCGGCTAAAATGTATGTATGTGAAGGTTTTATATATATGGTTCTTTATAATATTTTTAAAAATGGATTTTGCTAAATGCCTAGCAATTTGGGAACTGGTTAAATTAGGGCAAAGCAACTGTCAGCATATTACGTAATTATTAAAAAGATGGTCGTAAAGACCAAGTAGCAATACAAAAAAGGATTTATATTATAATATAGTGTTAAAAAATAGAATACATGCTGTTGTTTGAAGTACGTTTATTTAACCATGTGGGAAAAACTGAAAAGCAGAAAATGGAAACTATTGATTTATGCTATACGGCATTTAGTTGCTTTCATTATGTTTAGTTCAGTTAAAAATGTGATGTCTCTAGTATCACAAACAAGCTGTAAGATATGAAATAAAAGTCAACATTTCAAGAAAAACATCAGGAATTTCTCTAAGAAATAAAACAGATTAAAGTAATTGCTTCCAATGTCATGGGAGACAAAATAAATTTCAATAAGAAGACAAATAACGTAAGTAAAGTCATAAACTCAAAAAGCAAGCCGTGGAACAAATGATGCAATATTTTTGAATTTTTCAGAATGTTACTGACATTTTTATAGGGAGACAATAACAATATTTACATGGTTTTTGAAAAAGATACTTGTATATTCAATTTATGTGTGAAATTAATTTCTCTATCCTGAAGTCATTTCAAAAAATATTTTGAGATAAACCACCTGATTAAGCCTTAGATTACTCACCACCGGCATATATTATAATAGTCTGTTATATTTAAGCTATGAAGAAATCCTTGAAGTATTTGGAATGAAGTTTTAGAGAGCCTATTTAACAAATTAGCAATTCAGGTTAACATGGGAAAAACAGTTATTATTCTTAAAAAGAGATACTTAAATATTTGCTGCAATTAAGATTTAGAGAAAAGTATGTGCTTACGTCTATTACGTATTACAAATAAATGTTACTGTAGCACATTGCGTCTATATTTCAGCTAGGTTGCTTTTAAAACTGAATTAAATACAAAGCAACATTCTAACACAGCTGTTTAATAAAAATCCCAGGCAATTTTTGTGGGATTCATGAGTAAAAGGAATCTGTGCATTACTTGTGGGGTGGATATACAAGAAGAGGGCAAGACTCCAAAAAGAAAATAACTGTACGTTATGTCTAGTCACATGGGACTTTAGACAAGTTCACAGAGATTTCCTGGTCCCCAGGAGCTGTAGAAGAATCTGTATGCTCTCAGGAGTGGCAGAGGAGAAACAAGAAAAGCAGCAGCCAGCCTTGAGGCAACCGTGGTACCAAGAACGAATGACATCTTATTGTTAACATCTGACCGATAGCTAAGTTCCAGAGAAGCCAATGGATGCCTCTGAAGATACTAATTTGAACAGATTCTTTTTAAAGCCAGATAGCAATCTATTTTTTAGTCCCCACAACACCCCAAACAGAATACGGACCCAGAAAAAATACAGGGAATCACCAATTGAAAGAAGAAGCTTGAAAATAAAATCTAACTTATAGGCCGGGCGCGGTGGCTGACGCCTGTAATCCCAGCACTTTGGAAGGCCGAGGCGGGCGGATCACGAAGTCAGGAGATCAAGACCATTCTGGCTAACATGGTGAAACCCCGTCTCTACTAAAAATACAAAAAATTAGCGGGGTGTGGTGGTGGGCGCCTGTAGTCCCAGCTACTCGGGAGGCTGAGGCAAGAGAATGGCGTGGGCCGGGCGTGGTGGCTCACGCCTGTAATCCCAGCACTTTGGGAGGCCGAGGCGGGTGGATCATGAGGTCAGAAGATCGAGACCATCCTGGCTAACAAGGTGAAACCCCGTCTCTACTAAAAATACAAAAAATTAGCCGGGCGCGGTGGCGGGCGCCTGTAGTCCCAGCTACTCGGGAGGCTGAGGCAGGAGAATGGTGTGGACCCGGGAAGCGGAGCTTGCAGTGAGCCGAGATTGCGCCACTGCAGTCCGCAGTCCGGCCTGGGCGACAGAGCGAGACTCCGTCTCAAAAAAAAAAAAAAAAAAAAAAAAAAGAGAATGGCGTGAACCCGGGAGGCGGAGCTTGCGGTGAGCCGAGATCACGCCACTGCACTCCAGCCTGGGCGACAGAGCCAGACACCATCTAGAAAAAAAAAACCAAAAAAAAAAACCAAAAAACTAACTTATAACTCTTCCATATTTTTAAATTATTTTAACATTTTTATGGAAAATGCTAAATTCAACACCATTTTTGTCTTAAAAGATGAGTTTTTTTTTCTTTCTGCCACCATCTCTATTCCAAACTCCACGGCCTCACTGAAAACATTTATTACAAAGACAGAGAATCATAGGCTTTTAAAATCAGAATGGTTGTTTGAGATGTTGAGTTCATTGGTTCCCAGACTCTCAATGATGCAGATCATCTGGAGACCCTGTCAAATGCAAGCTTCCCAGGCCTTCTCCTGGAAATTCTGATTTAGTGAGTTTGGAGTAAGTGTGGGAATTTGTACTTTTAGCAATGCAAGTACCACAGGTGATCCTTATCCTTAGGAAATTTTAGAAAATATGGAAACTTTGAGCCCAGCTCCATTTCTTCAGAGAGGAGGAGATGCATCCAAAGGTTACATGGCCAGTAAGTTAGCCCCGGATATGAGACTCCTACTGCAGTATCCTGTGATTTCTCTCTCTCTTTTTCTAACTTCTTAGTGGCTTTGAATTATGATCAGAATAGGAGTTCTATCTAGATGGTTTCAACAAAAACAAAAAAAACAAATTTGATAAAGATATGTTTTAAAAAAGTAGAAAACATACGGATTTTTCATTGACAACAGTCTATATTAAAATGTTTTACGTATACATAGTGCACTGCTTACATGCCCATCTTGCATTACATAATAATACATTAATTAAAAAATACATATATATATTCAAATACTAAGACATTTAGCTTAAACTCAGACTTCTGGAACCCTCAGTTCTTAGATCACCTATGAGTTTCATGGGAGTGACTGTGTAGGAGTGACAATTGTGGTATAAAAAACATCAGGTTGACAAGGAGCAAAATGGAGGTTCCTGATATTCTACGCTGCCACAAAGAGTTCCACTTTTATATATTTTACATGCAAGTCTTCAGCATACAGTTCCATGTAAATAAAGAGTTCTGTGGCTAAAACCTGTTAGAGGCCATTGCATTACAGCTAAGTTCACCACACAGACAGACATATTTCAATCTTCAATATTTAAGTAGAAAGCAATTTACCTTCTAGCAATTTACAGGAGGGATATAATCATATCCTCCCAAAACCAGAACATTTCAATATAGGATTTCTATATAAGGATAATACAAAATCAATACCAAAATACACGGTAGAAGTCAATCTAATAATCTAGGTCACATACTCATCACTCTATCTTACCCTACAGATGCCCAATACCCATCTCTTCCTGGAATTACATTTTGTGAATTTGCTGGGTGGAGAAGAATGATGAAGCAGGGCTATTAGATTACAACTATTTATTTAATTTGTGAAGCAGATCTCTATACTAATAGGTCCTATATAAAAATGAGTTTTCTAGAGAAAGTCCCTAATACAGCTTCACTCCAGCACAGTACAACTTAGTAACCACATTGGGGTGGGGGTTGGTAACTAGCATAATTAGCCTATACCCAACAGAAAGCCAAAACTCTACTCTTTAACCAAATAGTTTTTATAGCTGAAAATCAACTTTCCAAGAGATTGCATTTTTAGAACCTTAGACATATCAAAGGTTTTAAAATAATAGCCTGGTATACCTACTTTACATCACACTTCTGTTTTCTTATTCTATTATTACTTTTTATCTTCTCCTCCCCGTAAGTTCATCAAGGCTTGCTGTCAATTAACTTCAAGGATCATAACAAAAGTTCTGCAAGAGAAGATTGACAATGCTAATTATTGGCAACAGTTTTTGGATTTCTAGTTTCCTTGTCAGATCCTGTGGTGCCATCTTAAATGGCTAGATATTTTTTCAGGCATATGTGGTAGTTTTGAAAATCAAACTGATTACTGTTGACTTGATTCTCTATGCAATACAAAGCTGGGTAATTTTTAAGCAGAACCTTAAGCAGAAATTCACATCAGTGTGTCTGGTTGCAAAACAACAGAAAATGATTCTAGCTAAAAGCCTCGCCTCTTTTTGCTACTCATAAGGTTTGGCTCTGTGTCCCCACCCAAATCTCACCTTGAATTGTAATAATCCTTACATGTCAAGGGTGGGACAAGGTGGAGATAATTGAATCACAGAGGTGGTTTCCTCCATGCTGTTCTCAAGAGTGAGTGAATTCTCATGAGATCTGATGGTTTTATAAGGGGCTTCCCCCTTCACTTGGCACGCATTCTTTCTACTGCCGCCCCTGAAGAGGTGCCTTCTGCCATGATTGTGAGTTTCCTGAGGCCTCCCCAGCCATGCGGAACTGTGAGCCAATTAAATCTTTTTTCTTTATAAATTACCCAGTCTCAGGTATTTCTTCATAGCAGCATGAGAATGGACTAATACAACTACTTTTCTCAACAAACCTTAGCTACTTAATGAGTGCTTACTATGAGTTACTATTCACGTTATAAAATTTAAATTTAACATGTTAAATGTTATTGTTTCAATAATTCTTTCCTTATGTTATCCCTAGAATAGCAGGGAATAATATCATTTGGATGAATGCATATGTTGCTTTTGAACTGTTCTACCTTAAATAAATTAAAATATTTCTCTGGAAGAAAGATGAACTATAAAATCCAATAGAGACTATAAAGCACAGTAGAGAGGAATTGACAGGGTCCCAATCAATGACTCTCTTTTACTATATGATGCTGCCTTCCCATTAGTAAGGGAAAGAGTAATTCCAAATTGGAGATGATTAGATTCACATGGGGACATGAAGAATGGAAGATGTGTCAAGAGATGGCATGGCAGAGGAAGAGAGAACAACTGCTTGTCATAGAATGTTTTCAGAGAATGACAAGCAGGTTGACAGTAATATGGTTTTTGTTGAGGGGTGTAATTAGAGATAAGTCTAGAAAGAAAAGTAAAGGTCAAATTCTGGTGGGTTAGAATTAAGTCACAAAGAAAATTGTGGAAAAAATGTCCCACATCCTCACAGAGTGGATGGTAATGTTAGAAACAGGCTCAAAAGTGGCCTGGAATCAAGAAGGGCTGGACAAAAAGAATGACCAACTAGGCCAGGCATCAGGACTCACACCTGCAATCCCAGCACTTTGGGAGGCCAAGGCAGGTGGATCACTTGAGGTCAGGAGTTCGATAACAGCCTGGCCAACATGGTGAAACCTTGTCTCTACTAAAAATACAAAAATTAGCTGGGCATGGTGGCACAGGCCTATAATCCTAGCTACTGGAGAGGCTGAGGCAGGAGGATCATTTGAACATGGGAGGCAGAGGTTGCAGTGAACAGAGATCGTGCTGCTGCACTCAAGCCTGCCCGTCTCAAAAATTTAAAAAAAAAAGGAAAAAAAAAAGAATTACCACCTAAATACCAAAAACAAACAAACAAGCAAGAATGTGTAATTAAGAAGATGCTGGCACTCCAGAATTACTGCTGCTGTTTACTCAATGCTGGCCACAGAACTACAACATTCCGGTGTATAATTTCTAAATGGCCTCTCCTTTTTTTATATCACTTGCTTAAGATTCAGAGTGCTGAGTAGAAACATATGGCTTGCAGGTCACTCACCTCTTCCATAGCTGTCCAGGGAAGAGAAGAGGGATTATTTTTCCATATATTTTCTAGGAAGACAGCATCCAACGAACTGCTAAAACTCACATAATGAGAAATTCCAGGAAGATGGTCATGTGATCAAAATATGATGGATTTAAGGGTTGGGCAGCTAAAACCTAAGTTTTTATGTTCATTACAGGGAGTGAAAACTATTAACCAGAGTTGGCTTTATCTAAGGTACACTAAAGCAGGGAGGAACTGGTGCCACAAAACTTGGCTAGAAAATCATTGCTAGGCTGGAGTTAACAAGAATGTGAAAATGTGCAAAGGCATTACTGAGGGGCTTATCTGAGCTTCACCTTGGCATGGCACTACTGGGCTGGCTCCATTCTCCTTTTCTGTAAACTTATAGACCAAGAGAAAGAAAGCTGAATTTTAGTAGGAATACTGTTGTACTTTCTGTTAGTAGTGTTCCTGGGAAACAACTGTACTTGATCTTTTAGAATTCCAGATTTCCTAAACAGATATCAACAAAGATAATCATTCTGCATGGAAATAAAAGTCTAGAAGAAAGGTATGTGCAGAGCTTTGTTCCATTGTCCTCTACTGATGTGGCATTTCAAGGTGAGTGTCTTCCCTGTGATTTGTAAGGAGATGTGGTTCTTACCTGAAGCTTATACCTTCAAAGTACCAGCTCTTATTTTCAACAGAAGAAAAATAAGGAATATAAAGAAATAGTAATTGAACACACACACACAAACACACACACACACACCACACACAGACTAGAAACATCAGTGACAAGACCAAAAGGTTTACAAAGATGTTGCCACTAGACCCTCCATCTTGGCTAACTGAGCTGCTGCTCCCAGCATCACCAGCTTTAAGATATTGCCCAAAGACAGTCAAATGGCCAGGACCCAGGAGGTTGTTGAAGTATCTTGGTTGAATCGGATTTACTTGAACTTTCAAGGGATTATCTACATTTCCAGAAATAGGGTTCTTCAATGATATTTTAGATTTTGATGTTAATTATCAATTTTTTTTTTTTTTTTTTTGAGATGGAGTCTTCACTCTGTCGCCCAGGCTGGAGTGCAGTGGCATGATCTCGGCTCACTGCAAGCTCCATCTTCCGGGTTCATGACATTCTCCTGCCTCAGCCTCCTGAGAAGCTGGGACTACAGGCGCCCGCCACCACGCCTGGCTAATTTTTCTTGTATTTTTAGTGGAGACGGGGTTTCACCATGTTAGCCAGGATGGTTATTATTAATTTTGATCACCCTCTATGACTCAAGAGACAATACATTATTTAAACAACAAAAATTAGGCTCTACGTCTACGTCCTTACTTCTTCAGCTTCATTTCTTTTACCATAACATTGGTTTAGGAAACACAAACAAAAATGAACAGGTGAGACATGATAGCTGAGTTTGAAGGCAGTTTTCATTTTGATAATTTAGATCAGTTATTCTAATTTCATGTATTAGAGAGAAGTTTTCTACACATGACCATCTTCCTGGTATAAACTATTTCAGTCATTGGTCAATTTTAGAAAAAATTAAGGGAAATATTACATTGATTGGTAAAAAGTTTTACTTTTAAATTATTCATTATTTGTTTAAACTAATGTCTCCTGATAGAGGGTAAAAGACATGTATTCACATTGATGTCACCACATATTAAAATCTTTAGATCTCTGATGTTTCACAATTAAGGCCTGATACTAAGTATGACATCACTCTTTGTAACTGGTTATGTGTACCATTAAAATTATTTATAATGACATAATTTTCAATTATTAAACATAAACTCACAGCTAACCATTTACTTGATAAGACATTTATTTGCATTATTTCATTTAATAATCTTTACAACTATATTATAGAAAAATATCATTATTGTCTTCATCTCAAAGATAAAGAAACTTAAGCGTGGTAATTTAAATAACTTACCCAAGATAGCACAGCAAATAAATCTTAGTTTCCTAGACGTTTTAGACTGTGCTCCTGCAACAGATACGTATATATATATATATATATATATATACACACACACACACATATATATACATATATACACATATATATACGTATATATACACACACACACACACACACACACACACACATATATATATATATGAAAAAAACCACAGTAAAAAGCCTTTGTCACTGCTATTTCAGACCCCAGACAACACTACTGGGGGATGGACTTGTTTAGGATATGTTATTAATATCTCTATGCAGTTTTTCTCATATATTTTACCACATCTTGACCTCTGCAATGGCCATGCTAAAAGAAGATTCTTTGAGTAGCTTTGGTAAATTACTGATTATTTATCCTATAATATAAATTGTTCTAACTAATTTTCAATAAATGAGGTCTGGTAGTTCAACACATGTTTCAAAATAATCTTATTAGCTTGGTTTGTGAGGCAAATCTCAGAGTACAGTCTAATTAAGCTGCCTTAGAACACACAAACATGTCTTCATTGCCATTGGAACTGCTGATTAGTGGCAAATCACTCTTTTCATAATGAACCTTGGGTTTCTCTGCAGGGCTGAGAGAATTTGAAAAGAGCTAATGGAAAACTCAGCCCGCTAAAGTTCTCTAGTGCCTTTATTTATAACAAAATGTACAATTACATTCATTTGTATGTGAAGAAAAGAAATAGGCCTTTAAAGGATTTATTAGGAGACTAATTCCTAACAAAAAGAGCATTAGCCGTTTGATAATTTTTCAACTGGTTAACTATATTTTCCTGAGCTTATTAAAAACTTATTCTGAGCATCTGGAGAAACCTAGAAAAAATACATGCCAAACAAGGCTTCTTTTGTATCAGCTAAAGTCATGATGAGTATTAAAAAAAAGAAAACTTATATACAATTTATCTATTACTTGCCTAAAATTACCATTTACCCCAGGGTGTCTTCCAAACTTGCTAACTCCCATCCCTAAACACATTTTTAGCATGATACCCTTAACATATGGGATTTTAAAATTTATTTATAAATTATAGACATGTCCCATTCTATGGAAAATGTGCATTATAAACCATGCACAAATATGGAATTTTTAAAGGATGAGATAAGCTTATTTTAAATCATTATTTATTTTATTTTTAATTATACCAAAAAAACCCACTTTGAGTTGTCATGAGAAATAGCTTCTGGATGCTCAGAGTTAAAGTGTCTGCCAATCAAGTGTGCACTTATCATTAACTGGTGTAAAAAACAATGCATACACTTAGGATGAGTTTTTTTTTCCATTAACAATGGTTGGTCAATCTTCCTGTTTCAATGTTCTTGATAATTTCTGACATCTTGACACATACCATTAGGTCATCATTCTTATTTCACAATATGACTGAGAAAGCACTTGTACACAGAGTAGAAGAAATGTTTGTTCTGCCTTGTTCTTGTATTTTGCTTTTGCTTTCTTTATTAGTATTATCTTAACATCTGCAGCTTCCTTGCTGGAAGCTTCTTAAGCCACTTGTCCATTTGGTAAGAGTGAATTTAGTTTAAACTAGATAATATAACCTGCAAATCCATGTTATCAGGCACACAAAGACAAATTCATCATTATAGGCAGAAAGAGAACAGGTGGGGGAACATTTTCCAACCTTTGGCATGATGATACACCCGTCTTCCCTTAGGATGCCTTGCATATAAGACAATTACTTTCTGACATAAGGATCCAGTAAGAATACCAGTGTCATCTATATTAATAAATAACAAACAATAAATTGAAATAAATTAATAAATATTAACAGATGTTTATTTTCTTATTGCTTTAAAAGATACTGTGAATTAAATTTTCAATATTCTCTCTAAGATCCCAAGAATACTACTGTGCCACTTCTTAAAACTGAAAATGCAGGCCAGTTGGAAGAAGAGGAAGAGGAGGAGAAAGTGAAAAGTTGTTTCCATAATCACAGCAGCAAAGCCAACCATGTGGCCTGAGCAGGTTTTTTAAATGATGTGGTTGGATAATAATGTTATTCAGATTCCCTGCCAGGTTCATCTGGCTACATGAGAGAGGTTTTCTTTTTTTCCCCCTTAAATTTATTTCAGCACAGTTTTAAATTGGCATTAATACCCAAATCATTTGCTGAAATACTTAAGGTTATTTTATATACTGTGTACAGCACAAAGTTGATAAATATGAATGAATAAACACTATGGCTAGATTTACCCAAACTATAGCAATATCATGCCCTAAAATAGGCAAAGCCTATTTTTACCTGGAATTCAAACAACCAGAAAGGACAGGTTTCCCCCACCCTCACCCCCGCCCAAATTTAGAATACTTATCTTTAGACAAACCCGAGGCCCAGAAATGTTTGTCCAAGGTCACAGCTAATGAGTAGTGAAGCTGGAATTTGGCCCAGGTAGTCTGGCTCCAAAGTCTGTACTGGTAACCACCATGCTATACAATAAGGATATAATGTCTACTTCATAAAATGCTTATGGGATAAAAACAATTAGCATATGTATATAATATGCCTAGTATAGTGCTTGGCTTACGGTAAATAATCCATATGTTGAAGTTTTCATTATGGGAGAGTGAATGGAAAAGCATGCAGATTTTGCAGGCAAATCCAAATCCTGCATTTGAGTTTTTGTTTGTTTTGCTTAAAGTTCTGAGATACATGTGCAGAAGGTGCAGGTTTGTTACATAGGTAAACATGTGCCATGGTGGTTTGCTGCACCTATCAACCTGTAGTCTGGGTACTAAGCCCCACATGCATTAGGTATTTATCCTGATGCTCTCCCTCCCCTCCCCTCTGTGGACAGGCTGCAGTGTATGTTGTTCCTCTTCCTGTGTCCATGTGTTCTCATTGTTCACCTCCTACTTATAAGTGAGAACATGCAGTGTTTGGTTTTCTGTTCCTGTGTTAGTTTGCTGAGGATGATGGCTTCCAGCTTCATCCATGTCCCTGCAAAGGACATGATCTCATTCCTTTTTATGGCTGCATAGTATTCCATGGTGTGTATGTACCATATTTTCTTTATTCAGTCTATCATTGATGGGCATTTGGGTTGGTTCCATGTTTTTGCTGTTGTGAATAGTGCTGCAGGAAACATACGTGTGCATGTATCTTTACAATAGAATGATTTATATTCTTTTGGGTATATACCCAGTAATGGGACTGCTGGGTCAAATGGTATTTCTGCTTCTAGATCCTTGAGGAATTGCCACACTGTCTTTCACAATGGTTGAACTAATTTACGTTCCCGCCAACAGTGTAAAAGCATTCCTATTTCTCCACAGCTTCGCCAGCATCTGTTGTTTCTTGACTTTTTAATCATCACCATTCTAACTGGTGTGAGATGGCATCTCAGTGTGGTTTTGATTTGCATTTCTCTAATGATCAGTGATGTTGAGCTTTTTTTCATGTCTGTTTGCCCCATAAATGTCTTCTTTTGAGAAGTGACTGTTCATATCCTTTGCCCACTTTTCGATGGGGTTTGTTTTTTTTCTTGTAATTTTGTTTAAGTTCCTTCTAAATTCTGGATATTAGACCTTTGTCAGATGGGTAGATTGCAAAAATTTTCTCCTATTCTGTAGGTTGCCTGTTCACTCTGATGATAGTTTTTTTTGCTGTGCAGAAGCTCTTTAGTTTAATTAGATCCCATTTGTCAATTTTGGCTTTTGTTGCAATTGCTTTTGGCAATTTCATCATAAAATTTTTGCTCATACCTATGTTCTGAATGGTCTTGCATAGATTTTCTTCTAGGGATTTTATGGTTTTGGGTTTTACATTTAAGTCTTTAATCCATCTTGAGTTAATTTTTGTATAAGGTGTAAGGAAGGGGTCCAGTTTCAGTTTTCTGCATATGGCTAGCCAGTTTTCCCAGCACCATTTATAAAATAAGAAATCCTTTCCCCAGTGCTTGTTTTTGTCAGGTTTGTATAAAATCAGATGGTTGTAGATGTGTAGTCTTATTTCTGAGGTCTCTATTCTGTTTCATTGGTATGTATGTCTATTTTGACACCAGTACCATGCTATTTCGGTTACTGTAGCCTTGTAGTATGGTTTGAAGTCAGGTAGCATGATGCCTACAGCTTTTTTTTTTCTTTTGCTTAGGGTTGTCTTGGCTATACAGGCCCTTTTTTGGTTCCATATGAATTTTAAAGTAGTTTTTTGAATTCTGTAAAGAATGTCAATGGTAGTTTGATGGTAATAGCATTGAATCTATAAATTACTTTGAGCAGTATGGCCATTTTCGTGATATTGATTCTTCTTATCCATAAAGATGGAATGTTTTACATTTGTTTGTGTCCTCTCTTATTTCCTTGAGCAGCGATTTGTAGTTCTCCTTGAAAAGGTTCTTAATGTCTCTTTTTAGCTGTATTCCTAGGTATTTTATTCTCTTTGTAGCAATTGTGAATGGGAGTTCATTCATGATTTGGCTCTCTGCCTGTCTATTGTTGGTATATAGGAATGCATGTGATTTTTGCGCATTGATTTTGTATTCTGAGACTTTGCTGAAGTTGCTTACCAGCTTAAGGAACATTTGGGCTGAGATGATGGGGTTTTCTAAATATAGGATCATGTTGTCTGCAAACAGACAATTTGACTTCCTCTCTTCCTATTTGAATATCCTTATTTCTTTCTCTTGCCTGATTGCTCTGGCCAGGACTTCCAATACCATGCTGAATAGGAGTGGTGAGAGAGGGCATCCTTGTCTTGTGCTGGTTTTTAATGGGAATGCTTCTAGCTTTTGCCCATTCAGTATGATATTGGCTGTGGGTTTGTCATAAATAGCTCTTATTATTTTGAGATATGTTTCATCAATACTTAGTTTATTCAGAGTTTTTAACATGAAGGGATTTTAATTTTTTCGAAGGCCTTTTCTGCATCTATTGAGCTAATCATGTGGTTTTTGTTATTGTTTCTGTTTATGTGGTGGGTTATGTTTATTGCTTTGTTTATGTTGAACCAGCCTTGCATCCCAGGGATGAAGCCGATTGATCATGGTGGATAAGCTTTTTAATGTGCTGCTGGATTCAGTTTGCCAGTATTATATTGAGGATTTTCATATCAATATTCATCAGAGATATTAGCCTAAAGTTTTTTATTGTTGTTGTTTTGTCTCTGCCAGGTTTTTGTATCAGGATGATGCTGGCCGCAGAAAAGGAGTTATGGAGGAGTCCCTCCCTCCTTTTCAGTTGTTTGGAATAATTTCAGAAGGAATGTTACCAGCTGCTTTTTGTACCTCTCTTAGAATTTGGCTGTGAATCTGTTTGGTCCTGGTCATTTTTTGGTTGGTAGGTTATTTATTACTGACTCAATTTCAGAGTCGTTAATGGTCTATTTAAGGGTTTGACTTCTTCCTAGTTTAGTCTTGTGAGGGTGTGTGTGTCCAGGAATTTATCCATTTCTTCTAGATTTTCTAGTTTATTTGCGCAGAGGTATTTATAGTATTCTCTGATGGTAGTTTGTATTTCTGTGGGGTCAGTGGTGATATCCCCTTTATCATTTTTTATTATGTCTATTTGATTCTTCTCTCTTTTCTTCTTTATTAGTCCAGCTACTGGTCTATCTATTTTATTAATTTTTTTAGCCAGCTCCTGGATTCATTGATTTTTTTTGAAGGGTTTTTTGTGTTCTATCTCCTTCAGTTCTGCTCTGATCTTCATTATTTCTTATCTTCTGCTAGTTTTTGGATTTCTTTGCTCTTGCTTTTCTTGTTCTTTTAGCTGTGATGTTAGAGTGTCAATTTGACATTTTTCTAGCTTTCCAGTGTGGCTACTCAGTGCTATAAATTTCCCTCTTAATACTGCTTTAGCTGAGTGCCAGAGATTCTGGTACGTTGTCTATTTGTTCTCATTGGTTTCAAAAACTTCTTGATTTCTGCCTTAATTTCATTATTTATCCAGGAGTCATTCAGGAGCAGGTTGTTCAATTTCCATGTAGTTGTGTGGTTTTGAGTGAGTTTCTTAATCTTGAGTTCTAATTTGATTGCACTGTGGTCTGAGAGATTCTTTGTTATGGTTTCAGCTCTTTTGCATTTTCTGAGGAGTGTTTTACTTCCAATTAAGTGGTTGACTTTAAAGTAAGTGCCACGTGGCACTGAGAAGAATGTATATTCTGTTGATTTGGGGTGAAGAGTTTTGTAGATGTCTATTAGGTCTACTTGACCCAGAGCTGAGTTCAAGTCCTGAATATCTTTGTTAATTTTCTATCTTGTTGATCTGTCTAATATTGACAGGGGGATGATAAAGTCCCCCACTATTTTTTTTTTTTAGACACATTCTCACTCTGTTGCTCAGGCTGGAGTGCAGTGGCATGATCTCTGCTCACTGCAATCTCCGCCTCCTGGGTTCAAGCAATTCTCCTGCCTCAGCCTCCTGAGTAGCTAAGATTACAGGCTTGCACCACCATGCTAGGCTAATTTTTGTATTTTTAGTAGAGACAAGGTTTCACCATGTTGGCCAGGCTGGTCTCGAACTTCTGACCTCGTGATCTGCCCGCCTTGGCCTCCCAAAGTGCTGGGATTACAGGCGTAAGCCACTATGCCCAGCCCAATGTCCCCTACTATTATTATGTGGGAGTATAAGTCTCTTTACAGGTCTCTAAGAACTTGTTTTATGAATCTGGATGCTCCTGTATTGGGTGCACATATATTTAGAATAATTAGCTCTTCCTGTTGAATTGATCCCTTTACCATTATGTAATCCCCTTCATTGTCTTTTTTTGATCTTTATTGGTTTAAAATCTGTCCTGTCAGAAACTAGGATTGCAACCCCTGCTTTTTTCTGCTTTCTATTTGCTTGATAAATTTTGCTTCATCCCTTTATTTTGAACCTATGGGTGTCTTTGCGCTGAGATGAGTCTCTTGAATACAGCACACTGATGGGTCTTGACCCTTTATCCAATTTGCCAGTCTGTGTCTTTTAATTGGGGCATTTAACCCATTTAAAATGGGCCTGTATTTGAAGCTAGCTCTGCCACTTACTATATGTCTGACTTTGTAGAAATTCCTTCGCCCATCTTTTCTGCAACACAGGGATAATAACTCCTGTATGCTGAGTTGGGGAAAGTTTAAAATAAGGTAAAATATAAGCAATGCCTTGTAAGTATAAAAATTATACATATTATTATCACTATTATTGAAAGCTGACATAATTCAAACACATTTTTATTGGCTTTTTACATAGAAGATATTTTTGAATTATATTTGCCACTTAAAATCAGGAATTTGTTTTTCAAAAAAAAAGCACTAATTTCATTGCATGTTTTAAAATCAGTTCAGACTATGTAAGTTTGGCATGATAGAACTCATGCTCTTAATAACAATCCCTCAGATACTAAAAAATCCACAAGTAAATTTTGAGTTATCAAAAAAGTGTTTTTATTCATTTATTCGATATATGTTAAGTGTCACTGTGTGTACCAGGCACTATTCTGGGCTCTGTCTGAGTATACAGCATTAGACCACAAACCAAGATTCCCAGGCAGGTAGTAAATGGCAGAGCTAGCTCCACATACTGGCCCATTTGACTTCAAGATTTTGGCAGACCCATATGACTGCATGCTTTTCCATTCTGTAATGGAAACTTCAATGTATAAATTAGCTACAGTAAGCCAGGCACTGTACAGGGCACCTTATATATATATGCTAATTGTTTTAATCCTATAATTATTTTATGAAGTAGATACTATATCTACTTCTGTATCCATAAGATTTGAACTCTCATGGAGTTTAAAATCTACTGGAGGGAAAAAACTATAAACAAAATAAATAAGTAAAATATATAGTATATTAGAAAGTGATGAATGGCAGTGGGGAAACTAAAATGAGGAAGAGGAATATGGTTCTTGACATTTTAAAAAGGGTTATTAGGAAATGTTTCTCTGTGAAGTTAATATTTGAATAGCAATCCGAAGTGGAGAAAGCAGGTCTGATCAGATGTAATGATGGAACCTCGAGGTGACCAGAGTGGCTGGAGCAGAGTGATTAAGGGAACATACCAAGAGAGGAAGACAGGGATGTAACAATTAGGTGCAGGCCATTCTACATCACTGAGAATTCAGGTTTTTAATTCACATTAAATGCAGTTGCCTGTGGCCAGCTCTGAGTAGGAAGTCACATAATCTAACTTTAACAAAATCACTCTGGTAGCTGTGATGAGACTATAAACATTAGGGAGATTATGTAGGAGGATTCTGCAATCATCTAGAAGACACATGATGAGGTTTTGGCCCACCATTTGGTAGCAGAGGAGGTTGTGAAAACAACCCAAGGTGGAATGTGTTAAAGTTGAGTCCATAAAATTCACTGATGAATTGGTATGAAATGTGAGAAGAGAAAACTGGGAGGAGCAGATTTTGGGGAAAGATCAAAATCTCAGTTTTGGACATGTTAAGTTTGAGATGCCTGTTAGAATCCAAGGAAGTATGTTGATTTGGCAGTTGGTTATGTGTTTGGAGTGATCCCAATGGAGTTATAAATATGTTAAATATAGTTCAACATTACATATATTTCATTTTGATCCTATGCAAATTTTTCACCAGGTCAGATTAATATATGGCAAAGCAACTCTTTTTTAAATAGAACAGTAAATTAAATAGATCACTTTGCTCCTCAGTCAATTTGAATAAATTATGAGGCTAACAACAGAAAGACCACAAAAAACATCTGAGCATCACCATTTATGTATTAAACAACATTTGAGAATAAAATTATCACATTTTATTTTGCTTGTTTGATGCCCTTAGAACAAGTAAAAGCGAAACTAGAAGGTGTGACTTCAGAACAATAATGACACTGACAAGTCAAACAAATGCTGAAGAAAAACCATTAAATAAAAGTAAAATTTGAAAAATCCCTCAGAAGCAATAAAACTCAGTTAATAGTTTGATTAATATTTAGCAGATTAATAATGAAGTCTATTTCAGTATATTGTTGTGTGTATGCGAGCATGCAAGAACGTGTGTGTACAAACTAACAACATATGCAAGGTGCTGTTCTCAAAGCAGAAGATTTCATCATACTATTGCAATCGTCACATTCCATGTAATTCATTTAAATCCAATAAGTGTATATTAACCCCCATTTATGTATATCTGTAGTCATATTTCTAGTTACTAGAATGCAGCTCCTTTAGTCAATTCCACATACCATAATTCCACTCATTTTTCAGTCCTTTCCCTTCATGAATTCTTTCTAAAACTTTCTAAATTTACATGATATCCTCCAACTCTTCGTAACCTTTGAACTTTTTGAAATGCTCTATTCAGATACCTAGAAAACTGATTGGCAGAGAATAGGCACTCAGAAAATATTTATTGAAAAAATGGGTAAATAAGTAAATTAAGAAACAAAGCATATTCTATCCTCTCTTTGCAATTAATAGTGAACATTTTACATTAAAACTTCTGAGAAGTTGTACGGTAAGGATATCCATTTAACTTTGTCTTTCCTAAGCTTATTTGACCTCCTTATTTTTTTCTCTCTTAACCTACTTACTTAGAACTCTTTCTGGGAAGCATGTTTTGGGTAATGCAAACGTGGGGGGATGGGCTACTAAGGCACTACAAAAATTCATATTTTAAAAATATTGGCTACTTTATAGTTTTTTCTTATACTAGTTTTATTTTGGAAGAATGCAATGGTATCTTAGTGTGCTTTTTTTTTTAGCAGGGACAGAATCTTTCCCAGGCTGTATTGCAGTGGCGAAATCACAGTTCACTTCAACCTCAACTTCCTGGGCTCAAGCAATCCTCCCACCTCACCCTTCCAAATAGCTGGGACCACAGACACCACCATGCTAACTTTTTTGTTATTTGTAGACAAGGTCATGCTATGTTGCCAGACTGTTCTCAAACTCCTGAGCTCAAGCATTCTCCTGTCTTGGCCTTCCAAAGTGTTGGGATTATAGGCATGAGCCACCACGCCCAGCACTTTGTAATTCTAAAGTTCCATCAAAGAGTGATGGCCTAGGTTTTGTGTTACGTCTATATTATCACAAAAATATTTATAATCTCTAAACATCTGTGCCTCCTTTATGCACATGATGCATTAGCAGTGTAAGATAAGAAGACAATATGCATTTTTCTGTACTGTGTTAGAGGTAAATTCCTTGTGTGATAAATCGCAGTCATTAGAAGTAATTAAAGGAAGCTAAATAGGAATTGATTTGGAGTTATATAACCAAAGCAAGACAATCACTACAACCGCTCATTCAATTATGTCTACAGTGTAAAAGCAGCAGAAATTGAAGATGTCTTAAGATAACCGTGATTCATTAGTTTTAGCTTTTGCTAAGTAGTCAAACTGAAAGTTTGAATTGCTCTGTTCTATAATTGAAGAAAAAAAAATTGGGGGGGAAAAGGAAAAGAAAAAGAAAGAAATAGAAATAAGATAGAAGACTTGCCCCTCTTTTCCATGTTATTATTCCTATAGAGTAGAGGTCAGCAAACTTTTTCTTGAAAGGGCCAGACAGTAAGTATTTGAAGCTTTGTGAATCATATGGTCTTTGCTGAAACTCTGCCACTGTGGCACAGAAACACTGAAGAATGGACATGACTGTGTTCTTATACTATGTTATCTACGAAAACAGGCAGCTGGGTAGATTTGGTCCACGAGTAATAGTTTGCAGTCCCCTGTTGTAGAGGACAAAAGCTCCCCAAGCTATAGCACTAGTCAGGCATCTGTGACAGAGCGTGTATCCTCCAATACTTTCGGATTTAAGAGGTTCCTCAAAGTCAAATCTTTTCTCACATTTGGTCAACCTTAGTGCTTTAAATTCTCATTATGGTATCATTATTTTAGCCACTTCCTTGGTTTAACACATTTCCACACTAAATCTCTTCTCAAGCACAGAACAGATTAACATACAGTAACTCATTCATTTATTCACTTCTGTCAGACAGAACATTAGTAGATGGCCTACAGATAAATTTATCTGGGGAGTTGTGGAAAGGGTAAGCCTGAGAAAGTGTAGCTGAGGGACATCTAGGCCTTTTGTGAAATTTCAGTCTTGTTGGAAAAGAACCAGATGAGAGGAGGGGACACAAAAAAAGTCAAGCCAGAGCTTGCCAAAATTAGACCTCACTGCTTCAGTTTTCCTAAGACTGCCTTTTGTCTGTCAGTAGAATTTAATTTGACTCAATTCTATTTCTGTAAACAGAGATATGGAATGTTGTTTGTGAAGTATGTTTGGGGAGGTAAGAGAGGAGACAAGTGGAGAGTGGAGATTTATACCCTATTTTTGACACTTGCAGATCTTTTTTCTTATTCTCTTATATATGGAAGACACTAAATAAGTGCTTCATGCATTGCATTACTTCACCTCCACTTCTAAAGAGAGGAAAAGTTATCCAAGTTCTCTTTTAGCTTTTCCTCTCTTGACCTATTCCTATATTATTGCTTTCTTTTTTACTTTTGCTCCTTCATCCTAATGGCCAAAGTGGCAGAAGATGGGGAAAATGAGGGAGAAAAAAGCAATAGGATATGGTTAGGTATGAGGGACGAAGGGACAGGAACAAGAAATAGGACATTTTTGACTTTCCACATTTCTGATCACAATTTCTCCCATGACAGGAAAACATAATGACTTTAATCTACAGAAATAAGCACTATGTTTACTTTAAAATATCTTAGCAAGCATTGGAGAATATTATTATTTAATTCCAAGAAAATAAACAGGCACTCCAATAAAGACTTAGAAGGATTAATTTTTCATGTAATTTTAATAAGTATAAAAGGGTATGAAAAGCTGTCTATGGTTTACTGTGGATAAATTTCAACTTCTCAATCTTTAATAAAAGTCATCATTATGCAACTGAATTTGTAAATTCTCTGTTAAAAGATGATTTTGTGATCAAAGTAAATGAAATACAGACCGCATGAACCACATATGTTCCTAAGCACAAGTTTCTGGTATAAAATTTATATTGTAGCAATTCAAATTCATCTTACCTGATGAGTAAAAACATAAAGTTAATAAAATATCTGGTAAGAAAATAAGTGTCACTTATTTTTAAAATGATCTAATTTTATGGAACATAATCATATGTTTATAAATGCTTGGGATATGAATGTCTTTGCCCAACATTTAATACAGAAAATGTATTACAGTGAATATGAGTGTTATTTGTAATATAAACAAAACATGAAAGGTTAATCAGAAATGCCAACAAAAATATGATACATAATTCTTCCATTTTCCTAGTTTCAAGTTTCTTGCATGGCCTCTAAGCTACAATACTTAGAACTAGAAACAATACAATGCAGACCCGAAAATTAATAAATGCAGATTTTCATCATTAACTACAAATCCCTTTCCATATGCTTACATATGTTTTCATTTTATTTTTAATATTTTTCTCCAGAATGAATTTTGGACTTTCCCCTCCCCATTTGCACACGGCGTAACACTTAGTAATGAGCTAAAAGAATTTATGTACTAAATACAATAACAGATCCAAGTTAATGATCCTGTAATGCTCTTGACCTGTCTGATGTGATCTGAAGAAGTGTGTTTTCACTCGTTGCACACTTTTTCTCCAGCAGCTCAGAGAGTAGCACCACAGAACTTTTAATATGAGGGACTTAGTCTTCTCTTCAATTGGCTATGAACTTATAAGTGGATAGAAATGACTTAAAGAAGTCATTTCATGCTTTCTTTGCCATAATGATACATAATCATCAGATGAATCCTCAAGAAACCTCTTCAAGAATACAGTATATAGATAGATAGATGATAGATAGATAGATAGATAGATATAGATAGATAGATAGACAGATAGATAGTTAGATTTAAAGCCGAAAAAGACAGAGGTAATACTAAATGACCTTGTAAAATCTATTGCATCTTCTAATCTGATCTCACTAGCCAGACCCCGGGAGCCTCAACAAACAGGCCATAGAGATAATTCTCTAATGACCTGATTCACTACTGTCAGCAAAGGTGACATTGAAATCAGACAGCATTTCCATATCCTAGCACCAGTAATAAAATAAATCCCTTTCTCTTCTGCAGTGATCTATTTCAATGTGTAATATGGTTTCATTAGTATCAGGCTTTGAGCATTTTCATTCTCATAACACATGTATTTCTCATAGTGTTCACCTAGTTTTTGCTCAGTCCTCTCAATATTCTAAAGTTTGTCTCAAATCTACCCTTATTCATGAGATAGTGCTACCCTGAAGTAACTTTCCATTTCTCAATCTTCTAAAACATCTATTATGACAGATACTTTGGTATTTTTAAAATATTATGTATTTAGTCTAAACATTTCACCAGTATAAATCTTATTTTTCTAAGTAATGGAAATTGCATTTGATTCAAGTTTCTATCTTGAAACATATATGCATTTTGAAGTAGATTATTTAATGATTACAGCATGATGTTTCAAAGAGGCATTTTGAAAGGTGAATGGAGCAGCAAATGTTTATAACAGTGGTTTTTGTTTCAATTCCCTTGTAAGTATTTGACGAAAAGTAGATCCACGTTGATTGATAGAATGGAGTATATCAATACAATTAGAGAAAGTTGTGTAAAAAGAAAAACGCTGAAAAATTCTCAGAACATTTTTCTTTCAGTTCCTCTGTCCCTACAAATGTTAGAGGTTCTGTTTTCCTTTCTTGCTCTTATGTTTGATTTGTATACATTTTCAATGTTTGTTATTTAACATATAGACATTTTGAACATTATTTATGTTGATAACTTTGTAAAGAGAGTTAGACTTATGTTGAACTTAAACCAAACTTCTAATTATTACTTCCATGTTTTTACTCTAAAATTCTACTGACTAAAGACTAACCATTAACTTTTTAATGATGCATCCATCTCTATTATGGAGAGAAATATTTGCAAGAGTAATGTTTTCATAGATACTCCCATCAAAATACAAAAGAATCAATGGCCTGACCTCTCAGGTGTCCAATATATAGATGCTTGGAACAAAGTCTTCCTAATCTTCCTAGGAATACTCAAACTTAATGTGTGCTTTTAAGGTTATTCAAACTCAAGTCCAGATTTACAAAGATAATCTACTTACAGAGAATTGACCTCACAAAGGTTGCCACTCCTAATATTCAGAAGCAAATTCTTTCCTGGAAATAAGCATGTGCTTTTCACCAGAGAGAAGAATAAAAAGTAAAATTGGTATGTCAGTCATTCATCTTGTCATTCTTTCATTCAGCATTTGTGGAACATTCATGTTTTTCACCCAAAGGGTATAAGTGTACTTGGCCAGATTTTGTAATCTACATAGAGAGCTAGAATGCCACATCTGACATTGAAGGGCTTCCCATTTAAAGTATGAAATTCAGTTCATTCATTTTCAAATATTTATTATGAACCTACTCAATTCAACACTCTTTCAGATGTGTTAAGGATGCAACTTTGAATCAGAGGAACCTGATTTTGCCCTCTCTGAATTTAAAGTTCATTGTAGAGGATGTACACTAAAACCTGAAGGACAAAAAGTAACTAATCATGCAGTGATACTGGGCCAGGACATTGCTAGCAAGAGTCTGGCTCTAACGTAGAAATGAGCCTGTATATTTGACTCCAAAAAATGAGTATGGCCTAAACACAGAAAACAATAAAAAATATATTTCTGTTCAGATTGTAGTGGGTGAAACAAAAGATGAGAGGTGGAAGAGAGAATTTTGTGACAGGAAAACTTTCCTAGAAAAAATGTCGTAAAGTGGAAACTCATTAAATGAAGGTGAGTGGAAGTTCATAGGGTAACAGAAGGGAAAGGGCATTCGGACAGGAGCTGCTAGACCCAGGTAGAGAGAGGTATGAGACAGAAGATGCATCTTAGGAAATGCGCATTGGCCTGTATAGCTAGGGTATAGAGTGGTGACAAGTGCAGCAGAGCACAGTGGCAAAGGAGGAGAGGCAGGCATGTCAGTGAAGATTGCTAATGGCTGCAAACAAGAACGCAAACAACATAGGCTTAAATAATTAACAATTTACTTTTCTAAGAAGAAGTTTTATGGTAAGCAGTTATTGACTCTGATCAGTAGCTTAATTACATCAAGAATAAAAGCCATTCTCGAGGCCTTCCCCTCATGGGATCAACATGGCTGTAGCGGCTCCAATCATGTCATCCTAACCCCATGGTAAATGTAGGAAGTAAGAGGTTGCGTGGCACAGAAAAATACCCTTTCTCTTACAGTATTTTTCTAATCAGGGATAAAAATTCTCTTCCAGAAACTCTCCAGAAAACTTCCTCTTCTACCTGGATAACATGCCCACCTCAGATGAAAAATCTAGATTTCCTAAGATCAAGGAACCTTGTTCTGTTAAGTCAAGGTTTTCTTAGCAAGGAAAAAGGAGGTGCAATAAGCATCATGCTGGCACTGATAGTGTCTGCCAGAGCAGGAGCTGACGATGGAGGGCCTCGGAATTTTGTGTGCTGTGATAGGCTTCCTCCTATGGGCAATGGGCCTCTAGTTGAAACCTTAGCTAACAATCACTTAGTGATAGTCACATTTTTGTGTTCCTTTATATTTCCTAATTAAAACATTTTTGCTGCCATTTGTACATGACTTTACTTCTTCCCTACTTTGCCCTTCCTCTTTCTGTGGGTTTTATAGATAAAATCAGTATAGCCTTAATTATGTTATTGTTTTATAATCTAGTACATTTGAATCTAATAAACAAAATCCACCAGAATTGAATTCCTTGTAAGTAGTTTCATAATATAGCTTTAGTCTATTAGGATAGACTTTTCTCTCGGGTCACAAATGTAGATATAAATATCATTTCTATTACCTTATTAATCATTATATAAACCATGAGTCATATATATTAATTTTTCTCTGGTAGGATCACTCTGCTAGGATAATATGGAAAGCATGAAGATTGATGCCTTATTTTGCTTTCATAAACAAAATAATCAATGACCTGTATTTTTTACTCAACTAAGAAAAAATGCAAAACTAACAAGTTCATTGATGATGAAAATAGTTTCCCACATTTTATTAGCTTTGCTTTTTTATGCCACATTAAATGAAGAAGTCTAAATAAATTCCCACCTGCTTAAAAAGTTCCTTCCATTTATGCTATAGGCAATTTAGTTTAATGTTTGCTACTTCTGCCCTAAGAAAGAAAAAAGTTAATAAATTATTATTACAAGGAACCATCTACAAATGAATGCATTGTCCATCTGTTATTTGTAACAGTATTTTATTGAAGTATGGTCTATAGAAGAAAACCATGCTTAGTAGCCAAGAGCTGTTATAAATTTGCAAATTAGGGGTTGAATCATGCCCAGGATGAAGTTCTAGCTTGTGGCAGCAACTATAGGAAATGGCTTTGCAATAGTGGGAGAGCAGTAATTGTTCAATTTAGTCCTTTGACAGTTCAGATTCTACCAAGGATTTCTAGAATCTCCTTTAGTAATTCTTCACTCAGAACCCCGTGTTACTAAGGATTTCTTAACTTTCTCAGCATGAGGACTTTTCTCTCAGAAACTTATGTGTTGTTCATTTTGCATCATGTTCATTTAGTATCTATGGTGAGAAAACAGAATGATAAGAAATTAACACATATCTAGAAATATTTAAAAATGTATTTGCTGACTCGGTTAAATGTAATGGTCTGATCATAGGTAATCACATCCTTTCCCTCCCAAACACCACAAAAATTAATTAAAAATAGAAATTTTGTTAATTAATGAGAACAAAGAGAAAAACAGAAAATATAACATCAGAAAAATCCTTACAGCAATATATTAGAAAGTGGAATAAGATGGAGGAGAGGTAACAGACATAGCAAAGCAGAAAATGACAAAAACTAATTCATCACACAGAGGGGCTTCTAATGGCAAGTGGGCTTTCTTACCTCACAAATCCCCTGAGAGTCTCTGATTGTGGGGAAACAGGTTACCTGGAAAGCAGAAGTCAGTTTAAGACTGAACACTCAGAGACTGTTTGAGAATCTCTTTACCCCTCCACAAATACACACTAAGAGAAAAGAGAAGTCTAGTCTCTGGAGAAGTTGATTCAGGAAGCAGTGAACACCAAGAAATTGGTTTAGGGTAGAACAAGGTGATTAAATTGTTCTACACACATCCCCTATACTACCCACAGCCCTTTCCTCTGCTCTGTTTTGAGAATACTTATTGCCATGTTTAATTTTTCCTGAAGAAAATTGGAGGATAATCTGTGTAAAAATTGTTTTTGAAAGGCCCCAGATATAGACCTCTAGAGATTTAGGAGTTGCTTGAGATGTATAGGAGTTCACTCTAAGTAAAGTCAACTAGTTGGACCTTGTCCTACACCTCAAGCATCTCCCCCACCACCCAGAGCTTCTAGTAAGTGTTTTGTAATTTGATAGTATATACAGATGTTTCCTGAAGAGGTAATGTATGTGATACAAAATTCTTTCTCATGACAAAGAGTGACTAAAATATTTATGAAAATGGGACCCAATTAAAACATATGAACAGGTCAAATAATACATATATAAAACAAGAAGAGGGAACTATTTTTAAAAAGCAATCAGAGAAAAAAGGGCACTGCAAAATAGAGTAAATTACAGTAAAAAATAAATCATTAGAAGTCAGGAAAATCTATAAACTATGTGGAAAATAAGAACAAAGAAATTATAAATATAGATTAATGTAGGTGGTTCGACATCCAACAAGTACAAATTTTAGAGAGAGAAAGAGAGTATAAAAAGAGGAAAGAAAATGATCAAGATATGATCAAAAATATCTCCAAAGTGTAAGGGCTTATGTCTTTAACTTAAAAGATCCCATTGAATTCCCAGAAAAAATTAATGAAATAATATAATATTCAAAGGCATATTATCATGAAGTTTCAGGAGACCGGGGTTTAAAGGGCAGATTTTTTAAAACTCACAACATAAATATTAGACTAGTAACACGAAAAACCGAAAGATATATAACAATAGTATTAAAAATTCTGATTGAAAATTATTTTCAGCCTATAATTTTATACCCAAGCAAGGTATAGTATCACTGAAATGTGAGGATTGAATAAAGACATTTTCAGATCTGCAATAATTCACAAAAACATGCTTCCTATTACTCTTTCCTTGGAAGCTACCACGATATATAATTCATGAAAAATGAAGTAGTAAATCAGGAACAAGGGAGACAGGGGATTTGAGAAACTTTGTCTTCTATACAAGAGAGGAAAAAAGGGACATTCCAGCATGACTACTGTGACTTAACCCTAAAAACCTAATAGTCTAGATTGAAGCAAGAAATAAAGATCTGTCAGAGTCAGATCTTCAATTAGAACAAGCAAACAAAACAAAAATGGAACACCAGGGGATTGATAGATGATTTGAAGTAATTGAGCCTTTGGAATAGTGTTGCCTAATGTTTGACATATCTGTGAGAACATTTTCAAAAAAGAATCAGTGATAAATAGGTAAGCAGATTTTAAAATAATGAAGTAGTTATCACCTTTAATATAAAAAGTCATGTAATAATAAAAACTTAATAAATATGCACTATTATTTCAGCAGTACATAATTTTTACACATAAAAATGATGTAAAGGCTGGCTAATGCTTTGGCACAGATGAGAGAAAGCAACAGTGAGGTTAGTTAAGAGTACAAAAATCCCAATTATCCTCAGTACTCCCAAATACTTCTAGTTTTCTTAACATCCCTATGTTTAGTACAGTAGTTCCA
Organism: Homo sapiens; assembly: GCF_000001405.40. NCBI lineage: Eukaryota > Metazoa > Chordata > Mammalia > Primates > Hominidae > Homo > Homo sapiens. The sequence goes on along the minus strand of NC_000003.12, from coordinate 152,752,408 downwards.
TCTCCAACTTTATTCAGATATCCTTTATTAAATCTCTACAGTTCTTCTGGGAATTTGGTCTAGTACACAAACAAAGGAAGGATTCTGGATGTCCTGCCAGTTTCTCTTTTTTAAAATTAATTAATTATTTTTTTAAATTGACAAATACAAAGTATATATATTTGTCATTTACAACATGATGCTTTGAAATATGCATACATTGCAGAATGGTTACTTTGATCTAATTAACGTAAGCATTAACTTTTTTTTTAAGTGAAAGCAAGTTTATTAGAGAAGTGAAGAAACAAAAGAATGGCTACTCCATAGACAGAGCAACCTAAACATTAACTTATATATCATTTTTTATGGTAAGAACACTTAAAATCTGTTCTTTTACTAATTTTCCAAGAATACAGTACATTGTTATTAACTATAGTCACCATGTTGCATAAAAGAGCTCTTGAACTTATTCCTCCCGTCTATCTGAAATTTTATATTCTTTGACCAGCATCTTTCCAACCACCCCAAAACTCAGTCCCTGGTAACCACCATTCTACTTTCTGCTTCTATGAGTTTAACTTTTTAAGATTCCACCTGTAAATGAGATCATGTGGTATTTGTCCTTCTGTATCTGGCTTATTTCACTTAACATAATGTCTTCTAGATTCATACATCTTGTCAAAACAGGATTTCCTTGATTTTTAAGGTTGAACAGTATTTTATTCTGTATATATACTATATTTTCTTTATTCATTCATCTCTTGATGGACATTTTTAGTTTGATTCTTTACCTTGGCTATTGTGAATAATGCTGCAAAGAACATGACAGTGTAGCTATACACACCGATTTAGTTTCCTTTTTGATTCGTGATTTAATTTCATACATACCCAGTGGAGGGATTGCTGGATCATATGGTTATTCTAATTTTAATTTTTAAAGGAACCTTCATATTGCTTTCCATTGTGGCTGAAGTAATTTCAGTTACATGGTCTGGTGTACATAGTCTCACCAACACTGTGAGAGAGTCACCTATTCTCCACATTCTCAACAGTACTAGTTATATTTTGTCTATTTGATAATAGCCATTCTAACAAGTGAGAGGTGATATCTCATTGTAGTTTTAGTTTGCATTTTCTTGATGATTAGTGATGTTGAGCATTTATTCATATTCATGTTAGCCATTTGTATGTCCTCTTTTGAAAAATGTCTTCAGGTCCTTTGCCTATTCTTAAATGAGGCCATTTGTCTTCCTTATATTATTTCAGTTTTTTATATATTTTGGATATTAACTCCTTATCAGATGTACGGTTTGCATATATTTTCTTCCATTTCATAGGTTATCTTTTTCTCTGTTGCCTGTTGCCTTTGCCATGCAGAAACTTTTTAACTTCCTGTAATCCCATTTGTCTATTTTTGCCTACAGTTTTGAGGTCATATCCAAAAAATTATTGCTCACACCAATGTTGTAGAGTTTTGTCCATATGCTTTTAGCTAGTAGTTGTACAGTTTCAGGTCTTTAAGTCTTTAAACCATTTTTACATGATTTTTGTATATGGTGTGAGGTGATGGTCTAATTTCATTCTTCTGCATGTGGATATCCAATTGTCTCAACATCATTTATTGAAGAGATTGTCCTTTCCCTATTGTATGTTCTTGGCTCCTTTGTTGAAAAGTCAATTGACTGTAAATGCGTGGGTTTGCTTCTGGGCTCTCTATTCTGTTGCACTGGTCTATGTGTCTGTTTTTAATGCTAATACTATGATCTTTTGATTACTACAGCTTTGTAGGATATTTTGAAGTGAGATAGTGTGATGCCTCAATCTTTATTCTTTTTGCTCAAGATTTTTTTATTGTTCAAGGCCTTTTGTGGTTCCATAAAAATTTTATAATTGTTTTTTCTATTTATGTGAAAAATGTCATTGTAATTTTGATAGAGATTGCATTGATTCTGTAGATTGCTTTCAGTAGTATACACATTTTAACAATAATAATTTTTCTAATCCATGAACATGGTATATCTTTGCATTTATTTATCTTCTTCAATTTCTTTCAATGTCTTATAGTTTTCAGTTTATATGTTTTTCACCTCTTTGGCTAAATTTGTACCCAGGTGTTTGTGTGTGTGTGCGCTTGCATGTGCATGCATGTGTAGCTACTATAAATGGGATTGTTTTCATGATTTACTTTTTAGATAGTTTATTGCTAGTGTATAGAAGTGCTACTGATTTTTCATGTTAATTTTGCATCCTGCCACTTTACTGAATTCTATTATTAGTTCAAACAGCTTTTTGGTGGAGTCTTTAGGATTTTCTATATTTCAGGTTATTTCACCTGCAAACAGGGACAATTTAACTTTTTCCTTTCTAATTTGGATACGTTTCATTCATTTCTCTTGTCTAATTGCTCTGGCTACTATTTCCAGTACTATGTTGAATAGAAATGGCAAGAATGGGCACCCTTGTCTTGTTCCTTGTTTGTGTGTGTGTGTGCTTTCATGTGCATGCATGTGTAGCTACTATAAATGGGATTGTTTTCATGATTTTACTTTTTAGATAGTTTATTGCTAGTGTATAGAAGTGCTACAGATTTTTCATGTTAATTTTGCATCCTGCCACTTTACTGAATTCTTTTATTAGTTTGAACAGCTTTTTGGTGGAGTCTTTAGGATTTTCCATATATCAGGTTATTTCACTTGCAAACAGGGACAATTTAACTTCCTCCTTTCTAATTTGGATATGTTTCATTTATTTCTCTTGTCTAATTGCTCTGGCTACCACTCCCAGTACTATGTTGAATAGAAATGGCAAGAGTGGGCATCCTTGTCTTGTTCCTGATCTTGGAAGAAACGTTTTCAACTTTTCACCATTGAGTATCATGTTAGCTGTGGGCTTTTCATATATGGCTTTTATTGCATTGAAGTACATTTCTTCTATAGCTAATTTGTTGAGAGCTTTTAAGCATAAAAGGATGTTGAATTGTGCTTTTTTTTCTGCATTTATTGAGATGATTTTTTTTTGCCCTTTATTTGTTAATGTGGTATCACATTTATAGCTTTGCATAAGCCAAACAATCCTTGCATCCCAGGGATAAGTCCCACTTGATTATCATGAATTGTCTTTTTAATGTGCTCTTGAATTTTGTTTACTAGTATTTTATTGAGAATTTTTGCATCTATGTTCCTCAAGGATATTGCCTGCACTTTCTTTTCCTGTGGTGTTCTTGTCTGGCTTTGATAATAGGGTAATATTGGCTGCGAAAAATAAATTTGAAAGTATTCTCTCCTCTTCAATTTTTGGGAAAAAATGAGAATATTTGGTGCTAATTCTTTAAATATTTGGTAGAATTTAACAGGGAAGCCATCATTTTCTGGGCTTTTCTTTAATGGGAGACATTATATCATTTATTCAATATTCTTACTCATTATTAGTCTGTGCAGATTTTCTACTTCTTCATAGTTTAGTCTTGGTCAATTGAATTTGTCTAGAAATTTATCCATTTTTTCTAGGTTATCTAATTTGTTGGCATGTAATTGTTCCTAATAGGTTCATGATTCCTTCTGTGGTATCAGTTGCAATGTCTTCTTTATTTATGTGAGTCTTTTCTTTGTTTTGTAGATCTATTATTCTTTTATTTCTCTCTTGCTTCTGTAAAAATAAAAAGGTGAAAGTTGATCAATTTTGTTTATCTTTTTAGAAAAAACAACTCAGTTTTGTGGATCTTTTCTATTGTTTATCTAGTCTCTATTTCATTTATTTCTACTCTGATCCTTGCTATTTCCTTCCTCTTACTAACTTTTTGGGCTTAGTTTGTTCTTTTTCTAGTTCCTTAAGATATAATGTTAGGTTGTTTATTAGAAATCTTTCCTCTTTTGGATGTAATTACTTACTGCTATAAAGTTTTCTCTTGGAACCAATTTTGTTGTGTCCTAGAAGATTTGGTATGTTGTGTGTCAATTTTTGTGTTTCAAAATATTTTAAAATTTCTCTTCTAATTTCTTCTTTGACCCATTGGTTGTTCAGAAGCATGTTATTTAATTTTCATGTATTTGTGAATCTTTCAAAATTCCCGTTACTGGTTTCTAGTTTTATAGCATTGTGGTCAGAAAATATATTTGATATGATTTCAATTTTTTTACATTTTTACAACTTGTTTTGTGACCTAACATAGTATCTATCTCGAAGAATGTTTTATGTGCACTTCAGAAAAATGTGCATTCTGCTGCTGTTGGATGGAATGTTCTGTATGTGTCAGTTAGGTCCATTTGACCAAAAGTGTAGTTTCAGTCCAATATTTTCATATTGATTTTCTGTCTAGATGATCTATCTATTGCTGACAGTGAGGTATTAAAGTCTCCTACTATTATTGTATTACAATTTATCTCTTCAGATCTATTAATATTTGCTTTATGTGTTTAGGTACTTCTACATACCTTGCTTCTATATAGCTATATGCTTCTATAAACCAGAAGCGTATATATTTATAGTTGTTAAATCCTCTAATGAATTAGTCCTCTTTCATTATGTAATGACTTTCTTTGTCCGATTTTATCATTTTTTTAGTTAAAGTCTATTTTATCTTATGTATCTATATCTACTCCTGCTCTCTTTTGGTTTCCATTTGTATGGAATATCTTTTTCCATCTCTTCACTTTCATTCTATGTATGTCCTCAAAGGTGAAGTGGGTCTCTTGTGGACAAAATATAATTGAGTCTTGTTTTTTAATTCACTCAGCCACTTTATGTCTTTTGATTGCAGAATTTAATTCATTAACATTCAAGGTAATTATTGATATTGACATACTTACTATTGCCAATTTGTTAGTTATTTTCTGATTGTTTTGTAGATCTATTGTTCTTTTATTTCTCTCTTGCTGCTGTAAAAAAAAAATCTGAAACAATGATACATAAGACACTGGTTATCAGACAACAAAGGGCAGTGATCCTTGACAGTCACAAATCAAATAAATTGAGCCCTTATATTGCTCAGCTTACTCTCTAGGGACTTGGCAAGAAGAGAAAAGAAACCCAGGCAGAACTCTGCAGTCTCCCTAAATTGATGAGATGCAACGGCAAGTCCAGGAAGGCCAAAGCGGCTAGAAATTACAAGGCAGAGTACCCAAGATGTGAGAACCCTTCAAGGGTTCATTATACTACTGGTCAATATATGAATGGTAGTTCAGGAAAAGAACCACGTGGAAGGATTCAAGGGAACAACACTCAGAGACCACACAGGGTCAAAACAGAACCCAGGATCAAAACAGTGCCTCTATGCAACAGCCAGACTAGAAAACCTCATAATTTAGAGGGCATTGGCAAGAAGTACTAGCTATGGGGAAAGCTGAGGTGGGAGGCTTGCTTGGGCCCAAGATTTCAAGGCTGCAGTGATGATACCACTGTACTCCAGCCTGGGTGACAAATTGAGACCTTAAAAACAAAAATCTTGCCTCATTGTTGGAGAAATATTAGCCTTAGTTCTTCTCTGGTCTAACATTAAAACTAAAGCCCAAAAGGATCAAACTCTTGCCAAATAACCACATGCAGAACAAAAGTCAAGAATATTCACAAGAATATGAAAATATCTAGGCATAAAAGGGTTAAATTCACACTGGCAACTGAACTAAAAAAATTGCAATACCTGCAAGAAGCATGAAAATATAACTCATGAGAAAAATTGTTCCACTGAAGCTGAATTAAAAATGAAGTGAAATGGTATAATATCACTGCCTTATTTTTATAATATTCTGAGGTATTAGAAATTGAGACTTTTTTTCAGTGGGGTTAATTAAGCATGGAAAAGGAAATGGTGATTAAATGTAAAGTAGAAGCATAAAATTTAGTGAAAGTAAAGCTTAAAATCTTTAAGTACTCCTAATTATTTGGTAGAATGCTTGTTTTCTCTCCAAACAATAAGAAGAGGTTGAGAGCAGATTTATTAAAATCTTGAAGTGCATGGTAGTCCTGGTAGGCTGCAGGACTTAAGTATGCTGGCAACTGATTTCTGGGTTATACTAGCAAAACCAATCTCATTTTAGAATGGGGAATTCTTAAGTGTGGCTAGAGAAATAGCATCCAGATTTTGTACCAAGAACCCTCGGGGTGATTTAGGGTCATTTGAAGAGTCCTGAGATTCCACCTGGCCCTAATGAATACTGGACACAATTACATAGTACTAACAGGTATTAAAGTAATCTTCTTTTTCCTCCCTCTTCACTTTCCTTTAAGAGGTAACAAAATATAATTGACAATTTTATCTAATCTAGTCTCTGCTCATTACCAGAAAGACATAAATAGTCATAAACCTATTGCTTTGAAACTGATGGATATCCCAACCTCCCCCAGACCCAACTTTGCTTCACTTGTTGGAAATGGTGGTTTTGGAATTGAAACAAACAAATGAACAAGAACAAACAAACAAACAAACAAAAAATCTACTAAGCTTACTGAGGTTTTACATGGGCTTTGACCTTGGCTGTTCCACTATCCTTGCCTCCTCTTGTGGTATTTAACAAGGCACCAACCCTCCAGCCGTCATTGCTGCCTTTGCCTTTGTGCACCCATTAGCATTGACCTATGTAGAACAGAGTCCCACAGATCCCCTGGCAGTCCATATTAGTGAATAAAGCTCCTTAACAGCTACCCTAAGAGGCCATTTACAACCTGCTCAGGAATGTAAATTAAATGCAAAATAAAGCAAACAAACTTAACCACAGTACAATTTGGTTGATTCATTCATTTAACCAATCCTTAGAGAAGCAATTTTCTTTGACTTTAAATGTTAACTTAGATTTTGGCAAAAACACAGTTTTGTTTGTTTGTTTGTTTGTTTGTTTTTGAAGCTTGATTTCTAGCCATGATAACAATAAAAAATGCTGATATTCTGAAGGGCTTACTTAGGTAGCAAATTTAAAAGATTGGATTCAACTGATTATAGCTAAGAAATATTAGCTAATTTTACTAAAATATTGCTAATTTTAGCAAGAACAATCTTCACCTTTCCCAAATAACAGGTAGAACTGTAAGATCTTGACTAGGCCAGGATTAAGGGTCAGTCAGCTGGGCCCTTGCCCAGGGCACTAATCTATAAGGGCACACAGCTGGAGAAAAAAGATTATTTATAGAACTCCTCTCAGTGAGTGTATGAGGCTGAAAGGACTATTTTTTTAAGCTACTTGGAATGGGACAGGTAAGATCCCAAAAGATGTTGCTGAGAAGCCTGGCAAAAAATGAAAACAAGGTTTTTATTTTACCCAGTGGGGAGGGGTGAAGTCTAAGTTTAGAGACAGAGTGGAATTGACACATGACAATGGATAATGTACCTCATCTCCCACCAAGTGTCTTTTCTTAGTTTCCTTTCCTACAAAATCCCCATCCTCACCTTTAAACTCTTTTTTTTTTTGAGACAGAGTCTCACTCTGTCATCCTGGCTGGAGTGCAGTGGTGTGATCTCAGATCACTGCAACCTCTGCCTCTTGGATTCAAGCGATTCTCCTGCCTCAACCTCAGAGTAGCTGGGATTACAGGTGTGCACCATCACGTCCAGCAAATTTTTTTTTTTTTTGAGATGGAGTCTCGCTCTGTTGCCCAGGCTGGAGGGCAGTTGTGCGATCTCAGCTCACTGCAAGCTCTGCCTCCTGGGTTCACGCCATTCTCCTGCCTCAGCCTCCCAAGTAGCTGGGACTACAGGCACCCGCCACCACACCCAGCTAATTTTTCTGTATTTTTTAGTAGAGATGGGGTTTCACCATGTTAGCCAGGATGGTTTGATCTCCTGACCTTATGATCCTCCTGCCTCGGCCTCCCAAAGTGCTACGATTAGCTGCCGCACCTGACCCCTCATCTTTAAACTCTATTGAACAAATATTTTTTAAAAATCAGTGTGAGGAGGTACATAATATTTATCTGCATGGTGCACAGTATCATTAAGGCACCACATACCTTGGCCTTTTCTGGAGCTTAAGAACTTTAATCTTGTATCTCTGAAAGACAGAAATACAGATAAGGTAATAGTTATATGACTAGCTCAGATATTGAAATTAATGCATAATACAAAACCGTATTTTAGCATAAATAACGCAGTACAAGTGCTCAGTATTTATAATAGGTTCATTCTATCTGTCCTAGCATACTTTCTAACTTAACTGATAAGAAGTATTAAAGTGTTATCCTGGGCATTTTATCATTTTGTTTAACTGCTTTTCAGGGTAGATTTGTAAATTGAAAAAATATCTTAGAGGCAGGTAGTCAGCAAAGAAGGTGGCAAAAACAGGAGACTGATTTCTGCAAAAATTTTGGGGAAATATGCTGAAAAATCAATTGACTAGAGTCCTTTAGCGTTAGAGTTCAATAAGGAATATGTTGTGTTACAACAGGTAGTAGGATCTATACATATGCTTATTCTTCCATTTAACATATAATATTTGAGCACTGAAGTCTACTCCAGGCATTTGTTTATGGTACTGAGAAAGAGCAACGAACAAATTCCTGTCCTGTGGCGATTTCTTCCTAGAGAGAAGAGAGAGATAGCAATCTATTACATCAAATAGCAATGAGTGCTATGGAGAAAGATAAAGAAGGGAAATAGGGAAAGATTATACTGGGTGAGATGTTGACTGATTTGCTCTTTTATTCTACTTGGAGTGATCTGGGAAGACATCACTGGTAAGGTAAAATTTAAACAGACATCTATAAGAAGCAAGGGAGTGAGGCATGAGCTCATCCAGGGGAATGATTTCAGGTAAAGGGAGCAGAAAGCTCGACAATTAAAGGCATTAGTGCATTCAACTAGGAGGAAGAAGTCAATATGTGTGGTCATCAGAATAAGAACAAGAGTGGTAAGAAAAGATGTTGGAGAGATAGCAGAGGGCCTAAGTCATGTAAGGCCAACTGTTTATTGTAGGACTTTGTATTTTACTCCAAAAGAGATGGGAAACTATTGGGTTGGGGGGAGTTGGACAGAAGAGTGAGGTCATCTGAAAAATGTTTTTAGAGGACCACTTTGCTACTGTATTAAGCCTATGATGTAGAAGAGAAGCAGGGGAAGAGGCACAGAGTTCAGCAAGGAACTATTTTAATAGCATATGGAAAAAAAAGACAAAAGCATGAACTAGGATGGTGAGAAGTAGCCATAAGCTGGATATGTGGTGATATGGTTTGGCTTTGTGTGCTGACCCAAACCTCACCTCAAATCATAATCCCCACAATCCCCACGTGTCTAGGGAGGGACCTTTTGGGGGGTGATTGGATCATGAGGGCAGTTTCCCTCATGCTGTTCTCATAACAGTGAGTAAATACTCATGAGATCTGATGGTTTCATAAGCATCTGGCATTTCCCTTGCTTGAGCTGCTTTCTTTCTTGCTGCCTTGTTGAGAAGGTTCCTGCTTCTCCTTCCACCATGACTGTAAGTTTCCTGAGGCCTCCCCAGTCATGTGGAACTGTGAGTCAATTAAACCTCATTCCTTTATAAATTACCAAGTCTTAGGAAAGTTCTTTACAGCAGTGTGAAAGCAGACTAATACATGGAGTGAAGGAAGATACCACAGAATTTACTGATAGTTTAGATATAGGGTTGAAGAAGAAGTAAAGGATAAAAGGAGAAAGGATCCCAACAGCAAGGGGAAATTCCTCATCTTCATTTAAGATGGCTCCAAATGTGATAATTATCAATCTATTTAAAGCCTTCTCCTGATGAAAAGCATATATTTGGGAGCAAGTATACCCTTCAGAAAGATCCATGAAATTATTGCTTAGAGAGATATTATTAGAGGAAAACAAATTTGAGGTGAGCCTACACCTAAAAAGTAAATTTAAAGCAGCAGCTTAATACTTATAAAGCTGGAGACAGCTTTAGGGAGTATTACTTACATGGTTTCAGTAATGGTCGGTCATAGGTAAAGGGTTTCACTAACAGAACATTAATCTAAGATAATACAAATATGGAATAGAAACTTATTTTGTCACAGATTCAGTTAAAATTATCTGTGAAGAGGTGAAAATAAAGTGGTTTTTAAAACAAGACCATAAATTCAAAATTCTTGGGAAATAAATCTGCATTATGACTACTTTTAATGTTCAAACATATATCTTAAAGATTTATCTTTTATATATAATAAAAATCCCACAAGTACCAAGAAAAAAAGATTATGAAAGCAGTCAGAAATTTTGATGTCTCCCAAGGTAGGTGAGAGATTTTGCTTTGTTTATGCTGTTGTTGTTTGTTTGTTTTTTGCTTTTTTGTTTTTATTTTTTAATAGCTTACAAAAAATCCCAAAGATGTTGGCAGGGAGAAGACTAAAATTCCATGGAAAATTAAAAATGAAGTGTATATAGAAGCTGACAACAACATGTTTTGGGCTAGGTTAATAGAGAAAATATCGTGGTCAGTTCAAGGCTAAGTTGACAACTGTTATTTCTTTTGCCAGGAAAAAGCCATAAATAGAGATCACTAATATTGACCTAGATGAAGGCAAGGGACAAAAGAAAAACTGCCACATATTAGCAAAGGGTATTTCTTTCCTTGTGGCCATATGACATTACTTTGGGGAAGCAAAAGGAATGACAAAATCTAGACAATGACCTGTGGAAGAAATCTCAAGACTAAATGCAGAAAGGTGAAATTAATGAATGCTGAAATTTTAACAAGAGGAGAGAATGATGAAATGTCACATTTATTTAATCTACCAAATTGCTAGAACCTAAAATTCAAAAGAATTAGACAAGAGTAAATTTAATAGATGTTAACATGTGTCTATGATTTGCTGGCTATTGACCATTATAGGTTAAACGTGTTAAAAACATTATCACATTTAGTTTTACAAATACATAGGTCATTTTTGCTATTTCACAGGTAAGTTAAAAATTCAGAAAATCCAAGCATCTGCACATATTTACCCCAGTAGTAACCACCCAGTCTGGTGTATGGGCCTCATCCTATTTCCTCTAGCACATGGTGTTGCTTGCAACAACAGGCAATGTCTCAATATTAGGATTTAATAATTGTCTTTTAGGAACAAAAATCTCTTAAAAAGGAATCATATAATGGCTGAATTTCTAGCTTTTGCTCTCAATCCCCTACTGTCTTCTTTACCTCTCCAAAGTTCCAACTGATCCAGGGATCCTGGAAACATTAAACAAAATCTGATTGGAGATCCTGCATATTTAGTTGGGTTCTCACTGCTGCTTGAAAAATACTTCATTGACTTTCTTTTGTAGTTACAACAAATAACTGAACTATTATTTTCCCTTCTTCACTGAACCCATCTCCCTTGCATTCTGAGTTTATTATTTTTTTATTTTTAAATAAAAACTTTGAGTCTGAAGTAAGAAATTTGAATTCACCTTTTCTCTATTTTAAAAACTCTCTGTGTCATTACTCTCCTTACACTTCTATTAAATCCTTCTCTGAAAGAAGGACTGTTCTTTTCAGAGATCTACCCTATCATCTCAAGATCAAATTGGTTTCTGGATTAATTTCCACATATCCTCATATTCCAACCAGGACTTTTTGCATACCCCGTACTCCACACCATGGTATGTTGTAGGTTTCTTTTCCCCAGTTCCTATAAATATGGTCCCTTCCCCAGTCCCCTTACTTTGCGGATCTTTCTTCTTCATGTCCCAGCTGAATTTCTAACAATAGTCACAATTCATCTATTCCTTATTATATACCCTTTATCTGCTTGTAATTTGCCTCTATTTTACTGAAAATGCTGTCGTGAAGGTCATCTGGACCTTCTTATAAACAAATCTGTTGTTTGAGGAGTAATCAGTCTCTTCTGTCTTCTGCAGCATCTGGACATGCTGATAGAGATTTTTAAAAATCTCTCTTCTTTATGAATTTTCCTTTGCAGTTCTTCCCTGTCTCCTCGCATAGTTCTGTCCTTTAAATGCAAGTCTTTCTAATGTTCTATCATAACTTTCTTCTCTGTGTTGACATTATTTCCTTTGTATTGTCATTTACTTCCATGATGTCAACTTTTACTTTTAAAGTTTCTGAAATTTACTTTCAATTCATTTTTTAAAATATTTTTATTTCCAGAAAGTTTATTCATCCATGTATTGATTCATTCAGAGATGTATTGGTACCCATTAAAGTCTGGATAACAGCATTACTTAGTGAGCTCTGATTTCAATTTTTAGTTTATTATAGCTTACAATAAAGTATAGACTAAAATATAACCAATAGAACAAAATAAAATGATACAATCAATGAAAGAGGCAAGAAGTGTAAAATAAGTATATGACTGTCTTAGTCCATTTTCTGCTACTATAACAAAAGATCACAGATTGGATAATTTATAAAGAAAAGAAATTTATTTGGCTCATGGTTCTAGAGGCAGGGAAGTCCAAGATTGAGGGGCTGCATCTGGTAAGGGCCTTTCTTGCTGCATCATCCCATGGCAGAAGGCTGAAGCAAGTGTGCAAGACAGAGAAAGAAAGGGGGCCAAACTCCCCTGATAATTAATCCACAGCTGCAATAATGGCATTAATCCACTCTTGAGGGCTTTGCCCTCATGACCTAATCACCTGTTAAAGGTCCTATCTCTTAATATTGTCACAATAGTAATTAAATTTCAACATGTATTTTAGAGGAGGCATTCAAGTCATAACAATGACAATCTAGGATAAAGGAAACTTACAGTTAAATACAAAAGTAGGCAGAGCTTCCTAGTAAATATAGTTAAAAGGGAAGCACACTAATATGCACGTCTCATTACTTAATAAAAAGGCAAATGTGAAATCATTAAGATTCTATTCTCCGTGAAGAATTTGTACCACAAAGAAAATTTTCATGTTATGGCAACAAACAATAAACAATTTAATAAGTACGCATAGTGATACACAAAAACAAATGCTTTTCTTAAGATACTATTTATTTTACAAAAATTAGAAACATAGATGCATAGATAAATTCACCAAGCAGATGCTTTTCATTTTAACATGTAACTTCTCAGTGAAAGGAAACTGTCAGGTGCCACTTTGCTAACCTTCTGAGGAATGCCTTCTGAGAATTATGGGAACAGATTTTATAACTGAGGCTTTAAAATTAACATTCCTTTTAGTCAGCTTCACATTGTAGCTCCTTATACTTCAGATATATTTGATTTGGGCATGAAAGTAAAAGATTTACACATTTTTTTCCAAATGCACAACCTGAAGCTAGTGAAAGTTTCCTTGATCTATTTTTCTACTGAAGTAGATATGCAACAACAACTGAATTCTAATAATCAATTGTTATAAACACACTGGATCAAATTTGGCAAAAATTAGAATGTCTGAAAGAAAAGGGAATAAATACACTTGTACGTATATCTATCATGCTATTATTTCATTTGAGTTGCTGTAGGACAAAGATCTGGCATCTGTAAATGTCAGGAGGTTATGGCTGAGACCTGAATTTTGTGTTCTGACTAAGAGTGGAAAAAATCCTATCATGCGTTTTACTAATCATCTCAACATATAAATGAACTGTCACTGGCACAAACTTGAATATTTTAGATAAATTTGTATTACTCCTTTAAGTCATTTGTTGTGTAATTATGTTTTGTCCTGTGGTGACTCTGGACTGCAAAGAGATGTCAAGCAAAAGTGAAACCCACATATTTCAGGCTTTTTGCCAATTCCTTTGAATGCAAAAGTTGAATTTTGCATTGTTCCACAAGAAAACATAACTTGTTCCAGTTAACAGATGCTTTTTCTTGCAATAACTACCACGCTGAACAACTAATTTTTCAAAATGCACTTTTCAGGAGAAACAGACTTTTGTCAGTTATTTTGAGCACCAGTGTTCTCAATAGGAAACTAATATATTTCTCCACTGTGTTGGACCCTAGCCTCAACAAAACAATGCATTACTGTATCAAAATTACATATTTGTTCACTGTTCTTTGAGAAAAACACTATCCAATTACTTTGTAAGAAAGAAAGAATAAACATTGGGGAAGAAAACAAATAATTTTACTTGCAGAAAAACAAAGTCATAGCTGAATCTTGGCTTATGTTTCAATCTTACATTTTAAATGGTTGTGATCCTAAAATAGCTCCATTTGTTTACCACCTACCAGGAAAAAAAAAGCAACAACACGAAGTGTGATTCAACTGCCTTGTTTAAATTTCAAATGGTTTTTCAGAACTAACAAAATTGGTCTTTAAATTAATACATGTAAGCTAATTGAGAAGTATTTGTAAAAATGGCATTGCTCACAGGATTTGGTATTATTATTTCTCTTTAAAAGATTCGTGATATTAAAAAATATAATGAGCATGCAGAAACAAGCAACTATTCAACATCACATATATAATAGGTAGCCTAAGAGCGGAATGAGGAAAATGTATATATCTTTTAATACAATTTATATACAAAAATTATTATACTGTTAATTAACTAAAGTTTATTGATAACCATAAGCAAAGTTTTCTCTTAGTGTTATATCTTCTTGTTAGGCTTTTGTGAAGTAGTAGTCTTTTAAAAACAGAAAATTACTACATTAAAAAAAAAAAAAAAACACCATGAACTGATGAAATTACCAAATTTCGCTCCAGTACTCAAATTTCATTGCGGTTATAAGAGGGATAGTTCTTCACACACCCAAGTCTATCAAGAGGAAAGTCATTCCCTCTGCTCTGCACATTGGAGAATCACAGTCAATAGGAAGCCTTTTCACAACATTTTGCACAGCAGATGGACGCCACCGGAAAGGAATTTGGAATCAGAGTTAGCCAACTGCAGGATGGGCTACTGATGGGGTGTATACAGCTTCAGCAGATAAACTTCTAGGTCTGGCTGAAGCTATACAGATTAAGAAAGACAAGGAGGTTAATAGATATTTCTTGCCCATCACAACAAGATCCCAGTAAAAAATAGATTAGTGAACTAGCCAATTAATTAGCAGTCTGACAAATAATATAAAATAATGTTGGAAGAAGAAAAATAACAAATGTTTTGAGAGTATATTAAGAAGAGTCAAGAAAGCACTAATAAAGGTCCAGAAATTTGCATAAGTTGTGGCAAGACTCAAATGTTTAAATATATCCAATTATTTATAGTTTTTGCTAATTTCTTTCTAGAAATTACAAAACTGTTGCAAGTGTCGGTTTGTAAGGGCTCCACAATTGGCCCTTCATTGGAAAATTGCTCTTAGCTGATGAGAGCCACGTCCTTCCCTTGGGTAACACAGCCAGTGACTGACTCATACAAGGATGCAAAAGGCCAACCCCCTTGCCTCAGAGGCCAAAAATGCTCATGTGGTTTAGGTTTCAGAACAATTCACCTTGCACATAAGGACATGGCTGGGTTTTACTTGAGACCACATCCTTGTACTGCTCTTTCCCCTTCTCTGTCTTGCCTCACACCCTTCCTTAGAGGCTAGTCCTAAACAGCATGCCTCAGAACAACTCTTGAATCCCTATCTCAGGCTCTACCCTGGAAAATCCAATCTAGAGATTCATAGTTTAGCTAAGATATCTTTGTATACTCCTTTAAATATTAAGTTTCTAAATGGCAATCTAACTCTGTGTTCCGAGCACTTAACATGGTTCTTGGCATGTATATACCCATGTTTATTCAAGGTAAATATTATCTTATGATCAATTTTAATCTGTTAATAATGTTTATTTTATTTGTATCCTCTATTTTCTTTTCCATTAAACCTGCATTATATGGCATTTTAGAAATTCATACAGGCATTAAGCCCTTTAAGGAAACAAGTTGATAAATAGATAGCATTTAAAACCAATTTACCAATAATGAATCTCTTTGTACTTTTATTTAACTGGAGTCTCAATCATGCTCCATATATAGTTATTTGACTACTTAAATGTTCATTTAACTAGATATTTTCATTACAAATTGATAGACTTTTTAGAATATATATCAAGATAAAATTTGAGGCATGTAAGTTATTTTAAATTTTTTCCTATTCTGTCAGTATTTACAATGTGCATCACTCTCAATTTAGCATTCCCACTTGTAGGGTATTTTGCAGAAAAAAACACTTTCCCAATGTGCATGAAAATTCATGTACAAAATATTTATTGTAGCACTGTTTATATGATGAAAAAATCTTAAAGATACATTTTCTAGTGAAAGAATCAGGACATAGAACATTGCAACAGAAAATATGTACCACATTGTATAAAATTCAGACTATATAACTAAATATTTACACATCCATAGCACATATACACATCTATGTGTTAAATGTATAGACAAAGGTTTGGGTAAAATTCACGTCAATTTAATAAAAATAGTTACCTTTGATGAGGGGCATGGAATTTGGAGAGTCTGGTGAAAGGAAATTTCTTGTTATTTTACATGCTTATGTATTGCTTTTTTTTTTCACAAAGAAAGTATATTTATATACTACTTCTTTAAAAAAAACTTCAAAAACATAGATAGTTGTGGGGAAAAGAGTAAAAATTACCTTAAATGAAAAAAAGAAACTAATGACCTTTTATTGTCCTTGTCAAATTCTTTCATTTTCTAAAACATTTCTCTTCTTCCTCTGAATTCCTCCATACTTAATTAAGTATGTATCATTCTTAGGGCATTTATTCAATTCAAAAATATTTATTAAATTTCTACTAGATTCAATTATGAAAATATATTATTCCTATCTCAAGGAATTCACAATTAAGAGAAAGAACTCCATTAACAATAAAGCAATGACCAAAAGCTAAACTATGGTAAACTTGAATGCAATGTTGTGGACCTTTGGGAGGCAGAATTTTAAGATGTCCCCCAAGATTCTTGATTGGTTTGTTACTGGCTTTGACCAATGGGAAGCACATGCAGGAGATGGGAGAGTGAGAGGAAAGATTCAGGTATTTCTTTCCCATTTCCTTTTTGCTATCACCCTGCTATTGAGCATACACTATGTGTCAGGCATTACCCATACATATTACATACTTAAACTTCATTTCATTTTCATAACATACCATTGAAGTGGCAGTTATTATTATACACATTTTAAAAATGGCATTAGGTAAATTGCTGTAGGTCATGGAGAGAAAAAATGGTGGAGTCAGAATTTTAACTCAGGTAACCTGACTCCAGAACTAATCACTATCACATACTGTAATCATCTTGGATAACCTGAATTTGTGACCTTAGGGAGGAAAGATAAGTTTTACTCTTGAATACACTTATTAGGATCTCAAAAAAAAAAAACAGATTTTACCATTAATGTTGGGTTCTTTCCCACACTTGATTATTTTTCTGTACTTGTCATAGAAATAGATGATATTAGATATATTTTGAAATCTTACCCATTGTTGCAATACAATATGAAACTCATATTAACAACTTGCACTGCATCCATATCACTTCATGGTAACACTCAAACTAGGAAAAGAAGGGAACTTCCTCAACCTGATAAAAGGCACCTCAACCTGATAAAAACATCACAATTAATGGTGAAAGACTGCAAGTATTCCCCCTAAGATCAGACGCAAGGCAAGGTTATCCACTCTCTCCAACTTTATTCAAATTGTACTAAAGTTTCTAGCCAGGGCAATTAGGCAAGAAAAGGAAATAAAAAATATCTAGATTGGAAAGGAAAAAGTAAAATTATCTCCAATTGCAGATAATATAATCTTCTATAAAGAAAATTCTAAACAATGAACAAGAACACTGAGTCGTTAGAGCTAATCAATAAGTCAGCAAGGTTGCAGAATATAAGATCAGTATACAAATATCAGTGGTCTTCTCTATACCACAATAAATAATCCAAAAATGAAATTAAAATAAGTTCATTTATGATACAATAAAAAATATTTAAATACTTGGGAGTATATTTAACAAAAGTGCCAGATTTGTACACTGAAAATTTCAAAACATCATTGAAAGAAATTAAGGAAGTTTAAATAAATAAAAAGACATCTCATGTTCTTGGATTGGAAAACTTAAATGGCATAAGTATTATGAATTGGAAAATTTAAATGGCATAATTATTATGGATTGGAAAACTTAAATGGCACAAATGGCATAAATGATATTTAAAACTTAAATATTATTTAAATGGCAATAATCTGTAAATTGACCTCCTGATTCAATATAATTCTGATTAAAATCTGGCTGTCATTTTTGCAGAAATTGACAAGCTCTTCTTAAAATGTATATGGAAGGACAAATGACTCAGAATAACCAAAACGGTCCTTTAAAAGAACAAGACCAGGCACTGTGGCTCACACCTGTAATCCCATAACTCTGGGAGGCTGAGGCAGGAGGATCACTTGAGGTCAGGGGTTCAAGATCACTCTGCATGATACAGAGAGACCCCACTACAGATAGAGATTCCCCTGAGGCAAATGCAAGTCAAAACTATAATAAGATACTACTTCACACACACTAAGATTGCTATCATGAAACAGACAGACAATATCAAGTGTTGGAGAGGATGGAGAAAAATTAGAACACTCATACATTGGTAGTGGGAATGTAAAATATTGCAGCTGCTTTGATAAACAGTCAAGCAGTTCCTGAAGTGCTTAAGCATAGAATTACCATATGGCCCAGCAATTACTTCCACACCTAAGTACATACCGAAAATAATTGAAAATACATGTTCACATAAAAACTTTTACATAATGTTTATAGCATTACGCACAATAGCCAAAAAATAGAAACAACCCAAATGCACATAACCAATGAATGGATAAACAAAATGCAGTATATTCACACAGCCATATTATTCAGCCACAAAAAGGAATAAAGTGCTGATCCTTGCTACAACATTGATTAACTTTGAAAACAGTATGCCAAGTGAAAGGAGCTGAACACAAAATACTACATATTGCATGATTAGATTTATGTAAAATGTCCAGAATGGGCAAATTCATAAAGATATAAAATAGATTATTGGTTGCCAGGAACTAGGGGAATTGGGAATTAAAGAGTGATCGCTATTGGGTTTAAAGTTCCTTTTCAGGGTGATATTATTCTGCAATCAGATAGTGGTAATTGTTGTACAATCTGTGAATATACTTTAAAAGCCACAGAATTGTATACTTTAAGAGAACTAATTTTATGGTAAAGAATATCTTACTTAAAAATACGTATTATGTAAATTACATGGAAATAAGATTCATGTGTAAATGGGTTATACTGATATATAGTAGGTATTCAACAAATATTTGTTGAAAAAAATGAATGCATAGTAACTCTGCTTAAGAATAGAAATTATAGAAAACTACAATATATGAAGCATAATTAAGAATTTAATCATAAGTAGCCAAGATCAGAACACTAGAAATAGAAATATTTTGAGAATGACAACTGTTACAGAGTTTTAAACCATTTTCCCTTTTAAAAGTACCAATTTTTTTCTGAATAACTCAATGTAGAATCACGAAGTAATATCTAAATACGGTGTTGCCAAAAATTACTTGCTAAGGGTTATTTGAAATGGACGTTTAATGGAGTAGACCCCTTAAGGTTCTATTTAAGAATTGTGGTTTTTGCAAAGGTTTTAAGTTAAAATGAAATTTTAGGAGAGATTAATCAATTCTGACTTGTTACAAAAGACTGTAATCATGCTAAACCCTGAATTGTTCTCCAGCGTATTCTGTACCTAAAACTGACAAAAACAGACTTTTTTCTTTCACCTTTCAGTTAGGACACGTATTTTAAGAGATGGTTATATTTATTCCAAGTTTATTTAGCTAAATATAGTGATCAATTTTTACTTCATTTGAGATGAATATGACAGAAAATGGAAGCTTCGTAAAGCTGCTCTTTATTTCACTTCTAACCTCTTTAGTTTCTTTAAAAGTGATCTTATTTGGGGCGTGTGTGCATGTCATATAAATATATGTGTTTATATCTATGTAGATATATACTAATCTCTTTGTAGATGTGCAAATATCTATGAATCATCAAATTTACTGGTACATGTTTAGGCAATTACAAGTAAGTTAATCATACCAGTTATAAATTTCAAAGAAGAAGGATAATAAAATGTTAACTCTAAATTGCAGGTTATAACTTTAAAAAGATATATTTTTAGGCTGTGATACTGCTAGATTAGTCAGAGTATTGTGTTAAAATTGACAACCAACTTGACTTAAGCAATGAGTATATGTTCTAATTAAGCTTAATGTTCTTGGTGGTAAAAGAGCATTTTCTTAGTATATGTTAAACAGTAGTGAGATGCACTAATGCAATTGCTCTGGAGTAAATACAATTTTGGTATCAATGTCTTAACTTCATAAACAAGTGAGAACAAATGAACACACCTAATCTAACCTGGCTTTGATGATAATTTGCAGAGTGGTTTTTATAACTAATCCACTATATACACCTATTTGCTTGCCAGATTTTCAAGTGTCTCCAAGTTATCTTGAAATTCGTGATAGCATTCATTCTTTCTGTTAGGGCATTGCTCTCCTTAGTGACATCTTCAGATTCAGAGATCACAATCATTTCACTAATAACAGACATCTTTTCCTAGGTATTATACTTTCCTACAAAAAGAATATAATGGTGCCACCAAAAGAGGATTGCTGCGGCCTAAATACAAACATAATTGGAAAAAACAAGTATACACTTAAAAATCCATAAATATTCCTAGGAGGACACCTCCTCAAACCCACTCATTCTGTAAACTAACAAGCAGGGAGACAGGCACAAGGGCACAGATGTAACAACCAGATCCAAGCTCAAGTCCTGGCATCTACCCTTGCATATAACTCCCACAGCTGTGTCTAATACGCATGTCATTTCTGTAGTAAGTCCTCTCTTAAATGTGATGAAGAACGTACCAAAGAGTTTCCTGTCTTTTTCTTGAAGACATATGTGCTGTTTTAATTGATTTTATAGTACCAATATGGTATCATCAACATAACCCTAATGAAAGAGATATTTCTCATGGTCATGGCAACTTACAAAATAAAACTTTTCTCATTTCTCCAAAAACACTTCTAGAGTCTGGCAATAAGCAGGCTTTCTATTTGCATAGTTGCCATCTCAATGTGTCCACAGCTTTGATCTCTGCTTTTCTTACTTAACATCGTAGCACATATTCTCTGTTACTATGCAGATAAAATTATATATACATTTTATATTTTTTATCTTTAAAAGATACCTAATATTTTAGTATGCTGACATGCCCAGAGTAATTTAGCTATTCCTATAAGTGGACATTTAAGTTGCTTATATTTTTCCATTTTTTAAAAGATAGTGCTGCAATGAATATATTTCTGAGTTTTTCCTTATAAATTTTATATTATTACCTTAAATTTGATATGCAGATATGGATTAACCTGATGAACTGTGTATAGTTTAAATTATTCTTGATTCTTATTATCATATTGCTTCCCAAAAGGGTTCTTCCCATTAAAATAGTTCTAATAATACATAAGGATATTTTTCATCAGATCCTCACCTACAGCATGTATTATTACTAAAACATTTTTAAATAGTCCAAATACTGTAATTTATATTAATTTATTTATGTGTTCAAGTTTGCTAAATTAGGTTATTTTTCTGTATGTTTTTTATGTGTTTATGGATTTGTTACCTCCTAAATATCAATTGTCGTCTTCCTTGATTCATTAATATAAATATATTTATGTTAATCTTACATTTAATTTTTTTTTTTTTTTTGAGATGAAGTATTGCTCTCTCACCCAGGCTGGAGTGCAGTGGCGCGATCTCACTCACTGCAAGCTCCACCTCCCGGGTTCACGCCATTCTTCTGCCTCAGCCTCCCGAGTAGCTGGAACTACAGGTGCCCGCCACGACATCCAGCTAATTTTTATATTTTTAGTAGAGATGAGATTTCACTGTGTTGGCTAGGCTGATCTCGAACTCCTGACCTCAAGTGATCCACCCGCCTAGGCCTCCCAAAGTGCTGAGATTACAGGCGTGAGCCACCGCACCTGGTCAGCTCTGCAGCTTTTTACTGTTTCTAGGGGTCCTGTACCCTAACACATACGAAGATCCTTTGTGCATCAGAGGAGGTCTGGAGTTTGTGTACATACTCGGCTAGGGCAAGTGGAAAGACCTCAGGCTTTGATAAAGTGGACCACCCTCATGGATTCTCAAACCAATTCAGTGAAATTTTCTGGGGATAGTATGAAAATCTTAAAAGCGATCCGTATACTCCATCCTTTTTTCTTTTTCCCACTTCTCCTGCAAAGATGACAATTCACAGGCATTTCTTGTCTCCCATGAAACTAACCATGTAAGAATATGGCCATACATTGTTATGTTTAAAATGCAATGGCTGCGGAAGTGTTTTGAACACTGAGATGCATCACACACACTAGTTTTTACTTCTGCCTTTTGTGTTACTTCTGTGCTAGAGGTAATGAAATGTGCTCAGCCGCCTACACATTCTCTTTTTACATAAGCTAGACAATACGACCAGATGAGCAGCAGCTTACACTGTAGCTGTGGAAATTGAAATCAAATTATCCTCCTTTATATGGCAATTAGAAAAGCTAACTTTATAGAGGAGTTAACTTTACACGGCACCGTATCTGTTTTCATTCATTTTTTAAAAAACAAAGTAAAATAACTTTACTGTAAATGTGTTTACAACATGAAGTGTTTGGAAGATTTCACTCATATCCTTTAAGGTGGTCAAGTATCGTATGAGAGAAAAGAGTGGTTACATCTTGCGGGGCATGATCTAAATTAAAATTTCATTTTCTAAATTTGAATAATGAGGAAAATTCTTCGAAAACGAAATGGAACAGAGAAAGCTTAATTATTAATCATCAACACCAAAAAAATAAATAAATGCAGTAATTACTGTATTGGGTTAATTTTAAGAAATATAGAAAATAATGTATAATTTTAGAATCCATAAAAGTGTATGTGTTTCCAAATTGGAAACGCATATGGATAGTGCAATAACAATAATGAATTACACCTCTCAACTTTATCACATTTTGGCCTTTTCTATTCTATTGTCTGAGATGAGTCTTCTTATGGGCAGATGGGTAAAATATTTTTAATATTAATTAGACTTCTGGTAAGTTTTCTTAGGAAAAACTTACATGTAGACATAAATTTAAAAGTACACTTCAGACGTGAAGGTATTTAGAGACCAGCATGCATAATTGTACTCGAATATTCTTTTTGAAAACTGTGGGTCGGGGCAGTGGCTTGCGCCTGTAATCCCAACACTTTGGGAGGCCAAGACAGAAGAATAGCTTGAGCCAGGAGTTGAAGAACAGCCTGGGTAATATAATGAGACCCCATCTCTACAAAAAAGAAAAAAAATAAAATTAGTTGGGCGTGGTAGTGTGTGCCTGTAGTCCTAGCTACTCAGGAGGCTGAGGTGGGAGAATTGCTTGAGCATGGGAAGTGGAGGCTGCATTGAGCCATGATCATGCCACTGCACTCCAGCTTGGGTGACAGAACAAGACTCTATTTCCAGAGAAAAAAAGAAAGAGAAGAAAGAAAGAAAGAGAGAGAGGAGGGAGAGAGGGAAGGAAGGAAGGGAGGGAGGAAGGAAGGAAGGAAGGAAGGAAGGAAGGAAGGAAGGAAAGAAAAACTGTGCAATATAGACTGTGATTAGGAATCAAGACAAGAAAAAATTATCACTATTGCATAGGTAGTTCTATTGCAGACAAATGAGCTAGATTTATGCTAGCTATATCTCACTCCACATATCTAGTCACAAAACACCTATAAATTTTTTCACTTCACAAAAGAAATATTCCTCCTTATTACTTCCTACAAATGAAAATTCAAGTGATGGAAATAACCTGAAAGCTTTAACTGCAGACTTCCTTTTAGCTCTAAGATTATGTGGACTCTAATTGGCAAGTGTGTTGTGAAAATGTAATGAATACCAGGAGCAGAAATAATCAGTTCCATCATTCTCAGCCTTATTTAAACAATGGTTTATACAGTGACATGGGCAGCAAGAAATCTGTTCTCCTCCTCCAGCTGGAATAGTCACGCTGAGCTGATCTATTTAATAATGACTGACTAAATATTTACAACAAGTTGCTTTTGTTTTAAAGCTCAGAGTCAAGATATTTAGAAACTATGATGAGTTTATTTCCAGAGGTCACAAATTAACATTCTTGACTTTAGGGAAAGATAACCATATACGGTATAACATTTTTATTCATGGTGGTAATATATCACAGGACAGATCCTGATTGGGTGTGAAATATTGAGCTCTTCTCTGCCAAAGTTTACCAAATAGTTAGAAATCATTTTCATTGTTAATTTGTTTAATGCTTAAACTGCTATTTGTTCTCTTTAATACATACTGAAGATTATAAAATTTGAACTCATTAATCGGCAATCATGTTAAAGCAGCATTGTCGGATTGCCATCTAGTATCTGAATCAGATTTCATGAAAAGGTGATTTTGTTCTTTTCAATCCTATAGAAAAAAAGGTAAAATCCTATAGAAAAAAAGGTAAAACTATACATAACGATTTCATTTTTTGTAATGTGGTTTTTACAGGAAGAAGCACTTAATGAAGAGAATCCCAAGAATCAAGAGATTGAGCTTTTCACAATAACCTACCACATATAAGGTAGAGAGAAATATGTGTTTCAGCACAGTTACCAGACACTGCAGAGACTGGGCCTCACCGTCGCTCCAGCCCCAAATTTTTGGGCTTCTCACTTTCTTTCTTGTGCTTTAACAGCATCTTCTTCCCTGGTCCATAACATGCAACTCCCCCTTTCACTTCAAGGAGCCTGTAGGTCCTG
The DNA here is from genome assembly GCF_000001405.40 of Homo sapiens. Lineage (NCBI taxonomy): Eukaryota > Metazoa > Chordata > Mammalia > Primates > Hominidae > Homo > Homo sapiens. Next base: position 152,727,749 of record NC_000003.12, on the reverse strand, counting down.
TCTCTCTCTCTCTCTCTCTCTCTCTCTCTCTCTCTCTCTCTCTCTCTCTCTCTCTCTCTTTCTCTATCTCTCTCTCTCAATAACTTCTTCCTTCACGGATTACCCCCCAAGAAGGATGTAAGTCACTCTCCCAAGTATGTGACTCATGTGTATGTGCAATTGTGTGAAATAAAACATATACAGAGAAGTACACGCAACCAAAAGGTATACTTTAATGATGCAGTTTCACTCTTAATAGTATTGATGAACACAAAGTATTTATTTTAATGTACTCCAGTTTGTAATCTTTAATGTGTTTCTGTGTTCTATTTCATAAACTTTTCTCTACCCAATGCTATAGGCTGAATGTTTATGCCCCCTTGTCTCCAAATTCATATGTTAAAACTTAGTTCTAAATGTGATGGTTTGGATGTTTGTTTCTTACAAATCTCATTTTGAAATGTGATTCCCCAGTGTTGAAGATGGGGCCTTGTCGGAGGTGTTTGTGTCATGGGAGTGGAGCCCTCATGAATGGCTTGGTGCCCTCCCTGTAGTAATGAGTGAGTTCTCACTCTATTCATGCAAGAGCTGGTTGTTTAAAGAGCCTGGAACCTCTCTTGCTCCCTCTCTTACATGTGACACACTTGCTCCTCCTTCACCTTCTGCCATGATTGTTGGCTTCCTAAGGCCTTCACCAGAAGCAGATGCTAGCACCATGTTTCTTGTACATCTGTAAAACCATAAACCAAAATAAATCCCTTTTCTTTATAATTTACCCAGAATCAGGTCTTCCTTTCTAGCAATGCAAAACAGACTAACACAGATGGTATTAGGAGATAAGGTCGTGGGAGATGATTAGGTCATGAGGGAAGAGCTAAGAGCTCTCATGAATGGGATTAATGACCTTATCCAAGAGGCCTTAGAGAGCTCCTTTGCCTTTTTTTGCCATGAAAGAACACAGTGAGAAGGCACAATGAGAAGGAACCAAAAAGTGGGCCCTCAAAAGACAGTAAATCAGCCAGTGCCTTAATCTTGGATTTCCCAGCATCTAAGCCTGTGAGAAATAAATACAGCATCTGTTGTTTATAAGTCCCTCAGCCTACAGTAGTTTGTTATAGCAGCCCAAACAAAGACACCCAAAGTGATGAAGATATTCTTTTATGTTGCTTTCTAAAATATTGTTTTGCCTTTTGCCAACAGCTTTCCCTTTCACAATTCAGAATTATTTTTTGTATTTGTACTTTTATAGTTGCTGTGAGATAGAAGTCAACATCTTAGGCAGAGAGAATAGCTAACACTAAGACAGCTGTCAAGATCCTGAGTCTAAGGAGGAAGAGGAAGAAGAGGAGGCTGGAGCCAGTGAATGAGGCAAGAGGGAGAGGAAATGAGGTGTAGAGGCAGCCATTGCCACCCACTGAAGAACCTCTTTGACTTTGGTAACCTTTTTAAATTTTGTTCTAAATGTATGGGAAGCTATTTGAGAATTGGGAACAGGTGTGTGATGTGGTAAGCTTTAGCTCACTAAGAATCACTGACTACTGTGAGAATAATTAACAGAGATGCACAAGTAAATGCAGGTGAACCAGTTAGGAGGCTTCTGCACTTTGCCAGGTGAGAGATAATGGAGGCTTGGACTGGGATTCCAACAGTGGAGGTGGTGAACCATGAACAGACTTGAGGTTTGTTCTGAAAGTAAAGTTAACAAGATTTTCTGATAGATCAGATATAGGCTTAAGAGAGAAAAAGGTATCAAATACGATTCCAAGATGATGATATTTACCAAAATAAGAAAAACATCAGTTAACATTTTGTTGGCTCAACAAAACTCTGATCCAGTTGTGAATGTTGCCAGAAGTAGTCTATATCACCAATTTTGGACTTAATGATAAAAAAATTACCTTGTATTTGATAATGCCTTCCTAGTTAATGTATAAGCTTATCAGTTCCCATATATTAAAGTTATTATAAAAAATAACTTTTAGATATTTGCCAAGCATTCTCATAGGCACTATTCATTCAATCAACCCCTTGAAAGGTTGGCTGAGCCATTAGCCCCCCTTATTTTCAGCCGAGGAAGAGTAAATACAATATTTAATAGGTAGCGAAGTTGAATCTTCAACTGTCTATGACTCTAGAATTCCTTTCTTCTTTTATATATCTTGTGTAACCTTAGTAACTGCAATATCAATGGCTAAGCACAAAACCACTAAGAAGATGTTTGCTAATTGGTTGATTGAACGGTACACACCTGTTATATCTGGGCAAAAAAGATTCTTAGTCAACTATCTACTGATTACACCAGGAAGGCAAAACCTAATTCTATTTCTTCTACTTGATGGTGTTATCTATTTTTAATTAAGTTTATCTAGAAATATTTAACTTATAAGCCTAAACATATTTTCTAATTAAAGTATATGAACATACCCTGGAGTTATATCCCAGCTAATTTTTCCTAATCTGTTTGTTTGAAGTCTCCTTAGTGAGGAAGTGTGAATTGAAGCATGAATGATAAAGAACGAAATGTTGTTTCTACCTGAACTTAAAAATTCAACAGAAAGAACTCATCAACAGCAATTAGTGTCAAAACCCAGATGGTCAGAAGAGACAGACCATCACCTGATTTTATTAATTTATTAAGGAAACGTTTAACGTTGAGATGGGTCTTCAGAAATGTACCCCAAATATGTTATTTTTCCAATAGGCTAATTTAATTAATTCCAACTGGGTTAATTTGAACACATTATCATTGTTTATCTAAAGAGAAAGAACAGGTACAATAAGTTCTAATATAGTGGAGTGAACACAAGACTGAACCCTTTAAATAATTAACGTGAATTCAAGTAACAATAGTTTAAAATCTGAACATGTTAAATTGTCCCCTTAGAGTAAAAATAAAAATAAACTTGTAATACCTGGCATTTGTATAGTGCTTTATAAATTCCATAAAGTGCTTGTACATATTCTGATTGGATATTTACTATCACCCTTAATTATATCCATAGTTTACATTCAATTGAATGATTGTGCCAGGCATCATGCTCAATGTTTTACATACATTATCTTATTTCACTTTTTTCTAATAACTTACAAGTTAGGTTAGTTAAGTAAGGTTTTTGTTGACCAGACAAATATATACTGTCTAACTTAAACAATATTAAAAATATGCTAATTTTAAAGGCTGGAACTCAGACAAATTGAAGCACTTTCTTTGAAAGCATCTGGTTCCAATGCTTTTTCAGGTTTTATCACATTCTGTCCAAGGTTCACATTTTTATGACAGTCTGTCTGGCCAGACTTGGAGTTTGTACCCATTCTCTTGTCCAGATGTTTCAATCTGATTAAGACTAATTTCTGAGCGTGGAAGGTGGAAATAAAAGAAGATTGCTTTACCTGTAACAACTTTGGCATTGACATAGAAACTAAAGCATACCATATAACATTTAAAGGGAAAAAACACATGAAAAGTTAATGCTACCTCCCAGATTTCCAGAGTCAGTAGAGAGAAAAGAGGAGAAATCTCAGGCTATACGCACAAGGCAAAGAAGAGGTCGGGTGGCTCCTGCAGCCTTTAAGTCCCTAAGAAGCTAGGTCAATCTCGATAGTCACCAAGAAACAGACCTTCTGACAGAGAGTCCAGCAGATTTAATAGTAGTGGGACATCTGGGGGCTTCACTCTGGTAGGAGTGAAGCCAGATTTAGGCTTGTAAATAAGCTTGAGTTGGGGGTTGATGTGCAAGTCCAATGTCTGCTCTGGAGAGATGCTCATAGGGCCCTCTCTTCTTTGGTTAACATTCTATGAAGGAAATACAACTGCCAAGAAAGAATCAACAAATACGCGAGAAAGCTTTTGAGAGAAGGAAAGTAGTTGGGAAGGGTGCATGTTTTGGCGTGGGGATATGGTGAGCCTGCTGTCAAGGGAAGAAGGCCGCTGGTAGCAGCAGAAAAAGGCATAGTAAAATAAAGTTCTGTTGCTTCCCTTGCCCACTGTGTTCAATTATTGGGAAAATCATCAATAGTTCTCTTGTTTCAGAACTCTATGGCAACTACCACTGGGGCTGGTGTTCTCAGAGGAACTATCAGAGCAGCACTGAAGCTTGGTTGGGCATAGGAGTTGATGAAAACACATGATACAGATTGGGGATACCTAATCCAAAAATCTGAAATTCAAAATGCTCCAAAATCTAAAACTTTTTTAGCATTAACATGACACCACAGGGGTGGATGAAATAGTGTGATTTCTGCTTTCTGATGGCTTAATCTATATGAACTTTGTTTCATGCACAAAATTATTTAAAAGATTGTATAAAACTACATTCAGGCTATGTATGTAAGGTGTATATGAAACATAAGTAAATTTTGTATTTAGACTTGAGTCCCATCTCTAAGATATCTCATTACATATATGCAAATATTCCAAAATCTGAGAAATCTGAATTCTGAAATCTGAAACACTTCTGGTCCCAAGCTTTTCAGACAAGAAATAGTCAACCTGTATCTACTATACATGGCATTTTGCCTTTTTATCCAGACCCCTCCAAACCCTAAGGGTTTGTGGACTACTTCCTAGGGTGACTGCCTCCTACCAATTCTGCATTTTCTTGAATATTTAGAGATAAGTAGCAGTTGCTCAGATGATAGCTAATAAGAGTGATTGCTGCCAGGCACGGTGGCTCACACCTGTAATCTCAGAACTTTGGGAAGCTGAGCCGGGTGGAATGCCTGAGTCTAGGAGTTTGAGACCAGCCTGGGCAACATGGCAAAACCCCGTTGTCTACTAAAAACACAAAAAATTAGTTGGATGTGGTGGTGTGCACCTGTAATCCCAGCTATTCGGGAGGTTGAGATGTGAGAATCACCTGAGCCCGGGAAGTCTAGGCTACAGTAAGCTGAGATTGCACCACTGCACTCCAGCCTGGGCAACTGAAGTGAGACCCTGTCTCAAAAAAAACAATGATTAATGAATTATGGTTTTCTGTCGGCTGAACCTTTCCTCCCTAAGAAATATCTCTTCTATTCTCTCTCAACTCATTAACTGACTAGACTGGGGTCTGGCCTTCAGATTTCCCTAATATTCACTCCAGACAGAATAGCTGATATCAAACCTCACAGGCTTGGTATCAAAATAGCTGGAAACCCAATAACTACAGCTACTTTGAGTAAAAATTAAAAACTGAAAAACATATACCATCTAAGGCAAATGCTATTATTATTAGCTAACCACACACTATTTACCCATAACTTCACATGTAAATTCAAACCACTGCATTAAAAAGCCCAAGTTAAAGCTTACACCAATGTGAAAGCTCTTACTAAAAAATGTGAATGCTGGTCAGGCAGAAAGAATGGAGTTGTGAAGAATGAAATTATGAAAATAAAGTGCCTACATGCCTGGCATAAAGTAGGCAGTTATTAGTTAGAATTTCTGTCTTACTTTTAGCAATCATACACTTTGTAAATAAAAAGCCAGGTTTGTGTCTTTTTAAAAAATTGGTACAGCTTCAGGCACTGTATAAGTTTTCTGAGGCTGCTGTAACAAATACCACAAACATAGTGGCTTGAAACAACAGAAATTTATTCTCTCACAGTTCTGGAGGCCAGCATCTGAAATCAGTATCATTGGTCTGAAATCAAAATGTGGCATGGCAGGTCTGTGCTCCTTCAGGAAGCTCCAGGGGAAAGAATCTGTGTCTTGCCTCTTCCAATTTCTGGTGACTGCTGACATTTCTTGGCTTGTGGCTGCATCACTCCTGTCTTCATGGAATCTCCCTTTGCTTTGTCTTCACACTCTCGTGTTTGTTTCAAATATCCCTCTGTTTGTCTCTTGTAAGGACACTTGTGATGACATTGGGTCCAGATAATCCAGAGTAATCTCCCATCTCAGGATTCTTAACTTGATAACCATGGACAAAGACCTTTTTTTTGCCATATAAGGTAAAATTCACAGGTACTAGGAATTAAGATGTGGGATGCACTTTTTAGCCTACACCACAAACACCTATGCTAACACATAGTAAGTTGTTAACAACTATTTGTAGAATAAAATCTCTTTCCAAAGCCTCTTTCCGCTGAGTCTTCTAGCTCTTATGATCTGTATTATTGATAGCACTTTGTCATATATTCATAGATATGTCACTTGTCATATACTCATAGATATGTTATTTTTACATCTTTTCTCTTCTTCCAGTGATCAGCTAACAAAAGTGCTTTTAAGCAACATGATTGTGAAGAAGACATCATAGACATGCTAGACTAGAAGCAGATATCAGTCTTAATATTTTGAGCCGTGATGGAAAGTAGCAAGCAACAAGGGGATGGTTCATTTAAAAATCTGTCACTTTCCAAGTGTACTCATGTTGGTAGTCATTCTTCCAATGAGGGACTAGGAAAAACACTGAGGACTTCTTTAACTTGGAAGTAAGTTCACTATCAGGAATTTAAGATACGAGATTGACATAGTGTGACTGAGTACCCTCATTTTTCTAAGAAAAGGAGAACGAGTTATTTTTTCTCTTCTTTTCTCTTCTCTGTTTTCCTTTGTTCCCCACTTCCTACATAGCCCTTTAGAAATGCAAATATAGCCTTTCACCTCCCCTTCACCAGACACTCCTTACAGGGCAGGTTCATCTAACTATGTGCTTAGAAGCTCCAGAGTGAGAAACTCTCACCCACCAGGAGACTGTCTCAAGAGAAAACAGTCAATTTACAACCCAAAGTATCCCTGCTATAAAATCCTCTCCTCTCTGGTGAGTTTTGGCCACCTTTACAACCTAGTTCTGCCCATGAAGATGCCAACTCAACCACCTGGTAGATAAGGCACCAAAGCAAGTATGTGGACCCCCAACTGCTCACTTCCTCCCCTGTATGCCATTTATGCCAGCATGCCAGGCCCCCTTTTAAAAGGATATGCTTTCTACTCCAAAAGTGAAGTGGTATCCTTAGGCAGGAAGCCTATACTTCCTCCCCTAAGCTAGTCTTGGAATAAAAAGCCACTTTCTTTATACCAGGCCTTGCTCTTGTTAATTGGACTCTGCAAGCGGCATGCGGCTGAACCTGTGTTTCAGTTACAATATCGTGGATGACACAAGAATGGTTTTCATAGTTGAAGAAATAATGTGGTTATCAAAGGGATGATATGGTAAGCAAGACTATCCTCACATGAAACATTAGCATAAATGACTGGGCTCTTGGAGGGAGGGTGTGTTCTGACTCGTGGATCGATATAGTCTCAATGATGGAGCTATGGGTGAGAAAGTGTTCAGTTTCCATACTCTTCAAAAAGGCTGACATAGTTGGGGAGCAGTTTATAGTCATCTCCCAAAACTGAAGACAATTATCATTTGCCTTTGTCTTCCCATATAGAACTGTTCACAAAGGGATAATGAAATTTTGTTGGAGATTTTAGTAGTCAGGGAAATGTTATAGCCATAGCTCTCACCATAAGCTAATAAATTAGAAGTCTACTTATTTATTAACCTTCCTCTTTCGAGCATTCTGAATCCATTCATTAAATCTGAAATATACTTATTGAGCATCTACCATGTGTCTTGTACCTAGTGAGGTGCTGGATATATAATGGAGAGCTTGATAGGCTTAGCCCCTTTTTGCATTCCTTTATACTAACAAAAATCACATCTTGTAAAACTTCCAACCCATTACAAAAAACAAATGAATAAGCTGATGGATTAGCAAAAATATACCACCAATAACAACATCAACAAAAGTATCTCCACCAAGTTCTTTAAAGTGTAACAACTAAGGTAACACTAAACTTGGCATCAACATTTATTCATTTATTTATTCACTGATAAGCATATAATGATAGAAAAATGATTCACAAGACCATAGTATATATTTGTTTAAGCTCTAAGAATATTGAAATAAATAAAAATATTGAATCAACCAAATAATAATATCTTGGTTATCAAAAATAACAGATATGATAAATAGGTAAACAATATAATTAATACAGATAAATAGGACAACATATCTTCAAATTTTTTATTACTGAAAAGAAATGAAAATAAGACTTAGTATAAAAGTGTACATTCAAAAAGAAGAAAGCTTCCAGAGTTTAAAGGCAGCATATAGTATTTTCAAATGACAGATTCTAATCAATAAAATTACAGAAGCTCCTTTATCAAAAAATGTTAAAAAGAGCTTCAAATTAATTAATTTCCACATGAGAATATATAGTGTAAGCCAAGATGCAGAAACTTTAACTGTAATTAAGAGCAATTAGATTACTATCTGAAGGAGAGCAGATGAAAAGCTACTTCTGGAGAACTGGTATGACTCACGTGACTAATTGATTATGTAACATGCATGACTCATTTTTCTTTCCTTCTACTAAGAGTGGAATAGATAGGCACTGACAGTGTCCCCACTAAATGAAACATTCTTCAACATTACATCTTTATGTCCAACTCACCCAAGACCTCTAGGTTTAATTGTAAACTGTTTCATTTAGCGTGTTGGAATCCTAGCCACCTCACACTCCCAAACACAAAAGTCCCTAAAATCACCACAGGAAGCAGAGCAGCTATCCTTGGTCCAAATGGCTTACCACTGTATGTATATTTATTGTCAATTGTTCTACTTGCTTGGGCATTTTATTTCACTTGGTAACCTGATTTCTTCCCCCATTACTCTGTTGCAGATTAGACAGAGTCAGAACTGCTAAAGGCACAGAAGTGACAGCTGGGAGTGAGGAAGGAGTCTAAGGAAACACCAAACAGAAAACCACAGTTGTCCATGGCACACTGGCCCCTGTATTTCAGAAATCTCCTAGGGCAATGTTGGATTGCAGCATTCTACTTGAAGTATAAGGAGCAGCCTGAGTCATCCAGAAAATGTCAACCAATGTTCAAATACTCCTTGTTCACTAAGACTTGGGAGTGGGTAATAAACTAATTTAAACTAGAAAGCTTTGTCATTTAAGGGAGGGGCCAGGCTTCACTCTAAAAAATTTGCTTGGTTGAACCTTCATTTCTTATAAAGCAGGTATGAGCTTTCACCAAAAGATACCTCAGAGGGCTCTGAGATAAAATGCTAAAATAGCATTTCCTGAAATCTAAAGTGCCTGAGTCCCAAGGATTATATTCATTATATGAAATAATTTTTAAAATGAGTTTATTATTCCAATGTACTTAATAATGATAATAGAAATAATAGCAGATAATGCTCACTATATGTCAAACACCCTGTTGATACCTTGTAGAGATTATCTGATTTACTCTCTCTACAACCCTTAGAAGGAGACATTATTATAATCTCTGAAGTACAAAAGAGGAAACTGATGCTTTCACTGGTTCAAGCCAGGTCTCACCGCAGACAAGGGGCAGAGCTGAATTTGAATTCTGGCTATTTGACTCAAGAAACAGAAGAAATATTTGATTCAAGTAGTTTTCTTTGTCATTGTACCGGGTATGTACATTTCTTTACCAAAAATATTAATCTGCTCTCTTAAAACTAAATCTATTCAGAAAACATATTTCTGTTATTTCAAAATGAAGTCGAATTTCTTGATTTAAAAAAATACATAAAGAATCAAAGAAGGTATGCAAGAGAAATTCATTCAGAATGTTAAGGTACACTTTCAGTTAATAGAAATCAATGAAAACGTAGTTTCATCAATTTCATGAATAGAATCACCAAACCTATTCAATTCTATGTAGCTTATTAAATTGCTTCATTCAATAAAACCTGTAACAAATAAACTTGCTAATTGATGGAATAAATAGCTATTTAGAAAATATGTGAATGATAGAAAAATAAAGACTTTCAGATTTATTGCTTTTGAATATAATACACATGCATAGTTATCAACATGCAGTTACTATACTATTTTTAACAAGATGTTTTGAAGTGCAGATTCTGTTTTGAAGTTCTGCTTCAAAAAAATATTTAATGGTTTTTATAGATGTCGATTTGTTTACAAAATAGGATAAGGCTCAAATAAGTTTAACCTCTTAGGTGCCCTGTCATCCAATTTCTTCTGCTCCTTTGCTTAGCAAATTCTTATACAAAGAAATTGCAAAGACATTTTCAATCCAGATTAAATTATCACATATTCCTAATTAGTGGAACTTGAGATTTTATGTGAGTTCTAATTCATAAAATATTTTGATGTCTTTGTGTAATTGTGCAATTACGCTTTGAATATCAAAGACAGAGAAAGATGGGTCACAGAAAGGATCTAGAATTATCTGGGAAGTCTGTGTTTATTTGAATGCTAAGGAAAATTTAAATCAATGTAATAGCTGCAAATTGCACTGATGATTCAGGCTCCTGTTTAGTTTGGTATTTTCAGGAAAACACAGTTACCTTAGCAACTAGTATATCACATGGGACATGCTGTAGCACGCAGAACGTCTCAAAGTCAAAAGCTTTTCCCTCTGGAAGACATCATACTAAGAAATAGGAAAATAAAGAAACCAAATCTTCCACTTAATGAGTTATGTTGTTTATCTCCTTGACAGGTAGAAAATAATTTATACTTAAATCAGTTTTTTATGCTATCCAAAATGATAATATTTATATTACATGGATAAAGAAAAAAACAAACTACATGCCCTAAGTGCACAAAGTAAGTCTTCAGTTGAACTGTCTGAATAAGTACATTGACTGACTTGTAAACCTCTGCAACTGAATTATCTCTTTCTTTGGAGAGGAGTAATATAAATAAGATCCTAAAAATGTTAAATAGTAAGCTATTATCACTAAACACTAAGAAATATAAGTTTTGTTTCCTGGTGGCAGTAACTCTAAAGTTACAAAATAATAGTGTGAGAATTTAAAACTATACTTTCACAAGTCTAAAACAGCCTAGTTGAGTCAAATATGAAATCAAACTGATTGCCATCTGCACTGTTATAGAGACTTAACTCATATTAATTCAAAGAAAAGTAAGTGGTTTATTTTTTTTAAATTCTCAAATGTGTACATTGTTGAGGAAACAAACATTTACTGCATGTCTCCCTAGTGCAAGAATTTTCCAGAAACAAGAAAGAAACGGTGACTGCCTTTGTAGTTTATGCTCTAGCTGGAAGAGACATACAAAACAAAGAAAGAAAGAAAAAGAAAGAAAGAAAGAAAGAAAGAAAGAAAGAAAGAAAGAAAGAAAGAAAGAAAGAAAGGAAGGAAGGAAGGAAGGAAGGAAGGAAGGAAGGAAGGAAGGAAGGAAGGGAAAGGAAGGGAGGAAAGAAAGGAAGAACAGAAAGAGAAAGAAAGAAACAGGTAAATTACATTGTGGGGACTGGCATGAAGAATATGGAACAGAACTCATCTTCCTCTACTTCTTTCTCTTCCCTTCCCTTCTGGACATTTCAGCCCTAAAACTATTCTATGGAGCAGAGCAATGTAGGGGGAGAAGGAGTTTGATCATTTAGTGTAGATTATCAGAGCCGGAACAGGGTGAGAACACCTGCAGTACAGAGGGACGGTGGCGACTGGAGACTGGTTACATATAGGAGAATTAATCATGTAAGAAAATACACTAGAAACCATAGAAGCCAGATTTCTCACCTCTGGAAAACCGAGTTACAATTAATAGAAAATGGGACAACTAGAATGAATCATGTACAACTGGATTGGAATGAAAACATGGCTTTCAATGTATTTGCAGATAAGTATAGAAATAAATAGGTAAATAGAAATATATTTTAGTAATATATAACAAATATATCTAATATCTAATATAGTTTTATATATAATACATAATTATATATTATGTGATTATATGATATATATAATTATATATTTTCTATATATTCCTTGGCTCTTTCCACTGAGAAGGCTCAAGCACCAATACCACAATAGCAATAAGCACTCTTGAAGCCCAGATTTTGGATTCTAAATACAATTTTCTGCCAAAAGAAAAGTCTCTTTGAAAAGATGGCTAATTCCAGGGCCTGGGTAGGGAAAGTACAAGATGAGTCCGGAGCATCTTATTGTGCCAGAAATCAAAGAGAGACTCAAATGATGATGATAATATCTCAAAAGGGAAAATAAGTCAGCTTGAAGAGGCTCCTAATAGCCAAATCTGGGACAATTGCAGCATCAAAATAAATAGTGATAGTAATGGGTGAAAACGTGTTAAATAAAATAGAGAACCATTCATTGATACAGATATAAATCAATAAATGAAAAAACTGGAAATTCAACAAGGAAAATGATATTTATACTTTCAAAGTACCTCTCCCCAAAATCCTTACAAATTACAAGGGGAAATGAGTGACTTTATAGTGAAGAAGCCCGGCAGACACCACCTTCATCAAGTGATCAAAGTGAACATCGCTTATAAACAGCAGAATCCAACCCATCTGCCACCTGAGAGGATGCAATGAGAGGAACACAGCAGCATTTCTGTGATATTTCTGCCAATTATGCATAATTCAATCTAATCATAGGGAAATATCATGCAAACCCAAACTGAGGGACATTCTACAAAATAACTGGCCTATAATCTTAAAGAATATGGTCATGAAAGTCAGGGAAAGAGTTAGAAACTTTTCCGATCAAAAAGACTACAGACAACTAAATACATTGCATGACTTTGAACTGCATCTATTTGTTATAAAAGATATTATTGGGACAATGTGAATAGAGCCAAACAATTAAATGGTAGTAATGTATTAATTTTAATTTTCTGAGGTTACTTGTATTGTGATTATTTAGAAGACCGTCTATGTTTGTAGAAAATACGCACTAAAATCACAGGAAATGGTTGGGTCATCATGTCACAGTCTTACTCTCAAGTAGTTCAAGGATAAATTCCTTTCTACAGTATTACCTCTTCTGTAAGTTTTTAATTGTTTCAAAGTAAAGCATTTGTAGAAATTTAATACGATAGATTAATATCATACTGCACATGGGCAACTCCTCTATTTGTGTTGTCCAGAAAATATTCTCTGAAGAGTTGACATTTCAAGCTGAGAGCTGAAAAATGTGTCAGTCATTCAAAGACCTGGATGAAGAGGGTTCCAGGAAGAAGGACCAGCTGGTGCAGAGGCCTTAGACATGAAGGAGTTTAATGAATTCCAAGACTAGAAAAATAAAAGTGTCCAATGTAGCTGGAGGCCTGGGAGGAGTGATGAAGAATGCATAGACAGGCTCTCAGGAATGGCCACACTGGTGATGATAAAAAGTTTAGAAGTTTATTGAGGTGCTAAGGAAAACCAGTGAAAGATATTAGCAAGGGAGTAATATGAACTCATTTATATTTTTAAAAACCACTTGGCAGAGAAAGGGGGCAAGAATGAATATAAAAGAGATAAATTTAAAGGCTATTTGCAGTAGTAGTAAAAGATGGAGAAAAATGTCAGATATATTTTGCAAGTAGAAGTGATAGGATTTTCAGATGAATTGAATGAGGATGTTAAAGAAGAGAAAAACAAAGGGTAATGAGAGCAGCTGTTCCTTATTTAGAATTTGCTGTGTGCCAGGCTGCCTCTAATCACTTCACACACATTTATTAACTCATTTAACCCTCATAACAATCCTATGGGACAAGTACTATTGTTAGCCCCATTTAAGCTTACTAAGGCATGAAAATGTTAAGTGACAAGACTAAAGTCACACAGACAGTAGGTGGCAGAGCTGTGATTTGAATCTATAAACTGCATACTTAACCACACAGTATATACATTTTTCTTTCTAAATCAACTTTTTGAGATATAATTTACATATAATGCAACACTTGTAAGTGTACAGTTCAATGAGTTTTAACAAATTATGAAACTGTGTAACTACCACCACAATCAAGACACAGAAAATATACATCACCTAAGAGTTTCTCCTGTAAACTTTTAGACTTAATTCTCCCCACTTTGCCCCTGATCCCTTCAGCTCCAAACACTAGCCAGTTCTGAATTTATTGATTTATTTAGAGACTGAGTCTCGCTCTTGTTGCCCGGGCTGGAGTGCAATGGCCTGATCTCCACTTAAGGGAGGAGACCACCTCTCATATTATCTTATGCCCAATTTCTGCCTCCAAAGAAAGAAAAAGTAAAAACTAAAAGGCAGAAATGAAATCCGCAAGCAGACAGCCCAGCGCCACACCCTGGGCCTGGTAGTTAAAGATCGACCCCTGACCTAATCAGTTATTTTATCTACAGATTACAGACATTGTATAGAAAAGCACTGTGAAAATCCCTATCCTATTTTGTTCCGATCTAATTATCGGTGCTTGCAGCCCCCAGTCACGTACCCCCTGCTTGCTCAATCGATGACGACCCTCTCATGCGCACCCCCTTAGAGTTGTGAGCCCTTAAAAGGGACAGGAATTGCTCACTCGGGGAGCTGGGCTCTTGAGACAGGAGTCTTGCCGATGCCCCCAGCCGAATAAACCCCTTCCTTCTTTAACTCGGTGTCTGAGGAGTTTTGTCTGCGGCTCGTCCTGCTACACACTCACTGCAACCTCCGCCTCCTGGTTCAAGCAATTCTCCTGCCTCAGCCTCCCAAGTAGCTGAGATTACAGGCACCTGCCACCACACCCGGTTAATTTTTTGTATTTTTAGTAGAGACGGGGTTTTGCCATGCTAGGCTGGTCTCGAACTCCTGACCTCATGATTCGCCTGCTTCAGCCTCTCAAAGTGCTGGGATTAAGGGCATGAGCCACCACTCCCAGCCTGGTATTTCATGTAAATGGAATTATACAAGTACATACTTTTTGTGTCTGGTGTCTTTCCCTTAGCTTAAATTAGTTAATTAATTAATTTATGAGACAGAGTCTCTCTCTGTTGCCCAGGCTGGAGTGCAGTGGGGCAATCTCGGTTCACTGCAACCTCCGCCTCCCGGATTCAAGCGATTCTTCTGCCTCAGCCTCCTGAGTAGCTGGGACTACAGGCCTGCACCACCACTCCCAGCTAATTTTTTTGTATTTTTAGTACAGACGGGGTTTCAGCATAGTGACCATGCTGGTCTCAAACGCCTGAGCTGGTGATCCACCTGGCCTTGACCTCCCAAAGTGCTGGGATTACAGGCATGAGCCACCGTGCCTGGCAGCTTAAATGTTTTTAAGCCTCAACCATGTTGTTACATGAATCTAGAGCTTGTTTATTTTACTGTAGCATGCTATTCCATTGTATGGCTATAACAAAATTCACTATCCATTTACTAATTGATGAATATTTGGACTTTTTACAGTATTTGGTTATTTTGAATAAAGCTGCCAGAAACATTGGTGTACAAGTCTTTTCATATAACTTTTTTTATGAAAAAAATTTGAGTACAAATCTTTTCATAAAACTTTTTAAAATTACATTTTGAATAAATGTAAGCCTGGGAATAGAATTGCTAGGTCATATGTTCCATTTTTCAAGAAACTGCTAAACAGTTTTCCAAAGTTGTATCATTTTACATTCTCATCAATAATGTATGAGAATTCCTCTTGCTCCCATCTTTGTCAACATTTGCTATTGTCAATCTTTTTTAACTTTACCTATTCTAGTATATATATAATTTATATTTTTGTGATGGCTAATAATGTTTAGCATTTTTAATGTCATTATTGGCCATTCATATATTATCTTTTAAAACTGTTTACTTTCCCTACACTTACTTTTTTTCTTTTTGTCTTATTATGTAGGTATTGTGAATATTTTTTCCCCATCTGTGTCTGAGAGCATTTTTGTTTTCTTAATTGTGTCTTTTGAGGACCAAAAGTTTTTAATTTTGGTTAAGTTCAATTAACATTACTTTTTTTCTAATAGCTAATGCTTTTTGTTGTCCTAAAAAATTTGCTTACCTCAAGGTTGCAAATATTTTCTTCTATGTTTTCTTTAGAAGACAGTTTTAGCTTTTATCTTGGGTCTATGATTCATACCTAGTTAGTTCTGTGTAAGGTGTGAGGTAATGATACTTATTTTTTTCTGATATGGATATCCAGTTGTTCCAAAACTATTTTTGAAAAGACTATCTTTTCCCCCATTACATTAGCACTTTTATTAACAAGAAGAAAAGAAAAGAAATTAATTGATTGTTTATGTGGGGGTCTATTTCTGGGCTTTATTCTGTTCCATTGATTACTATGTCTATCTTTATGCCAATTGTATAGTCTTGTTTATTGCAATTGTAATTGTATAATAAATCTTGAAATCAGATACTGAGAGTCCTCAACTTTTTTCTCTCAGTTTGTGGAACAATTTTAGGTTTTCAGGAAAACTGAGAAGAGTACAGAGAGGTTTCATATACCCTGCACCCACTTTTCCATATTATTGACATCTTACATCAGTATAGGAGAATAGAATTGCAGGTCATACGTTCCATTTTGCAAGATGACACAGTTTGCAAACTATAGTGACAGACAACGGATTAGTGTTTGGAGTGGAAGGGATCAGGGATAGGATGGGGAGAATTAACTCTAAAAGTTTACAGAAGAAACTCTTAAGTGATGTAAATATTCTGTATCTTGATTGTGGTGGTAGTTAGATAGTTTCATACATGTGTTAAAACTCATTTGCCACAGTTCATGAATCAATATTGATGCACTGTTGTTAACTAAGGTCCACACTTTTTTCACATTTACCTAGGTTTGCCTTTTTTTTTTTTTTTTCCAGGACACCATATGACATTGCTTGTCATATCTCCTTAGACTCTTCTCGGTTGTACCAGCTTTTCAGACTTTTCTTTTTTGATGACCTTGATAGTTTCATAAGGTATTGGTTAAATATTTTTTGTTGGATGCCCTTGTATTTCAATTTGTTCTTTTAAAGTCATGTTTAGATTAGGGTTATGGGGTTTTGGGAGCAAGATCACAGAAGTAAAGTGGCATTTTCATCACATCATATGAGGCATGCATAGTACCAATATAATTTATTACCATTCATATTGACCTCGATAGCCTGGCTAAGTAAGATAGGGTTTGCCAGGTCTCTTCAACATAAATTACTCTTTTTCCTTCTTTCCATACTGTACTGTTTGGAAGGAAGTCACTATTAAGGAGGCGGGGGTTGTCTTCCGCCTCCTTGAGAGTGGAGTATCTACATAAATTATTTGGAATCATGAAAGGGAAATTTGACTCTTCTTCCCATTTATTTATTTATTTATTCAATCATGTACTTATAATAGTAACTCATGAATATTTATTTTATGCTTTGGGTTACAGTCCAATACTGTTTTATTTGTTGTTCAAATTGTTCCAGCTTTGGCCATTGGAAGCTCTTTCTGTTGGCTCCTGTGTCTTTTTCACATACCCCCAAAGACATTGTGCTGTTTGTGGGTTTGTTTTTTTTTTAGCACTTCTTACTTTCCAGCACAGCAAGATGTTCCAGGTTCATCTAGTGTATTCCCCGTGTTAGTCCAAGAACCAGCCATTTCTCCAAGGACTTCTGGTTCCTTTTATTGGAAAATAGTACTAAAAATCAAGATTTGAATGTTAGGTATGCTCCATTATTTTTCAAAATTGTTTTGGATTTTTAATATCCTTTGTGTTTTTATGGAAACATTTACTTATTTTGATTGAGATCATATTGAGTTCCTCCTAGGTTTTAGCTTGGACACTAGACAGATTATTATATCTTTTATTGAAGTTAGAAAATTGGTGAGACAATTAGATGGGGATGGGGAATCAAAAATTCTATTTGGAGCAATAATCTAGGCCCTGTTGACCCTCCAAACTTTTAAGTCACTGGCTGGCAATATCCAAATCATTAATTTATCAATTGCTGATTTACATATTTTTTTGACATAAAGGACTGTGAATTTATAGCTGCAGCTCTTTCCCTGTAGCTACATTGAGTCTCAGAAGAGGGGAAAGAATACAACATTTCTTAAGCAGCAATCATATTTTTTGTATTGTTCAAGTATTTTGCATGCAAAATGTATTTAAAGACTTACAACCACATGAAAATAGCTATTATTCTTCCTACTTGTCAAGTGAAGATTGAGGTCTGAGAGAATAGGTAACTTCCTAGTCATGCAGCAGGGAAAGGTGGAGCTGGGGTTTAAATCCAGAATAGCATTTCCTGATCAAATATTGCATGGGACAGACACAAAAAAACTATCCATTGTTTATCTGAAATTTAAATATAACTGGGCATCCTGTATTTTTATTCGTGAAATCTGGCAACTCTAATCCGGGGCCATCTGGACTCAAAGGCTGTGCTCCTTTCGTCCCACAATGTGCACTCAATACATCAGGAAATACATGCAAATTCAGAAAATATTTTTGCCCATATTCTGTAATTTAATTTACTTTAGTTGCCATATATATAATACATATGAAAGTGGCCCACAATCCACACTTTGGAAAAAAGTATAATTTTGATCTGAAGATGAGGAAGGAGCTTTTTGGGGTTTTTTTTTTTTGGAGTAGATAGCTACATGTGCCTTTAATAAAATTAACCTTTTGCTTCAATCAACTGTCATCAAATTGGAACTTTTTCCAACCCAATAATTCCATTACACATTTAAGCTGTTCTGTAGCACTTAAAAATACAATCTAAAATATCTGAAAAAAAGAAAGTAGACACAATGTCTTGTCACATTTGATGCTGTCAATCTCTAATTAAAAATACCCTACCAGTGAGACTATTGATGGTATTGTTCTCCCTTTGGAGACAGAGCAACCTCTCAGTAAACTAGAAGAAATAATTAGTATCCTTACTTGCAATATACAGTGTAAATTTAAATTCTTTGTAATAATCTTCAAGGTTTTATAACAAAATCTCATCTCTTTCTAGCCTCATAATCCTTAAAATTATAATTTTCTTCTTTAATATGTCTCCTGTCCTGTATTTCAGTGTGTAAGGATATTCTTATTTCCTACACTAGTAGATTCCTGTGCCTCTTAGTTTTATAAATAGGAGAACAACATAAGTTCTTAAAAATTAAAGTTTTCATAACCTTGGAGTACCAGAAACAATTTCCAAATAATGTATCAAAATTTTAAAAAGGCATAAAGGAGAAGGTTGGTAGATTTACCCTACAAAAATGTGGAGTGTTAGTGTAGTCAAAAACACAGTAGGCCGGGTGTGGTGGCTCACGCCTGTAATCCCAGCACTTTGGGAGGCCGAGGTGGGCAGATCATCTGAGGTCAGGAGTTCAAGACAAGTCTGGCCAACATGGTTAAACCCCGTCTCTACTAAAAATACAAAAATTAGCCGGGTGTGGTGGTGGGTGCCTGTAATCCCAGCTACTTGGGAGGCTGAGGCAGGAGAATCGCTTGAACTCGGGAGGCAGCACTTGAACCTGGGAGGCGGAAGTTGCAGTGAGCTGAGATCACACCACTGTACTCCAGCATGGGCAACAAGAGTGAGACGCCAACTCACAAAAAAAAAAAAAAAAAAAAAAAGCCACAATAACGAATTAAAAGTCAAACATCAATTGGTCAAACTATTTGCATATAGACAGATAATAGTTCCTAAACTATTTATTAGTTTTTTTCCTCTGGTTTTATATTTTTCAAAACATATGACATTCTGTTATTATTTTTGCCAGCATATTTGAAAATTTCTGTTCTTTTCATTGTTTCCTATATTCCATTTCTTCTGTGATGATTTGCTTTTCTTCGTTTTGAACTACTTCCCTTATTAACTATTTCAGTAAGAGTCATGAATGGTAAATTATCTTGGCCTTCCATATCTGCATTTATTATTCAATTCTTGAATGATAGCTAACTGTGTAACGTTTCCAAGGTTCAAACTTCATTCCTTTCTTCATTCATTCAGATGAATTTAGTTTTTTCCTCTGATATCTTTTAATGTTTTTGCTTTAGTTTTGATGTTCTGCAGGTTTGCTATGATGGCTCTAAATGTGGATATATATGTGTATATTCTGCTCAAATTTTGTTATTGTTTTTTCACTTAATAAAAAATGAAAATTTGGGCTACTTTATATCTGTATATTAATATGCAAATATTGAAACTACAACATGTAGGGGTCAAAATGTATTATACCTAAAATAGACCCGAATTCAGAAGCCATGTCATATTTAGGTGATGGTCAAGATTCTGTGAATACAACCATATGCAAAACCAGATACAGGGTCACCTATATGGGAAACAAAAGAGACAGGGATTTGGAAAGTCATCTTTTAGTCCCCTGACATGGAGTCTAAACTTTCAAACAACTCTTTTGAGAAGAATTTAATTTCAGAAGTAGCAGCTCAGGGAGATGCACTGAGACCTCAGGCATATTTGCAGACTATTTTGAAATAGAAGACTGTAGCTGAGCCAGAAAGTGAAACCTCAATGCATACGTGGAAGCTACCATCTGCTGGTAAGATCGCAGGAAAGATGAAATGGTCCCTGAGGCTCCATCTGTACATTTATCCCTCTTCAATCAGTGACTGAGGGCCAGACATTAGACAGTGACTTGGGCAAATGGGAAGCACAGTGGGAGATTTGGGCTGGGGCTGCCCTGCTGACTTTCATCTGACCGCTGCTAAATGCCTCCACCCCAGGACTGCAAGCCTTATCCATACTTTATACCACCTCAGGGGAAGCATTGCTTGTAGTTTTGGCTAAGCTTCCCATTGGTAAAGGAGGGCACCTGAAAGGATAAGCATGGAGCTAGGAATAGAAAGAAGCTCAGCACTCTGAGAAAAGTGTTAACATCCTTTATCAGAGAAAGGTGAGGACTTTGCACAGTACCAAAGTTTCCCTCGATCAACTTAAAGAGATAAGAATAACAGAGCCTGAGAAATTTTTCTTCTGGAAAGGAAAGATATACAGGTGAGCTAAATGTCCTTTGTGGGCATGCAAAATTTACTAGGATGAGATTGTAGCAAGAATAATATACTTCAACATACTGCCTTAATCTGTGCAGGCTGCTATACAAAACACCACAGTCTGGGAGGTTTAAACAATGGACACTTATTTTCTCGCAGTTCTGGAGGCCAGAAGTCTGAGATCAGGTGCCAGAATGATCAAGTTCTGGTGAGGACCTTTTCTTCCATGCTTGCAGAGAACTGAATTCTCGCAGTATGCTCACATGGCCTTTCCTTAGTGAGAGCTTATGGAAAGCAAGCAAGCACTCTGATGTCTCTTCTTATAACGCCACTAATGCTATTGGACCAGGGCTCCATCTTCAAGACCTAATCTAAAACTAATCAGTGCTCAAAGAACTCATCTCCAAATACCATCACAATGAGGGTTAGGGTTTCAATATATGAAGACTGTGGGGACAAACGTCCGTCCGTAACATACACTAAACCATTGTGTTTAACGTCAGCAGTGAAACCTAACTCTTGGACTTTTCACAGCTTCAATAATAAAAGCCAGCCCCAGGTGACTCCAGCCGCAGTGTTGCTTTTATAAGGTGTAGAGTATGGAGAAATAAGGATGTTATCAGGAAAGAGGAAAGCTCTCCTGGTGTTTAGAGGACGAGATAAATTGGAAAGGGTGGAGTGGAGAGAAAGAAAGGGCCGGACGAGAGGAAAGAAAGTCAGGAGATCAGACCCAAATATCTGTTCTCCAGAAACACAGCTGAGGGAGATTTCCAAAGCAGAGGTGTTTGTGTCATCTTGACTTTGCTACTTTGGGTCAATACTACCACCAGTATAGGACTCCAGTATTTGCTGGACTACAGAAAAGGAACAAAATTTATTGTCGGTGGTTAAGCAGAAAGCCTGAATTCAGGCCTCAGTTTCCTAGGCATATGTGGTGTTAGCAGAAGATTCTGCAACTGCCCCAGTCCCACATAAGGTGAAGTGAAAGCGTCAAGAGAACCAGGGGCCAGAAGAGGCAAATCCAGGCAAGAAACTGGCAGGAGGTGCAACCTTGTGAGTTAAGCGTAGGATCCACGGGTGTTGGAGTTATCAGCTACTTGGAGATTAGGAAAGGGAAGTTCTATTAGGGATTGGTGCAGGAAGAAAGGCTGAACTAACCATGTGTTTCTGGTGTTTTCACATCTGGGGCCTTGCTAACCCTGGAGAGTCTGCCCTTCCAAAGGCTAGCCAGTTTCTAGAGATGGTAAAGGGCTTGCTGCATGCAAGTGCACCTTTCATATGCAAACCAACCAATCCAATGCCTACATCCCCAACCATTTCTATTAAACTCTTACATTCAGGGCCACTATCCCCCTGCCCTAACCACCTCACCACCAGGTGCCAAATAACTAGAAATAGCACCTAAACCTAGAGGCTGCTGACATTATTCAAACCAGCCAATCCTAAGCTTGCTTACCCTACCTCATCCACTTCTTCCCTCAGATATCATAATAATGGCTCTTGCCCTTGCTTTTTCCTCAATTCCCTTACCTCCTGACCCTGGTACTTACCCATGTGGCCACCCATGTGAAGTGACGTGTCCCCTTCTCTTGGAACTGTGAGTAACAAACTATCTTTTCAATGGGAATTACCTATTGATCTGTTGGCTTTACCATATCTGAGTAATAATAAAATTAAAAGAGAGGCCAATACTCAGAAATCAGTGGCACAAGACAGTGTATTCATAGACCAACCTGGAGAAGACTCTCTCATCCTAGACATATGGTATTCCTTCTGCATCCTGAACACATTCAGGGAAGGATGATGGCAGGAGAGACTCCTTGACAGGGGGAAATTGTCAGATCTTTGAATTGACACAATGTGTATCTCAAAATGACCCTTTAAACCAAGACAAATTCTGCTGTATTTAATTTGAAATATTTAACCTCTCCTGACCCACAAAGAACTCACATTAGCCACTGAATGGTATATAAATTTCAGAGAAAGGAAGCACATTTAGAGAGTAGAATTTTCTACCCTAGGTCCCAGTATTTAATAGTTTTTAAAACAAATAAATTACTTTCGTTGGGATTTATTTATAATTATAAATGAATGCATATTTATTGCAGATAAATTAATTGGAATATTTATAATTCAATATAAAGAAAAACAGCTCATTGACTCTCGCATCATTTTTTGAATATATCTCTCCATGCATTCATTTAGTGACTATATGTTATGTATATTAACAATATTTTAAAGAAATTTTCCATACCATTAAGTGGCTTTACTATTAATCACATAGTTCATTTTATCAATACCCTGTGGTTAGGTATTTTGATTTCTTTCTTTTCTTTTCTAAAAAATACTCTGATGAATATCCAGGTTTATAAAACTTTGCGTGCATTTTGTATTATTTCTAACTAGATAAATTTATAGAAATAAAACAAAAGAGTTCCATTTTCAAGTCTTTTTGATCATTTGAACATTTTGATGACTTTTTGTTCATATCACGAAATTCTCTCTAGCTATGCCAATTCATACACCTACCAGCAGTATACAAAAATGTCCATTTCTCCCTTCTCTTGAACACATACTGCTTTACAAACAATTTTTTTTTTAAGACAGAGTCTCCTTCTGCCATCCAGGCTGGAGTGCAGTGGTATGATCTCGGCTCACTGCAATATCCGCCTGCTGAGTTCAAATGATTCTTGTGCCTCAGCCTCCCAAGTAGCTGGGATTACAGGTGTGTGCCACCATGCTCAGCTAATTTGTATATTTTTAGTAGAGACGGAGTTTCACCACGTTGGCCAGGCTAGCCTGGAACTCCTGGCCTCAAGCGATCCATCCGCCTTGGCCTCCCAAAGTGCTGGGATTACAGGCATGAGCCATTGCACCCAGCCTTCAAAATAAATTTTTGTAAAATCTTTGCAAATAGAAAAAAAAAGCATCTCATACCTGTAAATTTCTTTTCTTTGATAATCAATGAAGAAGAAAATTTCCCATATATCTGAACATTTCTCGTATATCTCATATATGCCCTTTATTTAAATTGTGAATTCAGATACTTTCTTAACTTTCTTGGGATATATACCTCTTCCATAATCATGTCTAAAAGTTTCCTCTATGCTGGGGATTATTTACCTTGTTTGTCACATATGATGCAATTTTCCACCTGGCTAGATATTATCTTCTAATTTTGTTTTTAGATACTTGCGTTTCATTTTTGTTGACAAATATTTAATACATATGTATAGAAATATGAAATACGAAGATAGGTGTATGTTCCACAAATTTCCCTTTAATTCACAATTATTCCTAGAATGTTAAAAATATGTGCTTACTGGCAGAGAGTAATAGCTGTAGTAAATTAAGGAAACAAGTTTAAACAAATATGTGCTTACTCAAACTCTGCCTACCAGAAGCTGCTGCTCTTCCTGCCCACACAGCATTCACATGAGCTTCAAGGAATTTCAACACCCTAAAATGTCCTTTTCCCTGGTCCTTCAGAGAACAATAGATATAATAATAACTGCCAGTGTCAAGGGTCTTTTAGTAATTTCACATTCCTCCACTGGAAAGATATCATTTAACTACTAAAGCTTGTCAATGTTGTCTCATCTTACATATGGAGAAATGAGCTTAGTGACTTGCTCAACCACATCTGGGTAGTGAGTAGGATGGCATGACCACTACAGGCATACCTCGTTTTATTTTTTTTGCTTTAAGGTGCTTCAAAGATGTTGCATTTTTAACCAATTAAAGGTTTGTGGCAATTTTGTGTTGAGCAAGTCTGTTGGAGTCATTTTTTCCAACAGCGTGTGCTCACTTCCTGCCTCTATGTCACATTTTGGTAATTTTTGCAATATTTTCAAAATTTTTTATTATTATTATAACTGTTCTAGTGATTTGTAATCAGCGATCTTTGATGTTACCATTGCAATTGTTTTGGGACATCACAAGCCACACCTATGTACAATGGCAAACTTAATATGTAAATGTTGTGTGTGCTCTGACAGCTGCACCAGCCATTCTCTCATCTCTCACTCTCTCCTTGGGCCTCCCTGTTCCTGGAGAAACAATATTGAAATTGAGTGATTTAATAACCTTACAATGTTCAAGTGAAAGGAAGTCTAAGTGTTCAAGTGAAAGGAAGAGTCACACACCTCTCACTTTAAATCAAAAGCTAGAAATAAATTATTAAGCTTAGTGACAAAGGCACGTTAAAAGTTAAGATAGGCCAAAAGCTAGGTTTCTTGTGCTAAACAATTAGTTAATTTGTGAATGCAAAAAAAAAAAAATTCTTGAAGAAAATTAAAAGTGCTACTCCAGTGAACACAGGAATGATAAGAAAGCAAAACAGCCTTATTGCTTGTATGGAGAAACTTGTATTGGTCTGGATAGAATATCAAACAAGCCACAACATTCCCTTAAGCCAAACCCTAATCCCAAACAAGGCTTCAATTCTCTTCAATTCCATGAAGGCTAAAAGAGGTGAGGAAACTGCAGACGAAAAGTTGGAAGCTAGAAGAGGAAGCTAGTTCATAAGGAAAGAAGCTGTCTCCATAACATCAAAGTGCAAGATGAAGCAAGTGCTGATGTAGAAGCTGCAGCAAGTTATTCAGAAGATCTAACTAAGATCATTGATGATTATCACTACACTAAACAACAAATTTTTAATGTAGACAAACAGCCTCCTATTTGAAGGAGGTGCCATCTAGGATTTTCATAGCTAGAAAGAAGTCTATGTCTGGCTTCAGAGCTTCACAGGGCAGGTTGACTCTCTTGTTAGGGGCTAATGCAGCTGGTGACTTTAAGTTGGGGACAGAGCTTATTTACCATTCTGAAAATCCCAGAACCTTTAAAAATTATGCTCAACTTACTCTGCCTGTGCTCCATCCATGGAATAATGAAGCCTGAATGACAGCATATCTGTTTACAGCAGGCTTTGCTGAATATTTTAAACCCACTGTTGAGACATACTGATCAGAAAAAAAGATTTCTTTCAGCAGATTACTGCTCATTGATAATGCACTTGGTCAACTATGAGCTCTGATGGAGACTAATGCTGTACAAGAAGACTAATGCTGTTTTCATGCCTGCTCACAAACTATCTGATATGGTTTGGCTGTGTCCCCACCCAAATCTCAACTTGAATTGTACCTCCCAGATTTCCAAGAGTTATGGAAGGGATCCAGGAGGAGATAATTGAATCATGGGGGCTGGTCTTTCCCATGCTATTCTCATAATAGTCAATAAGTCTCACGAGATCTGATGGGTTTATCAGGGGTTTCCTCTTTTGCTTCTTCATCATTTTCTCTTGCTTCCACCATGTAAGAAGTGTCTTTCACCTCCCCTCATCATTCTGAGGCCTCCCCAGCCATGTGGAACTGTAAGTCCCATTAAACCTCTTTTTCTTCCCAGTCTTAGATATGTCTTTATCAGCAGTGTGAAAACAGACTAATATAGTAAATTGGTAACAGTAGAGTGGGGTGTTGCTGAAAAGATACCTGAAAATGTGGAAGTGACTTTGGAACTGGGTAACAGGCAGAGATTGGAACAGTTTGGAGGGCTCAGAAAAAGAATGAAAAATGTAGGAAAGTTTGGGGCTTTCTAGAGACTTGCTGAAGGGCTTTGCCCAGAATGCTCATAGTGATAGTGGACAATAAGGTTCAGACTGAGGTGGTCTCAGATGGAGATGAGGAACTTGTTGGGACCTGGAGCAAAGGTCACTCTTGTTATGTTTTGACAAAGAGACTGGTGGCATTTTTCCCCTGCCCTAGAGATTTGTGGAACTTTGAACTTGAGAGAGATGATTTAGGGTATCTGATGGAAGAAATTTCTAAGCAGCAAAGCATTAAACAGGTGACTTGGGTACTGTTAAAGGCATTCAGTTTTATAAGGGAAGCAGAGCATAAAAGTTCAGAAAATTTGCAGCCTGACAATGAGATAGAAAAGAAAACCCCATTTTCTGGGGAGAAATTCAAGCTGGCTGCAGAAATTTGCATAAATAGCAAGGATCCTAATGTTAATTCCAAAGACCATGGGGAAAATATCTCCAGGCCATGTCAGGGACCTTCACAGCAGCCCCTCCCATCACAGGCCTGGAGAAGCAGGAGGAAAAAGTGGTTTCATGGGCTGGACCCAAGGTCCCGTACTGTGTGCAGCCTAGGGACGTGGTGCCCTGTGTCCCAGCTGCTGCAGCCATGGTTGAAAGGGGCCAATGTACAGCTCAGGCTGTGGCTTCAGAGGGTGGAAGCCCCAAGCCTTGGCAGCTTCCACATGGTGTTGAGCCTGCAGGTGCACAGAAGTCACGAATTGAGGTTTGGGAACCTCCACCTATATTTCAGAAGATGTATGGAAATGGCCTGATGCCCAGAAAAAAGTTTGCTGCAGGGGCGGGGCCCTCATGGAGAACTTCTGCCAGGGCAGTGAGGAAGGGAAATGTGGGGTCATAGCCCCCACACAGAGTCCCTACTGGGGCACTGCCTAGTGGAGCTGTGAGAGGAGGGCCACCATCCTCCAGACCCCAGAATGCTAGATCCACTGACAGCTTGCACCGTGCACCTGGAAAAGCCACAGGCACTCAATACCAGCCCATGAAAGCAGCTGGGAGGGAGGCCGTACTCTGCAAAGCCACAGGTGTGGAGCTGCCCAAGACTATAGGAACTCATCTCTTGCATCAGCATGACCTGGATGTGAGACATGGAGTCAAAGGAATTTTAAAATTTGACTGCTGCACTGGATTTTGGACTTGCATGGGCTGTGTAACCCTTTTGTTTTGGCTAGTTTCTCCCATTTGGAAAGCCTGTATTTACCCAATACCTGTACCCTCATTGTATCTCGGAAGTAACTAGCTTGCTTTTGATTTTACAGGCTCATAGGCGGAAGGGACTTGCCTTGTCTCAGATGAGACTTTGGACTGTAGACTTTTGGGTTAATGCTGAAATGAGACTTTTGGGGACTGTTGGGAAGGCATGATTGGTTTTGAAATGTGAGGACATGAGATTTGGAGGGGACAGTGGCAGAATGATATGATATGGTTTGGTGGTGTTCCCGCCCAAATCTCAACTTGAATTGTATCTCCCAGAATTCTCGTGTGTCGTAGGAGGGACCCAGGAGGAGGTAATGGAATCATGGGGTCCGGTATTTCCTGAGCTATTCTCATGATATTGAATAAGTTTCATGAGACTTGATGGGTTTATCAGGCGTTTCCGCTTTTGCTTCTTCCTAATTTTCTCTTGCTGCCACCATGTAAGAAGTGTCTTTCACCTCCCACCATGATTCTGAGGCCTCCTCAGCCATGTGGAACTATTAATCCAATTAAACTTCTTTTTCTTCCCAATCTCGGGTATGTTTTATCAGCAGTGTGAAAATGGACGAATACACCATCCATTCTGCAGCTTATGGATCAAGGAGTAATTTGGGCTTTCGAGTTTTATTATTTTAAGAAATATGTTTTTTAAGGCTATAGCTGCCATAGATAGGAATTCCTCTGATGGATATGGGCAAAGTAAACTGAAAACCTTCTGGAAAGAATTCACCATTCTACATGTCATTAAGAACATTCATGATTCATGAGAGGAGGTCAAAATATCAACATTAACAGGAGCTTGAATGAAATTGATTCCAACCTTCATGGGTGACTTTGAGAGGTTCAATACTTCAGTGGAGGAAGTAACTGCAAAGGTGAAAATAAAAAGAGAACTACATTAGAAGTGAAGTCTAATGATGTGACTAGATGGCTAAATTTGAATGGATAAAGAGTTGCTTCTCGTGGATGAGCAAAGAAAGTGGTTTCTTGAGATGGAATCTGCTCCTGGTGAAGATGCTGTGAACATTGTTGAAATTACAACAAATGATTTAGAATATTCCATAAACTTAGATGAAAAAGTAGCAGTAGGGTTTAAGAGGATTGACTCCAATTTTGAAAGAAGTTCTACTGTGGGTAAAAGGCTATCAAACAGCATCACAAGCTACAGAGAAATTTTTCATATACTAAAGAGTGAATCAATGTGGCAAATATCACTGTTGTCTTATTTTAAGAAATTGCCAGTCACCTCAATCTTCAAGAACCACCACCCTGATTAATCAGCAGCTATCAGCATTGAAGAAAGACCCTTTACAACTTGCTAAAGGCTTAGCTGATGATTAGCATTTTTAGCAATAAAGTGTTTTTAATTAAGATACATAGATTTTTAAAGACATAATGCTATTGAACACTTAATAGACTATAGTATAGTGTAAACATAACTTTTATAGTTACTGAGAAACTAAAAAATTCATTTGACCCACTTTATTGTGATAATCACTTTATTGTGGTAGTCTGGAACTGAAACTGCAGTATCTCTGAGGTATGCCTGTAAACACATGTAGTTTTCTTTGCACCTTGAATTCTGTGCTTTTTGTTATAGGACTACTTTCCCAGTGTCAAAAGATTTGTAAAATCTATCCATCAAAGTTGATAAAAGTGATGAGAAATAAAAGCATCATCTCTGGGATAATAGAGTGGTATCATCTCTGGGATAATAATAGTGAACACAGATTAGGATCTTACAAAAGGCCAATGTTATGGTCAAGATGTGTGTTTGAATTTAAAAGTAACCTGAAACAGAGAAAAAATATTGGATCTCCTCTTTCTCATCCTAAAATCCAAGCTCTAAGGAGATTCCAAGTTTATGATTGTTGTATTCATCAGGGTTCTCCAGAGGGACAGAACTAATGGAATATATATATATATATGAGTTTATGAAGTATTAACTCACACAATCACAAGGTCCCACAGTAGGCCATCTGCAGGCTGAAGAGCAAGGAGAGCCAGGCCAAGTTCCAAAACTGAAGAACTTGGAGTCTGATGTTCAAGGGCAGGAAGCACTCAGCATGGGAGAAAGATGTAGGCTGGGAGGCTAGGTCAGTCTCTTTTTCATATTTTTCTGCCTGTTTTATATTCTAGTCACACTGCAGCTGATTAGATTGTGCCTACCCACATTAAGGGTGGGTCTGCCTTTCCCAGCCCACTGACTCAACTGTTAATCTCCTTTAGCAACACCCTCACAGACACACCCAGGATGAATACTTTGTATCCTTCAATCCAATCAAGTTGACACTCAGTATTAACTATCACAAGTTTCATATTGCTCTTGGGATAAGAAGAAGGTGGTCATTGTTTGCTCGTGTGTGCTCAACAGGGACCATGCAGGAGCTGGAACATATTAAGAACAGTAGACCTAAGTATAAGTTTATTTAATACTTGCCTTGTTCTTGACTGAAAGAACATCTCTGAATTTTCACCCTTTCCCTCTTAACCTACAGTCATTTCCACTATACCTCTTAATCCTGCTTAATTTCTACATAACGCTTATCACCTCTCACGTATTATATATTTATTTGGTTACTCGTTACAATCTGTGTCCTCCCACTAAAATAAAATTTCCATGGGACTTAGAACTTGTCTGTTTTAATCATTACACTATAGTAATCCCCTCTAATACTGCCTATAGCACAATGGTCACCAAATAAATATTTGTGATAGAATTAACAAATGGGAACTGAGCAACTCTAGATTTCAGTTAAAACACAAGAGGCCTCATATCCTCTCCTAAACTCTGTATGAGGAAATCTGGAATGCAGCTTCTCCTTACCACCACTCCCATTCCTGGCTACCTCAGTGTACTCCAATATTTTTCCCAACTCCCAAAGTTTTTTGAAAATTAGTATTTAAATGATAATACACAAACATGAGTATAAAGCATAACTGAGTTTATTAAATTACAAAACACTTCTGTTTTTACTGTTATTCTAAAACTATACATTGAGTTTTTACTGTTATTCTAAAAGTATATATTTTAAACAAACACACTGGAACTTATTCACACTTACTATATAGGGTGAGGTTCCTTTTGAGTTGCTGAGGCACCTAATGACTGTTACTTGCAGAAGAGGTATGCTTAGTTCTCTCTTACATAAAAGTCTGAAGTTATGCAGGCTAGGACTTGCATAGGGCTGGATCCCATGAATGTTTCAAGCATATGAATTCTATCTCTTGCTGCTCTACTATTTATGTGACCTCCAATCTCAAGATCATCTCATGGGCCAAAGTAACTGTTTCAGTCCAACTATTTTGTCACATTTCAGCCTGTAGGAAAAAGATGTGGACAAAGAAGAAAGGGCAAAAAATGCATGGATGTTTGTCTAGTA
The DNA here is from genome assembly GCF_000001405.40 of Homo sapiens. Lineage (NCBI taxonomy): Eukaryota > Metazoa > Chordata > Mammalia > Primates > Hominidae > Homo > Homo sapiens. Next base: position 152,696,926 of record NC_000003.12, on the reverse strand, counting down.
ATGAAAATTCAAGGTTGCCACATGACACTTTTGCTTATATCCCATTGACCAAAACCAAGTGACATGATTTCATCTTGTTTGGAAGGAGGCAAGGAAATGTAGCCTTTCTTCCATGCAGTCATGTATCCAGCTAAAAATCAGGGATTCTACTACCATGTATGAAAAGAAAATGGATATAGGGGACAAGTAGCAGTTTTTATCAAAGCATCCATCTGAATGTCTTCCCATACAAAATGGTCATCCCAGGAGGCTAAGTTCCAATAATGCTGTCATTGCCATAGTTTTCAACTTCCATTGGCACCTACAATACATTTTTATACATATCCTTAGAAGTGTCAAATATTCAGTCTTAAGGAGTAAATTTGATTTTTTGAAGCATCAAAAATTATCTTAGAGAGAATTTCCTGTGTAAGATATGCAACAAAATTAGTGATGTCATTTGAGGGCAGAAGGTTGGATATGGCTTCAAACTTATGTTTCTCTAAAAACAATTTCCTGAGAGGGTCTTACACATGTTTCCCAAGACTGGCATCACCATTTACTCTCCTCCCAACACCATCATCAATGTCATCATTAGTAGTAGCACTTAACAAAGACTGAAAACTTATGAGGAGGGTGATTTTCATATGTGACACTTTCTACTCAAAATATAGTACTCAAATAAATGCGTTTAGTGCCCCTCAACTTGTAACTTCCAGACTTACATCCATTTGTCTGTATAATATGCTCTAACAACAGATGGTATATCATTAAAAATCTTTATTACACTTGATGCTCTTCTAGGATGGAGAGAAATCTATTTCCAAAATTTACATAAAGATGCTGTAAAATTAGGGACTTACATTTAAAAAGCTACTTGGGATTGATTTAAAATGACATGTAATATTGTGCTTTCACCAGTTAGCTGGATAATATCACCCTCTGGAGGCAAAATGCTAATTATTTATGCATTTCATTATAAGGCAGCTCAAAACATTAAATTTCATTCCTGGAGAAATGTTAAACTGGGAAAAATAACAAGTATTGCTTACATTTAAAATCGTTTTTTAGAATTTCATTTTTAATTCCTTTTTCTTTTGAATCTTTATCAGTTGTTCCAAATCAGGAAAGATCTTAGCTAGATCTTCTGGATAACTTGCTGCAGCTTCTATATTATCACCTGCTTTCATCTTGTACTTTGATGGTATGGAGACAACATCTGCTTAAACCTCATGATCCAACCTTTGCTAGCCTCCAACTTTTCTCCTGCAGTTTTCTCACCTCTCTCAGCTTTCATAGAATTGAATAGAGTTAAGGCCTTGTTCTGGATTAGAGTTTGGCTTAAGGGAATGTTGTGGCTTGTTTGATCTTCTATCCAGGCCAACAAAACTTTCTTTATATCAGCAATAGGGCTGTTTTGCTTTCCTATCATTCCTGTGTTCACTGGAGTGGTGCTTTTAATTTTCTCCAAGAACTCTTTTTTTCTTTTAATTCATATCTCAGCTAACTGTTCATCACAAGAGACTTAGCTTTTGGCCGATCTTAACTTTCAACATGTCTTTCTCACTAAGCTTATTCATTTATTTCTAGCTTTTCATTAAAGTGAGAGATGTGTGATTCTTCCTTTCACTTGAACACTTAGAGTCCATTGTAAGGTTATTTAATATTTGTTTAAAGTAATATAATTTACTTTTTATTTAAATAGGTTTTTGGAGAACAGATGGTGTTTGGTTACGTGAATAAGTTTCTTAGCGGTGATTTCTGAGATTTTGGTGCTCCCGTTACCCAAACAGTGTACACTATACCCAATCTTTTATCCCTCACCCACCTCCCACCCTTTCCCCCAAGTCCCCAAAGTCCATTGTATCATTCTTGTGTCTTTGCGTCCTCATAGCCTAGCTCCCAGTTATGAGTGAGAACACAACAATGTTTGGTTTTTCATTCCTGAGTTACCTCGCTTAGAATAATGTTCTCCAGTTCCATCCCGGTTGCTGCAAATGCCATTATTTCATTCCTTTTTATGGTGGAGTAGTATTCCATGGTGTATATATATATATCTATATATATAGATATATAGATATATATATATATATCTGTTCCATATATATATTCCAAATATATATATGTTCTATGTATATATTCCATATATACATATTCCATATATATTCCATATATATATTCCAAATATATATATATTCCATATATATATTCCAAATATATATATATTCCATATATATATTCCAAATATATATATATTCCATATATACATTCCATATATATTCCATATATATATTCCATATATACATTCCATATATATTCCATATATATATTCCAAATATATATATTCCATATATATATATTCCAAATATATATATTCCATATATATATATTCCAAATATATATATTCCATATATATATATTCCAAATATATATATTCCATATATATATATTCCAAATATATATATTCCATATATATATATTCCAAATATATATATTCCATATATATATATTCCAAATATATATATTCCATATATATATATTCCAAATATATATATTCCATATATATATATGTTCCAAATATATATATTCCATACATATATTCCAAATATATATATTCCATATATATATTCCATATATATATTCCATACATATATTCCAAATATATATATTCCATATATATATTCCATATATATATTCCATATATATATTCCAAATATATATATATTCCATATATATATATTCCAAATATATATATTCCATATATATATATTCCATATATATATTCCATATATATATATTCCATATATATATATTCCATATATATATATTCCATATATATATATATACACATACCACATTTTCTTTATCTACTCATTGGTTGAGGAGCATTTGGGCTGGTTCTGTATTTTTACAATTGCAAATTGTGCTGCTATAAACATGTATGTGCAAATATCTTTTCTGTATAATGACTTCTTTTCCTCTGGGCAGATACCCAGTAGTGGGATTGCTGAATCAAATTGTAGATCTACTTTCAGTTCTTTAAGGAATCTCCACACTGTTTTCCATAGTGGTTGTATTAGTTTACATTCCCACCAACAGTGTAAAAGTGTTCCCTTTTCACCACATCCATGCCAACATCTATTAGTTTTTAAAAATTTTTTGACTATGGCCATTCTTGCCAGAGTAAGGTGGTATCGCATTGTAGATTGTGTTTTGATTTGCATTTCCATGATAATTAGTGATGTTGAGCATTTTTTCATTTTTTCCATTTGTATATCTTCTTTTGAGAATTGTCTATTCATGTCCTTAGCCCACTTTTTGATGGGATTGTTTGTTTTTTCCTTGCTGATTTGTTTAGGTTCTTTGTAGATTCTGGATATTAGTCCTTTGTCAGAAGTATAGTTTGCAAAAATTTTCTCCCACTCTGTGGGTTATCTGTTCACTCTGCTAATTATTTCTTTTCCTGTGCAGAAGCTTTTCAGTTTGAGTCTCATCTATTTATCTTTGTTTTTGTTGCATTTGCTTTTGGGTTCTTCGTTATAAAGTATTTGTCTAAACTGAGGTCTAGAAGGGTTTTTCCAATGTTATCTTGTAGAATTTTTATGGTTTCAGGTCTTAGATTTAAATCTTTGAACCATCTTGAGTTGATTTTTTTATAAGGTCAAAGATAAGGATCCAGTTTCATTCTTCTACATGTGGCTTGCCAATTATCCAAGCACCATTTGTTGAATAGGGTGTCATTTCCTCACTTTATGTTTTTGTTTGCCTTGTCAAAGATCAGTTGACTGTAAGTATTTGGCTTTATTTCTGGGTTGTCTATTCTGTTCCATTAATCTATATGCTTATTTTTATACCAGTACCATGCTGTTTTGGTGACTATGGCCTTATAGCATAATTTGAAGTAGGGCAGTGTGATGCCTCCAGATTTGTTCTTTTTGATTAGTCTTGCTTTGGCTATGTGGGCTCTTTTTAGGTTCCATATGAATTTTGAGAATGTTTTTCTAGTTCTGTGAAGAATGGTGATGGTATTTTGATGGAATTGCATTGAATTTGTAGTTTGCTTTTGGCAGTATGATATTTTCCCAATAATGGTTTTACCCAACCATGAACATGGAATATGTTTTCATTTGTTTGTGACATCTATGATTTCTTTCAGCTGTGTTTTATAGTTTCCCTTGTAGAGGCCTTTCACCTCCTTGGTTAGGTTTATTCCTAAGTATTTTATTTATTTTATTTGCAGCTATTGTAAAAGAGTTGACTTTTTGATTTGATTCTCAGTTTGGTCACTGTTGGTGTATAGCAGAGCTACTGATTTGTGTACATTAATTTTGTAAACTGAAACTTTGCTGAATTCATATATCAGTTCTAGGAGCTTTTGGGATGACTCTTTAGGGTTTTGTAGGTATACGACCGTGTCATCAGGAAACAGTGACAGTTTGACTTCCTCTTTACTGATTTGGATGCCCTTTATTTCTTTCTCTTGTCTCATTGCTCTGGCTAGGACTTCCAGAACTAGGCTAAATAGAAGTGGGTGAAAGTGGGCATCCTTGTCTTCTTCCAGTTCTCAGGGGGAATGCTTTCTACTTTTCCCTATTTGGTATAATGTTGGCTGTGGTTTTGTCATAGATGGCTTTTATTACCTTAAGTTATGTCCCTTTTATGCTGATTTTTTGAGGGTTTTAACCATAAAGAGATGCTGGATTTTGTCAAATGCCTTTACTGTGTCTATTGAGATAATCATGTGATTTTTGTTTTTAATTCTGTTCATGTGGTCTACCACATTTATTGACTTACATATGTCAAACTCTCCCTGCATCCCTGATATGAAAACCCATTTGATCATGGTGGATTATCTTTTTGATATGGTGTTGGATTTGTCTAGGTAGTATTTTGTTGAGGATTTTTGCATCTATGTTCATCAGGATATTGGTCTATGGTTTTCTTTTCTTTTTTTTTTATGTGTTTTCCTTGTTTTGGTATTAGGGTGATACTGGCTTCACAGAATGATCTAGGGAGGATTTCCTCTTTCTCTGTCTTTTGGAATTGTTTCATTGAGATTGGTACCAATTCTTCTTTGAATGTCTGGTAGAGTTCAGCTGTGAATTCTTCTGGTCCTGGACTTTTTTTTTTTTTTTTTTTTTTGGTAACTTTTAAATTACCACTTCCATCTTGCTGCTTGTTATTGCTCTATTCAGGGCTTCTGCTTCTTTCCGGTTTAATCTAGGATTGTATATTTCCAGGAATTTATCCATCTCCTCTAAGTTTTCTAGTTTATGCATGTAAAGATGTTTGTAGTAGCCTTGAATGATCTTTTGTATTTCTGTTGTATTGGTTGTAATATCCCCCATTTCATTTTTAATTGAGCTTAATTGGATCTTCTCTCTTCTTTTCTTGGTTAATCTTGCTGATGGTCTATCAATTCTATTTATCTTTTCAAAGAACTAGCTTTTTATTTCATTTATCTTTTGTATTTTTTTTTGTTTCAATTTCATTTAGTTCTGCTCTGATCTTGGTTATTTCTTTTTCTCTGCTGGGTTTGGGTTTGGTTCATTCTTGCTTCTTTAGCTCCTTGAGGTGTGATTTTATGTTAGATTGTCTATTTGTGCTCTTTCAGACTTTTCGATGTAGGCATTTAATGTACGAACTTTCCTCTTAGCACCGCTTTTGGTGTCCCAGATGTTTTGATAGGTTGTGTCACTATTATCGTTCAGTTCAAAGAATTTTTAAATCTCATTATTGATTTCATTTTCGACCCAACAATCATTGAGGAGCAAGTTATTTAATCTCCATGTATTTGCATGGTTTTAAGGGTTCCTTTTGGAGTTGATTTTCAATTTTATTCCACTGTTGTTTGAGAAAGTACTTGCTATAATTTTAATTTTCTTAAATTTGTTGAGACTTGTTTTGTGGCCTACCATATGATCTATCTTGGAGAATGTTCTATGTGCTGATGAATAGAATGTATATTCTACAGTTGTTGGGTAGAATGTTCTGTAAATATCTGTTAAATCCATTTGTTCTAAGGTAACATTTAAGTTCATTGTTTCTTTGTTGACTTTCTGTCTGGATGACCTGTCTAGTGCTGTCAGTGGAGTATTGAAGTCCCCCACTATTATTGTGTTGACATCTATCTCATTTTTTAGATCTAGTAGTAATTGTTTTATAAATTTGGAAACTCCAGTGTTACTTGCATATATATTTAGGATTGTGATATTTTCCTGTTGGGCTAGTCTTTTTTTATTATATAATGTCCCTCTTTGTCTTTTTTAACTGCTGTTGCTTTTAAATTTGTTTTGTCGGATATAAGATTAGTTCCTCCTGATCGCTTTTGGTGTCCATTTGCATGGAATATGTTTTTCTACCCCTTTCCCTTAAGTTTATGTGAGTCTTTATGTGTCAGATGAGTCTCTTGAAGACAGCAGATACTTGGTTCATGAATTCTTGTCTATTCTGCCATTCTGTATCTTTTAAGTGGAGCATTTTGGCCATTTAAATTTAATGTCAGTATTGAGATGTGAGGTCCTATTCTATTCGTCATGCTATTTGTTACCTGTATACCTTGTTTTCTTTTTTTCATTGTGTTATTGTTTTATAGGTCCTGTGAGATTTATGCTTTAAGGAGATTCTATTTTGGTGTACTTTGAGGATTTGTTTCAAGATTTAGAGCTCCTTTTAGCAGTTCTTGTAGTGCTGACTTCGTAGTGGTGAATTCTCTCAGTATTTTTTTGTCTGAAAAATACTGTATCTTCCCATCATTTATGAAGGTTAGTTTCACTGGATACAAAATTCTTGACAGATAATTGTTTTGTTTAAGGAGGCTAAGGATAGTACCCTAATCCCTTCTAGCTTGTAGAGTTACTGCTGAGAAATTTGCTGTTAATCTGATAGGTTTCCCTTTATAGATTACCTGATGCTTTTGCCTCACAGCTTTAAGATTCTTTCCTTTGTCTTGACTTTAGATAAGCTGATGACTATGTGCCCAGGCAATGATCTTTTTGTGATGAATTTCCTGGGTACTCTTCGAGCTTCTTGTATTGGATGTCTGAATCTCTAGCTAGGTCAGGGACATTTTCCTTGATTATTCCCTCAAATACATTTTCCAAACTTTTAGATTTCTGTTCTTCCTCAGGAACACCAATTATTCTTAGGTTTGGTCATTTAACATGATCCCAAACTTCTTGGAGGCTTTATTCATTTTTTAAATTATTTTTTCTTTGCCTTTGTTGGATTGGGTTAATTTGAAAGCCTTGTCTTCAAGCTCTGAAGTTCTTTCTCCTACCTGTTTCATTCTGTTGTGGAGACTTTCCCATGCATCTTGCATTTCTCTAAGTGTGTCCTTCATTTCCAGAAGTTGTGATTTTTTTTAATCTATGCTATCTATTTCACTGGAGATTTATCCATTCATATCCTGTATCCTTTTTTTTTTATTTCTTTAAGCTGAGCTTCACTTTTCTCTGGTGCCTTCTTGACTAGCATAATAATCAACCTTCTGAATTATTTTTCTGGCAATTCAGAGATTTCATCTTGGTTTGGATTCATTGTTAATGAGCTAGTGTGATTTTTTGGGGGGTGTTAAAAAACCTTGTTTTGTTGTGTTACCAGAATTGTTTTTCTGGTTCCTTCTCATTTGGGTAGGCTATGTCAGAGAAAAGGTCTGGGACTCAAGGGCTGCTCTTCAGATTCTTTTGTCCCTCGGGCTCCTCTCTTGATGTGATGCTCTCTCCTATCCCTTAGGGATGGGGCTTTCTGAGAGCCAAACTGGAGTGATTGTTATTTCTCTTCTGGGTCTAGACACCCAGTGGAGCTACCAGGCTCTGGGCTGGTACTGGGGAGTGTCTGCAAAAAATCCTGTGATGTGATACATCTTCAGGTCTCTTAACCATGGGTACCAGCACCTGCTCTGGTGGAGGTAGCAGGAAAGTGAAGTGGACTCTGTGAGGGTTCTAAGTTGTATTTTGTTGAGTGCACCAGTTTTGTGTTGGTTGGTGGCCAGCCAGGAGGTGGCTCTTTCAAGAGCTCATCAGCTGCGGTAGTATAGGGAGGATACAAATTTTCCCTAGTGTTGCCTTTGGATACGTATTCAGGTTTCTCAGGTTGTAGGCAGGGCCATAGAGCTCCCAAGAGGTTATGTCCTTTCTCTTCAGCTACCAGGGTGGCTAGAGAAAGACCATCAGGTAGGGGCAGTGTTAGGCATGTCTGAGCTCAGACTCTCCTTGCTGCATCTGCTGTGGGGGATGTGGGTGTGGTTCCCAGGCCAATGGAGTTATGTTCCCAGGGGGATTATAGCTGCCTCTGCTGCATCACACAGGTTGCCAGTGAAGTGGGAAAAGCTGGCAGCCACAGGCCTCACCCAGCTCCCACAGAGCTCACACCGTGAAAGGCCGGTCTCACTCCCACCATGCCCCCTCAACAGCACCAAGTTTATTTCCAGGCAGCTGGTGAGCAAGGCTGAGAATTTGCCCCAGGCTACGAGCCTCCCAGCTGAGAAAGTAAGCCGACTCACAGTTCCTCGCTGTCCCATGGAGCCTGCAGTGACAATCCACCCTTTCAAAAGGTCTATGGATTCTGTTGGCTTCCCTGGTATGTTCCTGTGTGGTTCTTGGAGCAGAAATTCACAATGTGAGTCTCTACACACCACTCTGTCTGTCAGAATGGGAGCTGGAAGTTAGTCCTGCCTCCTATCTTTCATTTTTTCCCATTATAAGGTTATTAAATGACCCAATTTCAATATTTTTTATCTAGGAATAGGGACATCCAAGGAGCAGGAAAGAGATAGGAGAACAGCTGGTAGAGCAGTCAGAACATATACATGTATTGATTAGTTCACCATTTAATATTAACACAGTTTGTCATGTCCCCCAATTACAATAGTAACATCAAAGATAATTGGTCACAGAGCACCATAACAGATATAATAATATTAAAAATCTTGAAATATTATGAGGATTATCAAAGTATGATACAGAGCACATGCTTTTGTAAAATGGTGCTGACAGACTTGCTCAATGCAGGGTTGCTGCAAATCTTTAATTTGAAAAAAATATTGGATCATCAGGTATGGTAGCTCACGCCTGTAATCCCAACATTTTGGAAGGCAGAGGCGGGTGGATCACTTGAGGTCAGGAGTTCAAGACAAGCCTGGACAACATGGTGAAACCCTGTCTCTACTAAAAATACAAAAATTAGCCAGGCGTGGTGGCAGGCACCTGTAATAACAGCTACTCGAGAGGCTGAGGCAGGAGAATTGCTTGAACCCTGGAAGCAGAGGTTGCAGTGAGCCGAGATTGCACCACTGTACTCCAGCCCAGGTGACAGAGCAAGACTCTGTGTGTGTGTGTGTGTGTGTATCTCAGATAACATATATATATATATATATATATATATATATATATATATATATATATATGTTATCTGAGAAGTGCAATAAAGTCAGGCACAATAAGATGAGGTATGCCTGTACTTCATAAACATCTTTAGTAGAGTAAGTATAGATACCTTTGAAATCATTATAATTATTATTGCATATGTATCTCCCTCAATCCAAAAGTCAGCATCAATAAACTTAATAGTGAGCCAATTGTAGAAGGCACAAACACTACAAGAATGCCCACTAATACCTCCATTATGTACATCCGTTAAATAAATTGTTTTGTAAATATTAGCAAAAGCAAATATACAAGAGAAATGAATGAGACATAAACACTGAAGGGGAAGAGAAAACTACCAATGTTTGCATATATAATAATTGCATATTGGAATAGCAGCTAAAACAAAGAGCTACAAAAATCAATAGGTTGGATCAAAAAGTAACCCAATGCAAAATATAATAAAAGGAAAAATCATGTTTAAAATAACACCCAGGTTCAACTTTTGTTGTATAAAACTAAGAGCTTTGAGTAATCCAGAAATGGCTATCAAAAAATGTGTGGGCAACACACTTCATGGAACTAAGGAAAACTAAGATTGGATTAGATAGGTGCCGATGGCTTCGAAAACTAACTAGCACTAGGGACAGGATTTGGGTAGCCCATGGTGCACAAGGGAAGGAATAGATAATTTGCCACATGAGGTAACCTAGAATGAATTCACAGACTCACTAAGTCTCCTTTGGAAAATTAAGACATTCTTTGGGAAAGAATGGGTCTCCATTAATTGAAATGGGAGAGTTTTAGATGACTCAGACTATCCAAAATTCCTAGATTCCACTGAGAATGCTTCGCTAGCAGAAGCAACACCTTATCTCCAGTCTATTGTAGAATTTGTTCCTCCTTTGCTTGAAGACAATGTAATGGGAAGTTAAGTCTTTTTATGCCTTACCACCACCATCTTTAAAATTCCTAGACCTGTAAGTAGAATCAATCCCTATGTGGCTCTTGGTCATAAACACAAATTGTACCTTGAAAGAGAAAGCTTACTAGCAAAGAAATTGCAAAACTTTGATAATTTTTCTAGACAAAACATAGAGAATATCTGAGACAATAGAATTCCAAAGTGCTAGACCAAGGTGCAATATATAATTTTACATCAGTCAGATTCATCAATATATATGAATTCATCAGAGATTTGGAATTCATCATGACAGCTTGAACAGCAGTAACACTCAGTTGACTAAAAACTATATTCAATGGTGATCCACACTGAATAAAGTTGATATGAGAAAAATAATCAGTGTATGGCAAAGGAAGGCACTCTAAGTCTTAGATCATATGTGCCATATGTGACCAATGAACCCACTCCCTGTGTCCCCTCAAAGGGGTTGACAGAAACTTATGTCTTCATGATAAATGCACTGGTGAGAAAAGCACCAAAGTGCTTAAAAAGTGTGAAGTGGCAGGTTTTTTACAGGTTGAAGAAGCTAGTGGGAGACACTGCAGGAATCTCAGCATGGCAGAAGGGGTGTAGTTACCATAACAAGCAGCAGAGCCAAAGTAATTCTCATAATGGTCTTATCTACAGAAATCATAGGTAGTGGCTAATTGATCATAGGCTTCCTAAGTGGATCATAGGATTTCACCAAGATTCTGTCTGGGACATGTAACTCACCTGGTGAGCAGAGAACTGACTCGACCCACAATAATAAATCCCCAAAGCCTCTTAGTAAGTAGACAGTTACTGAGTCCTGGGACAGTTCTTAGACTCAAAGCTCACAAATGAAGGGGAGGACCAGCCACTTTGAGAAAAAGCCATAATAGCAGCATCAATAATATGTTTTATAATGTTTCCATTTTCCTTTCTCAAAAGGACATGTACCTATTTGCTAAAGTAAGTATACATTGCTGGTAAAGGAAATGTCCAGACCTTTCTGATTGTTAGCTAACCCAGAATATAACCACCAGTTAGACTGAGCCTTTGGAGGCTCAGTGATAAACGGGATTTGGATTTGGGACCATCTTGCAGTAGAAATGTTAGGCCCATGTGTTTATTCTATAGATATTTTTGAAGTTTAGTGTACATTAACAAAATAAATATACTCAGCTATGGGCAGAATCAGCATCAGCTACATGTGGCTCTGTGTATTTTTTTTTTTGTGTGTATATATATTCATTTAATTCACAACTTATAAAGCAGAGCCCACTGATTTTTCATTTTACAGATAAAGAAATTAAGACCCAGAATGAATAAGTAACTTGCTCCTAAGGTCACAAGCCAAGTTTGTGGCAGAGATGGTGATGCTCCCAGCAGCCTGTCTGGAGCAGCCACTGCAGGGATGCCAGTTGCAGCAGGGGAAGGGCATCCAGGGCTGTGCTCTCTATGGAGCTGGTGGGAGGCAGGAACAGGTGGGAGCCACGCCCCCTACTGAGTTGGCAGGGTGGGAGCCCCAAGCTTCTGGGTGCAGCTGCAGCCACCCAGCCACGGCTCCTGACCTGGGCATCCTTGCACTCTTGGGAGCCCGGGAAACCCCCCTTGCCCTCACAGGATCAGAAGTGCCTTCTCCTGCTCCCTGACCTCTCCCTGCTTCCAATGCCCACTCCAATTTTGGAGCAAATTTGTGGCCGAGCCTGGGTGCTGTCACAACCCAGCTGAGTGTGCATGCACTCAGGGTGGTGCTGACATGCCAGCCCCCCCACTTCCTCAGTCCCCTCCTAACTACAGGCACTGATGACTGTGGGAGAGAGGCCAGGAGTGATGCTGAGGGCAGCTCAGCATGGGCCTGCAGGCATCCCTTGGCATGAACAGCTTGGACACCATGGACAACATGTTGATGGCAGGAGGCAGACGGGTTCCTGGGCAGAAAGGGGTGGGTCCCTGGTCTCTTCAAGCCAGGGATGGCCTGAAGCCTGGAGGCTGAGCTGTCAGTTCCAGGTAGAGTCCACAGCCCAGAATGAGAACTTATGATGCTTTCTCTGGGCCTGCCCATGGCCACCCATTGACCAATCAGCATGCACTTCCTCCCTTCTGAGCCCATAAAAATCCTGGACTCAGTCAGACTCACGCAGACATTGAGACTACTGGCTGCAGGAAGGAGCTACCCATTTTGGGTCTCCCCAACTTGTTGGGATGACCTGCCTGTGGAAAGGAGCTACCCATTCTGGGTCCCCTCTTCTCTGAGAGCTGGACACTCATTGGATGACCTGCCTGTGGAAAGGAGCTACCCATTCTGGGTCTCCCTCCACTGAGAGCTGGACACTTGGGACTATCTGCCTGCAGAAAGGAGATACCCACTATGGGTATCCTCTCTGCTGAGAGCTGGGTGCTTATTGGGATGACCTGCCTGTGGAAAGGAACTACCCACTTCAGGTCTCCTGAGAGCTGTTCTGTCATTCAATGAGGCACCTCTCCACCTTGCTCACCCTCCAGTTGTCCGCATACCTCATTCCTCCTGGACACAGGGCAAGAACTCAGGACCTGCCAAATGATGGGACTGAAAGAGCTGTAACACAAACAGGGCTGAAACACACTCCCTACTTGCCATGTTGCAGGTGATGAGAAGAAGAGAAGAACTGCAGCCCTTCGGTGACCCCAGACCTAGGAACTCCCTGAGCCAGGGCTATGACTCCCTCTTTGGGGCTCTGCAATTCCTGGCAACTCCAAGCTTCTGGGTGCCACCACATTCCCTGGTGCCTGCAGTGGTAGCCACTTGTGGTATGCCTGGTCCAGCCGCAGCCTTGCAGGGAGCCGGCACCTGTTCCAGTGCCTGCAGCTGCCCACCCCACTGCAGCTGGCATGCCTGGCTGTGCACAGTGGCTGGACCCCATGCTCGCTCACACACTGCTTGCCACTCTGCGCCTGGCTCACCCTTAGCAGTTGTGGGATCTGGGCTGGTAGCATGAGTTGAGTGCAGCCTGCCAGGCCAAATGGGCAGAATGAGCCCAGCAGGCCTCAGCGAAAACTTGGGCAAAGGCACCACTGGCCACAGAGGTTTCTGGCTGGAAAACCAACACCCTAAACATCCCGAGACAATGGGATTCGAATTCGGCAGGCAAGTTCCTAAATTTGTATTTTAATCATTGTACTATATTGCAGAGTATAGAGCACACCCATTTCTCCCACGTCTCCCAAAATACACACACACACACACACACACACACTTTAGGAAAATATACAAGAGGCAAATGACATTGGTTATTTGGAGAAGAGTGACATGGAGGAGTGAGAGGAAAGCTTTTAGTTTTTTATTTTACAGATTTTTGTGCTGCTTTAGTTTTCTAGCCATGTGGATAATTTATTTCTGCCTTAATATGAACAGAAATGCAATTTTAAAATGTGTACAAAGGCCTTGAGGTGAGAAAGAGCATTCTTTGAGAAACAAAAGGAAGTTTTCATGATTGATGCATAGAGCCAGATGCAGAAGAGAAATAATAATTGCTTGGAAAGGAAGGTAAGACTTTGTGGGCCATTTTAAATATTTTGAATCTTGTCCTAAAAGTAATGGGAAATTATTTAGAGTTTTAAGCATGAGAGCAACATGATCAAATGAATGTTTATTTAATAGATCACTGGGTAAACATGTGAATAATAGATTGGAGATGAGTAAAAATAGATGCTAGGGACTATTTACTAGTGAATTAGAGTAGTGCAAAAAAATAAGTAATGGTGACTGAGACTATGATCGTGATAGTAGAGATAAAAATAAGGAATGATTACATAGCTATCAAGTAGGCAAGGTCAATGTGATTTGGTGATTGATAGGATGATGAAGGACAGGAAAAAGATAAGACTTATTCCCAGTGTTTGGGCTTGTATATCTCATGAGTAATGGTGACATTCACTGAAAAGAAAGCAAAAACTGGGGAGGAAAACCTATGTTCAGTTTGGAATATGCTGAGTCAGAGGTAGCAATTGAAATCCATGATATAAAGCAAACAAATGGATATATGGTTTTGGAGCTCAGAAGAGAGGTCCCTGTTCAGCACAACATGGCTTCATGGGAGTAAACAAGAGAGACATATGGGAGAAAGTGGCTGGTGAGCAGGGGGACTGACAGACAGCTCCCAGGAAGGACCCAGGAAGTAATTGTTGAATGAATGAATGGAGCAGCCAAGGAGACTGAGAAAGTTTTCCATGAAGCAAGTGAAGGAAAAGGTAAGCATTATTTTAAAAAAGGAAAAAAAGAGTGATCAGTTTAGACAAATAAAGCTATGGAACAGATTGCACTAATATAGGTTGATAAAGATATTTATTTATTTACTTATTTAGAGGAAGGATTTCACTCACTGTATCCTGGACCTTCTGAGCTCAAGCAATTCTCCCACCCCAGCCTCCCAAGTAGCTAGAACTACAGGCAGGCACCATCACGTCCAGCTAATTTTTAAAAAGTTTTTGTACAGACAGGCTGTCCAGGCTGGTCTCAAACTCCTAGCCTTAAGTGATCCTTCTGCCTCAGCCTCTCAAATTTCTGGGATAACAGGTGTGAGACACCATGCCAGGCCAAAGTATTCATTTTTAAAGAATTCCAGGGTTAGTAGAGATCCGACCTAAAATCCAAAACCTTCTTCAAATATTGTATAAGTGACAAAAGCATCATATAAGTGACAAAATTATGGTGTTGCTGGGATAGTATAAGTTTCAGAATCAAAGAAAAATTTTATTTTGGCCAATATGCTCTGTTGGAAAATATAGACTAGCATATGATTCTGGAAATCATCCACTTATTTAAAAAATCAAAATAATCAGTTCATCTAATTTTCAAAACAGATAATTAAACAAAAGGTCTTTAAATTGAACCTCAGATATAATGGGTATAATTTTTAAAAAGTAACATGGTTTCACATAAGTAAAAAATGTGATTTATAAATGTGTTAGAGTAGAATTTTTCCAGGTAGCTCAGAAATAATAACTCATATGATTGATTGAGTTTGTGGTATTTCCATTCTTAACTTCATTTTCATGGTATTTCTAGAGTGATTATCATTCACCAGACAATGTTGTTGTATGAGGGATGTCAAGATAATTTAATTTAGTTCTTGTTCTCAGGAGCTTGCATTTGAGTGGAGAAGATAAAAACATAAGCATTCGTTTGCAAAGATACAAATATGCACAAATTATTGAGGAAGTTCAACACCTATTAGAGAGATCTCCTGGGTGATTTATATAAGAACTGAACATTAAAGACTGAATAGGAGTTGGGCAGAGAGAGTAAGGAATCAGTCATAGAAGAAAGACAGAAGGGCAAACTAATCTGAGAAGCAGAAACAAAGGAAAAATTAATTGTGTTCAGTACAAACAAAACCTATTGATATTACTACAGGGTAAAATATTGGACCTGAAATGAAAGCTCTTCTTCAGGTTGAATTGCTAAGTATGAGTCTAGGCTTCTTGGAGGAAGAAGAAATATGCACTTTAACCAGGAAGTGAATGGAGCCATTGGAAGAGTGTTGTGTAGATGGGTAATGATTTCACACACACAAATCTTATTTATTCATTTTTATGAAATCAGATCTCTGTGTTAATATATTTAGAGAGGAAAAGACTTGGACTCAGGCAGTTAAGAAAGAAAGTTCTAATGGTACTTTAGTTGCGAAAAGAAAGACAAGAGAAGCATAAGGTTAGAGAGGGAGAAATTAATTTGTAATGGACGTGTAGGATTTCCTGTGCAGCACCCCTTTCTCTGATTCTTCTGATAAAACCAACTTCTCCATTTAGGGATTAAATACTTGCCCTCCACCATGCCAACAGTGTGGTTCTAACAGGGGCTACTATGTGGATGGATCAAATCTGTCAGTTCCTTCTATCTTCTTATTCTCCAGCCCACCACACTAACTGGGGCCAAGCAGGGGAGACATAACACTAGATGGGTCAATAAAAATCAGTTCTAGGATTGGCATTAAAAGAAGAAGGACCCTTTCATCTCTATATGAAGCTGTAACTCTGCAATTTCCAGGAAGGATATACAGCCAACACACAGAGAAAGGCAGAAAACAGTGTGGGGGTAATATGAGAGAGACTGAGAAATTAAGAGACACCTGATAGCATTAATTCCCTTCTCTCCCAATTATATTTCCCCCAATCAAGGTGACATAAGCCTATAGTTTCCCTTTTGCCTAAGAGAAATTGAAGCTGAGTTTTGTTTCAGTTACTTAGAACCTAAAGTGTCATCATTTATACAAGACTTGGGTAATATTTAGGAAATAAAATAAGAAGGTCTTGAAAACTAATGCCATGTGGGGATGGGAAAGTGAGAAAATGAAAATGATACTAATATTCTAGCTAGTGAAGGATGGAGCATGGTACTATTAACTGAGATAAAGTACACAGAAGAAAAAGCAAGTTTTGGGAAAAAGATAATGAGTTGAGCTTTACACATGTTAAATTTAAGGTGCTTATCAGCCATTCAGAACACATGCAGTTGACAGGTGGATATAAAAGTCTGAATAGACTTATGTCCAGTTTTGGAAAGTACAGGCTGAAGAATTATCACATAAAGGCGATAGACAAAAACTTCAAAAATGATGATGTTAGACTTGGAAAATGTGTAAAGTGAGAAAAATGATGGGATGAGAATGAAAATCTGGAGAATATCAATGTTAAGGGTCCCAAGTGGAAGAAAGTATTAAGCAGATAGAGGAAGAAGTATTATAAAAATACAAAAAGAAACAAGGGTGCTCAGCAATATAGAAACTAAATGGTAGAGAATATCTTGAAAGAAGTTACTGTTTTAAAAGCTACAAAGAGCTCCAATAGTACAATGTCTTAAAAGTCTTCACGGCATCTGGAAGGCTGTTGGTGGTCTTATAGAGAACTATGTTAATACAACGTGAGAAATAAATAAAGTTTCCAGTGGGCTGGAATAAACATGTGAGGTAAGAAAATTAGCTATAGCCAGTGCAGTTCTCCAAGTTTTGTAAACAGATAATAAGAAGTTGGGCCATAGTTGGAGGGGAACACAGGCAAGGTTTCACTAGATTAGGAAAGACACCAATAGGGAAACTACACAAACACACACACTATGAGTTATATATACAAATATATATTAAATACACACACACACACAAGTACACACTTACTTATTAGGCTAGTGCAAAAGTAATTGCGGTTTCAGACCGTGAATTTTAAATCATTATAACTAGGCTCAAACACATCTTTATTAATCAAAATAGGAACCATTATAATCAACAAATTTTTGCCAGTGAGAAATAAGTTTGTTTATTCCTGTAGCTAACAATCTATGGTTCAGGATTAAATGAACCCTTGGAAAGCATTTTCTGCATCCTGCTGGTTGTGGAAGCATTTTCCCTGCAAAAAGTTGTGCTGTCGAGATGCTTAAAAAAGTGGTGATCAGTTGGTGAGAGATCAGGCAAATATGGCAGATGAGGCAAAACTTCGTTCAACTTTTGAAGCATTAGTTTTGCAACACGCGGTTGGGAGAAGA
The DNA here is from genome assembly GCF_000001405.40 of Homo sapiens. Classification (NCBI taxonomy): domain Eukaryota; kingdom Metazoa; phylum Chordata; class Mammalia; order Primates; family Hominidae; genus Homo; species Homo sapiens. Next base: position 152,679,138 of record NC_000003.12, on the reverse strand, counting down.
ATTGGACCCTTTCTGTTGACCAATGCCAGCTGCAGGCATTGCAGTTTTCAGTGCATCTCATCTATTTGCTGAGCATACTTCTCAGATGTAATGGTTTTGCCAGGATTCAGAAAGCTGTAGTGGATCGGAGTGGCAGCAGACCACCCAACAGTGATCATGACCTTTTTTTGTGGTGCAAATTTGGCTTTTGGAAGTGCTTTGGAGTGTCTTCTCAGTCCAACCACTGAGCTGGTCATTGCCCATTGTCATATAAAATCTACTTTTCATCGTACGTCACAATCCAATCATGAGATAGTTCACCGTTGTGAAGAACAAGAGAAGACAAAACTTCAAAATGACGATTTTTTTCTTCTCACTCAGCTCATGCAGCACCCATGTATGGAGCTTTCTCACCTTTCCAATTTGCTTCAAATGCCGAACAACCATAGGAAGGTCGACACTGAGTTCTTTGGCAACTTCTCGTGTAGTTGTAAGAGGATCAGCTTCAAATATTGCTCTCAATTGGTCGTTGTCAACTTCTGATGGCCGGCCACTATGCTCCTTATCTTCAAGGCTATTGTCTCCTTTGCAAAACTTCTTGAACCGCCATTGAACTAAGAGTTGGTTAGCAGTTCCCAGGCCAAATGCATTGTTATGTTGCCAGTTGTCCCCACTGCTTTAAGACCCATTTTGAACTCAAATAAGAAAATCGCTCAAATTTGCTTTTTCTCCAACATCATTTCCATAGTCTAAAATAAACATAAAATAAGCAGCAAAAAAACATAAAGTAAGAAATGCCCGTTAAATTGATGTATAACATAACCACATTTATTTAAGAATGGATTCCAATATCAAACGGCAAATTCCAACAATGCAAAACCCAGAATTACTTTTGTACCAACCTAATATCTTCTTGGGCCAGTACTCCTGGGCTTAAGTCTTATCAGTTTTTTGTGCCAGGACAATTTGTATAACTTCTCTGTGCCTCCTTTATTCTGTCTGTAAAATATGGATAATGGAATAATAATGGAAAGTACTTATTGGAATTGTTGTAAGGATTAAATGAGTTAATGGGTGGAAAGAACATAGAACAGATACTGGTACACAATAAGCAATAAGTAAATGTTAGCTATCATTACAGCAAAAATAATCCATCTTAGAGAGCTTTTACAATTCACTTAGAAACCTCTTCTTTCAAGGCTGCTCAAGTGTGTAGGTGGAGAAGGATGCCAGCACTCATACAAATACGTCATTACCTCTATTCCTTAATAATGGACAGTACTCTTGGTGCCAAAAATACTTTTGACAGGCTGACAGAGCATTAAGCATTGATTTTCTGGCTTTCCTGTAGGTCTTTTTCCTCACAAGTTATTTCTTTTCCTCACAACTCTAGGTCCTCAGCTGTCTTTGTAATATAATTAGTCTGACATGCATTCTCTTTGACTCCTGGAAGTGTTACTTCTCAGTGGCATGGTGGGCATGACATCATTATCACAGAGGTACACGTGCTTCATTCTGGAGCTGGCCATTATTGATGGCACCTGCCCAGGACTCGATCTTTCTGCAATACATCTAAACTCATTTCTCATAAATGTTGGATACCCACTCTATAGAATATGAAGAAATTTAAAAATGTATGAAGAATTATTAAGGACAAAATGCATAAAAGATGTTGTAGTAAAAATCAGAAAGCAAAAATTCATCCACACTATAATTTCAACTCTGAAAATGTATGCATATATTTATTCATGTTCTGCTTAAAAACACAGACTGGAAGGAAAAACACCGACAACTTAAACTTATATATATCTGAATGGTATGGTTTAATTTTCTCTATTCTTTTTCAAATATTTACAGAGGTCTTTTGTTACTTTACAATTAAAGAAAAAGTTTTATTTTGTAGGCTGGATATTCAGAAAAGTTACTGACATTCAAAACCATCCTCCTTTGTATTGTTCCCAGGCAACGTTGTAGCCAACTTCCATGCTCTCAGAGCAAAGCTTTTGTGAAAGTCCATTCTGAAAAGTTCCCATGGCAATCCAAATCCTAAGCCATTTAAAAAGAAAAGTATTACCCATTTCTTCTGGTCTTACTTAAAGTGACTATATTTTTTGGTTTTGACTTTCTTTCATACAACAAATATTTGTGTGCCTATAATGTGCCAGTCTTTATTCCCTGCAAATAAAGCAGGGAACAATACAGGCATTAATTCCTGTCTTCACAGAGCATTACACCACAGGATATATTTAACTCTTAATTTTCTTATAATAGAATATTTGTCATTTAACTAAGGAGGGACACTGTGATGTAGAGGAACACTCCTTCATCTCTATCACCTAGTACATACACCTCACAGCCCTGTCTATGCCACCATCATTCTCCCTCTAGTTGACCCTGTCATTTCTGTCCAATGACCACCTGTCTCTGGGGTTCTCTGTCAGGGTTTCTGTTGACTCTTAGTGCACAACTGGTTGTTCTAGTGTGGGGAGTATCTAGTGATCAAGAAAGAAAAAGATAAAATAACTATCAAATGTCAAGCTTATTATTTCATGTAATTCTTACAGTTTCATGGAAAAGGCAATATTAACTGCCTCTTATAGATGAGGAAACTAGTTTAGTGAGCTGAAAATTTAGTGAGCTCTTTCCATCCTTCATTTATTTATTTTTCTATTAATTGACTCAACACATATTTGTAGAGTACCTAGGTGCTAGGGTTAAAATGAGGAGTGAAAATAGATCATAAGCTCAAACATGGGAAGATAGGGTAAATAATTTTGTGAAGAGAATAGAGAGGCAGACAAGTTCTGCCTGAGGAGTCTGAGGGGTCCTCCAGGGAACCCTACCTATGGGGCAGGGAGAGAAAGAACAACAGGCTCATAGGGCTCAGAAAAGGGAAATTTCCAGGATATTCTTTGCCTCCTTATTTTTTCTCAGGATCCTGCCTCTAAAGTTAGTCACCATCCTAACTCTGATTTTTATTTTTAAACAATTCTTTGGCATAATTTTATTTAGCTACAATAAAATTCATTCATTTTAATTAGTGAATGAGTTTTAATGGATGAGTTTTGGCAAATGTATATAACCATGTAACCAAGCCCCCAGTCAAAATATAGAACATTTCCATCAGCCCAGAAAGTTTTCTACTGCCGTTGACGTTCCTCAGCCCCTAAACACTCACTGACTTAACGTCTACCACTCTAGATAGATTTTGCAAGGCTTCCAGCCAGCCCCCAGGTGGATACCTATCCATGGTGACTGTAATGTCTCATTGTCTGTGACTTTGCCCAGATTCTTGGCCACTCACTCAGTTTCTTGGAAAAAGTACAATCATTAAAATCAATGGCACTATTTCTGGCATTGTAAAGCTACAGAAGTCACTTTCCACAAGTACCTACAGAACCCATTATCCTACAGGTGGAGACTTCTTAGAGGCTGAGCCAAAACTGAGCCTGGCTCCACAACCCTAGCTTCTGGGAATGTGGCTGAGCTGATTAAGGAGGTCTTCTCCCTTTTGTTTCTAGGAATGATAGTCACAATTGCCCAAATAAGAACTCTCATATGTTTGAAATTATGTTGAATGCTGAGTGCTGAGGTTGTTTAACTTTCTCGTAAGAATTATAATAAAAAATTTATAAGTGTTTTAGTATTCAAAAAATTGATCTACTCAATGATTTTCTGTCCTGGAGTATCACTCACAGTCCTAGAGGTCTTAATATATTGGTAATTGTTACAGAAGAAACATCTGCTAATTAATAGGCAAGTGTGTATGTTTACCTACTGAGACATAACAGTAGAGATATCAGATATTCTTACCATAAGGTCCTCTGCTAGGAAATACTTAAAATTCATATACCTGCCTTCTCTAATATTTTCTTTATGGGAAGTACATGGGATACCCTTGTATCTTCTGAGACAAAGAAGGGGGAATTATTAGAATTCACCAGATTACCTTACTTCTATTCAGTCTCCAAACCTATACTCCTTTATGGAATTAACACTTACAAGGAACACAAGCTAAAAAGAAAAAAAATCTGGAGATTTTTTGGGTTTGTTCAGTTAGTAATGCTGATAATATAAAATTTTATCAGTTCCAGGAAGCAGTTCTTTCCCTTATTGTTTTTTCAATCTATATAAGAGTAGATCCTTTCTACTAACCTTTAGAGCTGTAATATTCGTTCTTCTGGTATAGAAAACTGCAATGAACCCTTATGCTTCAAAAATGCTTAGAGCTTCAAGAATTGTCAAATCCCAGGCAATCTTTGTAAGCCTATATTCTGAGCTCAAAATTGAAATGAGCAGAGAGTTAGGATGTTAGCACCATGTATCTAGTAGATTTACAAGAAGACCAAAGCCCTCTATTTCCAGCCCAACCTTAAAAAAAAAAAGAAAAAGAAAAAAACACCCTATTTCTCTCTAAGAGTATTACAAGTACATCTGGAAAAAGCAAAATGAGACAAAAGAGGAGGAGACAGAGATGCAATCAAAGAAATCTCCAGTATTCTGGATTCCACATGCCTCTTCTAAACCAGTCCTAGAATCTATGGGATATTAAGAGTTTTTCCAGGCAGAAGGCATCATTCCTTGACAGCTCCAGGTAAATTCCTAAGGCTTCCCATTTGAAATTTAGTTCTATTTCTTTTTCCTCCCATAATATTCTTTACTCTTTATTTACTACGACAATGAATATGGAATTGTCAATGTGTTCTAATTAATGACATGTTTCCAATGGGAGCCCGGTTATCTGTGTCTTTATCGCTCCTCTTTGCTTCTCTCTGGAATTCTGATTCTTGCTTTACTCTTTCTTAGGCCACAGATAAGATGGATTTGGAAAGGCAAGTGGGGGAAAACAAATGGTAAATCGCATTTGAATACACTGCTAAGCCTTTGCAATTTGTCAGGATATAAGGAGCCAAACACTTTGAAGCAATGAAGTAACATCCGCATTTACTGTTGTGATCATCTTTAAGAAAGATCACATAGGGAAGCATAAAGACCACAGAGAAAGATACATGAGACCCTGTTTTATTCTTTGAGTATGTATTATTTATATTTATTTTTCTGTCTTTACTTTTTTTTTCTTTTTATAATCCACTTCGGACGGATGGAGAGACAGAGAGCGAGAGAGAGAGAGAGAAAGCGGTGGGGGGTGGGGGGGGAGAGAGAGAGAGAGATAAGATGACATCTTATTAGGGAAGACTGGAGGATCTTTTTAGGAAGAATGTATTAGTTTGCTCAGCCTGCCATAACAAAATACTATAGTCTGGGTGGCTTAAACAACAGAAATTTATTTTGTTACTCTTCTGGAGGCTACGAGTCCAAGATCAAGATGTTGACAAGGTTGGTTTCTTCTGAGTCCTGTCTTCTTGGCTTGCAGATGGCCAGCTTCTCACTGTAGCCTCACGTGGTCTTTCTTCTGTGTGCATGCATCTCTTGTGTCTCTTTGTATGTCCAAATTTTCTTTTTTCATAAGGACATCAGTCAGATTAGATTCAGGCCCCCCCATTGGCCTCTTTAAAGGCCCTATTTTCAAGTACAGTTACATGTTGAAGTATTGGGAGTTGGGACTTCACATATTAATTTTAAGGAGAACACAATCCAGTCCATAGCAAAAGGTATAATGCCTTTGTTAGAGAAGACAAGAATATGCAGTGATGGTGGTGATAGGAAAAAAATGGATTACAGATAATTTTCTAATGTAGATTAAGATAATTTAATGATTGATCTGACATGGAAGGTGAGGTACAGGAAGAGTTGAGAATGCCTCCAAGTTTTCTAGCTTAGGCAGCTAGATATACAGCTGTAAAATTAACTAAAATTTAAAAAATACTGGACAAAAGACAGGTTTGGGAGTAAATCAGGATATTTATTAATTCACCACATATGTAGCAAGTTTTGACTACATCTCTAGCACTTCTCTAGAAAAAAATCTTCCCCAAACATCATCAAGTTTACACTCAAGAGTTCTCTGAACATGTAACACTTGTATCTAATAGATACATGTAACACAGTATCTATTAGATACTGAAAAGATTGGAAACCGTAAAGTAGGGACGTTCAGTAAGCAGTTAAACATATAAACCCAAAACTCAGGAATTGGGTCAGCGATGCAGATATTAATTTGGCAGTAAGAGTATATCTACCACTAAAGCCATAAATCTGAGTGAGTTCACCTGAGAAGCATGAATACTGAGAACCAGTCTCTGAATTCGGCAAACACATATGGGTTATAAAGAAGAGGAAAGACTAGTAAAGGAGATGGAAAAACAAATCAGCCAGCAAAGCAGGAGGAAAACAAATGACTTCAGTTTTGACTATGTCCAGCTGAGATTGCCTGTAGAATTGTCATATATATAAAAATTACATTCTGTAATGCTAATTTGAAGGTGTATATATATATATATATATATATATATATATATATATATATATATGTGTGTGTCAGATTAGATTCTGACTGTATATATATTTGAAGGTATATATATATATAATTAGCATTACAGAATGTAATTTTTACATGCACACTTTATGTGTTCAGGTCTTACCAGTAACTCTAATGAGTCTAAACTTAGAAGTTCTAAGGAAAGGACTTTATGCATTATCTACACCAATCTATAAGCAACAGGAAGCAGCGCAAGTCCTTCAGGAGCCTGTTCTCTTTCCCAGACCTCTTTCCCAGACGTTTCTCTGCCTCTGGCAACCTTGTTTAAAGTACTCATTTGCTAAGCACAGACTGTGCAAGGGTAAACTGGAGCTGACCAGCCCTCATGGGCACCGACCTTAAACACCTTGTGCAGTATTGACATAACTCCCACTGGCTTTTGCTTGTCCATCTAAATTTCCCTTGTTTCCCATTAATCTCATTGAGACTCCCCACACTGCACTAAGAATCTCTTTCTTCCACATTTAAAGCCTTTAATTACTCCCCCAGACATCCCTTCCCAGTTTGGCAGTGCAAAAGCAGACTTTAGGGAAAGATTCCTAGAATTAAACAAATAGATTACATCACTGTTTCCTGTTCTTTTCAGAATTAGGGCAAAATTATGTCTTTGTCGTGTTAGTCCATGTGAGGTCGGGCCAAAGAGGAGGTTGGCAATTATTCCTTGGGGGGAATGCTAAGTGGTCCTTCATCAGCAGTCACAGCTGATAATGATAATTTTCAGAAAAACAAAAATGAAATCTCTGTGGCTCCTATGATAAGACCTTCATTTCCTTTCAGATATTGTTCTCCTTTCACCATTACCACATTCATGCTGCTAGTGAAGTGCAGCTCTAATGTGTCCTTGTCAGTTTTCTCCCCAGTCGTTCCCATTTTTAAGGTCGTCGTTCCCATTTTGTTTTTAAGCATCATCTACCTTTTGATGAGTAATCCTCTTTTCCAAATTCCTCCCAAATTTTGCTTTTCTCAAACCACACGCACAAAAAATGAGTTTCTTCAAAAATACATACATAAGTGTAATTTTGGCTTTTTTTTAAACTTCCTCTTAATGATAACGCTATCACACACTCTCCACTTCCTAACGAGGCCAAAATTTGGAGGGGAGTTCACATTTTTGAAGCCTATTCTAAATGAGTGGCACACTATAAATTAAATACAGACAAAGTCAACATAAATTTAGTCAGACAGATGAGGGAGAAAAGCCAAAACTCTGATTTACTTCTCTTCTCTACCATTTTCTCTTAATTCCCTGGTTGTTTCATTTTGCTTGTTTGGTTGACTGTTTGGTTCCCCACCCCTTTCTTTTTTTCTCTCAAGTGTCTCACCTCAACTTGGGCACAAACTGAAGACAAACCACAGCCCTCACCCATGGTGCAGGCCCAAGTCCAGAATGCACAAAATAGTCCTGGTCTCTCTTAATGTGGTAAGGTTGGGGCAGTGGGCTAAGCAAAACAAAGCCAGGGGTGGATACTCAAGGTCCCATTGAGTCAGGGAAATAAGGTACCTGGGAGAGCGCATCATTCAGGAAGAACATATTCTGATGTCTCCAGGGCCAAGAATGTGGCGTAAATGAGCAAAGCCTAACAAAAATGAGTGTGGGTCACTGCAGAGAATATACCCCATGTGGACAGAGCTGACAGTATATATCTGCAGCCAAATATTGCCATTTAGAACTATGGTGTTAGTGCTGTCCGATTTCTAATCATTATTTTGAGAGAACCAAAAACAAGAATTTTTTTGTACGTGTGTAAAGTAACCCAGTTTTGTAGTCAGTTAGTTTTTCTTTAACATCATCATCTTAGAGACCACCAGTTTGAAACCTCTAGTTTTGCATTAAGAAAACAGCATTCCAGATGTCTGCCCATTAGCAATATGCTGATTAGCAGGCAGAGCTCAGATCAATGTATAAATCCTATTTCTCTTGAATATTCCTTAACTGTTATTGGAATGAGTTTCCCAATTTATCAAATTTTGGAAAAGAAGATACAGAAAGCAATAACGCTTTTTAAAAAGAGAGATTAAAAAGGAAAAATAACAGTATTTTCCCTCCTTCACATATTGTTTTGATATCTGCTTCTTGGTTTTTTTCATTCTATGTCTTTTCAGAAAATAAAGAGATACACTCCTAGAGAGATAATTAATCCATTTTGAGGGCCTGCCATGTGCCAATCAACTTCTTTAGGACTTTTGGTATGTTTTGCCTTTTAATCTTATTTAAGAAATTGGAGAGTAAAGTAGATAAACAGTAAATAAAATGAGATCAAAAATGTAATGTGAAACTTTACACAAAAATTTAAAAATAATTAAAGAATAACTAAAAAAATGATGTGTGACTTTAATTTCTTAAATATGTTGTAGGGCAAATATTAGGATGTAGGACAACTCTAAACTTGCATAGGATTATTTTAAAGTTATCTCTGATGATAAAGGTAAGAACTTCCAGCTTTACTTGAGGAACGGAAGGCACTTCTCAAGACATATAAGATTAAGATTTTTTAAATTGCATATTTGAATACAGCTTTACTTAGAAACAGGCTGAGACTGAATGAATAGAGATAACTAAAGGCTAAATTTTCTGTGTTAAAATGAGCACACTAGGAGAAAAGTAGAGTGTCTTGCCAGCCCAGAGCTAGTATATTTGGTACTTGTCATTTACTCCTTTTTGCCTTCATTCATTTGACACATATTTATTATATTCAGCACAGTTCAAAATGCAGAGTGATATAGCAAATATTGAAAAAGCCACAGAAGATCCTTGCCTTCATAGAGTTTATATTCCATCAAGAAGAAACAGACAAGAAAAAAACAAATAAATAAATGGTGTAATTTCCAATAATGCTAAGCACTAAGAAGAAAATAAAGCAGAGTATTAAGAAAGAGAGCAGTAATGGGGGGAGGGAGATGTTTTAGATCATTTACGTCAGAATCAGTAAAATCGAGAAGAGGAGACATGAGAAAAGAGAAATACAGAACTGGAAGTGCAAAGTACTGGAATTAGAATGAGCTTAATTAAGTTCAAGGGACAGAAAGAAGGTCTATGAGGCTGAGGGTATAGCTCACTGCAACCTCTGCCTCCCGGGTTCAAGCGATTCTCCTGCCAGTAACACATTACAGACTCCCAGAAACCTTCAAGGGAAGAGTCTCACTTCAGCTGTTTTGTGCAAAGAAATGAGTTTGACTATATAAATACTGGCCAGAGCTGGAAGAATGCCCAAATCTTACTTGTAAAATACTACTCAGCCCATTAAACAACCAATGTGAACATGGACCTAAAGACATGGTTGGACCCGAACAGAGACAGTCCTCACCAAAGACAGCAATTATCACTGTGGATACCTGTAAGACTGTGCACTGCTGTCATTTATCTGTTCATCTTACTTTCCAGTCTTTGGTTGATTTTTGCCCTTTAATATAACCTCTTTAGTGTTTGTACACATTGTTGGTGGGAGTATGTAGATATATGCATCAAGAATGATAAAATAATTTTACTTCTACGAAATTATCTTAAGGAAGTAATCAGAGGTGCTATAATAAGATAAACAGATAAAGAAAGGATAAATGCCCACCAATAGTACATGGGTTAGGTGCATTACGAACACTCTTACAGTCATTCAATATCATGTTCTGAGAAAATACTTAAAAACAGCAAAAAATCCCACAACGTAATTTTAAGTATAAACATAGGCTACAAAATACTATGTACAATATGAGCCTGGTGTTGAAAGTATGTACATTTATATGTACATATTTTATTTCAATTACATATTTTAATATATTAAAGTGTTATAGTGGTTCTCTCTTGATTGTAAGTTGAACTGTCAATTTTTCTTTCTCCTTGATTATTTTATGAAGCTTTGATAATGCACATAATTTAGTTTTATAAATTTAAAATAACTCTATCAAATGTACTAACACTTCCCTTGAAAGCTTTGCGTCTTCTAGCTTACCCGGCAGGGTTCTGGGAGGCCACCAAGCCCAAGAGAACAGTGAGAGTTCGGAAGTAGAATCCAGACCCTCCAAAGGCTATATGTTACAAAAGGGTCATGAATACAATGTTCCCATGGCTCATGTACCTTAGAAAAAAAGAAGAAAAATCAGCTGCAACCCATTCCTACTTTGTAATTCCAACCATTTCATTTTACCTTTTTTTTTTACTTTCTTAATTTTTAAAACTTTTGTGCATTTGGCAAAGATATGCTTTTCCCACTAGAATGTAAGCTCCACAGAGCAGACAAAAGTCTGTTTTCTCCATGCTGTATCCCAGTGTCTGGCATATACTAAAAACTGGGTAACTATTTGCTGAATAAATATATTAAAGAAAAATGCATTAATATGAATCTAAGTCCTATCAGTGGAGACTTAGAGAAAAACATGGCACAACAGCATAACAGGTGTGGGTGCATTCAGGTCAATGTTCAGTAAAAATGAATGTATAATATTTAGGAGAACTGAATTAAACTTTTTTGTAAGGGTATACTGTCCTACACATGTAGCTAGAAAGTGCCTTTTTGCTCCAACAGTATTTTAGAAGCTACTCGTTTCTCATATGAGTGGCTTTAGACAGAGGTATCTTCTCAGCCACAAGCAGAAAAAGATTAAGGCCTATGGGAAAAAATTGATATTCATAGACTAGTATTGCTGCTGTTATCCACGAAGGCATAGAATGAAAAGGGAGCACCTCATAGAAAAGAAAGAGAAGTAAAATAAATGACACTATGCAAATTGCAAAAATTCTGTAATTATTTCTTCTACGCTATTCAAATTGCAAAATTATAAATTCAGGGAACATGCCACAAAGCCCTGTGGTATTTTATACAACCTAAATAAGTATCAAGGATCTTAAAAATGTTAATATCTTTTGATGTAGTGATTCCACTTCAAGGATATAAACTAAGGAAAAGTAATTAATGCAGACAAGGATTTGTGTACAAAGTTGAACCCTAATTTGAAAAATAAATTTTATTTTATACATAAATCATAGGCAACTAGTGCTAAACTGGGCCTTAGCTGTATTGTTTCTCCAGAGAAAAATAATCAATAAGTTGGAGAAAGGAGGGAGGGAGAGAGAGAGAGAAGAGAGAGAGGAGAGAGAGATTATTTAAGGAATTGGCTAATGCAATTGTGGAGGCTAAATCCATATTCTTCAGGGTAGACCAGCAGGCTGGAGACCCAGAGATGAGTTGATATTGCCACTTGAGACCAAAGACAGACTGCAGGAGCCAAGCATGGTGGCTCACACCTGTAATCCTAGCACTTTAGGAGGCTGAGGCAGGCAAATTGCTTGAGCCCAGGAGTTTGAGACCAGCCTGGGCAACATAGCAAGACCCCATATCCAAAAAAAAAAAAAAAGAAAGAAAGAAAGAATAAAAAGACAGACTACAGGTAGAGTTTGCTCTTCTAGGGAAGTCAGTCTTTATTTTTTTTTTTTTCCAGTAAGGCCTTCAACTGATTGAATGAGTTGAATGAGGCCTACCTGTATTATGGAGGGTTATCTGCTTTACTCAAAGTCAACTGATTTATATAATCTCATCCAAAAGACACCTTCAAAGCAACATCAGGATGTGTTTGGCAAAATATATGGGTCCCCTGGCCTAGCCAAGTTGATAGATAAAATTAATCATCACATCAGCCAATATGCACATTTGGAAAGACACTCAGAGAAGTGAATTTCCCAAGCTGGATGACAAATAAACCATTCACATCTTTCCTTAGTGTTAATATAAACTTTTTCCTGAAGTCTATAAAAGGGCCTTCAGAGTCATAAAGCCAGAAAATATCAGACAATACCTTCTCTTCCTTTATTTTAAGACATAGAAAGCCTTGTTCTGAAAGTAGGTAATTCATATAGATAATCTTATTCACTTTGCATCCCAGAAGCTCTTAGCACAATGCTTTCCGTATTGTAGGCATCCACCACCACCTGGAGCAATTAAAATCAGCCTTGTTCTTCTTTTTTTTTTTTTTCCTTTTGATGTTGTAACCGTAGGAAAGCATGAGCCTTGTTCTTAATGAGCTCAATCAGAAAGAGGTCATGTTGCACAACCTAATTTATCTTCATTCTCCTCTTCTAAAATATAACAGGATTTACAAATTATCTCTAAAATCATGTAAATGACAACTACACTAAGAACATAGGAGTTCAGAGGAGAGAGAAGGCAAGGAAGGCTCTTCATGAAGTAAGTGAGATTTGAAGGAGGAGTAGGATGCATATAGCCAGAGAGGAATGTGGAGTATTACAGTGAAAGTAAATAGTACATAAAATGAAAGAGGTGGATATGTGCTGAACAGGCAGTGGGTTGAGCAGGAAGTTTTTAAGAGAAGCTATGAGAGATGTGACTGGAGAAGTACCCGATAAACTTGAAAACTATATAAACAGTTTGCTTTTTAAAAGGACTGGGGAATTATTGAGAGTTCTGATATGGGGAATAACACGATTAAAGTGGGATTTTATGGACAGGAAAAAAATATTCTTGCCATACTAATGTATCCTCTTTAAACTAATCAATTTAATTTTTTCTTATGTCTCCCATGCCCCTGACTGTTTTTGTAATCACAGACAGAATAACCCAATTTCATGTACAAATTATACAATACTAAGCTGCAAATCTATGCACTACCAAAAACTAATTTAGAAGTAATTTTACCATACAAATTATTTCAATGTAGTTGTCACAACTAATATCTGTTATTGCATTTATAAACGATCACTTGTCAGAGGAAAGATTTAAACAGGAAAATGTGGGCTGCAGAGAACCACATTAAAATGAACTATATAGATCTAGGGTAAAGGGAAGAGCAGATTTCAAAATTAAGAAAAAAGAGACACAAGCTGTACCCAGCTGTCAAATAAAATCTTCCAGGAGGGAAGGATTGGTGGCTTGCAACTTATCTCAAGCAGTAAAGAATTGACTTTTTCAATGTATCAGACTGTGTGGTTGGTATTTGGGAAAGACAGAGTGTTGTTGTGGGAATAATAGGAGTTTCTTTGAAGTCTGAGTCTTGTCTCTGTTACTATCTAGCTTGCTGACTGAGTGAATATTGCCATCGCTAAGCTCTAGTGTCTCCATGTATAAATAGGTGTAACACTATGCCCAGAGTTAATATGCCTAGTGTATTGGACACATTAGCTCACATATAATAGCCCTCCTTAAGGACACCATTTACCCTCTCATCACCTTCTCTATTCTGACCATTGTCATCTTTAGCTGTAAAGTTGTAGCCAACACCATCAACCTCACAGTACCACTGTGAGGAAGGAAAAGAAATAAACCACTCTGAGTAACACCCATGAGGCTCTCATTGTACCAGGCCCCACATCATTGTAACAAAAGTTTGTAGACACAATTATTTCTGTTTTACCTTACTGCTCTGTCCATTGAAAGAAAACAGCCTATATTTTCCTACCTGGTTAGAATCAGATGTATCTACCTGTTTCTTCACAGACGTCTAAAGTGAGCAAAAGAATACGAGGATTAAATGATTTCTGACGGAGTTCTTGTATACAAAAGACCTCAGAAAACTCTTCATCTTAGTAAAGAAATATAGCAATAATAATTTATGTTTATTGAGTGCTTATTATCTGCTGGGCATTCTTCAAAGTGGCTTACATGTATTGATTGATTTAATGTCCACAACATGTTTGTGGGGCCTATACCTTTATTATTGTCATTTTAAGGGTAGGAAAAATTATATAGAATTTATGAAGCCTGCTTGAGGTCACCCTGCTTGTTAGTAACAGAGCTTGGATTAAGAAATACACATTCCTATGTACTTGTTGGTACATGAAACATAAAGCAAATCATATTCATAATTGTGGCTTTCATTCTTTAAGTGAAAATAAATTTGAAAGCAAGTGAAGTATTAGACTCCTGATGTGTTTCAAATGTCTATACTTTCAAAAGAGTAAATTACATATCATGCAGTGAGAAAAACAAACAGCAAATTTAGTGTATCATCTTTAATGGGAAGTGTTTGGTTTTCGTTTTAACTAAATTTTATTTAAAAATTACTTTGGGAGGCCCAAGTGGGCAGATCACGAAGTCAGGAGTTTGAGACAATCCGGGCCAACATGGTGAAACCCTGTCTCTACTAAAAATACAAAAATTACCTGGGCATGGTGGCGTGAGCCTGTAGTCCCAGCTACTCAAGAGGCTGAGGCAGTAGAATCACTTGAACCTGGGAGGCGGAGGTTGCAGTAAGCCAAGATCGCGCCACTGCACTCCAGCCAGGGCGACAGAGTGAGACCCCCATCTCAAAAAAAAAAAAAAAAAAAAAAAACAAACAAACAAAAAAAAACTTTGTAGGGCCAGGCACAAGGACTCATGCCGGTAATCCCAGCACTTTGGGAGGCTAAAGTGCGAGGATCAATTGAGGTCAGGTGTAAGACACTAGCCTGGGCATCATAGGGAGACCCCAACTGTACAAAAACAAATGTTTTAAAAATAAGCTGGGCATGGTGGCTACTCGAAAGGCTGAGGTGGGAGAATTGCTGGAGCCCAGGAGCTCAAGGCTGCAATGAGCTATGATGGTGCTGGATATAGTTTGGATATGTGTCCCCACCCAAATCTCATGTTGAAATATAATCCCCAGTGTTGGAAGTGGAGCCTGGTGGGAGGTGATTGTATCCTGGGGATGGATTTCTCATGAATGGCTTAGTACCATCCCCTTGGTACTGTCTTCGTGATAGTAAGTGACCTCTCACAAGATCTGATCATTTAAAAGTGTGGAACCTCCCCACTTGCTCTCTTGCTCCTGCTCTGGTCATTTGATGTGGCTGTTTCCCCTTCGCCTTCTGCCATGATTGAACGTTTTCTGAGGCCTCCCCAGAAGCTGAGCAGATGCCAGCATCATGCTTCCTGTACAGCCTGCAGAACCGTGAGCCAATTAAACCTCTTTTCTTTATAAATTACCCAGTCTCAGATATTTCTTTACAGCAAAGTTAGAATGGACTAATACAGTGCCATTACACTCAAGTTTGGGAGACAGAGCAAGACCCTATCCCCCAAAAAAGACAGAAAACTTTATGAAGAATTTGTGTACTATAGAGAGAAAGAATTTATAGAATAATTTCCAATTTCCAACACTACTGAGTCTTTTTCCCTCACAATACATCTGTGTTAAAGCTATGAGCATCTTTGGTATTGCGAAAGTTGATAATACATATTGGGTTATTCTTATCACACCCAACTAAAACAGAGTTGAAAAGCCAGCAGGGAAAAGCTCTCAGGGCACATAACATTGCTCCAAAAATGTAATTGTCTGTAAGCCTGGCTGCTGAACCTGCCAACTGTAACCTGATGCCAGTTTTATCTAAAGACTACTGAAACAACCTGCTGCAACTTTAAGACGAGTTTTACCCAGTTCAATCACTCACTAGTCAGAGTTTACCAGCTCCCCCAAACTTCACTATTGCCAATGACGTTTCTTAAAGAGCAATACATAACATTTCTCCTTTTAATAATACCTCTTACCTTCTCTTTGTTCTGTCATACTCAAGACCAGCCAGTCTGCATACATGCCCCAAATTGCAATTCTTTCTTCCCAGAAAAAACATTTTAATTTCAGACATTCATCTCTATATTTTATTTTACTTCAGCAGTATGTAAATAGCAGTTGAATTTATAATTCTTGGATGTACCTTATTACTTTTAAAGAGATTTATTGAGATATTTAAATACTATAAAATTCACTGTTTCAAGTTTGCAATTCAGTGATTTTTTTTAGTGTATTTACAGAGTTGCACAGCTATCACCACAATCTAATTTTGAAATATTTCCATCACCCTGAGAAGAAATATTTTGCTTATTTGTAGTTATTCCCTATTCCTATTCCTACCCCTTCCCCTTCCCCACCACCCACCCTTTCCATCCCAAACTCTTGGCCTTAGGCAGTCACTAATTTACTTTTTGTTCTATAGATTGGCTTGTTCCAGACATTTCATATAAATAAAATTATAAGATGTGTTCTTTTGTTTTGGGCTCCCTCAACTTAGCATAATATTTTTGAGGTTTCTCCATAGTATAGTACGTATGGGTACCTTGTTCTTTTTTATTGCTGTGTAATATTCCATTATATGTGTATAAGGCATGTTTTTTCATGTCTTTTATCCAGTTGATTGACATTTGAATAGTTTCCACATTTTGGTTATTATGAAAAATGTTGCTGTGTAAATTTGTCTTCGAGTGAACATATGTTTTCATTTCTCCTAGGTAGGTAATAAACAGTGGAATTGCTGGGTCATATAGGAAGTCTATGCTTAATTTTTTTTAAGAAACTGCCAGATGGTTTTCCAAAGTGGCTACACCATTTTACATTTCCACAAGCAATGTATGAGAGTTCCAATCTCTCCACATCTTTGCCAATACTTGTTGTTTTCTGTTTTTTTTATTATAGCTACCCTAGTGGTGTAAAGTAGTAACTCATTTTGGTTTTGATTTGCATTTTCCTAATGATTAATGGTGCTGAACAAATTTTCACGTGTTAATGTGTATACACTTTGAAAAATGTCTATTCAATTCTTGTCCATTTTTATTTCATTATTTATCTATAGGTATTCTTTATAAATTCTGAATACAAGTCTCTTATGAGAGATATAATTTTCAAATACTTTTCTCCCAGTCAATGGATTGTATTTCATTTTCTTGACCATGTTTATTGTAGCACAATAGTTTTAAATTTCACTAGGTACAATTTATCAAATTTTTAAATTGCTTATGCTTGTGTGGTATCTAAGATATTATTGCCTAACCCAAGATCATGAAGATTTACTCTTATTTTGCCTGTATTATTTTTTAGGTTTTCATACATACATATACATATATGAAATCTTACATACGTGTGTGTGTGTATATATATGTATGTATGAAACCCTACAAAATATGTATTTCTCATATATATAAACCCTATTATATATATATTTCATACATATATACTACATATGTATGAAACCCTATAAAATAATAAATATGTAAGTAATTTAGGAGCAAAGTTCTCTGGAAATTAGGATGAAGTGAAAGTCAAATTATTAAATGACATTGTATTAGTCTGTTCTCACACTGCTATAAAGAACTACCTGAGACTGGGTAATTTATAAAGAAAAGAGGTTTAATTGGCTCACAGTTTCACAGGCTGTACAGGAAGCATAGCTGGGAAGGCCTCAGGAAGCTTACAATCATGGCAGAAGGCAAAGGGGAAGCAAGCACTTCTTCACATGGCCAGCAGGAGAGAGAGCAAAGGGTGAATTGCTACATACTTTTAAACAACCAGGTCTCATGAGAACTCATTCACTATCACAGGGACAACAAGGGAGAAATTAGCTCCCATGATCCAACACTTCCCACCAGATCCCTCCTTCAACACTTGGGATCACAATTCAACATGAGATTTGTGTGGGGACACAGAGCCAAGCTGTATGAGACACAAAAGAAAGAATGCAGACACAACCACTCAATATCATGCACAGTGAAAAACTATGTGATCTATTTTTCTATGTTAAGGTGTATAGGAGGCAAAACACCCCCTTTACCATTACTTGTAGACAGCATGATCAGAGCACAGTAAGACTGAATCAAGAGTACTGATGAAAGAAAAGCTAATCAACAAGGACTATGCCATCAAAAAAGCAAGGACATATCCAGTTCTTACTCAGACTATAGCTGAACAGTCAAACTGGAACATACATAGACTAGCCAGCAAGAGGAGGTGATATGTTGACCAGGTAAAAGACACCATGCTATACAACGGATGACAATGGAAACAGTAAATTAGAAAGGTATTTAGAGACACTGGAGTTTAAGGAAATTGATCTTAATCTATTTAAACATTATGAATACTAAGGAATTAATTCATAATTCTCACCTTAATATGAAGTGGAATAGGGTTGCATTCCTTGACCAACAGTAATAAATGTGTTTTAATGATCCACAGAGCATTCGAATAAGATGTCTCATTTGGAATATATTATCAATTTCCTTTATAAGGCTTTATAATTAAATCTACTATCATTAAAAAGTTGCGCTATTATTTGCTTGAATGTTACTAATAACCTACTTGTTGCCAAATCTGTATGTCTTTTATTCTTTGAAAAGTAAGAAAAGGTTATTCCTGAGTAGGAAAAGGTAACTTAAGGAATATGAGACAAATGTCTGTCAACTGAGAAAGCTGTTGAATTTTGAGGCATAACAATGAAAGCTCTATTTATAGATATTAAGCTCTAGAATTTCACATTTTGAAGGAACATTAACAACTTTTTTACAGCTGACGGGCTTGGAGAGATTATTTAAAGGTTAGAACCCAATCTGGTTAATTACCTATGACATGACTTCATATATTCAAGACTTTATGACTCCGTGTTAGTCAAGGGTTATAATATATATGTTTCATCCCTTTAATAATATCAGAAGACTTTCAGGAAAAGCACTTTTTTTCTTTTTCTGAGTCCTCAGCATCCAAAAGAGTGTTTGGCTCAAAAAGCATTTGTTGAGTAGCATATCTTAAGAGGTATTCACTTGAATTGTTATTCATTTTAGCTATTTATAAAAGCTTAATCCGTTGTTTCTTTGGAACTGAAACTTGTATATCACAAATTTTCACTGTTGTTTGCTTTTACATTTATCAGCTTTTGTTATCTCTTATCTCACCATCTGATACCTATTTGTTGATGCTATCTGTTGATATCTTTTTACATTTTAGAGATAAGAAAGAATTCTAAAACTAAATAATTTAAAATAGTTTTAAAAAATATATAGGTTGCACAGGAAGAAAAGTGATTATCTTTGGAAGAATCTCCAAACAAATTATCTAGTCAAAGGAAAACAAAAAATAGTAATTAAAAAATTTAATTCAATTCAACTAGCACTGATTGAACATTTCTTATGTTTCATGCATTGAAGATGTAACAGCAATAAGACATAGGTCTTACTTCAAGGAACTCATATATCAGTAGAAGATATGTACTGTATAATAATGTGATCAGTCAATGGTATT
Organism: Homo sapiens; assembly: GCF_000001405.40. Classification (NCBI taxonomy): domain Eukaryota; kingdom Metazoa; phylum Chordata; class Mammalia; order Primates; family Hominidae; genus Homo; species Homo sapiens. The sequence continues at coordinate 152,659,739 of NC_000003.12, read as the reverse complement.
TTAAAGCAGTAATAATACTTCATACATATAAATATGAAGTATTTTATAAGTATTAACACACTTAATGCTAACAACAATTTTGTAAATGAGAAAATTGAGGCATAAAGAGAGGTTAAATAATCTGCTCCATTTATGTAACTAGTTTTTGGCAGAGCTAGTATTTGAACCAGGCAGTCTGTAGATTCAGAGCCTGCATTCTCATGCCACACCGTACTGCCTCAGAACTCACCGCAACTTCTCAGTTTTTGTTTTTTTTTTAATTTTGTTCATGAGATGATTTATTTCTTTTTACACATATATCACCAAAATTAGAAAGTAAGATTTGCAGGTTATTTTACATCAGGACAGTAAATCCATTTTTGACTTCTGAGAGATTTTTCATGCAGAAGTTTGAAGATTGTAAATGCCTTTACAAATATATAACATTATTAAAACATTTTTATTTTATGAATATGAAATATTTTAGAAGTAACGAGACAGCCAAATATAAAGGAGTCACTGGAGAACCCCCAACTGGCCTGTGTGCTGGGAGGAATGCACACTGGGGTGGAGCCTCAGGAAGTTCACTCTGTTTGCCCTGGGGAGGAGCCTGGCCCCTCTTCTTCCTGGGTGGAACCTGGAATTCAATCTGTGACGCGGGAAGCATATACTAGCAGGACTCTCACTCTGCTGAGGGTCCCTCTTTCCCCTTTTTTCCTTTTTTCCAATAAATTCCATTTTTCTCACCCTTCAAAGTGTCTGCAGGCCTAATACTACATAGCTGTATGGCAAGGACCCCATCTTTAGCTGAACTAGGGAGAAAGTCCTACCACAGTACAAACATCTGATATAACATACACGTGCATTTCTGAAAAGCTTGCATTAAGCTACATTGCACACTTCAAGTTACAAAGTTAATGGGGGAAAAAATAGAATTAGCATAGACCACTCAAAACTTAATGCACTTGATGACCAGAGCATTAACAACAATAACAAATCCTACTCAATAACAATTTATCACAGTTTTTAAAAAATGTTAAAATCATAATAAAGAAAGCAATACTACAGTAACTAATATGACTTTATTCCAAATACAAATGAAAGTAGGCTATCAGAATGAGGTAAAAGAAAGACTGCTGAATTACAGAAAAAAGCACAACACCATCAGAAGTTACAGGTGTAGCATTTTATGTAATAAGTAGATGCAAGTTTCACACATACCACAGCAAAGATATGGCTGGTGATTTTGGATCATTATCTTGTCATTGTTTCTTTTGCACATGATCAACCTCCTGGGAAGATAGGATGAATGGACATGGTGTACAGTACTGTATTCTTCTAAGGTTTGCTGTATGCAGCTTTGTTAGCATATTTTGCACTCTGCTGCAGTGTAAATGCTGGCAGTGCAAAATGCAGGGGGAAAATCCCTTAGGAGCCTTCTCATCACCCAAGTTATGTTCACATCATTCCCTCTTTAACAATCTTATTTCCATTTACATTACAGAACATGCTCTGTAGCAAAATAAACTATATTTGGAATGGATTACAGTGAAGGAGAACATCAACAATTTTATCACTAGATTATTTCTTATTTCAGGTTCCTTTCTCCTTTTCTGTCAAACACACTTAAAAGCTAAACATGCAAAATGCTTTTCTAGGTTAAGTTCAATTATAGTTAGTAGTATAGGTGTCACTGCATAGAAACTACTGCTTTCCAGACAGAGGCAGAAGGATCGCTTGAGCCCAGGCCTTCGAGACCAGTCTGGGCAACATGGCAAGACTGTGTCTTTACAAAAAAAAATTTTTTTAATTAGCCAGGCATGAGGTGGGAGGATTGCTTGAACCAGGGAAGTTGAGGCTGCAGTGAGCCCTGATCATACCACTACACTCCAGCCTGGGTGACAGAGCAAGGCCATGTCTCAAAAAACTAAAATAAAATAAAAATAAAGAAACTATTGCTCGCATTTCCAAGCAACAAGTATCCAAGAGGTCATTCACACATGTTCCTTTGCAATTTCAGCATGAGTGCAAATATTTTTCTTCTTTCATCTCTATCAACATTAATACAAAATTTAAAATAAAATGGGATAACTATTATAGCCCTCATTCGCAACAGCCATAATTTAGGACTGAGGGATTAACTAAAGTTCGGTATCACTTAAAAGAGCAAAACAAAAATAGAAAACAGCAGTTTTCCTAGTCATAATAAAAAAAGTTTTTGTCCAATTTACAAAAAGTTCCTGCTAATTAAAACCTACTAACACAGTCACAGTTCATATACTATCAAAGTTGTTATTTGAGTAGTCAATTAACTATCCCCAAAGCACCACAACCAGATAAAACAATTTATTTTCTTGTAGTGTTGTCCTAATTTGGTCTTAACGAGGAGTTGAGCTTGTCTTGTATGTTTGTTCCTTGAGTTGCTGAAGGCTTGATTTACTTGTCCCAGTAAAAGTCTCTGCTTGTTCCCCTCCTTCTCTGAACAAAGACTGATTTTCATATGAAAAGAGTTAGTGAATGTTTTCCCTTAGGCACTGGGGCTAGCTTTTCCCAGAGAAGTAGGCTGTTGCATTGCTTTTGTCATCTTTGATCACAGAAAAGTTTTCAAAGGGCAGCATAAACAATGATAGTCAAGTTGGTCTCTGCTTTCATGAAGAAGGTGATGGAAGTGAATTTTAAACAATTTTAGCAACAAATGTTTGCTGGCACATGAATCTGGATTTACAGTAATTAGAGATATCTGAATTTTCACAAAATAGTCTAGGCATACTTTTTCTTTGGTCTACCAAGACTTGACACTCATTGTTGCTTTGGTTTTCCCTGGTACAGCTGATAACATCAAACACTTAAAATTAGCACTGCAGAATGCAGCTCCAAGCAGCAGCTTCCGGTCGAGTGATTTTATCAATGGTTACAAGAGTAACAGAACTCCAGAGCCGGGATTCTGTCTTGGCTTGTAAAATATCTTTCAGTTCTACCTTTAATATGTTTTTAAGTAGAAAGTAACTTAGTATCATTATGTTACTAAATCCCAGAATCTTTTTTGGAAGGGAGCAAAGGATTTTGAAACACTGAAGATACGGTGACAAAATGGAGACGTGCAAAATTATATTCTTCTATTGACATTCACTGTAACTCTTCAGTGGTACATATATATTAATAACAAATTTCAGGCATTCTAAACAACTGTTGAGGATCTGTTTGTGAACATTTTCCATGTGAGAGAATTCTTTACTCCCCCTAATAAAGCCCTATCTCATGATTTATGCATCAGTTCTCACAGCCTGGCTGCACAAAAGTTTAATTCCAGAGTGCAGGGAAGCTGAAATGAGGAAGTTGAAGAGACTGAGAGCTTTCTTGGGAGTGCCTAGCTACTTCTTCCCTGAAGATCCGTACCCGGAAGCCTGGAGAAACATAGCTGATCCAGGAGAAAATGTGAACCTGCATCCTACGGCTCTAAATTCATTTCCAGACCCCCGCCCTCCAAACTCTGTTCCCAGCAAGTGACCTGACATTTTGCATCAGGCCGAAGAGCAGACAGTTGCTAGGGGGCTGGCTATGGGGCAGCCATAAAGAAAATAAGCTAAAAAATAAATAAATAAACTTTGAGAATTCTTCTTTAAAATATAGCATTCTAGAACACTTTAGGTTTTCTCAAAAAAATGATTTACAAGTTAATGTTCAAATACATTAATCCAGAACTTTCAATTACAAGACGAGTAAGTCCTGGGGATCTAACATACAGCATGGTGAATATAGTTACTAATACCGTATTGTTTACTTGAAATTTGCTGAGAATAGAACTTGTGTCCTCATTCCTTCCTTGCCATGCATACAAAATGTTAACTATGTGAGGTGATGAATGTGTTAATTAATCTGATAATTAACAGCAATTAGTTAATTGTAATTAATTGTAATTAGATACATTTCACAATGTATATGTATATCAAACCATCACATTGTATACCTTGAATTTATACGGTTTGTGTTAACTTACCTCAATAAAGCCAGAAAAAAAGTTAAAATTTTCCCCCAAATTAATTCAAGAATGAAGATATTTGATTATATAACACTTGCATGAAATAGGAGTACCAGAAAGCATGATAATGGGAAAAGGCAGCAAATGTGAAAACCACCTTTTCCTGATGTAGTTCTGACTTTGCTCAGGGCTCATCCCAGATGGTTACCTTGTGCATATGCTATATTCTAATTAAAACCCAAAGGAACATATTCAGAAAAAGAATGACTCATCTTAAAATTTTTCATTTAAATTTTATTCATTGAAATGTTTTCATTTAAATTTCATTTTAAAATTTTACTGAATTAAGATAGAATTTGAAATCCCTAAAATAATTAACTATTACTAAGTATGTAGAAGGCCCTTAAATTCCATCTAACTTCTTTTGGTTCTGATATGATTCCCTGCATTTGTTTCGTTTGCATTCCTTTCCCTTTGGATTTGAATGGGAAATTGATTATTAAAATTATATTGCTATATATTAAAATATTGAAATGAAAATTAAGATTTGAAAATAATATTTAAAAGAAGTTAACCTTTTTGCATTAGGCCAGTTTACGTTAGGCAAAATGCTAAGAAAATTAATCTGTACAATACCAAAGGCATTATTATATTCCAAATCCCAAAAGTCTTTCTTGCTTCTTGTAGCAAGGTGCATTAGCTGACTAACAGTATTTCCAGGTAGAAAAATGGAAAGGAAAATGCTGAGCCTGTTATAGAGAAGAGCTTAATAGACTCGTGTGCATACATTAGCCTTCTGACTCTGGATTGATTTGCAGAGTGCCACTGCCAACTCCATCTCAGGGAGTCCATCATTAACACTTCCACTGACCCCTCCAGCCCTGCCACCCTGCCCCAAATTATTTTGCAAGTTTTCCAAATTGATACTTTAACTTAATATTTCCTTAAAGATGAGAAAGTTTAAGCAGATTCAAGACTAGTAGAATTGATGTCTCATTTTCTTGGGCAATTTCAGCAAATATTAAGTCTGGGATTTTCTCTAGATTTGTATTTATAGTGTCTATATTGCTATTAACATAGAGAATCAACTAATACTGAGTTCATAAAGAGGTGAGAGGAAAACAAGAAAAAGAAACCCTTCTGCTGTCCTTAAGTAATGACAAATTCCTTTTAAATTTCTTAAGATTTTCATCAGTTTTTAAACAAACAAGTAACACAAGGCGAAAATCTATCAAACACACAAAAATATAGAAACTGGTGATAAATGAGTTTTATTTAGCTATCAAAATTGCTCCTCCTCCTTTTGCTTTCTGCCATCTTTCAACATGAGAACCAGAGATCTGACTGGAAATAGGTTGTTTTCCTGTGCGTGAATAGAAAGTGACTAGTTTTGGGGGCCGGGGACGATGGTTCACGCCTGTAATCCCAGCACTTTGGGAGGCCAAGGCAGGCGGATCACTTGAGCGCAGGCATTCCAGATCAGCCTAGACAACATGGTGAAACCCTGTCTGTACTAAAAATACAAAAATTAGCCAGGAATGGTGGAGCATGCCTGTAATCTCAGCTACTCAGGTGGCTGAGGCAAGAGAATCGCTTGAACCCAGGAGGTGGAGGCTGTGGTGAGCCGGGATCACGCCACTGCACTCCAGCCTGGGAGACAGAATGAGACTCTGTCTCAAAAAAAAAAAAAAAAAAGAAAAGAAAAGAAAAAGAAAAAGAAAAAAAGGTGACTAGCTTTTCTTTATTCCCAATCAAGTCCATAAATAAAATAGATTAAGATCTTGAAATTTGAACATTGAGATTTGTGTGGTGGTTTCTCATTTCCCTTTTATATTTTCAAGAAGACTCTAAAGATATCACTTATAAGAATTACTTAAATGGGCTTTCTGCTATCATGTTTCTTGGGTTTGGGTAGATGACTTGGATGGCTTCTAAGCAAAGCACGGACAGACAAAAACAATATTACCTACCCCCAAAGGAAAAAGAAATAATAAGATACATCTACAGACCATTACTGATTTATAAGCTCATCATATTCTAATGCTATTTCGGATTTAGCTGGAAGAGGAGTCTGTTTAAAATGGTTTATATTAGGATAAAAAGTAGTGTTTAATAATGTATTCATTTTAATATTTCCAGGGTTGAGACACAGAGGGAGTTTTCCAATTTAATCAGCAATGTCCTATGTGTGCTCACCTTGCCTTTAGATGAAATCTGACCGAGGATGTTTCATCACCACCGTTTTTTGTCCTAGAGAAGCCTCATTACTTTGTACTCTGCTTGTTTCACCAGCTCACAACCCCAACCAAGCTCGACTGCTTTTATATTCAGATAGACAGCCCTCTTTCTCCTTTATCACTTTAGCCAGTTCTGTTAGCATTCCTGTTTCCCTCATATTCTTTGTCCTTTCCTAAACCTATCTATTTTACCTACCTAGCCCTAATCTTTTTTTTATTTTTAAAAATTTATCTATTTTTTGTAGAGACAGGTTCTTGCTATGTTGCCAAGGCTGGTCTCGAACTCCTGGACTCTACAGATCCTCCTGCCTTGGGCTCCCAAAGTGCTGTGATTACCAACGTGAGCTATCACACTTGGCCCCAGCCCTAATCCTAAACCACTCCATTATTTTAGGTTCTTGAATTCTGGTGGGGAAACCACACCACCCTTCAGATAGGTGCTGCTCCAAATTTACACTCACAGTTGGCCTGCAGACTATCTGGCCAACCATGTTTATGCTCAGAGAATGCAGTTTTTGTCATCCCTCACAATGGCAAGTCAAAACCATCCACGTGCAAACTGTCCAGTTGTCCTTCACCTTCCTTGCTGCTCCTTCACCCTAATCCCTTTCCCTAGCAGCACCCTTCTCTCTTACTTCACAGAGACATTCAAACCTGCCACCAGGTTTTTACCATCTGATTTCCAAGACTCATGCATCTGTCTCTCCTTTAGATGGTCTTGCCTACTTCTCTGGGGTCTGTTAAGAAATATTTACCAGCGTCTCATCCCTCTCCTGTGTTTTCAGTTTCTTTCTCCTGTCTCCACATTCTCCCTGCCTATAACAGACTATTATCTCATTTCTGTCTGCACTCTGCTAAAGTTTTCTGGCAAAGTTGGCCTATAACTATCTAATATCGCAATGCAAAATACTGTTTTCATCTATATTAGCTGATTACCTGATTACACAGGTAATCATCCCATTCTTATTGAAATTCTCTCCTCTCTTCCCTCTGGGCACACACACTTTTATGGTTTTCCTCTTGTATTTCAGACCTTTCCATTCTAATCTTTCCCCCCAAAAGCTTGTGTGATTTCTTTCCTGGAGCGAGGGGGAGGGCTGAAGTGGTAGAGCCAAGATTCTGAACCAGATAGTAGAACTCAGAACGGAACTACACAGGTTCCATAATGCATAACAGCTTCAGAATTAAGATTTTTAAAAAAAGAAAGAAAAAAGAAAAGGAAGTTGAAATCCCAGCTTCACCAGTTACTGGATGGATACTCTAGGGCAAGTTAGTTTCGTTGAGCACTGCTTTTCTCATCTACAGCATGTAGCTAATAATACTGTTCAGATAAAGTTGTTGTAAGGAACAGCTCTGGTAATAAATGCAAAGAATCTGTAAACTGTAGCTTTCCAATAAATGACATTATTGAGTTTATGTTTCCTCAAATATTTATCTTTGTTTTCACTGTCAAGCGTGAGACAAAACAGGGAGGTAGGGAGTCATTTAGGGCAGTGTTATATTAGGGAAGGAGAGAGAAGCATTCTTGCCATAATACACTTGAACCAATTTAACAATTACCTGAGTTTAAGAGACTTCCATTCTTTTGAGAGGTATGTTGATCTGAATTCCTTGCCAGCACTGTTAGCCAACCATTCTTCACAGCTTCCTTCTTCTTATCCTAGATTCCTCATGGACCAGTGACTCCAGATTCGCAGTTCCCAAAGCACATTCTCATATTATCTCATTACTTTTACAACCTTTGTTCAACACCAAAGACAGAAACATTTAATAGGAGTTGACTAAGCAAATCAGAACATTTCTAATTTTGTGGCGAATTTTTTTACTTATAGGTTTATAATTGAAAGAAAAAACAAAGCTTCTATAAATTGTTTAAAGCTCTTGATGAAGGATTTTTTATTGTAAAACTATTACCACACAAATAGAAAGCAAACTTTGTCAAATATTTTATTTAATTCATTAATTAATGAGAGTACCACTAAGATGTTATAATCACGTCAAAGGAGAATTCTTAGAGCACACATATACAACAGACATCCCCAGAAATTTGGAAGTGAATATACATGTAGTTGTGATACTGTCAATATCCACCTGACAATAACTAATTAAGTTCTACCACACACAATTCATTTGCATTGCCATGGATACCTATTATTAGTTTTCTTTTCCTTTTTTAGACAGAGTCTCACTCTGTCACCCAGGCTGGAGTGCAGGGGTGCTATCTCGGTTCACTGCAACCTCTGCCTCCTGCGTTCAAGCGCTTCTCCTGCCCCAGCCTCCCAAGTAGCTGGGATTACAGAAGTGTGCCACCACACCCACTTAATTTTTTTGTATTTTTAGTAGAGATGGGGTTTCACCATGTTGGCCAGGCTGATCTTGAACTTTTGACCTCAGGTGATCCGCCCACCTTGGCCTCCCAAAGTGCTAGGATTACAGGCATGAGCCACTGCACCCAGCCCCTATTATTAGTTTTTTTACAACACATAGAGTTGTGAAATAGTTCAAAGACAAGGAAAAGAGATAACTCTAACAGAACATTCAGTAATGATTTTGTCCATTGAAATGTTTTTCACATTTTTTCCTAACAGTTTAACTCTTAAAGCTAGGAAAGATACCAACTGTACATTTTTCTATGTCTTGATACTGTACTCAGATTATTTCTACTTAGCCAATAATGAGACAGATTTAGAATGTATTAAGGGTTTCTAAAATAATATATAGGAATCAGCTCCTGAATGGATTACAGAACCCCTGATTTCCACTTCTAGAGTCAATACTTTGAACACTGTGTGTCCTGATTTCCTTACATGTAAAATGACATTTACATTTTCTCTATTCTAATATTTCTATTTTAGAGTAGATGGCAGAAATTACAGAAGCAGGAAAAATAAGATTCATCATTTGGGGATGCAACAGGTTAGTACAGCAACTGTTTCAACTTACATTTTCTCCTAATTCTTTTTCTTTCCCCCACCCTTCTGGGCTGCATGATAAAGCTTGATCGGGTTCTCACTGGGAAGGGAAGCAGTGGTGCTGGTGCAGTGTACGAGGAACATGATAGAGAATCATCATGGCATTCCCAGAACAAGTTCACAATGGAATCATTGTCAGAGTTCCCTTTGCTTTGACCCTGATGCTGAGCATGAACTCCGGGCAAATGCCCCATAGTTCACCCAGCTGGAGCCCTGTGAGAACAAGGAAGGTGATGTCAGCTTTGGCACTCTGTTTAAGTACAGTGAAGCCTGCGCCTAGTGAATTTCATGAAGATGGATCACCATCCTCAGCTCTGTGTTTACAAAGACATCAGGAATAAACACACATACCCTAAGTGAAAGAAAACCACAGCTACTCTTATCACCCTGAAAAATGAATCGATTTTTTAAAAAATGCATGAGTTATTTAGAAAATATCATAAATATATCATGAGACCCCTCGTTGCTAGTTAGTCAATATCATCAGAGCATTGGGAAAGCTGTTTTGCTTTTATTTTCCATGAGCCACAGCTCCTTGTCACTTACAGTTACTGCTCTGAACATCAGTTATTATGTCAGCCTTTACAATATTTTATCACTTTCACTTTAATGTTACATAGAAAAGAACAAATATTTTAGATCTAGAAGTAATTTGGGTCAGGCTTTCTTAAAATTCCTATAAAGTTCCTGGCACTTCTGAAGAGACTCCATTCTTTCTCCAAGAACAAAATTTTATTTGATTTCACCACCCCTAAATAACAATAGCAGTGATAAAACAATTGTTTTCATTCCCTTTACAAATAACTTTTTATTCTAATCTCCTCCTTCAAAGAAATAACTAATTACTGTTGCTTTTACAATCATACCAATTAGGCATGGATTTAAAAAATAAAGTTAATATGTCTAACTGTATCATTGGAAAAGACTCTAAGGTAAAGAGGAAGAAAACAGAAGACTTACAGAGGTTGAGACCTGGGGGAGCTTAAGCTGGTTCAAACATCTGTAAACTAAACCTCCTTCTTTCCATGAAAAAAAAAAAAAAAAAGCAACTATCATTTGTCCAAGAGTATTGCCATTAGTGTGTGTGCATGTGTGTGTGTGTGTGTATGTGTGTTTACTGTTCGTTTCTTTAAAAGATAAATGTTTAAGTATGTAATTGAGGAGAAAGACAAATGCTTGTAAATATATTGTTTCCCTAAGCACACACACACAGGAAAAAAAAAAAGACTCAGTGAGAAAGGAACTTGCATATTTTCATTGAATTTTGACAGATAAAAAAATGAGAAAGAGATATAGCTGTTGATGGTAAACAAAGGTAGAAGCATTTAGCTTTTAATCACCATAGAACTAAGTCAAAACCTGCCCTCTGTTTCAGTTCCAGAATCACAAAGGCAATTTTGAGATTTTTCTCACTAATTCTTGTCATTCACAACAGATAACATGTGACGAATGTTCATTACATGCCAGGTTGAGCTAAGTCTTTCACATGCATTAACTATTTCTAACCCTTATAACAATTTTATAAGGCAAGTATTATTATTATCAATCTATCAACTATTATTATCCAACCCTTCATGTGAATAAGGAAATTAAGGATCTGAGAGGTTGAAATTGCCTAAAGTCACAGAGCCATAGAGATCCATGACTCTGTTATCTTTCCTATGTTTTGTTTACAATGGATTCTGAGACACAAGTAACCTCAACCTGCAAATGCTTCTCAGGCTCTGCAGCAATGTTTTCCAAATCCTTTGCACTTCTTAACATTCTAACATACACAGTACCTTAATTTGTTTGTATTGCTTAGAGGTTTTTTTTTCTCACTCTCTTTAGCTTAAAAATTCAATAAATTTTGCCTGCAAAGGCCCTTTCTCAGGTCCTTGTGCTTTTTCTATTCCTCCAACTACATTAAATTTTTATACAAATTTAAAAATGTATTTTTAAATCCGGGGTCTGCCCTGGAGTGCCCTACATGCCCCTGGCCCTCCCCAATTCCTTGCCCCTGGCACATGTCTTTTGCCCTTTACTTACCTTACTTAACTGTTTGTCCTTTGCTTACAGGAAGTTGTTTTGTCACCCTTTTGGTGCGATTTGGTGAGATTCAGCAGGAACCCAATCATACGACAAAGTAATAAGTAATGGACTCCAGAGATTGTGTTAAGTAAAGATATTGATTTGCCAGAATATTTTACACTTGTTACTGACATAATATTTTAATTGTTTACAATTTTAGATATTAGGAAAGAAAACAATTATTGTCCCAAACTGAAAAATAATGAAATTTGTGTCTCAAAAAAGCCAAACCCTCTTCACTTTCTCTCCTGTGCCTTTTATGTCTTGGGTAGGGAATGAAGGCAATAGAGTTTTCCCTCCCATAAGCTCCTCAAATATTAGTTTTGTTTTCAAGATATGTGGAACTTCTATTAAACTGCAAGAAAGGAGGACCGATGCTTTACCATTAACATATTAATTATCCTGACTTCTTTCTCTGATTAGGTAACAACAACCTTCAGGGCAAAAATAGCCCTTAGCTTCTAGCATAAGGGAGAGGGAAGCTTCCACTACTCTACGGTTGTTAGATTACACACGTTTCTTAATATCAGAGGTTATGGTCTCTGTTAAAGCAACACACACACATATCCATCCATAATTTTTACTTCTTATTCTTCTGTATTTCACTATCTGAAGTCTTCTGCTATTTAACACACAATTTTTGAGGATTCATTATTTTGTTCTCTTTGAAAGCTGAGATTACGTCTTAATTAAAAAGATAGTCTACACTTAAGGAGCATACAGTTTAATGGAGGAAGGTTACACTGACTAGGAACTTCTAAATACAATGCAGTGTGCATAATATTATTTTAGGGAATTGAGTAATCTAGGAGCTGCTAGAATTCAGTTGACCTAGTGCAGGGTGAGAAGAAATCATCCTGTTTCTCCCACTCTAGGCCCCTTCCTGGACCACAGTAGGTACGACTAATTTCCTCTCTGGGCCTGCTAAATAATTTGTGGGGCCCAGTATAAAATGAAAATGTGCCTTTAAAGGTATTAAAACATAAAACAATTTCCTTTCTTCTGTGGTCCCTGTCTCCTGACCTATCACAGTATTTTATACTTACTATTTGATGTCATATTCCCCCAGCACAGTGATGCAAGAGCCAACCTTCACAGGTCCCCCCCAGTGGTCCACCCCATGACTTGGAGCATACACATTGACTTAGCCCTCCAGTTGCTGGGTTCTCTTCCCACCAGCCGCTGCACCTATGCCATTTGGAATAAGTAATGCATGGTGCTTTCACCAGCAACAGGAAAGCCGAGCCGGGCATCATCTTCCCTTCCTACAGGGCCTCCTCCCAAGCTATAGTAACCTCCATGAAGGTAGCAAATGCGATGTAGCAATGATGGGACTTACTTGGTACCTGGATTGGAGCTAAGTGAGAGGCCCACATGGGCTGAATTGCCTGCTGAATATGTCATTGTGCTGCTAACTAGGAGCAGTGACAGCCCCTGCCTTGTCTGGCCCCAAAGATGTCCTGGAGCGTTTGTGCCTGCCTCTGCTAATCCCCACTTCCTTGCCCATGGCACCGGGATGAAGGTGGAAAAAATGGCAGTGTTAGCTGAGGTGGAAAATGTGTGCTGTCCAAGAGAAGTGGCAGGAGGAGGATGCCTGAAAGCTGAGGTTCCAAGCCCCTGCACAGGCTTTATTGTTGAAAGTTAAAATTATCATTTAGAATACCAAGACAGCAACCTCAGAGCATTAAATCCCTTCTAGTAGACCCTTCTGAGCACATTGAGCTGGGCCCTATGTGATTCCACTGGCTTTATGCCCACATGGCCAGTCCTGCTCCTTCCTACCAATCTCCCACTCTATCATCTTTTACTGTTGTTAATTACTACTTTAGGAAAAAAATTTACTCTGCAGTTTTCTTAATTTTTATTTACCAGCTATTACTCTAGGATAAAGTAAAAGTGTCTTAACCTAGCAAAACTTAGGCTTCAAAATTTTGCATCACCTTCAGCTGCAGCCTTATCTCTTCCCACTTCTTTCCACTGTGCCTATCTCCTAGAGCTCTTGGGCTTTTTGCTATAGCTAATGAACTCCCCCAAATATGCTCGTGCTTCCACGTTTTTGCATTACTGTCTTCCTTTCTGGAAAAGTTCTCTAAACTTCTTTTCCACTAGTTCCATCTCAAGGCTTATATTGAAGGTTATGTCTTCCTAATTTCCCCAGTCAATCTCACTCCTCTCACCCAGCATCACACCTTGCTCCTTATGCTCCTCTGCATGTTTCTTTTTGCCTTGGCACAGTTCCTAGATGTACTTCCGGTGATCAAAGCCCAGGAAACTCGAGATAATGCCAATTCAAATATTTGATCCCGAATTAAAGTCCACCCCAACTTTGCTGATACTCCTTTCACAGAGCAAGTAGGATGGAGGGTCACCAGAGAAAGTGAAGGACAATGTAACAGTTTGCTAGTGGGTGGTTTTGACTTGCCAAAGTGAGGGATGGCAGAGACTACTTACGGTGAGCATATACATGGTTGGCCAGAGTGGACTGCAGGCCAGCCCTGGTGGATAGGGTTGGTATGGTTTCCACACCAGAACTGAAGGACTTAAGATATTAGATTGGTTTAAGATTAAGGCTAGGTAAGCGAAAGAGGTGAGGTGTAGAAAAGGACAAAGGACACAAGGAACATGGCAAAGTTAGCAGAAGTGACTAAAGTGATCAAGGAGGAGGGGGGTTGTCTATCTGAATGTAAATCAGGTAAGTCATGTTGGAGTCATGAGCTGGTGAAACAAGCAGAAAATAAAGTAATAAGGCTTCTGTAGGTCAAAAAGTGGGAATGAAAAGAAAGGTGTTAGAAAGTTTGAAGAAATTTAACTCATTTTGCATTCTACTGATAGTATAAAATAATACATGGTACAGTAGATCCCTTTATGTGCAGTTTCAGTTACCTACAGTCAACCATGGTCTGAAAATACTAAGTGGAGAGTTCCAGAAATAAACAATTTGTAGGTTTTAAGTTTCACCCCGTTCTGAGTAGTGTGATAAAATCTCTTGCTGGCTCATTGCATCCCACCCAGGACATGCCTCATCCCTTTGTCTAGCGTATCCAGGCTGCATACCCTACCTGCTCAGTAGTCATCATCGTCACCTGCTCCTGACATCCTGCCATTGACATTGTCATGGCTAGATGTTCCAAGGTCTCCTGAAACAGATGATCCTCTTTTTGGTGTATCATCAGAAAGTAAACAGCAGCCAAATGCTACATCACAATGCCTGCGCCATTTGCCTCACTTCATCTCATCATGTAGGCATTTTATCATCTCACATCATCACAAGAAGGGTGAATGCAGTACAATAAGATATTTTGGGACAGAAACCACATTCACGTAACTCTTATTACAGTATATTGTTATCATTGTTCTATTTTATTATTCATTATTACTAGTCTCTTAGAGTACCTAATTTATGTTAGACTTTGTCATTGGTATATAAGAAAAAAGCATAGTACTTTTGTAAGGCTTGGTACTATCTGCAGTGTCAGGCATCCACTTGAGGTCTTGAAACATATCCCTTGCAGAAGAGGGGAGGCTACTGTAATTTAGTTCAGATTGAAGAACTCTGTCTCTCTCTCTCTCTCTCTCTCTATATATATATATATATATACACTCACATATATATATTGCTCTCTCTATATATATATATGTATACACACACAGACATATATATATATATATATATATATATAGCTTTTTGATATTGAAGGAATAAAAAGGCTAAAAACTTAAAAGAGACCTCAATGTGAATCTGATTGGTCCAGTAAAGTGGTTGTACCCCTTTACATACTCAACTTCAGTGTATAAGAGTTCAGTTCACCCATATCCTTACCAATACTTGATATGGTCAGTCTTTCTAATTTTAGCAATTTTTATGGATGTTTAGTGGTATCTTATTGTGGCTTTTTTTTTGGCATTTCCCTACTATCAAATGATGTTGAACATCTTGTCATGTACTTGTCAACCATATATATTCTTTGTAAAATGTCTTTTCAACTTTTTGTATCCTTTTAAACTTTGGTTTTTGGGTTTTATTATTGTTTTGAAAGTTCTGGATATATTCTGGATACAAATCTTTTATCCAATACATGCTTTGCAAATATTTTTGTGTGTGGCTCATCTTTTCATTCTCCTTTCAGTATCTTTTGAATAGCAGACATTTTCCATTTTGATGAAGTACAATTAATCCATTTGTTTTCTTTTTTGGATGGTGCTTTTGATATCAAAACTAGGGAATCACTGCCTAACCCAAAGTCACAAAATTTTTATAAAGTTTTACAGGTTTCAGTCTTACAGTTAGGTTTATTATCTACTTTAAGTTACTTGTTTATACATTAAACAAGATAGAAATAAACTTTTTTACATATCAATATCTAATTGTTCTACCATTATTTGTTGAAAACGTTATGCTTTCTTTACTGAACTGCCTTTAAGCTTTTGTCAAAAAATTACTGTTCATATATTTGTGGTTCCATTTCTGCACTCTCCTCTTTTCCTTTGGTCTATTTGTCTATCTTGACACAAATGACACACTGTTACATGTTTATATACAGAGACGTTTATAATTAGTTTTGAAACCAGGTAGTTTTAGCCCTCCAACTTCTTTTTTTAGCTATTCTATGTCTTTGCATTTTTGTTTGAAATTTAGAATCAGCTTGGCAATTTCCACAAAAAGGTTTATTGGTATTTTGATTGAGATTGCAGTCACTTTATTCATCAATTTTGGGAAAACTGACATTGTAATACTATTGAGTCTTGCAACCTATAAACAACAACAAAAACTCTCACTGCATCTCTACCTCAAAGAATTTTTCTTAGTGTATTTTCTTTCATTTCTTCAAGCAATGTAGTTTTAAATGTACAGATTTTTGTCTGATTTAGTCCTATTCTATATTTCTGATGCTACTTTAAATGGTCTTGCTTTTTAAATTTTAATTCCTAAGGAGACTACATATTTACATTAGGACATATCACTCATTTTAATTTTCTAAGAAACTATTGTCTACTGTTCATTAATTCAAAATTCTTGCTGAAATTTTCAAGACATTCTTTGGCCTCCTTTCTATCTCTCACTTAATCCATCAAAAAAAAGTCTTATTTTTTTTTTTATTTAAGAGTTCCTGTTTTTCTGAAGTATTATATAATAAAAGTTTGGGAAAGGTACTTAGTAAGAAACTGAATGAGGTTATTTTGAAGGTAGCTTTAAGGGAAATTTCTTTTTATAAAATTCTGAGTGTGATTCATCCAACAATAATAGTCTAGATACTGGACTTCTTTCAAGGACAGAACAGAAAATAAGAATATTTTGATTGTTTTCTTTGAGCTACAATGAATAAACACTCTAGGGTATGTGTGTTTATCTACCTATATTATATTAATTGCTAGGAGACCAGAGTACCATTTAGTAAGTTACTTTTTCCAGACCAGTGGATGGTGTTTGGCTCTCTAATGGGATTAATTTAACTAAGACAGTTAATTGAATCAATTCATTCTCCCAGAGAAGCTTTTACTCACCCTCCCTTTTCCACTGAATTAAGGAGAGGCTGCATTTTCTTTCTTTTTTGTGTATTTGTATTTAGCATTATTCCTTTGGTAGCTTAACAGCATTTAAGTTACAAAATGAGTTAAGAAAATGATTGATTATGGACTTTGGCAGAAGCTATAAAGCTGTCTGGTAGAAGCTTAGAATGTAATTTATTTCTGAAATCACAGTTGAGTGTGGTCTTTTCTTAAGACACACTGAATCATACTCCAGAATGTGGGTCTTGAAAAACAAGTCTCTATCCAAATTTAATAGATTGTTTTGGAAGTCATATGACTTGGGAGTTTGAAAATCGGGAGCCGTTTTTTGTGTGAATATTAGTATGTGGATCGTCATATTCCTGTATTCCATCTCAGAGCCATTTTTACAGATTGGTAAACATAATTGGAAACTTTAAATGACATGCTACTCAGTCACATCATTAGCTACAGGACTGCTTGGAATAATATCTGTGATTCTCATAATATACATGCCCCGGATTTACTGCTGCATGTATGAATCAGCATAAGCACTAGACTGGGGTTTCTTAGATTTGGATTTCTGTCCTAGTTTCCCATGACTAACAGTGGCCAAGCAACAGTGGCCACTAAAGTGGCCAAGCAACTTTAGTATTAGTTTGTTATGGCTGCCCAACAAATTACCACGGACTAGATGGCTTAAACAACAGAATTTATCTTCTCACAATTCTGGGGTCTGGAAGTCTGAGATCAAGGCGTCAGCAGGGCTGGTTTCTTCTGAGGCCTCCATACTAGGTATGCATATGGCTGCCTTCACTCTGTGTGTTCACACGGTCGCCTGTCTGTGTATGTGTACTAATCTCTTCTTACAAGGACATCAATCACATGAGGTCTCAGCCTAACGACCCCATTTTACCTTGGTTATTTCTTTAAAGGCTCTATCTCCAAATACAGTCACATTCTGAAGTACTAGGGTCAGAACTTCAACATATGAATAAATTATTTTTGAATTTCCTATGACATTCATATGTCAAAGCCCTAATCCTAGTACTTTAGAATGTGATTGTATTTGGAGATAGGGTCACAATTCAACCCATAACACCCTTTAAGCTTCTGCTTCTTTATTCATAAAAATGTGTGAATTGATTTGAGTATCACTAAAGACTGTTCAAGGTCTAAAGGGTTAGTATTATTTTGAAAAGATGATCATTATCTTTTCTACAAATAAATATTGTGATTTTTCAATGTTCTTGACTGCAAGCATCAGAAAATGACCCTGGATAACCTAAAGAAAATTTCTTGATTAACTGTGGGAGTCCTGAGTTTAAGAGTAGGCTAGAGGGTGAGGGAGGTCTCACACATGGGCTGTCCAGTGGGAGGCTGACACCAACTGCCACTAACACCACATACTATGTGAGGGTACAGGCATTGCAGGAGACTCCTAAAAGGACAGGGAGGGGTCACAGAAAGATGCAGTGAATAGTCTAGAGCATCCCACTTCTATAAAATGACAGATAACCACCAGGAACATATTACGGTATTTTATAACATTAAGCTAAATGTGTTTAGAAGAGCTGAAAAAAATATTAAGCAAACAATCTCCAGATAGATAGATAGAAATGATAGATAGATAGATAGATAGATAGATAGATAGATAGATAGATAGATAGAGATATAGATAGAGATATCTGATAGACCCCTAAAGTGTCTCCTGATTTTTTTAATGGCTCCTCACAATTATATTTTGATAACAAATTTTTAAATAAAATTCAAATTAGAGGTAGAAGTAAAAATTACTACATTGAAAAACTGCACTAGCTTTTTTTCACTCAGAAATCTCTTTAGACTTTAATGATCTTGTCTGTAAAATGGGAACAAAGCTACTTAAATTGTTAAAAGCAAGACAGATGAATTTTGGGCTTACACCTTTATGATTTACAAGCTCTATGATTAAGTATTGAAGATGTGATAGATTTTTTTTCCCTTTATCCTCCATCAGTGCCCTATTGTTTATCTTTCATTATTTTTCTTGGAAAGGTTAAATTGATGTTTTAAAAATCAATTTCCATAACTTCAATTTTCTTATAGATATTTCCTTGTAATCAATTCTGCTATACATTTTTTTCCAACAGAGCTCTTAGAAATTACTGTTTACGTTATACTAAGATGCTAGTAATCACATTGAATTATCTCCTTATTTCTCAATTGCTTTACATCTTATCTTTTCCTCAGCTCTGCTCTGAAATATATTTTTTGTTGTTGTTGTTTGTAATTTTAACATATGTTACTATTTTTGGCCCAAATACTAGATACATAACAAAATCACTATTCAAAACTTCTCTTTAGATGTAAAGCTTTATTTTGGACATCTTAAGAATTTCAAGTTTTTGTTGAACTCAGTGTTATAACTTTCAGATTTCATGTTTAAATATTTTGAAAACTATACTGATTCATATTTTTGCTCGTTTTTAGTTGAATAAACTCTCTCTTTTTTGTTTTTGTTTTTGAGACAGGGTCTTACTCCGCCACTCAGCCTGCAGTGCAGAGGCGCAAAAACAGCTCACTGCAGCCTTGAACTACGGGGTTCAAGGGATCCTCCTGCCTCAGCATCCCATGTAGCTGAGACCACAGGAGTGCACCGCGGTTGGCTGATTTTTTTATTTTTTTGTAGAAACGGTATCCCATTTTTTTTTGCGCAGATTGGTCTCAAACTCCTGGGCTCAAACGATCCTCCTGCCTCAGCTTCTTAGAGTGTTGAGATTACAGGTATGAGACACTGCACTCAGCTTAAATAAACTAGCTCTAAAACCCTGATTGTTATGTATGTGGCTGTTTCTTTACATTCTCACTAGGAATTAATATCCAAAAACTCTCATTCATTCAACAAATATGAGTAACTACTATGTGTCAATTATTGTTCTTGACATATAGTAGATGTTCACTAATATTTCTTCATAGTCATGTTAATTGCAGTTTTTGTTTGGCTTATTTTTTTGTTACTGAAAATTTGTGGTGAAAACAAAAGGTATTTTGCTCTACTATTTTTATTTCCTGAAAAATAGTAATGGATACTCTTTCTCATCCATTTACTTCTTGCAAATAAACATCAGGGCATAGGAAATTCTTTGAAATTAGAAGAGATCATTAAATTACTTCTTTGGAAGGTATCTCAGTTTTGGAAGTTTCCAAACTGTTAAATGTATTCTTTTTCAGGTAATATCATACATATTTAAAATACCCAAAATTGCTATTTTTCTAGTACAAAGGTATTATATATTATATATCCAAATTTTTAACTTTTTAAAATTTCAACATCACTAAATAAGAACAATGAGCCAGCTTTAATAAACATAAGTAGAAAATTAGAGCAACATTATGAGTGACATTTACAATCATGTCAATCTCAACATCTCATTTACTTTTGTAATTGCTAAGATTACACACTTTCACAAAGATACATAGTTGTTGTGTATCTTTAATGTAATCTAGAAGCTGGAAAGAGGAGGTAGTTGGACACTTTTATTTCAAAGTTAAATCACTGACAACATCTACCATCTGCTCACATTCCCCTTCACAAAAATAAAATTCAGCCAAGAAGCTTCCAAAACCTTCAGATGAAACCCGTAAAAGATATTATCACAATTCTTCATCCTACCCACTCACTTACTATTGCACAACTACTGTTAGGCAGTGATGAACACGTGTACAGAATACCGGCATCTGAGCCCTAACATTTAATTGGACTTGGCGCATGTGTGCGGTGACAGTGTACTCAGACGTTTTTATGTGAAAGAACAAGCACAGACCTGAATTTTAAAAAGAAACAGAAAACAAGTCTTTCTAAACTGTGCACATTTGCAAGGAGCTCAAATATGTACTAATAGATAATAGGTCTTTTTTCCAAGAACTTCCCTCAAGCAAGTTAACCCAGAAGAACTATTTAATGGGCTAAGTGGTTTTCAAAAACACAGTCTGAAATGCCCCATTTCTCTGCAACTACTTCCCTTCATGGGTGAGACACTAAGACCAGTGGAAGTCAAACAAAACACACAGTTTCTTCTCCATCCTTCGTGCTGTTTCCTTAACTGGGATTTCATACCCCTTCAATCCTACCTGGCAGGATATTACTCATTTTTAATAACCTTTCTCAGATACCAGGAAGCTTTGTTTTTCCTCAGACGCATATTCTTTCTCTCCCTGTCTCCCCATCCCCAACATTTGAAATGCACTTAACATATTTTCATATTTCATCCTTTATCAGAAGAGAGGAATCTCCTGCTCTCACTTTATTGTAATTCTTACTACACTGTACAGCAGGCCATATACGTTATAGGCACTAATTAAACAATAATTTCATTGAATTGTTTACCACAAAGATCTATAATCCTCAATAGATCATTTACATTAAAATGGCTTATATTTTGCCGAATTTAATGAAAGTGTTTTTCTGTAATCCTTTTCACATTCTTAGAATTTTGTGTATTTCTTCCAAGGCTTCTATATAGCAATATTTTTTCAGCTGCCTTAGTTCCTTTTAATCCAATTCCCTTAGAAACATTGTTGTTTAAGTTGGCAATTTTTGTAGTAAAAGAGAAGGCGCTACCAGAAAGCTAGAAACGCGTCAACAGTGTGGGATTTGCCTGTGGGCTTTGACTGAGGAGCTGATGAAAAATTAAACAACAGACATGCAATTTTTAGCCCAACTGCACTAAATAAATCTTTTTTTGTGTTTGCTAGTATCTTCATGCTGAATTGTATATGACTGTGTTTTTCAGAATTTCCTCAAACACAAGATAGTGTATGTCTAAATCTGTGTCATTTTATCTTTTGTCAAAGGCCTAGTTGTCTAGAAGCAAAGACTGAGACAAAGTCTGGTAAAGATAGGGGCTTACTATTATTATTAGGAGTTGACATCTTTGGAAGTGAAGGTCAGGAAGCAGGATGGCAGAGAGAGAACTCCCCATAGAGAATGCAGGAATGCATATAGCCCATCAGACACGACTCACATTGGGCTGAGATGGCTGGGCCTCTATACCTCTGCCTTAATCAGGTACTCTGCCTGAAAAAAAAAGTGAGTGCTAGGGAATGTGGCTCTCTGCAGATGGGTCAAACCCTACCAAAGTTGACAACTGGAGGCTGTCTGCTGGGGCAGAAAGTTCCTTCTTTAGGGGCGATCTGGGTAGCACAACTTCATGTCCATCACACCTCTGAATGGAAACCCCCTCCGCAAAATGGGGACAGAGACTACTTTTAAATTTTTTTGAGATCGAAAAACAGAGACAAATAGCTAATTGCCATTAAGGGTTCTGTAGTCAGGTAGGCTTTCAGTTAAGAAGCCTCATGACTCCCTTGGCAGATATTGGAGAGTTTATTTTTCTATAATCTGAGTATTGTGATTTCACAGCATTGATTATGTTCTGGCTTCATGGTTCCACACAGTGAATCCTGGCACAACATGACATTAGTTACACTGAAATTCCCAAACTCCAAATACCAAGCAGCATCAGATTTTCTTAAGATTTCATTTTCTCAGATAAGTGGAACTGGCTAATTAACAGACCCCAAGAGGATTTAATTTCTCTGAGCATATCCACCATTTTTAGAACCTGGGGATTCAAATCACTTTTCTTTGAAATGTGGCAGTTATGACAATGTGATATGAATGATGAAAAATTAAGATTATAGACTGCTTTGAAGGAATTAGAAATCAATCTGGTTTGTAATGAGTCAATCTCTACTAGCAGAGGATCTGTTTCCTGAGACCTACTATGCAACTGTGCTTAGTGTCAGATGCCAAAGCCCAAATAAGGAAATGCCATCATATTGTAATAATTCAAATATGGTAATAATTCTAAAATATTAACTGGTAGCTGGAAAATCCGGTTTCAAAGGTCTGCTTTAACATTGTGTTCATGACATTGAACAATTTCTATCTTTGGCCTTAATCTATGTTTACATTTTAAAATCTTAAGGACAAATCCTTTACAAAGAAGTTGTTTGTCGGGGTGGGGGATGTTTAACTCTTACAAAAATGATTTCGTTAATCAAAGCTTTTGGTTCTTCTTTTGTACTTCTCTGTAAAATATTACTTTGAGAATTCTCAATGAGATAGTGGCTGGATTGAGAACAAGTGATTAAAGACATCTCTGGAATGGTCAGCGAGGTGATGCAGCAAGAAAGTGCCCAAAGGCTTGATGATAATCTTCGGTGTCTTGACTGCATAGCCCTTCTTTTGAAAGGAAACTGGAATAAGTTATAGGTAAGTTGATGCCTGGTTATTTTTTCAGTCATAGACATTTTCTTATTCTGAACTCTATGTTGCTCTCCTATCAACAGAACTTTTTTTGTATTCTAAACAGCACATCTTTAAATATGTATTGAAAATATGTATCGCACATTCTCAAAGACTTAGATCTTAATAAGTAGTTTTCCAATTGGTTTCAGTAACTCATAGATCATTCTTAGTCTCTTATCAGTGTTTAATAATTTTTAAAATAAATACATTTATGAATGAATAATCATGGGTCCTGGTTATCATGGGATCTGCGATAAAGTTATAGACCTAAAACTATTTTCACTGAAACACAGCACGGTCTTCAAAGAAATGGAAACTCATTCTCCATTCTGATTCATGGGATAATGCTCTGATGATTACTGTTGCTTCATCCACAGTGTTCTTCAACTTGAAAATGTGAAAACACTAGTTTATTTTTTTTAATATGAAAAGGTATTTCAAAGAATAATAGTCAGAGTTTCTAAGTTAAAATATTTCACTTACTACTGCTATTATTTCATCCATGTACATCTAATAAAGCTATTGTCAAAATGACAGCCTTACATGCTCACTTAAAATAATTCATATTCCCTGAAAAAAACAACTTTACAGCATTGTTTGTAGCATAATGGTGGCCATCACTTTTTTCTTCACTTCTTAATTATGCACTAGCATCAAGCTTCTTGATCAGGGCAGACCTGTGAGGTGCCAGCACAGTGTACAACTCTACAGACTCCTCTGTTTCTGCAGTCCAAATAGATGGTAATCCCCAGGAGTGATACAGTGCACAGCCATGCAACTGTGGCACTGGCAAATAAAATGAAGAAAGACCCTGGTGAGGGCCCAGGACAGAACAGAAAGACAACATATAAATCAAATGCAGTTATCTGTTCAAATTCTATGTCTCTTTGTGGTTTCCTTCTTTAGGGGTGATCTGGGTAGCACAACTTCATGTCCATCACACCTGCTCCAGACATAGATTAAAGAAGAGACTGAGGAGACAAAAAAGTGCTTACAACTGGTCTGAAAAGTCCAGGAGGATCTTTTCACTGTGAGCAGGAGTTATCAAAGACAGACAGCTCCTTAGCATTAACAGCATCAATTACTAGAGACTTTAGAACCTATATAATCTGGGAACTGAAAATACATTAGATAAGGTTCACAATCTGAGAGTCTATGTTGAAAGACAGGAATGCTGCCAACTTCAGACAGGGCAGAGAGGACAAATACCAGGAAGCAGTTGGAAAAGAACTGTGCCTCTGAGAAAGTTAGGTGGGAGGTTCTTGTTGCTTGTTTCTTTTCCTTTTTTTTTTTTTTTTATTTTATGTTTTTGTGACAGGGTCTCTCTCTGTCACCCAGGCTGGAGTGTAGTGGCACAATCACGCCTCCCTGCAGCCTCAACTGATCTTCCCACCTCAGCCCCCAAGTAGCTGGGACCACAGGCATGCACCACCATGCCTGGCTAATTTTATTTTTTGTAGAGACAGGGTCTCGCTATGTTGCCCCAGCTGATCTGAAGCTCCTGGGCTCATGCAATCCTCCTGCCTCAGCCTGCCAAAGTGCTGGGATTACGGGTGTAAGCCACCATGCCCAGCCAGGCTCTTGTTTCTAATGGCCCTTGGCTCTCACAATTTCCATCTTCTTTTCCAGGAATCTTCCACAGGATGCTTCTGTACACTAAAGCATGGAATATGAAGGACTTAATATGTACATTTGAATTAACTTAAAAATTCCTCTATTTTAATTTCTGCCTTTACAGGCCTGGAACCACAATGTCATAGGTATTTTTATAGACAAGTATTACTTTTACTTTTAATATGGTTGTGAATATATATTTTTGCCCAGGAGAATAGTTTTGTATATGTGTGTGTGTTTGTTTTGCTTTAATGAGAAAAAGAAATGTAAGAAAAGTCCAAAGAATATGTGGACTCACTGAATTGCAAGAAGCCCTCAAAAGGAAACTTGTGACTTTTTAAGAAAAAATACAGCAAAGTAGAAAGGCCTATTTAAGGCATTGAGGAATGCTGAAGGCCAGGTAGGTGTACCTGTGCTCTATGAACTGCATAGAAGAGATGAAGTAAGCCTGTGAGGCCGCATGGTCAAAGGAGTAAGAGCACAATGTTAGCATGAGACAGCCTTCGTACAACTCCTTGGTATAACATGTCTTCCCTCTTCATTGATGTGACTTGAGCAAGTTATTGAGGCTTACTAAGTGTCAGTGTTCCCTTTTGTAAAATGAAGATGATAATATGGGATTAGAGTGAAGGTTAGATAAGATAATGCAGGTGAAATTATTAACATAGGGTCTGGAACAGGGTGAGCAATAATAAATATAAGTGATATTATTATCAAATGCCATTTTGAAAGATCAGCATCAGGCCGGGCGCGGTGGCTCACACCTGTAATCCCAGCACTTTGGGAGGCCGAGGTGGGTGGATCACAATGTCAGGAGTTTGAGACTAGCCTGACTAACATGGTGAAACCCGGTCTCTACTAAAAATACAAAAATTAGCCCATTGTGGTGGGTACGCACCTGTAATCTCAGCTACTCAGGAAGCTGAGGCAGGAGAATCACTTGAACCCAGGAGGCGGAGGTTGCAGTGAGCCGAGATCGCACCATCGTGCTCCAGCCTGGGCGACAGGGAGAGACTCCATCTCCAAAAAAAAAAAAAAAAGGAAAGAAAGAAAGCTCAGCATCAAAGTAAAGATAAAACAGTGAAAAGGAAGGAAAGGGTGAGAACACTCAGGCAGTCGAAAATTTTTAAGAACAGTTGGCCATGAATGGATTCATGGATTCTGGGTAACAATGTTTGAGGGTAGTAGCAGGAGTCTGAGAAACAACTTTGAAAAAAAAATTAAGAGAGGAAGGATAAACACTGGTAGAAAACATGTTTGCTTAGAAGCCCAGGTGTAATTAACAGAGTCACAAACAGTATTTAAATTTGTCCATTGAGTTTGATGATGCAGAGATGGTCAATGGCCTTTCCTAAAGCAGTATCAGAGGAGAGAAACCAGGAGTCAGATAACGCTAAGTTTTAGAGAATTTGGAAAGCTGGGAAGGAAAGTGACTAGTACATTTTCAATAAGTTGGATAAGAGTTAAAATTAGAGATGGGGGCACTTAAAGGAAAATGAAAAAGAAAAATTGGAGAGAACAGAAGATATTTATACGATGAAGGAAAGAGAGAATAGACAGGATACTAGGTGGAACAGGGTCCCAGAGCAATGAAATGAGATGGCTTTATGAACTAAGGCACAGCCTGAAATGAGAAAATTGAGCACATTCTGTAAATAAAGGTAGAAATAGGGAAATATTGGTTTAGGTACTATAATATTAATAATAATTATTGAAAGAGACTCAGGAGGTTTGCGGTAGACTAAGCACATGCATGCTTTCCCTCCCTTTTAGAATCCTATAAAAGATGGCGCGGAAGTCCAAAAAACAAAATATAGATGAATCTACAACACTGAAAATAATCTATGCTGAGTCTTCAAAAAAAGTTTCAATAATTTCTTAAAGAGTGAAAAAAAGGAGTATTTTGAAGAATAAAATAAAGCAAGGCAAACAGTGCAGAATACGTACTGAGGGGGCTTTTCACCAGAACCAGAAAGAGCAGAAATGCCACCGAAAACAAATCAGAGGGATGAGTTAAAGGTCCACACAAGGAACAACCTCACTAGCCAGCACCTCCTCTCCCTTCTTCTGCTCCCATGTGAGTGAGCAGAAGCACTCATGTTTTCCTGCAGGCAGAAAAAACAAGCCTCTGATTTAAAGATAAGCAAAGTCAAACTTCTGTGAGTGTTAGTGTCTCAAATGAAATTCCCTCTCATTAGAATGCTGAAAACATTCTCTCTCACTTTACAGCAAACTCTGCCAGGGACATGACCAGCCCCAGTAATACCCAGACTCTCCAGTGACTTTCTACTCCAAGGGACCCACTGGGGAACATACCTTTTTATGCAATGCAGCAGAGAGCCACATGAACCTACCTAGACCAATCAGCCCATGGTTTCAGACTTAAATATAAATAGGCAATGAGGGTCAACAGGCATGTAAAAAGAGCCACACATACACAAAAGACCAAAATAAAGACAAAAACGTTGCCCTAAGATAATTTAGAAAACATAAAAGAATAGCAGCCAAGATTTGGAAATAACCTAAATGCCCATTAACAGATGAATGCATAAAGAAAATGTGGTACACTACTGAAAACAATGATAGTTCTCTGAAAATGGAATACTATTCAGCCTTAAACAAGAAGGAAATCTGCCATTTTTGACAACATAGATGAACCTTGAGGACATTCTGCTAAATGAAATAAGCCAGTTGCAAAAAGACAAACACTACATGATTTCACTTATGTGAGTTATTGAAAATAGTCAAATTTATAGCACCAAAGAACACAAGGATAATTGCCAGGGGCTGTGGGAATGAGGAAATGGAAAGTTACTAATGAATTAGCATAAAGTATCAGTTAAGCTATGGAGATCTGCTGTGCAGTATTGCACCTGTGGTCAACAATAATGGATTGTATTGTACACTAAAAAATGTATTAAGATGGTAGATCTCATGTTAAGTGCTCTTATTCCAATTAAAATAAAGTTTTTTAAAAACCTCCATTAAGTATTATAGAGATTCAAGATAACTTGTTTTAAATAAAAATAGAACAAAAAGAGTATAGATGAAAAACATAATTACTGAGATAGATGCATGCATACACACATTCACACATGGCAAAAGAAAACCAAATGGAATAAGATATAAGAATTAGAAAATCTGACAAGCCAAATTCAGTAGCACATCAAAAAGCTTATCCACCACGATCAAGTAGGCTTCATTCCTGGGATGCAAAGTTGGTTCAACAAACACAAATCAATAAATGTAATTCATCACATAAACAGATCTAAATACAAAAACCACATGATTATTTCAATAGAAGCAGAAAAGGCCTTTGAAAATTTCAACGTCCCTTCATGTTAAAAATGCTCAGTAAACTAGGTATTGAAGGAACATACCTCAAAATAATAAGCGTCATATATGAAAAACCCACAGCCAATATCATACTGAACTGGCAAAAGCTGGAAGCATTCCCTTTCAAAACCAGCCTCTCTCATCACTCCTATTCAACATAATATTGGAAGTTCTGGCCAGAACAATCAGGAAAGAAAAAGAAATAAAGTGTATTCAAATAAGAAGAGAGGAGTCAAACTCTCTTTGTTTGCAGATGACATGATCCTATATCTAGAAAACCCCATTAACTAAGCCCAAAAGCTTCTTAAGCTGATAAGCAACTTTAGTAAACTCTCAGGATGCAAAATAAATGTGCAAAAATTACTAGCATTCCTATACACCACCAACAGGCAAGCCAAGAGCCACACCATGAATGAACTCCCATTCATAATTACCACAAAAATAATAAAATACCTAGAAAAACACCTAACAAGGGAAGTAAAGAACCTCTTCAAAGAGAACTACAAACCACTGCTCAAGGAAATCAGAGAGGACACAAATGGGAAAATGTTCCATACTCATGAATAGGAAGAATCAATATCATGAATATGGCCATACTACCCAAAGCAATTCATAGATTCAATGTTGTTTCCATTACCACCATTGACATTCATCATAGAATTAGAAAAAAATATTTTAAAATTCATATGGAACCATAAAAGAGCCCAAATACCCAAGATGATCCTAAGCAAAAAGAGCAAAGCTGGAGGCAACATGTGACCCAACTTCCAACTATATTACAAAGTTACTGAACCAAAACAGCATAGTACTTGTACAAGGACACATAGACCAATGGAACAGAATAGAGAACCCAGAAATAAGACCACATACCTACAACCATCTGATCTTCAACAAACCTGACAAAAATAAGCAATGAAGAAACGATTCCCTATTTAATAAATGGTGCTGTGAGAACTGGCCAGCCATATGCAGAAAATTGAAACTGGACCCATTTATAACACTATATGCAAAGATCAACTTAAGATGGATTAAAGATTTGGATGTAAAACTCAACACTATAAAAATCCTAGAAGAAAATCTAGGCAATACCATTCAGGACATAGGCATGGGCAAAGATTCCATGACAAAAACACCAAAAGCAATTGCAATAATTAGAAAAATTGACAAATGGGATCTAATTAAACTAAAGAGCTTCTGCACAGCAAAAGCAACTATCATCAGAGTGAACAGACAACCTACACAATGGGAAAAAATTTTTGCAATCTACCCATCTAACAAAAGTCTAATATACAACATCTATAAGCAACTTAAACAAATTTCCAAGAAAAAAACAAATAACCCCACTAAAAAGTGGACAAAGTACATGAACAGACACTTCTCAAAAGAAGGCATACATGCAGCCAACAAAGATATAAAAAAAAGCTCAACATCACTGATCATGAGAGAAATGCAAATCCAAACTACAATGAGATGCCATCTCACACCCCTCAGAATGGCTATTATTAAAAAGTCAAAAAACAACAGATGCTGGCGAGGTTGTGGAGAAAAAGGAATGCTTTTACACTGTTGGTAGGAGCGTAAATTAATTTAACCATCATGGAAGACACTGTGGCGATTCCTCAAAGACCTGGAGGCAGAAATACCATTGGACCCAGCAATCCTATTACTGGGTATATACACAAAGAGATATTAATCATTCTACTATAAAGATACAATGAACATGCATGTTCATTGCATCACTATTCACAATAGCAAAGACACGGAATCAACTAAATGCCCATCAGTGATAGACTCGATAAAGGAAATGTGGTACCTATACACCATGGAATACTATGCAGCCATAAAAAGGAGTGAGACCCTGTCCTTTGCAGGGACATAGATAGAGCTGGAGGCCTTTATCCTCAGCAAACTAATACAAGGACAGAAAACCAAACACCGCATGTTTCCACTTGTAAGTGGGAGCTGAACGATGAGAACACACTGACACATGGGAAGGAACAACACACACTGAGGCTTGTTGGAGGATTTGGAGTTGGGAGACAAGGGAGAGCATCAATAAGAATAGCTAATGGATGCCAGGCATAATATCGAGCTGATGGGATGATCTGTGGAGCGAACTACCATGGCACATGTTTACCTGTGTGACAAATCTGCACATCCTGCACACGTACCCCTGAACTTAAAATAAAATATA
This sequence comes from Homo sapiens, assembly GCF_000001405.40. Lineage (NCBI taxonomy): Eukaryota > Metazoa > Chordata > Mammalia > Primates > Hominidae > Homo > Homo sapiens. The sequence goes on along the minus strand of NC_000003.12, from coordinate 152,629,576 downwards.
AATAAATAAATAAATAAATAAATAAATAAATAAAACACTTGGAATAGTACCTGGGAAAAAAAGAATTAGAGAATCTATGAGAATCTATTACACAAACTATGAGAGGCATGAGTGTTAAGTATTAAACAATTTAAAATGTAATATAAAAAAGTAATAATAGCCAGTAAAATATGAAAAGCCTAGGAAAATGTATATTTTCCCATATGTAAAGTATTTATAAAAGAAATAAAAAATAGTACTTCAGGCTACCAAAGAATAACTTCAAAATGGAGAGATATAGCATGTTTTTAGAATTCATGATGTCATTCATATAAACCTTAAAGCATATAAAGCAGTGGTATAGGTTCTTTAGGAATACAGACATATGTAGTAAAAGTGTCCAGAAAATATGTGTGTACATATGAGAATTGATAGTGTAGAAGATGGGAAAGGGGAAAGGATTGATGGATGTGGTCAAGAGAGGGTTAAGCAGTTGTCTCTAGCAGATTTGCATATGCTTCTTCCTTAATTTGATTCGTGTATATATCCATGAATGTTATATTATTCCTGTACCTTTGTAATTGTTTTATATATTTTGTAATTTTGAAATATTCCTGGGAACTATGTGTTTCTTTCATATCTTAAAAAAATGGAAGCAAAATATGTAAGTTATTGAAATTTTTAAGTCTGACAGGTTTATTATACCTTGTTCTTGCAAAGCACATTCAAGGCTTAAATCTATTATGCTTTCAGGTACAACGATACAAACCATTTTATTTATTTCAAAGGCATTGATTCCTTGACTAATAACTACGTATTTAGAAGGGAAAAACAACTTCATTTCTTTCCAGCCACAATAATCTCGGTGTGCCAAAGTTTCTCTTCATTTGGCAGCTGTCATAGCAGCTGAGGCTATCATTTTTATCTCAAGGGGAAAATGGGAACCTGCTGTAAATTGTTCAAATCCTGAATTTACTGAAGCATTAATTACAAGCTACAAATCTAATTGATGCCACAAAACAGTCACTAACTTGCATCATTAGAGTCTAAATGCTAAAAATCTACATTTTCCCATTTAAAAATTCTAAGAGAAATATTAAGAAATACTGGAAATTATCAAACATAATCAAAAGTGGGATTCTCCCCCCATTTTGTTTTGTTTTGCTTTCTTTTGCTTGTTATAACATATGAAACAGAATAGAATTACCTCACTTGAACAGCAATTTGTATAAGCAAATCCCTAGTTTCCTAAGTATACAAAAAGGAGTGTTACAACATAATTTAAATAGTAATTTCCTGTGTTGATTTTAAAATATTTGATTTAATAATAAATTTCAAATCTCACGTATATTTAGAACAAAGTTGCTTCTAAATTAGTTTGACCCTTTCTAAAATCACAAATCTGATTTTAGAAATTTAGTAATCATATCATTACCCAAATGAAGCTGATTTTCTCCATGTAACCCACCCTTAAAGAAAGACCTATTCTGTGCAATCTGCTGTGCCCTGAGAGATCAGAAACGTGTTGTCCTACCACTGGAAAGTTCTGAAAATACAGAAAATCGATAAGTTTTTATAAAATACAATAGCTGGTTGATTTCACATATCAAAAATTTGAACTGGGATGCATACTCCCCATAGCATTCTTTCTCAGAATATTGATATCCTGTCAGCATTTTTCATTCTGGCACTTGATTTTTTTTGCTCTATTTTGCAGCATTTAAATTATACTATCTTATTTTCTTGTGGTTGTATGTGTTTAAATCTTATATTCCAGAGATGATAATGGTGGCTAATATTTATTGGGAACTTGCTTTGCCAGAGCTTATTCTTGGCCTTTTCTGTGAATTGGTTTACTTAATCTCCACAATAACTGAGGTAAATACTGTTACTATCTCCATTTCATAGATGAAGAGATTGAGTGATAATGAGGTTAACTAACTTGGCAATGACACCAACTAAGCAGTAGAGCAAGAACTTGTCCTCAGACAGGTTGTCATCGGACCTGTAGATTTTAATCACCTCACCAAAAATTAAACATCAGATATTTATGTCTTTGTGTCACTTCAGAATGTATAGGACAGTGCATACATTATGATATTTTTACACAATCATGTCTTTTGCATATGAAGAAATTAGACTCAGATAATAACTGACATTCCTCACATCACATAGCTAGTAGGTGTCAGAGCTGGGACTAAACTTAGGTGTGTTTAACACCAGGTCTAATGATTTTTCCACTGTATCATAGCTTTCTAGAACACATGACCATTTTAGGTGGTACTTCAAAGTCTTATTTCTAATTTTTTTCAATTAGAAATTGAGACACTGGTTCATGGAAAGCAAATTGTACTTTAATGCTAAAAGCTGTGGAGGAAATAATTTGGGAAGCAAAATTTTTATCAACTCATACAGAACATTTTATTGTGGTTCTAAATTAGGAAACTACCTGAGCTGCTTAAAGATACATAATAGGTTTTATATAAAGAATAATAAAAATAATAAATAAATAAAGTGAATCATTAGACCATCAATTGATAACATCAACTAAAATCTTGTCCAGGTATTACAGTAATTGACACAGTTTTTCTTCCCTGTAGTTGCTTCCAATAGAAGATAATATATTAGTTCTTGAAATAACTATAATTATAGCAAACGTTATTTAACATTTACTATGTGCCAGGCATTGTGGTGATTCTAAATTGGGAAACTACCTGAACTGCCTAAAGGTACATAATAGGTTTCAAATAAAGAATAATAAAAATAATAAATAAATAAAGTGAAGCATTAGACCATCAATTGATAACATCAACTAAAATCTTGTCTAGGTATTATGGTAATTGACATAGTTTTTCTTCTCTGTAGTTGCTTCCAATCCAAGATAATATATTAGTCCTTTGAAATAACTATAATTATAGCAAACACTATTTAACATTTACTATGTGCCAGGCATTGTTGTAAGCAATTTGCATGAGTTGACTATTATCTTTAAAATTCTTGCAAGAGCTCTATGAGGCAGTTACTGTGGTTATCACCATTTTTAGATGAGGAAAAGGAAGCATAGAGAAGTGTAATAATTTGCCCAAGCTTAGATACCTGGTCTGTCTCCAGAGTCAGTGCTTTTTACTCTCATTGCGTAATAATGTGAGTGCCTACTATATGCCATGGGCTCTAAATATATTATTACTAATCCTCTCCAGACACCAACATTACAAAGTAGATATGCTTAGGCTTGCTTCACAGACTGAAACATGAAGTTCAGCAGAGTTAAGTAATTTGCCCGAAGTCACTCACCAACTGTGTGCTTAAACCAAGACTCGCATCTGTCAAATGCAGTGGCTCACGCCTGTAAATCCTAGCACTTTGGGAGGCCAAGGCAGGCAGATAGCTTGAGCCCAGGAGTTCAAAACTATCCTGGACAAGATGGCAAGATCCTATCTCTACAAAAAATACAAAAATTAGCCGGGTGTGGTGGCACACACCTGTAGTCCCAGCTACTCCGGAGGCTGAAGCATAAGAATCGCTTGAGCTAGGAGGTCGAGGCTGCAGTGAACTGTGATCACATCATTACACTCCAGCCTTGGCAACAGAGCAAGACCCTGTCTCAAAAAAAAAAAAAAAAAAAAAGGAGGGATTCAAACCCAGGTTCACCTTACTTGGAAAATCATGTTTTTCAACTTTACAATTTGACTTTCCACTCTATAAATAAATCCATCATGAAAAAAATAGTGTTAGCTGGTCACATTTGGCTATACATCCGTTAGCCTGTTTTATATACTCACATCAGCTGCATTAACATAGAGGTCACTGAAATATAAATGGCCTTTTCTTTGTAAAACAGCAGGACCCTAAATAGCCTATTTATGTTTTAAATTGTGCAGGATTTGATGTTTCTTGGAGAAAATATTTTATGGTCACAGTAGCCAAAAAGCAAAATGTTTCAAAGACAAAATGAAATTTTGGTTTTGGAGATTGCCAAGCGTATGACAAAGTCACAAATCCCAGACAGTATAAACAGCCATGTCACATTCTTTTCCTAGTAATGCAAGATAAGAAACTTCTGATTTTCTGGATCTGAGATGACCCTTCAGGATGTATCAATGATATCTGATAAAAAATGAATCTGAACTACCTGAACATTAGGCTTTAACATTATTAGATGTTTGCTGCTAATTGATCATTTGATTTTAATAAAGATAAGCAATAACGTTAAATAATTTGGGATATAAAATATTACTAATAGAGTTGGATTTCATTGCCATAGGCTGAGTTAGAAGTCTGACCAAAAGTGCTCAATGGCACTGTACACTTTAAAAGTAAAGAAAAATGATATGTCAATGTAGTTTCATCTATTGCAACAAACGTACCACTCTGATTCTGAATATTGATAGTGGGGAAGTCTGTGCATGTGTGGTGGCAGGGTATATGGAGACTCCCTACTTTCTGCTCAATTTTGCTGTGAACCTAAAACTGTTCTAAATAAAGCCCATTTAAAAACTTAAGAAAGTGGCTGGGAGCAGTGACCCATGCCTGTACTCCCAGCACTTTGAAAAGCCGAAGAGGGAAGATCTCTTGAGCCCAGGAGTTTGAGACCAACCTGGGCAACATAGTGACACTCCATCTCTGCGGAAAAAAAAAAATTAAAAAATTAGCCGGGCATGGTGGCACATGCCTGTAGTCCCAGCTACTCCAGAGGCTGAGGTCGGGGGATCACTTGAGCCTAGGAGTTCGAGGCTGCAGTGAGCTATGATCATTCCCCTGTACTCCAGCCCGGGCAACAGAGAGAGACCGTGTCTCAAAAAAATCATAATTTTTAAAAATTAATAAAGTAAAATATAAAATTTATAGACAGTTGACTTGCCATTTACACAGCAGACATGTGCAGAAGTGAAAGAATTATCTTCTATAAGTAAATGAAGATGTGAGGCTGCAATATTTGCCATTTGCCTACAAATGAAGAACATTATTATGGAACTTGTATGTACAAGATGTTGGCTATGACTATTTTCACAGGTAGACTCTCAGGGATGAAGTGAGACAGCTGTTCCTTGGTATGCATGGGAGATTGGTTTCAGGACCTCCCCAGGTACCAAAATCCACAGAGGCTCAAGTCCCTTACAGAAAAAGATACAGTATTTTCATATAACTTATGCACATCCTCTTGTATACTGTAAGTCATCTCTAATTACTTGTAATGCTGAACACAATGTAAATGTTATGTGACTGGCTGTTATATTGTTTATGGAATAATGACAAGAAAAGAAAAGTCTGTACGTGTCAGTACAGATACAATTTTGTTTTTTTCTGAATATTTTTTATTGGTTAAATCCGTGGATATAGAACTCACAGATACAAAGGGCTGACTGTATACATTCTTTACCTTATCCCAGAGTCATGTTTAGAGACAGCCTCATCATTTCTTAATTTTTGTCATTGAAAATAGAGTTAAAAATGAATGGAGAGTTTGAAACACTAGGGAAAAGGAAGAAAAGGGAAATGGAACTTTTTTTGTTCAGAAGGAGCTGTCATCAGAAGTGGTGGCCAGACTGCTTGGAAACAGCAAATCTTCCTGTTGAAGGAAAGCCCTAAAGGAGACACTGATCTAATGTATCTTGACCCTTCTGAAAGCAATCTTAGCTCCTCTTTAATTGTATTTTTGAATCAAAAACATTCAAATAATGTTTCTACGCTACTGTTTGTTTGGACTCTGAGGGAAGTCGCTTGGATGAAACAATTTTTGTAACATCTTTATGCACAGTTACAAAAGTCCGTAATTTAGGGAAGATCAAAATTATCTTTCTGACAGTGTTTTTTATACTTTATTTTCTCTCCCAAAGTACAAAAGATTCCTTAATGCTTTACTCTACTTTACAGATTTGTTCTCTTGGCTGTTGCCCAACCCTCAACTTTTATGCTCAGCAAATTTGAAATGAAATTTTCTACTCTCTTGTTCTAATTCCAGTTTACAGGCACTTCTGTTTTCTTAACAAAATAAGTCGGTGGCTAACAAAAGATGAACATCAGGGCTTATTGGTTCTGTCCCTGAAACCACAGGAAACTGGAGATGCTGGCCAAACATTCAATTTTCAGTGCTTCATGCATAAACTTGGTCAATCTTTTGATTATTTCCTCAATCCTTTGCAGTCATCTTAAACTTTTTTATCTTACAATTTCCTGAAATAACTGATGCAATGTGGTATCCATGTAATACACACAATGGCTTTGAGCTATTCTTACAGATGTCAAAGCTCTCTGGAAGTTTTTAAATTGTTGTTTTTATTTTAGTGGTCCCGTACCTCAGAGACAATGAAAATGAACCTACTGTCATTACCAAGGGGCTGCTTAAGGTTTGAGCAACTGCCGTAGAAAATCTTCATCTTACCCGCCCTCTCTACCACTTTTGTTTTTATTCCCAGAGTCCCTATCTTTACTCGTGAAAAGACAATCTCTTTAATAAATATAAATTGTGTTTATTTTTAATTACTTTTCATGTTGTATTTATTTCATTTATGAATTGTTACCACTTTGTATCGTTTTCCATCATTTTGATTCCTAGGTTATTTTCTAGGTAGTTGAATGCTACTCTTTATGTGTGTACCACTTGAGTCATACAGTTTCCATGGCAATAAGAATACAGTGGACAGATATATATCCTAAAGGAGAGATGACTTGTGGAGGCAATGCAATTTGTTCAGATAGCATGGTCCTAGAATAATCAAGAGGGCTTAATCCTACTCTCTCTAGTCCCAAAGGATACATATTAAACCAATGAGGGAAAGTTGTATGTTTGCTCTAAAGAATGAACTTTCCAATAATTAGATTTATTCAATATGTGCTGAGAAAAGGAGGTTGTGTGCATGAGTTTCCAAGCACTGGAGATATAATAGCCAAGACCAAGGAGGGGCGTGGTTTAATGGGATCTGAGATCCCTCCCAACCCTGAGATTCCACAGCTGTCTATTTCATCATGGGATGGGCACCATATACAGAATATGTGTTCATTTACTATTCATAGAAATCATGGGAAAAACTCAGAGAGCTGAGTTTCTTTGATTCCTACTAGAACTACAACTTCATGTGCTGGTTTTCCAGCCCTGACTCTGTCTTGACTTGCAGTATGGGGATTTGGGGTGAGGGATTTAATGCTTCAGTGCGTGTTATGCATTTGTAAATGAAAAGGTGGGACCATAGTGTCACAATGAGTAGAACAGTGAGATCTGGTTTCCAGTCTTGGCTTTGTCACAAATTGGATTAGCAAATCTCTGAGGTTCTTCCTGCTTTAATATTCTTTGAATAAGAACGCAGCTCAGAGTAACTGATTAAAAGCAACCAGTGAATATGATGGCACTTGGACTTATGAAGTACAAAGCTACTATTTTTTAGTCAATCATTCTCTTATAGTAATAAAACAAGAGATGTCATTGTCTTTCCTGTCTGGTCCCAGGAAATAGTTTAAGTGTCAGTAGGCAAGCAGGAAAAAAATGTTATTTCCAGATTAATAGCATCTGTTAAGGTTAACTGTCAACTTGCTCTTACTAGCAGGAGATGTTTTCAAACATTCAGTCACTCAGCAACTATTTATTGAACGTCTACAAATTTTCAAACACTGGGATGCCAGGTGCTGGGGATAAAATGGTAGGTCACAGACAAGGAAACACACATTCCTTTACTTGAGAAGTTCTCTTTCTAGTGGAAAAGACAAATGTATAGTAGGCAGTAATAATAAGTTGGCCTACTGCAGCATAAACTAAGATTCAGGACTAAATAGAGGACAAGTGCTTGGAAAATGTACATGACTTGTTCTGGGCACTCAAAAAAAAAAAGCTGGATGCTGAGTTCTTCTTCTCTCAGTTGCTAGACATAAGGCTCAGCACAGTGAGTCACCAGGGCTTAAAATTCAATGGCAATAATACCTCCATTCGTGCGGTGCAGAGAGAGCAGTTAGCCGTCACAACTTGTTACAGAAACAGATCAATGCTTGATGAGGTTAATCCACTTCGAACATGATAAGGCACGAAGAGGTTGACACACAGCACTTCCCTCAGCTCCATTTAAATTCAGCCTAGCACCCCACAGCCAGCCAATGTATGTGCTGTTTGAACAAGACATATTTCTGCTCATGGTTAATATCAGCTTTAGAGTTTAGTTTGGAGAATCAGATCAGCAGGCATCAGTTTTCTGCTTTCCCTTTCTCCTGTCTTCTGTCCCAGATCACTCTTCCAGACAATAAATGGTCTCTGTTCTTTTTGCAAGTAGGTTAAGGAGTTTTAGACAAACATTGAAAGCCTCCCTTATTTGAAGATTTCAGCTTGGTACTGATGCTTTCGGTCTGTTGGAGAGCACTTGGATAGTGAATTACCTCATTGTTTTCAGATGGGAGCAATTCAGTGAGACGTGTGGGTGTCTAACTGAAAGACGACAGTTCTTCAGAACCAGCCTGGTGGTGATGCTGGTCCCAAGAAACAGGGTTGGTTTGTAATCTAATTCAAAAAGGCTGTTACAAATGCAAAAACAAAGCAGGCATTTCACATGTGCAAAAGACCACTTGCAAAAAGCCTCCATGGAATTCACATTAATTTAGATTTGATAGTTTTTTGATTTGGACACCAGCATTCTAAGCTATTTATCTAAAATACAAAAGTTAGGTACTAGAAGACTATTTAAAAACTGTTTCCTACACTGTTTTTATCATAACATAGTCTAAGCAGCTCTGAACTGTCTGTATTGAAGAATGCATTTATTTATTGTATTTATACCAACTTTGTTTCAATAATTATTTTCAGTGGCCAGGCTATCAGTATGATCTGTACGTTAATTACAAACTCAAAGCGGGCTTGGTTTCTACTTGGGGAGCCTATCTTACTGAAAATTTTATTCCTTTTGCTGAAAATGACAATGATATGAAAGCTCCAGGCAGTGCCAGAAAGACTGCTATTCAGTTCACAAAAGAGCAGGACTTAACTAGACATCTCAGTTGGAGCAACACTAGCAGCAGCCAGCTCCAACTCAGGCTGGCAAATACTCTTGGCACAAAGCTTAAGCAACAACAGTGCAGTAGGTGCCACAGCAGTGCCCTCGCAGGTCTGCTGACTGCTCAGGCAGGAAAGCAGAAAAGAAAGACAAACCCAGTATTTACTCAGATTTTTCTTGGCTATCCTCAAAAATATGGTCTCTACTGCTGCACTCTCAATCATGAGCCTTATTGAAGATATCTTTAAAATGATATCTTTTATAAAAGCTTGGATTCTTTTATCCAGGGGAGGCATTTCAATCCATGTGAAGAAATGTAAATTCCAGACAGGCCTTTTTGAATAAGTAGATACACTCAGAGTGCATTTGCCCACCTTCTTCTACCCTAGATCCATTCCTTCACTTTGTTTCAATCCTAAGGTCTTCTGGCCCTAGAAAGTCACTGAAATTTTTCTCATCAAATTTGTGAATGACCACTTTCAAAAGTTATGTTACTTGGCTTTTCAGCAACATTGACCAATTTTGACCACTTCTTCCTTCTTGAAATGCTGTCTTCCCTTGTCCTCTCTGATACTTCTACCTGTTTCGGCCTTTCCTTCTCAAAGTTTCATTTCCTTTGCCTTTTCTTCAACACCATGTTTCCTTGGGTCCTGATTTGCATCCTCTTCTAGTTTTATGTTGTCTTCCTAGGCTGTCACATCTGTTCTCAGTGCTTTAGCTGCCAAGTATATCGGGTGATTTCAACAAGCACTTCCAATTCCAATGAACTCTAGTCCTATTTAGTCAATTGTCTCCTAACCACATACAGGCCCAACAGACTCCTCGAACTGAATATATGCAAAAGGGAGCTCTTCCTCTCTTGCATATCTGCAACCTGCTTCCCTTCTTTGTTGTCCCATATGCCCTCAACTGGCACAGCATCTACCAGAAGGACAAATGGGGAGTCACCACTGACTCTTCCCTTTGATCACTCCCATACTTAATCCATCAGCAGGTCTTGTTGAATTTACTTTCTTAATAGCTCCTGAATCTGTCCATCTTCTTTTCATCCTTTGCTGCCAGCTGTCAACCTAAATTTTTGACCTCACATACCCACTTGGGGCCTACAACAATATTATACATTTTCCAACCAGGCTGGTTGTTTTAATAAGTATCTAACTTAAAACCAGTAAATGCCTTCCCATTGCCCTCAGAATAAATTCCAAGGTTGTAAATATACCCCTTAAGTTTCAGAGTTGGCTTTTCTCCAGCATCATTTTGGGCCACAACTATTTGCTAGTTGTGATGAGGCTCCATTGGCTTCTCTTAAAGTATGGCCATCCCCATCTCAAGGCATCTCACATGCTGTTCTCTGTTTGGCATAGAGAGATTTACTCTTACATGTCCTTCCAATTTCAAACTCAATCTCCATTCCCTTGCCAAATGCTCTGTCAGCCCCATATATTTCCCCTATCATAACAGTCATCAATTTTTATTTTCATAGCTTTTTTGACAACTGTTTTTTGCCAATACACTGTAAACTCCATAAGGACAGGGTCTAATTTGTCATTATTTCCCCCAAGTAACTGGGGACATGGACCCTTAATGAATATTTTTGAGGGCACAGAATAATGGATTTTATATGCATTTTTGTGTAATGATAAGTATAAACTATAAGCATTTTTAAATGCTTTACAGAACTTTTAGTTATGAGATAAATGTGTCTTCACATTTATTCATAGGATGAAATACTGGCATTTGTGTGCTGGTTGATATTTGAAGGAGATAATAATGAAGTAATATTTCTATCATTCCCTTAATATAGAAGGCATCTATTCTCTGTAAACCTCTTCTTTATTTTTGGCAGAAAACTAAACACAAATGAGTTGTGGAAAAATGCAATTGGGAAATTTTTGTCCATTTTTTTCCCTTTCCCCAGATTATTTATGTAGCTCTGCCTCTCTCCTCTACCAGCTGGAGATGATAAGAAGATACTGATGTAAAAACCAAGGCCTAGAGCTACAGCAGAGGCCAGAGAGGACAAAAGGACAATAGGCAGAGTATTCCGTCCCTCTGCCCTACTCCTGTGAATCTTCTCTCCTCACCCAAGTGTCAACCCAAGGAAAAGAAAGGGCAGGCCCTTGTGAGGAAGACAGCTCTTCCTGGGAGCTTGAACTTTAACTGATTGTTGGAATCCTGTATTACTGAACAATTACCTGAAAGGCACTGCTGTCAACAAAGGTTGGGTTACCCACAAGTGTGAATTGGTTGTCATTACACAGCAGACATAAAGACTTGTGAATTAGGTTCCATTTTTTGGAAAATCAAAGAACATTAAATTTCTGTTCATCAGAGCCATAGTGCAAAGGTTTAAATCTAATGTGGAGTGAAGTCCAATCCTTAGTCTTCCTCAATATAATATTTAGGAGACTGCCTGACATTTGAATATAACAGCTAGGTCTCATCCACCTAATTGACTCAAGAAAGAAAAGTTTCAGTTTCAGATGTGAAATATTACCCTTTCCAAACTATAATTTTACTTAAAATATGAATAAGAACTATCTAGGGTCACAAAGAAGCCCAGTCCAACACTCATAAGAAAAGGACCAAATCTTTTCTCTTACTCTTGATATGAGGCAACTTTGTCTCCTCCATCTCTCCTCTTTTCAACACCACTGAAATCTTCTCTCTTTACCTCCTGTCTCTCACAGCCTCTATTTTTACCTATCTCACATTTAAAAAAATGAATACAAATTTAAAATGATAAAAAAAATGAGTTTCAGTTTTTTGAAACTCTTCTAACCTGAAGTGTTTCTTCTATCTTTAAAAATGTTGACTAGGCATATAAATCAAGAGTTGATAAAGAAAAGGATTAAGATAAAATATGAATGATTATATATAAAATATAATGAGTGATAATTTTCTCCTTGCCTCTATAGAGCTGACTGATATAATTTTCTCTTGTCAGTTTTTAATATAAACTTAATTAGATCTATTGGTAATAAAATAATTGCAAAATTTTGACAAATATTTATCTGGAAAACTAAAATAATAGAAACCAAAGCTCCTGTAACGGGTACTCTTGATTAAAATTTCTCAGTAAGGTGGCTGGGGGCAGTGGCTCACGCCTGTAATCCCAGCGCTTTGGGAGGCTGAGGTGGGCAGATCACGAGGTCAGGAGATCGAGACCATCCTGGCTAACACAGTGAAACCCCGTCTCTACTAAAAATACAAAAAATTGGCCAGGCGTGGTGGCGGGCGCCTGTAGTCCCAGCTACTCAGGAGACTGAGGCAGGAGAATGTCATGAACCCGGAAGATGGAGCTTGCAGTGAGCCGAGATCATGCCACTGCACTCCAGCCCAGGCAACAAAGTGAGACTCTGTCTCAAAAAAAAAAAAAAAAAAAAAATTCTCAGTAAGGCAACTTTACCACATGATTAGTAAAGGAGAATGCTCTCCTCACCCTCACAAAAGTACCAGAATTTCCAAAGTAGCCTGTGGCCTTAGTGTTGTGAAAAGTTCTTATAGAATTTCCTAACAACTTCTTAGAGGATCAATAAACAATACCACATTGATACACATATACACATACATTACAAAAATTACATGTAACTCTGATTACTTCATCTAGGAAAGATAGACGTAGTTATATAGCATCATTCTCATTGCTGTGTTCCTTTCCATTGTATGACTGTGCCAGAATTTAATCAATTCCCTATTGATGAATGTTTCCACTGTTAATGTGTTTTTTTAAAAAGACCCAAACTAGCATTCTCTCTGATAAAGTACCTTTGGAGCATTTATTTTACAGGGAGTTAAAACATGTATTTTCCTTCAGGAACCATACAATAACATATTACATGTCATCCAATGATGATGTGAGAAAGAAAATGTACAATTTGAGAATATTCCTTAAAACAAATAATAACTTGGCTGGGGAAAAAAGTTAATATAAAGTTTTGGCTTTTTAAAAAATGTCGATGTTATGCTAAAACAGAAAAGGAGAAATTATATTTCTTAAGCATTTAAAATACATAAAGTTTATCTGGTTTTTTTTTTGAGACGGAGTCTTGCTCTGTCACCAGGCTGGAGTGCAGTGGTGCGATCTCAGCTCACTGCAACCTCCGCCTCCCGGATTCAAATGATTCCCCTGCCTCAACCTCCCAAGTAGCTGGGATTACAGTCATGTGCCACCACGCTGGGCTAATTTTTTGTATTTTAGTAGAGATGGGGTTTCACCATGTTGGCCAAGATGGTCTTGATCTCCTGACCTCATGATCCACCCGCCTCAGCCTCCCAAAGTTCTGGGATTACAGGCGTGAGCTACCACACCTGGCCAAGTTTACCTTTTTTAAACCTGATCCATACACTAAAATATTATCTTCTAGAAATAATTTCCAGGACAATAAATAGTGAAACACCAGTGTCCAAGGAAACACTTAGAAAATTATTTGAGAATGAAAAGCCACCTATTATTGAGTGTATTGACCACCGCTCAACAGATGATAGGTTTAGTTTAATTTTTAAAGTAATTTGTCAGGTTTATCTTTGTTAATAAATCCACTGAAAAGGGTTTTCAAAAAAAAAAAAGAAAGGCGACTTCACCCCAGTGAGCAGTTTGTAAACTGGGGAGATGCAGCCTTTGGGATGTTAAAAGAAAAACCTTAGACAAATTAAATTTAACGGAATTTAACGGAGCAAAGAGTGATTCACTAATCGGGCAGCCTCTTGAGTCAGAGTATGCTCAGAGAGACTCCAGTGCAGCCACGTGGTGAAGGAAGTTTTATGGACAGAAAAGGAAAGTGACGTACAGAAAAGAGAAGTGAGGTACAGAAACAGCCGGATTGGTTACAGCTGGGCGTTTGTCTTATTTGAACACTATTTGAACAGTTGGCCCCCTTTGGCCAAAACTCGGCTACTGGCACGAGAGTAGGTTACAGTCTGTTTCCATCTCCATTTGGGATATAGTTCACTTACGTACAGAGAAACCTTTATGCCAAACATAAGATATGTAAGGAGGCAGTTTTAGCCTAAACTCGATTTACACGTGCAAAAAACAAAAACAAAAACAGGCGTGATCTGAGAAAATAAGGAAGGGTTGCCCTTTGTAGAGAAAGTTCCTGCCCAGGTTTCCATTCTGGTCCACTATGCAAATGAGGGATGCAAATTTGTTTAGTTCTGATTGGTTGATGCAGCTCACAGTCTATTGGTTAGGCCTAAGGGGTGAAATAGGATTTTCTAGCAGCCATTGATTCAGATGGCATGAACAAGAACAGACAGCTATGAAAGTCCCAAAGTTATGCTATTATCTTTTCTGCCAATGCAGAATACACATGTGACCTCTCTAGTCAGCAAATGACTTGGCTCTGTTTTGAATTAAGGCACGGTTAGCCACTCGGAATCTACCTTGAAGGACTGGCTCCTTTAGGATTCACACCTTTTATCTTACAGGCAGATGTTTGAAAAGTATGGGTTTTAATCTTTAACATATAATATTGATTGCAAGCACACAACTATTCCACTTTCTTAAATCATCACGGCAACTATCTCTTTGATAACTCCAGTAGATTATTGGAGAGAAATGATTCTGCATATTTTATGCACATTTATTTTACAATGGACATGCTAGAGAATTCATAGTAACTGTATATAAACGGCATAATCATGGTTAATTCACTTTCAGTCCATAATATCGTTATATGAGATGGCAAATGTAGTCTAGATACTTGCATAGTGGTGGTGACATGTATAGTATATAATCATGTAACTGTGAACAAAATTATAAGACTACATTCTTTTTTTTTGAGACGGAGTCTCGCTCTGTCGCCCCCAGGCTGGAGTGCAGTGGGGCGATCTCGGCGGCTCACTGCAAGCTCCGCCTCTCCGGTTCATGCCATTCTCCTGCCTCAGTCTCCCAGGACTGTGTAAGTTCAGCCTGAGATCTAAGCATGTTTAAAGCTCCTCAGCATCTCACTGAGTACCATGTACATACTGGGCCTGTAGGAAGGGAAATTGGAAAGTAACAAAAGAAAACATGGGCCTCTTGTTGCATCAGGCATGTTATACCAACAACAACTGTGACTAGGTCCTTCAGGATTCAGCCATGCAGCCCCACCTGGTGATATATGTAGCTGATCTCCATGAAGAGGGATCATGGAGATTGATGATCACAAATGAAGCTGGAGTATTGAGAGTAAGTAAGTATTAAGTGTATTTAAAGTCCTAGTTTTTAAAAATATAACTTGTCATTGTCTGTAAGGGTAAAGACAGAAGTTATGATTCAAGGAAGTTCATACTTCCTGAAAATTAACTAATAATGGCAAAGAAAAGTAGGACTTTGCAATTGATCCTCTCTATACTGATGTATGTTTAATGCAGGACTCTAAAGCTTTAGGTTCCTGCCTAGGAAGGATAGGAGAATTAATACTTTGCTTGCCACAACTTCCAAATAATCTGTTTTTTTGTTTGTTTGTTTTTTTGTTTTTTTCTGCAAAACCAGATTTGGAAGGCTTCCAAAAGAGCAGCTTCCTTGGTTTGCTTCCAGAACCTCCACTTCCGGCAGGACCCAGAAACACAACAGCAGCAGCCCATCTTGTGATACTTTGGCTCCTTTACTCTGACCACCAGCCAGAAGCTGGGGGTGGAAAAAGAATCAACAGCAATAGAAACGTTTCTAATTTTTAGAAAATACAAGATTGAAACTAACCAAAAATATGGGGATGAGGTGAGGGGTCAGAAGTAAATGCTACAAATTATATCATATTTTGGCAACAAAATCACTTAGATGTTAAGTTCCATGAAAGCAATGACAATGCCTGTGGTTACTTGTCTTTTTTCTCCAAAACCTAATATTGGGGTTGTGCACTTAATAGCTGCTCAGTAAATATTTGTGGAATGAATATAAAGAAAGACTAAATTATTTGTAGTCTGCTTGAAGGATAGAGACTTTAGTCAACTAAAGAGCATCTTCCTGTTTAATTTTCTTCAGGTGAAAAACATTACATGCTGGGCTTCTTCAAAATAAGAGGCTTAAAACAATTATTCTGACCAGGCAGCATCACTACTACATGTTATATGTTTTCCAGAGGTGCATAAGAAGCAAAAGTAGAGGAGAGTTTTTAAGTCATCAATATTTGTACCCATAGAACTTGACCAGCATTTCTACTGCCCTTCACCTTGAGGAAGATGCTTTCTCCAGGTTCAGCAACATCACTGACTTTGCTTTTGGAGGTAAAAAGCTTTGAAACATCACCTACAACCCTCATAGTGAAAGAGGATGGGGAGGTATGTGTGAAAGATTCCCTCAGATTGGTTGCAGGGTAAAGAGGTTGAGAGTTGAAGCAAGGATTGAACAGCTTCATCCATTATCCATAGACAGTTGCCATTTTTGAGTACTGCTTTGTGAAAGTAGAGGTTGCAAAGACACACAGACACCAGCCCTTATCCTTCTAGGTCTTACACTCTGGCAACCCCTTCACCAGCTGTATCTTCTTATAATTTCTTCTGCTCAAATTATAATTAATTTTATTTTTTGAAAAGTAATAATTAATTTAGGTTTATATATTTACATATTGTTCTAAAATCTATGTTGCATTTATCTATATTTTCATAATTACCATTTATATTATTAAGCCCCTTTTCTTCCCTAAGTTCTGCTTATATTACTATTTTTACACTCAAATATTTTAAGATGTATTACGGATATGAAATTCTGCCCCAAAGACACCTAAATTTTTAAAAAAGAATTAATAAACATCTTTAAAAGACTATTTCTGGCCAGGTGCAGTGGATCATGCCTGTAATCCCAGCACTTTGGGAGGCTGAGGTGAGCAGATCACTTGAGGCCAGGAGTTCGAGACCAGCCTGGCCAACATGGTGAAACCCCTTCTCTACTAAAACTACAAACATTAGCCTGGCATGGTGGTGGGCACCTGTAATCCCAGCTATGCAGGAGACTGAGGCACAAGAATTACGTGAACCTGGGAGGTGGAGGTTGCAGCAAGCTGAGATCGTGCCACTGCACTCCAGCCTGGGCAACAGAGTGAAACCCTGTCTTAAAAAAAAAAAAAAAAGGCTATTTCTACATGTTCAAAATAACATTACCACACTTAACAAATGTAACAATAATTTTCTAATATTAACTAATATAAAAATTCACATTCAATTTTTCCCATTTGACATCAAAATGTTTTTTACAACCAGGTGTCTTTTTAATTACACACCTTAAGACTCTCATCCGCATCCACAGTTCCCATCACATGCACATACACACACATACACACACACTAGCATACTCCAGTAGATCGTTTAGTCCCTGTCTTTCTTCAGGTTTACAGTATGGTGATACTATGCCTGTCCTTCCCTTGTCATCCTCCCCTGGGTCATTCTCTCCTACTGTCAACCCTAACATTTCCTACTCAGCCTCCCCAGGACAGCATAAAAGATGCAGGTGGTCAGTCTTATAATTAAAAACACATTTCTGAACACACTGTTCCAGGAAAGCCCTTTGCTGCTCCAAACACAGGCTTAGGATTTGGACTGCTCTAGCTGTTATAACAACTCTCAAAGAAGCACTTGTACAATTTGGAAGAAAACTTCCCTTACTGTTTGGCAGAATTTTCATGCTCACAGAAGCACACAGGAAGAACAACCAGCCTCACTAGCACTGGCACAGAAGACCAGAAGCTGGACAAGTGTCCCCAAAAAGCCCTGGCCTGCTTTTATTCCCAACTCTCTGTAATCCCTTCCCTCCAGATTCTAGTTTCAAGAGAATGCCACAGATAAAGTTAGCTTGCACAAATATTTCATGCCTTTGAGAGTATTTATGTGAAAGCTGAAGCATAACAATGACATTTACACACACACACACTCACTCTTTCTAAGGCACATGTGCACCCTAGTTGTGAACCCTGGGACTTTTACTGACATGCTGGAGAATGAAAAATTAGATTTGGATCAGGTGTGGTGGCTTAACACCTGTAATCCCAACATTTTGGGCTGCTGAGGTAGGAGGATCACTTGAGCCCAGGAGTTCGAGACCAGCCTGGGCAACATAGTGGGACCCCATCTCTGTAATAAATACATAATAAAAAATTAGCCAGGCATGATGGCACATGTCTGTAGTCCCAGCTACAGGTGGGAGACTGAGGTAGGAGTTTGGGTCCAAGAGGTCGAGCTGCAGTAAGCCATGATGGCACCACTGCACTCCAGCCTGGGTGACAGTTAGACCTCGTCTCAAAAAAAGAAAAAAAAAATTAGATTTGTGGCAGGGAGGGAGGGGTATTTTCTCATTTTCTTTTGGCAATTTCCAGAAAATGTTTTGTAGAAACGATTTGAATCATAAAAGTCAGTCTTTACATTTTAAAATTACCTATTAGTAATAGAGACATTCACAGGATTCACCCTGCAACCTTTTTATCCTTCGGAGTGTAACTCAGAATGCACTTCTTCAGGAACTCATCCAATTAAAGATAGGCCCTACTATGTGAGGTAGTGTTGATGGACATGGAGACAAAATGAAGATGGTTGCAATGAAGCGGTAGTGTTTGCCTGAGGTAATACCCCAGGTTCGTTGCCTCACACCAAGGAAACTGAGGCTGTGGACACACACAAGGAGTGCGTTTAAGAGCAGAGGTTTAATAGGCGAAAGAAAGAGAAAAGAGAAAAGCTCTCTCTCTTGCAGAGAGAGAAGGGCTCTCTGGTTCCATGGTGAAATGCACGAAGTTTTATAGACAGGCTTGAAGAGGTGGTGGTCTGATTTACATAGGGCATGAGAGATTGGTGGGCCGGGTGTGCCATTTGCATAGTGTATGAAGAAGCTGGCCATCCCATCCTAATCTTTTGTTATACAGATGGGGTTTCTACCTGGCCGGCACCATGTTGCCTGTTTTTTTACTGCACATGCGGTGACAAAGAAAATGGAAGAGGGGAACCTCCATGTTAAACATACCTAGCTTCCAGGTATCCCTTTTCTATTGGCACAGCTGCCAGCGTTTACCTATGCAAGCTTTTAGCTTGCTCATCTATGCTTGCAGCTTGATTTTTCAGGCTGCTTTTTGTTTGAAAAGAAGTGATTTGGGGGCTGCTTTTTATTAAAAGGAAACCTTACCAAGGACTCTCTTACCCTCACTATCTGCCTAAATAATTATTTCTAACTCCTGTATCAGTAATGCACAGAACAGCATCTTTTGCTGACACAGGGCTGTATGTGATCAGTAGAGCATTGTCCCTTGGAGATATATTCCAGACATTCTATGTTTTCAAGTCATTCACTTTTCTAAACATTTCCTGAAGCAATACAATTTTTTCAGAACTCTCTTTTCTTCTAGGTATGCACTTCCATGTCAAAGTCAGCTACATTCTTTAAGGTAGTATGTTTTTATGGTGTTTTAGAGGATATTAGAGGACTTAGAGGACTTTCACTACTGAAGAACTACCTCTAGCCTATAGGGCACTATTGTGTAAATTAAAAAGAGGACCTCCCTGGAGAAGATGAATAAGAAAAAGTGACCCCTCTAGGCATATGCAGCCACTCCCAGGAAATGGGAAGTCAACAGAAGCACCTTTTTGCAAAGAAAAAAAGCTTGTCTTCTATCCAGGGGAAGTACTCCACTTCAGGGTACAAGATGAGCAAAACAGAGCTCTGAATGGGCTGAGGGTTCCACATAGACTGCACAGCCTTGCCTGGCTAACCTGCCCTCAAATTCCTAACTGACCAAATCCCTGAGTGCTGGCTTGTTGTATAAACTTCCATGTGTTTTGTTGCTTTTTTTTTTTTTTTTTTTTTTTGACAGGGTCTCACTGTTGTCCAGGCTAGAGTAAGGTGGCATGACTCACTGCAGCCTCAAATTCTTGGGCTCAAGCAATCCTCCCATGTCATCCTTTCAAGTAGCTGGGACTACAAGGTGTGCACCGCCACATCCAGCTAATTTTTTAATTTTTTGTAGAAACAGGGTTTCATCATGTTGCTCAGGCTAGTCTCAAACTCCTGGACTCAAGCAATCCTCTTGCCTCAGCCTCCTAAAGTGTTGGGATTACAGGCATGAACCACCGCTCCCAGCCTGAACTTTTATTTTAATAAGAGATATGACTCTGTCTTGGTACTTTTGTACCAAAACAAATGTGATAATATTTCCATTCATGGCTTAATCCGTAGTATGCTTCAAAAGTAGTGCTAACCTAAAGGGAAGATGCTGAAGCACAAAATACAATTTTAAGAGTTGACTTCAGCCAAAGTGAGGACAGCTTTCCAGAAGACTCAGAGCCAAGTAACCCTGGATATGAGCTCCTTTCGGCCTTTATTACAAGCATGTTTTTAAAGGCAAATATTGGGATAGAGAGTGGGCTATACAAAGTGTTTTGTCAGGAATTCTCATTGGTTTACAGAAATAGCATTGATTAGTGATTGGCTAAACATTATTGAGTTAGAGGGTGTGAGTCATAGTGACTGCTGCAGCATTATTTCATTTATAGCTACTTGTGGCAATAGCAAGCAGTTTCAAAAGATAAATACATAGATCAAAAGCAGGGAAGGAGGGCATGATTGCTGTCTCATTTTAATGCCTTTCTGGGCCTGATAATTTGAAAGGGCTCACATTCCTTCGATAAAAGCTCTTTTCTTTCCTCATTATTCACGAAAACAAGAAAAATGGAAAGAAAATGAGACCACAGGTGCTTAAGCAAGATGGTTGGGCGGCACTCTCAAAGAAGAAAAAGGAGCCCTCTGCACTCCTTATGGAGAAAACAGAGAGCTTTCCTCTCCACTCATCTGGCTGACTACCGTGAGATAAAAGATACATCATACGTACAATTCACTGCAGAAACAGAACTCTGTGCTAGTGCGTGTAATTCTGAGATGAACAGCAATGTTACACAATGCACTGTTGAAGACAGCACTAACTAAAGTCTGCTTGTAAGCACTGCACAGGCCTAGCCTCATATCCACAGATGTCCCTTTCACATGATGAACAGGTATGCAAGGCATGTATTCTCTATCTTTCATATAAATGCATTGCTTATTCATGGCTATGCATGTTATTCTTGTTAACCTACTGCGATTTTCAGCAATGGTTGTTTGTGTCTTTTAGTCTTTCATTATTCTACTTCTTTTTTTTTTTTTTGGCGGGGGGAGAGGGGGACGGAGTCTCACTCTGTCATCCAGGCTGGAGTGCAGTGGTGCGATCTCGGCTCACTGCAACCTCCGCCTCCCAGGTTCAAGTGATTCTCCTACCTCAGCCTCCCAAGTAGCTGGGATTACAGGCACAGACCACCACGCCCTGCTAATTTTTTATATTTTTAGTAGAGATGGGATTTCACTGTGTTAGCCAGGATAGTCTCCATCTCCTGACCTCGTGATCCACCCGCCTCGGCCTCCCAAAGTGCTGGGATGAAAGGTGTGAGCCACTGTGCCCGGCTCATTATTCTAATTCTAAAAGATCCCTTTTACCTCCCCACATCTCACTGTCTGATGAGTGGAGCCAACATAAACATTACTTTAGGCTGGGTGCAGTGGCTCACGTCTGTAATCCCAGCATTTTGGGAGGCTGAGGCGGGCGGATCACCTGAGGTCAGGAGTTTGAGACTAGCCTGGCCAATATGGGGAAACCCCGTCTCTACTAAAAATACAAAAATTAGCTAAGTATGGTGGCGCACGCCTGCAGTCCCAGCTATTCGAACGGCTGAGGCAGGAGAATCGCCTGAACCTGGGAGGTGGAGGTTGCAGTGAGCCAAGATCATGCCACTCCACTCCAACCTGGGCGACAGAGCAAGACTCTGTCAAAAACAAAAACAAAAACAACCTTACTTTTATAACAATTTTTTTCTGCTATATTTTAATGGAGAAAATTTTATTTGTCAAAGACCAGACTACAACAAATTTAGTTTAAAGATCTCAAATACCTTTATTTGCAATTCTAGAATCAGGCAACAGTTTTCTCTGTAAAATATAGTAAATGTTCAAATGAATTGGGCAGAAGAGAGAAGAGTTTAGCTTTATAGACAGACGAGGGCTGAAGAAAGCAGAAGCAAAGAACAAAGAGTGTATTAGTTACTTTTAGACAACAATAGAAAAATAACTGATTAGTTAATATCAGATTACTTCAGGCTACCTTTTTTGTGTAAAGATTAAAGCAGAAAAAACTTCATTATAATGTGGATTAAAGATTTAAACTGGCCTTTTTGGAAAACTGGCGGTTATCTCTCTTTTCTAATTTCTTGGAAGTTCAGATAAAAACTTAGTTTAGGTTTGGTGATATGGAACTTTATTTAGCATGAGTGACTCCATTTTGATTTTGATTTTGATCTGCTAGGGTCTATGCAGAAGCTGAGTCCAAAACAATAGCCTCCTATAATTTTTATTTAACACATAGTAATTATTTATATTCCAGGCCATAGAATTATAACTAATATACTGTAGCCATTTCAACATGGCAAAAAATATTTAAAACTTCTGGACAATGGCATAGGACAAGGAAATAGATCTTTAATAGGACACGACATTTTAACAACTGAGATTGCATATAATTTTATACTTTTGGGAGGCTTTCAGAGAAGTTATAGAGGTAGGAAATTACTTTGACCAAATTGGCCGCCACCAAAACAACTAACTCCAAATCTTTGTTGATGTGGAAATGGTAAATTCTGTACCTTTATTTCATTTTCCTACCCCTTAAATCTAGTGCCCAGTGCAAATGCCAAGGGTGCAAATAGAAAGTTATTGAGTTAGGAAAACGTAAGTTTACTTCCTAAATATGAGTCAAGAATTTCACTGTTTGGGGCTTGTATTATTTGTACTCAGAAACCTCAAGTTCACTAAAATGTAATGTACATTGTTGTAATTTGGGATACAAGGGACTAAGAATAGCAAGAAGAAACTCAAAACCCATTCAAAGTCCCTGTGCACAGGATAAGATTTTTCCCTTGCCTAGGAAGATATTTTATACTACCCTGACAACTTATCTGATTGTAATAATTCCAAGGAGCTCTGGGCGTTTAAGGATAAAATACAACCTCTGATAAACCTGGCCTCAGGATTTAAAAATCTCAAATGCCTGAAGGGACCAGATAGAAATATGAGTGAAGCAAGAGGAAGGTTTGCCTATTAAATGCATAGAACTATTTTGTGTTTCCATGAACAAATACGCTCTTCATTGTTCTTGAAACATGTGGCTGTGTTGGCATCGCATGACATTTGTTACCCCACGATTGATAGAGACATGAGCAGCAGATAAATATTTCCAATACTAAAAGGAAAACAACAAACTGGTTGTGCTGGTGCGATGATGATTGGCAACTGTTAGCCTCAATGTTAGAGAGACAAAGCGAGCGATCAAATTTGTGGTGTCCTAGAAAGCTCACGTCCTGTCTAATGAGAACAGCTGCTTCTCAGCCAAGTGCACCATTATTGCACAGCAGTAGGTCAATCCATTGTTCCCCTATCTTTCAATTTTTCAAAGGAAGATGGAAACAGATTTTTAGGTAAAATCTCCTGATTTTAAATTTTAGCTTAACTTCTTTAAAATTGGTTGAATCAAGGAAAACACACATGTTGAAACCTCTGGTCAACACTATGCAGTATGAGATTAAAAGAACCCCTCACATTCCTGGAATTTCCATGTTTAGAACAGAAATCAGTGAGTGAGCAGCAACATGTATCTCAATGTGGAAGAATTTGGTTTCACATGTGATGCAAAGCAAATCTCTCAGCTATTTTTATTCACTGCAGAATTAAAGGGCTTGGGTCACCCCTCCCAGGTGTCTGTGATTTCCTGACTTACTGCTTGTAGCTTTTTTTCATCATTCAATATTTGTGTCATGTACTCAGGAATGACATACCCTATTTTGGCTGTGTGCTTGTATTCTGGATATGTATGTGTATCTACAGATCACTGAATGAGAAACTTCTTAGTGTTTCTCCACTGGATAAAAAATTCTGTCTATGCTGGGAATAGTTGCTACATGAGTTCCTAGAAGATGGAGTAGATGCATTTAAAATAGGACCATGCAGGATCAAATGGGTTAGTTACCTGTTAAAGATATGGGTGACGCCAAGAACCCAAACCTGTTGATCTACCATAGTCACCCTTGTGCTTTTTGTTCCAGTATATAAAATATTCCAGGCAACCTGGAGGACATTATGCAAAGTGAAATAAGCCCGAAGGTAAAATACAATATTCCAGGCAAACATACATAATTTTACTAGTTTGAGCATCAGTCACAAATCCATTCCTGGTCTCCTATTCTCAATAGTTGGCCTAGACATCTTGGGAAACTAAAGTACCTTTAGCAGGAGACCCAGACTCTAGAGGAGGCCACCCCTAGCCCTCTTTGACCTCCATTTTTTATTCCAAGAAATAAATTTCCCTAGACCTTACCTAACCACCTCAGCTGTGTTAGAGCAAGGAAAAACAGATCACATTTCTATGTGAAACAGAGATCAAAGAAAAACTCTTTCTTCTTTAATGGCTGGCTTGGTCCAAGGTGAATAATGAATTCTCCCTTCTTTTTAGGTACTCTTTTTGGTCCCATTGAACATTCAAGGGTGTGGGCATCTCTAAAACAGAGTATCTTGCAAATCACAATTTTGGAATAACTACAAGCTTCTCTCTCTCTCTGTCTCTTTCTCTCTCTCTCTCTTTCTCTCTTCCCTCCCCCTTTCTGGCCTTGTCCATTTTTTCTAAGCTAAGTCACTCCCAAATGTCATCCCACAATTTCCCAGAATACAATGGTGAAACCACCTTTGCAAGATTATGACTGAGACAGTGAAAGAGATCTAACCTAACTGACTCCATCTTGCTTCTAACCTTTAAGCTGTCCTTGTTCATTCCTGGGTGTACGCTGAACTAACTTTGGGAGAAACTTAGTTTGTAGTTTATAGTTTAAAACAAAGATGATAACAGCCCTTTACCAAAACAAACCTCCTTCTTGCCTGGGGACTAGACTGCCTTTCTAGTACTAACAAATTAGCCACAAGATTAGAAATGATGGTTTAGGGGTCATGCAGCTAGATGCTACAAGATTCTGATCCTCCCTAAACTGATCCTAAGATCAGTGCTTGAGATATTTTGCAGATCCTGCTCATGATGGATCAGCTGGCACCTTGTGCCCCCCACCCAGGAACTTACTCAGCACAAGAAGACAGCTTCAACTCCCTATGATTTCATCTCTGACCAATCAGCACTCCTGGCTCACTGGCTTCCCCCAACCCACCAGGTTGTCCTTCAAAACTCTGATCCTGGAATTCTCAGGAAGACTGATTTGAGTAATAAAACTCTGGTCTCCTGCACAGCCAGCTCTGTGTGAATTACTCTTTCTCTACTGCAATTCCCCTGTCTTGGTAAGTTGGCTCTGTCCAGGCAGTGGGCAAGGGGAACCCACTGGGCGGTTGCAATGGCAGTAATTCTAATTTCACTTATTTATTCTAAACAACACAGTAAGTTCCTGAGAGTAAACTAACACCCTCAAGTTCTCCAGCATTAATTTCTTTCACCTTTAACCAGATTAATGCCTTCCCTGGATTAGTCAAGGTAGTCATTTCCAAACAAGTAGCAATTTTTTGAAACTTCAAATCAAGAAACAAAAATGACAACAGGAAATAAATTAAAAAATCCAAAGTTTTTAATTTATCCTTAAATTTAGCCCAATGCCTCACATATGGAATAGTTTTTTTGTTGAAAACTCATCTCAGAGTTTCAACCTTTTAATCCACAAAGTGAATCCAGATGATCCAAATCTGATTGCTTTCTGTATGAGTGGCCTATTTCCCATTTTCTTTAAGAATTGATCTCCAAGTTCCAAAAAAAATTCTTAATTATACAGGCTAATCTTGGGGGAAAACAAACCAAATCTAACACAGAAATAAACCAATCTGTTACACCTTCATTAAACTGCTGGCATTTGCCAGCAATTCCACAAATACTGAGCCTTTGATAAATATTAAGAAATTCTTTAAAAACATGATTGTTTTGTAGGAAAGAGTGGGTAGACTGACTCATGGCCACTGTTTATATGCATGTCCAGAGATCCTGTTACGATTGTCCGGGCCGGGTACAGTGGCTCAGGCCTGTAATCCCAGCACTTTGGGAGGCCGAGGTGGGCAGATCACGAGGTCAGGAGATCGAGACCATCCTGGCTAACAGGTGAAACCCTGTCTCTATTGAAAATACAAAAAATTAGCCGGGCATGGTAGTGGGCACCTGTAGTCACAGCTACTCGGGAGGCTGAGGCAGGAGAATGGCGTGAACCTGGGAGGAGGAGCTTGCAGTGAGCCGAGATTGCGCCACTGCACTCCAGCCTGGGCGATAGAGTCAGACTCCGTCTTAAAAAAAAAAAAATAGATTGTCAGGCAACCATACTGAGCTCTATGCAGAAGAAGCAGCTCACATTCGTGTCTGAATGAGAACATCTGTGATGGAGGCAGGAAAAAGCTAATCCATGGGTGCTGCCCAATCTATTGTTGGAGAGGAAGGGAAGGCAGGTGTGACAATAAAGCACCTACTTTCATGCGCATCCGTGTGAAGAGACCACCAAACAGGCTTTGTGTGAGCAATAAAGCTGTTTATTTCACTTGGGTGCAGGCGGGCTGAGTCCGAAAAGAGAGTCAGTGAAGGGAGATATGGGTGGGGCCGTTTTATAGGATTTGGGTAGGTAAAGGAAAATTATAGTCAAAGGGGTTGTTCTCTGGCGGGCAGGAGTTGGGGTCACAAGGTGCTCAGTAGGGGA
Organism: Homo sapiens; assembly: GCF_000001405.40. Lineage (NCBI taxonomy): Eukaryota > Metazoa > Chordata > Mammalia > Primates > Hominidae > Homo > Homo sapiens. The sequence goes on along the minus strand of NC_000003.12, from coordinate 152,602,931 downwards.
GCTTTTGAGCCAGGATGAGCCAGGAGAAGGAATTTCACAAGATAATGTCATCAGTTAAGGCAGGAACAGGCCATTTTCACTTCTTTTGTGGTGGAATGTCATCAGTTAAGGCAGGAACTGGCCATCTGGATGTGTACATGCAGATCACAGGGGATATGATGGCTTAGCTTAGGCTCAGAGGCCTGACATTCCTGTCTTCTTATATTAATAAGAAAAATAAAATGAAATAGTGGTAAAGTGTTGGGGTGGTGAAAATTTTTGGTGGTAGTATGGAGAGATAATGGGTGATGTTTCTCAGGGCTGCTTTGAGCGGGATTACAGGCGGCGTGGGAGCCTAGAGTGGGAGGGATTAAGCTGAAGGAAGATTTTGTGGTAAGGGGTGATGTGGGGTTGTTGGAAGAAAGATTTGTCGTGTAGAATTATTAGTGATGGCCTGGATATGGTTTTGTATGGATTGAAAAACTAAACGGAATAAGAGAAGGAGAAATACAGGTATTAAAGGACTAAGAATTGGGAGGACTTAGGACATCTAATTAGAGAGTGCCTAAGAGGATTCAGCATAGTCCTGCCAGCAAAGATTATTTATTTACTTTAAGAGTTAAGAGTGGCAGTTTGGGGATAGCACCAGGAGGTATCAGCTGTGATGGCTTGGAGAAATAGTGTAAACTGGCAGTGTAAACAAGAGCAGGGCGTGTATGAGTAGTTGAGAATGGTGAATAGGAGTATGACTAGACAGAAGATAGTAGGGATGACAAGTTTTTTGGGGTGCAGTCCAAGTTGGTCTGGTGTCTGGAATGAGACTGGGGCCTAATAAAAAGGAGTGTCCATACAGGAGCTCAAATGGGTTGTACCTTGTAGTATTCTGAGGACAGGCCTGACTTCTGAGAAGGGAAAGTGGTAAAAGTATTCTCCAGTACTTTTTAAGTTGGTGGCTGAGCTTGGCGAAGTGTGTTTTTAAAAGACCTTTAGTCCGTTCTACTTTTCCTGAAGACTGAGGACTGTTAGGGATATAAAGGTTTCACTGAATACTAAGAGCCTGAAAAACTGCTTGGCTGATTTGACTAATAAAGGCTGGTCTGTTATCAAACTGTATAGAGGTGGGAAGGCTAAACTGAGGAATTATGTCTGACAGAAGGGAAGAAATGACTGAGAAGGCCTTCTCAGACCCTATAGGAAAGGCCTATATCTATCCAGTGAAAGTGTCTACTTAGATTAAGAGGTATTTTAGTTATCTGACTCGGGCATGTTGAGTAAAGCTAATTTGCCAGTCCTGGGTGGGGGCAAATCCTCGAGCTTGATGTATAGGGAAGGGAGGGGGCCTGAATAATCCCTGAGAAGTAGTAGAATAGCAGGGGGAACACTGAGAAGTTATTTCCTTGAGGATAGATTTCTACAATGGAAAGGAAATGAGAGGTTTTAAGAGGTGGGCTAGTGGCTCGTACTATATCATAGGCTGCCTTTGCTGGTGTGTGGCGATTAGGCCTGGTGGAACTGCCATCAATAAACTAAGTGTGATCAGGGTGAGGAACAGGAAAGAAGGAAACATGGGGAAATGGGATGAACATCAGGTGGATCAGAGAGATGCAGTCATGAGGGTCAGGTGTGGTATCTGAAATAATGTGGGAGGCCAGATTGAAGTCCGGGCCAGGAACAATGGTAATTGTGGGAGACTTAACAAAGAGTGAGTATAGCTGAAGGAGCTGGGGAGCAGAAAGTACATGCATCAGGTGTGAGGAAGAAAATAGATTTTGGAAATTATGAGAGCTGTAGAGAGTGAGTTGAGCATAGTTTGTGATTTTGAGGGCCTCTAAAAGTATTAGGGCGGCAGCAGCTGCTGCATGGAGACATGATGGCCAGCCTAAAACAGTAAGGTCAAGTTGTTTGGACAAAAAGGCTACAGGGTGCAGTCCCGGCTCTTGTGTAAGAATTCTGACCACACTAACCATGCCTAGGAAGGAAAGGAGTTGTTGTTTTGTAGAAGGTGTAGGGGTTTGAGAGATCAGCTGGACATGATCGGCAGGGAGAGCAAGTGTGTTTTTATGAGAATTACGCAGAGATAGGTAACAGATGAGGAAGAAATTTGGGCTTGACTGAAGTAATGGGGGCTGTCTGTGAAGACGTGCGGCAGTACAGCCCAGGTAATTTGCTGAGCTTGATGAGTGTCAGGGTCAGTCCAAGTGAAAGTGAACAGAGGCTGGGATGAAGGGTGCAAAGGAATAGTAAAGAAAGCATGTTTGAGATCTAAAACAGAATAATGGGTTGTGGAGGGAGGTATTGAGGATAGGAGAGTATATGGGTTTGGCACCATGGGGTGGATAGGCAAAACCATTTGGTTGATAAGGCACAGATCTTGAACTAAACTGTAAGGCTTGTCTGGTTCTAGGACAGGTAAAATGGGGGAATTGTAAGGAGAATTTATAGGCTTTAAAAGGCCATGCTGTAGCAGGCGAGTGATAACAGGCTTTAATCCTTTCAAAGCATGCTGTGGGATGGGATCTTGGCATTGAGTGGGGTAAGGGTGATTAGGTTTTAATGAGATGGTAAGGGGTGCGTGATCAGTCGCCAAGGAGGGAGTAGAGGTATCTTATACTTGTGGGTTAAGGTGGGGGATACAAGAGGAGGACGCAAAGGAGGCTTTGGATTGGGAAGAAGGGCGGCAATGAGATGTAGCTGTAGTCCAGGAATAGTCAGGGAAGCAGATAATTTAGTTAAAGCGTCTCGGCCTAATAAGGGAACTGGGCAGGTGGGGATAACTAAAAAGGAGTGCTTAAAAGAGTATTGTCTAAGTTGGCACCAGAGTTGGGGAGTTTTAAGAGGTTTAGAAGCCTAGCCGTCAATACCTACAACAGTTATGGAGGCAAGGGAAATAGGCCTTTGAAAAGAAGGTAATGTGGAGTGGGCAGCCTCTGTATTGATTAAGAAGGGGACGGACTTACCTTCCACTGTGAGAGTTACTTAAAGCTCGGCATCTGTGATGGTCTACGGGGCTTCCGAGGTGACCGGGCGGCGTCAGTCTTCAGCCGCTAAGCCGAGAAGATCTGGGAAGGAGTCAGTCAGAGAGCCTTGGGCCAGAGTTCCAGGGGCTCTGGGAGTGGCTGCCAGGTGAGTTGAACAGTCCAATTTCCAGTGGAGTCCTGCACAGATGGGACATGGCTTAGGAGGAATCTCGGGCTGCGGGCATTCCTTGGCCTGGTGGCCAGATTTTTGGCACTTGTAGCAAGCTCCTGGGGTAGGAGGTTCTGGAGGAACGCCTGGCCGCTGCAGTTCAGGTGGGCTGCGGGCATTCCTTGGCCTGGTGGCCAGATTTTTGGCACTTGTAGCAAGCTCCTGGGGGAGGAGGTTCTGGAGAATGCCTGGCCGCTGCAGTTCAGGCGTTTGGAAGTTCTTGTGTGCTGGAGATATGGCTGGGGTTTGCCTCACAGTGGAGGCAAGGAATTGCAACTTTTTTCTATTATTGTACACCTTGAAGGCAAGGTTAATTAAGTCCTGTTGTGGAGTTTGAGGGCCGGAATTTAATTTTTGGAGTTTTTTCCTAATTTCAGGAGTGGATTGGGTGATAAAATGCATATTAAGAATAAGGCGGCCTTCTGGCCCCTCTGGGTCTAGGGCAGTAAAGTGTCTAAGTGTTGCTGCTAAGCGGGCCATGAACCGGGCTGGGTTTTCGTCTTTACCTTGGGTAGTTTCTTTAAGCTCGTCATAATTAACAGCTTTGTAAGCTGCCTTTTTAAGCCCTTCAACTAGGCAGGAAATCATGTAATCTCGCCTAGCTATACCTGGGGAATTTGCCTGGTAGTTCCATTGGGGATCCTCTCGGGGAACTGCTCTAATGCCTTCCTGGAGGTCTGGCTCATGAAGCCAGCGGTTGTCAGCATGAGATTGGGCTAGAGAAAAAACTCTTTCCCGTTCATCTGGGGAGAGGGTAGAAGTCAGGATGACATTTAAGTCACTCCAGGTTAAATTGTAGGACAGAGTTAGATATCAGAATTCCTGTATGTATTTAGTGGGGTCTGATGAGAAAGAGCCTAAACATTGACTGATCTGAGAGCGGTCTGATAGAGAAAAAGGTACATGTACCTTGACTATGCCTTCAGCTCCAGGCACCTCTCTAAGAGGAAATTGCTGGGCAGGTGGGGAAGAGCTAGTCATGGAACTAAACTGTAAGCCAGACCGGGTGTGAGGAGGGGAGGTGGTAGAAGTATTATAGGTGGAGGAGCGGAGGCTGAGGAAGAATTGGGACTTAGCTCAGCTTGGTGAAGAGCAGCCTGAGGAGGAGGGGAGAGGTCAGATGGGTCTGTAGAAAAGGAAGACTGGAAAGACTCAGCAATGCTTGGGGTTGGGACTGAGGGGACAGGTGGGAGGGAAAAAAGGAGGATTTGGGAGGAATCGAATTGGGAACAGAGACTAGGGAGGGAATGAAGTGTGAAAAATGCCTGGACTTAAGGCACCTCAGACCATTTGCCCATTTTTCGACAAAAATTATTTAGGTCCTGTAGGATGGAGAAATTGAAAGTGCCGTTTTCTGGCCATTTAGAGCCATTGTCAAGTTTGTATTGGGGCCAACCGGTGTTGCAGAAGAAAATAAGGCATTTAGGTTTTAGGTCAGGTGTGAGTTGAAGAGGTTTTAAGTTCTTGAGAACACAGGCTAAGGGAGAAGAAGGAGGAATGAAGGGTGGAAGGTTGCCTATAGTGAAGGAGGCAAGCCCAGAGAAAAGAGAGAGTAGAGACATGGAGGGAAGGGGTTCGGGGGTTCTTACCCTCCAGAAAAGTGGGAAAGGGGTCGGGGCATGGAAATAAGGGGTCAGGGCATGGAGATAAGAGGTTGGGGCACGGAAATAAGGCATTGGGGCACAGTGATAAGGGATTGGGGCACAGAGATAAGAGGTCAGGATGCAGGGATAAGGGATTGGGGGTTCTTGCCCCTTAGAAAAGCGGGACTTGCCACTAAGGGTGAAGGAGAAGGGGTTGAGGAGTTCTTGCCCTTCCCCCATAAAAGCAGAGAAGGGGTAGAGACATGGAGAGAAGGGGTTGGCAAGTCCCCCAGAAAAGCGGGACTTGCCGCTAAGGGTGAAGGACCAAGGCAGGCGTCCCTGCGTGGTCTGACACCTCTGAAACGTGGGTGAATAATCAGAGAAGCATCCCTGCAGTGATTAAACACCAAGGGAAGGCTGCCTTCCTAGTCCGTGACCAGCGCCGGAGTTTTGGGTCCATGGATAAAATGTGTCTCCTTTGTCTCTACCAGAAAATGAAAGGAATTGAAATTAAGAGAAGGGACAGATTGAAGTGTGGCGCCCAGATTGAAAGGAGAAAGAGGTTGAGGGATAGAGGGAGGTTGGAGAAGAGAGTAAAAAGAGGCCGCTTACTGGATTTGAAATTGGTGAGATGTTTCTTGGGCTGGTGGTCTGAGGACCTGAGGTCGTAGGTGGATCTTTCTCATGGAGCAAAGAGCAGGAGGACAGGGGATTGATCTCCCAGGGGAGGTCCCCCGATCCGAGTCATGGCACCAAATTTCATGCACGTCCGTGTGAAGAGACCACCAAACAGGCTTTGTGTGAGCAATAAAGCTGTTCATTTCACCTGGGTGCAGGCGGGCTGAGTCCGAAAAGAGAGTCAGCGAAGGGAGATGGGTTGGGGCCGTTTTATAAGATTTGGGTAGGTAAAGGAAAATTATAGTCAAAGGGGTTGTTCTCTGGTGGGCAGGAGTGGGGGTCACAAGGTGCTCAGTAGGGGAGCTTTTGAGCCAGGATGAGCCAGGAGAAGGAATTTCACAAGATAATGTCATCCATTAAGCCAGGAACAGGCCATTTTCACTTCTTTTGTGGTGGAATGTCATCAGTTAAGGCAGGAACTGGCCATCTGGATGTGTACATGCAGGTTACGGGGGATATGATGGCTTAGCTTAGGCTCAGAGGCCTGACACCTACTGTTCCATATTCAGATGCTGATCTGTTCTTTATATGAAGTTGCTCCCAGGGTGTCAAAGTAAGGGAACCAGCTCCTGTAAAACTCAATCTGCAGATGATTCTCAAACACAAAACCCTTGCAAGTCTTCCTCTGCCAGCTCAGAGACAGTTACAGTTTCAGGAGAGCCATGTAGGATGATTCTTTGGTTTATCAGAAAATAGTTAAGCCATTTGTATTGATAGAGCAGGCATCATGCCAGTTGAAACATTCTTACACAACCCAGCCACTCTGGATGATTTGTACATCTTGGATCCAGGCACAATAAGCAGCTTAACTTGGAGCTGAGAAATGAAAACAAAGGATGTGGTCTCGCTGTGGCTCCCTGACCTCAGGGATCTGTATGGTTTCCATGATTATAAATTATCTAAGAAGAAGTTGAGTTCTAGGTCCAGAGAAATTATTCCGAGCAGCAGGAATATACTGACTAAACTGATGCACCAAAATGTCAGATAGTTCCTCTGGTTTTGTTTCTTTTTAAATGTTGTTGTTGTTAGGGTTATTTTTCCCTCCACAAGTCACTTTTTGGCTTGGCAAAAATGAACTGCAGACTGTAGAATATCAAGGAAGTGAGATCTGAGTCTTCCAGCTGTGTTGCTTTAAAGGATTCAATTAGAGCACAAATGAGCTCCACGCACATATTTGGGCAGTGCAAAGTTCACTCTCAGGGGGTGGGACCTTGCTAAAAGAACTCATTCTGCTTTGGCTGATAAGAAAATGTGCTTCCTGTTTCTCTTCAAGGACAAGAAACTTAAAGTAAAATTTTAGCCAGCATCAGAGAGCTATGACACTTTCACTTCCTAACTTGAGACTTAGGACTTGCTGTTTGAAAAGCTACATTTGAGAGAAAGAGCTCGAATCTTTGGCTTCTTCCATCTTGCTATGAAGAAAAGGAAAGAGATTTGTGGTCTCCATTCTCTCCCTGACACCAGACTAAAAGATTCCTTGGAATAATCAGAACTGAGAAATATATTATACTTTATTCACTTAACCCTAGATCAATTATATTACCTCTTTTCTTTCTTTCTTTCTTTCTTTCTTTCTTTCTTTCTTTCTTTCTTTCTTTCTTTCTCTCTCTTTCTTTCTTCTTTCTCTTAGTATTTTTTAAATAATTTATTATTATTATTATAATTTGAAACAGGGTCTCACTTTGTCACCCAGGCTGGAGTGCAGTGCCATAAGCCTAGCTCACTGTACCCTCAACCCTCTGGGATCAAGCAATCCTCCCACCTCCACCTCAGCCTCCTGAGTAGATGAGTAGCTGGGACTACACATGTGTGCCACCACACCCAGCTAATTTGTAAAAATTTTGTAGAGACAGGGTCACACTGTGTTGCTCAAGCTGGTCTCAAACTCCTGGAATCAAGCAATCCCCCCACCTCAGCCTCCCAAAGTGCTGGAATTACAAACATAAGCCACTGTACCTGGTCTGTGTTACCATTTTCATAGTAAAATATTTTTACCACAAAGCTAATTTATCACTAAATATACTCTGTTCTCTTATAATGAACATGTGTCATTCTTTTTGTATGCCCAGCATACATCTTGCTTTTTTTGTGTAAGGAATTTTCTACCTTATGAGTGTGGGTGGGAAACAGTGACCTCTTCTTGTAAATTTGTTTGAGTTCATTGTAGATTCTGGATATTAGCCCTTTGTCAGATGAGTAGGTTGCGAAAATTTTCTCCCATGTTGTAGGTTGCCTGTTCACTCTGATGGTAGTTTCTTTTGCTGTGCAGAAGCTCTTTAGTTTAATTAGATCCCATTTGTCAATTTTGTCTTTTGTTGCCATTGCTTTTGGTGTTTTGGACATGAAGTCCTTGCCCACGCCTATGTCCTGAATGGTAATGCCTAGGTTTTCTTCTAGGGTTTTTATGGTTTTAGGTTTAACGTTTAAATCTTTAATCCATCTTGAATTGATTTTTGTATAAGGTGTAAGGAAGGGATCCAGTTTCAGCTTTCTACATATGGCTAGCCAGTTTTCCCAGCACCATTTATTAAATAGGGAATCCTTTCCCCATTGCTTGTTTTTCTCAGGTTTGTCAAAGATCAGATAGTTGTAGATATGCGGCATTATTTCTGAGGGCTCTGTTCTGTTCCATTGATCTATATCTCTGTTTTGGTACCAGTACCATGCTGTTTGGGAAAAAAACAAACAACCCCATCAAAAAGTGGGCGAAGGACATGAACAGACACTTCTCAAAAGAAGACATTTATGCAGCCAAAAAACACATGAAGAAATGCTCATCATCACTGGCCATCAGAGAAATGCAAATCAAAACCACTATGAGATATCATCTCACACCAGTTAGAATGGCAATCATTAAAAAGTCAGGAAACAACAGGTGCTGGAGAGGATGCGGAGAAATAGGAACACTTTTACACTGTTGGTGGGACTGTAAACTAGTTCAACCATTGTGGAAGTCAGTGTGGCGATTCCTCAGGGATCTAGAACTAGAAATACCATTTGACCCAGCCATCCCATTACTGGGTATATACCCAAATGAGTATAAATCATGCTGCTATAAAGACACATGCACACGTATGTTTATTGCGGCACTATTCACAATAGCAAAGACTTGGAACCAACCCAAATGTCCAACAATGATAGACTGGATGAAGAAAATGTGGCACATATACACCATGGAATACTATGCAGCCATAAAAAATGATGAGTTCATATCCTTTGTAGGGACATGGATGAAATTGGAAACCATCATTCTCAGTAAACTATTGCAAGAACAAAAAACCAAACACCGCATATTCTCACTCATAGGTGGGAATTGAACAATGAGATCACATGGACACAGGAAGGGGAATATCACACTCTGGGGACTGTGGTGGGGTCGGGGGAGGGGGGAGGGATAGCATTGGGAGATATACCTAATGCTAGATGACACATTAGTGGGTGCAGCGCACCAGCATGGCACATGTATACATATGTAACTAACCTGCACAATGTGCACATGTACCCTAAAACTTAGAGTATAATAAAAAAAAAAAAAAAAAAAAAAAAAAAAAAAAAAAAACAGTGACCTCTTTCCATAAAAAGTCTAGGAAAATTGCTTGAAGAGAGGACACAGGCATGTGTCTTTGGTTTTGCCAATTAGATGCTCTCTTGGAGGATGTGGATTTGAGAACTGATGATGCAAAGACCTATCCTTTGGGTTAGGGTGGCAAGAGCTCTAGTCAGCATCTGGCACTATGAGTATCTGCAGTATAAGCCTCAAAATCTGTGCCTGGAAACAGTGACATCAGTGTCTCTATAAGACCAGCCCTACTAGGCTTTATGTTGGGCAATACAAAGTTGGACTTGGTTCTTGGTGAAAGTCTCCAAGCCAATTATCTGGCCCACTTGGGAATAAATGATAATTCTGCTTAAATAAACCAAATTTCTGTTGCTTGCAACAAAAACCCTGACTGATTCACTCTGTCAGCTTAATTTCCTTCCCTGGCTTCTCTTTTCCCCTCTTCCTTTCCCTTCTTTCCTCTTCCTGCTTCTTTTTCCTTTCCTCCCTCTTCCTTCTCCCCCTTTTCCTTTCCTATTTCCCTTTGCTTTCTTCCTCCTCCTCCTCTTCCTCTTCTTTCACTCTCTTCTCCTCCTTCTCCCCATCTCTCTCCTTCCCTCCTCATTCTTTTTTTCTCCTTCTAATCCTTGTCTTAGTTCTTCTCTCTCCATTCTCCTTACTTTCACTCTCTCCTCCACATTATTTTAGTTCTATTTTCAAGTATTGACACTCCTACCCTGAAAGAAATAAAAAACTCTAAACTTCCATTTTGTAGTTGATGAAACTGAGACCTAACATGTTTAAACAAATTATTCCAAATGGCCAGAATTCAAGGTGCCTTCCTCTTAATTTAATGTTCTTAGCACCATGCCATCATGCTACCTAAACAGTATATTTGATATGTTCCCTGAAGATGAATGAGCTGTTGATTCAATGCTATATATGTAAGGGAATAATTTACTAATAACATTTAGTAAAAGGACGTTTATAAAATATTACACATTCCATATTCTTCCACTGCCTTGGCATAGAGAATAAGTAGATGAGTGTGTATTTGTGTCCAGTCCATGTTTATTTGACTTATGTGGTTATGTGATCATGTGAAAAAAAATTGGAGTGGAGACCTGGGAAATCACCTCTGTTGGTCCAGTAAACTAACAGTAATCATCATCAGTATTAGTTATTATTAACAGGGAAAAATCAGTTGAGATTTTGCATAAAATATAACAGTGCTCTTTCAAAAGATACATCACATCTTGCCTTTCTTTAGCGTAAAATCACTTCATGGCTTCCCACTGCACTTGGAATAGGATCCAAAGTCTGAGTAGAGTGACAGTATCATTTCTACTCCCCTCTAGGACATGTGTGAGATAAAAGGAGCCCTATTAGTCAAGAAGAGGACAACAGGTACAAACTGAGACTGAACCTTACAAGGAAACCGAGATGCATGATTACTCCTTGCACATAGCCTTGACTTTCTCTCTAATCTCATATAGTACCACTCATCTCCCAGCTCAGTTTGCTTCCAGCATGCTGTTTTTCTTTTCTTCTTTTTTATCCTTGAATATCCTAAGCTGGTTTTCTTCTCAAAGGTTTTGCATTTGCTGTGCCCTCTGCCTGGAACACTCTCTCCCTATCTGTTCACATGGCTGCCTCTATATCATTTTGGACTCAGCTCAAATGTAGTTTCTCAAGAGAGGCCTCTTTAGACTAATCTAATAATATTCATTCTTCCACCCCACACCTCCTTCTGTTTATCCTTTATTTGAAATAGTTGTTTACAAGTTGGTTTAATTTCCAGATATCTAAATATGAGCCCATAAAGGCAAGGACCTTGTCTCTCAAGTCCACTTCTTTGTCTGTAGTGCCTAGACAGTGACTGGCACACAGAGGTATATGTATTTGTTAAGTGAATGAATGTATAAAAGTAGAATTGGAAAAGAACATTTTACTATTTAACTAATAATGATTGCAGTTATGCAGTCAAAGACATGTTAACATTTTAACATTCCTACACATGCATATACAACATAGCAAGAACACAATTCCTGTGAGAGCACCTTCATATTTCCAATTACTGCATTCATTTTAATTGTCCAAAGGTACCAACCTATTTCAGAGAGTCTCGTGCACTGCATAGAAGATGAGATGAGATGATGGCTTATAAATGGAATCAGAACTTTAGCATCAGAATTAGAGGATAGAGGGCTTAAATGTGGCTGTTTGTGGTAGGTTGGTAGTGTTCCAGGAAGGCTGATAGCATGGTCTTATGTTCCCTTCAGTCATCTAAAATGCTTTTATTTGCTCATGTCCTTCTCTTATCACTTATGTCACATTTCTCTGCTTGTTTGCCTGCCTCCCGTTAGACTGTAATCACCAAAAAGGCAGAGCAAGATGTTTTTTCTTTCTAATATTTGTTACTCCCCAACCCTGACTCCCACCCCCATGGTACCTTGATCACTTGGAGCTTATTAATGTTTGTTAAACAAAATTGAATTAAATTATATAAAATAGATCAATATAAAATTTTCAGAAATGATTAACCACACATTTTAGGAACAACGTCAATGATATACAAAGCAAGCATGTGGCAATATAAATGTTGCTGATTTAATAACTTTTTGCATTATAAAATTTGAGATGCTTCAGTATCAGTTTGGGCTAAGAGCCCTTTTTAACCTGTCTCCAGTCTGCAGGTGATTTCTAGTCTCCGAGGTCTTCTTACGTCCTACAGGCTAGTGTGTGGGCAGCACCCAGGTGCCACAGGGATGTCAATTACCTGCAGTGGGCCTCAATCTAACACCATGACCCTCCCTGGGGGTTCCGAGTTTTTAGAATAGGCTGGGATCAGGAACCAGCCCACCTCGTTTCCATATTTGTACTTCACATTTCAGACTATTTCTTACCAACATTTTCAAACACTCCCTAAAGTAGGAAATATGGTTCATTGAATCCATATGCCTCCTCAACCAGCTTCATCCACTATTCATTTTCTGCTGTTTCTTCCTTCATCTCTTTTTGTGCCTACCAAACTTTTATTTTTTCAGATAATTTTGAATTCCAGTTAGCATATTATTTTACTAATAGATTATTTGATATGTATATCTCATCAGCAATGCTTGTTAGCATGACTATGGCACTCTTATCACATCTAATAAAATTAATAAATAATTTATTAATATCGAATAAATAGGCTGATTCAACTTTCTTCAATTATCACAAATGTATTTTTATAACTGGTCTGTTAGAATCAGAAAACAAATAATACCAAATATTGCTTTTCATTGATATGTCTCTTAAGTTTCTTGCGATCTATAACACTTTCCCCTCCTTTTTGTGCCATTTGTTTGCTGAGGAAACTGAGTCATTTGTCTCATAATTTCTCACATTCTGGATTAGGCTGACCATAATCTTCATGGTGCTTTCAACATGCTTCTTTATCTTCCATACTTTCTTAAAATTCATAGTTAATGATTCAGAAACTTTTGGGGGGGAGTGGCTGTTGGTAGTATATACTTTCCATTATATCACATCAAGATGAATATAATGCCTGGACATTACACTTTCAGTAATGTTTAGATTGATGACAGGATTCAGGTGTCACCAGTCTCACATATGTTCTACAAATACCTCCCCACTAATTGTTCACCTAATGGTTACAGCCACCATCAGTGATAATTGCCCAAATCTGTTACTTCATTAAAATTTTCAAAATGGGATTTTTTTCAAGCCTATTATTATCCTTCTTTCATCAAGGAGAACTTTTTTTCGTCAACTATCTGGTTGCCTTAAAATCTGGTTCTTGCAGGAAAGGCAGGATATATGCTTGAGTCTCTTTCCTTAACTATAAATTTCCAGGGTAATTTTTGTTGGTATTTTAACAAGCTCCAAAAGTGACCACTGAGTTTTTATTTTAAATACCATCATAAAGTCTTCGATTTTTAAATGTTTTTATTTAACATGTTTAATTCATTGCAATTATTTTTCTTTTTTGATACTTAAGTTCTCCCAACTTTGGCCAAGGGAGGCCCTTCAAGTTTGTTTCTGTCTTTTGACACCATGCAGTTTCCTTTGATAGTTTTGCTTTCAGGCACAACAATATGTTCCAAATTCATCTTGTCTACTTCCTGTTCCAGACCTGGAATCAGCGGTTTTTTTTTTTAAGGAGTCTTGGTTCCTTTTAATGGGAAATATTTTTTTTAAAAAACCACAGCCTGGGCACCAGGAGTATTCATTATTTCCTGGTTTTCATTGCTTCTAGGTTTTTTAGTGGAACAAGTAAGAAAATAGTGAATATAGTTTTTTAGAAAAATAAACATGATTCCTAAGTTCATGCTATTATTTTCACCAATTGCAATGAAAGATATCAGTGTTTTTATGTTCTTAGTTTTTATATTTATATCTCTTTACCTTTCTTCTGAACATATCTTAACTCATGAAAATATTAACATAATTCTTTATTTTATGTCTATACACACAATAGTTTCAAAATAATAATAGCAGTATTTTCAGTAATAACCTACTGAATATATATTAATATTTCTTTGTGGTTTTCTTTTTTATCCTTAGAATGTGTGATCAAAATATTATTAATTAAAGCCGATTAAATTGAATCTCCTCCATGTCATTGTCACCTACATGATATATAGTTTGGTTCACTTGTTTCAGGTTTTGAAAATTATTATTTTTTGATACAACTTTTTAAGTTGTGTTATATATAAGCATGGTTTCAAAATGAAAACATAAAGCAAGGTACATTCAGTTTTAGAAAAGTCAAGTTTCCATCCCTGACCCTACCCACCTCTGTTCTCTCCCTTCTTCATAAGTGACATGTTTGTTAGGTTTTAAATAGATATTAAAGCAAAACCTAATGTGTGTGTGTGTGAGAGAGAGAGAGAGATAAAAGCATAAGTAAACGTATCTATATAATTAAAGCAATATAAACATATATTTGTCTATTTGTTGCACAAAAGGTAGTGTGCTATGTACACTCTTATATAAGTTGCTTTTAAAAAATTTCAATTAACAATATATCTTGGTAATAGCTTCATAGAAATATAGATAAATACTCCTCATTTAATTAAGGTTGTATACTATTCCACTATTTGAACATACCTAGTTTATTCAATGCATTCTTTACTGGTGGGAATTTGGGTTGTTTCCAGTCTTTTTCTGTTACAAATAGTGATCTAGTCCAATTTTTTAACTATATCTCCCTGACAAGGGATGGATAGCCAGATTCTGAGAGAACAAACTTTATTGAGTTGCCACTATCTTTTTTTTTTCCCAAGACACAGTTTCACTCTGTCGCCCAGGCTGGAGTGCAGTAGCATGATCTCAGCTCACAGCAACCTCCTCCTCTCAGATTAAAGCAATTCTCCTGCCTCAGCCTCCCGAGTAGCTGGGATTACAGGTGCACGCCACTATGCCCAGTTAATTTTTGTATTATTAGTGGAGACGGGGTTTCTCCATGTTGGCCAGGCTGGTCTGGAACTCCTGACCTCAAGTGATCCACCTGCCTCGTCCTCCCAAAGTGTGGGATTACAGGTGTGAGCCACTGGTCCTTGCAGAGTTTTCACCATCTTTAATGTCCTAGGGAAGTACACATACATTGAGATGTGATTCCTGGTCTAGAAGAATTCACACTCCATTTGAGCTGGAATTCTAGATCCTTTTGTATATATGACTGTATCACTGAATAGCTGTGTGACTTCATAGTGTGTGATCTTGGGCAGGTTAACGAACCTCTGTGGGTCAGTTTCCTTATCTGTGAAAAGCAATAATGGGATCTACTTCCCAGGTGTGTCATGAACATTAAATGAAACAAGATTTTAAAAAGCATAGTGCCTAGTACATAAGAAGTGCTCAATAAATCTATCTACAAATGGATATAGACATTTTGGCTAAAATACACCATCAGCAAAAATTAATACTATTAATATTTTTGAAGTAGTGTGGCAAAGTAGGAAGAGCAAGGACTTCAGCAACAGTAGACCTAGGCTTAAGTGCTTAACTTTACCACCTCCTCTGGCCTGCCTTGACTTTTTTTTTTTTTTTTTTTTTTTTGCCTTTGAGCTTCACCTCCTTCACCTATAAAATGGGAATAATATCAATTATCTGGCTTTAGAGTTTTGGTAATTATAAGAGATTGTACCAAGGACAACATATGGCACAGAGTAAGCAGACAAGAAATATTGCCTTATGTCTCTCTCCTGCTCTAAGACTGCATTACAAAGACTTAAATTGGCAATTGGGACCCAGCCATCATACCAAGTCTGGTCCTCCTACAGGGGCTGCTGGGAAAAATGTCTACTTATAGTAAAGCAGAGGCACCAAGTAATTCCTCACTAGGATTCCCCCTGTTCTGCATTGTTCCATTTTCTTGAAACTTGGGTATTTTCTAATTTATCTTAGGACCTATCTCTCTTCTCAGAGATGTTCTCTCTGTTTCTCTCTCCTGATCTCTACTCTACCCAATAGTGTAATGCACCACCTACAAGCTTGTACTGGAAACTGCAGTCTTGGGCTCAGATCAACATCAAACTCACAAAGCAAAGTAAGCTTCAACCAGCCCTAAGTATTTTTGGCTTTAAGATAAGACAGGAAACAAGCATCTGCAATAATGGCACAGTGGAAGATTCATGATTCCTAGTCACAGTTTCTGATGTCCCAGTCACTTTACCTTTGGGACACATGGTGGTCACAGGAGGCAGGCCGAGTACATGTAGACTACCTCAACTCAGGGAAGACAACAGATGAATGGTCCCTTCACCCTTCCTACCTAGTGAATCACGACCTGTCTCCCCCACTCTGATGCAAGTAAGTTCCTTACGACTGCATTTCAAAGATAAGGTAAAAGAGGTTCATCCAGAACATAGTCAACAGGCCAATTCTCATTTATCTTGGATATGGCATAAATTCTTAAACAAGTTCTTGAGTTAATGCTGCAGAGAGGTTAGACCGAATCAAATCCTTAAGTGTCTCCAAAACTAGAGGAAAGGTTATGAAACCAGCTGTTAATCCTTGCCGCTCCATGTATGTGTGGAGGGGAATAGAGTATAATATAATATAGTATACTAGATACAGATACAGTGTGAAATGCTTTACATAAATCTCCTTATTCAACCCCCCCATGACAACTTTACAACAAAAATACCATTTTATTCTGATTTTACAGATGAAGAAATAAATTACAAGTTCAGAATCAAATAGGCCAAAGTTCAAATCCTGATTGCCCCACTTACTTGTTTTCTGCCCTAGGGAAGAATACATAGCCCCTGAGCCTTCATTTTCTCACTTAAAATAATAACACCTACTTCCAAAGCACTATGAACAGTTGTGAAACTTGTGTATTGCACGAAAATATGATTTGGGGCTAAAATCCAGCCTGCATTCCCTCACCAACCCATGTGCCTTACGACTTTTTCTTTCCAGATTCAACAGCTTTTTCTAACTTGCACAGAGAAATTCTATAGGCTAGTGGCAGCCAGTGCTGCAACCCAGTAGAGTTCATAGTTTTGTAAAGATTAAGGGAGATAAATTAATAGTGCCTTGTGTATAGAAAGCTTATAATTAATATCTGCTCTCTTTATTCCCTTTAATATATCAGTGATAGATTTTTCTTTCAACAGAAACTATAAATGGCCAGTAACAAATTATACTTAGAATTATTATGGCCAACTGGCTATGCCTTTCAGCAGAGAGATTCAGATCAAGAGTTCAGTCTCCACAGTAGAATTTGAGGCACACACTATTAGCAGAAGAGAATCCCGAAGACATGGGTCTCCTCATCTTCTGACCACAGTACACAGTTCACCTGCTCTGCCTTTTTATAAGGCAGTGAGCATTTCTAAAGCAAAGTGATGTCTTCATTTACATGTAAACCCCATTATTCCAGCTTATCTAAAAACTCCAGCCTACATTTTGTAGTTTAAAAAAATCAGCTTTGACCAGTCTGGGCAAAATAGTGAGACCTCATTTCTATGGATAATAATAAAAAAATTAGCCAGGCATGGTGGTGTGCCCCTGTGATCCCAGCTACTCAGGAGACTGAGGCAGAAGTATTATCTGAGCCCAGGAGGTTGAGGCTGCAGTGAGCCATGATTGAGCCACTACACTCAAATCTGGGTGACAGAGTGAGACCCCATCTCAAAAAAAAAAAAAAAAAAAAAAAAACAACAACAACAACAACAGCAAATCAGCTTTGCTAACTGTCTACTAAAGAAAATTTTCCAAGTTCATTTGATTCACAAAATTTCATGTGATTTAAATGATTTGTATCAGGACAATCGGTAGTACTAATTCCACCATCATCTACTTTGACTACTTTGTATACTGCGTATACTATATAGGTAGATGTAGCAGATTCAAGCATATCCTTGCAGTATACCCTTAAAATTATTTAATCTGAAGATTCACAGAAAAAAACAAATTTGATCCCATAACAAAGGGCATACAAGAAAGAATTTGTTTACTTTTCAATTAGATGTGATTTGTGACATTGATTTTTAAAGTCTGGGTATTTTAGTACTCATTTTTATGGTCATAAAAGGTAAGAACTTTTAATACAATAATAATCACGATGCAAAATATATTTTTCTACCACCTGGTCAACAACATAGCAAATGAAGATATAAAATATCAAGCTGCAATTATTCTAGGAGAAACTGAGTGTTTTCAGCAATGGTAGAAGCAAATGGGAGGTCAAACAAAGATTTTCTGTCCTAGGGTGAGGCAAGGTGAAGTAAATAGATTTCCCTAAAGGGAATGGGGCAAGGGGCAGCAGTGGTTGCATCAAATGCCAGGCACTCCAAACCAAAAAGAATGACTTGAGAGCCTGTTCTTTGCCAGGCTTTCTGGGAATTCTTGTTCCTGCCTGAGAACCTCTCATTTGAGGTTCTTCTGAGTCAGCCCACAAATGCTTTCTCATTTTCTTTTTATCTCTTTTGTATCTCCTTCATTTAATTGTAAAATTTCTCAGAAAAGGCATTTTTTTCCTTAGATATTCCACTTTCTTTGCTATTCATTTCCCCAAAAGGACAACTTTAAACAAGATTTCACCATTTTTAGACCTAATTTCAACTCAGTATCACTGTAGTGTAAACTCTAGTGAGGTGGGCAGCTCGGGTGTGCTAGAGGTCATGAATGATGTCTGTAAATAGAACAGAGTTCCCATCCTCTAGAAGCTTGTAAACTACTCACACCATGTTGGAAATGTCTGTCACCTTGTCTGTCTCTTACCTCTAAGTTGTGAGCCAATGTGAGGGTAGAAACAGGACTTCTGCAGTTCTCAGTAACTTGTAGGTGGTGATGCTAAGTATGCACATAATATTTATTGCTTGGATGAGTGAATTAATTAAAGGGAATCAAGGTGGTAACTTGGTTAAGCTAGAAAATACTTTAGGTGGAAAAGAAAGACAGAAGTAAAGCATAGAAATGAGACAGGGAGCCACTGGAAATGTATGGGATCTCAGGCAGCTAGGTCCAGGGACTATGTTGAAAGGCAATCAGGGAGTTAACTTGATTTCCAAGACAGACTCCAGTCTTTGGAATAAGACAAAGGATGAGACTAAATTTCATCTGCAAGAGATTAAAGATTTTATATTCCTAAGCAGGGGACTTCAATAGATTAACTCTCTGGTGTTGTGCAGAACAGAGAGGGGTGGGCCTGTTCCTTTTACTCATGGCATCTGCACATGTGCACAGATAGCAGAATGTGAGGTAAGAGTTTGAAAATAAATATAACAAATGTCTCTGGCTATGGAGTAAAGAGATTGATCCCTCCTCCCATGGATACAGTTTGCGTGCAGTTATGGCCTCCTTCCAGAATTTTTCTTCAGATGCTAGATCACTGCTGATTGTTGTAGTTGCTACATTTTTGGCCAAGAGTCAGGGGCTAAACCAGGCCAAAGTGTGGTGTTTCTGCTTCTGTTACTAAGCTGAGAAATTCAAAGTAACTTTCTAAGAATACTTCATTGAAATCATGATGATAAGATTTAGAAAGAAATTATGGGTCATATTTGTTGTCATAATAGCCTATCAGTATCAACCTTCAGACTAAGAGGATCTATGATTTACCCCAAAGAGCTGTTCTGTGTGAACGTTCTTTATGGTATGTTAGAATTTAACAGAATTAATAGACTTAAGGTGAATTGGGATAATGAAGTTTCTGGGCTCACAGCCCATGAAATCGTCTTCCCCACTTGTCTAAAGGGAACTTTCCATTCTATCTGGAGGTGCATTAGAGATGGAATATCTCCTGACTCGGAGCATTTTGCCCTGTCTTGTCCCCACCCCCATCCCACCCCTGCCCCTTGTGACTGATGCTTTGACTCACAGCTGTTTTTCTAATGCGTGTCCAGTCTTCTTTTAGAAGCTGCCTTCAAATTGAGTCCTTTGACTTAATCACACCACCTTTTGCCAATTTCTGTCTCTACTCCCTCTGAATCCAGTA
The DNA here is from genome assembly GCF_000001405.40 of Homo sapiens. NCBI lineage: Eukaryota > Metazoa > Chordata > Mammalia > Primates > Hominidae > Homo > Homo sapiens. The sequence goes on along the minus strand of NC_000003.12, from coordinate 152,583,514 downwards.
AACTAGTGGCTCTCAACTTTTAGCATATATCAGAATTCCTTGGAGGGTTTTTTAAAACACAGATTTCTGGTCTTCACCCTTAGCATGTCTGATTCAGGAGATTTGGGATGGAGCCTGATAATTTGTATTTCTAACAAGCTCCCATGTAGTGATGATAGTATTCTTTGGGGGCCACTGTCTGAGAATCATTGCAGCAGACAGTTTAGTGCTACCTGTGTCCAAAACCTGGAAATGAAAATAGGGACAGAAGTTCAGTTTCAGGGTTCCATTTATAGGGAGTTCAGACATAAGAGAGAGAAAAAAATCACATTTCAATAACAACTAACATTTAGTAGGTACTTATTACATCATTACATTAACTTTGTAGGTTAGGTATAATTCATGTGGTATTAATGTCCCAAGATAAGAAAATGAAAGTTTAAATAAATCATAAAAATTGCCTGATGCCACACAGCTGGGTTTAGATTCAGATTTCTCTGCCCCCAGTAGGAAATTTTGGTCCCTCAAATTGTGCCTCTTTGATGGTGTGCTGCTGGGGGAGAAAGTCTCAGGTTTGCATGCTCAGAAATGGCAGTTTTTCCCAGTGAAACTAGAATAATCGAATGAAGGAGGACTGTTAATTATTTCCATTTACTCTGGAGTACTCTACTGTGGGAGACATTTCAACCTAGATAAACTTTTAATCCGCAGCTTTGGAAAGTCACATCACCCTCTGGTTCCCAATTTCCAGATTTGTGAAAGAAAGAGGTTGAAATGCTCTTAAAGTTTTTTACCTACTTTAAAGATCTGTGGTCTTCATCTTATTAGTCAAGATTCAATTGTATTAATTTATACTGATCAAGAACTGCCAAGGAGTTAGAACGTTCACTGTATTCTCTTTCCACAAGGAACATCTGCATTAGAAACCAGCGACACTGAGAACTGTTCTATCAGAAGGCTGCAGCCAGAACAAAGAGAGTTAGGCTCTTATAATGGAGAATATCATCAGACTAAGGTAAAGGCTGTTTTTCACATTTTCCCTGAAATAATAGAGCTGAAAAGGCATCATGCTACTTATGTAGAGTCTAGAGTCCTGTTTAAGAAATGAATCCTTTTTCACTCATTATCTTTCTCCAGTACCTTTGTGGATACTGTCTAATTAAATGCATCTAGTCTTTTCTTGCATTAAAATTACATTTGCTCCCTTGAAATTGGGCAGATACTGTAGTTTCATCTTCAGTGAGTCCACATAAGAACCCAGTTAGGGGCTGGACTGCTTCTTCAAGTGGTGAACTTCATTTAACTTCAAGCAAAAGGCTGACATTTTCCTCTACCTCGTTGCCAACTTCTAGGGTGACACTCTGTCTGGAAACTACAGACCATATGTAATGACAACAAGGAGACTTTGTATAAAGGATTTGACTTTTCCTCTCCAGCTGTCTGGAGAACAGCACAGGAAGTGTATCTTTCATGCATCATGTTTATGAAGCTACCGTTCATTGTAAAAACAAATTTATAACTGTGCAATGTGTGTGGGAGATGTCTAGTGGCCGTCATACTAATCATGGATAAAATTAGAAGCTAGTATTATGGATTTAGAAAACTATGACCTTGATGCACAGCATTTCTCATTTAAAGAAACACCTTCTTAGATATCTTTTATTTATGCAATCTAATTTTTTTTAACATTGCAACATTCAAGTATTTTGTTGGGAAAACTGATATGAAAGTAGAGCACTTGTGAAATATCTTATACAACAAAGGTCCCAAAAATTCACAGGAGAGTTATATAATGTTTCATGTGCTGTTAAGCACTCACTAATTTTCTGGGAATATGAGAAATTAATTTAGTATGACATAACCAGCATCAAAAAATAAAATGGAATAAAATAGAACTGAACTGGAGTAGAAGTCCCTCACTCATTATAAAGTATTATGTTGTGAATATTTTCTTTTAGTTATGTGTGTATACAAGTGTTTGTGTGTGTGTGTGTGTGTGTGTGAGAGAGAGAGAGAGAGAGAAAAAGAGAGAGAGAGAGACAAAGAGAGGGAGGAGGAAAAGGAGAAGTCTGAAATGTTAAATGCATTTTTTTTGTAGGTAGTGGTTGTTTTTCTTTTATTTATTTTTCTTTTTTAGAGATGGGGTCTTGCTATGTTGCCCAGGCTGGTCTCAAACTCCTGGCCTCGAGCAATCCCCTCACCTCAGATTCCCAAAGTGCTGGGATTATAGGCATGAGCCACTACACCCAGCCATGGTTATTTTAATGCCACTGCATTAGTAGACAGCCTAGCACTTTTTGCCCAATGGTATAGAAACAGATTGCAGCCTGCTTTCATGATATCACTCTGCTCTAGGAGTCTGTAAATCAGACTAAGTAGATCTTCAAAAAAACCATGAAGTAATCCAAGATTACATAGAGAACATTTGTATGGTATTTGGTATCACAATTTGTGTGAAATTTGTACCCTGGCTTCCAGAATGAGCAACTACATTTAATACAGTTTCAGTAGCCATTTGAGTTCTGAGGTATGGCAACTAGCTGAAAAATGATCCTTGTAAACACCTTCTCTTGCCAGCCAGGATTACATGGATAGTAAAGGATCAATGACAGGACAAATACAGGCTAAATTGAATAATTAGTCCAAATAAGTCCCACAGAGGATAAAATAATGAACTCAGCCAGGGATAGGAGTAGAGAAAAACTTACAAAAGAAAGAGTGTTGGAGCTAGCCAAGCAGACGTAGGATGGGTGGGGGTTATTTATTTGGGGAATGGCAAGCAAAGACATGGAGATTTTCTTTACCCATCTTACTTATGTGATGGCAAGGAATACATAAAATGTCATGAAATGATTTTTAAAGAATTTGTTTTTTAATGTGCTTTAACCTACAAATATTTAATTTTCTGTTTCTAGCTTATGGATAGATAGACATATAATTACCATCTTTTGGTACTTAAACCTTGCTGGGTCCCCTTCTAGGTGCTTTCCATGTGTGATCTCACTTATTTCTTACCTCTGCAACCTCATATAACAGATGACATCATTTCTCTTTTATAAGTAAGACAAATCACAGAATAGCAAAATATCTTGCTCAAATCTGCAGAATTTGAAAGTCAGGGAGCTGATCTCAAATTTAGATTTGTCTCTAAGGCCGACTCTGCTAAGAACAAACTAATTCTTAGGCAGAAAGTCCAATTCAAAAGTTTTCTGGCAAATGACACTCTAGTTGCTCATGTTTGAATGCTGTTCTGTAGATGAAGATGCAACAAACTTCTCTGAAAAGTTTGATTTTGTTCTTAAAAGAATAATGTCCTGAAATTTCCCTCAATGTCAATTACTGCCATATACTAAGTTGAGGCCTCAAATATGCAAGTGATTACTTCTTGGTTGATAATTACCAATGTCAACTAAAGTCAAAAGAGTTCAGTGAAAAGTAATGTCAACCATTAGATTCACTGTCTACTTTTTAGTGTAGGAATAATTTTGAGAGAAACTTAAAGTAGGGTTTTAAATTTTAAAAAATGAACATTTTGAAAACATCTAAATTTAAATGAAACGGACGTTTCAAACTGTTCTATTTGGTTACTGCTTTGGGGTCAGTTATTATTTCCATTTAAAATGATAGCTTTTTCTGGTTTTATTTAATAGAGAAATCTCTATTTGCCTAAAAAGGCTAGTAAAGATCCTCCTGAAACTTGGAGAGCCACTATATTGGGATGTTTTGCCCCTACTTTGGTTGTAAAGGGTGTCAAGTGAATGAAAATATATAATATACCTTCTTCTTCTTCTTTTTTTTTTTTTTTTGAGATAAAGTCTTGCTCTGTCTCCCAGGCTGGAGTGCAATGGCGCAATCTTGGCTCACTGCAACCTCCGTCTCCCGAGTTCAAGCGATTCTCCTGCCTCAGCCTCCTGAGTAGCTGGGATTACAATCACACACCACCAAGCCTGGCTAATGTTTGTATTTTTAGTAGAGACAGAATTTCACCATATTGGCCAGGCTGGTCTCAAACTCCTGACCTCAGGTGATTCCACCTGCCTCGGCCTCCCAAAGTGCTGAGATTACAGATGACAGCCACTGTGCCCGGTCCATATATCTTCTTTTGAATATTGAACATGATATGCCTTTTTACTCTGGGTTTTCTCATAGTTCTCTTGCAGTAACAACCCACGATTTTTAATGAAAAAAGCTTTTCTCCACAATTTCATCTATTTAATCAAATTATAGCCAATATGATTAATATTTATTGAAAATTTACTTTGCACCTGATACTGTGTAGAATAAGGTTTATAATTTAAAATCTCACACAAATTTTTGAGATAGATATCACTATTCTATTTGTTGTATAAGGAAACTGAATCTAACAAGAGCAAATAATTACTAGGGTATAAGCTTGTGTTTATATTTAAGAAGTCCTATTTCAGCACCAAAGTTTTGAAGCTAGCATCTTTAACATTGTTTCCCAGACTGGATTTCAAGGGAATAATAGCTCTGCAAGATATTAACAGTTATTTTTCAAAACAAGATTCCAATCTGAGTAGTTTGCCAATGCATGAAAAGTTATTGCACAATTTTTCAAAACCTTTAACATGTTAATAGGCATTGTGAATCTTTAAGAAAAAATACTGTGTTTCTATGTAGTGTTTCTCAAATATATGTGTGTGCACATGCACACATGCATGATTGCATGTATATATATGCATATGTGTCATTTTTACATACTTTTTAAAATTATTATACATATTATAAATAAGTATATACATATGTCTTTACAGTACACTCATAAGGAAGCACTGGTTTGTATTCATCAAAGTGTTCACATTAGTGAGGTCTTATATGGACTCTTGCATATCCCTGGCCATTTCTATTCCCGTGCTCTAAATGTAACATAACTCAAAAATGATAGTAAGCTCCTACATTTTTCAGAGTACAGCATAAAAAGGGAATATTTTAATACTCTGAAATTTACATCCCTTCCATAGGATATAACATTCAAATGTATTCACAGTGACTAAGGAAAGAATAATGGATATTATAAGGAAAGAATAATGGATATGGAACATTAGAATTAAAAGAGTCTGTCACACATCTTCTAGTTAGCCTTCTTCCTCTAAGAAAAGTTATACAGACCTTTTCCAGACAAATTGTTGTTTTTTAGAAATTTCCAGTAACGAAAGTTTTGTAAGTTCAATTTTTAAACTCTTTCCTGAGTTATACTGACCTCGCCACATAAAAGTGGCTTTTAGTTTAAAACTAATTTCCTCCGTTTTTCTCCAGTTACATCCTTAGGGCAATGTTTTGGAGCCCTGCTTTTAGAATTGGGGAAGAGTTAGTCCTCGTTCCATTAGAAAAGTCATTTTTATAATGGTAACTATATTAAGATTTGAGCACAGCATAGTAAAATGAACTTTATAAGAATAAGAGTAATTATTGTGTGGAATTGTATAATCTGTATGGCATAGCCTTTATGCATGTACACACAGGTACACACATGCACATGCATACACACAGGCATACATTTACACATGCACAGTTTTTCTTGATAATTTTGCCTTGCAATGATCTAAGAAAATTTACCATAGTCCACTACTATCCACAGTAACCTCCTTTAACTATGATTTATGCTACCATCTACTGAAGAACATTAATGATTCAAAAGACTTGGGTTCTAGTTTGACTCTAAAAACTATGGGGTTCATGTCTTTTTGGCAGTTTATTTACAATACCTATGACTTGGTTTTCTCATCTATAACATGGGGTTAAATAATATTGTGTCATGCCTTAATTGATTGGTATAAGGATCAAAGTGATACGTGTGTGAGGGTGCTTGAGTTCCTTTTATTTTTTCACTTCTGTACTCATTATGCTTATATTCTCTTTGAAATACTTTTCCTCCTTGTTATGGGTCACATTTTCCTGCCTCTTGTCATGCCCAATGATTTCCTATTGAATGTTGGACATTGTGATTGTTATATTGTTAAGTGTCTGGATTTTCTTGTCTTTAATGAGTGTTTTGACACTTAAGTTGCAGACCAGTTTGATTGCTTTGAGTATTGTTTTGAAGATGTATTAGGGCTGGGTTTGTTGTTGTTATTTTGTTTTGTTTTGTTTTGTTTTTGAACAGGGTCTTGCTCTGTCACCCTGGCTAGAGCGTGGTGGCACGATCACAGCTCACTACAGCTGTGACCTCCTGGGCTCAAGTGATCCTCCCACCTCAACCCCTCCAGTAGCTGGGATTACAGTTATGTGCCATCATGCCTAGTGTATTTTTTTGTAGAGATGGTATTTCACCATGTTGCCCAGGCTTGTCTTGAACTCCTGGGCTCAAGCAATCCATCTGCTTCAGCCTCCCAAAGTGCTGAGATTACAGGTATGAGCCACTGTACCTGGCCAGGGATGGTTTTAAGTAGCATTTACTCCTGGGATAATTTCACTAAAGCATGATCATTTGGAGTCTGTACTGAACGTCCTCAAGTGACTACCGAGGACTCTTCATGCTGATTGGGTGGTGCTTGAATGACACCCTGGCTTTTGTGAGCTCTAGAAATTATTCTGCTTACAAATCCGAGGTTGCTTGTTGTCTGAGGTCATGGAGTTTTACTCCTATGTGCACTGTCTAGTACTCAACAAAGACTCAAGGTGATTCCAGTAACAAATCTGCAGCTAGGTTTTTGTTTTGTTTTGTTTTTATAGTTCTCTCCTTTCTGTAACTCTGTCCTACAGCTTCAAAGGAATTCAGCCTCTCTGAACTCCAATTGCTGTCCTCAACTCCCTAAGACTGCTAGATTCTGTCTGGTTTCCCCTTCCATGTGGCCATGGTACAGAAATTTCCTCTAGGCAGGAAGCTAGGGAGGTTGTAGGGCTCACACTATTGTTTCCCTTTCCTCAGGGATAATAGTCCTGGGCTGCCTACTGCCTAAAGCCTAAAAATACTTTATTTTAGATATTTCATCCAGTTTCTGTGTTTATAGCAGGAGGTTAAGTCTGGTCCTTATTATTTCATTATGGCCAGAAGTACAATTTTCATATGAAGTTACTTTCAATTCTTTAAATTATTATATTTTTTACATTACTTCTTTCAACTATCTAATTCTTAAACATTTAGATCAATATACTCTCAAATTGCCATTATGTGTTTGAGTGTGTGTCTGTATGTGTGTGAGAGACAGAGGGAGAGAGAAAAGAGATACCAAGCATGCTACAGAAAGATATCATTTTTTATTTTCTTCTCTTCAACTTTCAGGTTTTGGCTTTTGAGTAGCAGACATTTTTCTTTAATAGTTATGTTTCTTTTCATGGGAATTATACAAAAAATAGCATCAAAGTGATAATTTCTGCCATTTTATTATCTAGAATGAAGCTAAGTAAAAGTGAATTTAAAGAAAAAGGATTAAATAAATCACAGTAAACATAAAAAACAAGGCAAAACCTTTGAAGATGGTAAGCTGGTGTATGGCTGACGGGTCTGGGGCCTCCTTTACATGGTAGAAGGACTAGATAAAATAAGAGCAGAGGAGAAAAACACTCAGCTATTCTGCGTCTGATCTAACATTTTATTTTTCTTCCCCTTGAAAATTTTGTCTTCCAAAGATGTATTCATATAATTGTTCTTCTGGGGGGATCCTTCTGCATTTGAGTTGACTAATGGAAGATACTTGCAGTGTTTGGAAGTCAACGATATGATGTTACTACCAACAACCACTTTAATCAGAAATAAACTAAGGAGCACTTAGTCCTGAACATCTCTTCTTCATCCATACTTTCCTCTTGACAGCTAAACACTTCTTCCATTTATTCAGAGAGAAAAAAAGACTGGGAGAAAAACTTAAAATAGAACTATTAAGATAGAAGAACAGAAAGTAAAATGAATGAGGACAATTTCTAACAGAAGGAAGCAGAGGGTTCAATTTAAAACCTGTATCTATTTTACAGTTGCCTATGCTGTGGTTGTGTTGGATTGCCAGAGTTTAGAAAGCAGACACTGTCCTTATGGATTAATTGGATGAACCACTTACTAGGGAGGAAAAGAACTGAATGTGTTCAGAATCTGTGACTACATTATTCTAAGCCTAGGTCTGTGTATCTGCCTCCCAGTGCCATATGGCAGAAGCATAGGTTGGTAATTTCCAGATTATTTAGTTCCAAACTTTTCCACAAAATGTGGTGATTTTATTTATTAACACTGAGAAGGAAGATATTCTGCAATATGATTAACAATGGTGGAGAAAAACTATAGAGATAGCTTGTTATAAATACAGTCAAAGCTCTGTAAATCTGTGGTTTTCTTGAGTTCCAAGGCTTTGAGACTAAGGCAGCAAAGATTTAAGTTGCAAGAAGCTCTGTTTTACTCTTTCTCTCTACATCTTCTCTACATCCCTCCTGATGCTACAATTTCCTCAGAGCTTGGGACTGTATGTAGAGTTATTTGACTGACCCTTTTAGCACACAGTAGTTGGGAGAAAACATCGTGTCAAATCATGCTGTGAGGGGATAAAAGGTAAATTCTGCCAGTTGGTTGTCGAATATCTTGTAAGAAAAACTGAATGCTTAGCCTTCTATATAGGACTGCCAATTAAATATTTAAATTAAAAAAATTAAAGATGAGCCAATCCTTCTAAATGGAAAAATACAATGATGCGTCACTAAAACACAATCCTGATGAAGTAATTTTCTATTCTTTTCCATAAGAGATAAGCACCTACTGAGATAAGTATAGGCTCCTACAAGTAGAAGAGCCTTGGAAAAGAACACAAATTAGAGGTTGTTGGAGAAGCAATGGCAGTGACTTTACTGTTTCTTCATATCTTCTTTTTTAAAAATACTGAAACTCACCCCCTCAAACAGGAACAGATAGCATTAAAGTTGATGTTGGCCACTGGGTGGCAGCGATGCCTCAGTAACATTATTTGAACAATGAGGACAGTTTGCCAAGCTTTCTCCATCTCCTCACCTCCAGATTCATAAGCACCATTTTCCATGCTTACAACTGTCACTAGTGGAATCATAAATTCTATTCATAGCTCCACTTATTTTCATCTTTTATTCCTAAGAGGAAGACATAACTTCTCTTAGGCTCTTTATGCTATCTATAATTTCTGGGACTTTTATTCAGAGTTTGTTTTGCTGGGATTTTTTTTTGACCTTTCACTCCATTTTCAGCTTTTTTCTTTCCACTTATGTCCTCTCCTTTATATACAATATGCCCAGAAATATTCTTAAAATTCTGCACAGCTAGGCATTAAGATCAATCTTGCCTGTTTCTCTTGGCTTTTTCTCCTCATCTCATCTTTCCTCTGTACCATAAGAAGACTTTCTCTGAGAGGAGAATGATGAACTATTTACTTTTAGTTCCCAGTTCCTAGATCTGCTAAATCACATCTTCTGCCCCCACAGAAGTAGAAAAAGAAAAACGCTATTGAGCATAAATCTCATGATTTTGTCTTCTTTGAACAGACATTTCTGTCAATTTGCCTTTAGGGATGTTGAGCTTTGAGAATTCTTTCACCCATTTATTTTCATTTTGTTTCTTCAGCTGGGGTCCGTATACAAGAGGACTTCTTTAGTGAGATGTCATGGCCAACATCCACTTAAAATATAAACTTAGTTAAAGCAACTGTACTTCTATGGGGAATCAGCACAAAATCACAGAAATAAAGCTGCAAGTTAACTTGGAAATAATGTTGCTCAAGCATCTGCAACGTTCTTAGAGGAAGGATCTATGTATGTATTCTCCAGAGCCTACAGGTGGAAAGGGAGGGCCTTGGTAGGGCTTTACTGAAATCAGAGTCTGACAGTGGGGTAAGGGAAAAGGCATAACCATCAATTATATTTTCCTCCCAGGAGGGAGTGTCTGCACAAGACATTGATGCTGGATCATGGTGGAGTGGTATGTGTAATGGCAGTACCTGCTGGTGAATCCCTCAGATAAGATATTTTAAGTTTCGTAGGTGGAGAGTACATAATTGCTTAGAGAGTCACTAGCCAGATGCTCATTTATCTAAAAAGTTGGTTCTTGGGAGGCATACATATGTTTCTTAAGATTTTATGTCTAGTTATGAGAGAACTCAGATTTCTGGAACAAATACTGCCCATCTGTACAATAGGGTTATTAAATATTTATTATTTATATTGCCATGGTAAGGAATAAGTAACATATGCAATTCACCCTGCATAGTATGTGATAAGAATTAAGGAATCAGTACATGTAACTTCCCTTCTCTCAGTAATAAACAACAAATGTCATAAGCATGGGCTTAGAGCAACATATTTGCATTAAAGTTCTGCTTACCCACTTACTGGCTTTATGTTTTTGACTTTTAAGTTTAGTTTTCTTCTCTGTAAAATGTAAATATAATAGCACTTACCTTACAGGCAAGGTGCTTTTTCAGGATTTATTGGCCATGTGTGCTATACAATAAATATGCGTTGAATTTAATCTATTACTATTACTAGAAAATATTTTGCAGTAAAATTAATGAAACAACTGGAAAGGCCAAATTAAGCTGGGCATTAGGACTGATTATTAAGCTGGGCAAGTGAAGAACTGTTTATTAAATGACTTAGGACACAATTGCATGATCTATATATTGTTTTCTTCTACAGAAGAAATGTATTTCTACAAAAACTTGAGAATGAAATAAAATAACTTTCTCTTGTTTTGCCAAGAGAAAAGTTATTTAAAAGGGTTGGGTGATAAAGGTAGCTAGATTTCATAGGATCATTGAATGTCTATTCTTAACAATCTTTTTCATTCTATTGCTATTTCAGATGCACTTAATTTCTGCCAAAATTTTGATTATTTTTTAAAAATTACAATAATAAGAACACTTATAACTAGAGACATATATTTTTCCTTAATTAAAAAAGAAGTCAGAAGCTAAGTTTGAGTTTCTAATCTTTAGCACTTAATAAATATATAAGTATACAAAAACCCCCAAGATTTGCAATAATAAGGAAAATATTCAATTAACACAGTAGTGCCTGAGTAGGATCACTGAATATCCAATCTGTGTTCAGGTCGTAACTTAAATACTTTGGTTGTAAAGGTAATTTCCTTACAGTAGTGACAAATTAAGCAATAAAAAATGATTTGGTGACAGAAGTGGCAAGGGCATTACCAACACACCCAATCTTCAAAAATTCAAAGAATGTAATTTTCTTATTTAGAAATAAAATATTAAAGTGGTATTGAACTCTAAGCATAAAGTATTTAGACACATCTGAAAACTAAATTTGTCTGTCTTCATGTTTTGTAGAACTCAATTATAATTCACTTCATTGTTATCATCTTCTCTAGAGAAATCAAAAATAAAATTCTGCCCTTACCTGCCCTCCTTGTGGTCACTGTACAGATTCAATTATAATACTTCAAAATACACTCTTGTGAATCAAATTGAGGAGGTCATATTGAACAGATATATGCGGTTTAAACTGTAGGAATTAATAGATATGTCTGTGACAATAGCTTAACTCTAGGGGACAAAAGAATGTACATTGCCATTTCTTTGCTAAGCTCCTGGCAACCTTACCTCAGTATTTTGATAATGTATCACATGTTAAAGAACAAGGGACAAAATTGAACATTATATTTTTTGAGAAAACTAATTAATTGTGTATGTATAAGTACATTGGCCTTTAAAAATGAAACCTCTAAAATCATGTGCTTGTTCTAGCATTGCAAGACTTTTTCGTTTCTATAAAGGAAGATTAAAAAACCCTAGGTTCAGCACAATGAAAATAAAACAGCAAGTCAAAACATAGCTATCTTATTCATAAAAATATCCTAGATCGGGATAAGAAGTTGATTATAATGGCAGGCATATTTTTGGCCTCATACATGCACAAAATAAAGGAAGTATGATGTTCAGAGATTTTTAAGTGAACAATAGTATGCCATCACCACATTTTCTCTTTCACATTATTATGCTCAGCTAGCTCATCATTCCTTTTTTTCTGAACAAAAATGTATGAGAGCTATAAAGCCCCAAGTATCAGATCAGATTGTTCTAGCTATATCTCATCAAGCATTTTCTATATTGAAAAGTTAAAAGCCATTATGTGGAAGCTCTATTAGAGAACAGCACACACACACACACAAATAATCTTCTAAATAGGGTTTTCTAATCTTAATCAGAGCACATTAGTATTGCTTCTGTTTCCTTTTAAGGAGGAGATGGTATGAGTTTAACTTGAAGATTATAAAGCTTATAACTTTTCAGAAGAGGAAACAGGAGACCAATAGAAGTAAATGAAACATATTGGGTGACATTAAAAACTGATGTAGTGATCATAAAATGATTCTAGAGTTCATTCTCATCTTGGGACAACCCAAACCATGGGTTTCATTTTAAGACTTAGCCAAGTCCACTGACCTCTCTATCATTCACCTACATTTCCTGGTCATTAAAGCAATTAAGCCATTCTGTTGATCACTTTTGTTGTTTTAAGTTAAAAAGAAAATAAATCTTGCTGGTTTCATTTAACAATTTATTTAACCAGTCCTTTCTGAGTTCCTGCTATGTGCCAGGGATATTCTATGGAAAGCAATAATAAGACTATTTTATTCACTCTTCCTGGAGCTTTTAATTCTGGTAGTGGCAAAGAGACAATAAACAATACATCATGTGCAAAGTAGTGATTAAAGGGTATAAGAAATAACACAAGGGAACTTAACAAAACAATGGGAAGAGAGAAAGTCTTAATTTCATATTATATGCTTGAGAAAGACCTCTCTAAAAAGGTAACATGTTAATAGAGAACTGAGGGAACTTAAACAGTGATCTGAGTGGCCATGGCTGAAGAAAAGAATTCCCGGGACAGAATGTAGAATTGCTAAGTCATTTAGACAGGATTATACCTTGCGTGTTTGTGAGTGGTGGGAGCTGGTAAGAAGTGGGAAAGGGGTAGGAGATGAGGTCTGAGATGTAGCTGGAGGCAAAGTCATGGGGGATTTGGGTTTGAATTCTAATAAGGTGAGAAGTTTTGTTATCTGACTTATGTTTTGAAAGAAGGTCTGAAAGCTGGGAGCCATGGCCTGCGCCTGTAGTCTCAGCTACTTAGAAAGCTGAGGTGGGAGGATCCTTTTGGGACCAAGAAATGGAGACCAGGCAGGGCAAAGTAGAAAGACCCTGCCTCTAAAAAAGAAGATGGGGGGGGTGGGGGGGGAGGGTGGGGGGAAGTGATTAGAAGTGATTAGGCCTTCTGTCCCCACAGGCCACAGTCAGTGCTGCTGAAGATTCAGCTTTGTTTCAGACTTTCACACTGAAGCTCTGCAGCTTTATTTGGGCAGGTGTGGAGGGAAGCTCCCTGGAGGCAATATGCAGGCTTAGTCCTGTCCTTACCTGGCTGTAGAGAAGGCCTGCAATGGCATCTTGTTTGCTTTTAGGTATATTTTGACATTTTCCAACAGTATTAAGGCCAGTGTATTTCTTTGCATTCTAAGACCAAAATCCAACCAAATATGACCATTCATTAATGGTCATATTTTAAGTTACAGATGCATTTTCATCAAAATAAACAAGATCATCTGCCCTCCTTTCAGCTAGATTTAAAGGAGGCAACTAACAATAAGCATAAATGAAATATTTGTTGGAAAAAAATGAACAAAAATATTATGACCAGTAATTTTTTGTTTTGTTGGTCAGTTTCTTGAAAGACTGTTTGTTTCACTGATGGCAAAAGCCAGGGAGACACTGTTGAAATTATAGCACACACAATGACTTAAGGAAATGAAGAGTTTTAAAAATTGTAGGAGTCTCTGAAAATGTAGTGAAGAGAATTTTAAATCTAGTTCTCTCACTCAAAATGTAAAGTGAATGTTTCTCCCAAAGTGGCAGTCTATAAGACGTATTTTCATTGTACCTAAAAGCATTTGTACATGTGTTAAATTGAGTAATGAGGCAGGAGAAAAATTATTCATTGCTTCTGAACCCCAAAACTTATGAATCTCATCTTTCTTCAACTTCTTCCAATGATGAGATTTTACCAAGGATGAATTTAGAACTAAAATGTAGCCATACTTACTATGCTCAGTTCACTTTTAATGTAAATTGAGGGGCTCTTCTAATTGTAAGCATTACTTCTTAAGCTTAAATATGGGATGGCACAATGGGACTATGATGGAGGTTTGTTGCTGTCAAAGAGATATGAGAATGAAGCCTTCCTTCCCTGCTTAATAATTCTATAATCTTGAATAAAGTTATGATCACATTTGAGCTTGCATTGTTTCTTCCAAAGAACATGAACAATAATATCTACATTTTAGTATCATTATGAGGATAGAGTTACATCCTATCATTAATTAATATAGGGAGTTAGTAAATATTTGTCCCTTCATCTATTTTCTTTTCTTTTCTTTTTTGAGACAGGGTCTTGTTCTTTCACCCAGGCTGGAGTGAAGTGGAACAATTTTTTTTTTTTCATGTAGCCACACCCATATTTATTTCACTTCTTCAGGCTCTGTTCTTGTCCTCCTCTCCGAAGTGGAACAATTATAGCTCACTGCAGCCTCGACCTCCCAGGCTCAAGCAATTATCTCGCTTCAGTCTCCTGAGTAGCTGGGACCACAGGCACGTGCCACAGATCTAGGTAATTTTTTTCTTTTAAATAGAGATGAGGTCTCCCTATGTTGCCAGGCTGGTCTCAAACTCCCAGGCTCAAGGGATCCTCTCACTTTGGCCTCCCAAAGTGATGGGATTACAGGTGTGAGCGACTGTGCCCAGTCCTTCATCTACTTCTAAGACCTTCAGGTACAGGTTAATATTCATGTATAAAAATAGAGACAAAAGCAGAAAATGCCATAATATACATACTAAAATAAGAACAATTATTTATTATGTTTTCCTACAGTTACTTAAACTTTCCTTTGATAAATTAATGAAATTTATTAACCTCAAAAAGAGAACCAACTTCTAAAATTTTTAAAAATCAGATCTGTTGTGAAATAATACAATAAATGGTACAGGATAATTTTTGTGTCTTCATTTCTTCTATTTTAAACATTTTAAGCATTCTGACAGTTGCTGGGTTACATTATCCAGTGGTGGTAACGACTGGTAATTACAGATGCCTGTGGGTTGATTTAATCAGACTGAGCCCCCATAAGCTCACTCAGAGAAGTGAGAGATGTCAAGAATAGGGCCAAAGAGTGCCAAGGTCAATAGAAAGGAGAGTCTTTAAGCAGCAACATTAGGCGTGGATTCAGGAGTCTTGTCCCTGTCACCTGCAGTGAAGCAGCTATATTTGTCTTCCTGCCGAGATGACAAACTCTGGTTAGTGCTCAGTGCAAGCTTTGATTCCTTATTTATGAAAAAGGTGATAACAGGGAATTTGGAGTTTGAGAGACACACTTCAGCCATCTGGGAAAAATTTCATAGATTTGGTGGAGAAAATGAGGAAAACTAAACTAAATAATCAAATATTATGAAGTATTGGCATGATGAATTTAACATCAAGGTTAACAGACATAAATTTTAGAGTGTAACAAAGAATAGGTGAAAGAGAAATAATGATGGGCACAAATGCAAGAAAAACCATGTGCACTTCTTCCCATAGAAGAAGAATTCAAACCTTCTTGTACTGATAAGTTAAGCACTATTAGGGCAATCATGTTTCACTATTTTTTTTTTCACACTTTTGAATTCCAAGTGCCTAGAACAGTGCTGGTGATAAAAGATGCTCAATAAACATTTACTGATTATAAGACTAAATGAATGATTGAATGAATCAATAAGTGAATGGATGGATGGATGGATTCAAAGCAATAAAAAGATCTAAAGTAGACCCCCAAGAGATAAAAGTTTGAAGAAACTTTATTCAAAGGCAATAAAGAAACGTGAAGTGAGGTCCTTTGCAAATTATTAACAGGGCCATTGTTAGGGGAAGAGACTTTGAAAAGCTGGGAGTCAAAACATCATAGAAACATCATAGTCTAGTGAGGGGTATCCAGCCTGTCTATTGCTACAGTTTTTCATCCATGGCCTTTTTATGTCTAACTAAACCCTATTTAGATTTCCCTGGTAGTAACTGTAACAGATAGTATTTATGTGTCTGTCTTTTCCAACCAGACTATAATCTTCTCAAGAGAGATTCTAGGGGATGTGCACTGATATCATATTGTGCTTTTAATTTCAACTTTCCTGTTGGTTAATGATGTCAAGCATCTTTTCATGTGCTTATTAGCCATTTGAATATCTTCTCTGGAAAAATGTGTAATCATGTCCTTTGCCTATTTTTTCATCAGGTTACTTTTTTTTCTCTGTGAGTGTTTTCTGTCTCTTTTTAATTGGGTTATTTTGGTTTTTGTGATCGAGTTGTAAGAGTTTTTTTTTTTTTCTATTCTGGATAGAAGACCTTTACTAGACATATAATATGCAATTTCTTGTCCAGTTTGCGACTTGTCTTTTTATTAATAGTGTCTTTTGAAGTACAAAAGTTTTTAATTTTAATGAGGTTAAATTTATCATGCTTTTTTTATGGCCCTAGCTGTTATGGTTATGTCTAAGAACTCTTTGCCCACACCAAGAACACGAGAACTTTCTCCTTTTATTCTAGAAGTTTTATAGTTTTAGCTGGTACATTATGTCTGTGGTCCATTTTGAGCTAAATTTTGTGTGTGGTGTGAGGTAATGATCTAAATTTACTTATTAAAATATGAATATCCACTTGTCCCAGTACCACCTGTTGAAAAGACTATCTTTTCACTCTTATATTGTTTTAATACCTTTGTCAAAAATCATAAGTGATTATTACAAACCCTTAATTCTGTTCCATTTATCTGTATGCCTATCTTTACACAAATACCACACTGTATCCATTATTATAGTATTACAAAATGTTTTGAAATTGAGTAGTAAAAATTTTCTAAATTTGTTCTTCCTTTTTCAAAATTATTTTGTTTATTCTAGATCTTTTGCATTTCTTTACAAATTTTAGGAGAAACCTGTCAATTTCTACACAAAAGCCTGCTGGGATTTTGATAAAGATTGTGTTAAATCTACAGATTAATTTGAGGAAAATTGTCATCTTAACAATATTGAGTTCTCCAATCCATGATCACAGGCAGTCTATTTTAAATTTTTAATTTATTTCAAGAATGGTTTATAAAATGCAATGTACAATTATTGTACTTTTGTTAAATTGTTGGTAGATGCCCTTTATCAGAATGAAGTTTCTTCTAGTTTGCTGAGAATTTTTATTATAAATGTTGGGTTTTATCAAATGCTTTTTCTGCATCTTTGAGGTGATGTATTTTTGTCCTTCATTCTATTATTATGATGTATATACTACACTAACTGATTTTCAAATATAAAGACAATCTTGCATTTCTGAAATAAATCCAACTGGGTCATGGTATATATAATTTTTTTATAAGTTTTATATGTTGTTGAATTGACTTAGTAGGTTATTAAAGAACTTTGTATCTAAGTTCATGAAGGATATTTGTTTTCTTTCTCTGTGATATATTTGGCTTTGTATCAGGCATAT
This sequence comes from Homo sapiens, assembly GCF_000001405.40. Taxonomy (NCBI): domain Eukaryota; kingdom Metazoa; phylum Chordata; class Mammalia; order Primates; family Hominidae; genus Homo; species Homo sapiens. The sequence continues at coordinate 152,566,051 of NC_000003.12, read as the reverse complement.
GCCACCATGCCTGACTAATTATTTTTGTATTCTTAGTAGAGATGGGGTTTCACCATGTTGGCCAGGCTGGTCTTGAACTCATGACCTAAATTGATTCACCTGCCTCGGCCTCCCAAAGTTCCAGGATTACAGGCATGAGCCTCTGTGCCTGGCCTAGTCACTGCATTTTTGAATGGGGTCAGGTACAGAGAAATTCCTTTCATTCTACTTTCTTGTTTCTATAAACTCACTCAACATTGTAGTCAGTGAATTTGCTTTTCAATAGACTTATCAATCAATTGACTGTTAGTTCTAGTGTGTTTTTATGTGTGTGTGTGTGTGTGTGTGTGTGTGTGTGTGTAAGCACATTTTATTTTTTTCTGATTTCCTTAGTATTTTGGTTGGACATTGAGAAAGGCAGTTCCAGGATATACTAATAAGGTGTCAGTCAAGTCCAAAGTAAAATCTAATTTTCAGGATGGCAAATTTCACAAGTTCAGAAAATAAGTAGGTATAATAACATAGTCTGAGACTCTAAAAGGATTGGTGATTTGAGAAGGTTGATAGCCACATGAAAATTTAATTTCATTTACATAGGCTGAAATGCTTCCAATCTAGAGAAAAGGAAAGGGTCCATATTGAATCTGAAATGAGTGCACAAGTAGTTATATAATGAGCTCGGCCACTAATCAAACATGAAACTTAGGTTAATATAGGCACCAGACATGTAAGATAAGCCAGAGAAATTTTAGGCTTAAAAAACTATTAAAGTGGCTGGGTGCAGTGGCTCATGCCTGTAATCCCAGCACTTTGGGAGGCCGAGGTGGGCAGATCACAAGTTCAGCAGATCAAGACCATCCTGGCCAACATGGTGAAACCCCATCTCTACTAAAAATACAAAAAATTTTAGTTTCTACTAAAATACAAAAAATTAGCCAGGCATGGTGGCGCCCACATGTAGTCCCAGCTACTTGGCAGGCCGAGGCAGGGGAATGACTTGAACCTGGGAGATGGAGGTTGCAGTGACCCAAGATTGCACCAGTGCACTCCAGCCTGGTGACAGAAAAAGACTCTGTCTTAAAAAAAAATCATATAAAGTACATAAAATGAATAGGTACATTCAGATGAAGAACAAGAAAGAGCTTGCTTGGAAGTAGGAAAGTATAATGAGAACGTATAACAGTGAATAATAAACTGTTCAATTCTTTACTTTTTTCATACTGTCTGCCAAATAAAATCATTCTTATGCTAGAAATCTGGGAAGAAACATTAGTAAGAGAGAGATGAAGGTCAAAACAGATGAAGACATCTTCAGATATCACCAATCAACTTGTAATTAGTTCAAGTCTCCTGTTTCAGATTCATTACATCCCAGTAGCTGAGGGAATTTGCAGATGACATTGTTGAGCAGCTGCCAATAACCATGAAGCCCAGCTAAGCTACCAAACAAACAAACAAAAACCAGACTAATCTTGTTCCAGTTTTCAAAGAGGAAGAAAAAGTATATGCCACAAAATATACCTGGTGAGTCTAAGAACAACTCTAGGTAAAATTTTAGAGCAAATTATTTAATTTAGCAAAGGAAATGACACTCGATGAAGCCACCATAAATTAAATAAGAACAAATTATTCCAAATTATACTTTTTCTAAAAGACTGGTCTCGCTGGCCTCAGGAGTGAAGCTGTGGACCTTCCCGGTGAGTGTTGTAGCTGGAGCTTGTACTAGGGCCTGCTTTAAGGTTTTGAAGGCTGTTTCTGCCACTGGTTCCCATTCTACTAGATGAGTATTTGCCCTCTGGGTTTCCTTGATTAGAGTATAGAGGGGCCTGGCTATCTCACTGTATCCGGGGATCCATAGTTGGCAAAAGCCAGTAATTCCAATGAACCCCCGCAACTGTTTTATTGTTTTAGGGCGAGGATAAGCCAGTATAGGCTGTATTCATTCCTTGCTGAGGGCCCTGGTCCCTCTGGCTAAGATTAGGCCTAGATATTTGACCTGCTGTAGGCTAAGCTGGGCCTTCGACCTAGACACCTTATACCCTTGATTAGCTAGAAAGTTCAAGAGATCTACAGTAGCCTGCTGGCATGAGGCTTCAGAACTGGTAGCCAAAAGTAAATCATCCACATATTGAAGGACCAGAGTGCCTGGACTTGAGAAGTGGCCTAGATCTTGGGCCAGTGCCTGACCAAACAGATGAGGGCTATCCCTAAACCCTTGGGGCAAGACCGTCCATGTAAGTTGGGACGTGTGGTCTGTGGGATCCTCAAAAGCAAAGAGGAACTGGGAGTCAGAGTGCAGGGGAATACAGAAGAAGGCATCCTTGAGGTGCAGAATCATGAACCATTCTGCTTCCTCTGGTATTTGAGAGAGCAGGGTATAGGGGTTGGGTACAACTGGATATAAAGGAATTACTGTCTTATTGATGAGTCTAAGATCTTGCGCTAGTCTCCACTGACTATTCGGTTTTTGTACTCCTAGAATTGGGGTGTTGCAGGAACTGCTGCATTTCCTTACTAAGCCTTGAGCTTTTAAATGTTTAACAATATTCTGTAATCCTTTATGAGCTTCAGGACTTAAGGGATATTGCCTTTGATATGGAAAAGTGGTGGGATCTTTTAACCTGATTTGGACTGGGCAGGCATTTTTTTGCCCTTCCAAATTGCCCTTCCAATGCCCAGACTTCAGGGTTGATTCCCTCCTCAAGTAGGGGACAACAAATGGGTAACTTGTTCCCCATATTCATGTAGATAATAGCTCCAGCCTTGGCTAATATATCCCTCCCTAATAAGGGTGTTGGACTTTCAGGCATAATAAGAAAGACATGTGAAAAGAGCAAAGTCTCCCAATTACAACTGTGGAGGTGGGAGAAATACCTGGTTACAGGTTGTCCCAGGATTCCTCGGATGGTAACGGACCTTGAGGACAGTCGTCCGGGACAGGAGATTAACACTGAGAAGGCCACACCTGTGTCCAGGAGGAAGTCAATTTCCTGGCCCTCAATGGTTAAATGTACCCGGGGCTCAATGAGGGTGATGACATGAGCTGGCGCTTGCCCCGGGCACCCTCAGTCCTGTTATTGGATCATCTGGTTGGGGGCTTCTGACCCAGGGAACCTTCATCCTCTGGGGAAGTACACCTTCCAGTGATTGCCTCGGCATAGTGGACATGGACGAGGGGGCAATTTTTCTCTCATTGGATGATCTTTTTTAAAGTGTCCTAGTAAACCACACTGAAAACAAGCCCTACCAGGTGATTGGCCTGCTCCATTTTCTGTCCTCTCTGAACCACCAAGGTTTGTTTGTCTGAGGGCCATGACTGAGGCTGTGGCCTTTCTCTGATCTTGCTTTTTCTTTTGGGCCTGTTCCTCTTGGTCCCTATTATAGAACACCAAGGTTGCCAGGTTTAACAATACCTCTAGATTTTGTTCAGGGCCCAGGGCTTGCTTTTGGAGCTTTCTCCTAATATCTGCAGCTGTGGCTGATTGGGTAATAAACTTATCTTTTAGAATCAATTGACCCTTGAGTGATTCGGGTGACAGTGGAGTATATTTTCTTAAGACCTCCCATAGCCGCTCGAGGAAGGCAGAAGGATTTTCTTCCTTTCCCTGAATTATGGTGGACATCATTGAATAATTCATGGGCTTTTTTTCTAATTCTCCTTAGTCCTTCTAGAACACAGGTCAATAGATGTTTATGACTCCAGTCCCCATGATCTGAGTCAAAGTCCCAGTGGGGATCCATACTGGGGATGGCTTGCTGACCACTAGGGAATTTGTCCCTTTCTTCAGCTGTCATTCTATCATTTACTTGACTAAGATACCAGGTATTTCCAAACTCTTGGGCTGCAGCTAAAGCCACATTCTTTTCATTAAAGGCCAGGGTTTGATCTAACAGTAGCATGACATCTCTCCAAGTGAGGTCGAAGGTTTGCCCTAGACCCTGTAGGACATCTATGTACCTATCAGGATCATCTGAAAACTTCCCCAGGTGTGCCTTGATCTGCCTTAAATCAGAGAGGGAGAAGGGGACATGTACCTGGGTTGGTCCAAATTCCCCTCCCCCTATAGCTTGAAGGGGACATAACTGATAGCCCGGGGGGTTTTGTGGTCCTTTGGAGATTTCTTTGCTTATTTCCTTCTGGGCAGGGGAGATTAGAGGAGGATTATCATTAATAGGAAGGGGAGCTATAGGGAGGCTAGGATATATGGGGGTAAGCTGAGAGGTCTTCCTGTGGGATGTAAATTGTAAGCGTTGCATAGTTGTTTATTCTCCCTCAGTGAAAAGAAAGCTTGGACATAAGGTATTTCCTTCCATTTGCCTCCTCTCTTACAGAAAAGGTCAAGCTGTAGGAGAGTATTATAATTTGTACTTCCCTCAGGTGGCCATTTTTCCCCATCAGAGAGAAAATATTGGAGCCAAGCTGTAGTGCAGAAAAAAATGAGCTGCCTCTTTTTCAGGGTTTGTGGGTCAAATTGGTCCCAGTGGTTTATGATGCATTTCAAGGGTGACCCTGTTGATGCCTGAGTTTTTCCCATCAAATACAAAACTGCCTGTGGTTTTGGTTTGTTTTGTCTCTCCCCCTGCCCAAGAACCCGCAACAGTCCCTGGACCCTGCTGATCGGAATAGTTGCACTCACCGACACAGCAGCAGAAACTCTAGCTTTCCTCCCAGACTACATGGAGGGCCGAGGAAGGTCAGATTTAGTGGCCCTTACCGACGCATTCTCAAAAACCTGCACCCTTTCCTGTCCTCCTAGACCACAAGGAGGACCGAGAAAAATCGGATTTAGTGGCCCTTACTGATGCATTCTCAAAAATCTGTTAATAGTCCTAAGCATTCACCTGTTAGTACTGGGACTTTACCCCTGTCCTATAAAGATGTTATGCCCCAAAAATGAAGTGGAGGGCCATATCTTGAGAGAGGGAAGGGATCTCCAGAGTTGGAAGAGTGACACCCTTTGTCCTCACTTATATGAATAGGAAGGATACAATTTCTGAAGCTCCCCATATCCTAGCTTCAGGAATAGCTTTTGTTAGGCCTGTTAGTCTGAGGAGGGATCCTAAAATTCCAGGTAGTCCCCCCTACGATGGGGCTTTGGGCAAAAATTATGTCTTTCTGATTGGTGAGCCCGGGTGCCTAAAGAAGGTAACAGAGTTTATACTAGAAGTCATTCTTAGAAACTAGAAAAGCACCAGAGACAGGTAGTGATTTTTAGAAGCGGGACTAACCTTGGAGAAAAGAGGTGAGATGAAGTTTGTCTGGCAAGCATTAGGACTTGGGCAACATGCCTTTGAGAGTTCCGCTAATGGCTGCAGGGTCAACCAACTTGTTGTCGGGACCCTGGAGCCGCATGGCTTTCCTTGCTGTCGACCCTCGGCTCAGCCCAGAAGTACAGGAAAAGCGGAAGCTGGTTCTAGGCAAAGCAACACTCCCAACTCTGAAGAGTTGGGGGTTGTTAGAGAGCCCTTTCCCAGAAAGCCTGACACCCGTGTCTTTAGTCCGGCGGCCATGCTAGTCACTTTTAACTGGCCGACAGGTGCCTGGTATTTAGCCCCCAAATTCTAAGGAAAAATAGGACAGAATAGCAAGTGAAAGGGGTCTGATGGTACTCACTGCTTGGTGATAGGCGACAGTCTCACTGCTCAGCAATAGGCAATGATCTCACCGCTTGGCGATAGGCGATAGTCCCTTCATGGTCACCAAAATATGGCCAGAATTGGGGTTCTTGGTCTCACCGACTTCAAGAATGAAGTCGCGGACCCTCGCGGTGAGTGTTACAGTTCTTAAAGGTGATATGTCCGGAGTTTGTTCCTTCTGATGTTTGGACATGTTCAGAGTTTCTTCCTTCTGGTGGGTTTGTGGTCTCTCTGGCTTCAGGAGTGAAGCTGCAGACCTTCACGGTGAGTGCTACAGATATTAAGGTGGTGCGTCTGGAGTTGTTCGTTCCTCCTGTCCAGAGTTGTTCTTTCCTCCCGGTGGGTTCATGGTCTCGCTGGCCTCAGGAGTGAAGCTGCAGACCTTTGCAGTGAGTGTTACGCTCATAATGGCAGTGCAGACCCAAAGAGTGAGCAGCAGCAAGATTTATTGCAAAGAGTGAAAGAACAATGCTTCCACAGTGTGGAAGGGGACCCAGAGCGGGTTGCCACTGCTGGCTCAGGCAGCCTGCTTTTATTCCCTTATCTGGCCCCACCCACATCCTGCTGATTGGTCCATTTTACAGAGAGCTGATTGGTCTGTTTTGACAGGGTGCTGATTGGTACGTTTACAATCCCTGAGCTAGACACAAAAGTCTAAGGGGGAGGAGGGGCGAGGAGTGGGGGAGTCGGGCGTGGTGGAGGGGAGGGAGGGGAGGGAGGGGAGGCTCGGGCATGGCGGGCTGCAGGTCCCGAGCCCTGCCCTGCGGGGAGGCAGCTGAGGCCCGGTGAGAATTCAAGCACAGTGCCAGCAGGCCAGTGCTGCTGGGGGACCCGGCACACCCTCCGCAGCTGCTGGCCCAGATGCTAAGCCCCTCACTATCCAGGGCCGGTGGTGCTGGCTGGCTGCTCCCAGTGTGGGCCCGCCGAGCCCACACCCACCTGGAACTTGTGCTGGCCCGCAATTGCCACGCGCAGCCCCAGTTCCCGCCCGCACCTCTCCCTCCACACCTCCACGCAAGCTGAGGGAGTCAGCTCCGGCCTTGGCCACCCCACAGTGCAGTGGCAGACTGAAGGGCTCCCCGAGCATGGCCAGAGTGGACGCCAAGGCCGAGGAGGCGCTGAGAGCGAGCTAGGGCCGCCAGCATGTTGTCACCTCTCACCAGGAGGTGGAGCTTGTGGTGAGCCAAGATCATGCCACTGCACTCCAGCCTGGGTGACAGAGCGACACTCTGTCTCAAAAAAAAAAAAAATAATAATTAGACCTCAATAAAACTGCTAAAAAATGTATGGCAACTATCTGTTTAGATTCTCCATGGAATAGAATCCCTTCCTCTATAACAAAGTTCACAGCATAGTACCCAGCTCATTAGATGGCTTGAATATTAAAGAAATGCAGAGAATACCTGATAGGTGGGGTGCTGGAAGTCATGTTGTGCTCACCGAGGAATTGTTTGCAGTGTTTGACAAGTCATTGGACATAGCAAGTGTAAATCTCAGTCCACAAATTCTTGTGTGCAAAAATTATCACAGCCTTTTCTCCATAACCCAAATCAATGTCTGTGTTCAACCTTCATCCCGCGTGGCTGGTGAAACAATTATCTTTAGAGCTAATTGTGTATTAGAATTCCTACTTCTTGCTCACCCCTAGAGTTAGGCCACGGGGCCAAAACATTGGCAATGAAGGTGTCTTCTGGTCCTTGGTCATCAGTTTGCAAGTTACTATGGCCCCTATCTGCATGACTCCATCAGGCCAACCCTTTCAAAGCCCTCTGCTGCTTCTGTGCCACCCTCAGAAGAATCTTTGCTGAAGTGGCCTGTGGTCCTGTCTTGACTAAAGGTTGCAAATCATTGGCATAAAAATCTACATCTGGCCTGCAGATGTGTTTTGTTTGGCTCACTCTATGTTTTAAAATCATTTAAGCCAACTCTTAAAAGTCAGGAGAGTTCACTAAAAATATCAACATTTCTGCCTTCTCTTGAAAATAAGAATATCTAGCAATAATGGACCACCTCTTCATGTGTCAACAACCACAAAAGCTGAGAAGTGGGTGCCTGTTTACCTCTCTTGTTTGCTACAGACCCATCCAACCTCATTATCTCCCCAAAGCTGAGGCAGGGAGCCAGTTGATATTGACATTGTTATAATCATTGCAAGATTTTTTTTTTAACACCAGGCCCTTTTCAACTGTTTATATTACCTGACTTTAATTTACCATAGTAGGTGTTTGAGATTCCTGGTGCAGGTATACCATGCAGCCACTCTTTTTACTGCCTCCCCAGGGTCACCCAGTATATTGGATGCTATGGACTAAATGTTTGTGTCTCACAGAAATTCATATGTTGACATTCTAACCCTGAATTTGATGGTATTAGGAAGTAGGGCTTCTGGGAGGTAATTAAGTCATGAAAATGGAGACCTCATAATGGGATTGGTACCCTTATAAGAAGAGACATGAGAGAGTTGCTCTCTCTCTTCTCTGCCATGTGAGGACACAATGAGAAGATGGCCATCTGCAAATCAGGAAGGGGCCCTCACTAGACAGTGTATATGCTGACACCTTTATCCTCAGCTTCCCAGCCTTCAGATGTGAGAAATCAGTATGTATTGTCTAAGCCACCCAGTCTATGGTAATTTTGTATAGCAGCCTGAACTGACTGAATCACTGGACATAGTCCTTTCTGCTTCCCTCTCCCCGACAGTGGTTATCTCTTGCTAGTCTATGAAAGATCCTTCTCCCTCCTTTTTCTTCTTTTTAACTAAGCCATTTTACTTTCATTAGAAACGTTTTTTAATCCCTAAGGTTTAACATTTTGAAAACCAAAAGCAGGAAATGACTTTTTCTCAGATAGCATGGCCTTTTGCCCTTCCACAGACCTCACTTGAGAATGAAAGCAGATTCAGAAAATCTGAGAGAAAATATTATAGAGAGAGACAACATTGGTTAATTTCTCAAAATATTTGGCCACAAGAGTGAGTTTGTTTTCAGGTATCTAATTATAGGACCTATCAGTTGACACAAATAACCCCTCATAAGCTATCACTACCACATTACATCTTTCATCTGGAGCCAAAAAACAATCTGTTCAGCAGTTAATATTCCTTGTACCTGTAATAATAAGTTTGCTGGGCTGTTAATGCTGGTAGAATGTGTAGTTATATAACTAAATGTCAAGGTCTCCCTGAAATAGGGAGGGGGTGCTTCAAGTCAAACCCTAGTGAGTAACTTGCTCATACTACCAAAGGAAGCTGAGTCACTGGGTAACACTTCCTATCTTGAGTATGTGTCTGAGAGAGCAGATCTAGCTGGCAGGATAGAACTCTGAAGAGGCCAAGAATCCAGGCAGGGAAAGGGCTGTGCCCAGTGAACTCTCAGGTTAAAGAGGACTTCAGGAGGCCAACAAAAAATACTTCATTCCTGGGGTTCACAATAAAATAATAGGCAGAGCATTTAGCCAAGCACACTGTAGAGGAACAGAGGACTCTAGAGACTGCACTTGGAGTGAACTTTGAGCATTTACAGATGGGAAGGCTGAGGGCTCTGTAAATAGTCATAAAGGCCCAGAAACAAAGAAGCTGCATCCCAGTACAGAATGTCATCAGGTCACAGAAAGGAATCTGCTGGGCTGAGAGTAAAAACAAGAATTTCAGGCCAGAGTGGAGATAGTCACTTAGCTCCTAGCTAGGCTTAGTAGGGGGGACCTTAATACTGGAAATTGTTATCTAGAACTCTAACTAAATGACGTTAATAGCTCTTACTCCAGCATTTGGCTTCCATGATTCTCCCTAAGTCCTTTGGTAAATTTCACTAATTTACATAAATAAATAAATAAATAAATAAATAAATACTTCCTCCCAGATACCTAGAGTGAGACTTCTACTCTACTTGACTTTATCAATGAACATCCTAACCTTCTTTTGAATCCTACCTCAGCAGAGTCCAGTTCTGTTTGCCCATGCCACAAGTAACATATGTTGCTCAAGGGGTCAGAGTGCAAATCTTCACTAAGTCTTTAGTCAAATCACTGTTCTTCCGACTGGCTTCCTTACTAGTAAACCCTGGGCGATAACCAGAAATCACTCAAAATATTAATTATTCAATTATCAGGCTCTGGCTAATAAGTACCATTCTCGTGTGAATTCAATTGACACAGAAGCAAGCAAGATTTTAAAACAATTTACAGTGCCTGGGAGAGAAAAGAAATTGTGTCAAAGACAAAATAGTGGGAAACTAATAGCAAGAAAGCCATTACATGCCTTCAAGACTGATACTCCCATGGGAACGTCAGGTTTAGCAAATTTATGGGTTGTTAAAATATTGCAGTAATTCTGTACTGGCTGATAATAGTCTAAGAGCAATGGTATTAAAAAGCAGTAGAAATTAATAAATCAACCGATCAATACCAATTATAACAGCATGCCCATTGTAATTCCAAGACATTTTCCCCTTTGGGTACTGAAGCTGAGATTGAAGATAGTGGCCAGATATAAATCTCCCGTTGATTATTTGAAAAGATAATGGGGGTGCATGGCACAGCATACTAAGGAAGACCTATTTGTTCAACCCTTGAAGAGATGCCTCACTGCCCAAGGAGTGACACACATGTTTTCAGGTTTAGTTATTAACTGAGGACATAAACAGTTGCTTGTGTGGCATGTATTCCCTAACAGCGTTTTAGCCTTCCTTCACGTGGGTTTGGGGAGCTCAGTTTATCAGACAGTTTACCCCCGGTGGAACACATAAATCTCTAGATAGGGGGAAGTCTGTAGGTATGCATATCCTGAAGACTCCCATTGACATCTAGATTAGTAGACTCTTCAGCAAGCAACCTATCCTCACGAATGGTCCCTGGCCACAGGAACGTCACATGAGACTGTCCATCCTCTTTGGGTCAGCCTGCTCTGAGTCTGAGCCTCAGCGGATGCCCTGACTGAGCCCTTGTCTATCCTAGTCCATCTTTTATACTTTATATTTCTTTCTTTTCTCCCTTTTTTATTTTTTTCCACTTTTGACTTTGCCCCATGTATCAGCTAGACTGCAATCAGCTGGAGCCTTGCCACTCTGTAGAATGAAACAAGGTCCTGGCAAAGCATTGGCTTTGGCAATCAGGATGAGAAAAATCCAGCCCACCTCATCTCCTATTTTTATGCCACTCTGGCCTCCTCCTCTCTCTCCCTTGTCCTCTGGTTCAAATGTTCCCAGCACCAGTTCTTGGCATACAGAGAGCATCTAGATGGTACGGTAAATATCATTGTAGTTCATGGTGAAAGAGTCACCGAGAGGCCAAGAAGGCAGTGAGGAAAACAGAAAGCTGAGAAGTAGGGCAGCGTGTGAACCCACCCTCTTAGGTGCCTGGCAGGATTCCCAGTAATGAATGACTATAAATTCCATGAAGAAATCATTGGAAGAGATACAGTCAAAACAAAGCTCAGATAGAAGCTAGAGTCACATCAGAATTGAAAATTATTGGAATAATTTGATCAATGACTTTAGCTGCAACTTGTATCACTTGTTACACAGTTTTATAATTTATAGAATTTAAACCTGTGCTTTCCAATATGGTAGCTGCTAGCCAGATGTGGCTATATAAATTTAAATTATCTAAAATAAAAAATTCAATCACTCAGTTGCATGTCACGTTTCAAGTACTCAATAGACACATGTGGCTAGTAGCTACCATATTGAACTGCATGGACAGAATACTTCCAGCATTCCTGAAACTCCTGTTGAATAGTGCCAGTTTAGAGAATAAAAATGATATCCTTTTTCCTGTTTATGTTGATTTTTATTACCTTAACATGAATAGGTATTAGAAGTTTTTATTTTCTTCAAGTAATTTTAAATTAAGAAGTTAACAGCATGTTCTTACGTTCAACAAAATAAAATAATGGCAAGGTGAAGTGAGGTATACACAAGATGGGAGTTAACATTTAATACTATTATATGCTGTGATAACACTTTAGTAACTTATTTAATTCAAAAATAAATGAGATATGCATTCTTCTCCCTAGGAATTTATAGTTTAGTTGGGGACATGAGCATACATACATAGCAGTATGACATAGTGATAAAGAGCTCCAGGACTGGGAATCAGGGAGACTTGTATTCAAATATTTAGCTTTGTGATCTTTGGCAATTTACATAATCTCTCAGTATCACTTATATCACCTGTAAAACTGTTATAATAATAGTGCCCACCTCATTACTTCTTCCCCAAGAGATGATGTGCAAGTCCAGTCTTTAAAGATGGATGTAATCTGCTGCAAAGATTTGAAGGGAAGTTAATAAAGTTCATGCTGTTACAACTGATTCTAAGTTATCAATTATATTCATCATCTCCCTCCTCTACCATCCATTCTAGATTTTCTCACTTGTGGCCAGCCCTTTAAATGATTTGAGTTGTTTCCTTGTTGGGGTAAGTTGACCACTCATCCCAATTTGCAATTGAGATGTTTCTGGGATGCAAGATTCAGTTTCAAACTTTATTTTGCCTACACAAAGGGGTTTCTTGAATGCAAGACTTTCAGTGCTAAAAGCTGGCAAAGTCCAAGGCAAATTGGGGTGAATTAGTCACCCTACTGGGATCATCCAGATGTTCAACCCCAATAGGTCTGATTTCTTACTGGCCTTATTATTGTTGGGCCATATTTGGTGTTATTGCCTATGTATAGTTATCAATGGGCACAGCAGCATCAAATATGTGTGGTGAATCCTCTGGGTTCTAGACATGTTTCCTCTCTGCCCTTAAGGTTGTAGCTCATTTGTCTAAAATTGGTTTCTTATTCTGAGATAATGTTGTATGTGATATCATGTCAAAAGATCAGGGATTCTGCAATTCTTTAGATGGGAGTTCTACTGACAGCACTGTAGGCAGGCTGGGAAAACCTATAGTTAGAATATGTAACACCTCTGGCAAGAACTAATTGCTGTTCCCTCCAAGATGCAGTAGAACTTCCACCGAGCCATTTGCTGGCATTCCTGAGGAATGGTGGTGTATTAAGGGGTCAGCATTGGTCTTTGTTGCCAGTACCTACACATCAGCAGCGGCAGCTGCCAAGTCAGCCCTGGTGAGAGACAGCCTATGATCTTGAGCTCATAAATGATTTTTATTCCTACCAAAATGGATGCTCTGCTCATAGAGTGTTCATTCCTACCAAAATGGAAGCTTTATACCCACTGTATAAATATTGAGGTGATCAAGAGAGAGGCTGGCCGACATGCAGAGGATGAGTCATTCTAATCCCTTGGTTGTTGGGGATCTCCTCAAAAGCGTTATATCCTATAGTGAACATTAATGTGAGTTACCAGTATTTGCATACTTTGTACTGCCAATTTTAAAAATCCAGACTTAGATAAATAGGATTTTATTTAAGAAGATTATTGTAATAAGGAGAGGGGGACTACTGTAATACAGAGAATGTTCTCACCATAAGATCTACCATAAGACTTGTAAAGATCTTAAGGGTCGGGCACAAAATGCTTTTCTTTTATAAGGAGGAGTAAACAGAGCTAGGAAGAATGTGGTGTAGGGAAGTGGATGAGCAGCCGACTTGATGGAAAAGTTGATCCGCAAATGTTTTTCTCTGTAGTCAGCCAGTTCTTAGAAGGGGGCGTATAAAAGGTTGCTTTTGCATTTGATGCTTGTTTAATTTCAGGGACAAGTTACAATTCAGGGACCTGAGTGGGGGGTTGCTGACTAAAGTTTGGTCAAAACAAGTTAGTGAATGGGACAAACAGTTTAGCTACTCAGTTATTAAGCAAAGAAAGGGAATTTGGAAGATATGTGTCTGGCCTTGTCATAGGTAAGCAAAGGGTCTTCCGTGAGTCTTATCCAAGTCATTTGGAAAAGAGTGGTTCTTTGCTGTAAGTTGTTTACTAGAAGGCTACGTGGGAGTTTCTTAACTATCACTGTTTTCCAAGCAAACAGAGTTCAAGTAAAGTGATAGTATTGTCAGTTCCCTTTTTATGACAAATAAGAGAGTTAGCATGAAAACTCTAAAGCAAAACAGTGAATGTATACTGCCTTGCTGTATAAAGTAAACTGTGTTATTATACTTCTCTACTCAAGAAATGAAGAATGTGTTGTCAAACAATACCAGAGGCTATGCTGATCTGCTCCAGCAAAGATATTACATCTGGTAAAGCAGGTGTAATTGGGCTACATCTGATTAAATGTGTCCATTCCTTTCATAACAACCCTTTTTCTGAAAGGCCCAGAAGCAAATATGAGGGTCTTATCCACAGCTATCTTTCCCAGTTGTAAATTCTAGAAAGGTGGAAATAACCACAGGTTGAGTCTACAGACCCATTGAACCCCCAGTGAAATGGACTTGAGCCCACTTTCCATTTATTACCAGAAATCTCTAAGTCCTCACTCCAACCAGAGGACCATAACGCCAGTACCAGCCCAGACCCCTGTCCATCACTTACAAAATACACATGGTATTTTTTTTCTGGAGTGTGCCATAACCCTATAAGACCATGGAAAAAGCACAAGCTGTTATAAGCAAGAGAAATACACTGTGGTATATAAGCTGAATCTGTATATTTCAATGATTTCTTCCAAGACTCACTATGTTTCATAGGTTTACTTTATCTATCTCCGTGCTCATACCAAAATGCCTTCGTTGCCATAGCCTCATTAAAATTTTATCATCTGTTAGAGAAGTTTTCTTCTCTGGAAATGTCTTGGATATTGTTAATCTTTTGCTCTTTCATTTAAGTTACAAAATCAGCTTGTTAAGTTTGTGAAAAATCCGATTGCATTTTGAAATGAATTTGACTTCTGGAGGGCCATATTTGTGTATGGAACAGCAGCTTGGATTACGGGTTGCTACAAACTAGAGATCATCATGGGAGTGAGGAGTAAACGAAAATTGAAGACAGTATTAAGAATGCATTTCTGATAACTAATATTTTTCCCTACAATGTTTTTACTATTTTAAAATAAATGTAAATGTTCATATACACAGATGTTTGAGAAGACAAGTGATAAAGGGAAAGAATGAGAAGGAAATATAGCTTGAAAATAAAGCCTGAAGGTTGAAGGATTATATTTTGGGTTTCTTTATGTTGATCTAGGAAAATTTGAAGGTACTTATAAGGAAAGAAACAAACAGAAAGGGTGAATGTAAAAACTGAGAAACAAGGAAGATGGTTGAAGCCACAACAGCCCGGTGAATATAGGGTGGAATAAAACTGAGAACATAGATCTCTCCCCCTGCCCCTTGTGTGTGTGTGTGTGTGTGTGTGTGTGTGTGTGTGTGTGTGTGTGTGTGTGTGTATGCAGTAGATTATGCTCAGCAAACAGAATTTCAATAGTTCACAGGATTAAAGAGGAAAAAGTTTCCATTAAAAATTAACCCCATAGAGTGCCTTTTTGTGTTATTGCTCTAATAGACTAGAGAGTCCAAAAATATGCCCTCACATTTATAATCAATTGATTTTTTGACAAGGGTGTTAAGACAATTAAATGGAGAAAGAATTGTCTTTTTTACATATGGTCCTGGGACACTGGATATCCACATGTGAGAGTTAAGCTGAATCCTTTTCTTACACAGTACATAAAAAGTAACTCCAAGTAGAAGATAGATGTAAATGTAAAAGTAAAGAGCATAAAACTCACAGAAGAAAATACAGGAGTAAATCTTCATGACATTGGTTCACAAAGCCCTCTTAGCCCTCCCATGCCACCAAAAGCATAAGAAAAAATTTAAAATATAGATAAGTTGGACTTCATCAAAATTAAAAATATTTGTTTTACTTTCATGATGACAGTGAAAAGACAGTCCCAGAAAATGGGAAATAAATGAATTATATCTCAATACAGTTGTAAAAACAAAGCAAAAAGAAAATAATTTTAAAACTAGAATCATGGTCTAGGCACTGTGGTACATTTTGCATGGGATCACAGATCTAGCATGACTTCCTCTTCAGTGTCAAGTCATAGTTTTACTTAGTCATTCTTTCTTTCACATCACCTCTCCCCATACATATGACCAATGACAAAACAGAAGAAGTCATCACTATGTACCCCGTGAATATGTAAAATTAACATTTGTCAATTAAAAAATAAAAATTTTAAAAGTCTACAAAAAAGAATGGTTGTCTTTCCATTAAACTTTTGGAGTATTTGTCTAACTCAGAATTTTACTAGGACTGAATGAAAATCCTGAGTACATAATCTTCTTACTTTACAAGTCAAAATTATCTACATGATTACTGTTTAATGATTTCATATTCAGTCATCCCTCTGTATCCCTGGGTTCTGCATTTGGTGATTCAATCAACTTTGGATCTAAAACGTTCTTTAAAGAAAAGAAACAACAAGTAGAAACAATATAATAATTTAAAAATGCAAATAAAAATATGGCATAACAGCTATTTACATATCATTTACATTATATTCGGTATTATAAATAATCTAGAGATGACTTAAAGTATACAGGAGAATGTGCATAGGCTTTATGCAGATACTATGCCATTTTATATAAAGAACTAAAACATCCATGGATTTTGGTATCTGCAGAGATATTAAGGGATGACTGTATTGCTGTCAGTTATAAAAATCAAGAATCCTACCCATTAGTTCCTCAAAGAAAAAAACTTGCAGCATATTTCTTAGAACTGCTTTAGATATAGCTTAGTTAATTAAGTTATAGCTTGTAAAATATTGCTTCCAGATGGTAAATTAACTCTTTTTGAAATTAACATTTTAATAAATGACTCCCCTTGGGAAAATAAGAATATAGGCTTAAGTAGATTTAAACTTTCCCTTCAATTCTTTTACCAAGATTACTAATACTCCCTAAAGAACTATTAATTTTCTAATTTGTTCATTTTTGTTACTTAATATACCAGTGGGAATACTATATCTTTGGCCATGTCTAGACATACAGATGGTTTTGATAAATTCATTTGAAAAGAGGTTGAGTTCAGGGAAATGGCCAATTAATTTCTTTAAACTGAACATATTGTCTTCTAAAGAATTTTACAAAATCATCTTGACAAAATTATTCACCTTTCAACTGGTTATTTTGGCACCATGTAACCCAAAAACTTCTTGTTCAAGGATGTGAGTCTGATATTAGTTCCACAGATACTTGACAGAGTCCTGCATTTGGGGGAATGGAGAAAAGCTTTTTTTTAATGACCATAAGGTTAAATATTACCAAATACACAGTCCATCATTTTCACAAGGAAAATCATGTCCAAAAATCTAAGCACTATTTTATTTCTAGAGGAAATAGATGTTGTTGAGGAGGCCACCTAGGATTTATTCTTTAAACTATACACTGGAAAAATCTTTAAATCAGGACAAATAATAAGCATGATGACCAAAGGTGCAGCTTACTAATGTGGCAAAAAGTAATGCTTCGCTTGCTGCTATTAAAAGATGAGATTCAGAAAATAACAAGACTCACTATGCACCTCTTGAAAGATACAGATACAATTATCTCTTGTTTCCCTTATCAGACATATTTCTGGATTATAAATTGAGAAAGAGTATGCATTGCTTACGCATGATCCTAGAACATAATCTTGCTTGTTCCTTTACTCATTCATTTATTCAGCAAATGTGAGAATAAATATTTGGTGAGCAACTACCATGTGGCAGTTCAAAATTAAGTGAACAATTTATAGAAATCTTATATAATTCTCAGAATGATTCTATAACATAAGACACTGGAGCCCAATAAAATTACATAATTCATGCAACATCCCACACTTTCCTTAATGACATAGCCAAGATAGAAAAAATTTCCTCTGACTGTAGGGCATTTGTTTTCTACTTTGCTAACATTTCTTTAAAGACATTATTTTATTTTAATTACAAAATATTTTATACATTCAGAAAAAAATAAAAACAGCATGTCATCCAAGAACCAAATTTAAGAGAAATTAACACTTCACCACATTTGCTTCAGATCTTTTTTAAAAAAGAAATTGGATGTTATACATGTTATAGATTTGGCTATAACTATTTCCCCTTCCTGATTTCCTAGAAGTATCCACTGCCCTATAAACACTTTATATCATTCCTATGAATGTTATAGTAGCCAGTGTCTATGTATTTATACATAGTAATATTGTTTTTTGTGTTTAAATTTACATATGTTTATGTTACAAATCTGCAACTTCCTTATGTAAACAATATGCTACAAATCTGCAACTTCTTTTTTCACTTGATATTTTATCTATCATGCATCCATTTTGATATATGAATATTTGATTATTTATTCTTTAACCAATACATTATATTAGCATGCATTTAAAATTTTTCAAATGCCTATATTTTGACCATCAAGTTCTACAACTTATTACAATTTAATTCCAATTTTGTTGAGAGTTTCTTGGTGGCCAATGCATGTTTGCTTTTTAAAACATTTGGTTCTTGGGAATAATGTGTTCTCTGTTTCACACACATTTCATGTATGGCCATTATATAAAGTTTATAAATTGTATGGTTCAAATTCTGTATCTTGAAACCAAATTTTTGTCTGCTAAAGCAACTAATTTTTAAAATTATATGAAGTAGTTAAAAATCTTTCTCTATGATTGCATATCTATCCATTTCTATTCATAATTTTTACTTCATGTATATTACAGTATGTTGCTAGGGTCATATATCATCAAAATCATATCTTCCTTTTATCATGTAATGCCCTGTAATCCATAATAATGTATTGAATTTAAAATCTATTTTTTTGTAATCTTTTGTAACATTGTTATTACTATCTTTTATAAACAAGGTATAGCTGAATTTTATAGTTTTAACCAAAGTGAGAATTTGCTTTACCCTGTGATTTCATCTGTTTGTGTTTATGATGGTTCCTTGTAGTAGATGTATTACTCTCATATTATTGTGCGCTGTTTAACAATGTTTTTCCTTTTTCATTATTTTTCTTTTTCCCTCCATTTTATTAGATCGATGAGTATCCTTAATTCTATTTTTATTCCTTAATGTTTTTAAAATATGCATACTTCTATTCACAATAGCAAAGACATGGAATCAACCTAAAGGCCCATCAATGGTAGAATGGATAAAGAAAATGTGGTACATGTACACCATGGAACACTATGCAGCCATGAAAAAGAATGAGATCATATCCTTTGCAGGAACATGGATGGAGCTGCAGGCCATTATCCTTAGCAAACTAAGCAGTAACAGAAGACCAAATACTACATGTTCTCACTTGTAAGTGGGAGCTAAATGATGAGAACATATGGCCATGTACATGGGAACAACAGATCCTAGGGACAACCAGAGAGTGGAGGGTGGGAGGAGGGAGAAGATCAAGAAAAATAACTAATAAACTAATAAGTACTAGGGTTAATACCTGGGTGATGAAATAATCTGTACAACAAACCCTCATGACACGAGTTTACCTATGTAACAAACCTACTCATGTACCCCTGGATTTAAAAGTGAAAAAAATATGCATACTGTAACTGAAAAGCTTTAAGTTAAATCAATAATATTACTCACTTACTGAATAACAATGAGAACTTTTAATTACTTTGATTCTTATTATAGCCTTTTCCATTGTTCATATTGATCACGTACCATCATTCAGAGTGGGAGTTAACACTATAAATGAAAAGAAATGTAAAGGTGTTATGCAGAGATGAACAGAGGTACAGAATGGAGACAAAATCCTGATGGTATTTCAGCTGATTTCTCTAGCTAATTCCTCAGGTCTGGTGGAATTCTCTTCCTTGGGCTCTATAAAAAACAGTATTACATAATAAGTCCTGCTCTTTGATTAAATTAGTATGAGTAGAATCTATGTCTCTTGGATAAAACTAGATTTTTGTCACTTTTAAACTAAAACAGAAAGCAAAAGAAAAATAACAGCAAGTAATTAGGTGAAGTTAGAGATAGCACATCTATACAAAATAAATGCTTCGATGCCGTGTACAATTCCTGGAGATGGTGCAAAATTTAGCTGTAATATTTCTAGGTGCTTGAGTAAAGAGTAAAGTAAGATCATCTTAAAGATATGTTAGTGTCCATAACATAAAATGTGTTAGTTGCTAAAAAAAAAAAAAAAAAAAAAAAAAAAAAAAAAATCAGATTATCCAGTTACTATCACCTGGGGAAAAAAAAGTCCTACAGCTAATCACAAAGCAACTACCATGTCATGTGGAAAACTCTGTAATAAAAAATTATCCCTATAAATATCTGAGTTGTGACTTCGATTATCCTTGTGTTAAGTTAATGTGGTACATTTGTTAGTATGATTTGAACAAAGATAAATTTGGGACTAATCAGAGGTGTAAGTCATTTGTTCTCATAACACAGTTTCTGTTAAATTCAAATGGAAGAGCACTCAAAGTTCTAATAGTAAAAACTCTAAAGGCACATTTATGAAGTTAATACACAAACACCATTGGAAAGTTTGAGTTCTAGCAATAAAGACTGACATGCTTGGCTGGGCACGGTGGCTCACGCCTGTAATCTCAGCACTTTGGGAGGCCGAGGAGGGAGGATCACAAGGTCAGGAGATCGAGGCCATCCTGGCTAACGCGGTGAAACCCCGTCTCTACTAAAAATACAAAAAATTAGCCAGGCATGGTGGTATGAGCCTGTAATCCCAGCTACTCGGGAGGCTGAGGCAGGAGAATGGCGTGAACCCGGGAGGCAGAGCTTGCAGTGAGCCGAGATCGCGCCACTGCACTCCAGCCTGGGCGACA
The DNA here is from genome assembly GCF_000001405.40 of Homo sapiens. Classification (NCBI taxonomy): domain Eukaryota; kingdom Metazoa; phylum Chordata; class Mammalia; order Primates; family Hominidae; genus Homo; species Homo sapiens. The sequence goes on along the minus strand of NC_000003.12, from coordinate 152,545,739 downwards.
AAGCGAGACTCCGTCTCAAAAAAAAAAAAAAAATAGATAATGGTCGTCAGTTACATCCATCTTGCTTCAAAAGACATGATTTCTTTCTTGTGGCTGAATAAGTATTCCATTATAGAAAGATAGAAAATAGATAGATGATAGATAGTTAGATACCACATTTTCTTTATCCAATTATCTACTGATAGACACTTAGTTGATTCCATATGTTTGCTATTGTGAATAGTGCTGTGATAAACATATGACTGCAAGTATCTTTTTGATATAATTATTTATTTTATTTTAAGTAGATACCCAGTAGTGGGATTGCTGGATCAAATGGTAGTTCTATTTTTAGTTCTTTGAGAAATATCCAGTTTTCCAGAGAGGTTGTACTAATTTACATTCCCACCGACAGTGTATAAGGGTTCCCTTGCATTCATGCCAACACCTGTTGTTTTTTTAACTTTTTAATAATCGCCCTTCTGACAGGTGTAAGATGACATCTCCCTGTGGTTTTAGTTTACATTTCTCTGATGACAGTGATGTTGAGCATTTTTTTATGTTAGTTGATCATTTGTATGTCTTCTTTTAAAAAATGTCTATTCATGTCCTTTGCCCACTTTTTAATGGGATTGTTTGTTTTCCTGCTGTTGTCATTTGAGTTCCTTGAAAATTCTGGATATCGGTCACCAGTCAGATGTACAGTTTGCAAATGTTTTCTCCCATGATGCAGGTTGCTGTTCACATTGTTGATTACTTATTTGGAATGCTTAGAAACTTTCTACTTTAATTACATCCTATTTGTCTATTTTTGTTTTCATTACTTGTGCTTTTGAGGTCTTAGTCATGAATTCATTGCCTAGACCAATGTCCAGAAGAGTATTCCTTAGGTTTTCTTTTAGTATTTTAAGAGTTTCAGGTCTTACATTTAAGTCTTTAATCTATTTTGAGTTGACTTTTGTATATGGTGAGAAATATGGGTCCAGTTTTATTCTTCTGCATATGACAATCCAATTTTCCCAGCACCATTTATTGAAAAAGGCGTCCTTTCCTCAGTGTATATTTTGGTCACCTTTGTGAAATATCAGTTAGCTATAGATACGTGGCTTTGTTTCTGGGTTTTCTATTTTGTACCATTGGTTAGACATCTATTTTATGCTACTGGTTTTTGTACACTGATTTCATATCCTGAAACTTTGTTAAATTAATGTATCAAATCTAAGAGATTTTTGGAGGAGTCTTTAGGGTTTTCTAGATCATATTGCTAGTGAACAGAAATAATTTGACTTCCTCTTTCCCAATTTTGATGCTTTTTATTTCTTTCTCTTTCCTGGTTGCTTTGGCCATGCTGTTTTGATTACTATAGCCCTGTAGTATAATTTGAGTTTACATAATGTAATGCCTCTAGCTTTGTTCTTTTTACTTACAATTACTTTGGCTATTTGGGCTCTTTTTTGGTTCCATATGAATTTTAGATTTTTTCCTAATCCTGTGAAAAATAATGTTGGTATTTTTGTTGAGATTGCTTTGAATCTGTAGATTGCTTTGGGCAGTATGGTCATTTTAACAATATTCTTCCAATCTCTGAAGATGGGATGTTTTTCCATTTCTTTATGTCATCTACAATTTATTTTGTCAGTTTTTTGTACTTTTCCTTGCAAATATATTTCACCTCTCTGGTTAAATAAATTCCAGATTTTTTTTTTTTTGTAGCTATTGTAAATGGGCTTGCCTTCTTGATTTGGTTCTGAGTTTGATTGTTCTTAGTGTATAGAAATGCTACTGGTTTTTGTACATTGATTTCATATCCTGAAACTTTTTAAAATTCATTTATCAAATCTAAGAGTTTTTTGGAGGAGTCTTTAGGGTTTTTGAGATCATATTGCTAGTGAACAGAAATAATTTTACTTCCTCTTTTCCAATTCGGATGCTTTTTATTTCTTTCTCTTTTCTGGTTGCTTTGGCTAGGACTTCCACTACTATGTTGATAGCAGAGGTGAAAATAGGCATCCTTGTCTTGTTCCTGTCCTTAGGGGATTGCTTTAAACATTTTTCCCCATTCAATATGATGTTGGCTGTGAGCTTGCTATATATCTATATATGGCCTTTATTATTTTGAGCTATGTTCCTTCTATGCCTAGTTTGTTGAGGATTTTTATCATGAAGGGATGCTGAACTTTATCAAATGTTTCTTCTGAATGTATTAAGATGATCATGTGGTTTTACTCTAAATTCTGTTTATGATGAATCACATGTATTGATTTGTATATGTTGAACCATCTTTTCATCCTTGGAATCAAACCCACATGATTATAGTGTATTATCTTTTTGAGACACTCATGGATTCGGTTTGGTAACATTTTGCTGAAGATTTTTGCATCTATGTTCATCAGGGATATTGATCTATAGTTTTATTTTTTCCTTGTGTCCTTGTCTGTCTTTGTTATCAGGGTGATACTGGCTTATAGAATGAGTTAGGGAGGATTCCCTTCTCCTCAATTTTTTGGAACAGTTTCAACACGTTTGGTACTAGTTATTTTATGTTTGATGGAATTTGTGCATTGTCCTGGGGTTTTTGGTTTTGTTGGAAGATTTTTTATTATTGATTCAATCTCACTACTCTTTCTTGGTGTGCTCAGGATTTTAATTTTTTTCTGGCACAACTTGGGAAATGGTATTCATTTATTCCTTCCATGTTTTTTAGTTTGTGAGTATATAATTGTTCATAGTAGTCTCATGATCTTTTGTATTTCTATTGTATCAGTCGTAATGTCTCCTTCATTTCTGATTATGTTTATTAGAATCTCTTCTCTAATTTTTTTGGTTAGTCTAGCAAACAGTTTATCAATTTTGTTTATCTTTTTAAATAATCATCTTTTCATTTTATTGATCCTTTGGATTTTTTTGTCTCAGTTTCATTTATTCATTTAGTTCTGCTATGATCTTTATTATGCCTTTTCTTCCACTCGCTTTGCTTTTGGTTTCTTCTTGTTTTTATAGTTCCCTGAAGTGCAACAGTATGTTGTTAAGTTGTGCTGTATTTTTTTTATGTAGGCTTTTAATGCTATAAGCCTCCCTTTTTGCGCTGTTTTTGCTGTATCCCACAGGTTTTGGTATGTTTTGTCTCCATTTTTATTCATTTCAACAATTTTTAAAATAGCCATCTTATTTCTTCATTGATTCAAAGATCATTCAAGGGCATGTTATTTAATTTCTACACATGTGTATAGTTTAAAGTGCTCCTCTTGATACTGCTTTCTAGTTTCATTCTGCTGTGGTCTGAAAATACACTTGATATAATTTTGTATTTAAAAATTTATCGAGACTTGTTTTTTGGCCTAACATATGGTCAGTCTATTTTGGGGACTGCTAACGAAAAGAATGTACATTCTGTGGTTGTTGGATAGAAAGTTCTGTACATGTGTGTTAGGTCCATTTAGTCTAAAGCCAAATTTAAGGCCAGGTGTGGTGGCTTACACCTGTAATCCCAACACTTTCAGAGGCTGAGGCAGGCAGATGGCTTGAGCCCAGAAATTCAAGACCAGCCTGGGCAACAATGCGAAATCCCCCATCAAAAATTAGCAGGGCACGGTGGCAGGCGCATATAATCCCAACTACTTGGGGGGCTGAGGCAGAAGAATCAATTGATTCTGGGTGGTGGAGGTTGCAGTGAGCCGAGATCGCGCCAGTGCACTCCAGCCTGGGTGACAAAGTGAGACTGCATCTCAAAAAAAAAAAAAAGTCAAGTTTTCAATTGTGTTTGTTAATTTTCTGCCTTGGATGATTTGTCTAGTGCTGTAAGTAGGGTGTTGAAATCTCCCACTATTATTGTGTTGTTGTCTATCTCTTTCGTTAAGTTAGTAATATTTGTTTTATGAATCTGGGTGCTCTGGTATTGAGTGCTTATATATTTGGGATTGTTATAACCTCTTGTTGAATTGATACCTCAATCATTATATAATCATCTTTGTCTTTTTTTTACTTTCTTTGACTTAAAGTCTGTTTTATCTGATGTAAGTATAGCTACCTCTGCTTGTTTTTTGTTTTCGTTTGCATGAAATAGATTTTTTCCATTTATTTACCATCAAGGTAAATTTCTTAAAAGCAATATACAGTTGGTTTCATAAGGTGAATTTCATAAGGTGAATTTCAAATTTCATAAGATGAATTTCTTATAAGCAGTATGCAGTTGGTTTATTTTTTAAAATTCATTATTCTAGTCTATATCATTTAAGTAGATCATTTAATTCATTTACATACAAAGTTATATTGATATTTGAGGTTGTATTTCTGGTCATAATGTTCATTGTTATATAGTTGTTTTGTGGATTCTTTGGTTTTTTTCTTCCCCCTACGTCTTTGTGGTTTGGTGGAGTTCTGTGATGTCATTTGATTTCTTTCTCTTCTTCCTTTGTGTATAAGACCTGTGAGTTTTTGACTTTCATGTGTTTTTATGATGGTAAATATTGACATTTTGTTTTTGTGTTTAGAACTCTTTCGAGCATTTTTTGCAGGTTTGGTATAGTGGTGACAAATTCCCTCAACATTTCCCCATGTAGGAAAGACTATTTCAGCTTCATTTATCAATCTTATTCTGCCAGGATAAAAAGTTTTTTGTTGACAATTTTTTTTTTCCTTTAAGCACTCTGAAAATAGTATCCCAGTCTCTTCTGGTTTGTAAGGTTTATTTCTGCTGAGAAGTCCACGGTTAGTCTGATGAGGTCTCCTTTATAGGTAACTAGATGCATTTCTCTTGCTGATTTTAGGATTTTTTTCCTTCACATTGACTTTAGTCAGTCTGATGACTATATGTTACGATGAAGTTTGTCTTGCAATGTATTTTCTAGTGTTTATTGGGCCTCTTGTACCTAGATGTCTAAATCTCTTGCAAGACTAGGGAAGTACTGAGTGTGGTGGCTCATGCCTGTAATCCCAGCACTTTGGGAGGCTGAGACAGGGAGATTGCTTGAGCCCAGGAGTTAGAAACCAGCCTGGGCAACATGGAAAAACCCCATCTCTACAAAAATATGAAAAATAGAAAAATTAGCCAGGCATGGTGGGGTGCACCTATTGTCCCAGCTACTCAGGAGGCTGAGGTGAGAGGATCATCTGAGCCCAGAGATGTTGAGGCTGCAGTGAGCCATGATCATGCCATTGCACTCCAGCATGGGGAACAGAGTAAGACCCTGCCACAAAAAAAAAAAAAAACAAAAAAAAAAACACTAGGGAGATTTTCATCAATTATTTCCTTAAATAGGTTTTCCAAATTTGTTGCTTTTTCTTCTCCCTTAAGAATACCAATGAATTCTAAGTTTGATTGCTTTATGTACTTCTATATTTCTTGAAGGCTTTGTTCATTCTTTTCTATTCTTTTCTCTTTATTTTTGTCTGAGTGGATCAATTCAAAAGATCTGTGCTCCAGTTGTGAGATACTCTCTTCTGTTTGGTTTAGTTTATTGTTGAAGCTTTCAACTGTATTTTGTAATTCTTTCTATGAATTTTTAATTTCCAGGAGCAGGAGTTCCAGGTTTGCTTGTTTGTTTTTTTTAAATCAGTCTCCTTGGTCAATTTCTTGATCATATACTGAATTGCCTTTCTGATTTCTTTTTATTGGTTTTCAGATTTCTTTTTATTGGTTTTCAGATTTCTCTGCATCTCATTGAGCTTCTTTAAAATCAATATTTTAATTTATTTATCTGGCATTTTAAAATGTTTATTTTAGAGAGGATCCATTGTTACAGAGTTACTATGTTCTCTTGGGGATGTCATAGAATCCTGCTTATTCATATTTCCAATATTATTATGCTGAGGCATCTGGAGAATCATTCTCTTATTATTATTTTTGAATTTACTTTCTTTGGTGTAGGACATTTTTTCTTGAAGGTGTGATTGTGATGTATGTTAAGTTGGGCCATATGGCTTTACTTTTGTTTATATTCAGTAGTATAGACTTTGTATGATTTCCTTGGATATGTGGTATCTTTCTCAAATGCCAGTTGTAGTATTGAGGTACTGGGGAGGTTGGCATGCTCAAAGTCTCCTGAATAGCAAGAATGGCATGGGCAATGGTGGTAGCAGAGGTCACATGAAGCTTGTCTCCTTCTTGAGCACTGTGCACTTGCATTAGCACATGTTGTAATGGGCCATGCAGATCAACCTCTAGGCCAGTAGGTGGTGCTTACAAGTGACAGTCAGCTGCAGTAGTGACAGTAGTGTTTATACTTGACCTTTGTTAATGAGGAGAAGTACTCTGATGTCCCAGGCAATGGATTGGACCGTAGAACACTCAGTAGTCCTGGTCCTGTGCTCTGCCCCTCAAGGGGGTGAGGGAGAGAACCTAGGCAGGGCTGGGCCAGGCATGCCTGCATTTGGGTCCCCTAGTGGTTGATGCAAGCCCCAGCCCCAATAGCGGATGGGAGCAGTCCATGGTCCCTGAAAAAATGCCCCAGCAAGAAGTGGAATAACTGCTGTCATGCCAAAGACCTAGCACAGGGAAAGAGGGCAGCTAGAACTCTACAGCCTAGCAAGTGGTAGTGGGACCTACTTTATTCTCATGCCTCCAGCCTGGCAAGTCTCTCTCTCATGACTTGACACTGGCAGCAAGTTGAGGTAGTTAGCCAAGTAACAAAGCCTTCAGACCATGAATCCATACCAGGCCACAAAACACACAGCCAGGTCAAAACCACACCTCTCAGGGTAAACCCTTCCCAGTCCCGTCTCATTAGAGCAGAGCAAGAAACTTCAGTGCCCAAGGCTGGAGCCCATTCCACAATCACCCCTCAGTTCTGGATATGGAGTTTCCTCCTCTTCTCAAGACCAGATTGCAAATCCTGGCCTAAGACCCTCATAACAAGTGATGTCTACCTCTGCTAGTTGGTAGGTTCCCATGTGAGCTAGGATCAGAAATGGCATCCTTCTATCAGTGCCTAGGTCTGGGAGCATGCGTAGGATACTTCCCAGTGCTATTCTTTTTCACAGTCTCCTGACTGCTCTCCAAGTCAGATACAGGGTGAAAAAGGGTCAGGGAGCTCCCCTGTGGCCTGGATTGCCTGGATCTTCAGTGAGAATGTGTATCACAGAGACAGTTACTCCCTGTATCATGCATTGATGATTCACTCACAATTTTCTGCCAGACCCCACCAGATGAGCTGCTGCCTGCTTTCTTTTTCTCAGTATCTGAAGTTTTCTTTGCCTTTCATGTTGAACTGCTATGTTTTTTCTTGGAAAAAAGCTCACAGTGTAGGTCAGGGAGGGCAAGATGGCTGACTAGATGGAGCCAGGTGAAACAACTCTCACCGAGGGAACGAGACGACTGGCACACTCCTAACAGATCTTCAGAAGGAAGGCACTGAGAGTGGATGGAGGGAAGACACAGAAGCTGTGCTGAAGTGGGAGAAAGCTGGGAACTCTGCATGGGACTACCATGCATCAGGACTTGTTTCTGACCCACAACAGCTCCAGGGGAACAAGTAAGTTGAACTGGCAAGGAGCAACTTACTCTTACCATGGGCCTCTGAAACCCCTGCAGGAGGAAATCCCTCGACCACCACAGATACTCGAGTTGTCAGGAAGAGCTGCTTGGAGAAGTGGTAGGAGCAGCAAGCAAAATGATGTGGAGCCCAGAAGATTTGGTGTGGGAGCATCTATAGAGGGCATGCTCAAGGATGGCCATCTCCCTAGGCTCAACTTGCTCCCAAAGGAGACTTTAGCCCTAGGGGAATTGTCTGACTGCTCTGGAGAGCGGTCTTGCCCATCAGACAGGGGTAGTCCAACCTGAGCACCCCTTGGGCTGTTGGCCTTTCGTGGGAGTGGGGGACAGCCTCGCCATACCTCTTGCAGGGGAGTCTCAGGTGCCCTGGGGGCCTGCACCATAGCTTCTGCACTGGCCGACCATGACTGACCTGCCAACAGCTTTAGCTTGTGGACCCCTACAGCCACTCACCAGTCCCCATGTTCCCTCCCTATACTGCAGCTTCCCTTGGGCCCACGGAACTCCCCACATTGCTTTGCTGGCATGTGTTTGTGAAAGCAGGTTTTGCTTTCCTTGCCTTGCCAGAGCACAGGAGTGCAGTCTGCCCCTATTCCCCCTCCGACTTGCCAACTGCCATTGCAGATATAGTCTTGGCATGCACTGAGCCAGCCAGCATCGCTCCCACCAGTGCCCCACTCTTACACTAACACTGTGTGGAGAACAGCAGATCCCCCCCTATCCTGAGCAACCACTCCTGCTTGTGGGGCACAGAGAAGACACCCAGACCTGTGCCTGTCAGCACCTTACCCCCAAGCCACCACCATCTCCAGAATGACTATGCACAGTTGCCAGCAGCCCATCCCCATCAGGTGCATTGCCTCCACCACTGTGGTGAATGCCTGCAGGGAGGCAGGCACCCCAGCACCCACAAGCGCTCTGCCATACCTGCCACTACAAGGACGGATCCCACTGTCACCACACTATGAAATGCTTTGGCTGATACCACTCATCAGAGTATAAGAACCAGTGGTCTGGGAGCACTTAGCCACCTCCAACACTGTGGATTCCTAACCTCAAGAAGCCAGAGAACAAAGTCAGGTCCCGATACAAGTCCCCTGGAGCTACAGCATGCAGTCTAGGATTTGGGAACTGAGTGTTGCCCCACTAAAATCTCCCAGAAATGAAGTCAGTTGGCTGAATCCACCTTATACCACAATTAGACTCTGAAGGTCATCAAATAGGATAAAAGAATAAAAATCCTAAGGTCAGCAACCTCAAAGATTGAAGGTAGCTAAGCCCACAAAGTTGAGAAGGAATCAGCACAAGCACCCTGACAATTCAAAAGGCCACAGTGCCTCCTTTCCTCCAAATGACTGTGTCACCTCTCCAGCAAAGGTTCTGAACAGGGCTGAGATGGCTGAAATGACAGAAATAGAATTCAAAATATGGATAGGAATGAAGATCATTGAGATGCAAGAGTACCAAATGTTGATACCCAATCCAACAAAGCTAAAAATTGTAAAACAATGCAGGAACTGAGAGACAAGATGGCCATATAGGAAAGAACATAAGTGACCTGATAGAGCTTAAAAACACACTACAAGAGTTTCATAATGAAATCATAATTATTGACAGCAGAATAGATCAAGCAGAGGAAAGAATCTCAGAGCTTGAAGCTTGGCTTTCTGAAATAAGACAGTCGGAAAGGAATAGAGGAAAAAATGAGAAGGACTAGACAAAACCTCCAAGCAATACGGGGTTATGTAAAGAGACAAAATCTGTGACTCACTGTTGTCCCTGAAAGAGATGAGGAGAATGGAACCAATTTGGAAAACGTATTTCAGGATAGCATCCCTGAGAACTTCCCCAACCTAGCTAGCGAGGCCAACATTCAAATTCGGGAAATGCCAACAACCTCAGTAAGATGCTTCACAAGAAGAACATCCCCAAGACACATAATCATCAGATTCTCCAAGATTGAAATAAAAGAAAAAAATGTTAAAAGCAGCTAGACAGAAGGGTTAGGTTATCTACCAAGGGAAGCCCATCAGACTAACAAGTGAACCACTTAGGAGAAACCCTACCAGCCAGAAGAGATTGAGGGCCAATATTCAACATTCTTAAGGAAAAGAAATTGCAACCTAGAATTTCATTTCTGGCCAAACTAAGCTTCATAAGTAAGGAAAAATAAGATCCTTTTCAGACAAGCAAATACTAAAGGAATTCACTACCACCTGACCTGCCTTACAAGAGCTGAAAGAAGCACTAAACATGGAAGGAAAAGATGTACCAGCCACTACCATAACACACTGAAATTCACAGACCAGTAACACTATGAAGCAACCACATATACGAGTCTGCAAAATAGCCAGCTAACATCATGATGACAGGATCAGATTCACACATATCAATACTAACCTTGAATGTAAATGGGCTAAATGACCCAATTAAAAGACACAGAGTGGAAAGTTGGATAATGAAGACCCACTGGTATGCTGTCTTCGAGAGATTCATCTCACATAGGCTCAAAATAAAGGGATGGAGAAAAATCTACCAAGCAAATGGATAATAGAAAAAAAGCAGGGGTTGCAATCCTAGTTTCAGACAAAATAGACTTTAAACCAACAAAGATCAAATAAGGCAAAGTGCATTACATAATGGTAAAGGGTTCAATTCAACAAGATGATCTATCATAAATACATATTCACCCAACACAGGAGCACCCAAATTCATAAAGAAAGTTCTTAGAGACCTTCAAAGAGATTTAGACTCCCACATAATGGCAGTGGGAGAATTTAACATCCCACTGACAATATTAGATAGAGTATCAAGACAGAAAATTAGTGAAGATATTCAGCACCTAAACTCAGCACTGGATCAAGTGGACCTGATAGACATCTACAGTACTCACCACTCAAAAACAATAGAATATACATTTTTCCCATTGCCACGTGGCACATATCCTAAAATATATCCCTGAAAAGAAATACGCAGCCTAGTTATAATATGGATTCATTGATCTTTTGAATGGTTTTTCATGTATCACATAATCAGAAGAAAACACTCCTCAGAAAATACAAAATAACTGAAAGATAACAAACAATCTCATGGGCCACAGCACAATGAATTCACTCAAAACCATACAATTACATGGAAATTGAATAACCTGCTCCTGAATGACTTTTAGATAAATAACAAAATTAAGGTAGAAGTCAGGAAGTTCTCTGAAACTAATGAGGACAAAGATAAGGCATACCAGAATCTCTGGGATACAGTTAAGGAAGTGTTCAGAGGGAAATTCATAGCAATAATGCCCACATTAAAAAGTTAGAAAGATCTCAAACTAACAACGTAAAATTGCAACTGAAAGAATTTAGAGAAACAAGAAAAAATCAACTCCAAAGCTAGCAGAAAAAAGAAATAACCAAAATCAGAGCTGAACTGAAGGAGACTGAACACGAAAAACTATTCAAAAGATCAATGAATCCATATTATAACTAGGCTGTGTATTTCTTTTCAGGGATTTTTCTACCTTCAGGGTTAGATATAGTTTAGTTACTATTACCATAGTCCACCCATAGTTTTACATATACAATTTCTTGTAGAAAAATAGATTTTTCCATTTTACAAAAGCATTTTAAATGTAGTTTGAATATTTTCCACAAGATGCTGCAATAGGTGTTATCACTTCATTTATCTTAAAGACAAAGCTAGTTGTCAGTTACATATGACAGGAAAAAAAAAACCACTGTGTAACTAGGTTAAGTGGTAAAATAATCCAGGTATCAGTCAAAGGCGTTTTGCTGACTTTAATATTTTTTAACAGGAATTTAAGAAAATGTTACTGGAATTAAATATCTATATAAATTTATATATAAATAAATATATATTTTGTGTGTGTATATATATATATATACACACACAAGAATTTTCTTTGCTCTGTGTAGCTTAAACTACTACTCAAGCCCCTGAAGTTCTTAAGTATTATTTCTAATCACCAATAAATAAATGTATTTGTAATTCATCAGTTTAAGTTATTATTAGCTTTCATTCAAAGAAGATTACATTTAACAATGTAACTATAATCTCTCTTGAATTTGGTATCTTATTAATGAGTTGTAAAAAATGTAAAATCTAATTTTTTTAAAGTTCCATTTTCTTTTGTTTTTAGAGACTTTCTTATCCGTAAACATATATCTTACATATAATAAACTTTTCAAATCTTGTAAAAAAATCAACAAATCAGGAGCTGTTTCTTTGAAAAAATAGTAAAATACATAGATTGCTAGCTAGGCTAATAAAGAACAACAGAGAGAAGATTCAAATAAACACAGTCAAAAATGACAAGATATTACCAATCACCCCACAGAAATACAACCATTGGGGAATATTATGAACACTTCTATGCACATAAACTAGAAACTCTAGAAGAAATGGATAAATTCCTGGACACATGCATTCTCCCAAGACTGAACAAGGAAGAAGCTGAATCCCTGAGCAGACCAATAATGAGCTCTGAAATTGATCAGTAGTAAATAGCCTACCAACCAAAAAAGGCCCAGAACCAGATGGAGTCATAGCTGAATTCTACCAGATGTACAAAGAAGAGCTGGTACCATTCCTGCTGAAACTATTCCAAAAAAATTGAGGAAGAGGGATTCCTCCCTTACTCATTCTATGAGGCCAGTATCATCCTGATACCAAAACCTGACAGAGACACAACATAAAAAGAAAGCTTCAGGCCAATATCTTTGGTGAACATCAATGCAAAAATTGTCAAAAAACACTTGCAAATTGAATCCAGCAGCATATCAAAAATTTTATCCACCACAATCAAGTAGGATTTATCCCTGAGATGCAAGGTTGGTTTGACATATGCAAATCAGTAAATGTAATTCATCACACTAAAGACAAAAACCACATGATTATCTCAATAGATGCAGAAAAGGCTTTTGATCATATTCAACACCTTTCATGTTAAAAACTTTCAATAAACTAGGTGTTGAAGGAACATACCTCAAAATAATAAGAGCCATCTATAACGAACCCACAGCCCACATCATACTAAATGGGCAAAAGCTAGGACCATTCCCCTTGAAAACTGGCACAAGGCAAGAATGCCCTCTCTCAGCACTCCTATTCAACATAGTATTGGAAGTCCTGGCCAGGGCAATGAGGCAAGAGAAGGAAATAAATGGCATCCAAATGGGAAGGGAGGAAGTCAACTATCTCTATTTGCAGATGACGTGATCCTGTATCTAGAAAACTCCATAGTCTCAGCCCAAAAGCTCCTCCTTCAGCTGATAAACAAGTTCAGCAAAGTTTCAGGATACAAAATCAATGTACAAAAAATCACTAGCATTCCTAACAACCAGCAACAGCCAAGCCAAGTGCCAAATCAGAAAGGCAATTTCATGTACAACTGCCACAAAAAGAATAAAATACCTAGGAATACAGCTAACCAGGGAGGTGAAAGAGCTCTACAAGGAGAACTACAAAATGCTGCCAAATGAATCAGAGATGACACAAACAAATGGAAAAACATTTCATGCTAATGGATAGGAAGAATCAATATCATTATGGCCATACTGTCCAAAGCAACCTATAGATTCAAGGTTGTTCCTATTAAACTACCATTGACATTCTTCACAGAACTAGAAAAAACTATTTTAAAATTCACAGGGAACCAAAATGATCACAAAATAGCCAAGACAATCCTAAGCAAAAGGAACAAAGCTGGAGGACTCATGCTACCCAACTTCAAACCATACTACAGGGATACAGTAACCAAAACAGCAGGATACTGTTACAAAAACAGAAACATAGACTAATAAAACAGAATGGAGAACCCAGAAATAAGGCCACACACCTACAACTATCTGATCTTTGATAAACCTGATAAAAACAAGCAATGAAGGAAGGATTCCTTATTCAATAAATGGTACTGGGATAACTGACTAGCCATATGCAGAAGATTGAAACAGGGCCCCTTCCTTACACCATATACAAAAATTAACTCAAGGTGGATTAAAGACTTAAATATAAAACCCAAAAGGATAAAAACCCTGGAAGACAACCTAGGCAATATCATTCTGAACATAAGAACTGGCAAAGATTTCATGACAAAGACACAAAAAGCAATTAAAACAAAAGCAAAAAAATGACAAAAGAGATCTAATTAAAGAGCTTCTGCACAGCAAAGGAAACTATTGACAAATTAAGCAGACAACCTACAGAAGGGGAGAAAATTTTTGCAAACTATGCATCTGACAAAGGTCTAATATCCAGCATCTATAGGGAACTTAAGCAAATTTACAAGAAAAAAAATCAACCTGATTAAAACATGGGCAAATGACATGAACAGACACTTTTCAAAAGAAGGCATACATGCAGCCAACAATCATATAAAAGAAAGCTCAGCATCACTGATCATTAGAGAAGTGAAAATCAAAACACAATGAGATACCATCTCACACCAATCAAAATGGCAATTATTAAAAAGTCAAAAAATAACAAATGCTGGTTAAGTTGCAGAGAAAAAGGAACAGTTATACAGTGTTGGTGGAGTGTAAATTAGTTCAACCATTGTGGAAGACAGTGTGGTAATTCCTAAAAGACCTAAAAATAGAAATACCTTCAACCCAGCAATCTAATTACAGGGTATATGCCCGAAGGAATATAAATTATTCTGTTATAAAGACACATGCACACATATGTTCATTGAAGCACTATTCACAATAGCAAAGAAATGGAAAATCAACCTAATTGTCCATCAGTGGTGAATTGGATAAAGTAAATGTGGTATATATGGACCATGGAATCATGTCCTTTGCAGAAACATGGATGAGGCTGGAGGCAATTATCCTTAGCAAACTAATGCAAGAACAGAAAACCAAATACTGCATGTTTTCAGTTATAAGTGGGAGCTAAATGATGAGAACACATGGACACATACACGAGAACAACAGATACTGGGGCCTATTAGAGGGTGGAGGGTGGGAGGAGGGAGAGGATCCAGAAAAATAACTAGTGGGCACTAGGCTTAATACCTGGGTGATGAAATAATCTGTGCAACAAAACCATGACACAAGTTTACCTATGTAACAAGCCTGCATATGTACCCTTGAACTTTGAATAAAAGTTAAATAAAGATTTTTTAAAAGGTAACAATGTGAATCTTTTCATATTATTTTGTATTTCCAAGTGGGCAAAGCATAACAACAAAGCTTCTATTCTGCTGTCTTAAAAAAAAGAAAAAAACACTATCACAGCTATTTTCAAATTTTACCCTATTGATATCAACCAACACAATTATATAATTGAAAGATGAGAGTCAGAAAAATTGAAAATTTGAGATTTTTTTCATTTTTATAGTACACTTAATCATATAATTGAAAATTCAAGATAAAATAATTTAGATTTTAAAATATTACAAATAGCCTAAATATTCAATTACAGATGTACCTCATTTTATTGCATTTCATTGCATTTTGCAGAGAGTGCATTTTTTACAAATTGAAGGTCAGTGGCAATCCTGCATCAAGCAAGTCTATTGGCACAATTTTTTCAACAGCATGTGCTCACTTTATGTTTCTGTGTCACATTTTTTTGTAATTCTCACATTGTTTCAAATTTTTATATCAGTATTATAACTGTTATGGTGATCTGTGATCTTTGATATTACTATTGTAATTGTTTTGGGATGCTACAAACTGCACCCACATAAGAGAGTGAAATTAAATGATGAATGTTGTGTGTGTTCTGACTGCTCCACCACTTGGCCATTCCCCCATCTCTCTTCCACTCGGCATTCCTACTCCCTAAGACACAACAATATTGTAATTAGGCCAAGTAATAACCCTACAATGGCCTCTCAGTGTTCAAGTGAAAGAAAGATTCACACATCTGTCTCTTTAAATAAAAAACTAGAAATGTTTAGTGAGGAAGGCATATTGAAGGCTGAGATCTGCCAAAAATTAGACCTCTTGCATCAAACAATTAGTCAAGTTGTGAAAACAAAATAAAAAGTTCTTGAAGGAAATTAAAAGTGCAACTCCAGGATGGGCACAGTGGCTCATGCTGTAATCCCAGGACTTTTAGGGGCCGAGGTGGGTGGATACTCTGAGGCCAGGAGTTCAAGATCAGCCTGGTCCAACATGGTGAAACCCTGTCTCTACTAAAAACACAAAAATTAGCCAGGCGTGGTGGCGGGCAACTGTAATCCCAGCTACTTGGGAGGCTTAGGCAAGAGAATGACTTGAACCCGGGAGTTGGAGGTTGCAGTGAGCCAAGATCGCACCATTGCACTCAAGCCTGGGCGACATAGTAAGACTCTGTCACAAAAAAAAAAAAAAAAAAAAAAAAAATAATCAACTCCAGTAGCACACAAATAATAAGAGGGTAAAACAGTATTATTGATGATATGGAGAAAATTTGAGTTGTCTGGATGGAAGATTAAACCAGCCATGACATTCCCAAAATCTAATCCAGAACAAGGCCATAACTCTCTTGAATTCTATCAAGACTGTGAGTGGTAAGGAAACTGCAGAAGAAAGTGATGCTAGCAGAGGTTAGTTCATGAGATTTTTAGGGAAAGAAGCCATCTTCAAAGCATAAAAGTGCAAGATGAAGCAGCAAGTGCTGATGGAGAAACTGTAGCAAATTTTCCAGAAGATCAAGCTAAAATCATTTATGAAAGTGACTACACAAAACAGCAGATTTTCACTGTAGATTAAGTAGACTGGCTGACTCTCTTGTTATGGGAAAAATGCAGCTAGTGAGTTGAAGTTAAGGCCAGTGCTCACTGACTATTCTGAAAATCCTAGGACCCTTAATAATTATGCAAATCAACTCTGCCTATGCGCTATAAAAGGAATAACAAAATTTGAGTGACAGCACATCTTCTTACAGTATGGTTTACTGAATGTTTTAAACCCGCTATTGAGACCTGCTACTCAGAAAAAAAGATTCCTTTCAAAAGACTACTGCTCAATAGCAATGCATCTAATCTTCCAAAAGCTCTGATAGAGATGCACAAGGAGATTAATGTTGTTTTCATGCCTGCTAACACAACATCTATTCTGCAGCCCATGGATCAAGAAGTAATTTTAACTTTCAATTCTTATTATTTAAGATATGCAATCTGTGAAGCTACCATTGCCATTCATAGTGATTCCTCTGATGGATCTGGGCAAATTAAATTAAAAACCTTCTGGAAAGAATTCACCATTCTAACTGCCATTTAGAACATTTGTGGTTCATGGAAGGAGGTCAAAATATCAACATTAACAGCAGTTTGGAAGAAATTGATTTCAACCCCTATGGATAACTTTGAAGGGTTCCAGCCTTTAATGGAGGAAGTAACTGCAGGTGTGGTGAAAATATTAATAGAAAGAGAACTACAATTTAAAGTGGAGCCTGAAAATGTGACTGAATTGCTGCATTCTCATGATAGAACTAACTAATAAAGAGTTGTTTCTTACGGATGAGCAAAAAAAGTGTTTTATTGCGATATAATCTACTCTTGGTGAAAATGTTGTGAACACTGTTGAAATGACAATACAGGATTTAGAGTATTCCGTAAACATAGTTGATAAAGCAGCAGCAGAGTTTGAGAGGACTGACTTCAATTTTGAAAGAAGTTGTGCTGTAGGTAAAATGCTATCAAACAGCCTCACATGCTACAGAGAAATATATCTTGAAAGGAAGAGTCAATCTATGTGGCAAACTTTATTGTCTTATTTTAAGAAGTTGCCGGCCGGCCACGGTGGCTTACGCCTGTAAGCCCAGCACTTTGGGAGGCTGAGGCGGGCGGATCACGAGGTCAGGAGATCACGACCATCCTGGCTAACACGGTGAAACCCCGTCTCTACTATACAAAATACAAAAAATTAGCCGGGCGTGGTGGCGGGTGCCTGTAGTCCCAGCTACTCGGGAGGCTGAGGCAGGAGAATGGCGTGAACCCGGGAGGCGGAGCTTGCAGTGAGCTGAGATCGCGCCACTGCACTCCAGCCTGGGCGACAGAGCGAGACTCCGTCTCAAGAAAGAAAAAAAGAAGTTGCCTCAGCCACCTCAACCTTCAGTAACCACCACCCTGATCAGTCATCAGCCATCCGATATGGAACAAGAACTTTCACCAGCAGAAGATGATGATGACTTGCTGAAGGCTTAGATGATTGCTAGCATTTTTTAGCAATAATGTATTTTTAAATCAAGCTATATATATTGTGTTTTATACACAACGCTATTGCATACTTAATAGGCTACAGTATACTATAAACATACTTTTAAGTACACTGGGAAGCCAAAATATTCATGTGACTCATTTTGTTGCAGGGGTCTAGAGCCAAACCCACAGTATCTCTGAGATATGCCTGTGTTTGGTTGCCTATAGAATCAATTAAGAAAGTACAATTGTCTTCCTGTAAACAAGTAGCAACAAGTTAGAGGATGAAATAGAAGGTAATATTCCCTTTGCAACAGCGTAAAGCAAATTAAATACATAAAAATAAATTGAATAGAAAAATATGATTTACATTTAAAAATCTATCTTTTCAGTTATATTTATCCTAATAATTTCAATAAACAAAGCATGATTAAATATATTGAAGTCTATGACTATGTGCCTTACAATGAATTCATGAAAATTTCCCTGATTGATTTCATGTGTTCCCATTCAGGATTGATTCATTCACTCTTTTATCCATCCATCCATTCATTTATTCGTACATTTACCTACATAACAAATGTATATAAGACCTACACTTTTCTGGGCACCAACATCCATAACCCAAGTATAAATAATGGGAATATTTTTCTTCAGTGTAACACATTTCTTTCCCACACATGCAAAATTGCCCACAGAAAAACAAATACCTGTATCTGAAATGAGAAATTGTTTTGTTCAGGTGCACCAACATAATTAACAGCATGGGTATATAGAATAAACATCATCAAAGATTATCAAAATGTATCTAGATTCAAATAGATAATCTGAGCCTGGTAGAGAAAATATAAGTGCAGAAAAGAATTCTGTTTAACTTGATAGGAAACCAACTCAGTATGTGCCAGAGAACTCAAAGTCTTGATGACAGTATTCCTTTTCTTGAGTAGCCCCCTGCACCCAACCCCAACTAGTTGGCATAATTCTGGATGTCCAGTCCACCAGCCCACTCTTGTATTTGTCAAAATATTTTCCTTTGGACCTAGAGATGAAAAAATTGTGAACTAGTATCTATTAAAAAAAGAGTTTTTAAGCCCAGATATAATTAAGACATGGAAAGTTCATGACTTCCAGAACAAATACTCCAATTACATTATGATAATTGGCCTCATTAGAATATCATTTTCTCTAAGCAAGGATAAATCTCTCCTACCTGTTAACTTCCTCTAATAAAATATCATTTCCCACATTCTAATATGGCTTCCATTCATCAGCGAACAGACATGAGATTATGAAATATTTGCCAAATTGTTCTGACCCTAAAGTATTACACTAGTCATAGTAATTAAGCCTGTCAAAAAAAATCCAAATTCTTAGGGATTTACAATAAAGATTTATTCCTCTCATGTCACAATCATGTTTCAATGTGAATCAGTCAGTCTTATTTGGCTATTACATAACATGATTATATATTAAATTATGTGTAACTGCATATAACATATAAAATATATACAATTAATATTATAAATATGTAGTATTATGTATTCTATATAATATATTGACTATAATTTTGTATATTATATAATGACATTATATTATACTATATTAAACTACATTATGCTATATTATATTGGCCTTAATATATCATCTGGAATACACAAAATCCCTGTAGCAGGGGTGGAGAAAAATGTCAGAACCACACTGGTTCTTAATTTTCTTCATCTGAAAGAACACATGTCACTTCTTCATATAGTCCATTTACTGGAAAACTAGTCACATGGACCCACCCTAACTAAAAGCAAGTAGGAAACAGAAAGGAGATAATGGGTATTTGGTGGACACTAATGGTTTCTCTTACAGATATATTCTCGGTTTAGAAGATTTAAAACTAAGAATGGAGTGCTTTTCCAGTTTTTTATGTATCAGAAAATTTGTCCTCCAAAGTCACTGCTGACTTACGTGAAGGAAATGGCAATATATTTCTCTCTTGAGCAAGTTTGTGTCTTAAAAAATTAATATCTTTCTCTCCACACCATAAAATTGCCCAACTATGGCTTCAACAAAGCCAGTGGGATATAATTAGCTGAGACACATTATAGCAATATATGGTCTAATTACTACACTAGCTTGTAGCAATTTAGGGGAAGGATAAGCTATCATGTGAGCAAGCAATCATGCATGTTTTAGACAAGCATTTTCATATCCATTTTATAAATAAATACTAAACCAAGGTTTGAAAAATTAATTGATGATTTAGTAGGGGTTATAGAACCAATATATAGAGGTCTTCTGACTCTAAATCCCAGACTTTTACCGCTAACATAGCTTAGAAGGCAAAAGGTTTCCCTAGGCCTTCAATACTGCCCTCAAAATTTCCTCTTTCACTGAGTTCCCTTAGAAATTCAGTGCCAGAGTGAAAGAGGCCTCACACTAGGCACATCCCCTCTTGCCCTATCCCGCCATACCTCATAGTCAGGACTAGCTTTCCCCACTGATTACTCATCAGAATCCTCTGTCCCATGTGCCCCTTCCAAAGAGCACTGATATCAACAAGGCACAACAAACACAAACACATGATGGAAGACATAACATAGTCAACTTAAAGAGAAACTCACTTTAACTGGAGAAACAATGACTTGAAATTCATACACAGTGGAATTGTGGGCAATATGACAATGCAGTCATCTGAGCAACCTACAAATCTCGTTAGGTAGGACATTATCTCTGCTGACTCTTCAGGAACTATCACATCCCCATTAGGTGATTGTACTGACTGACTGATCTAACTTTGACATTACAGTAATTCATCTTATATAATAAACATTATTATATATATACAAACATACATATATATGTTTTAACTAAATGTTTAAAATATACTTCTCAAGAGAAAAAGGAAAGTTATGAAATATTTAAACACCTGAACACAAAATGATTAAAAAGACACTATCAAATATTTAGATTTTATTTCTTGGCAAACGCAAAGCAATTATTCTTGCATATTTAGTAATTTTTCCAGTATAATTATAAAACATAGATGAAGTCATAAAAAGTAATTGTTCTTATATTATGCTTTTATTATAACAGAAATAGCATGATGAAAAAGTTTATCAGACTTATTAATGTCAGGTATTAACATAAAAGTCATATAACATATAACAGTGTATTTCTAATATTAATAAGAATTTCTAATTCTTATTCATTTCTAATTGTTTTCTAATTCTTATTCATTTCTAATATTAATGCATGTTTCCATATTTATCATTGCCATTATTTTATTTTAGTGTAATTTGCATATTAAATTGATACCATTTTTGTTTAGTCCAATGTGCTGTAAAAGTTGCAGATGTTTATTAAAGAAGCTACTGCAGTTTGCATTGCCAACATTAGGTGGCAGTAGTTGTCTCTCTGTAATTCATAGAAGTTGTTTAACATGTTATTTATGTACTGTTGAAATGGTGTGTGCTTCAGTTCATTTCAAAAGTCTTTCTGTAGTAAAACAAAGATGTTAAACAGTTGATTCAAAATAAAATCAACTGGATTAAGGTTTTTAGAAGAACCAAATCACTGAAAACATTGTTACATTTGATTTTCTCATTTCATATAACTCAAAATAAAAATAGTTACAGTCATGCATTAGTTAATAATCGGATAGGTTCTGAGAAATGTATCTTTAGACAATTTTGTCATTGTGTGAACATCATACAGTATACTTACGCAAACTAGATAGCGTAGCCTCCTACACACCTAGTCATCATGGTATAGCCTGTTACTCCTAAGGTAAAAACCTGTACCAAATATTATTGTATTGAATAATGTAGCCAATCATAACTCAATAGTATTTGTGTATCTTAACATATCTAAACATAGAAAAGCTATAGTAAAAATACAATATTATCATATTTGGACCACTGTCATACATGTGGTCCATTATTGACCAAAACTTCATTATGCAGCATGTGACTATAAAACTTGCATGTGCACAGATAATTAAGATTGGGTTTATTTCTAGAATTTCTGCTTTCATAATTTTAGATAAATGTTTTAAAGCTAAATCATCTCAATGTCTCATGCTCTCTCTATCGATCTCACTCTTCTCTATTTATTTATTTATTTATTTATTTATTTATTTGTATATTTAGTGAGTATCCCTCTTTGTTCCTGTCCAGAGTACATGCTCTGGCAACTGGATAACCTTGTTTGAACCCAAAGACACACACTACGTAAGAACAATCCAAGTTATAATTCAGTGTTTACTAGTTTTCAATTCTGTGACGGTTAATGCTAATTTTTCAATGAATGAAACCAAAACATGAGTACACACATGCACACACACAGGGCTTCTTACTCCCTTTATTATAGTAACAGCAAATAAAAATGTCATAGTATTCTATTATAGTTAGAAAAAATTTTATTTAAATTTATTGTGGCTATATCAGAAATCCAAGCAAATTGATTATATTCAATATAGAACAGTATTACTAATTAGTATTATTAATAATACTAGTTATATATTATTATTAGTATTATTAATACTAGTTATATATTATTATTAGTATTATTAATAATACTAGTTATATATTATTATTAGTATTATTAGTATTAACAATACTAATAATAACAAAGGTATACTTGTCATTTGATACAAGAAAATTTTATATCTCAGACACTGGCAGAAACTTGAACCCTTATTCTGGAAGGTAGAGCTCGTGTCTATCTGTTCCACATTATATCTCTTGAGGTTAGAACAGTGCCTGGCAAATTCTTTGCCCTCAATAAATGTTTATGGATAAGCTGCAAGGACATTTCTGGGTCTCCTACTTTGAATCACAGTGTAGCACTTAGGGAATATACTTCAACTCAAATGGAACTAGATTTGAAACCCTAGCTCTGAGACTTACTAGCTATGGACATTGAGCAAGAAATTGGCATTTATTAACTTTTTAGAATATATTCATTATTAACATTAATTGAGCTTCAATTTTTTTATAGGAAAGAATGGAGGAAATAATGTGTGTAGAGCACCTCGTATAATGGGCACTAAAACTGGTGAATCTTATTATTGCTCACCCACAGTTATAATTTGTTAATCTGCATCCTGATGAAAGAATTTATGCAGACAACTGATATAATTTGGGTATTTGTCCCTGTCCAAATCTCATGTTGAAAGGTGATCCCTGGTATTGGATGTGGGGCCTAGTGGGAGGTGTTTGGTTCATGGGGGTGGATCCCTCATGGCTTGGTGCTGTCGTTGCAATAGTGAGTGAGTTTTCATGAGATCTGGTTAAGTGTATGGCACTTCCTGCCCCCAGTCTCTCTTTTGTTCCCTCTCTCTCCATGTGAGACATTTGCTACCCCTGTGCCTTCTGCCATGATTTTAAGTTTCCTGATGCCTCCCTAGAAGCAAATGCTGGTGGTATGCTACTTGTATACCCTGCAGAATCATGAGCCAATTAAACCTCTTTTCTTGGAAATTACTCAGTCGCAGGTGTTTCTTTACAGCAATGCAAGAATGACCTAATACAACAACAAGCTATGTTTTCCTCCAAAAAAAAAAAAAAAAGCATAATTCTAGAATCCATAAGCCTTATTTTCTCTCCAATGTATATTCATGGCACCCCTCAATTCTGATTTTGCAAATCCAATTTCAAAACCATGTTTAACCACCATTTAAAGACCAAATTTTTTGTAGGAAAACTTGGGGGTGACAACAGCTGGCTGTACCATAATTTAGATTGAGATTTTGCTTCAGTGCAATCACAGATCAAGTCAAATATATTCCTTTTTGCTCTCACCCTCTTAATACCCAGTAAATAGTCAGTGTGGCAGACAGGATTTGAAGATCACCCCTGAAATTCCCACTCTCCTTGTACAACCCTGTATAATCCCCACCCACCCTTTGAGAGTGGGTGGCATCTATGAATATACAGGGTAGCCAGTCCTTTGTTTAGATTAAGTTAAATAAAACTCAGTTGTGACAGACCAGAGATAGAGATTCCAGGCAGTAGCAGATGCTCCTCTGATGGCCTGGAAGAATCAAACCACCATCTTGTGGAGAAAGCCTTACGGCTGGTAATGGTAGGCCTTTAGGAGCTGAAGGCCTCAGTCCTACAACCATAAGTAAATGAATTCTGCCAACAACCAGTGAGCTTGGAAGACAATTTCCCTGCATCTCAGATGAAACTGCAGGCCTAACACGAACCTTGATTTTAATCTGGTGAAACCCTGGGCGAAAGACCCAGTTATCCCATACCTTGATTCCTGTAGCAAGAAAACTGTGAGACAATAAATTTACGTTGTTTTCAGCCACTATGTTTGTGGAAATTTGTGAGGTAGCAATAATAAACTAGTAGAGAGGTATTTAAGAAACATCTAGTTTATTAAAACATTTATCTACATATTCAAGTAATAATAGGAAATACATCTGAGCTTATCAGCATGCCTCACCTGAAGCAAAGTAAATGTCATTACCACGTGCAAAAGAAATAATTTTTAACTAATGCTAAATGGAAAAACAACAACAACAAAAACCCTAGAATAAAATTTAATCCATAGATTGCTAGCTCTGTTGAATAGTCAAGGAAAGTCAAAGTATGTTCTCCACCGAGAAGAGGGTTGTCAGGTGGCTAAAAATCACCCAACTCCTTGGGCTCAGAAGAAATACTTTATAAACTGAACATTCTGTAACAATTTGGCTTCAAATGTAAATCAGTCTTTTGGGAAGAAATTATGGTCTTCTGTGAAGTCTGGTATTTTTGTCTGTTTGATAATTAATCTTATTTGTCCTTGTAAAATAATAAATTTGAATTATCTGGAAGCCAAGCTTTCTCTCAACTGATATTACTGAAGGATTTCATTCACTTATTATTTCAAATGGAATAATGATATGATTTCATAAACCAAGTGCATATTTTATTTTCTTGTTTACGGGATGCACTTCCTAATACTCATGAAATATTTGGCAAACTGTGAAATGTAATGTTTATGTGCAGGTGCTCATCAGATGGTATATAGCCTGAAGACCAAACATTTATGTGAGGCAACAATATTGATCTTATTCTGATATTTCAGTCTGGTTCTGTCATCTTCAAAATATGCCTGACAAAAGAAGTTTTGAAAGTGAATCTGTAATAATTGTCAAATAACAGTGTCCTACAATGTATTAAAACTTTCCACTTTAATTAGTGACCATTTTTGAGATTTCAAGTACATGCAGGTGTTTGAAATGTAGGAACTGGAAAATTATCAGCAAGGTTGAAATAATGATTAGAGCTAACGTTCATTATGTTTTTTTCCATGTGTCAGGTACTGTATAAAGCAGTTTATATGGATTAGCTTATTTAATTTTTAACACAATTTTGTTATTTTGGCCATTAAATAGAAGACAAAACTGAGCCAGTGACAGGCCAAGTAACTTGACCAACTTCATAAAGCTAAAAAATTGTGGGCTAGGAGTTAGACCTAAGCAAACATAGTCAAGCTGTTTAATACAGTATACATGTTAGATATTGCATTGCCTAAATGAATGGCAAATAATGCATAATCATTAACTAAAGAAGGTATCTGCTGGTTAGTGAGAGAATTTGTCTATTTTCTATTAACGAAGTTTCTAAATTTGAAATAACAATTAAGTGAGGTTTAAAACGGTCAGTTTTACTCCTTTCCAGATCTCTAAATTCACTAGCAACTTCCCTCAAACAAATATCATTTTTTTTTGCATATTCCTGCAAGAATAGTCTATTCAAATATAAATAAGTATAATATGTATGTTTTTTACACAAATAAGACATTTAGACACTGCTCTGTATCTTCAGTTTTTTTCACTTAACAATGTACCTGGGAAATGATTCTATATTAACATGATAGATCTAGGTTTGTTTTTAATTAGAAACTTATCAGCTTACCACTATGAAAAATAGTGGAGTTCTCAAAAATAGCAGAACCTTCTTTTTTTCAAGCCTGCAAAATGAAATATAAGAGAGGAGAAAAAGCATTTTATCTCTCACCCATAGACTGGTCTAAAATTTTCATTTTACAGACAGAGAAAATAATACTAGTTAAGCCATGAGACCAAGTTTAAGGATGCTATTTCTCAAATTACTAAATTCTTTTCTAAGGGTTACTATTATAATTTTAGTTTCAAAGAGGACTTTCATTTGTTTTATAAACATTTTCCATTTTCACCCCTCCCTTATGTGTTTAAAAAAGCAAATTCCAATTAGTCACCAGACGACTGAATCACAAAATCTCCTTATCCATTCTGTAACAAATCAAGAAATGCAATGCTATGCTCATCAAACATTCTGAGAATCTTAAAACCACATTATATTAGTTTTTATTCAATAATTGTGGTTATATGTTTGTGTGCTTGTCATTCTACATTCAATAATTTGAATAGCCAAAGCCCTTGAGGGTCAAATTTGGATTTTTCTTGGTTTTACTGGCTCTTTCTCATTGTGGCCTTATGCCTTCTATGCTTTGTAATTTGGATTGTGAATTTACTTAAATGACTAGCTTCATCAGTGGGAATTCAATGAGGTCTCTGATGACTGGGCATCTCTTTAGAGAGTATTTGCTTTGGTTTCTACCAGGTGTTCTGAGTTTCTATCAGTCTAGAACCACATAAAGTCAATTGTCTGGTTTGGGGTTTATCAGACATTACAGATAAGTGAAAGATGAATCCCAACCCCCAAGATTACTTTTAACCCAGAGGCTACACCAAGAGTGATTGATTTCCTTATTATTTCTCTTTGCTGGGGAGCAGATTTTACAAGTCTATTATTCTTTGAGAATGTGGCCTTTTATGGCTCTCAGGTGTATATGGATCCCCTGCTCAAAATCTCCGTTTTTGAGTGTACTAAGACCTCATTTCCTGTCCTATGTGGAGCTGCAAAAAGCCAAGGCATTGGGACATAGAGATTTGAAGATATACTCATCAGAGATGATGTCAGGTGTTATGATAGCCTACTTTGTTTCTCATTCTGTGGGAATGTCCTTCTACATCTTATGAATCAAGCTTTGCATTTGAAAATAAGGTGATCATATTTTACCCAACATACATAAAAAGTTTTAGAGTGGGAGATTTTTCAAAAAGTTAGTTATATAACTTTACTAAAAACAGAAGATCCAAAAAGTCTTTAGGTTGCTTTTTTTTTTTTTTTTTTTTTTTTTTTTTCATGAATCTGCTAACCTCTGGCCATCGGATGAACTTCTGAGAATAGCACTCTAATGCCCCCCTTTCCGATATTATATTGTAAAGTATAGTAAATATTGTGCACTAGACAACAATGGATGGATAGGGAAAATGAGAGGGTTCGGGGGATTGAATAAGAGTCTTACATATGGTATGGAGGAAGGGTTTGGATTTGGCCTTCAGACCTTGGATAAGCCAATTAGCTTTTGAGTAGGAATAATAGAACTTAATCTACAGGCTTATCTTAAGAACTAAATTGAATAATTTATGAAAAGCTATCTGAATACTAGCTACTCACTTATATCAATTGAATTGAGCAGTTATAAGATAGAGGATTTGACGACTGATCAAGAAAAAAACATGAGCACGAGGTGGCAGTAGTATATAAGGGCCTTTACTGAGTTGTATTAATACTTTGACAGGTTGTAAGAGAGGGGAAGTTTTTGGTGGCAGCAGACTTGCCAGAAACAACTGGATGGGGCCACTACCCAGAGAGGTGGAGGTCAAGGGGACAAGGGAACCCTCAGCTAGAGGGGAATGAGAGAGGAGGCTTACATGTCAGGGTGATGTCATTCAGCAGCAAGGAGGAGAATCTCTGTCACAGAGTTGCCAGGAGGAGCAGGGATTTGGCATCTTTCGTAACTCCAGGGTTTATTTCATCTTTGACTGGTAGATATTTGGTGTAGTTTCATGGAGTATACAAAGTAGGCTGTTTGAATGGCTAAAAAATATACTTACTTGGGTAATTGCTTTAAAGCAATCAAATGTGTAAACATTTGAGTTTGGTGCTGGCAGTGGCAGAATGTGAGCGAATTGTCCTAGCCTACTGTGAAGAAGTAAACGTTGGTCCCAATATAACCAATTGGCATAGCACATACCTATATTTGTGGACATACACACACATCCAGGATGCAAATTGCCATCCTGATATCCTGCACTCATTATTTTTCATTTGTTGCCCAGATCCATTCTCTGTATTCTCTGTCTTCTTTTGTCCCCCAGGAAGATGACCACTCTCCAGAGTACACTCCAGGCTTCCTTATCCTCTGGCTTCTGTGTGTCACTAGCTGGAGATCAGGGGTGAGAGGACAGAAAGGTTGGGATATTGATTCTTTCTGCTCCTTACTGCCTCACTGTTCCTGGCAGTGGCTGCATTCTGTTCAGAGCTGTTGTCTCTGCAGCATCTCCATGACCGCTCCATTCCTTTTCCCTTCCAGAATAGTGGTGTCTCTGGCATTCTGCTCTTGCTAATCCCTCAGTGTCTCACTCTCTTATGTTGATTCCCTTAAATCTGCACATGACTAAACTCTCCTCTCTTATATCTTTGAGTGAGTGAGCCATCTCACAGCTAGAACTCCTTATTAAATCACACTAAACAGCGTCTCTGTTGATGGAAGGGAAGTTTCTCTTTAAGTATTGCAAGCTATGTATTTAAGCTTTAAGGTATTTTTAAGTACATAATACATTCACATGGCTCAAAAAGTGAATAGCTATAAAAGTTAAAAGTAAAAAATGTTCCTTTCCTTCCAACCTTGTCCCTCATCTAGCCAGAACCTCCTTTTCTACATAGAAATCTCTATTCTTAGATTCTACGGATCTTTTCAGAGTAATGCATATTCAAGAGGATATAAATATAGATTTTTATTTTCTCTTATTTTTCACAAAAGGTATATTATACATACTGTTCTAACTCTTGGGTTTTTTTCACTATATAGTTTCTAGGATTATTATTATTTTTTACAGCCATGTAACACTCCACTGCAAAAATAAATCTTAGGTTATTTAGCCACTCCTATTGATGGATTTTACATTTATTCTAACAATTAGCTATTATGCAAAAATATTACAAAGAATAATATTGAGCCTATATCATTTCATATATATACAAGTACATCTAGAGAGTATATTTCCAAAAGTAGAATTGCTGGGTCAAAGGCTATATGCATTTACAGTTTTGATAAATGTTGCCAAATTTTTCTTCATAGAGGTCATACTAATTCACGCTTCCCTCAGCAATGAAGAGCTCTTTCTTCCCCATAACCTCACCAAAGCAGTATGTTGTTAAACTACTTTCTCCTGTAAATCTCTCTGGCACCATCTTACACTCCAGAGAGTGGGGCAGAAGGTTTACACAAAATTGTAGATAACAAAAAGAAAAAATACTCCAGGTGAAAAAATTAATTTTAATTTAATATGATCAATTTAAATACTAGATACAGAAGAGGAGCTATAAATCACTCTTTTCAATGATTATCACTATATTGTCTCATTTATTTTCTGCTTAATATTACATTTATTTGCCCCAAATGCCTCATTTATTTACGCTTCAAAGAGTGGCAATGAAAGAGGCGATGAGGGAGAATTGTGGGGGTTTTTTAAAGTATCTTTTTCTTTTCTGATGAGTGCTCTATGCTCAAAGAGACATAAACAAATTTATTAGTCCTCAGGGGAAAACATGTAGCAGTTCCTCTCCTTTCCTATTTCCCCAAGGAGTTGGTCACAAAAAATTCATTTCTCTAGCTCGGAGCTGAAATATCTGGCTGGTGGTGTTGGTGGTCCCATGAGAGCTGTTGCAAGACATGAATAGAAGAAAAACAGTTCCTTCCCTCTTAATGTACTCACTGGTTAACCTTCTGTATGTGGTTATGCTAGTGAAACATTAAATTTATCTCTACTCTGATCTCTATACTGGCCACCATTAATACAGCAAACTATTAAAAATGTATTTGTAAATATTAGAAGGCAGAAGCATGCTGGTAGATTTTTACAACCTATTCTTCAGGGAAAAGGGCCCTCATTTTAGTGTTTGTCAACTTCTGTGATGTAAATATTCCCTATATGGCCAGTTTTAAGATACCAAAGTGATGTTACTGAATTCAGAGTTGGGAAGAGAGGTACAGTAGATACCATTATACAGGTTTCTATCACATAATATTTTCACTATACAGATACAATAGATGTACATCATGCCAACAGCACAGATAACAGTAAATTGTAGAAAAAAATTAGGAAGTGAGCTGTTCTAAGTATTTACTATCCTTTGTTTCTAACATAATTTAATTCCATATTTATAGTATTTATTTTTAAAATAATGGCTGTGTTTCATTACTGACTTACAAAATTCTTAAGAATTTCTCAATTGGTTCCTGCAAGTAGGTATAAGCTGGCTTCTCCAGCACATTGCTGAAAGGAAAATATTTTAGTCCCACAGAGAAGCAAACACCTGAAAAAGGATTAGTTTATTCGTAAACTTCCAAATAAACATAATCTCATTAATAACAATGGGAAAGATTTCTAATTCCCTCCCCAAATCCAATTTTCCCCTATGTAATTCTTTTCTGTAAATTTCCCACATAACACCAATGTATAATTTTCCCTTATTTCTTAACAACAGAAATTTGATTTCATTATGTTTAGCAATGCATTCAGCTAAAATACAATATTTCCATCTTAAAGAAAAAGGAAGGCATGTGACTGAGTTTAGGTTAATGATATTTGGGCAAAAGTTGTTGGGTAGGGTTCTAGAAACCTTTCTCTCTGTGTGTGTGTGTGTGTGTGTGTGTGTGTGCGCGTGTGCACGTGTGTGTGTATCCAGCTGGCATTCATCCCTTTGCAGAACCACCTTTCTTTTCTCTTCCTTCTTTGCACTTGTATATGAAAAATAGACTCCGGGCAGCCGTCTTGTGAGCATGAGGTGGTTCTGAGGATGTAAACTTTAACAGAAGTGTTCTGAGAGTTTGATAATATAATATAGCCAAAGTAGTCAATATACTACCAAACTTGAACAGCCTGCTTCTGGACTCCATGGTACATAAGCAAAAAGTTAATGTATTTTTAAGCCACTTATTTTTAGATCTTTCTAACTTCCAACTAAATACTATTTCTTTCTTTCTTTTTCTTTCTTTCTTTCTTTTTTTTTTTATTTTTAAGATGGAGTCTCTCTCTGTTGCTCAGGCTGGAGTGCAATGGCATGATCTTGGCTCACTGCAATCTCCACCTCTGGGTTCAAGCGATTCCATGCCTCAGTCACCCGAGTAGCTGGGACTACAGGCACCCACCACCATAACTAGCTAAATTTTTGTATTTTTGGTAGAGACAGGGTTTCACCATGTTGGCCAGGCTGGTGTCAAACTCTTGAAACTCTTGAACTCAAGGGCCTCAGCCTCCCAAAGTGCTGAGATTACAGGCGTAAGCCAACACACCCAGCCCCTAATACCATTTCTAAATGATGATACAGTTAACATTTATTGAGCATCTACCATGTGCCAGACACCATCCTAAGTAATTTTCAAGTGTTACTTCTAGAAAGATAGTGACATTCTATGCAGGTTAGACATCCTTAGTTTGTGATATTTTTATAGACTCATTTGTCCCATGAAGGATTAATTAACTTTATTCTTTATTTTTTAAGACAGGGTCTTGCTCTGTTGCTCAGTCTGGAGCACAGTGGGGCGGTCACAGCTCACTTCCACCTTGCCCTCCCAGGCTCAAGTGATCCTCTCAACCCAGCCTCTGGAGTAGCTGGGGCTACAGGTGCACACCACCATACCCAGCTAATTTTTTTGTATTTTTTGTAGAGACAGGATTTCACCATGTTGCCCAGGCTGGTCTTGAACCCCTGGGCTCAAGCAATCCACGCACCTCAGCCTCCCAAAGTGCTAGAATTAGAAGCGTGAGCCACTGCACCCAGCCTGATTAACTTTAACTGTATAAATGGTCACACCTTCCCTTCAGCAGAAAATAGATTTTCTAAGAGTTAGATGTATCCTTTCATGCTACAAGGAGTACTTACTCGATTTCTGCTCAAAAAAGTATTAACAACTCTATTTCATTTGACTTTTATGTGCTAGTCTAGTATTCAGTTCACTGTTTGCAACAACATATATCAATTCACAATAACAGGCAGTTAAATATGATTGACTATAGGAAGCACTGTTCTGATGTTCTATAGCTTTCCTATAAATATTTATTTGTGGTAATTCTGCTCCATTTCTCCATACAGTTCTAAAAATTTCTTTAAAATTATATTATTAAACTTAAAATACTCAGACATGGAATTCCTACTGGAATTGCAGACATAAGGAACTAACATTTCTAGTTCCTTCCAATAAATCTGTGACAGCACTTCAAAATATAACAGCTCATTGAAATTGGCTCCCAGGAAGAAAAGTTGATAATCAGCTAGAAGAATGAAGCCTTTGGCATGCTTGTCAATCATATCTAATCATATCTAATGTTGTATCGTGTGAAAGAAGGTAATCAATTCTGAATGGTATCTCTTAAGAAAAGCAGCTTTTATTATAATCAGGCTTTTTCTTAAATTTAACTTTTGAAAAAAATCTCAATTCCTCTTTTCTGAAATACCAAGAAGGCCCCTTTTGAATTATTTTGCCTTGTCTAACAGTTCATGCTATGGTTCATCTTTTTTGAGATCTAAAATTAAAATTGAGGGGTTTTTTTGGTTTTTGTTTGGTTTAGTTTTTTTAGTCCACAAAATGGAGCTATTAATAATTATTGTCACCTAACAACCTTCACCAAATCAGTCTTGATGTCGTCACCTTCACTCAGGACTGCCTTTCTATTTTATTTTATTTTATTTTATTTTATTTTATTTTATTTTATTTTATTTTATTTTATTTTATTATTATTTTTTGAGACTGAATCTAGCTCTGTCACCCAGGCTGGAGTGCAATGGCATGATCTTGGCTCACTGCAACCTCTGCCTCCCAGATTGAAGCAATTCTCCTGCCTCAACCTCCTGAGTAGCTGGGATTACAGGTGCCCGCCCCCACGCCCAGCTAATTTTTTTGTATTTTTAGTAGAGACGGGGTTTCACTGTGTTGGCCAGGCTGGTACCTTTCTATTTTATAGCAGTAACAAAAGTATCCTGAGCAAAGTTGGAATTCCAGAGGAAGCTGTAGACATATATTCTAAAATATATATCCCTTTTTTTCACTCTACCATGACATGTTTTTAAAGACAATCTTTTCTTCAGTTAGTTATTCATTGTGTATGATAAAGGGAAAATAATTCTGATTTACTTATGGGTTTTCTCCTTTGCATTTCTTCCTCTTTAAACTGTGAGAATTCTTGTTTGGTTTGTTTGTTTTCTGAAAACAGGGTCTCACCCTGTCACCCAAGCTGGAGTGCAGTGGTGCAGTCATGGATTATTGCAGCCTCAACCTCCTTGGCTCAAGGGATCCTCCCACCTTAGCCTCCCTAGTAGCTGAGACAACAGGCACATGCCACCATACCAGGATATATATATATATATAAAATGTGTGTGTGTGTATATATATATATAGTAGGGACAGGGTCTCACTATATTGAGCAATCTGGTCTCAAACTCTCAGCCTCAAGTTATCTTCCCACCTCGGCCTCCCAAAGTGTTGGGATTACAGGTTTAAGCTACTACACCCAGCCTGAATGTGAGAATTCTAAAGCAGTACATTGAAAAATCATATATACACAAGGATTTAAGTAATTGGCTTTGTTGTTGTTGATCAAAATTTGTTTGAAAATTCCAGGTTTGTATGAATTAACTACTTTGTAAAAGCGAGAGCTGTTGCTTTTCTGATGCCTATTCACAGGGAGGAAACGTCTGACGGGTGGGAGAAAGCTCCATGGGGTTCAGGGTTGAGTCTTCTTGTTTTTCTGTGCCTTTACACAATGTCTTATCTTGAGCCTGAGACAGAGAATAACTAATTGGTCAAGTTTGCCGAGTCCTTACTCTACACCAGGCACTGTGTTAGGCGTGTGATATGTGTACTTTCACTTCAACTTCACAGTAAACCTAAGAGTTTAGCATGGTCGTTATCCTTATTTCTCAGATGAGGAAATAGAAACTTGATCACAGCTATGGTCACAGTCCTAAATAGTAGAGCCTGAACTCAGTCAGCATTGTTTAACCCCAAGGTCTTTGAACTTAACCTTCAGTTTGCCATCATGAACACTAGTAGACATACAATGCATACTTAATGATCGCATAGTGGAGCTAAAGGCCTGTCATGAACACATCCCTTTAAAAGTCCTCTCCTTTAAAAATAAATCTCTGCTCAGCCCACTGATTACAGTTTTACTGGCCTTATGGAACCATTCTAGGCCACTGAATAGATTAGAATAAAGAAACTTATAAACTTTTCCTATTTTACAATTTAAATAAAAACAAAAAAGAACCTAGCTTATGTAATCACTTGTAAGACCATTTAAGAGATGCATAATATCATAGATCTGCTAAATTATTTTTAATCCGTGTCATATTTTTTTCATTTGGGTTCTTTGCAAAGAAAACCTCAAAAACCCTCTACAATGAACTTTCAGCCAGACAGTTTAAACTTGAAATTTATCTCCAATACACTAAAGATCACCTCAGTCATTAAAACTAAGATTAGAAAAACAATCTTCCATTTTCTTTTCATGAAATATAATTTGAAAACAGAGTACTTCACTTTAAAATAATCTAAATAAAATAACATTGCCTAGTTTCTCTTTTAAGATACAGTTTTACTTTATCAACAAAATGAAAGAAATTGAAGGTTGAAATTCTAAAGGAACAAAATAAATGAGGGTCGGCAACTTCTAGGCAGCTGATAAACAGATGTTTCTGTAGTCAAAGGTATTGTTTTTTGAAAGCAATGAAGTAATGGGGTTTCAGGTATATGTCTTATTTATTGGTCATGTTTTTCTTCCCATGTTTCTAAAACAACTTAAATCAATGTTAGTAAATATATAACGAAAGTTAAGAAAATGCAGTCAGCAGGTTTAAATGTTTTAAGAATTAAAAAAGGAGAAACATTATCTTAAAGTTTGCTGGTTTGTAAGTAGTCAAGTGAACAAACTGAATCCATCAAAAGACCATTTATTCGTATTTTAAAAAATAATACTGAAAGACACAGGAACTTGGGGGAGAGATTTTTAAATGAGAGGATAATCTTAACCATAGAAATGTCAATTTTTTGGAATGAAAAGCAACGTGTTCATAAAGGAAGCATTTGATTGACAGATGATATTCTGAACAAAAGCTTTGAGAGTTTGATCTTAGTGTCTTTTGTGAAATTTTTACATTATAAAAATGATGAATCTAGCATGTTGTTTTGAGGTATATTTGCAATTGAAGTGTTATTTCGTTAATTTTTTTCTGTTTTGTTCAATATAAATTTTGATAAGATGTTGTTTAAGCATGATAGTCTATGGATGAATCATTAATTAAGCTTTAAACAGAATACAGGGCAAATGAAATCTATATTTGCCATGAGACTGATTCTGCCTGGATTAGTGTACATTAGGTAAAATAATTCTAAACAGGATGTAGTCTCATTGAATACTCTAACCAGTGTTCTTGGATAGCTACAATAAATAATGCAAGTAATACCAAATTCAATTAATCACTAGTATTCCTGTTACATTTGTAACTTATAACATTTTATTTATGAATATTCACTTTTGTAGAATATTTTTGGCTTAAGTTGAGTTCCCTGAACAACAGGTTCTGAGATGGAAACTTGAGTGTCAGAGATCTATTAGGGAGTTTTTCTAGGAGCACCTCTAAGGAATAAAGGAAAAGAATTAAGTAGAATAATAAAACTGTGATGTACTTGTAAAAGAGTGTTCTTAAGTCAAGGCAAAGGGTCCAAGCCTTATTACCCTTCCCACACTGACCAGTCATTGGATGTAAACTACACCCAGAGGAAGGGATATACAAGGCAGCCTCTACAGAAGGAAGAGCAATTCTCCAAATAAGATGCAACTGTGAGCTCTAATCACTCAATACCCTCGGTAACTAAGTGCCTTCATCCTGAAGGTGGTGGGGTACACTGTAGTATCCACTATAATTTACAAACTCAAAGAAAAATCTTCCAATGTACTATTGGGATTATGATATCATTAATATTGAAATATAACCTGAAAAAAACGTTTTGTCATCATCAAGCTCAACCCTCTCAAAGCAGTAAAGAGGAAACAATATAGATGATATCCTATAAATCGAACAACTCTAAAGACATTGGACTAATGGTGTTCAGATGAATTTTAATTTATATATCTACTTGCCTACTGAATATCCTCATTTGTATGCCTAAATGGCGTAATAAAATGCAAAGCAAGTATTGATTTTTTCCTGCATAAATGTGCCTGTTCCCCAAGATTCCCTACTTCAGTAAGTGATACAGTCATTCTTCCAGGTGCTCAAGTTAAAATAATCTGATTCACTATATTTAGTTCTTTTGTGCACATTCAATCCATTAGGCATCTTATAGGCCCTTCTTTCAAAATACAGCTAGAATCAGACCATTTATACATTGTTATACCTTGACATAAGCTACCATCTCCACTTAGCAGCCTAAATGGTCTCTCTACTTCTCCCTTGCCTTATAATCTATTTTTCACACATCAGACAGAATTATTCTTTTAAATCTAAGAAATATCATGTCACTCCTTTGTTAAAACCTTCCAAAGACTTCATGTCCCCTTCACAACCCGCCTCACTGTCTATCTTAATCACCTACCATATTCTCTTCACTCACTCTGCTCTGCTAACTCTAGTCTTCTTGGTATTCCTCAAACACACCCAACCAAACTCACCTCCTCCCCCAGGGCCTCTTCACTTTCTGTTTTGTCTGCCCAAAATGTGGGCAAAGAGTTAAATATCTGCATAGATAGGACCCTCACTTCCCTCAGGTCTCTGTCAAACTTTGCCTATCAAAGTAGGCTTCCCTGCCTCTCCCAAATCTGTCACCCTTAATCCTCTTTCCTAACTTATTTAGCTCTTTGGTAATCTTTTTCACCACTTTTACTATCCTTTCCCAAAATGAAAATTTGTTGTAATATGCCTGTCAGTATTGATGGCAACTTATTTTGCTAAATAAATACCTAGCACATACACACATATCTGGCATCTGGCGTGGTAGAAGAAGACAAAAAATTAAAGATGATGATAGGGAAAGTATATTTTGTGGCTTTGCTTAGTAAAGAAATGTTCTAACAATTGGTGCCATCTGGAAGGGACTGACAAGAAGTAATAAGTTTTCAGCTTCCAAAGGTGTCCACAAGATGTTAGAGAACCACCTGCTGGTCATTATATTCATGACATTAATTTGAAGGTTGAAGTAAATGAATTCCAAGGTCTTACATTTCTGGGTTCATGTGATTTTATTAGAATTTTAAAGATAATTATATTTCACTGGTTTATGAATTCTTAAAATATTTTAATTCATTTTCAGGTTTGACTAGACAATCTATCTCAACATGCTTATGGTTTGCCATTAAAATGACTCTTCTTGTAAACAAGACAAAAACTGATTTCTCTTGAAGCATTCATTATGCATATGAGCACTTGATTAGAAATATGGCAACGGGAAATAAATAATCTCTCAAAAGTTCATTACTGAACGATGCTATCGTGTTCCAAATAAGCTCAGTGTGAATTTAAGACTGGCTCATTAATCATTAGAAGACAACTCTAATCAGTGGAATGTGACTCTAACTTCACTTTAAAGCAATTGTACTTGATTGAAAATAGCAGCCAATTAAGAAAAAAATACAAATGATTGGCAAGAAGGGGGAAAAGACTTTAAATCTTAGACTTATATAATGACTTCATTGATTGCTAAAAATTGAGTTGTTTAAAACTCTCAGATTGTTATAATGACCCTGAATTAATCCTGCACTATGAAAATTAGAAGAGTAATTTCTAAGATGAAGAGAGAGTATTCACTCTTTCCTTCCTTAGTAATAGAACCCAAATCATAATGGGGCTATAATACACTCTTGTAACGGACTAGATCGAAGCCAGCCCTGCTTGCAGCTAGGTGACAAAGTTCTGGACTACTGGGATGTAATTTTAAGCATGGGGGACTTCTGGGAGGGCTGCTTATTAGAATCTGACTCATTTGAGAGGTATTTTCTTTTGCCTTCCCCCTTCCTCCTTCCTATTGCCTGAAAATCAGATTTCATGAATGAAGTTTCAGAAGCCACCTTGAAGGTGACTTTGAAGAGGGAAGCCAGCTAATTGTTGAATGGCCCTATATGCCTACCTCTTTTATGTGAGAGAGAAATAAACTTTAAACTTAAGGCACTGTTGTTTGAGTTTTCAGATACATGTAGCCAAATTAAATATGGTATTACTCTAATGTATGGTATTACAGTAAGTCTAATGAAATTACTCTATGGAGTATAATGGACGGGAAAATGTAGTAAGTATAGGACTTATCTGTTCCCTGTCATAATTTCCTGCAGTATTCACTCTTCTTCTGTAACATTAGCTCAGCTTTTGTGGAACCATGACAGTTCTCTTAGTTGGTCTATGAAACAAGATGCCATTTGCCTTGTGCAAGAGGTGGGCACAGAATCCAACCTTGACCAATGAGATTTCATATGTCCTAAACTTGTCCCTTGAGTGACAAAAAGATGAAAAGTTTTTCGGGTTAATTTTTCTCCCATCATCCTGAAGAGACTGCCTTTTAATTCTAGTGAATTAGATACCGAGAACTGTTCTTTCTTAGCCCTAGTTATTTTTTTCTTCAATGCTATACTGTGAACTCTGCCATATTATCATTTATGTATATATACAATATATATTTTCATCTTTGCTTTCTTTTGAAAAGCTGTTTTCTTTTGCATTTACTTAAGAAACTGAAGTAGTTTTTGTATTCAAAATTGTACTTAACACATGGCTAAAGTTGGTCCAACAGTGGATTAGTCAAACCCAATATTATTAGTATTAAATAATTAAACTTGAAGCTTATTATGTCCACTGCACTTATCACATGGATGTAGACTGTTCTGATATCAGCTCACCCCTATGGCTTCTGAGAATTTAGCATTAGTTTTAGGCCTGCATGGAATCTTAGGTTACTGTTAGAGTACTTGGTGACAGTATAGTTTTAATGATGTCAGTGTAATATGGGCAGGTAGCTTTTCTTTTCCGTGACTCTGGAATGTACCCTTACTCAAAGCTGGCCATATCACAGATGACGCAGCTGACCATGAGAAGTATTTGAAGTGCATAAATCTATCCCTATTCTGGAAATAGCAAATAAAGGATCATATAATATTGCTGCTTACTTTAGTAGAGTTTTGAACTCACTTAGTACAACTCCAACTTAGTGCCATAGAGCTTGATTGACCTGAACCAGGTCTTACTGTAGCAGAGATGGGGCTAGAATATAAGTCAACTGACTCCAGTTCCTATGCTCTTTCCCTTACACACATTCATCAGAGTGTGCGGCTCTGATGTCAGAGCATTAGCTCTGGAGTGAGAGACCTAGGTTAGAGACTACGTGTTCTAATTTAGAGTCTAGTAAGCTGTATGACTTAACATGATGCCTATAACCTCCTAAATCTCAGTTTTCTTATTTCTGACCTGCAAACTGGTAATGATTAGATGAGTTAGTGTTCCTTGAGCATACAATAGTGTCTTGTACATGAAACTGATACATTGCTATAAATGTTGGATACAGCTATTAAGATTAATAATAATTAGGAGGCAGAGCAAGATGGCAGAACATTCCTCTGATCATCCTCAGAAAGTTCCTCTGATCATCCTCCCTGCAAGGACACCAAGTTAACAACTCTCTACACAGAAAAAAACACCTGCATAAGAATAAAAAATCAAATGAGCACTCATAGTACCTGGCTTTAACTTCGTATTGCTGAAAGAGGCAATGAAAAGATTTCTTTTTTAAGTCCTGAATCACCAATGCCGCCCGTCCTCCCACCTACCACAGCAGCAGCATGATGTGGAGAGCATTTCTGGGAACTGGGGAGGAAAAAACACAGCAATCATGAGGCACTGAGCTCAGACTGTTCTCTTAGAGCAGAAAGGAAAATGAGACCAACCTCAGCTGATGCTCGCCCACAAAGGCAACATTTAAACCAGCCCTAGTCAGAGGGGAATCACCTAGTCCAGTGGTCTGAACTTGAGTGCCTGCAAACCTCACCACCGAGGGCCACAGTGCCTTGGGTCTCTAGGTAAACATGAAAGGCAGTTCAGTCCATTAGGACTGCAACTTGTAGGCGAGTCCTAGGGCTGAACTAGGCACAGAGGTAGTGGACTGGAGGGGCATGTGACATACTGAGACACCAGTTGGGGCGGCCTAGGGAGTGCTGGCATCATTCCTCTCTTAACCCCATGCTGCGCAGCTTATGGTTCCAAAAAAGACCCCTTCCTTCTGCTTAAAGAGAGGAGAGGGAAGAGCGGGGAGGACTTTGTCTTGCATCTTTGATACCAGCTCAGCCATAGCAGAATAAGGCACTGATTAAAGTCATGAGGCCTCTATTCCAGGCCCTAATTCCCACACGACATTTCCAGACACACCCTGGGCTAGAAGGGAACCCACTGCCTTGAAGGAAAGGACTCAGTCCTGCCAGTATTCTGCTAACTGAGGAGCCCTTGGGTCCTGAATAACCAGTAGCAATAGAGAGGTGCACATCAAGGGCTTTGGTGGGCCTATGAGACTTGCTGGCTTCAGGTGATACTCACACATAACCACCTGTGGTGGCTATGGGGCAAAACTCCTTCTGCTTGAGAAAAGCACAGGGCAAAGTAAAGGGGACTTTTTCTTGCACCTTAGGTACCAACACTGCCACAAGGGAGTAGAGCGCCAAGCAGGCTCTTGGGTTCCCCAATTCCAGGACTTGACTCTCGGACAGCATTTCTGGACCTGTCCTGGGCAAGAGGGAGCCCACTGTTCTAAAGAGTGAGAACCAGGCCAGGCAGCATTTGCCACAAGCTGACTTAAGAGACCTTGGCTTTAAAGGAACTTTGGTGGTAGTCTGGCAGTATTCCTCGTGGCCAGGTGTGGCATTGGCTATGGAGGTGAGGATCCTCTGCCTTCGGAAAGGGGAAGGAAGGGTGGGAATTATGGCATCTTATGGTTTGAGTGCCAGCTCGGCCATAATATAATAGAACATCAGGTAGACTTCTAAGGTTTTTGACTCTAGTCCATGACTCCTGGATGGCACTTCTGGACCCACCCAGGGCCTGGGGGACCTTGCTACCCTGAAGGGAAAAACACAGATCTGGCTGGCTTTGCTACCTGCTGATTTTAGAGTCCAAGGGCCTTGAGCAAACATAGGTAGTATTCAGGGAGTGGTTAAAGTGGTTAAAGCAGGCCTTGGGTGAGACCCCGTGCTGTCCTGGCTTCAGGTCTGACCCATAGAAGTCATAGTGGTGGTGGACACAGGGGTGCTTGTGTCATCCATTTACAGCTTTAGGTGGTTCAAAACAGAGAGAGAGACTGTGTATTTGGGAGAAAGTAAGAGAAGAGAACAAAATTCTTTACCTGGTAATCCAGAGAACTCCCCCAGACCTTGTCCAAGGCCATCAAGGCAGTGCCTCTATGAGTCTGCAAGAACTGCAGTGTTATTAGGTTTGGGATCCCCCCTAAAGCAGAAACAGCTTAGATCACAACACCCATGTCCTTTTAAATATCTGGAAAGTCTTCCCAAGGAGGACAGCTACAAATTAGCCCAGACAGTGAAGACTATAATAAATACCTAACTCTTCAATGCTTAGACACCAAAGAACAGTTATTAGTATCAACACCATCCAGGAAAACATGACCTCACCAAATTATCTAAATAAGGCACCAGGGAACAATGCCAGATATATGTGACCTTTCAGATAGAGAATTCAAAATAGCTGTGTTGAGGAAATGCAAATAAACTCAAGATAACACAGAGATGGAATTTAGAATTCCATCGGATACATTTAACAGAGATTGAAATAATTAAAAAGAATCATGCAGAAATTTTGGAGTCGAAAAATGCAGTTGGCACACTGAAGACAGTCCTTTAACAGCAGAATGGATCAAGCAGAAGAAAGAATTAGTGAATTAAAGACAGACTATGTGAAAATACACAGTCAGAAGAAAGCCTACAGGATCTAAAAAAAGAGCCTCAAAAGGCAAATCTAAGAGTTATTGGCCTTAAAGAGGAGGAAGAGAAAGAGATAGAGGTAGAAAGTTTATTTAAAGGGATAGTAACAGAGAACTTCGCAAACCTAGAGAGAGATATTCAAGTACAAGAAGGTTATAGAACACCAAGCAGTTTTAGCTCAAAGAAGACTGCCTCAATGTGTTTAATAATCAAATTCCCAAAGGTCAAGGATTCAGAAAGGATTGAAAAGCAGCAAAAGAAAAGAAAAGAATAACATATAATAGAGCTCCAATGCATCTGGCAGCAGACTTTTAAGTGGAAACCTTGCAGGGCAAAAGAAAGTGGCATGACTTATTTAAAATGCTGAAGAAAAAAAATTTACCCAAGGAGAGTATATCCAGTGAAACTATACTTCAAGCATGGAGGAGAAATAAAGACTTTCCCAGAAAAATAAAAGCTAAGGGATTTTATTAATTCTAGATCTGTCCTACAAGAAATGCTAGAGGGAGTACTTCACACAGAAAGAAAAGGACATTCATGAGCAATGAATGTCCTGAAGGTACAAAACTTACTGGTAATAGTAAGTAAACAGGACAACACAAAGTATTATAACACTTAACTGTGTTGTATAAGCTACTTGTATCCTAAGTAGAAAGAGTAAATGATGAACCAATAAAAAATACTAACTACAACAACTTTTCAAGACATAGTAAAATAAGATGTGAATATTAATGGAAACAATAAAAATGTAAAAAAGCAGAGAGACAAAGTTAAAGCAAGGTTTTATTAGTTTCCTTTTTGCTTGTGTGTTTGTGTGGGCAAATAGTGTTAAGCTGTTATCAGATTAAGATAATGAGTTATAAGATAGTATTTGCAAATCTCATGGTAACCCTAAACCAGAAAACATACAATGGAGACACAAAAAATAAAAAGCAAGAAACTAAATCATATCAACAGAGAAAGTCACCTTCAGTAGAGGAATACAGGAATGAAAGAAAGAAGGAAGAGAGACCACAAAACAACCAGAAAGAAAATAACAAAATGGCAGAAGTAAGTTCTTACTTATCAATAACATTGAATGTAAATGGACTAAACTCTCCAATAAAAAGACATATACTGGCTGAATGAACAAAATATAAGATCGACTGATCTGTTGCCTATAGGAAACACATTTCACCTATAAAGATACACATAGACTGAAAATAAAGGAATGAAAAAAGATATTTGATTCCAATGGAAACCAAAAAAGAGCTGGAGTTGCTCTACTTATACCAGACAAAATAGGTTTCAAGACCAAAACTATCAGAGACAAAGAAGGTCACTATATAAAATGATAAAGGGGTCAATTTAGGAAGAGGATATGACAATTTTAAATATATATGCACCCCAAACCAGAGCACTCACATATATAAAGGAAATATTATTAGAGCTAAGGAGAGAGATAGGCCCCAATATAGTAATAGCTGGAAACTTCAACACACCACTTTTAGCACTGAACAGATCTTTCAGACAGAAACTTAACAAAGAAACAACAGACTTAATCTGCACTACAGACCAAATGGATCTAATACATATTTACAGAATATTTTATCCAAGAGCTTCAGAGTACACATTCTTTTCTTCAGCACATGGATTATTCTCAAAGATAGACCATATATTAAGTCACAGAACAAGTCCTAAAACACTCAAAAAATCAGTTCCCAGACATTGATTTTTTGACATTGATTTCAAGACAATACAAGAAAACATGATATCACCAAACAAACTAAGTAAGTTTCCAGGGACCAATCCTAGAGAGACAGACTTATGTTACCTTTCAAACAGAGAATTCAAATCTGAGGAAGCTCAGTGAAATTCAAAACAACACAGAGAAGGAATTCAGAATCCTATCATGTAAATTTAACAAAATGAATGAAATAATTACAAAGAATCATGAAGAAATTCTGGAACTGAAAATGCAATTGGCATACTGATGAATGCAGCAAAGTCCTTTAACAGCAGATGGATCAAGCAGAAGAAAGAATTAGTGAGCCTGAAGACAAGTTATTTGAAAATACACAGTCAGAAGAGATAAAATAAAAAGAAATAAAAAAGAATGAAGCATGCCTCCAAGATCTAGAGCTGAGATTGTGCCATTGCACTCCAGCCTGGGCAACAGGGCTTTTATGTCTAGCTAGAGGATTCTAAATGCACCAATCAGCACTCTGTGTCTAGCTCAAGGTTTGTAAATGCACCAGTCACTGCTCCGTGTCTAGCTAATCTAGTGG
Source organism: Homo sapiens (assembly GCF_000001405.40). NCBI lineage: Eukaryota > Metazoa > Chordata > Mammalia > Primates > Hominidae > Homo > Homo sapiens. The sequence goes on along the minus strand of NC_000003.12, from coordinate 152,501,793 downwards.
GGACTTGGAGAACTTTTGTGTCTAGCTAAAGGATTGTAAATGCACCAATCAACACTCTGTGTCTAGCTCAAGGTTTGTAAAGGCACCAATCAGTGCTCTGTGTCTAGCTAATCTAGTGCGGACTTGGAGAACTTTTATGTCTAGCTAGAGGATTGTAAATACACCAATCAGCACTCTGTGTCTAGCTCAAGGTTTGTAAACGCAACAATCAGCACCCTGTCAAAATGGACCAATCAGCTCTCTGTATAATGCACCAATCAGCTCTCTGTAAAATGGGCCAATCAGCAGGATGTGGGTGGGGTCGGATAAGGGAATATAAGCAGGCTGCCCAAGCCAGCAGCGGCAACCCCCTCTGGTCCCATTCCACACTGTGGAAGCTTTGTTCCTTTGCTCTTTGCAGTAAATCTTGCTGCTGCTCACTTTTGTGTCTGCACTGTCATTATGAGCTATAACGCTCACTGGGAAGGTCCACAGCTTCACTCCTGAGGCCTGCGAGACCAGGAACCCACCGGGAGGAATGAACAAGACCATGAACCCACCGGGAGGAATGAACAACTCCAGACGTGCTGCGTTAAGAGCTGTAACACTCACCACGATGATCTGCAGCTTCACTCCTGAAGCCAGCAAGACCACGAACCCACCAGAAGGAAGAAACTCTGAACATGTCCAAACATAAGAAGGAACAAACTCCAGACACACCATCTTTAAGAACTGTAACACTTACCGCGAGGGTCTGTGGCTTCATTCTTGAAGTCAGTGAGAGCAAGAACCCACCAAGTCCGGACACAGAATCGCTTAAACCTAGGCGGCAGAGGTTGCAGTGAGCTGAGATTGTGCCACTGCACTCCAGCCTGGGAGATAAAGGGAGACTCCATCTCAAAAAAAAAATTTAATAAATAAAAGAACTACCAGAAACTGGGTAATTTGTAAAGAAAAGAGGTTCAATTGACACAATTCCACAGGCTGTACAGGAAGCATGGCTAGGTGGAGAGGCCTCAGGAAACTTATAATCATGGAGGAAAGCGAAGAGGGCAGGCAAGTCTTACATGGTGGGAGCAGGAGAAAGAGTAAAGGAGGAGGTGCTACACACTTTTAAACAACTAGATCTTACATGAGAACTTACTATTACAAGAACAGCAAGGGAGAAATCCACCCCAATGATCCAATAATCTCCTACCAGGCTCCTCCTCCAACAGTGGGGATTACAATTCAACATGAGATTAGGGTGAGGACACAAATCCAAACCATATCAGCCTACTATGAACCCACAAAAATTACAAATAAAAAAATTAAATTTTTAAAAGATGGTGAAATAACCACAAGATACAAACAAAATTTAAATAATCAAAATTGACTACCTGATTAAACTCCATCTAAACATATTTTCAAACATGAATGAAAACATTAATTTTCTGGGAAGATATACATTACTAAAATTGGCCTCTACATTTGCATAAGCCAATCCAATAAACATAGAATACGTTTGTCAAAGAGCTACCTTTTTAAAAATTTTGGTACATGGTGTGGGTTTATGTATATAAAACTGTTTCCTTACACGGACCTCCCTGGAATGGAAATTCTGACTGGAGCAAGGCAAGTGGGTATGAAGGTCAGCAAACTGAATTGGTGTGGCACTGGATTTCCTGGTGAATGCAATGCCAAATGACAAAATAAAACCTGCATAGAGATTAGCTCTTCTCTAAAGCTCTGCTCAATTTCCTTAGAGATTTGTCTAGAGTTTATTTTATGGGAGAAAATTTTGGTAACAGCTCACTATGAACAAAAGCTACCTCAGGTTTCTGTTTGTTTAGTTTGTTTCCTCCAACTGTGATTTCTCATCCTCTTCCTGTTTTGCAGAAATTCAGTGTAATTTCCCTTTCACGATGATATCCTCCCTTACGTTAACCTCCACAATTCTTTTTTTCTATTATGAGTTTATTCTTAATCACACACCTTATCTTTTTTTTAAGTGAGGTCTTAGCAGGCATGGGAGACAAATGCATGTTCCTGGTCGGCCACCTTTGACAGCAAGAATTTTTATCTCTGTTCAGAAATACTGGGATGTAAATATTGAAAGATAAGTAAAACATATATACATGTTTTTTCAAGGCCAAAATTATTCCCTGGAGAAAGCATATATTCTTTAAAAAGCAATTTCTGTTAAGCATTTTACTAAGATAAGTAATATTTACATTTATGAATAAATCTAGATGCACAATAGCTTCAAATTGTAGCAACATAGTCATCATATCTGTTTAATGTCCATATAACCAATATTAAGATAACTTAGCTTATTACATATTATTAATAATAGTAAAGATAGTTTAGAAACATAAAAGTTTACTTGACCAAAATATGAACATTTATGTAAATGTCGACTACACATAAATCATGTTATTAAAAAGAAAGCCTAATTTTCTTACTAAAAATATATTTCTGTTTCCCCAACTTTCTACCTTTTCTTACTACCAAGAAATTCTCATCTCTCCTTTGCATCCCCATCACCAGAATAAAAGGATTGGATGATAAGGGGTTTTGAAAGATAGTCTTACATTCCACTTATCTCTATCCTAATACTCACAAACTAGCAAATAAGCAACACATCCTTTAAAAATTCTAGTATTCCCATATTTCATATTAAATCAAAGTTGCACATTCACATATACTATCCATGATTCAAGGCATAGCTATATAATCTAACTACCATGAGAGACTTAGTTTTTTTAATTTTGAAATCCAGCTTCAGAAATTCAGCATCTCCGAAATCAAAGTATTACAGAAGTGCTAGCAGAAAATCAATTTTTAATAAAATTTTCAATAAACTACTTTGGAAGACATCATTTACTTTAAGATATGTAAGAAGATTCCTAAATAAATATTCTCAATTCTTTCATAAATTGATCATAAAATTCACACAAAATGTAATTGTATATTTCTAAAATTTACACGTACTAATCTCAATGTGTACTACAAGTAAATTCAAGCAAATAAGTTTTAAAATATTTGATACATCAACTTTATATTAATTAGATTAATACATTTTAACATATTCTGGCTGTTCATTTAATAAATAAAAGGAAAATGTATTATGATGTTCATTCCCTGATAATGCAACATCAATCAATTGGTTTTTTTAATGTAACTATGAAAAGTAATTTCAAACTTAACTCTTGTTTGAATTGTCAAAATTAGCAGGTATTTGTTTTGAAATGTAATAGGATTTTAATAAATTTAATTAGAAACAATTTGGTTAATTCAGTGGAAGAATAGCAAAACAAATCATTTGATAATCCCTCATCTTCCCTTTCCTGTTTCATCACTCATACTGTCATCTTAAAAAGAAGTTTATCCCTGAATTACCTACTTCTGCTGTCTTGTCCAGAAGCCTTACCTAATTACTGAATCCCATGATCACTGTCAACTCCAAGTAGCCTTTTTCTTCTTCCTGTGACTTGCGGGGGCAACAATAAGTGAGAAACACTTTGTTTTATTCACTGCTCCATGGCAGATGGTAGTAATTTAAACATTTTTGATAAATAAAAAATTGAATGAAAATATAACAGCTATAGTAAATAAGCATGCTAGACTTAGTAAGATAAATATTACTTTTTCCACATATATGACATAAAAATAAGGATGACAAAAACTATTATTCATAGTTTGTGATGTGTTCACAAACTGTGAATAATTACTCAGCAGAGTAACCATGATGTGTGGTAGAATGCTTCCTACACTTTGTTCAACTTGTTATTTTCCGCCTCTTACCAACACACCTGATACTTTCTTGACATGTTTCTTATTTTGTTTACTTTGTCATTCAGCAGAGAAAATACAGTTCAGCATCCATCTTTTAAATTGTGCAGAGAGTAAAAATACTCTGGGCCAAGATAGCCAATCATAGTTTTTCTTTTATTTAGAAAAAATGCAACTTGATATTAAAATACTGAGAAAGAATTGGAAATTAGAGTTGAGTGATAGCAGAGATATTAAGAAAGGGAGAAAACTGACAGCGAATCAAGGAAAGAAAAATGAGACATCTTGGTTGGGAAACTAGAGCACATTGCAAAATATCCTTAAGAGTAATGTGCCTGATGACCATTTTGGCATTGAAATTGAAAACAGGATGTAGAAAGCAACAGATAGATAAAATGCTTCGTTCAACTCTTGAGAACATCTCGGCTGACCAGTAGTTTCTCTTCTGGGAAAATGGAAACAGAAGGAAAACTTAGCTTAGACAATCACTATGCCTATAAATTAGTAGAGGTCTTGTTTACTGACTTAGCCATGGGAAAAAGAAACTTTATCAGATAAGTCATTGAATAGCTCATCCAATTCCTTAAGTTTTAGAAGAGAAAGCAATGATACAAGGCAGTCAAGCAACTTGCTCAAGTTAAATGCATATCTACTGACTTCTAGTGAGATGGCCTTTCCAAGATTTATTTGACAGTGAATTCTTTTAAAATGACTATTTAGACTTAAAGCTTCAATACCATTACAGCAGGCAAAAACAAAGGCAGCTATGAAAACTTGCCCGTGAAGGGAGTGCAGATCAAAGACTTGGGAGGGTTTTGGGAGGAATTCTGATAGTGGTAACAAAGTGATGTCATAAACCTCACAAATAAAAGTTACCACATTGAAACATAATATATTTTTTAAAAAATAACTATTTGGAAGTAGTAGAAAGTATTCAAGTACAAACAAAAGCCAGAGGAAATTTTATTCTTATAAAACTGTGTTTACAAAAGGTAGGAAATGATTGGATATTCTCTTTAAGAACACGTATAACAAAGAGAAAAAGCCAGCCTAACCAGGTCAAAGATGCAGGGGAAATAACTCAGTACCAGGGGAGCAGCTGAGTATTTGAAAAGGAAATCCTGTAAGCAGGAGTACTACAGAAGGGGTGAGAGCCAAAATTTGCATGTTAAGTTCTGCAGAAATCTCCAACTGGCCAGTAAATTACAAATGTGCAAAGAAGAGCCCTGTGTGTCTGGTAAATATAGACCAAAAAGTCATATAGTCCTGAAAGACAGATTCACCAGGTAAGATTGTGAGTTTGCTGCTTTATTGTTGTTGTTGTTAACTAGGTGCATTTCCCAACTCATATTTCAATCTAGCAAGGAAAACCTAAAAATTTACTAGTTTGAAATAGTACAGAAAAGAGCCTGAAGCTGGTAGAGCATCTGGAAATTTAAGGGGAACTCTCCAGCAGCAGAGTAACCATGATGTGTGAGCTTAAAAATGTAACAATACATTTTGTCTGAGTCTTCAGCTGATTGCCATGCAGTTACAGCGGAGACCCTCAGTGGACAAGGGTAAGAAAAACAGCAGCTGGATGCTGTGAGCAATAAGCAGTTACCAGCTGCTGCATTCCACAGGAAAGAGTGAGGATACAGTTTGAATTTAAAAAATTAACCAACTATTAAAAAGAAAAATACCCAGAAGAACACAAGAGAATCCAGAGTTGCTACAATATATTATTTGCAATGTTCAGTATTAAAATATTACTAGACATGCAAAGAAAGAAGAAAGTGGGATCTATAATCCAGAAAAATGGCAGTCAGTGGGAACTTAGAACCCTAAACCAACAATAACAAAAAACAATTTTCTTCAGTACACTTGGAACAGTCACCCATAGATCATATGCTGGGCTGTGAACAAGTCTCAATAAACTCAAAATGACTGAACTATTACATAGTTATTCTCTGACTGACATCTGGTTTATCTCAGGGATTCCATCTGTTGATCTGATGATGGTTTTTCACTTGAGAGTTTCTCAGGGTGTCCTGGTTCTTTGTAAGGTGAGTATTTTGGGATTACATCCTGGACATTTTGATAGTATGAGACTCTGAGTCCTATGACAATACGCTGGAGAATGTTGGCTTTTCTGCTATTGTTGTGGCTGTTTCAGCAGGCAATTAACCTAGTTAGGTTCAAACTGGAAGTTCTGTCTTAGCTTCCATGGGGAGCATTCCAAAGTCAATTGAGTTTTAAAAGCCATTGCTATGCTGCTTTTGGTCTGTCCCACATATGAACAGCTCAGGGCTGAGCTGAACTTTTGTCAGTTCACACACAGAATTAAGGCATCCCTATTTTCGATTCTCTCCTTTCTGCAAGTTTTCCCCTATTATCTGACTCCCAGGGCTCTCTTTTCCTAGTTCCCTGTCTTGAAAGATGTTCTTTGTTTTGTTTTTTGGCGTTTTAGCCACTTTTGCTGCTGCACAGTTATGCACAATTCGGGCTGCCATTAAAGCAAAGAGTAGCTCCTTTCCTGTTCCTCTGGCCGGAAAGACCATTTCTGAAATTTGCTGCCTGAACCAATTGCCCAGAAGCTGGAGCTGCCCTTGGACCAAAGCACAAAGAAAAAAGAGGAGATAATTAATTGGGAAACTCACCCAATAAAGATTGTTTATCAAGTTTGGTCTTTACCAATTCATTTATTAATTTTCAGAGTAGTTGCTTGTTTATTTTGGGTATTTTATCCAGGGTGTTTGGTTGTGGTCAATGGGAAAGATAGATATAGTGTTCTTATTCTATTTTGTTCACTGCCAGAGTCTGTGGGTAATTTTGTTAGTCATCTCCCCCCTTTACCAAATTTATTATAATGAGCACAAATATTATGTATGTATTTAGGAATAAATATAAAATGATAAAAATAGCCTTTGCTTTACATTTTCTAAAACTGCTTGGCAAAAAAACACTTTTATAGAATTTCAGCCCAGCATAACTGAAAGAAATATAGTTTAGTGACTTGTGTATATTTATTATTGTTTTCATATGTATTCTCTTCCTTATTAAATATATACTTGTTGCCAGGGTGAAAATTTTCAGAATTAAAATGGAGTCACTAATGTTAAGAAATTCCTGACAAATTGAGTCAAGGAAGTCCATGAAGGGAGGGCTCTCCCTTGTATACCTGATAAAGAAAAAGATTCTACAAAGACCTTACACAAAGGCCATTGAAGTATACATATATGTGTGTGTGTGTGTGTGTGTGTGTGTGTAAGTATATATATGTGTGTGTGAGTACATATATATGTAAGTATATATATGTGTATATATATGTGTATATGTGTATGTATATATGTGTGTGTGTGTGTGTGTGTATATATATATATACTTATATATATACTTCTGCAAGAACATCTGTTCAGCAACTGCCTGTCCAACCTCGGACTGGTGTCACCCTTGTTATTGATCTTTGTAGCCAAGGGTAATTATTTCAAAACAATTATGTACTCCTCTTCATTTTTTCCTTTAGAAAGATTTGTTTTCCTTTACTTCCTTGAATAAGCACAAACTTTGTTGCAGCATGTATATTCCCATTGCAACACTCTATTTCCAAATAAACATAATATTTATTTTTTATTTATTTAGAGACAGAGTCTCACTCTGTTGCCCAGGCTGGAGTGCAGTGGCACAATCTCGGCTCACTGCAACCTCCACCTCCCAGGTTCAAGCAATTCTCCTGCCCCAGCCTCCTGAGTAGCTGGGACTACAGGTGTATGCCACCACGCCTGGCTAATTTTTTTTTTTTTTTTTTTGAGATGGAGTCTCACTTTGTCGCCAGGCTGGAGTGCAGTGGCACAATCTTGGCTCACTGCAACCTCTGCCTCCTGGGTGCAAGCGATTCCCCTGCTTCAGCCTCCTGAGTAGCTGAGACTACAGGTGCATGCCACCACACCCAGCTAATTTTTTGTATTTTTAGTAGAGATGGGTTTTTCACCATGTTGGCCAGGATGGTCTCAATCTCTCGATCTTGTGATCTGCCTGCCTCAGCCTCCCAAAGTGCTGGGATTACAGGCGTGAGCCTCCGCACTCAGCTAATTTTTTTGTATTTTTAGTAGAGACGGGATTTCATCATGTTGGCCACGTTGATCTCAAACTGCTTACCTCATGTGATCTGCCCACCTTGGCCTCCTAAAGTTCTGGGATTACAGGTGTGAGCCACTGTGCCCGGCCGAACATAATTTCTTTTTAGGTTTAGGTTGACACCAAAACCTGTCTCTTGCTCATCTTTTCTTCTGTCTGCCATATCTAGCACTTGCATATAAGCCTTAGTGAATGTTAAATTTCACTGGGTAGATTGTTTTCTCTGTTGTCATAGTCTCAGAGCTTCTTCTGTTACTGTGAAGAAGTTCTGTCTATTAATCAAAGCCCTCTCTGGCTACTTGCTGTAATGGTTGACTGTGTACCTTTCCCTACACTTTTTAAAAAAGATTTTAGCAAGAATATAGCAATATTGGTATTGTGACTGATCCTTCTAAAGAAACTCCCGAAAGATAAGAGATTATGCCAAAACTTTGAGAAAACAAATTATCAATGTCCATGTACATATGAAATTAAAGATATTAATCAATCGTAGTACATTTTAACCTACTGAATGAATATAATTAGTCTTATATCATATATTTGACTCATATTGAGAAAGTATTAATTTGACTGAAAATACTTCAAAAAATAATAAGCATAAATGTGTGTTAGGATGAATTTTACTATTTGGTTCTTGTTTTTGTTTTTTCTTGATATTATTCATATAAAAACCACCATAATTTATAAATTATGTTCTAAAGTCAGAAATTTTAAATTGTTCTAAAAATTGCCAATATTATGTAGAATTGAAGATAGTCACCTCTTACCACAATCACTCATACTATTTTAATGAAATTGGTTTTTTAAATATATAATTAATATTGAAATTATAATTTTTCAGAAGAATAATGTTCATATATTCCACAACCCTAACACAATTATTAACATATTGAATTTTCTAGTAATCATTTTTTCCTGGTCATCTCTTTCTCATTTAACCTTAACCAGTCTGTACACAATTTATATCACACTTTTCTCTTTTTTTTCCTAATCCTTACCATGATGCCACATTATCCTCATAACCTTAATTTTAATTAGTACATAATATGCCTAGAAAAGATGGCACCATGACTATTGTAAACAATTTTCTTGTTGGGTAATCAGATTGCTCTCAGTTTTCACTCAATTACCTAATACTATAATGAAAATCTGTATCTATAGTGATTTTTCATTTTTTGATTTTTCCTTAGTGGGAGTTCTCAGATGTAGAGTTAATATTTAAAAATTATTGTTTTTATATAGTTTTTGGAAAATATTATTTATTATCCTAAATGTCCTTTTCAGCAATGTATAAAATTACTTTCTTTACTGCACTCTTTTAATCATTGAGTGGCATCATTTTGGGAGTGATCAATTTAATAAATAATAAACGGCATCTCGCATTGTGCATTTATTTGATTAATTAGCTTTAAATTTTTACATATTTTATTATGTTGCCTTGTGAAAATTGTCTTTTGTTGTTCTTTGTCCATATAAATAAACTCTTTATAGATTTCTCTGATGCTAAGCAACAAAAATTTGTAATCAATTTTAAAAATCAAGTGAACAGCTTTGTAAAGCTCTTGGAATCTTATTTTTAGAAATACTGGTTTTGCTCATAGAAATCAGCTATTTATAATTCTAGTTGCTGAACATAAATTGAGCATACAGTAGGCATCAGGCACTTTATTTCATTTAATATTGTCTATCAGTCCTATGAAGTAGATCCTATTATTATTATTATTACCGGTTTAGAGGTGACTGAAGAGGAATTGAGAGAAGGTTAATTACCACAGGTCAGACAGGTGGTTAGTGATGAAGTCAGAGCTAGACCCCACATATGACATTTTTTAACCACTACAGATCAAATTATCAAATACAGGAAGTGTTCATAAAAGCAGCCTATCATATGGAAGCTGTCAGAGAATGGCCTGATTCATACCGTCACATTTCTGAGTTTTAGCTTTAGCCTTGTGTTCTAATCAGTTCAGTTGCCACAGCAAAAATACCATGGACTGAGTGGCTCGAACAACACAAATTTATTTCTCACAGTTCTGAAGGCTAGGAAGTCCATGACAAACTGCTGCTATTCAATTCCTGGTGAGAGCTCTCTTTTTGGTTTTTAGATGGCCAACCAAAACTTGGTTTTCTTCTTGTCCATCTTCTTGCTGTATCCTTACATGGTGAAGAGAGAGAGATCCAGTCTCATCCTCTCCTTATAATGGTGTTAATCCAATCATAGAATCTCCAAACTCATGATCTCATCTAAAACTAATTACCTCCCAAGGGCCCACCTTCTAATACCACCACGTTGGGAATTAAGGCTTCAACATAAGAATTTGGAGGAGACACTAATAAGTCATAGTACCTTGTGACCAGAAAAAAAACAAGAAATGGTATAAAGTTGACCTCCAAACATGAATGAAAAACTGGAATTATTAGAGCTAATTTCAATATTATCCATGTGAATCTACAAAGAGGCGTCTGACAGAGTAAAATCTGAGCAATGTATTAATCTTCAGCCTTCCACTAATCCACTGAGTGACCTCAGGAAGTTATTTAAGCCCTCAGAGTCACAAAGTCCCCATTTTTTTTAAAGGCTTATAAAGCTTTCCTTGATTAAATGAGATTATATATATATATATATATTTTATATATATATATTATATATATATATATGGAGAGAGAGAGAGAGAGAGGACCTAACAGAGTGTTTGGGTTATTATAGGTGCTTAATAGATAGTTGTTATTTTTGTGTTTGTTTTCCAATATTTGATGGATATATAGTGTCAAATGTCTCCAGATTATTTGCTAGGCTCTATCAGTCCTGAGAGTCACTAACGTGTATAAGTCTTCCCAAGACTTTAGTTGAAAGAAAATAATCCATTTTAGAGCTTCTACAAATACTCACACATTGGAAACTTTCCAGTGTAGACTAAATTACTCTCAGTGCATCTCTGGACAATTTCATGTCGTCCAAAATCTCTGTACCTTGACTGCATTCATTGTGTAAATTCCTGAAATAGGCTTAAATAATTGATTGTGGAAAAGAATAAAAAGCCTCATACCATTAACAAGATTGGATTCTGACTCCCACAAGTCTAATTATCCCCTTGCAAAGTACTCTTCTCTACTCTTTAGCTCTTGTCTCTTAAAACAATTTGCTACAGTCTTGATTTTTGTTTCTGCTCATTATCTATAGGTTCTAACTTCAAAGTGGCTACAGCTAGTGTATTTCTACTGTTTAATCTAATATTGTTATAGGCACAATTATATAATATTAATACTTCTTTCAAAGTAATTTGTTTCGTAGAATCCATTATGAGTTGTTCCTTATTTCATGATTTTGTTTAAGGAGATTCCCAATGAAACACATTTCTGTTTTGACATTCTACTGGCTTCTGCAAGTGGACTGTAAGCCATTTGGTCTTTCTCATGTAATCATAACTTTTCTCTTGGTATAACTAAAGTTACTGCATTTCTTACCTTCAATAACAGTGTAATTTCTAAAATGTGCCACAACAGAATTACCTTTCCTTCATTCACTTAGAGATGGTGGAATGAAAATTTGGGGTAAATGGAGAAAAAAATGTGTTAACTAGAAATATTTAAGGCAACCTAATTTGAATTAAATGAAGACTTTATCACTTAAAAGTGTTTTGCAGTGCCTCTATCGAATATTGATTATAACATTGTTTATTTGTGTTTCATTTTTTATTTTAAAATTAAAAAAATTTTTTCCAGAGACAGAGTTTTGGTCTGTCGCCCAGGCTGGAGTGCAGTGGGGTGATACTAGCTCACTGAAGCCTTCACCTTCTGGGCTCTAGATACTCTCTGCCTCAGCCTCCTGAGTAGTTGGGACTACAGGTGTGCACCACCAAGCCCGGCTAATAAAATATATATATATATTTAAGAGACGTGGTCTCACTGTGTTGCCCTGGCTGGTGTGAAACTCTTGGCCTCAAGCGATTCTCCTGCTTTGGCCTCCTAAAGTGCTGCGATTACAGGCGTGAGTTACTGCACATGACCTTGTTTGGGTTTTAACAATCCAGTTCTCAGCTAATTCAAATGGCGGCGCTCATTCTTACTCAGGCTGTTTGGTGTATCTGTTCCTACTGTGATGGAAAAATCATTTGGAGGACAAAACCCTTAATAACTTTTAACAAGACCTCAAACTATTATCTGTCAGAATAATTTCTTGAATATAATTCTTCCTTGTGCTTCTGCTGAACATTGATATAGCAATGAGATGTTAACAACTCCTAAGGGAGCTGGCTGGGTTTTATTATATTTTAGAAGGAATAATTGTTTCTCTAAGAGATCATGATTTAATTTGGATAGTGTATCCAAGGACCTCAACCTCAGAACCCTCTCTAGAAGTAGAATGACCCAATAAAGCCACTTTGGATAGACTTTTGAAACTTCATCTTTTCTTTCTCTTTCTTTTTTTTTTTTTTTTTTTTTGACAGAGTTTTGCTCTTGTTACCCAGGCTGGAGTGCAGTGGCGTGATCTCGGCTCACTGCAACTTCCACCTCCCAGGTTCAAGTGATTGTCCTGACTCAGCCTCCTGAGTAGCTGGGATTACAGGCATTCACAACCACACCTGGCTAATTTTTTGTATTTTCAGTAGAGATGGGGTTTCACCATGTTTGCCAGGCTGGTCTTGAACTCCTGATCTCAGGTGATCCATCCATCTCAGCCTCCCAAAGTGCTGGGATTACAGGCATGAGCCACCATGCCCAGCCCGAAACTTCATTTTTTCTAAAGAAACCACATTGATGCTGATGACGTAAAAATCGTTGGAATGGCCGCGCGCGGTGGCTCACGCCTGTAATCCTAGCACTTTGGGAGGCCGAGGCAGGTGGATCACGAGGTCAGGAGATCGAGACCATCCCGGCTAACATGGTGAAACCCCGTCTCTACTGAAAATACAAAAAAATTAGCCAGGCGTGGCAGCATGCGCCTATAGTCCCAGCTGCTGGGGAGGCTGAGGCAGGAGAATGGCATGAACCCAGAGCCAAGATGACGCCACTGCACTCCAGCCTGGGTGACAGAGCAAGACTCCCTCTCAAAAAAAAAAAAAAAAAAAAAAATGGTTGGCATGTTCCTTTCTTGAATGGCATATATTAAACATATAACTTCCCTGAATTTTCTCACCTAACACCTCAAAAAACCCACATGCCTCTTTTCTTAATCAACATGTGACTAAATGTCATCCAGTGCATCTGATCATAATACTTTGCCCTTACCAGTCTCATTACCTTGTGCCAGAAATGACAGAAGTAATACTCAGGCTTTCCATCTCTAACGGTGCCAAGTTCATGTATAGACTCTATCAACATTTGGTTTTATCTCATCTGTCTATTTCTGTGCTTGATTTGATTCTGACTAGAGCCACACAAATGCAAGAACTTATGTTAATCTATATCTATGCCTGCCATAGTCACCTGAGACTCTATTTTGTACTCTGTAACTATGGGTAGGATTTTAAAACCTCACTGGTATTTAAAAGAAAAAGAAAAGCTTATGTATTAGATGCTGTTTTAAAAGTGATTATCTCTTTCTCAGAAGCTCCTTAATTTTCAAAATGACTTTTTAGCTATATTCACTCAATGTGAATTTTAAACACAGACTTCAGAAAAATATTTACTCAGATCTCTTATTTCCTTTCACAAGTTTTGAGTTCTCTTTCTGATAGTAGGGTTCTCCCTATAAATTCAACCTAAATCTAAAATCTAACTGTGCATATATACTGAAATGTACTTACATGCTTATGTAACACAAGGGAATGAACCTATATCCAAAATTTGTTTGAATGTTGAGAATGATACACCAAGAGAGTATGAAAATGTTTATTAGCCAGGCGTGGTGTATTATTGCCACGCTGCTAATTAAGACATACCCGAGACTGGGCAATTTACAAAAGAAAGGTTTAATGGACTAACAGTTACACATGGCTGGGGAGGCCTCACAATCATGGGGGAAGGCAAGGAGGAACAAGTCACATCTTATGTGAATGGTGGCAGGCAAAGAGAGAGAGCTTGTGCAGGAAACACCCCCTTATACAACTATCAGATCTCGTGAGACTTATTCACTATCATGAGAACAGCAAGGGAAAGACCAGCCCCCGTGATTCAATTACCTTTCACCGGCTCCCTCCCACAACATGTGGGAATTCAAGATGAGATTGGCATGGGGATACAGCCAAACCATATCATGTGGTGTCTCACACCTGTGAACCCAGCACTTTGGGAGGCCAAGGCAGGTGGATCACTTGAGGCCAGGAGTTTGAGACCAGCCAGGCCAATATGGCAAAACCCCATCTCTACTAAAAATACAAAAATTAGCCGAGGATGGTGGTGTACTCCTGTAGTCCCAGCTACTCAGGTGGCTGAGGCATGAGAATCGCTTGAACTGGGAGGCGGAGGTTGCAGTGAGCTGAGATCGCACCACTGCACTCCAGCCTTGGGTGACAGAGGGAGACTGTCTCAAAAAAAAAAATAATTAATTAATTAATTAAAAGAAAAGGTTTACTACTCAAATAATGAGGCTTTTTGAGGAAGATAGATTCCAAGCAAATCCAAAAGTAGTTTGACAGAGGAGGGAAAAAAGACTAGCATGGGGTTTTTATGTAATCAGAGAGGAAGACTGAGGTGAGGATTCCTGTATGCGGCTTGAACTTCCTGCAGGTGCCAAAGGAGAAAGTATTAGGCTTTCTAATCAGGTTGCCCACATATGGGAAAAAAGAGGAAAAGGAAGAGGAGAAGCTTAAAAGTTGTTAGCAGACAAACATTAAGAAATGGAGTCATAACCTTATTGTAATACTATACTTGCACAAACATAGTAAACATTGGAATATACCTACCCACACATGCTGCCTCCTATACTGTGTAGACCCATTAGATTTCTATGTATTGCAGGGACCTAGGTTCCTGTGATCGCCCTAGGTTCATAATTCCTGCTCTCTTGTGATTCTCACTTGAACCTCCTCTCCCAAGACCGTTTGTGTCTTTGCACTTGATTTGATCAAAATGCAGAATTCTCTCCTTCTTCATGGCTGAAACAACGACTGGAACATAAATGTCCTACTTACACAAGACATTTGCATTTGCAGCATACTATTCTAAAATAGATAATTCAGAGAAATAGAGCAATAAGGAGATTATTACTTCTATTGATAAAAATGTGCCATGCCTCCTAGTAGGCAGAAGTTACTACATACATTTGCACTTTAAATAACAAGTAATTTTTTTCCTCTATGACATGAACAAAATCATTTGTCTCCCTTTGATTACATGAGATTATAAATATAAATAATTTAGTAAGCACACACACAAAGAAGTACCTGCAGACAAATGCTGACACATGGTTTGCTGATCTTGTTGGCTTCCTTACTGCCAAATGATGTAACTTCACACGATCTTGACTCAGGAGACTCAGAAATGCTGTTAGTCCCCCTGAAAAGTGAACTGAAGATCATAAAAGATTTCTGTCAATTAAATTTTATCATTCATATAAAACTCATAAAGTGGAGTTCTCACAGAAAGTATTCAGATTTTTTTCTTTTCCTCTAGGCTTTTTTCACTCACAATATACTTCAGAATAAAAGCATGACCATTTCTGTTTGTTCCAGTGAGATATATATTTATATTTTTTTCTGCTAAGATATATATTTACATCTAATTTTTCCTAATGAAATGTAGTACTGAGAGGTAAATTACTTTAGCTATAATACTTGGCATCATGAATAAATTTATTTGTAAGCATTAAGCCTCTGATCCTCACTTGTAATGGTTTCATAGCTGAGCATTTACCAAGAGTGATAGGTTTGGAAGTTAGGTACTGTGCTGCTTCCTTCCGTAATCCAACTCCAAACAAGATTCTCACTGAAGAGGACAATCTAATAAATTCACTTGCTTGAGCTTTGTCTTAAATTATAAATAATTTGGATAATTCAAATATAAATTTCAAGGTGACTCCACCCTCAGATTCGAGGAGATATGGTTTTAGAAACAGCTCATCAGCCTCTCAGAGAATCCAAGTGAGTATTTTTCATAACGAAGGAGCTTAATAGGAACTAAAAAATTTTCAAGATTAAGATGAATCTGCCCTATTCAAATTTACTACAATAGTAGGTGGTGATTTAATAGGAAAAGAGTTATAAAGATCAGTTTTGGACTCATTAAATATAAAAGACAAAAAATATTACCTTGAATATAAAATATTATATATTTATGATAATATTTTTCTTCTTTATCACTCTTTATAAGTAATTTTTCAATTGATATGACTAAAATGACTAGAATTGGTTTCTTGTAAAATGTGCTCAGGGATACAAATGAATCAATGCGTCTTTATAATTAAACATTTCATTTACTTTCCTTAGAAGAAGAGAAATTAATACCAAAATAGATATGCCCTGATTTTATATATTATATAATATTATATAATATATAAAATCAGGGCATATCTATTATATATATATAATCAGGGTATATCTATTATATATATAAAATCAGGGTATACCTATCTTGGTATTAATTTATATTATTTGGTATTAATATATTTGGTACTTTTATATATATATTATATATATATATATCCTTTAACCCAAATTAATGCTTAATGACTAATCCAGCTGCATAATCTCTTCAAATGTTTATATGGCTTTAAGCCATTGTGATCAAATTTATATAAAAATAAAACAGATCAGTTATAAATCAGGTGAACCACAATTTAAAATTGATCAAGACCAATGATATTTGCCTTGAGAATTCAAGATATTCTTAAGAACTCTAGAGTCAGAAATACCTATTTTGAAGTATTGCTTAATTATTATTGGTGTATTTAGCAAGGTACTTGTTCTCTCTGTTCCTGAGTTTTTTCGTTTCCCTCATAGAGATAAAAATACCTATCTCAGTAAGTTAGTTGTGAGAATTAAAAAAAATGATTTCCATGTTGCAGTGGGGTTTTCTCTACTCCATGTCCAGGCAGATCTCCAGGCATTCTGAGCACCAGCTCAGCTAGACCAGCAGACTGAGCCACCCCATCTTTACTGTGCAGAGTTCCTAGTGCAGTGGGGTCCTCTCTGCTACATGCTCAAGGAGATTTCCAGGTATTCAGAGCACCTGCTTGCCTAGTTCAGCAGCCTGAGTTACCCCAGCCCTCCTGTCCAGAGATCTTGGTGCAGGGGTCTTCTCTCTGCTGCATGCTCAGGCAGATCTCCAGGCATATGGAGGACTCACTCTTCTGGATTGGTAGTTTACGGCATCCCTGACCTCTCTGTGCAGAGAACTTAGAGCCAAGGTGGTTTCCTAGCTCCGCATCTAGGCACGCCTCTAGGCACTTGGTGGCTTCTCATGGGATTCTCCCTTGGCACTTGTGTCTATGCCTGACATTGGACGATCTGTACATGGACCTTCCCAGTCCAGGTCTGCCCCTTGTACCCCCCTCCCCAGGGCTGAGTAGGGAGATTAGACAACCATACATTTCACAAATCATCTTATTGCCTGAAGCAACAGAGAGTTTCTGCCACTAAACAAGGATCAAGTATTTACACAGCCAAACTGGCCAGCACCAGCTCTTACCTGTAAGTGCCATCTGCAAGCTTGTAGATTGTACTCCACAATGCAATATAAAACCTGCTAAAAGAAGTGTATAGGGCTATGGAAGCAAAGCTATAATACCCTACCCAGCTTTCTCTACAGTCACAACCCCTAGGGATGGGGAAAAAGGGAAAAGGAAAGATAAAAATAATATAATAATAACATTATAGAGGAAGAACAAAAAAGAAAAAATCTTACCCACACAAAAACAATTACAAAAATTAGAAGTACCAGCATCTCCAGATGGGAAAGAAAGAGCATAAGAATTCTGGCACCATGAAGAATAAGAATGTGGTGACACGATCAAAGGATTGCTCTAGCTCTCTAGCAATGGTTCCTAACCAAAATGGAAACTCAGAAATGACAGATAAAGAATTCAAAGCATAGATTGCAAGGAAGCTCAATGACATTCAAGATCAGGTTGAAAATTAATACAAAGAAACTTCTAAAGCAATCCAGGAAATGAAGGAAGGAATAAACATCTTTAAAAAAATGAATCAGAACTTCTGGAATTAAAAAACTCAGTTAAGGCCAGGAGTGGTGGCTCATGCCTGTAATCCCAGCACTTTGGAAGGCCGAGGCAGGTGGATCACGAGGTCAGGAGATCAAGACCGTCCTGGCTAACACAGTGAAACCCTGTCTCTACTAAAAATACAAAAAAATTAGTTGGGCATGGTGGCGGGCATCTGTAGTCCCAGCTACTCGGGAGGCTGAGGCAGGAGAATGGCGTGAACCCGGGAGGCAGAGCTTGCAGTGAGCCGAGATCGCACCACTGCACTCCAGCCTGGGCAAAAAAGCGAGACTCTATCTCAAAAAAAAAAAAAAAACCCTCACTTAAGGAATTTCAAAATACCATCGACAGCCTTATCAACAGATTACACCAAGCAGAAGAAAATTTCAGAGTTAGAACATCAATCTTTTGAACTAAGTCAGACAAAAATCAAAAATAAAGAAAAAAGATTTTTAAGAAAAAAAGTCTTCAAGAATTATGGGATTACATAAAGCAACCAAATCTGTGAGTTATTGGCATTTCTGAGAGAGGAGAAAAAGTAAACAACCTGGAAAATATATTTGAAGGAATAATTCAAGAAAACTTCTTTAATCTTGCTAGAGAGGTAGATATTTAGATACAAGAAATCTAGGGAACATCTGTGAGATATCATACAAAATAATCAACACCAAGGCATATAGTCACTAGATTGTCCAAGGTAAGTGCTAAAGAAAAAAAAATTTAAAGGCAGCTAGAAAAAAAGGGCAGATTATGTACAAAAGGAACCTCATCAAGTTAAGAGCACATTTCTTAGCAGAAACCTTGCAAGCCAAGAGAGATCAGGGGCCTATTTTCAGCATTCTTAAAATAAATTTCAACAAAGAATTTCATTTTATCACACCAAACTAAGCTTCATAAGTGAAGGAGAAATAAAATATTTGCCAGACAAGCAAGTGCTAAGGGAATTTGTTACCACTAGACCAGACTTACAAGAGATCCTTAAGGAAACTCTAAACATGGAAACAAAAGATCAATACCTGCTACCACAAAAACACTTAAGTACATAGCCCACTGACTCTATAAAGCAACTACCTAATAGAAAGTACAAAGCAACCAGCTAAGAACTTCATGATAGGATCAAAACCTCACATATCAATATTAACCTTGAATATAAATGGCCCAAATGCTTCACTTAGAAGGCACAGAGTGGCAAGTTGGATAAAAAAATGCAATCCATCTATCTGCTGTCTTCAAGAGACCCATCTCACACATAATGACACCCACTGGCTCTAAGGGTTAGAGAAAGATCTACCATGCAAACAGTAAACAAAAAAGAACAATGGTTGCTATTCTTATGTCAGATACAAGAGACTTTAAATCAAAAACAGTGAAAAAAAAAAGACAAAAAATAGCATTACATAATGATAAAGGGCTCAATTCAGCAAGAAGACTTAATTATACTAAATACCTATGCACCCAACATTTGGGAAACCAGATTCATAAAACAAGTACTTCTAGACCTATGAAAAGACTTAGCCACATAACAACAGTTAGGGACTTCAACACCCCACTGAAAGTATTAGACAGATCATTAAGGCAGAAAACTAACAAAGAAATTTTAGACTTAAACTTGGTACTTGACCAATTGGACCTAAAAGACATCTACAGAATACTCCACCCATCAATCACAGAATATACATTTTTCTCATCTGCACATGGAACATATTCCAAAATTGACTACATGTTCAGCCATAAACCAAGCCTCAATAAATTTAAAAAATTGAAATCATGCCAACCATTCTCTCAGACTGCAGTGGAATAAAAATAGAAATCAATACTAAGAAGATCTCTCAAAACCACACATTTACATGGAAATTAATCAACTTGCTCCTGAATGACTTTTGGGTAAACAATAAAATCAAGGCAGAAATTTAAAAAAAAATTGGAATAAATAAAAATAGAGACACAACATACCAAAATATTTGGGATGTAGCAAAAGCAGTGTTAAAAGTTTATAGCTCTAGATGCCTACCTCAAAAAGTTAGAAAGATCTCAAATTAATGATCTAACATCATACCTAGAGGAATCAGAAAAACAAGAACAAACTAACCCCAAAGCTAGCAGAAAAAAAGAAATAACTAAAATCAGAGTGGAACTGATGAAATTGAGACCCCAAAATCAAATAATACAAATACAAAGAATCAAATACAAAGAATCAAGGAAACTAAAAGTTGGTTCTTTGGAAGGATAAACAAGATCAATAGAGCTAGGTTAACAAAGCAAAAAAGAGAGCATATCCAAATAGGCACAATCAAAAATGGCAAAAGTGACATTACAACTGACCCCACAGAAATACAAAAGATCCTCAGATCAGTGTGAGAGGATTAGGAAGAAGAAAAGAGATCCTGATAGACTATTATGAACACCTCTATGCACACAAACTAGAAAATCTAGAGGAAATGGATAAACTCTTGGAAACACACAATCTCCCAAGATTAAATCAGGAAGAAATTGGAACACTGAACAGAGCAATATCAAGTTCCAAAATTGACAGTAATTAAAAAAATAAAAACCTACCACCACAACCACCAACAAAAATCCCTAGACCAGATGGAGTCACAGTGGAATTCTACCAGACATACAAAGAAAATCTGATACTAATTCTACGAAAACTATTCCAAAACATTGAGGAGGAGGGACTCTTCCCTAGCTCATTCTATGAAGCCAGCATTACCCTGAAACCAAAACCTGGAAAAGACACAGTGAAAAAAGAAAACTACAGGCCAATATCCCTGATGAATATAGACACAAAAATCCTCAGGAAAATACTAGCAAATTGAATTCAGCAGCACACCAAAGAGTTAATTCACTATGATCAAGTGAATTCATTCCTGGGATTCAAGGTTGATTCAACATAGGCAAAGCAATAAATGTTATTCACCACATAAATAGAACTAAAAAACCACATGAATATCTAAATAGGTGCAGAAAAGGCTTTTAATAAAATTCAGCATGCCTTCATGTTAAAAACTCAGCACTGAATGAACGTACCTTAGAATAATAAAAGCCATCTATCACAGACCCACAGCCAACATCATACTGAATGGGCAAAAGCTGGAGGTATTCCCCTTGAGAACCAAAACAAGATAAGGATGCCCATTCTCATTCCTCCTATTGAACATAATACTGGAAATCCTAGCCAGAGAAATTGAACAAGAGATACAAAAGGCATCCAAGTAGGAAAAGGGGAAGTCAAACCCTCTCTCTTCACTGATGATATGATTCTAAACTTAGAAAACTCTAGGGGCTCTGCCAAAAGGCTATTATAACTGATAAACGATTTTAGCAAGGTTTCAGGATACAAAATCAATGTACAAAAGTCAGTAGCATTTCTACACACTAATAATGTCCAAGCTGAGAGTCAAATCAAGAATGCAATGCCACTTAAAATAGTTACACACACACACAAAATATCTAAGAATACATCTAACTGAGGAAGTGAAAGATCTCTACAATGAGAACTGCAAAACACTGCAAAAAAAGAAATCACAGATGACACAAACAAATGGAAAAACATTCCATGCTCATGGACAAGAAGAATCAATATCATTAAAATGGCCAAACTGACCAAAGCAATCTACAGATTCAATGCTATTTCTATCAAACCACCAACATCATTTTTCACAGAATTGGGAAAAAAACCCTACACTAAAATTCATGTGGAACCAAAAAGGAGCCTGAATAGCCAAAGCAATCCTAAGCAAAAAGAACAATATTGGAGACATCACATTACTCAAGTAAAAACTATACTATAAAGCTACTGTAACCAAAACAGCATAGTACTTGTCCAAAAACAGACAGAGCGATAAAACAGAAGAGAGAACCCAGAAATAAAGCCACACACCTACAGCCATCCCATCTAATCTTTGACAAAAACAAGCAATGGGGAAAGGACTCCCTATTCAATAAATGGTGCTGGGATAGTTGGATAGGCATATGCAAAAGAATGAAACTGGACCCCTACCTTTCACCACATAAAAAATTAACTCAGGATGGATTAAAGATATGTAAAACCTCAAACTATAGGAATTCTAAAAGAAAACCTAGGAAACAGATTCCGTACATCGACCTTGGGAAAGAATTTATGACAATGTCCTCAAAAGCAATTGCAACAAAAACAAAAATTGGCAAGTAGGGCCTAATTAAACTAAAGAGCTTCTGTGCAGCAATATATATGTGTGTATTCTGTACATATACATGTGTGAGTGTGTTTATATATGTGTGTGTATAAACACACATATACAGAGTAAACAATTTCAGAAAGAAAATGTGGTACATATACAGAATGGAGTACTACACAGCCATAAAAGAATGAAATCGGTCTGGTGTGATGGCTCATGCCTGTAAATCTCAGCACTTTGGGAGGCTGAGGCGGGTGGATCACAAGGTCAGGAGTTCAAGACCAGCCTGGCCAAGATCTTGAAACCCCGTCTCTACTAAAAAAAAAATTAGCTGGGCATGGTGGCAGGCACCTGTAATCCCAGCTACTCAGGAGGCTGAGGCAGAGGATTGCTTGAGCCTGGGAGGCAGAGGTTGCAGTGAGCCGAGATCATACCACTGCCCTCCAGCCTGGGCGACAGAGCGATACTTCATCTGAAAAAAAAAAAAAAAAAAAAAAAAAAAAACAGAAAAGAAAAAAAAATCAGCATGGACGCAGCTGGAGGCCATTATCCTAAGTGAATTAACACAATAACAAAAAATCAAATACTGCACGTACTCAATTGTAAGTGGAAACTAAACATTCGTTAATCATGGACATAAAGATGGGAACAACAGATACTGGGAACTACTAGGGGTGGGAAGGAGAAAGGGGTGAAAGAGCTGAAAAACTAACTGTTGGGTACTATGCTCAGTACCCGGGTGACAGGATCCTTCCTACCCTAAACGTCAGCATCATGCAATATTCACAGGTAACAAACCTGCACATGTATCCCCTGAATCTAAAATAGAAGTTGAAGAAAATAAAAATGGAAGACGTTTTGGCCAACAAAAACAACAACAAAGAAATGATTTTCAGAAAAAAAGTGGAGTATAGCATCTAGTTTATGGAAGCACCTAGTACATAGTAATTATCATTATGGCACAATTATATTTTTCAGCTGGCACTAAAACTATGGAATACCTTTTCTCTGCTTCCAAAAATACATATTCTGAATGAATATATCATATTCATAACAATATGACTTTTAAGCCTGTTTGGCTTTTACCTATCTCAGCTGTATCCTTTATACTTACAGTATTCTCTTTCTCTCTTTCTAAATGCTCAGGTACATTTTAAAAATACAATTCTTTTAATACAAAAAGTTGCCACCAAAAAAAATGTCCCTTCTTCTTGTTCTGAGAATGCTTTTTTTTTAAAAAAAGAATATGCACCTTTCTATGGAGAATTTATGTAATCCATAAATCACGAAGCTTTTATCCTAAAGTATATGCCAAATAGAGTTAAGTTTGAGAACGTTTTCCTCTGACAAAAGCCTTTGCAGGTATTCAATTTGTGAATGTGACAGGTGTCATTATTACAACTACACCAGATTCTGGCCCAGTTGAAAGAAATAATGTGGTAGGTTAATAATTTGAAATGTTCTTTGGGGCTAAAAGATATGAGCTATCTTGCCTAGCAAAGAGGCATCAGAAAGGGACAAGAGATCAAAGATCAAAAAGTATAGCTTTTTGATGTAACCTCCAACAAAGTTTATGCAAGGATACTTTAGGAAGTGACAGTGTTCAGCCAGAACAAGTTTATCCTACTTCCATCCATATCCAGACCAGATAAAACTCTCATAAAGTGAGGAGAATTGAAAGCATTTAGACATTGGTTGTTCTCTATGCCTTGCTTTCCACCTTCATCCCAGGATACATCTGAGGGGGACTTTGCAGCAGCAATAGGACTTCTCAGAACCCCTGGGAATGGTTCGAGAGTTGAGAAGACCTATGAACTCCCAGTCCCTTCCAGACTCTGGTAATTGGCAGCCTTGCTAGTGCCCTCCCATTAAAAGTTGTGAAAACTAGAATCAAGAAGTCTATGAGGGGTAATAGGAACATGTTATGGCTTCTGGCTACCCTAGAGGGGTGCATGAGAGCAGCTAAGACTTCTCAGTGCCCAACAGAAAGAGTACAGAAGCTGGATGAGAAAGGGATTGATAAAGCCTGGAGTCGGTTTCTTTAGCTAAGATAAGGGGCTCTGTAGCAGCAACTATGTGCACAACTGCACGTAGTTAATAATAAATAATCCCAGCCAGGGATTATTTTAGGATGTGGTTATCTCAGAAGAATGCCAGTGTAGGCTGGACAATGAAAACTTAGTCACTAACTCTATCACTAAATTTGAGTATGTTTGTTTGGGAGTGATTAGAATCAGGTGGGCTTAATATTTGTTTTTTGGTTTTTGTTTTATTCTTCAAGCAGAATGGGGGCTTTTTATAGAAAGAAAATACAGTTTCAGTAAAAAATAAAGGTACATTTTGTACCTATGCTGTACCAGGAAGACTGAGGCCAGGCTTGGAGAAGCTAGGATCCTTATCCAGACCATTTGTTCCAAAGCCAAGGGTGGGAATCAAGGTAAATCCCATATTCTCTACCCTAGAATTATACCAATTTTCAGAACTGAAATATCAACAGTTTAACTTGTGTTATTTCATACTCTATATGAATGAGTACATCTACTAACCAAGTTACATGTGTTGAATAATAATACATGTTTCCAATTTTAAACCAAGGGACATATAGTTAATTGTCAGTATTTCCTATCACCTTGAATTGATCTAATCCTTCCAGGGCAAGTGAAACTTATTGTTTGTATTAATATCTTTAGTGTTATCATGGAAAAGTAGAGATTAGGTCCTTCTGGAGAATTTCTGAATTCCTCAAATTCCAACCACAAAGTCACTAACATTAGTCTCCATTTTGCACATGAGGGAATGTACAAGACACATGGGCAGTAATTCACTCAAGTTCATATAGCTAGGAGATGGTATGTAGTCAAAAAGAGAAGTAAAGAGGGTATATTACTCTCATTATGAAAAATAAGACTTCTAATCTAAGAAAAGTATTTAAAGTTGTATTTAAAACTTGTAGAGTCACCTTATATATCCAAATATACATCAGACTGACATAGGAACAATACTGTAAAATTGTTGTTGAGAATATTCTTAATTACATAACTCACTGGCCCCTATACAATACCTCATTTGACAAAATTTCCTTCTTATAAAAATTTGGCTTTCTTTGGGAGAGTGATATATTTCTCTCTTCACGTGAGTAATTAAACTCAGTCAATCTTTTTACGTTGTTGTCTGGAAAATCAAAGTAAGGCATATCTACCCAGTTGCTGTAAATTGATTTTCTTCTCTAAGTCTTGTTTTTCCTCTTATATGCCATTTTATTTTCTGAATAACATCACTTCAGTGAAACAAATATAAATACCTACTATACAGTCAACCCAACGTTAATAAGCCCCATAATTCACCTGCTTAACGATGAGGGAGACTTCGTTGTCAGTAAACTTGAAAGCTAAGGATATGATTCCCACTCTCTCCCTCAACCAAAGCATTTTATTCTCAGCTGTTCTGACTTAGGAAAAGAGTCACGATTCTTCATAAGAGGGGAAGCAGGACTACTGGGTGATCAGTCTTTCCAAGTGGAATTTTGGCTTCTAGGCTCATATTGACAAAGTCCTCTCTTATTTTCTTTGCTTGAGCGCTATTGTTGGGAACATGCCCAGTATTGTAAATGCATATTGCCCACAGTTCTTGCAATTGGCTAAAAAGAAAAAAAAAAAACCAACCCAGGCTCAGTGGTTCATGCCTGTAATTCCAGCACTTTGGGAGGCTGAGGCGGGTGGATCACCTTAGGTCTGAAGTTAGAGACCAGCGTAACCAACATGGTGAAATCCTGTCTCTACTAAAAATACAAAAATTACCTGGACATGGTGGTGGGCGACTGTAATCCCAGCTACTTGGGAGGCTGAGGCAGGAGAATCACTAGAACCCGGGAGGCAGAGGTTGCAGTGAGCTGAGATTGCACTCCAGCCTGGGAGACAGAGCGAGACTCCATCTAAGAAAAGAAAAAGAAAAACCAAAAAAAAGTGCACAGGAACAAGATAAAAAATTAGCCCAACTGTTACTGGGTTGAAGATTTTTCTCAAATTTTGCCCTTTAAGCCTGTCTTTCTCTTTATATGCTCTTGAACCTGAGTTGGTCCTTCATTGATAATATGTGAGCATAATACAAACCAAATAGCATGAAACACAGAAGGGGCAACTGTTTGAAATGGCTGTTTTGACATGTTCTCTTTCCTAGGCGATAGAGCAGTTTTCATACAAATATCAAACATTAGTGAGCTACTGGTAGAAAAAAAAGTAATCAATTCACTTATTTCCCCAATTAAAATCTGAGTACCTCTACTCAATGCTAACTTTTAAAATATGTTTCTTCATTATTCCTAATGAGATAAAATAGCTATTAATAATAGCTAACATTTTGAGGACTTACTATGTGCCACACACTGCACTAAGTGCTTTACATATATTTCTTCTGTGTATTCTTAGTACCTTGTGACAGAACTCAACTCTATCATTATAAGAATTTCTTTAGGGCAGCTAGACTATTCTATTTCTTTGACACCCAGTAAATGCTAAATATGTTTTTCTTGTATAAACTCATTGAAATTCTTCAAGGCAAAAAAAAAAAAACAACCACTTTATTCTGGGAAGAAATGCAGAGACAGGAATAGGTAGTGAATATACTTCTTGGAGCAAGAGGAAGAATAAATGCAGGTAATTAATGTATAACCAGAAGAAATGCAATCTCAGAGATGGGAGAATACTGCTGAAGACCTCCATGTCTATTTCCTAACCTATAACAATATATTTCTTAAGAAAATATTGCCCAAGAGAACAGAATTCTCCAGAATGCCTTTTCACATTTCACAAGAATCTGCAC
The DNA here is from genome assembly GCF_000001405.40 of Homo sapiens. NCBI lineage: Eukaryota > Metazoa > Chordata > Mammalia > Primates > Hominidae > Homo > Homo sapiens. The sequence continues at coordinate 152,474,850 of NC_000003.12, read as the reverse complement.
TGTACTCTGGTCATCTTCAGGGTAAGGCCTCAGGTTTGGAGGAATTTCTAGATTACATCATACGCCAACACTGACATCTGCTGGAAATGCACATTGCTCACAGTTCCTGCAGTTGGTTAAGTAGAAATAAAGTGCAAAGAAACATTTGTTTTATTGAGATGATAATCTTGGCAAACAAATTTTTAGGGATAAACATGGCCATAGGATTTTTACTCTAAATTACTAATTGTTATATACATAAGCCTTAGCATGGTCCAAATAAGCGTATTTGATATTTTTAAAAGCAAAACATTATACATATCTCTGAATATGAAGAATTTAATTTCATCCCATGTTTCGTAAGTAGCATGGTTATTGTTCTCTGGATTAGAGAAAAAATTAAATTAGTTGGAGGCCTCACTTTTCATTGATATGTGAACACAGTTTTGACAAATGATTTGTTGCTGTGGTTTGTATTATTCTGCCCATTCTTCTAAGTTTTCTTCCTGCTGTCTCACTTGTGATATGAATTAGGTATTTGAGGAATAGTGAAATTGAAGAAGAATACACTTTCCTACCCTTGGCTACATATAAATTTTAAGTATAATCTAATGCAAAATATTCCTTGCTACACTAATCTTTCATTTACTGAAACTTTTCAGTAAAAGAAAAATAATTCTACAACTTAAAAATTATTTTGTTTCATTTTTTCAGAAAAAAAAATCTGTATATTTTCCATGGGTATCTGTAAAAATTACCTCCTAGTTTCCTAGCATAAGCCTTGCATGTTAGGAAATATTAATATTTTCTTCTGAATTTATCTTATAAGTTATCCTTTTGGGAAAATATTTATTTTGTCCCTTTAAAAAATCTTTGCATTATAAAACATAGCAAGGAAATACAAAAAGTATATCATATACAAATGTGCAGTTTAATGTATTATGGAAAGATGGGCACTCATGTAACCACCACTCAGATAAAGAAATAGAACACTGCCAACATGTTTCAGAAAATCCTCATTGCCCCTTTTGTATTACATTTCACATCTTGGTTCCTTTTACAGTTTAACCCCTGAGTATACATTTTTAAATACTATGGTTTAGTTTTGCCTTTTGCTGTGATTTATACCTCTTCCTTGATTAGTATTATTCAATTTTATGAACATATAACCATTTTTTGAACCAAAGTGTTCTTGATGAACTTTTGGGTTGTTTCTGATGTGGAGCTGTTTCTAATTCTAATATAAGCATTTTTGTCCAAGTCTTTTGGTGCATATACAGGCATTTCTGTTGGATATAAATCTAAGAATGAATTTGCTAGCTCATAGGTTATAGGTCTTCAACTTCAGTAACACCAATATATTTTAATAACGTGGTTTTACCAATTTGATCTCTACCCAGAAGTACATGGTGTTTCATTTACTTCACATCTTCACCAACACCTGATATGGATACTTTCTCATCTTGGCAATTGGGATGGAGTGAGTAGAGGCATTTCATTTGGTTTTTAACTTGTGTTGAATATCCTCTTTTATAAAGTACCTGTATAAGCCCCTTGCCCTTTTTCCTAATGGGGTGTCAGTCTTTTCAAAAACATATTTCCAGAAATTCTTCATAAATTCGGTTTATTTGCCCTTTGTTGTTGTGTTGCAAATACCTACTCCTATTAATGCAGACCTATGACAGAAAAATCAAGATTCCTTTAATGAGCTGTTTTGGCTTGGAGACTGTTGACCCGGCTGAAACTTTCCTGGAATTGTGCTTCAGTTTGAAAATGTTTCTACCCTAGTGCCCTTTCCTTCACAGTTGTCAGGTCTATAGGACGGTTTGACATCTCCTTTTAATTTCTGTGGCTCCTTCCCCACTAAGTCTCTTGCATTTTTGATCTATCTTGGCATCTATTTCCCAGAGGACCCTAAGTAATACAGTCCCTGTACTTATTATTCCAATTTGCCACCATGTTGTCTTTTATCCAACAGCTGGTTTCCTTGCGTGCAATTTTACCTTCACAAATCCTCTGTCAGCAGCAACCAGAATAATCCATCTGTCCATAGCTGCCCCCTGAAAGTGTAAACTCGCTATTGAGGCCCATCAGATCTCCATAATCCCATACCAGTCTATCGCATCAGTGTCTTCATCTGGCCCTCTCAGCCTCTCATTTTATGTGATAATGGTATCAACTTTGTTGATGCCTTCCACTCAGGTCTTGTATTTGTTTCCTCTGTGCCTTAGTAAGGTGGCCTCCTCTGCCTGGGATAATCTTCCTTCCTCTTTTCCTAAATACAGCTGCTCATCTTGTTGGCACCCCCTCCAGGAGAACTTCTCACATCACCTCAAGCTGGATTTACTGCTGGACCCCACCAAACACCCTACCCCCTCAATACTCCTAGGTCTTACATGTTACTGCCTTGTGACTTTCTCCCCAAGGGAAACACAGCCTCCACCAGAGCAGCGACAGTACCTTACTCGTTTCATCTGCGTATGTCTAGTGCTAGCACATACTTAGCTTAAAGTAATCAGTAGATTTTTTTGTAAAATCCAAAGTGTTGGGCTCTAGTAATTTAAGAATTTGCTATTTTTAGAAACTCTTAAAATAAAAAATAATCGATTAGTTTGTTCAAGTGTTTTGAACCATTAGAGAGCAAGTTATTTGTATTTTGGGAGATGACGCGAGTAAAACGGTGACTGCCCAGTTTTCGTCATTTTAGGGTTACAGGAAGCTCCACCAGAGGGCGAGCAAGAGAAGGAAAACAACATAAATTAGAATCAGTCTGTTGTATACTGATAGCAAATCTGGAGGAAAACTTTTAAAATGGTAATACTAATAACTAGCGTGGTGGCTCAAACCTGTAATCCCAGCACTTTGGGAGGCCGAGGTGGGTGGATCACCTGAGGTAAGGAGTTCAAGACCAGTCTGGCCAACATGGTGAAATCCCGTCTCTACTAAAAATACAAAAATTAGCCGGGTGTGGTGGCACGTGCCTATAGTCCCAGCTATCCAGCAGGCTGAGGCAGAAGAATCACTGTAGTCCGGGAGGTGGAGGTTGCAATGAGCCTAGATAGCACCACTGCACTCCAGCCTGGGCAACAGAGCGAGACTCTGTCAAAAAAAAAAAAAAAAAAAAAACACCTGACTAAATTGAGTTCTAAATTTCTGAATTTTGTGGAGAACTAGTTTCTTTGTCCATCCTTATCTATTTGTTTTTGAAACAAGACTAATAAATAAACTAATACATTGATTTTATCTTTTGGAGTCTTGAAAAAAATGCAATGAGGCAACTATTTCAATAATTTTTCTTATATAAAATATTTCCTTCATATACATATGCATGTGGTGGGTAAGAACTTGATAATAACAAATGAAAGAATTTCAAATTTCAAAAGATATCCACATTATACCAACACATCCAATCAATTCAAGTTAAAGACACAGTATCATTAGAGTTTGTAGGACCAAAATGCGGGTGATTGTCACATTTTGTCTTAACCAACTTGAGGTCTGGTTACTGTGCAATTATAGAAGGCATATAGTAATATTCTCCTTATCCTCATGAACATGATAATGCCTTTAGAAAGTTGCATGACACTGAAAACCAGGGGAAAAACTGTGAATTTGGGGAAATTTGTGTTCCAACACAGACCTATCTTCTGGGCTCCTTCTCTTCCATTTCTCCTTAGGAATCAGTGGCCTTTCTCTTTTCCCATAACACTAGGCAGTCTTTTAGCATATCAGTTATCAGTTTGTATTTTAACTAGTTGTTGACACGTATATCTTGCCCACTCTTCACTGGATTCTTTGAGCACAGACTTTTGTGGATTAATCTGTCTACCACAGTGCTTAGCAGATTAGCATTCTGTAAATTCCTATGAGGAGAACAGAAAAAAACAAAAGAATGAAGAGAGGGTGGAAAAGGGATGAAAGGAGGGAAGAAGGAAATAAACTAATATGGATTTAAGTCACTTTCCAATAAAGTCTCCTTAAAGTTTTTAAATCTCATTAACTATGAATTTTTAAATTCATGTCTAACTCAGCGATTGTTAATTAGCTGTGAACAAGTGGGAAATTGTAGGAGAATATGGTGGTTTCTCAGACCCCCTTATCAAATGAAGTAACTGTTCGATACACATTTTCATAATGAAGGTTCTCCTGGGAGATGAGATAGCCTAAATAGAGATCAGAGCTTCGAGCCCTATGAAATAATATAAAGGGAACAGGATGAAAGAAAAATACACACAACTAATTAAAGCAAGATAGATATGTTAAAAAGCATTCAACTGTAAGTATATATTCTGTACGAATCAATGTCCACTGCAGTTCTTACAATTTGTTCACAGGTGGATGGCCTATGTTCCTCCTATGCTCTGCTGTTGTTGCTAATTAGCACAGGTGTGAGGTGCCAAGGGAAAGAAACCAAAACATAAATAAAAACAGTTCAGCAGATGGTAAGGAAAGGCATTTGAATGCAAGGCAAGAGATTCATAAGTTCAGAATTAGAAATATTTTAAGGGATGCAGAGAGAACGTAAAGGTATGTTCTCTTTCACCACAGATGCTTTATAAGAAAATGTTCATAACGTATACCACTCATACCAGAATATTCCTTCCCACACATCCTTCTCTCCATAGACAGCGAGTTAGGTAATCACATCTTTGTATTCAAGCGAGGGAAGTTTTAATTAAACACATTCTAAAATACTGTATTTGGTGGTATAGTTTGGGCTTTTGGGGTTTAGGGTCAGTGTGGGCTGGAAAATACCAGTTCACTTTTCCAGACTAATTTTCAAAGAATGGAAGGTATTGAGTCAATCAACCTTTCTAGATACTGTGTCTGCATTGTTTTTACAATCTGAAAAGTAGAGTGTCATAGAATGTTCCTCATCTGCATTTTCCATGAAGGCTAGAAGACAGATTTAATAAATATTAATGTATACAATCAGCCAGTTCCTACTAAATAAAAACTAGATGCTAGGCTCTAGGTGCTTCACAGACATGAGTAAGACTGGTTCCTCCTAGCAAGAATGTACCTGTCTTTGGAACAATTCCAAACTGTAAACAAATTTGAAATATCAGAACAAAATGAGTACTGAAATACAGTTAAAAGCAATACATCATGAAAAAAATAAAGCAAATAATAATGCTTCATAGTGTCAGGAGGGAAAATAATACTTCTTGATGCAGTGGCATTTAATTTGGCAAGAAGGATGAGTCAGTATCCAATAGCAAAGATGGCTGGAGAGTGTATGCCACCGAGGTAATGTTATGCCACCTTTACTTTAACAAGGTCTCTGCTCAAATGTCACCTTCTTCGAGCACACCTTGCTCTCATCTCCCACATTATTATAGTTACCCTGTTAGCAAATCCTCCTAAGGTATTTTGCACACAGTTATCTTTTTTTGATAAAATTATAGTAGATATTAACCAATTCTGGTGACTCAGCATCTTTTAAAGAGTCGGGAAGGTGATGAGATACTCCTAAAACAAAAAGATGATTTAATTGATTAAATTAAATTAAATTGAGAGGCCAAGGTGGATTGCTTGAGCCCAGGAGTTCAAGACCCACCTGGGGAAATAGGAAGACCCCCATCTCTACGAAAAAATTAAAAAATTCTCTGGGTGTAGTGGTGCATGCCTGTAGTCCCAGCTACTTGGGAGGCTGAGCTGGGAGGATTGCTTAAGCCCAGAAGGTTGAGACTGCAATTAGCCATGTTTATGCCACCGCACTCCAGCCTGGACAATAGAGGAAGACCCTGTCTCAAAAAAAAAAGAACAATTTAAAAAAAAGTTAAAAGGAGTTTTATTCATATCCTTTTGCTATTTTTCACTAAAACAACACATATTTTACTAAAACAGCATACATATTTTACTGATTTGGCAAGATGTCTTCTATAATTTCTCAACTAACAGTGATAGGTAAAGTGGAAGTTTTGTAGGACATTTTAAGATTCTGAAGATGACAAACTGACTCAACTAAATAGGGAAATGGTCTAAGAAAAAAGTAAATAATTCAGATTTTAAAAAAAATAAATTTAAAAAACAATGAATATTTACTAAACTAGAAATCTCTGAAAAGCCAATTAAAGTCTCCTATTATCTTACCACTAAAATTACTTTCCTATGTGATTAACTCATTTTTGAAAAAATGCTTTATAAATATATAACACTGTATGATACTTTACTTATTTCCTAAGTATTGAAACATTTCCTAAGTATTGAGACCAGGATTTTGCCATTATAAAAATGCTGCAATGAACATGTTTATTCAAAAATATTTTTTCAATATTCAAGTTAATTTTTAAGGATAAAGTGAGTTAGACAGTAAGTAGGGGAGTTGTATCATTGTATTCCAGAAGAGAATGTAGTTTTTATTTAATTTTATTCTAAATTATTTTGTGGTATAAAGAGATTCGGACTAGTGAGGGAGGAGGGAAATACTAGATGAGTGTCTATACAGATGGAATTACATACTCTACATATTTTGTTTTAGTCATTACACTGTAAGGTTCTTGCCATTGATCCTTGTATCTCAGAGCCTAGCATCCTGTACAGTATATAACCAGATTCTAATATGTTTAAGTTGAAATAGTACTAATTTAAGCATTCAAAATAAACCTATGATGAAACATGTTATGGAAATATACTAGTGTCACTGAAATGTTACTAGAAGTATTATTTTGATAAATACAATAAAAATATTTAAAATACATTATTTAATGGTATCATTTTCATAATGCATTCATTCTATTACTTGATCTTGAACACAGTTAAAATATTTGAAGGGGGATTCAAAGAGTTAAGCTTAGATATGCCTAAATGGTTACTTTCATATTGGGTCTAAATGGGCTAGGTGTTGTCTGTGACCATATCAAATTGAAGTAAGAACTATACAAAATTTTCAGATTGACCATATCAAATTGAAATAAGAATTATACAAAATTTTCAGAGTTAATAAAAATGTACTTGATTCTGTTTTTGAAATAGTATAAATGAAGTAACAGCAGGTCTTGTGGTGGTGGTAAATTACAAGATAGTTTCATTGCTAAACATGAAAGATAAAATTACAGATAATATAAATGAGAGAGTGTGTGTACCTGGCTACTTTGAAAGGGATGTGTAATCGAAGAATCAGGATAAAAAGTTGAAGAATAAGTGGAGTGATTTTTAAAATTGATAAAATAGCAATCATAGTTAACATGTATCAATTACTTGCTATAAACCAAGCAACTTTCTAAGCTCTTTTTATATATTAACCCAGTTCTTTCCTCCATAGTCATTAAACCAGAATGTGTGCAGGTAGGAACCAGTTATCTGGGGGATCTTTTAAAAGTATCGATACTTTTATTGAGTTTTATTTTAAAAGTATCGAAACCCCATCTCTACTAAAAATACAAAAAATTAGCCGGGCGTGGTGGCAGGCGCCTGTAGTCCCAGCTACTCGGGAGGCTGAGGCGGGAGAATGGCGTGAACCTGGGAGGCGGAACTTGGAGTGAGCCAAGATCGCGCCACTGCACTCCAGCCGGGGCCACAGAGCAAGACTGTCTCAAAAAAAAAAAAAAAAAAAAAAAAAAAAAAAATCCCCCCGACAATTCCAGTTTGCAGCAAAGTCTGGAAACCACTCAATAATGGTGCAGTATTTATATTCTCGTACTTATTTTATTAAAGTGGAAACTGAGTCAGAGAAGTAATTTGCCAAGGTCAGGGAGCTGCGACGTGATTCCAGGTGTTCTGATTTTTGAGCCGTTCCTCGACCACTGCAATGTCTCCCCAGTGCTTTAGTGACTACTTCCTGTATGAAAGCATTCATACAGGCATTCAAAAGTATGTCTCAGTGAAATAATAGATTGCTACATCACTGACCTTTAGTATCATTTCAAAGTTTAAATTCCATGAGTACCAAGGGTATGTGATGAAGTAATAGCTCTAGCAAACGATTTTGTTCTCCAAATGAAAAACGAATGACTTCTAACAGAGTCCCATTCTGTGAGCTGAGGACTCCTAGTGGGCGTTGTAATAATAACTCTTCTGAAAATAATTTTTCAGATGCATGTATATGCTGTTGTGATTAACAAAATACAGTTTCATTTAAAGTATTGCAAAAGTTACAAGGACTTTTAGTTATGCATTTTTTCAATGAAAAGATTTCCAAAATATCACTAACTGGAAAGAGCCAGATGTCTTGATATTACTCAAAAAAGGCTGTGAACTCCTGCTTTAGACAATCATCTTCAGGGCAGCCATTCTTTTTGACAAGTGGCACCCAGAACAGTTGGACCTACTGAAAATAACAGAATTGTCCTTTAGAACTCAACCAGTAACAGAACTGTATTGATTATGAATAATGCACCTATTTTTATCACAATAAATTTTAGAAAAAAAGGCATCAACCTACAAATGAGCATTTGTAACTCTTGACCAAATACCAAGTGGCAGTCAGCATAAAGTAGAACTAAATGATACAATGTGCACGTTCTTCATGTTGAAACTTTGGCATTCACTGGCTATCTGTAGAAACTGCAAAGCTTATATGTGATGCCAGGCCCCACTTCAACAAAGTTTTTAACCCACCGTTTAAGACATTCACACACACACACACACACACACCCCTCAGGAGTAATATCATGGCCTGCCTCATAGATCATATGCATAATTTCTTTCATCCCTCTGAATACAGTGCCATCACCTCTCTTGGATTGCCTGATTTCCAGTCCTAATCAGCTGACGCAGCAGTCAGGCAAATAAGATTTCTTTAATAAAAGATAGATAGTGATCTATAATGTATAATAATTTTTTTCTTACCGTTTTTTGCCCTGACACTTAAAACTATTTCAATCAGCGCTTAAAGTGTCAGACAGGGGAAGGCAAGAATTTCAGAAAACATTGGGCACAGGAGGGCAATATATGCTGATTTAGATTCTCCCTCTCAGTGTCAAAGGATAATTAGTGAGAAAGACAACAAATGCCTTCCTCGCAGTTGCAATCAGTTAAAACCAGGTAACAAATTTATACATCAATATGTTTGTAAAGATAGATACATATGCATGAATACATGAAACACGCAAAAATAATTTAGTATTCAATCTCAGATACACGAATATACTTAAGAAAGAGAAGTTTTATTAGGGCAATTTCACTTTATTTTTCCATACAGCAAAGTCAACTACTGCAGTAATAATAAAATAAGCATAAAACAAATTGCAGCCCAAGACAAAATACATAATTTTAAGCAACTACAAGCAGAAAGTAAGTTGTGATTACATAATAGTAAAACCAAGCACATTTGTCCTTTCAGCAGATGAAAGTGGTAGGGTTGCTGATAAGTGCAACATTTTTAACCAGCTGGAGTGAAGGCTGGATACACTAATTCTTTTAAACAAGTGCCCATTATCACATTTTGCATTTTTGAGTGCTTCTGAGTTGAAAATTAAAACCATGAAATTTGAACTGCGTTTTATTTTTCACCTGCTGAAAGAACAGGATCCTACAGCAATTAAAAAACAATCACATAACAACTATAGCTACAGTGTGCTGTTTGGTTTGCCTGTTTATGATTTAAATTTTGTGAAAGTCAATACTTGTTTTGAAGATTTTTTTGTGAACAATAAACCACTGAAATTGGCAGAAACTGATCTGAATAATATATGTTCTTAGTATAGTTCTTTCTCTCTTTTTTTGTTGAAGTTTTAAACATGCAGTAGTTTTGAAAAATGTAAGGAATATCTGATCCATGATTTCACCTTAATGGTAGAAGTACCTGCTATTTTTGGTAATGATCTTCAGGCAGATTTGGCCCCATGGAGTTTTTGTCAGTCATGAGGGTTTGAAAGGATGGCGTATCTTTCCAGCTGAAAAAATCCTGGCAAACTACAAGCTGTCCACAAGAAAGCAAAGCAACATGTTTGAAGGGGTATGGAGTGCTAACTCTGTGCCACTTTTGCAAGCAATTTTGCTCAGTCTGTCATTGTATTAGCCTTAACAAAACTCCTTGTAATTATAGACGTTTTTATTCAAAATAAGATCTTACTATTATACAGGTTTCTCTCTTTTGACTATATACAGAAGTGCAAAAAGTCAACCTTCTCCCTAGACGTTCCAACATGCTAAATTGCAGCATAATCAACCCTCAAGAGTTTGCACACACGCTATAATTTTCATTACGTAAACTTTGAGTATTTGGATTATCAACAAAAAGTCCCTTGTTCTATTTATTGATTATGCAGCTTATTTATAACAAGGCCTGATACTCAGGGATTTCAAAAATATTAAACAATATTTTAACATTTGAAATGGATACAGTAGAAAATAAATTTTATTCTAATATCTAGGATCTAGATCTTCTTATAATAACTAATTACAAACAAAATAAATCATCAAAATATTACTCAATTGTCTGCCAGGATTGTTGCGATAGCAACAACTTAACTTCTTACTTAGCAATGATTATATATTTATAAGATATCCATATAAAAGATCTTTGTTCTTTTAATGAAAACTAGACAAGAACTAACAATGACTGACATTCTTACACTGTAATATTAAATCAGTAAAATATAAATCATTTAGTTAACAATACGAATATTCATGTGACACTACATGTAATTCAAAACTGAGTATGTTATGAAGGAAAAACTACTTTTTTTTGTATTTTGAAAAATTCATTGGTAAAATCTAATAAAACAAGTCTATAAACTGAAATGGTATTCAATTGTTAATAGAAAATGAAAATCTAATAAATGTAGGAAATGAAAAACTACATTTTAACAAGAAAAATAAGTAATATTCTATAATGTAACTAACTACAATAACATGTGAAGTCACCATTACTTTCTTAACACGATTGAAATTACATTGGTATGGGTTCCAACCCGTAATGTAATAATCTAAGGCTTTAATAGATGTACAGTACAATCAGTAAAATCAACACATCAGTCTTATATTAGAAAGCATCTCTCTCAAGCATAAAAACTTGCAGTAAACTTGGAAGTATGGAAAGTTCTATAACTGAACTTTCACTTCTCCCATTCCATACTATAACTACCAGTGACCTGGCCCCTACTTCAGCAATTTTTAGAACTGCTGAACAGAGCAAAAATATCCTTTACTAGCTGCAACATCCAAACCTCAAAAAAAGGAATTCCTTTGGATGATTCCATTCTTAAAAACTGAATGCACATCTATTTTTTTTTTAATTTTGTAAAAGGCTTTCTAAGGCTATAAGCAGTTAATCTGAACAAAACAAAACAAAACAAAAATCACATATAAAATTCACCCATGTACTTAACCCACCCAATTACTAGGTTAATTAAACATTTCCCATTTTCATATTTTGGTTTATCATGCATCTGATGACAGTGCTGCTTTCTTCTTTGTTTAGAGTCACTATTTTGAATGTGACTGTGATGAAGCATTTAAGCAAACGTGAAACCATTTTTGCAAAGCATTTATAGTCTTTTGACTTTTGACAGAGGCTATAAATAGAAGCAAAATAATTTCCTCATTTTTTTGTTACTGTGTCTCAGAAATGGCAATCCCTTTTGAATAACATGTTATACAGTATAGTATGCATAAATATTACACTACAATGCATTAAAATAATTTTATATATATCTATTATATATATATCTCCAGTATGTGTGAGTTTATCTGTATTGAGAGAGTTTGTGTTGTGCTGTCTATTGTTACTGTAAAGTTAAATTGGCCATTTCTGAGACAGCTTTGGTTTCAAAAAAAAAAAAAAAGAATGGTGCCCTTTGACTGATTAGTACTAGCAAATATGCAACAAAATGTGGCTCTGAAAACAATAACACTGAAGAAATAATACTCTAATTTGATGTACAGTCTATGGCACTTCATGAGAATCCTTAACAACATGGTACTTAAAGCCATGATGTGCTTTAAAATATACACAGTTGTGGTTTTGCTTGGCACATTCATCTCTGTCAGATCCCTCCCTCACCACGTCTTACAATCTATTACATTAAAAATATTACTCTTAAACAAAAATGACTGTGCATGCACGCTCTCATCTATAATGGCAATTTTAAATACAAGGTGCACCTTTGTTATTTGTAAACCTTGAAAGAAATAAACTTATTTTTAAAAAATTATATCTTGGTCTACAGACGTACCAATACATAATAGAATCATGGTTACACCATAGTCTGTCTTTTCAAGATGGCATGAATATATAGGAAACTAACTAGGTATGCATCTTTGAATGCATAACTCTGTGCTAGAAAAGAAAGACAATGTTGTTCTTTTAGACAGGAATATCACCTCAGCACAAATATCAATTAAATGTACAAAGTGTATAGGCAACAGTGTGCAGTGGATTTCCGGAAAATGTTGTCTTTTCTTCTGGTTAACATGCAATATGTGGATGTCTTGTGGCTGAGGAACTTTTGTGTGTGTTGCTTGACGATATATACAATATGGCTAATGACCTCGTCCTTTACTCTAACCAAGCACACTGTCCTTTCCTCTTTAGCATGATCTACAAGGGAAAAAGAGATAAGCTTTGTTAGAACAGGTAATATCTAAAAGCAGTTTCTAATATACATTTAATATGAAAATTTTCTTTTTGATTAACCAGTATATTTACATTATATCTTCATATAAAAACAAAAACCATTTTACAAGAGTAGACAGATCAAAATTTGTCTATCATCTCTACACGAATGAAATAACACGTACAATTTAATAAAACTGTAGAATGTGCTCCAAAATTTACCAATCCTAAACTAAAAGTATAAAATACATTTGCAGAATCAGGGGGCCTAATATACAGAGCTCTTTTTTAGCACAATTGTTGTAGGGCAAAATTTAAACTTCTTTTCTGAAGTTTAATAAGGTTTCAAGAGTAAAGGTCTGGTCTACAAAATTAAAATTCATGTAATATGTTCTATTAAACAAGATTTATTCTTTTTGGGTGCTTGATTAGCATAATGCATGTTTGAAAAAAAAAGAATGATACTTTAAGTGATGGCTTTGGGTAATTCAGTTTGTTGAACTTTTTTCACCTAAAACTAAGAAAATAAAAATCATTCTTTTTGAATTACAGAATTATTACTCATGAATTAAGCTGTAATAGACATTACAATGTACTTGTGGATTAACAGTTCCAGTTTTTACATGAAATTTGTTCTCAGCAGCGAATATTTACATATATTAAAAGTATGCTTCACAATACAACCTTGAAAATGAAAGAAATCATAATCTAGTGACTCAAAAACCAGTTTAAATGTTGCAACTCCTCATGAAGATGAGCAATCATTTGTTAAATGAACAGAACATTAAAAGCTTAGCTTCAATACAGACAAAACTACTGGTTTGCTAATTATTTTTAGAAATTTTTTTCAACCTGGATTATTGCTAAGAAACAGAATTTAGTTAAATATATACATACCAAACACACCTAATTGACTATAAGAGCTTGAAACAGATTTTTCTGGCATGTCAAAAAAACCTCTTCTTCTAAACCTACAACACTGCAAAGTAATGCCTCTTCTTCTACAAATGTGGCTATTGTTCAGAATCTGAACCTTTTTATCAGAACTGCTTTGAGAAAACTTATGAAATAGACAAAAATCAATTTTAATAATTCACGATTGCAGCATATCTTTGGCAGTACTTCTCCAGTTGAGCCTCTCATTTCTTTCTTAAATGGCTATTGAATTCTGCCTGTTCTCCTGCATGGGCTTTGACTTTGTCCAGCTTTGCTACAGATTAACATCACAAGGGTTTCTGAGTTGGTTCTCAGCCATCATCGTTTCCTGACTTGGCACACTGTCCTTCTTTTACAAGGCCTTTACACCTCCATTCTCTTTAGAACAACACCTTCATTGTCCACATTCATTTGTTTACGGATCCTGTTGGGAACAGCTGCTCCTTCATCTTTGCTCTAAGAGAAATTTCTTCAAACCTCTCTTATTTTACTATATTATCCTGAAATTCCTTACATCTTTATCTTATTATCTATTTACCTTTATCTCCTTGCCATGGTAACTAACACAAAGTAGCACCAAAAACTCATTTGTAAATATGTTAATAAATAAATAAAGGAAGCAACAAAGAATGGTCACCCATCTTAACCAATTTCAGTTTTAAATGTAATGTCTCTTTCTAAATATAAAAATAAATAACAAGCATCTGAGCACATGTTATAACTTGAATGCATGCATACTGGACAAAACATATTCCTATGGATGAAAAATGGACACCTTTTTAAGTATTTAAGACAGTGGTTTTTTTTTTTGTTTTTTTTTTTATACTTTAAGTTTTAGGGTACATGTGCACATTGTGCAGGTTAGTTACATATGTATACATGTGCCATGCTGGTGCGCTGCACCCACTAACGTGTCATCTAGCATTAGGTATATCTCCCAATGCTATCCCTCCCCCCTCCCCCGACCCCACCACCACAGTGTTTTTAAAGACAAAATACAAGACTTTCAAACCATTTTTAAAATGTGGCAATGGCAACATTTTCAGAATTATATGATCCTCTGAGGTAACTACTTTAAAGTAACTAAGATTCATTTGAATATGTAGATTTGTGTGTACACATATATTTGATTATGTGTATATATTTATTTAAAGTCAGACTCACTACATTTTTTTTTTTTTGAGACAGGTCTTGCTCTGTTGCCCAGGCTGGAGTGCAGTGGCGCAATCACAGCTCATTGCAGCCTCAACCTCCTGGGCTCAAGTGATCCTCCCACTTTAGCCTCCCTAGTAGCTGGAACTACAGAGTGTGCTACCATACCCAGCTGATTTTTTTGTATTTTTTGTAGGACAGGGTTTGACCATGTTGCCTAGGCTAGTCTTAAATTCCTGGGCTCAAGCAATCCACCCACCTTGGCCTCCCAAAGTGCTTGGATTACAAGTGTGAGCCACCACGCTTAGCCAAACTCATTACATTCTAATGCCCCTGTGTATGGTGGTGCATGGGATGAAGTAAGTACATGGTCCCATTTAAGGTTTAGCCAAAGAATGAAAAAAAAAAAAAAAAGTGATAATCTACACCAGAGGTCAGCCAAACTACTGCCTGTGGGCCAGATGTGATGTACTGCCTGTTTTTGTAAATAAAGTTTTACTGGAACACAGCTACACCCATTTGTTTACATGTGGTCTCTGGCTGCTTTCATGATACAATGGCAGAGGAGAGTAGCTGCAACAGAAACGATACGGCCCACACAGCAAAAATACTTACTGTCTGACCCTATAAGAAAGTTTGCCAACCCTTGATCTACACCTTCTAATTACTTTTTGGTCATACATTTTCTTTATGCTGTGTTTATCTCTAATCAGAAATTTAAAAAATTTATTTTCTCTTAGTACTTTGTATATTTAAGTGATATTAACATATTTGTTATAAAGATGTCTGATAAAATTCCTCACACCCATTTAAGATAAAAATGTGATCTGTATATATTTTCTCAGAGATTTCGCAAAATTTTAAGTGCACTATACAATTGCTATCTTAAAAAAAACCACCACAAATATGCAACTATATATTACATAATGAACTTACTGTTTAGTGATGAAAATTCTACATCTGGGTAACATACTTGTGGCTAGTCAGATGTTCGGCAGATATTATGGGTATCTAGCAAATAAAAAATTATTTAATGAATGATCCATGCAAGCAAGCCAACAATTAAGAGATGAAAACATTTTAATATTAAATTTTTAAAGAAAAGTGAAATTCAGCTGTGAGGTGATAGTCCTTATCTGGTCAACATAACAGTAAGTTAATGTAAACTTAAATGCCAAAGTAGCAACTAACTTTAAAATCTTCATGTTAAATACTATTCTATAAATGTTACCAGCTTTTAGGAAATAAGTAAAACTATCAAAAATTCATGCAGAGCAGTAATTGAAAGAAGCCCTTTTTGTTGGCCTACACACACACACACACACGCACCCCCGTGGTTTCAGTTACTTAGTAATCATCCAGAAATCAGATAAGGAAATGTCTTGCCTATTTTTGTGCAACCAAATTTCTAACATTTTCGTTCAAATTAGGGTGTCTAACTTTTTTTTTCCAAATTAAAAATACCAGGTAAGAATTATAAAGCAGTAATTCAAAAGAACTAGGTAAGAGCCTAAGTTTACTTCAGAACATATTTCTGAATCCTGATGACACCTTTTATTGTATTTTAAATGGGCAAGAGAATTAGAGAACTTGAGAGAAAATACAATAAGAAACCAATATAGAGTTGACTTATTTCAATAGTTCCCAAAGTTAAGAACTTCGGATTTGTAGCTTGATTCTTCAACCTGAAATTAATGCCTGCTAACCTGAGAGAGGCAGCACAATGGATTGAGACTGTCAGAGGACTGATGACACGGGTGCTAGCCCCAGAGATCCATTTACTGGCTGTGTGACCCTGAGCAAAGCAACTCATTACTCTATGCTTAAGTCTCTTCTATAAAATGATACTAATCCCATTTCAGCAATGTTGTTGGGAGAATAATGAAATCAGATACACAAAGGCATTTTGTTGCTGTTCTTTCAATTTAGACATCTTAGGCTAATTCAACATACTACAATCCACAGTCTGGCGTGTATATTAATATGTCCCTGTTTTATTTCCAGTTCTCAGCTGACATTTTTACACAATTTTACAGCATTGGCAAATGGCACGAAAATGTGCTCCAAGCATAATGAAGCTTCTCATACCATTTTTCCTGCTGCTGCAGGACAGGATGTTGCACCCAACAGTGTAGAAGCATCAAGGATGGGGCTGTCGAAACATACCAAGGACCTTCAACACCAATCGATGCAGATGAAGGGCCAGCTATAAACTTCTGCATGCATGCAGGCTGCATTTTGTGGCATCAGCTATTTCCAGCATTGCTAATGTACTGTAGGCATATACATATGTATGTATATGTAGATATAATATATGTGTGTATATATATATCCATTCCCTTTTCTTTCTTTTGGTTGTCAAATAGTATGAAGATCCAAGATTATGCATGAAATGGTCACAGCACAATGCAAAAAGTAAAGTGTCCCCTACAACCCAGGTGGCCAAGGGCATGTTGAAATTTGCTCTGCTATAGTTCTGCTTACACCAGCAATTCTACAGTCATACATGGTAGACGCATGAGAGTTCTTTATCATTGATTTGCACCATAGATGGATTGTATTGAATCCATCATAATAGTTCTACCAAAGGTTACTTATTAACATGCCACATATGCACAATCTAGCATTCTTGTAAATGAGTCTGACGTGTTCATGTAAACCCAGGGCTATTTTGACAAGCTTCTGAAAAATTAATGATTCTTTGCCAAGAAATGTTTAAAGCTTGACTGAAACGTTAAATTCATTTTTGTGTTCTGATTTTGAAAGTTTTTAATGGCTGTACTAATAGCTGAATGTTCTTCATCAACAGTACGTGATGTATTATAGAACAAGGGTGGCTACTCCTCACAGTAATAACAACAAATCTATGTCTTAATTGGTCTTCCCTTCCCAAGGGGGAACATGTTCATTTTCATCTGACACTCATTCTTTTGAGATTCATTTGGCTACCTTTAATCTTCCTCTGTGGATTATCTGAAATGTGGCTTGGCTCTATGTTTTTCATACACTATCAACTCTATTGAAGCCCAAATCTACATAAATGAAACTTGAAATCAACCAGTATTTTCTAGAAAATATTTTTAAGTAGAATCAGAAAATGCTGGGTGAATAAATGTCAATTTTTAAATTTTAAATATTTTAAATCATCATTTATTTTTAAATAGTTATTATTGTATATCATAAAATTTAAATTTATGAAACAAATCCCTTTCACTTAAAAGTATCCTGCAATAAATTTGCATGGAATACAGAATGACTGTCAATTTGCCATACTTAATTTCTTTTCTTTTCCTTCATAAATCTCCAACATTTATGCAGGGTAATTATAAAAATAAGAGCGCTTAGGATTTTTCTTTCACTGAAAGCATTGAGAATAAAAGCTTAGAAATGCTACATGCAAACAATTTATTTTGAATCTGCTCATTAAATGATTCAGATTATAATGAATTTATAACAAACTTATTTACAAGAGTGGTCATTTGTGGCATACGTAATACATTTAAGTATTTTACTTTCTATTAATCATTTAGGCAAGAACTAAGAAACTGTATATACCAAATATTTTAAATAAAAACCTTAAAATGGCCTCTATTTTTGATTGGTCAAAATACCTGCACGATTGGTTGAAACCAATTGAGAATTGCTTGTGTAAATATCATTTTAGTAGCTTCAGAAATGGAGCTGCGACGACTTTGGAGCACTTATAAATGGCATAAAAGCATTCTGCTGCTCATCATAGAGAGAATGTGTAGGCCAACAAGAGGTATCTTTGAAACCCCATGCTTATTAAAGCACCCTCTACAGCCCTCACGTACACACGATTCCCACTGACCTCAATGGGAAATCCACGTGCGTAAGGGCTGTTGGATTGAGCCCTATTAGAGTTGTTTTTTAAGAAACAAAGCTGTAAATTAGCAAACCTGGTTGGCTGTGGCTGTTGCAGCGAAGGGAACACTTGTGGCAGATGTTGTTGCTGCGGACACAGTGGCTGGCGTAGCACCGTGCACCATGGGAACTTTCGGAGGGAAAATCATATAAGCGAACATACAGAAGAGTGTAGCAATATGGAAACCATGGCAACATGGAAGAGATAATTGGGCATGGTATTTATCACAGCAATAAGCCATGTGACAGGACATCATCACCAGCGAGTGACATGCAATCACAGCGCAAAGCAGGACAACATTCCAAGGAGAGAAGGGGAGGAGGGATGAAAGAGAAAAAAAAGGGGGAAAAAAGCTTGTTACCATCAAATCAAGAAAATTGACACAAACAGGCTTAATATGCTAAGTCAAAAACAAGAATTTTATATAGTGTTCATAGTCAGACATTCAAAATCTAAGTCAAAATACAAGTATTTACTTCATATATACAGTTATCTGTTTGAATGAAAGTATTTTTTTCTCATTTACTATTATAAAAATATACAGTATATTACTTTTATGAAATAGATTTTTTTTACACACCAGAACTCATAGTCCAATCAAAATCCACCAAAGGTGACTAAAGGAAACTGTTGTGTGTAAAGAAAACACTTATGTGAGTCCATGTCAATTAAACAGAAAATGGCATTTAATTGACAAGTGTTAGTAAAAGGGAAATGGACTTGCCCAATAGATATAAGTTAAACTTAGCAGTGGATTTTGAGGGGCTGTGAGGTACACCATAGGTTTAAGATAATCAAGAAACAAAGCTGGCACCTACCAA